>NC_000011.10:20060000-21310000 GCF_000001405.40 Homo sapiens
TGGAACACAGCCTTGCTGTTGCTATTTACAAAGTGAGAGGAGTTAATTATTGAGAAAAATAATTACCTCTACCTTAAGCCTGCCAGATGTGCTCTTCTCTGCCTGTGGCCCCATGCTTGTACCGAGTTGTTGCTAAAACTGTGTCAGTAAATGTATGTATATGAGATGTAGAAATAGAAAAGAAAAAACTTCCATTTTCCATTAGCCACAGGCCATATAGCAGCCCTGTGCTAGTCTCTGGCAGGCCAGTCATGCAAGTGTGTGTGGCTATGTGTTACACACATCTCTTCACCCAGCTTGGCCTCCAACATAATTCCTCCACTATTGTCTGTGTCGTAAGCTGAATTAACTTACCTCTGTGGAACATTAGGCCACAAAGTTGGGACATTAAAGGCCTCTGTTAATGTGTGGACATATTAACACTGAAAGCCATTATTGGCCATTAACACCTTAACCTGATTTTTTATGGGCATGAGTCAGATTAGTCATGGATGAAGAAAGCACGGAGGAAAAGATCTAGAACGCAGGGCATTGCTAAGGAGGGTGGATGTACATGCTGATATAGGGACAGCTTAGAGCATTAGGGAGCTGCTAAGAGAGAAGAGGGCTGGAATAGCAAGCCAAGAGTTACGTGGGCTCAGAGGGAGGAGGAAGCCCTCCCAGGTGGCAGTCTGCGAAATGAGGAAAGGTCCCATAGAGAAGATGTCATTTGAGCAGATCTGTTTTGATAGACAGTATTTAGATGCAGCCTAAACGAAGAGAACTGCATGGGCAGAGACTCTGAGGCAGGAAAGTACTGTCTAGGGCAAGCTTGGGAGAGCAGTGCAGAATTCATAGTGTAACAAGAACATATAAGGGAAGAAGGAGAGGTCAGGGAAGGTTTATTGGAAAGATGACAGAGAGGAACCTGAGTGTTAGGCTGAGCTACTTATCAGCTATCTTGTTGGCATATAGCTTCTGCTGACTGCTAATCCAAGGTGAGTTCACTTCGTGGGTGGTAGATGAATGCCATTTAGTACACGTGGAAGTTACCCCAGTGCCTCCCACTTTAGACTACAGGTCATAACTCGGTGTGGGAGTAGAGCCATTCCACCCATGGCCAGGAAAGCTGTGCCCAGTTACAAGTCCTGTGACGCCTTAACATAGGAATAGTTCTGTTTTTCAAACAAGTTGTCGAGAAGTTACCAAGAAAATAAAGAACCTTCTTCCCACAGAAGAAGGCAGCCAGAATACCCAAGTCCTAGAAAACACTATATTGCAAAATTAGAACAAATAATAAGATGTCTTGGCCGGGCGCGGTGGCTCATGACTGTAATCCCAGCACTTTGGGAGGCCAAGCTGGGTGGATCACCTGAGACTGGGAGTTCGAGAGCAGCCTGACTAACGTGGAGAAACCCCATCTCTACTAAAAATACAAAACTAGCCAGGCATGGTGGCGCACGCCTATAATCCCAGCTACTCAGGAGGCTGAAGCAGAAGAATCACTTGAACTTGGGAGGCAGAGGTTGTGGTGAGCTGAGATCGTGCCATTGCGCTCCAGCCTGGGCAACAGAGTGAAACTCCATCTCAAAAAAAAAAAAAAAAAGATGTCTCCACTGGCTGGGGGCAGGAAGGGTGCTAAGGACATATAAGTGGTTCTAGTCCAAAAGTATCAGTTTGAAACAGAAAAGAAGACACCACTTGCTCATCACTTTGTAGACATGATAGAAATCAAATAAAGAATCTATATTTTGATGGATATGTTTTCTAAACAAATATTCTGCTATATGGTCATCTAGAATGAACTTACTGTGGCCAACAGCCTCTTAGGTTAAAAATAATCAGCTCTTTTTTTGCATATACAACTGACAGATGCCAACAGGGTAAAAAACTGTATTTGGAACACAGTCTTAACCCTAAAGGAATACATTAGAAAAAAGAGTGAAGCGAAATATGCTGGAACAGTAACAGGTTGCCTCCGGGCAATGCAATTGTGAGTCAGTGCAGGTTGTGACAGTGAATATGCTTCTTAACACTTCTCCGTACTTGAACATTTTTGTTCAGTAATCATATATTATTTTGACAGTCAAGAGAAAAAGTATTCAGAAGGTTGAAGGGAAAAATGCGGTAATAGAAAAGTGACATCCTTAGCAAACTATTACTTATTTGTCACTGACCTATCGCCAAACCAGGAAAGGTTGTGTCAAGGTGAGATTAAGTCATTCCAAGCCTGGAGTGTCCTGTATTGCTGATGTTCTCCTCCCCTGTCCCCTTTTTGGTTCCATAACAGCCATCTATCAATTCACCTTTTTTTTTTCTTTTAATAGTTCATGGATCCTCACTCTCCTTGGTTTCCAGCACATCGTCAGTTTATTCTACAGTGAGTATAAATCAATGCTGTGTGGCTGTGATCATGAGAACTGGGGTTCCTTTATCAAATGTGTCAAGAATAAAATATATGCATTTATCCTAGGGAAAGCATTTCCATTATAAGGGGATCAATTAATTAGGGAACAAGATTTAAAATTCACAAACAGCTATTAATTATATTATACCAACCCCAAAATCCAGAACTGGCTGCCTTGTTAAAGTGGCATTGTGCTTTAGGTGATAACTATTTAGAATGTGTGAGAAGCCTTGGCCACCTGCTGATGGACTTGGAAAATAAAGGCCTTGAGCAATTTATTAATCCTTTGTCTGCCTCAGTTTCTTTCTTTCTTTCTTTTTTTATTTGAGACGGAGTCTCCCTCTGTTGCCCAGGCTGGAATGCAGTGGCTTGATCTCGGCTCACTGCAACCTCCGCCTCCTGGGCTCAGGTGATTCTCCTGCCTCAGCTTCCTGAGTAGCTGGGACTATAGGCATGTGCCACCACGCCCAGCTAATTTTTGTATTTTTAGTAGAGACAGAGTTTCACCATATTGGCCAGGCTGGTCTCAAACTCCTGACCTTGTGATCCACCCACCTCGGCCTCCCAAAGTGCTGGCATTACAGGCGTGAGCCATGGTGCCCGAACAGCCTCAGTTTCTTTATCTGTAAAGTAGAAATAATAGCAGTTCCTACCTTATAGAGGTGTAATGAGGATTAAATGTTATAAAGATTACATTTCACTACAATATAAACTCTTTCTAGACAAGGACATTTTTGTTTTTATTCCTAGTGCCTAGAACAGTACCTAGCACGTAGTAGGTATTTTTTAAGTAGGTTTGAAAGAAATGGGAAAATGAATCTAAAACAATGAATATAGTACACACAGCTCAGAGCAAGCACTCCTAAATGCTAGCTATCATCCATGAGAGAGGTTTAGTAAACGAAAGCCAAATGTAATCAAATACATTTAGATCTTCAGTACTACTGGATTTGTTCAGTAGTATTTACTTTTTATAGCTGTACACTATTTATTTTATTTTATTTTAGACAGACTCTCGCTCTGTCGCCCAGGCTGGAGTAAAGTGGCACGACCTTGGCTCACTGCAACCTCTGCCTCCTGGGTTCAAGCAATTCTCCTGCCTCAGCCTCCTGAGTAGCTGGGATTACAGGCAGGCACCACCATGCCTGGCTAATTTTTTTACATTTTTAGTAGAGACGGGATTTCACCATGTTGGCCAGGCTGTTCTTGAACTCCTGACCTCAAGTGATCCGCCCATCTCAGCCTCCCGAAGTGTTGGGATTACAGGCGTGAGCCACCGCGCATGGCTATAGCTGTATGCTATTTACTTTAAAAACAGTAATTTGGGAATTTCTACAGGGAAAAAAAAAGTCTCTTTGTTAATTGTGAATTGGAAATTCTTTAGCCCTTAATCCCATGGAAACAAATGTTTTAATAATTTAGGTTTTGATAATGCCTGGTTTCTATATAGCAGAATACACTGTGTATAGCTCCTGGAAAATAAGAGGACACCCCAGAATCAAGTTAAAGATACCAGGGCCTAACTTAGGCCTGTATTGAGCAAACAAACTTCAGTGATTGCTGATATGGTCTGTTTTGAAGGACCTAGAAACCCTTGCTTCTACCCACCTCACCCCTCCAACTCTAAAATTCCTCTTTCCTCAGCTAGTCATCTTGTTTGAAATTTCATCACTAAGTCCTAGCTTTCCTTTTAAAGGCTTTATATAGAGTAACCTTGGAGAGAGGTTTTTTAAGCCATCATCTGCTAAGAAAGCATAGAGATGGTCTTTCAGCTGTCAGCCAGTAGATAAACTATGTCCTTTCTTCTAGAATGAAACTGTGGGATATGGGTACCAAGGCTGGTACTTTCAAACCTAAATGCACTTCTTCAACAGTATTTACTAGCACCATGGATATACCAGGCTCTGGACTAACCCCTAGGATATAATTTAGGAGAGAAAGGAGCCTGCTACTGACGGAGGAAGCTGTAGGCACCAGAGGGACATGGGACTCTAGCTTCACAGGACTGGCACAGAGAAGCTGTAGTGGATGTTTCAGTGCCCAGCCCCGTGTTTTCCCTGTGGCATTCCCAAGGGTTCTTGCCAACACAGAGGGGAGTGGGTTTTCCAGAAGAGTAAAAAAATGGGAGACTGGCCAGCATTATGCAGACTTGGAGGGAAAGAGCTTAAGCTTCTCAACCTGTGTGTCTTCAGATCTAGGAAACTGTCACATGCAGTTCCTGGGGGCAGCCCCTTCATGCCAACCACTAGAAGTCCTTACAGTAAAAGACTCTCCTTCAGTAGCTGTTGTTCTGGGTATGGGGACGTGAAGATACTGTTTTCATGAAATTTGAAATTGTCTTTTCTGAGCTAATATAAATTCAATGAATTAGTAAAGACCTAATAATAATACTTTTGAATTCCATTTTTATCTGGATAACAAGAGACCCGAGGTGTAATCATAGCGTTCTTCTCACCATATGACTTTGGACAAGTCATCTGGTTATTCAGAGTGTCTCCCCAGTTTTGCCCTTGGCATCAGGAAACCAAGCAAGGTGATCTTCTGAGGCCCCTACAATCTCTGACATTCCATGAGTCATGGAGTCAAAGGCTCCCATTTACTGTCCTCAGTATGCCTTCTCTGAGAATATAGGTTGCTTTTGCAGACTTAAAAAAAAATAGCCTATCAGTGGAATGTTTTTATGCTGGTGCTGTCTACTAATTTCAAGAAAAACTACAAGTCTGGCTAGACTCTGCTACCGCCTAGCACTGAGGTGTGGTCCTTTATCTGTTATTACATTCTTCGTGATAATGAAATTCTGAAACACATGCTCCAGGCACCTTTGTAAATGTTAAGGTGAATAAAGTATTTGTTTGTTGTCTGAAAAGAGATCTTTGAAATGTTAAGTTGCCACAGACCCAGACCAAGGAGCCTGCTGAGAGTTTTAAAGGCTCTTATTGGATGACAGTAGATTCTTTCCTTGAAATGTCTATAATGAATATTCAAGAATGCTCATTCTGCATGAAATTTGCAATTTTAATTATCAGTGAAAGAAAAGATTACACAGTGCTAAATGATTGCCATGGAAAAGTTATGGCTACCTCTTGGAGTAGAGAAAATCTCAAAGGCCACTTCTGGCATTAGACTTGCTTTCTTGTTTGGTAGGGAACACTGGAGTTCCCAGGAGAGCTGCTGGATGGATGGAGGCTAGCAGCTTCACATAGTGTTACCAGATGTGCAGAACAGCGGCAAGGGGGGCAAGATACAAAGCACATGCTTTCTCTAGGCTGCTGTTGATAATTGGGGCCCAACCCCAGAGACAGGTGGGCACAGTGACAGACAGTGGCAGAGGCATGGGGAAGGGCTGTTAGGGCCTGTCGATAGAAGTGTTTCAAAGTAGCCTTGTCCTATGTGGATGGCTAAGCCTGCTAACAGGCCTCCGCCAGCCTTCTAAATGTTAGATAGTGGTTACATTCTCACCATTAACTTGTACCCTTTGGATTGAACTTGGGGCTTATTTCTGGAAAGCCCCCGTGAGAATGTAACTATAGTAAAAGTGCAGGAGAATATGCCTAGGCTCTGGAGCCAGACTACTTTAGATCCAGTCCCAACTCTGCCACTTACCAGCTGTGACCCTGGACAAATGACTGAACCTTCCTGTGCCTCAGTTTCCTCATACACAAAACAGAAAGCAATAGTATTAGTACCTCCTCAAAGAGTTGTTAAAAGGATTAGATGAATAATGAATGTAAAGTGCTTGGAACAGTCTCTGGCACATGGTAAGCATTCAATAAATGCTAGCTGTTATTACCAGAATGCAGGCAACACAAGGTCAGGGACTTGGTCATGTTCACGGCTCTATCTTAGGTTCTTAAAAATAGTGCCTGGCACACAGTAGGAAATCAGTAAGTATTTGATAGGTGGTGGTAGTGAGGATAGATGGACAGACAAAGACAAATGAATATTATCTGGGAGGGAAGATTGAGCTCTGAAGACATCTTCCAACCTTCTCCTGAAAGCATTTCTTAGATAAGGAGGTTGTTCAGTGTGACTTTATACAAGACATTTAACGTCTCTGAACCTCAGAAGGAATACAAACAAACCTACCTAATGGAGTTTCTGCAAGGATTAAATGACTTGGCTCCGTGTATTTAAAAATTGGTTGCTGCTAGTAGGAGCCAACCTAGAGGAGGGGACTTGTGGGCAGGATCAGGAGGGAGGACAATGGGGAGCATAGGTTGAAGGCGGATCAGACAGGAAGCAGCTGCCTACCTATTCCAGCTGATGGATGTGCCCTGCGAGTTCTAATGAATCATACCCACTTTGTATTGTGAACTAATGGAGATGCTGACATCAGGGTCAGATGCTGATTTTTAAAAAATAATGGGCTTATGCCTAGTAAAATTGGATTAGGACACCTAGCGAGGACCCAAGGACAAAATAGAGTTCTTACTGATGTTCACTCACCTATCTGGTTCCCAAGTCACTCTTCCCTCCCTGGGTACAGCGATGGGTAGAGAGAAGGTCAGGAACACTCAACATTTCCAGGAAGGAGGAGGGTTCCTCTTTATGAGCCCCTGTGGGAACCAGAGGAGAGGGAAAGAAAGGTTCCTCCTGCAGCAGGCTCCCCAATTCATGTGGGCTCCCCCTGTGGGAGGAGAGAGGGTCTTATAGTTTCTGGCTAGCAGGTACCTGTGTCACCTAGACACAGAGCCAGCATGTAAGGGACAAAGAGGGAAGCCAGTAAGAGGGGCAGCAGAGTTCACGATTACTTCACAGGGTCACAGGTAATTGGGGTCCTTGAAATGGGACAGCACGAAGATGAAGGCCACATTTATCCTCACAACCTGTGGAGTTACCAGGCTGGCTGATAGGGGCTCCCAAACCCCCCTCACTTTGAGATCTTTCTACCCTGGTGCTCCCACTGTGGTGTCCTAGGGAAGTGAGAGGAGGGCAGAAAATGGGGCAGAATTAACCCAGGAGCAGTCTTCCTTGCTCCCTAGACAGGGTTGCCAGAGAAAATACTAAACCCTCAATTAAATGTGAAATTTAGATTAACAACAAAATTTTTTTTAGTATAAATATGTCCCTAATATTGCATGGGACATATTAGACCCTTTATTTTATTTTTTGAGACGGGTAGCCTCTGTTGCCCAGGCTAGAGTGCAGTGGTGTGATCTCAGCTCACTGCAATCTCCACCTCCTGGGTTCAAGCCATTCTCCTGCCTCAGCCTCCCAAGTAGCTGGGATTATGGGTGCATGCCATCACACCCGGCTAATTTTTTTTTTTTTTTTTTGTATTTTTAGTAGAGATGGGTTTCACCATGTTGGCCAGGCTGGTCTTCAACTCCTGACCTCAAGTGGTCCACCAACCTCAGCCTCCCAAAGTACTGGGATGTCAGGCATGAGCTACCATGCCCAGTCCTAGACCTTTTTGTTTTTTTTAAAGCTATTCAAATTTAACTAGGCCTCCTGTATTTTTGTTTACTAAATCTGACTCATGGCCTTCTTATCACATATCTTCTTCTGAGCACTTTACCTATCACCATCCCCGCCTGGGGAGCAGGGTGGCTCCTCACAACCAAAATGTGGAGTGGTGTTCTCATTCTTCCTAATTTTTAAAAATCATAAGCCGTTTGTATTTGGCCTTTCTGATGGGTCAATTTAATTGAACCAGTTTTTCCAGAGAAATACACCAGAAAAGAAACTAATAATTCTTCCAGACTGCTGCAACCATCTGAATATGGTGTTCCCGATGGGCTGGACTACACTATTCTTTGTTCCTTAACTGGTCTAATTTCCTTTATGTTTTCTTTACAGCCAGAAGAAAAATGCCAGTCAGAGGTAAGGAACAGCTTTCTGGTTGGATTTCCTCTTTAAGTATTGTCAATTATTTGACCCTGCTCACCTTGGAAATGGACCCCCAAAGCATGTAACCCTCTCCCTTGTCATCTTTAGATTCGCAAGCTGCGGCGGGAACTGGATGCCTCCCAGGAGAAAGTTTCAGCTTTGACCACCCAGCTGACAGCAAATGTAAGTACAGACATAGGGCAGTAGCATCGGGACAGGAAGCACCATCCTTGCCTTCTGAACAGCCTCAAGTCCTCCTGTGCTGAACAAATAGAAGTAGCACATTATAAAGAAAAAGACACAGGCTTTGGCATCATGGGTGTGAATGTCAGTTTGGACACTTACTGGCTTTGTGACTTTGGGTAAGTTCTTGAATCTCAGCCTGCGTGTCCTTATCTGTGTAACGAGGGTGATAGTATTTACATCTCAGTATTGGCCCACAGTCAATGCTTGCAATATGCGAAGTGCTTATTAAAATCTTAATTTCTCTTCCTCTTTCTGAAAATTTTGATTTTAAGGGTGGGAAAAAGAAGCAAAAAGGAAAGAAGGGGGAAGAAAAGAAATGTAGGGCTTTTCAATATCTAGGTAGCTGCTCTGTCATTGTGATATACACGATTATGAGTTTAGGAGATGCTGCCAACCAGCATTCAATTCAACAACTGTTTGAGTGCCAGCTATGCCCCGGGCACTGTGGGTTCAACAGCAGAGCAAGCACAGTGACTGACATCTTAACATTCAGTCTCTGGGACAGCAGAGAAACAAAACAAACAATTTTGCTATAACATGATAACTGTTAAGATAAAGGGAGGAGGTGGCAGTGGGAATATCTAGGGGGAGCACCTAGCTCACTCTTGGTGGGGGATGAAAAAGGGGACAGCTCATCTGATATTGAAAATAAGAAAAAAATTTTTTAAAAGGGGGACAGGAAGGACTTCCTGGAGGAGGTGACATCTAATGGATGCTAGGTAGGGGAGAATGCATAGGGATGACAGCATTCTAACCAAAGAGAATAATTTGCACAAAGGTTAAGGAGAAAGATCTTGGTGTATTTTGAACTCTCAGTAGGTGGGTGTAATTAGTGTCTATGGCTTGGATGTGGAGGAGAGGTAAGGGTGGAGAGGGGACAGAAGTAGGGAGGAAGAAGGCAGCGAAGAAAGCCAGGGGTCAGATCACAGTGTCTGAGCTGTTGGGGTGAGCATCCGGGCTTCCTCCTGAAGTTAGCAGACACCTCTCAGTGCGTTTTAAGTAAGCAGTGGGTGGGCTGGTTTGCACTTTAGATAGAGGATCAGAGTAGAGGCAGAGGTGCCTCTTCCCCCACCCCCATCAGCCATGTCTGTATTGGAGCCCTGATGCACAGCTGTGACCAGGTGAAGGATGAAGCTCAGAGGGCAGAGCCTGAGATATCGAAAGGTGCTAAGGTGCCTCTGAGGCAAGGCTTGCTGCCCAGGAGTTCACCACCCAGCCTGAGCCCGTTGATAAACGTGTTCAAGCCAGACAGAAAGCAACCTGCATGACCACAGCATGTCGTTAAAATGGAAACCAACTTCAAGAGGCTGTCTTCCCTCAACTAGAAAACTGAGCCAGTCCCCCACATCAGTCATTCGCCCGGAGTTTTTGCCATGGTATTCCCAGCTTGAGCCTTAGTTTACTCAAGGGAACCATTTCTCTTTAAGGTCGGCATGTGACATACCTAGTACAGTGCTTGACCTTAGTTATTAGCTCAGTAACTGGTAGCTGCCCCCATTAATATGTAGTCTCCTAAGTTCTCTTTCTTTTCTGGAAATCTTTGATTTTTTTAAAAACCCTAACGTAGGAGACCACAACGTGTTTTGTAATCTTTTATTTTCTTTACCTCTTCTGCCACCAGTAATGCTATCAAAAGAACTTTAAAAACTGACATGAGAACTTAATTCTGAGGCGTAGGTCCTGTTCAGAAAAACAGTATTCTATAGACAGGTTCTATCCCGTGGGCAGATTCTTCATCTGGATAACTAGATGTGTAGATTTGAATCCAGAACAAACCCTAGACCCAGCAAGTCAGGGTCTTCTGAGTGTAATCCAAATGTGTGGTTTGACAGCAAACCCCTGTCAAACCACAGTGATTCTGAGCTACTCTCCTAGTTTAAGAGTTACAGATGCCAATTGTTGCCTTTACTAATCAACAAATAGTAGTTAACTTACTTTCCGGTGAACTTGGGTTAATTGTTCCAGTGACCTCGTGCTGCCACAGGAGCCTCACCTTGGGCCATTTGGAACTCTGCTCTCTGTTCTAGAAGAGTCAGAGTGAGATCCCTTATATTATTCCAGAAGAGTGTTTTGTTCCTCATAAAAGGCACTGAATCCAGTATTGTTTTAAAGTAAATATTTAGTCTTACCGCACACTGCTGGAAGGGTGAACATGTTTTATTGTCTGCCATCTTTCTCGCAAACCAAGCTGTGTTTGTTTTTCTAGGGCAAACTACTCAAAACCACCTTCTCTGAGTGTTTTTATACCACTTGTGTTTGTTTTCCCTGGGAATGTGAGCGTGGCACTTGATGAGTAGGCTGTTGTGTGTGGCTCTGAACCAGGCTTGGAACAGCCTCCACAGTCTGTATTTTCATAGTTGTGCTAATGACACAAAGGCAACCCTTTTGTTTAGCAGAAAAATGGGATCCTCTGGATCTCCAGAGCAAATGTGTTTTCTTTTTAAGCTTGCAAAAACACCTTCTCAATAGCAGTCTTCATGGGGTCAGGTTTTTTAAATTTTTTTTTTATTATACTTTAAGTTCTGGGGTACATGTGCAGAATGTGCAGGTTCGTTACGTACGTATACATGTGCCATGGTGGTTTGCTGCACCCATCAACTCGTCATCTACATTAGGCATTTCTCCTAATACTATCCCTCCCCTAGCCCCCCACCCCCCGACAGGCCCTGGTGTCTGATGTTCCCCTCCATGTATCCATGTGCCATGTGTTCTCATTGTTCAACTCCCACTTATGAATGAGAACATCCAGTGTTTGGTTTTTGGTTCTTGTGTTAGTTTGCTGAGAATGATGGTTTCCAGCTTCATCCATGTCCCTGAAAAGGACATGAACTCATCCTTTTTATGGCTGCATAGAATTCCATGGTGTATATGTGCCACATGTCTTTATCCACTCTATCATTGATGGGCATTTGGGTTGGTTCCAAATCTTTGCTATTGTGAACAGTGCTGCAATAAACATACGTGTGCATGCGTCTTTATAGTAAAATGATTTATAATCCTTTGGGGGTATATACCCAGTAATGGGATTGCTGGGTCAAATGGTATTTCTAGTTCTAGATCCTTGAGGAATTGCCACACTGTCTTACATAATGGTTGAACTAATTTACACTCTCATCAACAGTATAAAAGTGTTCCTATTTCTCCACATCCTCTCCAGCATCTGTTGTTCCTTGACTTTTTAATGATTGCCATTCTAACTGACATGAGATGGTATCTCATTGTGGTTTTGATTTGCATTTCTTCATATGTTTGTTGGCTGCATAAATGTCTTCTTTTGAAAAGTGTCTGTTCATATCCTTCACCCACTAAATGGGTGGGTGGGTGTTTTTTTCTTGTAAATTTGTTTAAGTTCTTTATAAATTTGTTTAAGTTCTGGATATTAGCCCTTTGTCAGATGGATAGATTGCAAAAATTTTCTTCAATGTTGTAGGTTGCCTGTTCACTCTGATGAAGTTTCTTTTGCTGTGCAGAAGCTCTTTAATTAGATCCCTTTTGTCTATTTTGGTTTTGTTCCCATTGCTTTTGATATTTTAGTCATGAAGGCTTTGCCCATGCCTATGTCCTGAATAGTATTGCCTAGGTTTTCTTCTAAGGTTTTTATGATTTTAGGTCTTAGGTTTAATTCTTTAATCCATCTTGGGTTAATTTTTGTATGAGGTGTAAGGAAGGGGTCCAGTTTCAGCTTTCTGCATATGGCTAGCCAGTTTTGCCAACACCATTTATTAAATAGGGAATCCTTTCCCCATTGCTTGTTTTTGTCAGGTTTGTCAAAGATCAGATGGTTGTAGATGTGTGGCATTATTTCTGAGGCCTCTGTTCTGTCCCATTGGTCTATATATCTGTTTTGGTACCAGTACCATGCTGTTTTGGTTACTGTAGCCTTGTAGTATAGTTTGAAGTCAGTGTGATGTCTCCAGCTTTGTTCTTTTTGCTTAAGATTGTCTTGGCTAGGCAGACTCTTTTTTGGTTCCATATGAAATTTAAAGTAGTTTTTTTACAATTCTGTGAAGAAAGTCATTGGTAGCTTGATGGGGATAGCATTGAATCTATAAATTACTTTGGGCAGTATGGCCATTTTCATGATATTGATTCTTACTATCCATGAACATGGAATGTTTTTGCATTTGTTTATGTCCTCTCTTATTTCCTTGAGCAGTGGTTTGTAGTTCTCCTTCAAGAGGTCCTTCACGTCCCTTGTAAGTTGTATTCCTAGGTATTTTATTCTCTTTGTAGCAATTGTGAATGGGAGTTCACTCATGATTTGGTTCTCTGTTTTTCTGTTATTGGCGTATAGGAATGCTTGTGATTTTTGCACATTGATTTTGTATCCTGAGATGTTGCTGAAGTTGCTTATCAGGTTAAGGAGATTTTGGGCTGAGAAGATGGGGTTTTCTAAACATACAATCATGTTATCTGCAAACAGAGACAATTTGACTTCCTGTTTTCCCAATTGAATACCCTTTATTTCCTTCTCTTGCTTGATTGCCCTGGCCAGAACTTCCAATACTATGTTGAATAGGAGCGGTGAGAGAGGGCATCCTTGTCTTGTGCCAGTTTTCAAAGGGAATGCTTCCAGTCTTTGCCCATTCAGTATGATATTGGCTGTGGGTTTGTCATAAATAGCTCTTATTATTTTGAGATACATTCCATCAATATCTAGTTTATTAAGAGTGTTTAGCATGAAGGGCTGTTGAATTTGTCCAAGGCCTTTTCTGCATCTATTGAGATAATCATGTGGTTTTTGTCTTTGGTTCTGTTTATGTGATGGATTACATTTATTGATTTTCTTATGTTGAACCAGCCTTGCATCCCAGGGATGAAGCCCACTTGATCATGGTGGATAAGCTTTTTGATGTGCTGCTGGATTTGGTTTGCCAGTATTTTACCGAGGATTTTCACATTGATGTTCATCAAGGATATTGGCCTGAAATTTTCTTTTTTTGTTTTGTCTTTGCCAGGTTTTGGTATCAGGATGATGCTGGCCTCATAAAATGAGCCAGGGAGGATTCCTTCTTTTTCTATTATTTGGAATAGTTTCACAAGGAATGGTACTAGATCCTCTTTGTACCTCTGGTAAAATTTGGATGTGAATCCATCTAGTTCTGGACTTTTTTTGGTTGGTAGGCTATTAATTGCTGCCTCAATGTCAGAACTTCTTATTGGTCTTCTCAGGGATTTGACTTCTTCCTGGTTTAGTCTTGGGAGGGTGTATGTGTCCAGGAATTTATCCATTTCTTCTAGATTTTCTAGTTTGCTTACGTAGAGCTGTTTATAGTATTCTCTGATGGTAGTTTGTATTTCTGTGGGATTGGTGGTGATATCCCCTTTATCATTTTCTATTGCATCTTATTTGATTCTTTTCTCTTTTCTTCTGTATTAGTCTGGCTAGCAGTCTATTTTGTTGATCTTTTCAAAAAACGACCTCCTGGATTCACTGATTTTTTGAAGGGTTTTTTGTGTCTCTATCTCCTTCAGTTCTGCTCTGATCTTAGTTATTTCTTGTCTTCTGCTAGCTTTTGAATTTGTTTGCTCTTGCTTCTCTAGTTCTTTTAATTGTGATCTCAGGGTGTCGATTTTAGATCTTTCCTGCTTTCTCTTGTGGGCATTTAGTGCTATAAATTTCCCTCTACACACTGCTTTAAATGTGTCCCAGATATTCTAGTATGTTGTATCTTTGTTCTCATTGGTTTCAAAGAACATCTTTATTTCTGCCTTCATTTCCTTATGTACCCAGTAGTCATTCAGGAGCAGGTTGTTCAGTTTCCATGTAGTTGTGTGGTTTTGAGTGAGTTTCTTATTCATGAGTTCTAATTTGATTGCACTGTGGTCTGAGAGTCTGTTTGCTATGATTTCCATTCTTTTGCATTTGCTGAGGAGTGTTTTACTTCCGATTATGTGGTCAATTTTAGAATAAGTGTGATGTGGTGCTGAGAAGAACATATTTTCTGTTGATGTGGGGTTGAGAGTTCTGTAGATGTCTATTAGGTGTGCTTGGTCCAGAGATGAGCTCAAGTCCTGGATATCCTTGTTAATTTTCTGTTTTGTTCATCTGTCTAATATTGACAGTAGGGTGTTAAAGTCTCCCACTGTTATTGTGTGGGAGTCTAAGTCTCTTTGTAGGTCTCTAAGGACTTGCTTTATGAATCTGGGTGCTCCTGTTTTGGGTGCATATATATTTAGGATAGTGAGCTCTTCTTGTTGCATTGATCTCTTTACCGTCATGTAATGGCCTTCTTTGTATCTTTTTATCTTTCTTGGTTTAAAGTCTGTTTTATTGGAGACTAGGATTGCAACTCTGCTTTTTTTTTTTTTTTTGCTTTCCATTTGCTTGGTAAATATTCCTTCATCCCTTTATTTTGAGCCTATGTCTGTCTTTGCACGTGAGATGGGTCTCCTGAATACAGCACACTGAAGGGTCTGGGCTCTTTATCCAATTTGTCAGTCTGTGTCTTTTGATTGGGGCATTTAGCCTGTTTACAATAGGAATGCCCGTAAGTGGAGTCATGGGTGACAATCAAATGCAGAACTGAAATCAATGGAAATCCAATCATTTACATTTAACTTTGTCATTCATTTGCAATATGAGGATAGTAAATGTTCTTTGAAACATCCAGGCCCTGGCCTGTTTCCTTTGTCAACTATGTGACTGTCATAAATTGATTGGCTTTTGTTTTGCCACACTCTCCAGGGCAGACTAAAGCATATCTCTTTATTTTAAAATGCAGAGGCACTGTCTCCATGTTTTTTGTTTTTTTGTTTTGTTTTTTTTTTTTTTGAGACAGAGTCTCATCCCGCTCTGTTGCCCAGGCTGGAGTGCAGTGGCACAATCTTGGCTCACTGCAAGCTCCGCCTCCCGGGTTCACGCCATTCTCCTGCCTCAGCCTCCCGAGTAGCTGGGACTACAGGTGCCCACCACCATGCCCAGCTAGTTTTTTGTTTGTTTGTTTGTTTTTGTATTTTTAGTAGAGACGGGGTTTCACCGTGTTAGCCAGGATAGTCTCGATCTCCTGACCTCAGGGTCCGCCCGCCTTAGCCTCCCAAAGTGCTGGGATTACAGGCATGAGCTACCACGCCTGGCCTGTCTCCATTTTTAATAGAGAGAGGGAGTGCAATGAGAGAGAAGCTAACTATTCCACTTAACATTTCTACTACAAGTAGAAATGCTCCCTGCCAGCGGTTGATTCTAGAGATGTCTTAGCCTCCACCATCCCTGTTTAATGAAGTCTAATAACAGGCCTCTCTTTACCCCTCACATCTCTCCTTAGATTGAAATGTCACTGTGCCTCCTCACAGTGCACGGCAAAAGCATCTCCCCACCCACCCCCCATGCTTATCCAGCGTTGATTCCTCACTGTGTGTGTCAGTCATCTCCTCCTCTCGAATTTCACAGCATGATCAAATCTCACATCTCCCAAGCTCCTCCCATATATCCTCTGCCCTTCTCATCCCTCTTGCAGCCCACTGTGTTTCTACTCCCCCTGTCTACACCTGTGTTCTCAGGTAGTCTCACTCCTCTCATAGTTTCTCTTGTCACTTTCTCATTCCCAAACCTCCTTTTTTCCCCACAAGTGTCCATGCATTCCTGTGTTTTGCAGTACCTGAACAGTTCATAGACCATTTTCACCGGCCTTGTTTCATTTAGCTGAAAATAACCCTGGGAGGAAAATAGATATTGGTACCATTTCATATATGAAGCTGAGGCTGCTAGGATCAGGTGATTTGCTCTGTTATGGGTATTCAGAAGGAACTACAGGGAGAGCTGAAGACCTCTAACTCTAAATCCTGTTCCCTTCCCCTGTACTACACTGCCTCCTTCATCTAAGTGCTTTTCTTTTCAATCCTTTAATTGCTCATCCAACATATATGATTGAGTGGCTGTTTTTGTACCAGCAGTGTGGATACAGTAAGGAGCAAGGTAGACATGGTGTCAGTCCTCATCAAATGCACAATCTGGTGATCCTTCTCATCTGCTGCTCAAATGCCTCTCACTCTTGGACATGCCACTATTCCATTATACAAGTAGAGATTGGAGATTAGAAGATCCTAGCTGCCTAATGGCTTCTTCAGTCTATTGCTGGAAATTCCTTAGCATGACTGTTTGAAACAGCTCCATTCTTTATTTTTGGCTTTAATAACATTACCAGGATTCTCATTCAATCAACTAATATATCACCTACTACTCTGCTTCACAGTCAAAAGCTTAGTGTTAGGGCACAAAGTTACCTCTTACCCTTGAAGAGAGTTGCAGAGCAAGTGGCAGTCAGGAAAATGCCACATTTCCCCATTCTTAAACTTACTCTTTTTTTGTATTTTAACATCTCTGAAAATTAGATGCTATTTTACTTATAACTGGAAGCATTTAAAAAATTCTTAGAAATATAAAATAATGGTACATCTTATGTCATATTCTAACAGAAGTGTATAAAACTACGTGAAAGCCTGTGGGAAAGTGGTAACCCCCTGGAGGAACTGGGAAACATTTCTCTGAGGAGGTAGCAGATGGGCCTTTCAGTGGCTTTTTATTAACCAGGATTATAACAAGCAAACTACGCCAACCATTTTGTTTGTTCATTCTACTAACATGCTTAATATGAGCCTCTATTGTGAGCTTAGCACTTGGTGAACAGAAGATCATCCTCCATTGTAGTAGAGAAGACAGACATACATTACCAATTACAAGACTGCATGTATTTTTAACTATGATATCTCAAAGTGTATATCAGAAGTACAGTTTGCTTGTGAGAGTGCATATGAGGGTGTCGTGAAAGTACGAGCCGAGAGCTCTTTACACAGACAGGTAAAAATTATTAGGCAAGGAATGGGAGAAAGGGTTGAGAGGGAAGAACATTTCAGGTAGAGGGGAAAAGATGTACAAGGGCCCTAAGATGGGAAGGAGCACGGGTTGTTTGAGCAAGTAGAAGACTGGAGTGACTGGATCCCAAAGAGTGGTGGGGAGTGGGATTCAAGAGGAGGCTGAAAAAGTAGCCTAGATCAATGGACCCACAGGATTTTCATCTTTAAGAGCCAGACACCTTCTAAGCACTCTTGCCTTGCAAGGTAATATAACTGAGGTTGTGTCTTCCCCTCCAGGCTCACCTTGTGGCAGCCTTTGAACAGAGTCTTGGTAACATGACAATCAGGCTCCAGAGTCTGACCATGACAGCTGAGCAGAAGGTAAGGCAGAAAGGATACTTTAACCCTCCCTACTTGGAGTTAACAACAAACTTGAAAATACTATTCTTTCATTTCAGATCATTGTGTGGATGTTAATGTATTTCTTGAACTGTTAAAGTTTAATTGTAAGGAGTCCAATCTGTTGAGTGAAAATATGACAGATTGATAATGGCATCAATGATAGATCTTGTAGTTATAATCCTACTTTTATGTGTTTGTTCATGCCTGTTGATCCATCTGAAAGGTTTTGTTGAGCTACTTCATTCCCGCTCCTCCTGTGTTG
This sequence comes from Homo sapiens, assembly GCF_000001405.40. Classification (NCBI taxonomy): domain Eukaryota; kingdom Metazoa; phylum Chordata; class Mammalia; order Primates; family Hominidae; genus Homo; species Homo sapiens. The sequence continues at coordinate 20,077,919 of NC_000011.10, forward strand.
AAGCCAAGTTGTACTTCAGTTGAACTCTGTACAGAATGATTTTAGGCTGACCAATAATTTTTTCTGTTCCCTAGGACTCAGAACTGAATGAGTTAAGAAAAACCATTGAGCTGCTAAAGAAACAGAACGCAGCTGCCCAGGCTGCCATTAATGGAGTAATTAACACACCTGAGCTCAACTGCAAAGGTAAAGTAAGGGAAACAGCCTTTAGCCAGAAGACCTGCCTGCCCTTAGGAGCCCTCCCCTGACATCATATGATGCAACCTCCTTGCTAGAAGACAGTGTCTGCGTAATTCAGCTCCATGTCAGGCAAGCAGGAACTGGAAGGCAAACACCTTTAATCAAGTCACTTCTGGCCTCTACAAAGATGGCTATGGTAGTTCATCTTCTTCTCTGATATATCTGAAAAATGGAAGAAAACATGTTTCTATTGGCAGAGTGTTAAAGTATTTTACAACCCTTAATTTCACTAGCACTTTGATATTTGCATGCTGATATATGGCATAAGCTGAACTGAGTTCCTCCCTTATTTGTCCAAGAAAAGATTTCTTTTTTTTTCTGAGACACTCTTGCTCTGTCACCCAGGTTGAAGTGCAGTGGTGCAATCTTGGCTCACTGCAACCTCTACTTCCCGGGTTCAAGTGATTCTCCTGCCTCAGCCTCCCAAGTAGCTGGGATTACAGGCATGTGCCAGCATGCCTGGCTAATTTATGTATTCTTAGTAGAGACAGGTCTTGCCATGTTGGCTGGGCTGGTCTTGAACTCCTGTCCTCAAGCAATCCGCTCACCTCGGCCTCCGAAAGTGCTAGGATTACGAGCATGAGCCACCATGCCCAGCCTAGGAAAACATTTCTAAGTGAATTATTTTGTCCTTGTGTATCTTGGGGTAATGTAGGAGTGCAGGTGACTTAGCTCTTATAACAATAATATTAACAGTAATAGTAATCACAGAAGTAATATGGAGAGCTAGGATTTATGGAATACTTACTACGTTCTAAGGGCAGTGCTAAGTGTTTCAATGATTTCATTATCTGGTTTTCTTTCTACAACAATCTTGTGAGTGTGATTCTGTTCTTTCCTGCTTGTACTGATGAGGACACTAGTGTTCATAGATGAGAGTCACTTCCTTTTTCTTTTTTTGAGACGGAGTTTCACTCTGTTGCCCAGGCTGGAGTGCACTGGCATGATCTCCGCTCACTGTAACCTCTGCCTCCTGCGTTCAAGTGATTCTCCTGCCTCCACCTCCTGAGTAGCTGGGACTACAGGCGCATGCGAACACGCCTGGCTGGTTTTTGTATTTTTAGTAGAGACAGGGTTTCACCATGTTGGCCAGGCTGGTCTCGAACTTCTGACCTCAAGTGGTCTGCCTGCTTTGGCTTCCTAAAGTGCTGGGATTACAGGCATGATCCACTACACCCGGCCGAGGGTCACTTTTTAAGGTCAGGGATTAGGGAGAAACTGAAGTGGGGCTAGAACCTGATGAGTTGGTTTGACCCTACAACTAGTGTTCTCAAAGACCAGCCTTTAGGTGTAGTTCTGTCCTCATGAGAAAAACTATCTGCAAACTTTATGTCAGATATCACACATTTTCAATATCGGTGTTGTTTAGTCTATTGGGCCTCCCGAAAAAGTGATAATAGCTTTGAAATGGGAAGGATTTGCAAATGAGTTGGCTGGACAGAGTCAAGGGAAAAGAATATCCAGATAGAGGGATAGCACATGGAAGGGCCCTAGATGAGGCAGGCATGGCACTTCCAGAGGGCTGCAAGAAGGCCACTGTGACAGGAGCCCAGAGAGCAGGAGAGGGAGGGGGCTAGCAATGAAGGTGCCAACTGCTCAGTTCACAAGCACATTTCCACACCTATCTAAAGCTTAAGAGCTGGTGTTGGGGAAATTCTCCCTACACCTCCCTTGACTTCTGTTTTGTAAAGTGGGGAGAGATAGACCTCATTTAATTGACCAAAGAGGGCAATGCACTCACCTATTCAAGGATCTTAGAAACAGCTGTAGGGATCAGAGTTGATGTATATGTGGAAAACACCCAGTAGTCCTCAGGTGGGTGGGTTTTGCTTAAAGGGCAAAATCCTGAGATAAAGAATAGGGCTCAGGTTGGCAGCTGCTGAAACACCCTGCCTTGGTCTCCAGGAAACGGCACTGCCCAGTCTGCAGACCTCCGCATCCGCAGGCAGCACTCCTCAGACAGCGTCTCCAGCATCAACAGTGCCACCAGCCACTCCAGCGTGGGCAGCAACATAGAGAGTGACTCAAAGAAGAAGAAGCGGAAGAACTGGGTGAGTGCACATCCACTCTCCTGGGGACTGACGGACAGAGTCAGTTGCAGAACTGGCTGCTGCATCTCCCCAGATAAAGTCCAGCCCAGCTACTATCTGTGGAACATAGCACTTTGGGCGTAGATCCCAGGAAATGGTTTGTGGATGGGTTTTTACTAAAATCAATATTGTACTCAGCAAAACACTAGAATCTGTAACATCCCTACCACTTTGTATTTTTTTCTCTTTCATGAGACTTTTCATAAAGTACTCATCTTTCATTTCATATGTGTGTCATTTCTTCCTCATTATATGTTGGCCACAAAGTTTCAGGTACTAGAGGAAAGTTATTCTTAAATGGTTTCTTCATAGATCCAAAATATTTTTTTGAGCATATTGCTAGTTATCCCATCTTTAGCCGTAATCTTTATCTATTTATTTACACAAATGCCTAGGGATATCATCAAACCAACCCTCTCTTTGAAAACTTTTTGACCATGTCCTATAAATAAAAGTGTCCTAATGTCAGTGTTAGAAGTTAGCAAGTAGTTCTAAACCAGGGGTTGTACCTCAAATAGCAAGTTTAATAGAATCAGTCTCCATTACAGTGTTTCTCCATGTTTCATAATCCCAGTGAGTTATTTGAATTTCTGGACAGTGGTGCCTTGAGTGGTTTTTTCCACTCTCCCAGAAAAATTCCACCCCTCACTCTCCATCCAGTTTTTTAATTCTTCTTTAAAGGCTACAGAGCTCTGACTGAGATTTGCTATCCCTTGTCTTCAGTGCAAGAATATCTCAAGTTGATCTGGAGTTGACCAGTGGCCCCGTTCCCCATTTGTGCTGACGGCATCCTGTTTCACTAGTAGCTTCAGTGTCCTCATTCATTCTGTACACTTCTCACTCATTTTGTGTTATCTTGGATGGGTGGCGAGGTCTAGTGATACAGACATCAGGGGTTTAGTAATTTTGGTTGTCAATGACTTGCATTGGAAGCAAGCTAAAAAGCCAGTCTAGTGTGACCCTCTCATCTTTCTGATTAAATTTTCTTTTTTAAGTTACTAATGGCTCTTAGTCAACTTATTTGTTATGACTAAACACAGATAGGATTAATTCATATTGCTGTCTCTAATATGCAATCGATAAACATGGTCAGCTTTGATTTTCAAAGTGACGAGAGAGATATTTTCTACGAAAAATAGTGGTTATTCCATTTTCTTCAAGAAATAAAACGTGCTTATGTTGCTTTAAGACAACTCCCGCTTATCAGTCAAATCAGGGAAGATGGATAATTGGCATCCTCAGCTAATCCCAAAGCTTAGCTCTGTCTGATCTTTGTAATCTCCTCTTCCACCTGGCTTTTCACCAGAGGTAGAGGCAAGGATTTCAGGTGATGGCTTGTGTCCCTAATCCTTCTGTTTCTGTGACTGCTCTCTGGAAATATTATCAGAGGTAGGAAATGGGAGAGAAAAGGGATCTAGATTTGCCCACAAGCTGGACATGTGGTTTATTATAGATGAAACCTGTTGATGGGAGAAAAATCTCATCAGTTTTTAGAATGGCCTGTTTTCTGAATTTTTCAGTGGCTAAGAAAACCCCTGGAACGTATTTTCACAAGGAAAAAAGACTTTAGAAAAAGGAAATTACTTTTAAAAGGCCTGTTTTCAAGATGAAACATTAGTTTTTGGCCTAGAAAAATCTGATTATGGCTTTCAGAGAAGACATTGCATTTTAATTCTTTATGTTCTCATTAAAATGTTTAGGTATCCATTTCCTGCAACAGAGGCGGGGGGGAAAGAATTTTCAGATCCATCTCATGATTTGGGGAAATTGTAATATACTAGTTCCTTTTCCCCCCATATGGTTAATAAATTTCTTTAAAATAACCATTTTCTGAGTAACAAGTGACATGGCTAATTTGCTGCTTATTAGATTATCTTCTTATATACACAAATAGCTGAAACTCCTAAGTGGATAGGTTAAGGAGCTATACAGCCATCCAGGGCCAGTGTGACAGTGAAGCTAGAATTGCTCAAAAAGAAGACATCCTCTCCAACCTCCCCCAAAATTTAAAGCACAGAGAGGTGACTGACAAGAAAAAAGAAGAGAATGAGAAGCACAGGAAGGTGGGAGGCAGCCATTTCAGCCAGACAGGGAAAAGCTGGAAGAACTGGAATTGTAGAGGACTCCCCAACCTGCTATTCCCTTCCTTTCAGAAGGGAGGAACATGCCCCCAGTGCTTTTAAAGATTTGTGTTCCTACTGGAAACCTCCCCTGTGTGTGGTGTTTATTATTAGCCATGTTGTGTCTGAAAGTCCGAAGCTTTCCCTGTCACTGGCTTTCTCTGTTAAAAAATTGTCTTTTTTCCTCCCCCTTCCCCATTTTTGCTTGCGTTTTCTCTGGCAGGTCAATGAGGTAAGCAAGACCAACTTTAATATCAGATACCAAGCTAACCCATCCATTGATATGACTAACCTCATCCGCATCCATCACCGTGTCTGAGCATCCTGCTTTGTTGCTGTGTAACCTCATCTTCCCAACATCCATCTGCTGAGCCAGACTCTGTGTTGCTGTTGGCATCTAGTCTTGAACCAAGAGTAGGCATGGAATGTTACCCACAGATGCAGTCCCTCAAGCTGGCAACACCAGATAACTCTTCCTCCCTTAATGCACTGATTCAAAAGAGCTCTTGGGAACCTCTTCCATTGGTGGGGGGAAAAACATGGGAGAATTAATCGCTTTTTTGTGTGCATGTCTCTGTTTTGCCAAGGCCTAAGCATTGGTTGCCCCCGCTGTGAGACTGACAGTCTTGTATATTCAGTTACGCAGCTCCTTCAAGCAAGCTTTCGGGAAGAAGAAGTCCCCAAAATCTGCGTCCTCTCATTCAGATATTGAGGAGATGACGGATTCTTCTTTGCCTTCCTCACCAAAGTTACCGCACAATGGGTCCACAGGTTCCACCCCACTGCTGAGGAATTCTCACTCCAACTCTCTGTAAGTCTGTCTGTCTAGTCAGATAACATCTTTGGCCCCTGAGAACCTTCTCCAGTAGGAATGGCTAGGAGTCCTGTTATGACACATCTGCTCCTTGGGATCCTTTATGCTTTGCTTTAATAGGACTGTGCATGTTCTTTCAATGCTTTAGGACTGGGAAAGTTGAAAGAGAAAAGAAACTTAGGTTTTCGTTCTGATGGTGTCAATATCCATAACTAACTGGTTGGCCTTAAGCGGGTTACTTAAATTCTCTTTGTTTCCATACCTCTATATATCAATTTGGGATAATGGTTTTTGTGTACGTATCCTAGCCCTAAGAATTGGACGAGATAAATGGATATACAGGAGCTTGCTTCCTGCAGCAGTAAGAAAGGCTGGCCCTGCTCAGTAGGGCTGAATTTCTTTTGAAACCATGGTGTTCCAGGTCTAGAATTAAAGAACTGGAGCACAGGTAGTCTGCAAGGAAAGTTGTCAGAGAGATGAGACAGTGCATGGGAGAAGAGGGAAGTCATGGCCAGGGTCAGGACAGCCACTGAGATAGGGTTAGAGAAAGAAGTTTGGTTGTATAAACTTCAGTTTCCTCACTAGTAAAAATAGGGTTCATTACATCTACTTCACTGGATTCTTGGGAAGGCCAAGTTAAATACTATGCATGAAGGGCCTTTTCCATGCTGTTCCATCTTTCTTCATTCTCAGGGGGCCAGGTCTGTGCCGCTGACCCTAAGTCCACTTAACCAGCCAGCCCACTGAAGACAGCATAAGTGTCTTAAGGCCCTGCCTTAGCAGCTTACCAGATGGGTAGAGGGAGTACAGGCAAAATCAGCCTGTCCAGAGGCCAGATCTTTGTAGTATACCAACTGCATGGGAGTGGAAGAGAGGAAACAGAGGATAGTAGGGTTATGACCTTCTTTTGGTTTTGGTTTTGGTTTTGTTTTTGAGATGGAGTCTTGCTCTGTTGCCCAGGCTGGAGTGCAGAGGCATGATCTCGGCTCACTGCAACTTCTGCTGCCCAGGTGCAAGCAATTCTCCTGTCTCAGCCTCCTGAATAGCTGGGACTACAGGCGCATGCCACCATGCCCAGCTAATTTTTGTAGTTTTAGTAGAGACGAGGTTTCACCGTATTGGTCAATCTGGTCTCGAACTCCTGACCTCAGGTGATCCACCTGCTTCAGCCTCCCAAAGTGCTTGGATTACAGGCATGAGCCACTGCACCCAACCAGGGTTATGACTTTTAAGCAACCTCACCCACTATTGAAACATGGCCCTGTCAGGGTCTCTACTTTACTGAGTTAGATGATCAATTCCTCTTTTCTTGGAGAACACCCTAGTAAGAGGTAGCCACAGGGGTGTGTACTTCCTACTGCTATGGGTGAGGGTAAAATTGAATGGGGGAAGGAAGAAGGACACTGAGGGACTGGACTTCGGTTTGGCCCTGCAGTGCCCAGCCCAGTGTCCTGTGTTATTTTGAGTGAAGAATTAGACAAATTACTGAGAGAGTGTGTCCTCCTCCATCTGCAGAGTGCCTAAGGAAAGAGTAAAGAACCAGTTGCCTGTGACTCTCACACATGCCATCATCCCAAAGCATCCCAACTCAGTTGTCTCCTGACCAGGAGAAAAAGGAACTCATCATGTCTTCTTTATTTATTGATTTAAACTTTTTGTATAGCAACCTGTGTGAGCAGAGCACTATTCCAGATGCTCTGAAGAGACCAAAAAGGGGTTAACCAAGCCAGGTGCAGTTACTGTCGCCTGTAATCCCAGCGCTTTGGGAGGCCAAGGAGGGAGGATTGCTTGAGGCCAAGAGCTGGCAACCAGCCTGGTCAATATAGTGAGACTCTGTCTCTACAAAAAAAAATTTTTTTTAATCGGTCAGGCATGGTGTTGCATACTTGTAGTCCCAGCTACTTGGGAGGCTGAGGCAGGAGGGTCACTTGAGCCCAGGAATTTGAGACTCCAGTGAGCTGTGATCACCCTGTACTCCAGCCTGGGTGACAGAGTAAGGCCATGTCTCTATTTAAAAAAAAAAAAAAAGTTAAACAGATTCTCCACCCCTGAGAAGAGTAAATACTAGTGGAGACATGACATAGTACAGTTCATTCTACTCCTGAACTTTCACTCTGAAGGCCCCATTCTCAGTTGTGGTTACGATAAAGTACAACACAAAGTTCCTACTCATGGACCCTGTATACCAAGAGAGGAGATGAATGTTAAACAAATAAATCCTGAATAAACTAGGAAAATTAGAGAGTGCTAAGGGCTAATGCTGTGAATTAAAACAGTGCTGAGATACAGAGTACCTTGGCAGCAACTTTAGATGGGGTGGTCAGAAAAGAGCCCTCTGAGTAGGTGACATTTCAGCTGAATCTGCATGCCAGGGGGAGCCACTGGGTTAGTTTCAGCGGGTAACATTAGCTGCTGTAACAAACTCAGCCCAACGCTCAGCAGCTTTACATATGACTGTTTATTTCTTGCTCACTCCAAACCCAGTGCAGATAGTCCTAGTCAGCAGGTGGCCTGCCCTCTAGTGATGTAGGCACTGAGGCTCCCGCCATCCACAGGGCCCAGTCCACTGCTCAACATTCTGTGTCCAGCCAGTGGGCGTGGGGGTTTGGAGAGTGCAGAGGAACCTGCAGGAGGGTTTTAAGGACCAGGCCTAGAAGAGGCTTATGTCGCCTCTTCCCACAGTCCACTGACCAGGACTCAAAGCCATACCACCTGCAGCAGAAGAAGTGAAGGAGGAAATGGGCTTTGGTGAACACATAGCAGCCTCTGCCACCCCAGCCTCCCAATGAGCAGGGCAGTCTTCCTGACCCAAAAAATAAATAACACAAGGAGCCTGATGTAGAAACAGGTTCGATATGTCTGAAAGAGAGAGGGATGGACAGCGTGACTTCCCACATATGCGAGTAGGCTACAGCCACAGACATAGTCAGGGCCTAGAACACGCAAGGCTTTGAAGTGAATTCGCATCCAATTTCATGTATAATGGGTGGGTGTGGTGGAGTTTGAAACAGGAATATGAGATAATCTGAATTTACAAAGATCAGTCTCTGTTCTGTGTATAAGGAATATGGGGAAGGGAGATCACCCAGGGGCTCTTAGCCACTCTGGCCCACTTGTTCTTTGAACATTCCAATCACACTCTCCACCTCAAGGCCTGTGTCCTTCCTGTGTCCTCTGCCTGGTGTGCTCTTCCCTCAGATATTTATTTCCTTAGGTCTCTGCTCAATGTGACTTAATGAATAAGGCCTTGCCCATTCACTTGCATAAACCAACATTCTACCATGAGCCAGTGCTCCCCATGGTCCCTTTGCCCCTGCTTCATTTTTCCCCATTGCACATGTTGCCCCCTGACACCTGACATAGAGGTTTTCCTTGATTATTTGTTCTCTGTCCCCCACCCCAACCCCAGATCTACAGTAGAAGCTCCATGGAGGTAAGTACTGTATTGGTTTTGCAGGCACTCAAATATTTGGTGGAATGAATGAGCCACTGATAACAGTAGTGAGTTCTGGATGTATTTAGGAGATATTCTTGAAGAAAAGTTGACAGTGTATGGTGATGGATCAGATGTGAGTGCAAGGGAAAGAGGAGAGCCATCCTGGGATATTCCTAGATTTACAACTTGAGTACCTGGGATGAGTGGGAGACACAGAGGGGGGCAGAGTGGGGAGTCGGAGCACTACTTTGGTTCCATTAAATTTGAGATGCCAGCAGACATCCATATCCAGGTCAACCAGCCTGGACTTCCTAGAGGTGTAGATTTGGGAGACACAGACTTATTGGTGGTGTCGAAAGCTGGGCAACTGGAAGAGTTCTCCAAGGGGTTGAATGAAGACGAAGATGATCAGAGGGCAAGAGGGCAAGAGGACTGAGCTCTGGTGCACTCTGATATTTGAAGTTCAGAAAGAGGGAGTTACAGCTGCCGGCCAGCAAGGTGGGAGGAAACCTGGGAGCAGAGAGGAGAAACTGTTGCTGGAGGGAGTAGGAACGGGGCCAGATGCTGCTGGGCGGCCAAGTAAGATGAGCAGAGAGAGGCGGTGATGCACTCAGCTGTGCAGGACCATGGCAGAACTATCCTCCAAGCCACTTTCCCCAGAGGAATCGGGTGGGGTTGGCTCCTGGCTCCCCAGCCCTTTTCTTACATTCCACAGCATCCATGCACACTGGAGATGTTTGTTTTTGGTCTCGTTTTCCAAAGGGTAGGCTGAGAGCAAATGCTTGTTTCCAACCTCGAAGGGTTTGTAAGAATGTGCAAATCTAGATGTGAGAGGGAGTTCAAAGACAAAACCATAGGCAGAGGAGTTGGGCTTAGGAAATTCCCCAATCCGTGGGCAAAAGGAATGGTAGTTGTGGTAAGGCAACGTTTTCCCACACTCGAGGCATTTTAAAATTAGGTATGCCACCAGCCCTGACTGTGGACAAGACAGTGGAAAAAGGCTTGAATCACAGTTAAGGGACTGAGTAGGGAAAAACACACATAAGGTGTCTTCAGTAAGCAGTTTATGAAGTGGACAAGCATGTATTGAGCGCCTAGTGGGTATAGTTCAGGAACACAGGCTCTAGAGCTGAGCAGACCTGCCAGGTTTGAATCTGCCTCTATCATTTTTACATGGTGCAGTCTTGGGCCTGCTTGTGTCCATGTCTCTGCCTCCCCATTTTAAAACTGGAGATAATTACAGTACCTCTTCATGGAGTGAGTAATGTACAAAGGAAATGGAATAATATACTTCAAATACCTAGCCCATTTGTTTAGGTATTCCATAAGCATTTGTTAGGTACCCATTATGTAAATGTGATCAGATGCCAGAAATGATGCAGAGAATAACCCTGGTCCCTGAGGAGCCAGCAGCCAAGCAGAGGTAACATGTTAAGTTGAAATGAAATTATCAGCGATACAGCATAAGTCTAGTCAGGGAAGGAACTAGGGGAGAAGGCTCTGTCTTGGGCATTAGGATTAGGGACTAAAGCTTAGTTAAGGCTGCTGCAAAAGAATGTGTTTTCTTTTTTGTTTTGAGACTGAGTTTCGCTCTTGCCTCCCAGGCTGTAGTGCAGTGGCGCGATCTTGGCTCACTGCAACCTCGACCTCTCAGGTTCAAGCGATTCTCCTGCCTCAGCCTCCTGAGTAGCCGGGATTACAAGTGCCCGCCACCAAAGCTACACCACCCAGCTAATTTGTGTATTTTTAGTAGAGACGGGGTTTCGCCGTGTTGGCCAGGCTTGTCTCGAACTCCCCACCTCAGATGATCCACCTGCCTCAGCTGGGATTACAGGCGTGAGCCGCCAACCCGGGCCAAGAATGTGTTTTCAACATCATGTCTACGTTATAGGGCATCTGTCTCATGAGGCCTCATCATTGTGTGTTTCTGAGAGCTGGCTGATTCTGGAGGAGCATAGGGAGGACAAAGTCCTCCCAACACAGACTTTCTTCATTTCAGTTTGGTACCGTTTGTAAAGTCAAGGGTTTAGGCCAAGCTCTGCAAAGTAACCCATGTGATACGTTCCACAACGTGAGTGCCAAGAAGGTATTTTCTCTCTTGCTGAGAGCTTTCTGGGAAAAGGGTGCAGATCAGGTGAAGATGACTTGAGCAAGGTGCCTTATCGTGGAGTGCTGGACAGACGAGCCTCACATGGTGTCAGCCAGAACAGACTGTTCTCTGCAGTGAATCTGAGCCTTCAAGATTCATGTAGGACATGATTTGGCTAAGAAGGGAGTATCACAGTGAAATTTTGTTCAGACTTTACACTCCATTTAAACCAAGAAACCATAGTCTTCTCAAGATAGAACCAGTTTTTGCAAGCTCCTCCTGCAAACCTCCCAAACCGAAGAAAAAAAAAAAAAGCATGGTTCTATCAGTAAACCTCACAAACCACAGGCTATTCAAAGTACAGAGAGCTGAGAAAGAAAGGATGTTGCAAATTCTAAAGACATTTCTGTCTCGCCCTTTTAGTCCTGAATCTATTGGCTTCAGTCTCTCAAAAGTGTGAGATGGAAATAATTAGATCATTTTCAGGAGTTCTTTGGGTTTTTCAATAAGATTTTGAAGCTAAGAATCTTCCTTGGTGACTGGTAACTTTTAAAAACATAAGGTGGTTTTACCGTGTCTCTCAAATCAAAAAAGTTCAGGTTCAGGTCAAGAAAAGAGCAACAGAAACATTTGGCTATTCAAGTGTTAAATTTTTCTTCCAGTTCTTTCTGCCCCCGAAATACAATTTCATCTCTTTTAACAATTTTATAAATCATTTTCCTTTGGGAATTAAAATTTCCACACCCTCACCCAGTTTTACAGGTCAGGTTTTGTTTGGCCCCAAACCCATAGCTTGGGTCTTGGAGAGCCAGACTCATGTGATCATTTATTTCTGCAGAGACCACATGCTCATCATCTCCTTTAGACATAATCAGCTTCAGCTTTGTAACTTTATGAACTTGAGAGTGGGGGTGTTTGGGGTTGTTTTTCTGTCTTCAGTCCAAGAAATGTCAAAGCTTTCTATTCTGGATCACCCAGTAACCCAGATGCTAAGATCGTCGAAACTCACAGAACTATTTTTTTTAAGAGAACTATCTTTCCTAACATTGCAATTCATCACGACTTGTATGATCTTCTACTTTGTGCTGATTTGCCAGGTGTTTGAAGAGCAAACCTAAGTAACTAAGGAGCCTAAGCTAGAAGAACCACCTCTTCAGAAAGAGGAACTCAACAGGGTCCCATGGTGACCTTGACCTGGTGTGCAGCAGGGAAAAGAAGATAATTAGCCAGGCTGTTGCAGAGTTTTCAGATACAACTTTGGCTTGCCTGTCACACCATCCCGTCTGTTCTCTAACTCCCTGAAGAGGTTTCCCTTCTTGCCCTGAGTGTGTTAAGCAGTGTGGGGGCTGAGAGAACTAAAGAAGGTTGATCTGTCTAGACACTTTTAGGGGAGTGAGTTTTCAGAATGTGATCAGGAACAGATTAACACCTTCCACGCATATCTTTAGGTTTCATCCCCATTTTGGCAAATAAAAATCACCCCTCAGTTGTTTAATAAAGAAGTTTCTAATCTTTAAAACTGTAAGCTGACCCTGCTTCTCTGAGTCGGTTTGGAACTCAAGGGCGTGTGGTGTCATGGAAGCCCAGCTGTGTACACATGGTGGGGGAGGGGGTTATCAAACTGGAAGGTTACTACTCCCTTTTGCCAGCTCCTGCTTATCCTTATATTCCTGGAATTTTGCTGAAAGGCACACCAAAGCCATTCTGATTGCCAGAGCTCAGCAAAGAAAGAATGTAGAGAATGAAATCTTGTCTCTAAAAATAAAAATAAAAATAAAATTTAAAAAGTGAAACCACAAAAAGCAGGAAAAGAGTGAAAGACAAAAGTAGGAACTCAGGAAAAGAGTGAAAGACAAAAATAGGAACAAAGAAAAAGGACAACAAATAGAAAAGTAACAATACAGTAAATAATAATCTAACTATATTAACGATTTTAAACATCAGTGGTCTAAATAAACCAATTTAAAGAAGAAAAAAAGAATACAGAGAAGGAATAAAATCTGTTTTCAGGTGCTTTTGGCATTGTCACCCACAGGAAGCACCAGGCAGCTGGTTATTCACAGTTACTGCTAAACAAACCTGATGATTGATGTGGACCAGTGTTCAGTAGGGGACTAAAAGGAGCTGCTTTCATCAGTAACATTCCTCTTTCCCTAGAATTTCAGAATGCATGGATAGTGAAGCTGAGACCGTCATGCAGCTCCGAAATGAGTTAAGAGACAAGGAGATGAAGCTGACGGATATCCGCTTAGAAGCTCTCAGTTCTGCCCACCAGCTGGACCAGCTCCGGGAGGCCATGAACAGGATGCAGGTGAGAGCCCAGGAGCATGGGCTGAGCTCAAGGCTGTCTATGAAGGAGCTCCCAGAGGCTGCTCTCCACTAAGCCCTGAGGGCTGCATCAGAATCTGGTGGCGGCCCTCGCTTTCCCAGCCTTTATCTCTTTTCAGTCCCTCCCACACATTGCTCAAAGACCCAGTCTTTTGGAAGAATAAGAGTACCCATGCTCTTCCTTTACGTAATACTTTTGGTGACTCCCCTGGTGCCTGTGGCATGTGGTACAGTCTCCTTCAGCTGGCCTTCAAGGCCTTCTGCAGGGTCGTTTCCACTGTTAATCCACACCACCCTCCCCAGCTCCTCTTCCCAGAATCTACTCGCCAGCCAGATGGAGTCGCTGACTGCCCCCTTTGCATCCTTGGAAATTCCTCTTTCATATTGTTCCCTCCACTGGGTATATTCCTCTGCACATCCAAGTTAGACCCTTCCCTTAATGCTCGGCCTGATTCCTTTCCAAGTCTTGCAGCTGGAGAGTTAGTACCCTTATCTGAGTATTCCTGTAGATTTGTTCTTACAGCCCCTCCCACCTTCTGCCATGGAGTGAAGACATTTGGGTCTTCTGGGCTTTTTGCATACCTTTCTGTGGACATAGCACCAATGCCTTGCACATTGTAGGTTCTTCATGAATATTCGTAGAATGAAAGATACCTCTAGAGTCTGCTGGGATCTTAATGGAGTCAGTGTTTCACAAAGGAGGTTCCCTGAAACACTCTTTCCATGAGAAGCTCTATGAAAGGAGAATACCTTGATCAAATATGTTTGGAAAATGCTGCACACCATGTGCCTCTGTTCAATTCATGGCGTAGAGGAGCTCATTAAAGATTCTGAGAAGTCCTGCAGGAAAGAAGCCTGTAAAAGCCAGAGTTGCACAAACCTCTTAGATCATAAGACTCTTTTTCACTTAACCCTCAAGCAGCAGACTCTGGGAAGCATTTCAGAGGTCTTTTCAAAGGCCTGTTCTCTGAATGGATGGACCTCCCATGGCAGCATGTCTTATGTCTACCGCAGGGTTAGCAAACACTGCTAAATCTCTCTGAGGGTGTTGTTCGCCTTGGGTGGAAGACCAGCCTGGTTTCTGCAGGGAACTTTCAGATCCTTCCTTCAGAAAAATCTTGTTCACATTACTTCTGCCTACTAAGGGAGCTTCTCCATTACTCTTTGCAGAGTGAAATAGAGAAGCTGAAAGCTGAGAATGATCGGCTGAAGTCAGAGTCTCAAGGCAGTGGCTGCAGCCGGGCTCCTTCCCAAGTGTCCATCTCTGCCTCCCCGAGGCAGTCCATGGGCCTCTCCCAGCACAGCTTGAACCTCACTGAGTCAACCAGCCTGGGTGAGTGGCCTACAGGGTTTGGGGGCAGGAATGGACCTACAGCTGGCACCCTGATCTCTAAGCGAGAACCCCAAAATAAGCAGATCAACAGATCAAATGGAGAGGCAACAGGCGTGTGTGCACTTGGGGTGTGTATGTGTCTGGGTGTGAGTCTGCTACCAACATGAGCCCAGCCGTTAGACTGCTCTCATGCTTTGCTCCAGCACCCCAAATTCTCCAAGCCCTGAGCTTGGATCCCCTCGCCCACCATGCTGAGTTTGTTTGATCCATTTTAAGAGGCTGACCTGCAAGCTGAATGCTGTACACAAACCCCATAGTAGCAGGTCTCAGTTGAGGCAGTGGCTTGGTCTATGATCTTCCTGCCTTCAGGATGGATTCCAGGCTGGTGCAACCATCAGTGAACACAATCTAGGTTTTCTTTGTAAGCGTATTAAGGCTGATGCTTTTATTTTTTATCCATGATGCTGCTGCTGTTGTTGTTTTGGTTGAGTCTCTCCCTCGCACTTCCATCCGGCAAGGTGCATTGTCAGCCTACTGGTTCTTTGGTTGGTCCACCATTGGTTTCTGTGATTGCATTCTCCATTTTGCCCTCTCCTCTTCCCCTACCCCCCCACCCCCTGCACCCTGACACCTGTTTGTCCCGCTGCTGTGCCAACCTGCAGCGGGGGTGTCAGGAAGCTGGCTTTGCTGTCCCCATGTGCCTAAGGCTGTTGATGTTTTCCATTCGCAGACATGTTGCTGGATGACACTGGTGAATGCTCGGCTCGGAAGGAAGGAGGCAGGCATGTTAAGATAGTTGTCAGCTTTCAGGAGGAAATGAAGTGGAAGGAGGTTAGTTGGATCCCTTTCCCTGCTTTGCCTGTCCCTCCCCCAGGTAGAACTACCTAGCTTAGTGATCTAATTGTAAAACCTCTATCACCTTGGAGCCTAAGGTGATTTGGAAATACTACTAACCCTTCTCTTAACTAACCATAATCCCTTGCAGCATTCTGACACAAGTAAAGTGTGCGAACGGCATTTCCCTTTCTCGTGTGCTTGAAAGTCTAATAAAGAATACTAAAAATGGTCCCACGTTTCACTTTCATGTAATTAACTAAACACTAACATCCATTGGAAAGGGCCTTTCTGAATGTAATATACTCCCAAAGCACTTCAGAGGCAGCTATGCACATTCAGCATGTAAGGTACAGAAATAAACTGACCACATGCAGCCGACCAAGAGCACCAGTTTTATCGGTCATCAGTCACCAAGAGTACACATCTTGGTAGACATCAAGGGATGGAGATGCCAAGCCCTGGGAGCATGCAGGTGGCTGAAAATAGAGCTAGTGGGGCGTCCTGACTCCCCAAGGCTGGGGAATCCGAGTTTTCCTAGTACGGTTTCTGTTCACTTCCAAAGTCTAGGAACTTCCAGAGTCTATACCACTGCCAGAGACTATTTTGGGATGGGGGCTAGAGCTGATATTGAAAGTTGAATTTTAGCCAGTGATTAAAACCCAGTGATGCTTTGAATGACTGTTTCTCGAATAAATGTAAAAAGGCCTCATGAGTCACCATTTCAAGTTCCCTTGAGTTTTTTGTTTGTTATTTCTTAGTATTTCTAGCCAACATGCTATTGTAGTTTCAGACAGCTAGGGAACCCACAGAACAAAGCGTCTGCAGCCAGACCTTTCTTAGGGGATTCAGCTTTGCGGCTGGCTTGCTAGCCTCACTATAGGGGGTAAGCTCAGCATTTTGGCACTTCCATTAGCGTCATCTAGCCATGAAATATATAGTAGATAGCTCCGTTTTCAAAACATAGCTAGTAAAGTGATGGACTGTTAGGGGAAACTCGTTCTTTTTTCTTTTCTTTATCTTTTTTTTTTTTTTTTTTTTTTTGGAGGCAGAGTCTCACTCTGTTGCCCAGGCTGGAGTGCAGTGGTGCGATCTTGGCTCACTGCAACCTCTGCCTCCCAGGTTCAAGCGATTCTTCTGCCTCAGCCTTCCAAGTAGCTGGGACTATAGGTACCTGCCACCATGCCCGGCTAATTTTTGTATTTTTAGTAGAGATGGGGTTTCACCATATTGGCCAGGCTGGTCTCAAACTCCCGACCTTGTGATCCACCTGCCTCGGCCTCCCAAAGTGTTGGGATTATAGGCGTGAACCACCACAGCCGGCTGGGAAACTCATTCTTACAGTAAATGCAGGTTACACCTTGTGGATTATTTATTCTAGTGATTGTCAATATGAACACATAGAGCATACCTTTTACAAAAGTTTACAAGTCACCTTCAAAAGTTATATTATTCTGCATCACTACAGCATCCAGGTGAGGTTGGTTGACCAGGGATTATTATCCTCATTATACAATTGAGAAACCCGAGACCCCAAACATTACTTATTTGAAGCCAGGGGCAAGTGGTGGGGTCAGATCATGTCACTGCAAGACTGCTGCTCTTTTCTCTGCTGATTTTGCTTAGCCGCCATATGACACCTCCCCCACCTCCACCCAACCACGCTCCTGACTCTGATCCTTATGAGCATGTAAAAACCCAATATTATGGCATGTTCTATCAGCTTTTCTTTTATCACTGTGATCTGGTTAGCTGCCACTACGCAAAGCCCTGTGAACAGAGATGCAAAAGAGTTAGAAAAAGATGTTTTGAGAGTATTCTTCCCAGAGTTTTACTAGTTTTCTGAGTTGCACATGTTTTAAGTTTTAACAAGAATAAAAACAATAAATGTTATTTAAAAACAAGATAGAAGAAAAAATAGAAACACATTTTGTCCTGACAATGTTTAAGATCTAGTAAGGAGGTAAACTTGATATGCAAAAATATGACAGAAATACCTAAAACTAAATATAAATTAGTACAGAATATATCATTATATAAGTTACGTACAGAATTGCCGAAGCAATTTAAGCTCTGAGCCTGATGGGGTTAATCACTGAAGGCTTCCTGGAAGAGGTGAGTTTATAAGCAAGGTTTGAAAAGAGAGAGATGCTAGACAGATGTGGAGAGAGTTCCATACAAGGAATATGTGATTTATGCCCTGTCTGACACATTTACTTAGCAAAAGTTTCCATATTCCAGAGAGGAAATCCTCTTTTCCTGACTCTTGGACCGCTGTTTTAGCAGTAAAGCAGGGAAAGGTATTAAGACTATTACTTCCACCTAAGTTATACCTGGTTTTAATACAAATAGGACTTTTATTCCCCTCTCAAACCATTGGCGGAGTTCTAAGGCAACCTGAGTCCTCTGCTGAACTGAGTCAGAAAAGATCCACCTGTTTTTCACCTGTGTACATTTCCTTACCCTTAGGATTCCAGACCACATCTCTTTCTTATTGGCTGCATTGGAGTTAGTGGCAAGACGAAGTGGGATGTGCTCGATGGGGTGGTTAGACGGCTGTTCAAAGTAAGTGTTTCAAGACAACGGCTACAGCATACTACCTAACATGGGCATCCGGGCCTGGGGAGGAAAAGAGAGGTTGATGTCCTGAGCTTGGCCATTTCTCAGACCTGTCCCCTTCCCTACATGTTAATGTTGCTGGAACTTGTTCCCTGGCTCTCAAGGGAATGGAAGGACAATGGTAAGTACAGACTGGTCATCGGCCAAATTCTTGCCGTCTGCCCTTTGCAGTGGTGGGCCAGCTAGTGAGTGTGATCTGAGCAACTCTTTGATCCTCTCACAGTGAACTGCTAATGTCCAACTCTCTTTTCACCTTAGAATTGTGTCTTAGGACATATGCTTCGGAGTATGTAATCTGTGGCCAGGGCTTAGACACCAGATTTCTAGCCTTCATTTTGGGGGATTTGATCTGATTTTCCCGGTATCCTGTGCCAACACTTCAGAGTCTTTGATTTGTTTTACGAGTGACATTAATGTCTGATCGATGGCCAGGCTCAAGGATGTTGCCATACTTATTTCTCTATTCTTTTTAATCACATCATTAGATTGGGTGTTTGCCATGGGATAAATAACTAATGAGTACCAGGGTGAACCTTGAAACACATGGTGATTTGAAGGAAGCTTTTGGTACATTTTTTCTATTGTCCTGAAGTAAGTCAACAACTATAAGGGCTCATTAATCATATTCCCTGAGTAGTAATAATAGTCCACGTTTTTTGTGCCAGACACTATGCCAAGCCCCTTATATTATCCCATTTAAAGGTGAAGAAAGTGAGGGTCAGGTTGGGCACTTTTTCAAGGTCATGGATCTAGAATTAGACCCCGTTGGTCCAGTTTAGTTGGTCTGACTTCAAAACCTAACTTAACTATTATGTTGGTTCAAAAGTAATTGCACCACCATAATTACTTTTGCAACAACCTAATAGTACACTATAGTTTCTTTCTAACAGCTAGATCCAGGTAGCCTCATACAGAGAAAATTCTGTTTTTTGACTGGAGATTGGTCCCCATCCTGGTAAGCCAGCCTATAGAAATGAGACCAGAGAAGACATATGAATGGCTTAGATGGACCGATTCTCCGACCTAGGCCAAAAACTTATCTCTGGTGATGGACAGTTGGGACATCCTTGGATTAGAATAACAGTTTGGGCTGAAAAGAGACACATTGGCATCATAGTAAGTGAGGAAATGAGACCATGCAAAGCCTGTTACTGGGATTCCACCTAAGTCATCGTGCAGTCACCTCCTAGTACATGGACCTTAGTTCTACATTTACTAACCTAAAACCTTTTGTTCACTCAACTAAGAGGGAACACTTTCCAAATTAAACACACGTTTTCCTTCTCAAAGATCTAGAGCTGATTTTTTCTAGCAGTCTGCATTTTAATCTCTTTGTATGATCTTTGAGCCAAAAGAAGGGGATGGAAGAGAGATTTCCTGTCAAAATTACTTTTTCGTGAATTTTCCAGCACCATTCACAGGCCCTGATGTCTTCAAGACTTCAGCCGAACTTAGGAAAAGCAGCCTAGCTTTTCCGTGCTTGGTTCATCCAGACTAAACGTTCACAACCTTGTTAGGGGTTTGTTTTTTTTCTTCCACTGCTAACCAAATAAATCTGTATTTTAAGAGGCCTGTGGTACTCGGGCTTTATCCCCTTAGAAAGTCAGTTTTTCTCCCCCTCATCCCACAGCTCAATTTCAACTCAGACATCTGAGAAAGAAGAGAATATGATCATAAATCACCCAGGGAAAACATGAGTCATGGGCAGATTTTAGCCACATCTTTGATGGGGTCTTTATTTTTTATTTTTTCCAGGAATACATCATTCATGTCGACCCAGTGAGTCAGCTAGGGCTGAATTCAGACAGCGTTCTTGGCTACAGCATTGGAGAAATCAAGCGCAGCAACACTTCCGAAACACCGGAGCTGCTTCCTTGTGGCTATCTGGTTGGAGAGAACACGACCATCTCAGTGACTGTGAAAGGTAATTGAGCTTGTTGCAGAAGTCGGAGCTTTCAGGAATTGCAGTGTTTGTTTTGTGACTTGGCATAGGCACTTGTGGCCCCAGTTTTGTTTGTGCATGTATTTGTGGGCTGCTTGTCTCCCTTCTACCACAGTTACTCTATGCAAGTTGAACCGTCTTTTGCTTTTTCAACCACCTTAGGAAACAAAATCATTTTAGTTTATTGCTGCAATTATCTAACAAAAGATCCCATTAGCCTTATGACTCTGAGATGATGGAATCTTAATAACCCTGTTGAAATAGGGCTTTACTAATACTGATGAATTACTCTTGCCAGCAAGCTTTGGATGCAGTCCCGTTCTACAGATGGGAAAACCACGACTTGCAATAGGCTGTAGGAGTCACTCTGAGCATCCTGATGAAACTGCTGAAGCTTGTGCCCACGCATGATGCTGCTAGAGCTTCCAGTTTCTCATTACCTAGTGATATTAAGCCCCAGGCCAGTGGATTCCTTAGAACTCCAGGCCCACAAAGTTCACTGAGGAAAAAAAAAGCTTCACTGCCATGCAATTCTGGGAAACTACATCGTTATCCCCATTTGTGTTTAGGGGACAGGAGTGCACTGGTACATCAAAGGCTCTGTCATTCAGTGTCCTAACTCCTGCTGTTAAAAAGGCTGTTTAATCCAGTCTGTCCCAAATGTATTTGATTGTAAAACCCTATCATTTCCTATATGTTATGGACCACTTGAATATAGACTTTCATAAATACTGTACTAGGCTCATTCTTTTGTGTTGTCTCATTTCTTACTTCCCTGAAAGGCACTGCTCTTGACTGCAGTTTTGCAGTTGTTTGATGCAAGGTGTATTTCCTGGTTGGTAGAATTTCCACAAGCACCCCACCATTTTCCATCAGCAGGAATTAAGATCTTGCTCTGCAGGTGGCAAGTGGTACATATTGCTTGAGCCTCACACAGCCTCCTCCTGCTAGCAAGTGAAATTCCACAATTGTGCCTTTGGACTAAAAGTGACAGAAACAGACTCAAAAGTAGCTGTAACAAAAAAGGAAATGTATGGGCTCATGGCCTTGGGCAATCCAGGGGTACACCTCAAGCACAGCTGGATCCAGGTGGTCAGACAGTGAATCAGGACCAGGCCTGCCTCAGCTTTGCCCATCGGCTGTGCTTATTTATTGAGCTCTTTGTACCTGGTTGATGAAATGGCCCCTGGTAGCCCAATTCCTTCTTCTAGCTTAGGAACCTGAAGGAAAGAGGGGTTTTTGGGAAAATGTAACAGATAATTCCTAGGGATGACTCTGGCCCACTATAGGTCAAATGCCCATCACTGAATTGGTCATTATGACCAGGGAGAGGATTTGTCCGAGCCTGGGCACCAGCCCATCCATTTGGGTTGGTGGAAGAGCTGGACCAGTGGAGGAGAATTGGTGGAGTTGCTGGATTGGTTCCACTTGAACCACCAGGAATGAGCTCCCCATGGGAAAGAAGAGTTCTACCATGAGGGGAAGCAGGAAGGAGTATCAGACCCACTGGAACAATCATCCTCGACAAGAACCCTTTAAGGAGAGCCTTTTATGTCCTGAGTTCAAATTGCATTTCATCCCTCCTGCCAAGCATGCGTTGTTCACTTGCTGGTTTTACCTGTGAGCATTACAAAGGACTGAGGAGTAAAAGGAATGGCCTATTGCTGAGACCAGGCCAAGCCTCTCTAGAAAGTAACAAGATTACCTGCCTCTAGTGGAGCGTGCCACCCCTCTGCAGACCCTGATCCATCGCTGCTGTCAGCACGTCAAGTTTTAGCACCTCAAGGGATCAGCTCAGGTTTATTTTTCAGTGACACCTGACTCTTCTCTTTCCTAGAGTACTTAAAACTTATGCCTTCAAGACACTAAAAACCACTCAAGGATTTGAGCTGAAAGAGTTGCCTGAGCTGCAGTGATTCACTTCAGTGGTACCAGGGGAAGGGGGTTTGACTTTGCATTTCCTCAAGTGAGCTCTTGTGCAAAATAGTCACTTCCTGTGGGGTTTATGGCAGAAGACCGAAACAGAGCAGTACATATATATACAGAGAGGGTGTTCTAGTGGTTTTTTCCTGTGTTTATTATTATTATTAAATTTAGAGACCCTACACTCCATACTTTGCATTGAGGTTTGAGCAAGTGTACACTACATCAAGCTCAGTAGCAGGAAAATCTTAGGCTTGTCCCTAGCAGATAAGACATCTGGGGGCCTTTGTCATGTTCATTCTGGAAGAGTCATTGTACACTTAGATATAGATGCATTGGGGGGATCTGCTAGCAGTGACTGAGTACGTAGAAGGAATATGCTATTATAAAACAGTACATACTCTTCAGTTTACTTTTTATTAATTTTGCTGGTTTCTTGAGAGTACCTTTTAACAATGACCTGAGGTTCTGGACAGCTAACCTTGGATGGATCTTCTCTTAGAGACAGTATCCAAAAGATACCCCTTTTGAAGCCAACAACCCTGATTAATGACATTGTCCCAGATAGGAAAGGAGAAGGATAAGTTTCCACTTGATGTTGTTGAGGACCAAGAGTCCCAGCTAACAACATTTCAGGCTAGGTCTGCCAGTATTCACATTCCGGAATCAAATGATCCCGCCTTGCATTTTTCCTCCTTTTAAAGATAAAAGTGGTGTTGCCTTCATGGCACATCTTAGTGTGGATAGCAGTGGTACCTGGTATGTGGGAGGGAGCAGGGTGAAGAGGCAACCTCAGGGTTGTGACAGACAGGACTCAGGTTTGGTTTGGGCAGATGCCATAGGTATAGTATACTAGAGGGGTGTGTGTGTGTGTGTGTGTGTGTGTGTGTGTGTGTGTGTGTGTGTAGTAAGTATAGTAAATCCAGACAGGCAAATAGAGCCCAGAGCCTCATGAATTCTGCAGAGGACAGATAGGGACTGAGAGCCAAAATGTTCAAGGTGAGTTTGAATCTGGGAAGTTAGCCAAGACAGGAGACAGAAGCACATGGCGTTGATGAACAGGGAGGTGACTTCCTAGAGCAGCAGCACTTTGCTCTCAGCCTCCAGTGTTCCTGGGTGTGCAGGAGTCTCAGGTGAGTGGACTGCCGAGGAGAGGAATCACCTCAGGTCTTGGCAGTCCCAGTTAGGCAAGCACAGAGAGCTGCCTTTTCTACAGGGCTTCAGATGATTCCTGTCTCTCTCAAATGCAGGGCTCGCAGAAAACAGCCTGGACTCACTGGTGTTTGAGTCCTTGATTCCCAAGCCCATCCTGCAGCGCTACGTCTCCCTCCTGATAGAGCACCGTCGGATCATTCTCTCTGGCCCCAGCGGCACTGGGAAAACCTACCTGGCCAACCGGCTGTCTGAGTATATAGTGCTTCGAGAGGGACGGGAGTTGACAGACGGGGTTATCGCCACCTTTAACGTGGACCATAAGTCCAGCAAGGTGAGGAGGTCATTCTGAGTCTGCTGTATTTTTTGGCCCTTTCAAAACTGATGATATCACCACTAGCCTGAAGGGAAAGCAGCATTTCCTATCAACAATCCTTGGGTGGTTTTAGAAAGCCAAGTGAAAGAGGTCCAGAGGGGGCTAGCAGAAAAGAAGTTCCATCTGTGGTTAAGCTGATCGAGCTCATTTATGATGCTCAGTGCTGGTAGTTCTTTAATGTTATCCACGATACATCTGTTGCAATTTACCAAGAATTTATCATGTGCGTACTGGGTGTTACTGATTTTCCAAAGTAAAATATTTTGTGGAACAACGATAATAACACCAATAACAAAAATAACAATAATAAAAATAATAGAAGCCCACATTTATAGACTGTTTGCCCCATCACCAGCAAACACCTTCTCACAGCAATACCTTCACGGGAGTAGTTGTCACCATCCCCATTTTACAGAGAAGGAAACAGAGGCTTGAAGCAGATTGGTCCTGCACCTAAGACCACTCAGATGGTACTAAGTGGTAGAACTGAAGCTCAAGTCAAAGTCTTGGACTCTAGAGCCCTGTGGCCAGCAAATAGATTGGCTCCTGCTTCACGGTGAGCAACGGAAACCTGTTTGAATGGAGCCTGACCTGGTCCCAGCCGAGAGTTGGAAAGTGCTTTCTCAGACCTGTTCATGCATGCATTAGTGAGCATTGATGGATAATTCACTCTAGCTGGCCCTATGCAAAGGGGCCAGAGAATCAAAGGTGGATTGGAAATGACTCCTTCGCCTTAAGGATCACCTAGTGTGCTTGAAGATACAGGTTCCTAGACCTCACTTCTTGATGACCTATTTCACTAGGTTGTTTGAGGCTGGGTATCTGCACCATCTACAAGTTCCCCAAGTAACTTGATGTAGGTGCAGGACAAGAGAGAAGTACCCAGAGCTCTTCTGTTGAGAGCCTTTGTGTGAGTTAGGGAACTTCTCCTGGGACCAGTAAGTGAAGGCTCCGCAGGCATGGGGAGCCACATGCCTGGGGCCCAGAGATCACGGTGAAGAGGGACTAAGAGAACTAGCCACTTTAAAAGGTGGGCTTTTTCTACTGCTAACAAGACATATTTTGACTTAAAATGGAGGCCCAGGGTGGGTGGGTGCTGGTAGGAGATGGAGAAGATGTTACCCCCTGAGCAAGCAGGCTAGCATCTAAGACAGGCCAGTGTGGTGAAGACACAGACTGGGGCAGGCACCCAGGTCTGACCCATGCCCGCTGCTTACCCGCTGTGCACTCTCAGGCCAGGCACCTTATCATACCATGCCTCAGCTTCTCCTTCTGTAAAATGGACGTAATCATAGTACTCACCTTCTAGGTTATTGTGGGACTACAGAAGTTCCTGTGTGTAAGGCCCTTAAAGCCCTGCCTGGCTCTAAGTGATGCCAGCTATCATTATGACAGTAATGGCAGGCAGCCATCCTAGGTTCTCTGCCAGCTCCTTATCTTGCCGTTTCAGCCTTTTCCACTGATGCACCATTATTCTTCCTCTTCCATTTTTGACATGCATCCCTTACCCCAGGCATGCAGGGCTGTGTTCTAGTCCCTGTTGAGCCAATGCCCCACCCGTTCTCCAAGGTTAAATACAAAGCTTGCCCTTTCAGCAGGACTTCCCCAAGCCCGGTGCATATAGACTTGTCTCCCCAATGCTGTGTGTTGTGTCTGCCACAGCACTACTCAGCATGACTTAAGTGTGTGTCTGGCTCCTCTGCTGCTCTGATGTGTAGAGGGCTTCTGTGTATGTAGCTCTCAGGCTACACACATAAAGAGCACAGTGCTGTGCTTTTACCCCAGGCTCAAGGTTTCCACTCATCAGGTGAATACTGGAAGTCAGGACCCAGTCCTAACTCATCCCATGCCCACTCTGCATCCCCTGAGGACCAAGCCAGTGCCCTGTAATAGGCAGGCACCCAGAATGTGTTTACAGCGCAGAATCATGAAGGGCCTTTCTGCCTCCACTGGCCTGGGTGAGGCAAAGGCCCTGAGCGGTGTGTCTTCACTGAGTGCATTCACCCACTTGTTCTCCTTCGGCCTTCCTGGCCACCATAGGAATTGCGCCAGTACCTGTCCAACCTTGCTGACCAGTGCAACAGTGAGAACAATGCTGTGGACATGCCCCTCGTCATCATCCTGGACAACCTACACCACGTGAGCTCTCTGGGAGAGATCTTCAATGGGCTGCTCAACTGCAAGTACCACAAATGGTAAAGGCTGGTTCTGGACCTCATAGCCCCCCGGGAGAGAGTGCTGCCAGCTGATGGGGCACTGTGCACACAGGTGGCCCGGGGCCGTTGTGGGAGTGAAGCTGTGCACACGCATAGGGTTGGGAGTGGGAGGCAGCCAGCTGTCCACTGGCCTGGAAGCACAGGGCCATGGGCCTCTGTGACCACCTTGTTCTCTAGCTTGGCTTGGAATCACAGCTTTCTTTTCCTTTATTTTATCCGCAGCCCTTACATAATTGGCACAATGAACCAGGCTACCTCTTCGACTCCCAACCTGCAGCTTCACCATAACTTCAGGTCAGTTTTCCCTTCCCTTGTCCAGTTAAACAATGGAATCACAAAGAAGAAAAGCAAGAAGGGGCGGGTAGAGATGCCTGTGTTGAGTATGTGTTGTATGCTAGGTATTGTTAAGCATTTTTCTCAGCTTAATCCATTTAATTTTAACTTCAGCCTCAAGTAATTACATTCACCACTCTCAGTTTACCAATGGGGAAACTAAGGCCCAGAGACTTAAGTGACTTGGGTGAGGTCACACACTGGTCAGTGGCAGAGTGGAACTTGCAATCAAGTCTCTGCCTCTGAGTCTTGCTGTCATAGGGTCAAGGGGGCAGCTCTGGAAGGGACTGCAGGTGACCCTGCTGCCCTGCTTGTTTCCAGTGGCGTCTCTCTGTCCCAAGTGAACATGAGCAATGACAGCTTTTACCTAAAATGTCCCCACCTAGCTGGGTCTGTGGGCCCTCGAGTCCCAGCTGCTGTGACTCCCTACCAGCTTGTCTTCCCTGCCCCGCTGCCATAGCACCACGCTGGTGCTCTCTCATGGCCAGGATGTGGGAGGGGCTGTTCACCTCGGTTGTGCTAGATTGCATTGCTGCCTGATTGACATCACCAAACACCCCTTGCCCCATATTGAATCTCAGTTGACTCCACCTCTCCTGCCTGGGCCCTTAGAGGTGGATGTGAAGGTGTCTCCTGGGCTAGGACCCCCGGCTCATTTCCACTGGCCATTCTATGGGCATCTCTGAGGGAGATCTATTGAAAGTGGGTCTGTATGTAATTACCAGAGAAATGTTGACTCCTCCAGCACACTGAGAGCATGGCTCACCTCTGCATTTAGGCTGTCCTGGTCTTGTTCATGCTTTCCCCTAATTATCCCTCAAGTCCATCGTCCTCCTCTTTCCCCCTATCACTGCCCCATCATCACCCAGCACACCATTGCCATCACCTAGCTGGTACGTCTGCTTGCAGCTTTCCCCCTGCACTCTGTAGCCAATCCTCTGCACTGTGGCAGCCAGACCAGAGTGAGCATTCTAGAGTACACATCTGACCATAGAACTCTCGTGCTTAAAGTCCTTCAGTAGCTCCAGCTCCCTATGGCCTGCAGGATGAAATCCAGACTCCGTTGGTTGGCAGGTCAAGTATGAACTTCAGCTACACTAAACCTCTGGTAGTTTCCCCAAACATCCATGCTATTTCCCATGCCTTTGCAAAGGCTGCAGCATCACCCCACTCCTGACCCCAACAACTGCTCCTGCCTTTCCTTATGTTGCTGCCCATTATCTGTCCAGTCTCAGCCCAGACATCCCCTCCTCTAAGGAGCCTTCCCTGATTCCCTTAGGCTTCATCATATTTCATTTCTTTCTTTGCCTGTCTGCCTCCTCCACCAGACTGTGAGCTCCTGGGAACCAGGACGGTGTCTTAGTCATAGTGATAGTTCCATAGCCTAGCACCGGGCCTGACATCAAGCACAAGAGGCAGTTTGTCTCAGTGGTTAGAGCCTAGCCTCTGGAGCCAGGCTTCTTGGTTCTCATCTTAGCTCTTCAATTAACTAGCTGTTTGATCCTGGAAAAGTTACATGACCTGTCTGTTCCTCAGCATTTCTGTCCGTAAAACGGAGGTGGAGATAATATCTATGTTAGAGGGTTGGTATCAGGAACTGTGAGTTAATACATAGTTACAATGTTTAGAAGAGTGTTCGGTGCATAGCTAATCCAATTTGTTGCATTAGCATATACACCTTCTGTTTCTAACGTGCTTTGGTTCCTGAGGTCAGCCATCATTTGGATCACCATCATCAGCTTGAAAAGTGTTTCTGACTTCCTCCAGATGGGTGCTTTGTGCCAACCACACGGAGCCTGTGAAGGGTTTCCTTGGCCGATTCCTGAGGAGGAAGCTCATGGAAACAGAGATCAGTGGGCGGGTGCGCAATATGGAGCTGGTAAAAATCATTGACTGGATTCCCAAGGTCTGGCATCACCTCAACCGCTTCCTGGAGGCTCACAGTTCCTCGGACGTCACCATCGGTGGGTGGGAGACTGGGGTCAGGGGGGCGGGCTGGCATCCTCAGGTGCCCATCCTCTGGGCCCTGGCCAGGACAGCACTTTGCAGGCACAGTCAGCAGAAGCTGGACTGTCCATAAAGATAGAAAGTGGGGCAGAGGGACAGTCACAGACCAGGTAGACCCCAAATTGCTAGTGGTCTGCAGAAGAGAGATGTGTCCAGCCTGGCCCAATGTAGAAACTGCTGGCTCACTAAAGAGCTCCCACCTCAAGGTTCCCCCAAGCTGAAGCTACCCTCTGGGATTGGCTTTGCTTGAAAAATAAAATTTTATCAGCATTTCTGAAAGCTGGACATTTAGAACAGAGAAAAAAGATCACTAACCATCCCACCATCTTGACATAATTTTAATTTGAGCTTAGTTTTTCTGTCCTTGTTCATATGTGTGTGTGTGTATATATATATATATATATATGTGTGTGTATATATATATATATATATATATATATATATATATATATATATATATGCTTTATGAAGTGGCAATCATAGCATACATATAACATGTTCCTTTTGGCCGGGCATGGTGGCTCATGCCTGTAATCTCAGCACTTTGGGAGGCCAAGGCATATGGATCACCTCAAGTTAAGAGTTCGAAACCAGCCTGGCCAACATGGTGAAACCCTGTCTCTACTAAAAATACAAAAAATTAGCTGGGTGTGGTGGCATGCACCTGTAATCCCAGCTACTCAGGAGGCTGAGGCAGGAGAATCGCTTGAACCCAGGAGGCGGAGGCTGCTGTGAGCCGAGATTGCGCCATTGCACTCCAGCCTGGGGAACAGAGTGAGACTCCAAAAAAAAAAAAAAAAAAAATCCTTTTTCATTTAGCACTATCTCATGAGCATTCTTTGTTGCTACTCAGTTGTTGTTTTTGTTTTTGTTTTTGTTTTTGTTTTTTGAGACAGAGTTTTGCTCTTGTTGCCCAGGCTGGAGTGCAATGGTGTGATCTTGGCTCACTGCAACCTCTGCCTCCCAGGTTCAAGTGATTCTCCTGCCTTGGCCTCCCAAGTAGCTGGGATTACAGGTGCCCACCACCACACCCAGCTAATTTTTTTGTATTTTTTAGTAGAGAAGGGGTTTCTTCATGTTGGCTAGGCTGATCTCGAACTCCTGACCTCAGGTGTTCCACCGGCCTCGGCCTCCCAAAGTGCTGGGATTACAGGTGTGAGCCACCATGCCCAGCCAATTACTCAGTTTTAAAAATTATTTTTAAAGGCTACAAAATGATCAAATGTAGATGTACCCTCATTTGCTTAACTGTTTCTGTTCTTTTGGACTTGCAGTCATGGGCTTCCATTTTTTTTTTTTTTTTTTTTTTTTTTTTTTTTTTTTTTAGGACGGAGTCTCGCTCTGTTGCCCAGGCTGGAGTGCAGTGGCGCAATCTCGGCTCACTGCAAGCTCTGCCTCCCAGGTTCACGCCATTCTCCTGCCTCAGCCTCCCGAGTAGCTGGGACTACAGGCACCCACCACCACGCCTGGCTAGTTTTTTTTTTTTTTTGTATTTTTAGTAGATACGGTGTTTCACCGTGTTAGCCAGGATGGTCTCGATCTCCTGACCTTGTGATCCACCCGCCTCAGCCTCCCAAAGTGCTGGGATTATAGGCGTGAGCCACTGCGCATGGGCTTCCATTTTTAAAAATCAAGATTAGTGATGCCACAGTGAGCATCTTCCCCATAAAGCCTTTCCTGGAGGAGGGAGACCCCCAGGTGGAATCAGGGATCAGAGTGTCCTTCTCTGTGGCCACCATCCAGGGCTAGTATACCTGCGTTCAGGCCTCAGCCCTGCCATCCCTCAGAACGTCTAGGGTCCCTCCTGTGAAGGGTGCTCGGACCATGGCTTCACCTGATGCCCCATCACCCATGCCCATTTGAGTGCTAATGTATTTTCACTGTGGTCTCCAGGCCCCCGGCTCTTCCTGTCATGCCCCATCGATGTGGACGGCTCGAGAGTGTGGTTCACCGACTTGTGGAACTATTCCATTATCCCCTATCTCCTGGAAGCCGTCAGAGAAGGACTCCAGGTGAGAAGACACCCCTGCTGGCTTCCTTGAAGCTGAGGGGGACTGTTCTGGTGACCAGATGAGTTGTCTTTATCTCCTCCTCCAGGAATCTGACTGACATGGGGTGACAACCCCTCACCTGGGAGTTCATCAGTGTAGTCCAGTGTAGGGACACACCTGGCTGCAAGTCCTGGCTCTTCCACCCATTAGCATTGTGACCCCAGGCCAGCTGGTTAGCCTTTCTGTGCCTCAGAGCCCTCATTGATATTCTGCCACAAAGAGTTTGTTGCAAGGATGAAATGGAAGTGCTCAGCATCGTGAGTGCCTGAGAAGTAGAACCATACACATGTGTAGTACTTCACAGTTTGCAAAATATTCTCCTATCTGCCTTTTGGGTTAAGCCTTGGATTAGTCCTGGAACTTGGACAGAAATTTGGTTTTTTACTCCATTTTTAAGAGAAAAAATGAGGCTCAAAGAGAATAAATGATGTGCTTAAGGTTATAAAAGGGAAGCTTGAAAGGTCTGGGATTTGAATCCATGCCTTCTGGGTCAAATTCCAGGTTCTTAGCCCTGAGGCTGGTGGCATTCTTTCCCTGACATCAGCACCCCTACCCTCTTAGGAACTTCGGGGCCCATAAGGCTGCCAGTTCCTCCTGCCTGACAGCAGTTGGAAAGCACAAATTCTTTTTATTTTTTTTTAGACAGAGTCTTGTTCTGTCACCCAGACTGGAGTACAGTGGCACAATCTCAGCTCACTGCAACCTCCACCTCCTGGGTTCAAGCAGTTCTCGTGCCTCAGCCTCCCAAGTAGCTGGGATTACAGGCGTGTGCTACCACACCTGGCTTTTTTTTTTTTTTTTTTGGATTTTAGTAGATACGGTGTTTCACCATGTTGGCCAGGCTGGTCTTGAACTTCTGGCCTCAAGCAATTCACCCACCTTGGCCTCCCAAAGTACTGGGATTACAGGCATGAGCCACTGTGCCCAGCCCGGAAAGCAAAAATTCTTTACTTCTCACTTGACCCAGGGTTTAACTGGAAGCTTACCATTAATTTGGAACTTGGGATAGTTTTATTGTTGAGCCTGGAGGCAGCCTAAGAAGTTCTGTAGGCTTTTAACACTCACAGTTAGTAATCAGCAGACATCACATGTGGCTGAATAATCCAGAAACCAGTTTGGTAGCCAGGTTTCCAAGAGTTTTTTTGTTTCCTTGGTACTGGACAGTGGGAGACACAAGATGCTATCGTAGGCCTGTGGAGGGTGCAGGGACTGGTGTGCACCCACAGGCACGTGTGTGACAAATGCAAGTTAATGGCTGCAGTCAGTGTTTGTCATTTCTGGTAGGGCTGAACTGAGGAGTATTCAACTATTTTCTATCTATGATTTATAGCAGCAATGATGGTCTTCAGAGGCATTCAGGACAAAGGGAGCTTGAAAAGGAAAGTATTTTGCCTCTTGTGATATATTTCACTAAACTGGAGCATACGCATTGCAAATTCAAGTCAGCATATTTAATAAAGTGTATTGTGAAAGCAGGAAAAAAGCAAGAAATTAGGCAACTTTTGGCCAGCCTAAAATCATTGGTTAGCAGAGCTCTATCAACTGTTGCTTTCATACAAGAAGGTATGAATGATTTTAGATCTTTGCAGTAGAACCTCCCTAGGTAGGTAAAGTCACTGGCGTGGATAAATTGACCATAATTTAGTCCTTAATCAAATGGTTTTGTTAAGACCACAGACCCAAACAACCACTCAGTCATTCCTATTTTGGGACCAGTGGAAGCATCTCCTACCTGCTGGATTCTTGCAGTCTGTCTCATTTCAGAAGCTTCTCTCCTCTGTTCTCATTGATGGCTTCCAGGGAGTGTGATATGCCCAGCACCTCTGGGAAACCCAAGCTGCTTAAGAAAAGTAAAGAGAATTGCAGGCAGATGAGGTGGACTGTTTGCCCCTGATTCCACCTCACCTTCTCCCATTTGCTTCATCTTTGCTCTAAATGTGGTCTTCTGGTGTAGGAAGGGGAGTGAACCTCAGAGTCACTGGGAAGAACTCACGGGCTCTGCTGAATAAAGGCCTCCCCTGCCCTGGAAGGCATTAACCAGGAAGCAGGGAGCCTGTCTGTGCTCCAGCCTTGCGCTGCACTTGAGCAGGCCCCTCACTGGTTAACAGTGGTTGGCGGTGCCAAGGCCCTGCTCCTTTGGACCTGAACCTAAAGGAAGGCTTTCTGGGCATGGCTGGAAAGGAACTCCCCTTCCCACCTAGGAGAGGTTGCTGATGGAGCTGATCATAGAGGATCATTGGGCGTCCTTCCCACCATGGGAAAGTGAGGCCCCAGCCATCTGGGGCAGGGAGCAGAGACATGCTCCCATCTCAAGACTCACTAGTTCAGTGTGAGGCAGGAAAAGTCATCACTGCTTTGTGCTTAGAGGTCATTTGAAGGTTAGTCTTTCAAGAGTGTGGAGCTGCAAAGGGAGGCGGCCAGAGTTTGCATCCCACTAAGTGGCTCAAAAGTGAGTCACTATGCCCCAAACTTGTGACCTCGCCATCCTGATCAGCCCAGGAGACTGTATAGACTGCGGATTCCTGCGGAAGCTTGCTGTGTTCTTCATGCCTCTGGTTTTGAAGGAACATTTGGTGATGTTTTTTGAGGGCCTGCTACTTGACAGGCACCATTAGGGGCCCGACGTGCATGATCTCATTTAGTTCTGACAGCCCAGTGAGTCTCTTAACAGATGAGGAAACTGAGGCTCACGGACGTTCTTGCCCCGTACCATGTCCACTCAGCAGGGTATGGTGGAGTGCGTGTTGGTGCCCAGGACTAGCTGGCCCCTTGGCTACTTCTGTTATTTTCAGGCTATCCTGAGGACACCCATCACTCCACTGAGAAGCCACAGGTGGCTTGGGGAACCAAATACTGAATTTTATAGAGTGGAGTTCTCCCTATGATTTCATTTGACAAAAGGATTCCTTTATTTTTAAAAAATTAAAATTCCCTACTCTCCTTTGTGTTACTTTGAGTCCACACCTACTCTAGGGTCACCTGCCCCTCACCTAACCCGGGTAAGTGGCCATGAAGTGAGCACATTGCAGTTCAGAGTGAGGTTCTAGGCTGAGAACAGGTGGAGTCCCTAGAATGGGTTCTGACAGGGCTACCGTGCACCAGGAGCTGGGATGGAGCGCTGCCCATGGTAGTATGGATTTGGTGGGAACGTAAGGAGACCTGCTGTCATCAGGGGATGAGGATGGCTTCCAGGTAGCCCCTCCCACAGGTACACCCGTGCCAGGAGGAAACATGATATCGCCCTCTAGTGAGCATAAGGTAGCACTGCAAGGGCGTGTAAGTGCAGATGCACTTGTGGAACTGCTTGGAGGACCTTCCTGAATGTGCAGCCGATGCATCCTTCTGTGATGTGCACACCCTCCCA
Organism: Homo sapiens; assembly: GCF_000001405.40. Lineage (NCBI taxonomy): Eukaryota > Metazoa > Chordata > Mammalia > Primates > Hominidae > Homo > Homo sapiens. Next base: position 20,111,186 of record NC_000011.10, read on the forward strand.
GGAGCCCCCTGCATCCCACAGTCAGAAGGCTCACAGTGGCCCAGGTTTTAGTTTTCAATGTCTCAGCTCCCTGTTGTCCTGCTCCCATTTTTCCTGACCCAGTGGGGATGCCAGGTTCCTTCTCCTGCCTTAGGGAAAGTGAATGTCCTCCCCTCTGTGTCTGTCTGTCCAGATGTCTCTGCTGCTGCCCTCGGGGCCTGCAGTGGAGCTGAGGAGCTTTATGATGTTTCCTTTGCTTACCACAGTACTTACCCAGCCATTCATCACCCAGACTTGAACATGTCCAGTGACAAGTGAGGAGGCTTGTAAAAATATTTTCTGTTCTTGCAGATGATGTTAACATGTACCTAATGTGCATTTGTCTTATGACTCAGTCCTGAGCCCTGCTTCCCTTTGGAGCTGTCATTGGAAACACTTGCCAAAGTGTCTAAAGTCTGCAGGGTAACTCAAAAGGCCTTTCTCTGTGCCCAGGGCAGGCTTGGTGCCTGCAGGGAACAGGAACAGTGCAGAGTCAGTGTGGGGCCATTTATCGGATTATCCAGCCTGCTCTGAGACCCCAGACAGGTCTCCCGTCTCTTGGCCTTGGGTTCTCCATCTATAAATTGACAAGTTTGGACTAGAAGAGTGTTTTTTCAGGCTGGTTTCTATGAAGCCCAAAAGTTCCCCAGTCTACTCAGTTGAGGACCAGAGATGAAGAGCAAATGTTTGAAAACCATGGTGCCAGATAATCTCTGAGGACATGTTCAGCTCCAGGAGTTCTAGCCTCTGTGATTCTGCAGCCCTGAGCATGTCCTCATCCAGGCTGTAGAGTGGAGACAGAAGCAGTAGCTGTCACAGAAGCAGTAGCTGTGAGGGTTTGGTTCAGCCTCATGTGAGGTCTGGCTTGGGAAATGCAGCCCAGTTTCCACAGGGAAAGACCTCAGAGGGAGAAACTTCTCAAAATTGCACAAATGGTTCTAATGTGGAGCAGCCTTCTTCTGCTCCAAATATCCCACTTTTGCATTCTCTTCTGCCCTGAGACACATGCCCACATACACACAAACTCATGCCCCTCACACGATTCCTTCCTGCTCACACAATAATTGCTTTTCAAATGCCAGACTGAGCTCCTAGGCCTGAGACTCACTCCTGCCCCAGGTTAAGGAAGACTTAGCAACAGACTGGGCCAGAGCGCAGGACGGGAGGAGTGCTGGTGTCTGGGAAGGCAATGAGTCATAGGAGGCTGCATGACTTAAGCAGAGGGGGTGATAGCCACGAATACAGAGAGATGGGCCCATCTGAGAAGGGGCAGGGTGGGCAGCTTCCCTGACAGAAATCATAGCTAGAGGTCCCAGATGGCACAGACAGTCATGGGAGTATGGGCACTGCTGGCAGGGACAATGAGCCCAGCAGGCTGTCACACTGATATCTGGCCAACAGCCTGCTCCGCGTCTCCCTGCTCTGGGTCTGGCTGAGTCACGTGGCTCACATGACTCAGAGTTGTTCAAGGTGGTGTCAGTCAGGAGGGGTGGAGAGGAAAAAGGCCTGGCAAAGGAAGCTGAGGTTCTAGGTTCAAATCGGGCTCTGCCTGACAGCCTTTCTCAGCGGGCTCTGCTCTTCAGGCCTTGATTGGCCCATCTGGTAAATGAGGGGGTGGGGCTAGGTGGCCCCAGCTCCTTCCCCTTGGAAAGACGTGGTTTTGTTGGTTCAGAGCTCAGCTTCACACTGTTGTCAGCACCTTGCTCTCTGTACCCTCTCCACGGCAGGATTCGCGGGAGGGCAGGGAGAGCAGACAGACAGACAGACAGCCGTGGCCACCCTAGAGACACACTGCAGCCGTGGTGGCCCACAGGACTCTTTAGTCTCTGTGCTCTAAGGCCCCCTGCAGAGTCCTCTCTGCAGAACTACAGGTGACACTGCCCTGGCTGTGAGCATGTCCTGCCACATGGACCAAGTGGGCCAAACTAGTGGGCCGTGGAATTGAACATACTTAGTTTCCAATTCTGGCTTCTCTCCTCCCTGGGCCTATTTCCTCATCTGTAAATCACGGATATTAGTACTTCCTCTTGGAGTTGCACGGTGGTTAAGCAAGGTATTCGTAAAGCATTTCTCACGGTACCTGGCACAAAGTCAGCTGGAAGATGTGGTGGTGTTAAAGGAGAAAAATATAAAGCCTATACCTAGCTGTGTAATATACAGAGCCTCGTGTTGGGCCAGTCTAGGTTTCTGTTCTTCAAAGAATGTATGTATTTCTTGAAATTGCTAGTAATGGTCACTAAAATCATTTTACCATTAGATAATTGAGGCTTAAGAAAAGGAGCTTGGAGGCATGGTGTTGATCTTACCATAAAATTAAGTGATAATATAGTTTACTGTTTTAAGAGCCAATTAGCTATTATGGAATTTTGAGAAATACATGACAAGAGAGAAGCCCTCATAATTTCACTGCCTATGTGCAACCTCTGTTAGCAATTTGCTGTTTTGAAAAGGAGTAGCACTTCTATATAGGGGCTGTAAGAGTCAGACCCATTTCAAGAAACGGGGTTTTATTGAGCCAGGACCAGCCCAGCACAGTGGCTCACACCTATAATCCCAGACCTTTGGGAGACCAAGGCACGAGGATTGTTTGAGCCCAGAAGTTCAAGACCAGCCTGGGCAATATAGAGAGATCCCATCTCTTAAAAAAAAATGTTTTAAAAATTAGCCAGACATGGTGGCACACAAGTAGTCTCAGCTACTTGGGAGGCTGAGGCAGGAGCATCACTTGAGCCCGGGAGATTGAGGCCACAGGGAGCATGATCATGCCACTATACTCCAGCCTGAGCAACATTGCAAAACCTTGTCTCAATACAAAATCAAAGTAAATATTAAGCCAGGGCCATTGTGACCTCTGCCTGCAGTGTTGGTGCCCAGAACCCAAGGTATGTAGGCAGTATTCTTTGGGTAGATGCACCAAATGGAGTACTAGAGCTGGCTCTTGAAAGCTGATAGCACCTTTTTCCAACTCCACATCCAGTGACATCATGTCAGTGGTTTGAAGTCAGTCATGGTGGGATTGTACCATGGATGTTGGCAAATGCTTCAAATCAGGTCATTGTTTTTCCCCAAAAGCCAGTTTTTCAAATTGGATTATCAAGGCTCAGAGTTTAGGGTCACACGGTGAGTCAGTGGCAGAGCTGAGACATGAACCTAGATCAGCCTGACTCCAAAGCCTGTATTCTAGACCACTGGGTCATGCTGCCTTCAGCCTTAGCACCTCGAACTGTCTGCATCTTGGATGACTTCCTGAGCATGGAATAGAAGTGGAATTACTCCATCAGGGAAGGCATGATGCTGGATTTGGGGAGTTTTTCAGAAAGCTGCAAAACTGGGGCTACGAGAGAGATCTGGGCCACTTCCAGACTGTTCCTTCTTTGCCTGTTTTCAGCTCTATGGAAGGCGCGCCCCCTGGGAGGATCCTGCCAAGTGGGTGATGGACACATATCCATGGGCAGCCAGCCCACAACAGCACGAGTGGCCTCCCCTGCTGCAGTTACGGCCTGAGGATGTCGGCTTCGACGGCTACTCCATGCCTCGGGAGGGATCGACAAGCAAGCAGATGCCCCCCAGTGATGCTGAAGGTGACCCGCTGGTGAGTCCTCAGCCACCAGAGCAGCTCAGCATTCCTTTAGCACTTACTGTGTGTTGGGTATGATGCAGAGCCTCTGGAAATACAAAGGTGACTAAATCCAGCCTTGCTTTGGAAGGCTGGACCCAAATGACTGGGCCATTTTTGCCAATATTTTCTTCCATGGTTTTAGTTTTTCACTAAAAACTTCTCCTCTGAAATTTTTTTCTGGTATTAGATAACAGATTAAGAATTGATTTTTCCCCTTAAATGTTCTTATACCTACTGTCTCTATACAACACTTTGCCCTCTGATTTGGGATGCCACCTCTATTACCTACTATCCTATTACTTTGATCTCTCCTACCGATAGCAGAGCAGAGGAAGAGATTGCTAAGGACCAGAAGCCCAAGGCAAATGATAGGGTAAACAGGGAGAGGTCTGAGGGCAGGAGGGACTCACAGAGGGGAGGAGGCCTGAATATGAGTCCCATGGCCATTGAGATGAGCTAAGTCTTTCACACTGTTTAAGCTTCTTATTTATTCGGCTGTTGCTAAAACAATAAAGGCCCTTTAAGAAGCACCCAGGCTGGGGTGGCTCACACCTGTAATCCCAGCACTTTGAGAGGCCAAGGCGGGTGGATCGAGGTCAGGAGATCGAGACCATCCTGGCTAACATGGTGAAACACCGTCTCTACTAAAAATATAAAAATTTAGCTGGGCGTGGTGGCAGGCACCTGTAGTCCCAGCTACTCGGGAGGCTGAGGCAGGAGAATGGCGTGAACCCGGGAGGTGGAGCTTGCAGTGAGACGAGATCGCGCCACTGCACTCCAGCCTGGGCAACAGAGCAAGACTCCGTCTCAAAAAAAAAAAAAAAAAAAAAAAAGCACCCGGGCTGGGTGTGGTGGCTCATGCCTGTAGTCCCAGCACTTTTGGTGGGCAGTTACAGCCTGGGCAACGTAACAAAACCTCTTCTCTACAAAAAATACAAAAATTAACTGGGCATGGTGGCACATGCCTATAGTCCCAGCTACTCAGGAGGCTGAGGTGGGAGGAGGGCTTGAGCCTGGGAGGCAGAGTTTGCAGTGAGCCAAGATTGTGCCACTGCACTCCAGCCTGGTTGATAGAACCAAACCTTGTCTCAAACAAACAAAAGAAACACCCGGGCCAATAACAGTAGTATTTCTAATCGATTGTAGTACTCTACCAATATAAGACCCACACAGAGTCACACTGCTAAATTAGACCTAACAAATCAAAAGCCCAGTAAAATAAAAAGGAAGCAAATATACCAAAACCTCCCATGGTTAAAGGACTATTATCATGCCTTAAATTTAGCCCCAAGCTTTCTTGGCAGGCATAGCAAAAAGAAAACATAACAGAGAATATTATTTACATTACCTAATGAAAGAAAATATTATAAGAGATGTAGCAGGATTAAAAGACAACTGATTTACTGTTCTATTCCTAGCAGCTAATTAAGTCCCTAGATTAAAAAAATAATAATAATATTAATAGGCGATTCAGGTTGTCTGCCATCCTACTGTTTGGTGGGATGTAGCTGTGGTTCTGTTGAAGATTGCAGTGGGAACTGTATTTTTTAAGGATTTATTATTTGTGTTGCCATGTACAACCTAGTTTGCAATATTTATAACAGTAGTCTTACAAAGGAAAGAAGCATACTTTAAACAGCCGTTTGCAACGTTAACCATTGCTGAAAGCCAAAGTCACGGAGGTATTTTTTGCAGGGGCAAACTCATGAGGTCTTAACTTACATAGAAAATAGAATTTAGTATATTTAGAGGAAAGAATGGCCAGCCCATCCCTAAACAATCTTTTCTGAGCCAGTAACATTTGTATCACTGGTTGGACACAGAAGGTGTGTAGGTAAGACCCAGGATTCTTGGAAATGCAGAAACAGATTTCTCCTTCCAACCCCAGGCCCCCAGAAGTGAGCTGTGCCAGTCCAGCCACTTCCATTACCGAGTTAGATATTTGGTATTTCTCCTCAGTTCTGCTCTTTCTGCCCAGGGCCATATGTCTCTATTATCATAGCTCTCTTCTGTATTAATCCTTCTCACTCATGAGACTGAGACTTCCATGAAAACAGAATTTACTTGCTTTTGTTCCAGAACCATATACTGTGGACACACTGGGAGTGTTTAATGAGTGAATAAGTAATCCCAGTTGCCAAGGATTGTCCATTATACTTCAGCTCTGCCTCTTCCCTAGTTATGGCTGTGCAGATGGACACCAGATGATGGTGCTTCTGCAGCCTGGCGCATCTGGGTAGACTCTGCAAAGCATCCTGAGGGGCAGCTGGATTGTATGCCCAGCTGCACCACATCTTGGCCCTAGCTCAGAGAGGCCCCATATTCCTGACTTACTTCCTATATGAAATATAAAATACATACACACAATTTACAGTTATAAATAAAAGTAGTTTTTATTCCCTCTCCCACTCCCAAACAAGTGACCCGTAGTATGTAAACAAGGGCAGATTCAAGAACACTGTCGCTAAACTCTTTTAAGTTAGATGATGATGACAACAGATGACATTTATTAAGCGCTTACTATATGCCAGGCCAGCCCCTTTTCTAAGGGTTTAATACACATTATATCATTTTATTCCCTACTTCAACCCTATGAGAAGTGTTGCCATTCTCCCCATTCCACAGATGACGAACTGCTGGCTCAGATACCTTAGGTAACTTGCCCAGAGATTCCTGAATCATAAGCGAAGGCTCTTTGCACTCGGAGCCTTTGCTTGTAACTGGTGCTCCCCCTCACCTCCCTGCCAAGGCTTCCACAGGAGCTGCAGCACAGTTGGCTCCAGTCTGACCTGGCCAGAGCAAGGAGAAGAGATGGGTTTGATGCTTGTTGAAGTGGGAGGGGGTCCATGTGCTTCCGATGTCAGTGATGCTGATGCCAAGTTCCAGGAACAGGGATGCTCAGCCACACCTTCATCCAGGCCGAGGGCTAGGCCTGAAAGGTGTGCCCCTCCTAAATAAAAAATAAATAAGCTATGTATAGAGATCATCATTTTGTTTTCAGTGCTCTACGTATATTAACTCAATCCACCCATAACATTATAGGGCAGGTACTATTATTATTCACATTTGACCAGTAAAGAAACAAGTATAAAGAGGTTAAGTAATGTGTTCAAAGTCATGCAGCTAGTAATTGGTGAAGCTGGGATTTGAACCCTAGAAGCCTGGCCCAAAGTCCATGTTCTTGTCCACTGCCTCCACTGTGGGCTGTTATCCCAGGTGAGTCTGGAGGAGGTGGCATGACCTTTTAGGAGTCCAGGGTGGGCGGCCAACTAGACAGAAAGCAGCTCATGCTTCTCCACTCTTCCCCTAGATGAACATGCTGATGAGGCTGCAGGAGGCAGCCAACTACTCCAGCCCCCAGAGCTATGACAGCGACTCCAACAGCAACAGCCATCACGATGACATCTTGGACTCCTCTTTGGAGTCCACTCTGTGACAGGGGCCCGGAGCCCAGCGCCCTCCTCTTCTCCTCACCGCATTCCACCTGCATCCCCCACATCACCCTGAAGATGACTTCCTGAGCCAGCCCCCAGCCACAGCCTTAGAGCTGCGGGAACACCGAGACCCCCCGTCCTTCAGCCTCGACCTGGGTGCAGGCATCCCGGGCCAGCTGCCTGCGGACCGCTTCCTTCCACAGCGAGAACTGCACTACCTTCTGTTGTACTTTAATTATTGTTTTGCCTTGTTGCTGTGACCTCCCTAAGACACTGAAGATACTTCTCGGGAAAGGATCATCGCCGTTGAAATGAAAAGAGAGACAGAGAGAAAAAAAAAAAGAGAACCCACATGAAGCTCTGAAACCAAACAGCATCCTGCCATGAGCTTCCCAGAGACAGAAGAGACTGGAGCAAAGTCGGAAACACAGAGAAGCACGGCTTCCCCTCAGCACAGACCCTCCAGACTGGGTCTCAGAGCCGTGCCACCCACCCTCCCACACAGCCGGCCACAGGGAGAACTGGTGCTAACCAGGGTGCTTGCTTTGGTCACGTTCAACGCACTACAGAGCTACGACACAGGGAAACCTTAGGAGCAAATAAACCGTGCTTTCATGTTTTTTAAATGGTGCTTTCCTTACCCGAGAGGTATTTTGCCTGTTCCAATCAAACCACCCCATTCAGGTCCATCAGCCTCTGATTAATATCCGTGAGAGTGAGTGACGGAGTGAGAGTGTGAGCGAGTGGATGTGGCTGTCAGTGCAGAACAGCATGTGTCTCTTTCCTTCTGATATATGAATGAATCAGGTTTTTTTTTTTTTTTTTCTGCAAACACTGTGTATAGTGAGACTTGTTCTACTTTGGAGAACAGGTTACCTTTTGAAAATGAGGTTGAGTTTCTTCCTTTCTGATGCATTGATTTTTGAAGATTTTTTTTTCCCCCTTCCCCTCTTGGTCAGAATCAATCCTTTGGTGAAAGTAAGAACCGCAGGAGTTGAGTTTTGGTTTGGTCCTGCTCAGTTTTGGTTTTTAGTTGTCCATCCTCACAGTCCTACACACTCGCCTCCTCCTGCTAGGGCTGGGGGTATCTGTGTCCTTTAAAATGGATGAGGACCTGGTCCTCGACATGTGGGTGAGCCATGGACCTTGCCTTCCCTTCTCGTCCTTGAGGGTTTAGAACACACACCAACACCTCCAGCGTCCCCGCCCCAGCTTCCGGTGGGGTGATGCGGTCACCCTGCAAAAGACTTGCACTTTCCTCAGAACCAACATGACGCAGCTCAATAAGGGTGAGGGTCACTCCCTCCCAGAAGCCCCGTCTGGACGAGCCTTGCCTGACCTCTTCGGTGCTGACCTTCCCAAAGTGATGCCTTACTGGTTTTGTACTAACTGTGTTCATTTTACATAAGTGTCGTGCCTGCCTGGGGTTTGTTTTTTTTGTCATTGTTTTCCCCATTGAAACAAACAGGGCTAAAAAGTCATCTGTTCATTAGGAGAACTCAAGTTGCTGTGACTTTTCTCATCCAAAAGACTCATTTGTGTGGATGCGTGACCATGGGAAAAAGAAAAAAAAAAAGATCCATTTTTTAGGTTCTTTTCGGTCTCCAGCTGACAACCCAACTGGACAATGATCTGTCTGGTGCAGGAGAAGGCAAAAGTTTCTACAAGTCTACATGACCTTGCTGATACTTGTTCTAATAGAAACCCAGTCTGCTGTGTCTTCAACATACTGGTATTTTCATTACAAAGTATGGTAAATTTTTGAGTTGTTTGTTTCTGTTTTGTAAAGAGAATCCTTATTGGACACCAGTGAAGGTGTCTCTGTTTTAATGATCAGGGTTTTTATTCCATCTTTTGCATTTCTTCTATTTCTGAAGGTTTGTCTCTTGGCATCTTTTTTTAGTTTCTTACCATAAGAGTTTGACCCGAAACTGCTCACTTCACATTGGATGACACCATGTTCTTCCTCTTTGAAAAGAAAAGGGGAATGTGTCCCACTAGTGAAAGGAAAACTTTTCAACACTATCCCTGCTTTAGTCTCAGCAAACTCAGACTATTCTGCTTAGCCTTCATTAGTCATCTGGGTGTGAGTGTGTCTTGTTCTGTTTTTCTTTTTAATAAAACTTTTAAACCATATATTTAGCCTGTGACCAGGGGGGCCAAACCCTAAGATTTCTGGTAAACCTGAAGGGTGGCCCTCCTCAGACAATTTATCTCCCAGCAATGACCCTACTACACTCGCGTACTGTGAATTTGGGAGGAGGTAAAGTTGACTTCTCCTCGTGGGCAGTTTTCCAATCACCTTGTGAGTAGACACCTGCCAATATTGTTTGAAACCTTTTTTTAATATGACATCCTCTCTTGTCATTCTCTTCTCCCCTTTCCCACAGACTTCCCTCCTGGGTCCAGGTTCAGAACCAAGACTTCTGTACCTAGTGCTGCCTGATTGGTGAACATTGACTTCAAGTAGCATAGCCCTTGTGTGACTCACAACTCCGTGTCCTTCCTAAAGTTTCGGGAAGCAGGGTTGTCTAATATGCACATTTCTTATTTTGGTCATATTTTTACTTTAGTGTCACTCACCTTTTACAAAGTGACTTTGTACTCATTTAGGGCTCTATCGGAAATGCTTCCATTTTGCCTTTTCTACAGTTAGGCCAATTTTGAAATATATAAATTCTATGCAACATTTATGTTGAGTTACCAATGGAAGCCAAAAGTTCTCTTCCCAAACTGCCAAGAATGATACAGGCCATAATTGAAATGGGAATACCTTTTAAGTTTCATTAGGGGTGGGGTGGGAGTGGGACAGGAACAAGACTTGCCTAGATCTTTGTTGTATCTTGGGGACTTTTACTTTGTTGTTTGATGCTTAAACTTCAAAATTCTCTGTATTCAAATTTGATTGTGGCGAATCTACTTCAAAAAGGAAAAATAATCCAACTTTGTGGATATTAAATGGAAGGTTTGCTGTTTTGATCTAGTTGTTTCCAGTGGAGCAGTTTTATGAAATATGTTCTATAAGATGTACATTTTTTCATTGTAACATAGAAATTGTAAATAATTGATTAAAGTGCTGCATTTTGATGAATTTTTTCTAGCCATTTTTAAAGAGAAAACTAGGAATTGAGTATTTTGTGTACGGTATGTTTCCATCCTCCCTCCCCTTCCTCCTCCCCTCCTCTCTCTCTCTTCCTACCTATTTAATTTTCATTTGTCATGAGGTTTTTGGATTTGCCAATGATCTGCTGGACATCATGCCCCATGTCATAGAGAATAAAGCTGATGATTGTACCAGTCTTAAATTATTCATGATTCAATAAAATTGATGCTTATTTATTCAGATTAGTGGTTTGGCTTGTCTGTGCTAGAGCAAGTCCTCATAGGAGTTTTATTTCATGCTAAGAGCAAGTCAGTCTTATCTGGATGCAGCAAATGCAGGGAAAACCCCAAACCTTTGCAAACCCATCTTGGCTAGTATGCCATCAATATCCCACATCTTCTCAGTTTCTCAGGTCTTCTTGCCACTCCTGTGGAGCTTGTTAGAACTGTAGAATTTCAGATCCTCTCAGACTTTATGAATCACCAGGGATCTAGTGGATCCTCAATTTCTAACAAACTCCTAGGCAATACCAGTGCTCTAGTGCCTGGACCACACATTGAGTGGCAAGCAACATCAGTGTCCAGCCAGCCCCCTAAGTCGATCCCTTGGCATGAAAAGGATTTTTTTTTAATGTATTGAGTACCTACTAATTTCCAAATGCTTTCCCAAATACTCAGTATAATGCAAAATGATGCCAGAGAGGTATTCTTACTCCCATTTTACAAGTGGAAAAAAAAAAAAAAAAACAGAGAAAATGACGTGCCAAGGAACCTATAGCCAAGAAGTGAGTTGGAGTTTCAGCCCCATCTTCTGACCGTCCTGCCTTGCCAGGCTGCCTTCTAATCTTGGGGGCCTCCTGTCACATTGCAGCTCACATCCATAGCAGACACAGGCAGTGGGAGATGACCTTACATCTCAGCATTCACTTTGAATAGCAACAACAAAAAAGGCATGGTTTGGAGTCCTGTGGGTTCACAGTGAAATTGATCCCACATGGCTGGCTCAACTGCTCACGACATGAAGTGTCTAACTCTTAACATACAACAGTGGCCCAACCAGGGAGGAGGTAAAGAATCCAGATATTTAGCATAGGCAGTTTTAATCCCTGTCAAAAAAATAATAAAGAAGGGGTAGTACAAGTCTGACGACTAGATGTCCTGAATTCCAAGATTCTATGTCAAACATTCTATCCCATTGCTCCATGATATATTCTGAGGTTACCTAGGAAATATGATCAGCATACATAAAGGGGATGGTGGACAGATGGCTTTTTAAAGAGCAGGGAAGAGCCAGGTGCGGTGGCTCACGCCTGTAATCCCAACACTTTGGGAGGCCAAGGCAGGTGGATTACCTGAGCCCAGGAGTTCAAGACCATCCTGGCAACATGGTGAAAGCCCCTCTCTACTAAAAATACAAAAAATTAGCTGGGCGTGGTGGCACGTGCCTGTAGTCCCAGCTACTCAGGAGGCCGAGGCACGAGAATCACTTGAACCAAGGAGGCGGAGGTTGCAGTGAGCCAAGAATCACGTCACTGCACTCCAGCCTGGGCAACAGAGCAAGACTCTGTCAAAAAAAAAAAAAAAAAAAAAAAAAAGAAGAAGGGAAGGACAGGAACTGCATAACTGCATTTACGTACTCACTGGGTACCAGACGTATAGAAAATTTCACTCTATCACATATAATTACAGCACCTCTAAGAGGCAGGTGTGATTATCTCCATTTTATAGTTAAGAAAACTGAGGCTGAGTAATGTTAAATTAATACATAGTAGAAATGGAATTCTTGGTATATCTGATTCAAAACCCATGCCTTTTCTGCTACGCTAAGCTACAATCAACTTAGATAGGACTTCGATGGAGGATTACACATCCCTTCTGCATTAGCTCTTTATTGCTGTGTAACAAATTAACCCCAAATTTGGCAGCTTACAGCAGAACATTTTCTAACAGTTTCTGTGGATCAGGGGTTCAGGTATGTCTTGTTGAGTACTGTGCCTCAGGGTTTCCCACAGAGCTGTAGTCAACATGTCTGAAATAAAATTTGCAAGGAAGAAAATATTTAAAAGCAAGAACAATATAAATCATATTTAATGGTAAAATGTTAAATGTTTTTCCTTGCAGATTAAGAAACAGATAAAGATGTCTCTTACCACCACTGAATATTGTGGTAGAGATCCTAGTCAATACAGAGAAACAAGAAAAATAAATTATGAGGATTGGAAAAGGAAGAAATTCAACAGTCTTTATTCACAGGTAACACTTTGTATTTAGATTATGCAACAGAATTTACCGGTAAGTTATTAGAAATAATAAGGTAACTAAGTTTTCAAAGTCAGTACATAAAAATCAGTTGAACATCTATATGTTGCCAGAAGTTTTAAATTTTTAAGAATACCAATTTAGGCTGGGCACGGTGGCCCACGCCTGTAACCCTAGTACTTTGGGAGGCCGAGGCGGGCGGATCACGAGGTCCGGAGATGGAGACCATCCTGGCTAACATGGTGAAACCCCATCTCTACTAAAAAATAGAAAAAATTAGCCAGGTGTGGTGGCGGGTGCCTGTAGTCCCAGCTACTGGGGAGGCTGAGGCAGGAGAATGGCGTGAACCCGGGAGGCGGAGCTTGCAGTGAGCCGAGATCGCACCTCTGCACTCCAGCCTGGGGACAGAGCAAGACTCCATCTCAGAAAAAAAAAAAAAAAAACAATTTAAGAGCACAAATGTCAAACACTGCAGAATAAATGCAATATAAGGTGTGCAAGACTTCTATAAAGAAACCTATTAAACATAGTTGAGAGAAATTAAACCCCAAATAAAAGTAGGAAAATATTATGCTTTTGAGTTAGAATACATGTTGTGAACACGTCAATCCCTGCAAAATGAGATTTGATGCAATCTCATTTAAAAGCCCAACAGAGTTTTTATAGAATTGACAAAATGATTCTAAAACTTACATGGAAATGCATGGAAACTTAATGGAAATGCAACAGGTGAAGCATAGCCAATGAACAAGAACAAGAAGAGAGAGTTTTTTCTACCAAAAATCAAGACTTATTATAAAGGTCATTAAGACCTTATGCTATTGGTATAAGAATTGACAAATAGTTAAAAAGAACAGGATAGACACCCCTGAAATAAACCCAACACACACTTGCTTTGCTATATGGAATCATGAATAATGTCTCAGAAGCAAAGAAAATGTGACAAAGAACACATGACAATGGGATCCACTGGTTTTTACTCTAAAGCCGAAGGTTGGACTGCCCTCTTCAAGGTTAGTGTAACTAAGGCACCAGCTCAGGAAAGACATTTTGTGTTAGAGCACTGTCATCTAGGAAACAGTATAAATTTTCAACGGTCAGCCATTATTTGTTGTTTGTTGGTTTTTGTTTTGGAGACTGGGTCTTACTCTGTCACCCAGGCTTGAGTGCAGTGGCGTGATTATAGCTTATTGCAGCCTCCACCTCCTGGCCTCAATCGATCCTCCTGCCCCAGCCTCCTGAGTGGCTGGGACCACAGACACACACCACTAAACCCAGCTAATTTTTTTTTTTTTTTTTTTTTGAGATGGAGTCTCTCTCTGTCACCCAGGCTGGAGTGTGGTGGTACGATCTTGGCTCACTGCAACCTCCGCCTCCCAGGTTCAAGCGATTCTTTTGGCTCAGCCTCCCAAGTAGCTGGGATTACAGGTGCATGGCACCATGCCCAGCTAATTTTTTGCATTTTTAGTAGAGATGGGGTTTGCCAAGTTGGCCAGGTTGGTCTGGAACTACCGTCCTCAAGTGATCTGCCTGCCTCGGCCTCCCAAATTGCTGGGATTACAGGTGTGAGCCACCATGCCTGGCCCCAGCTAATTTTTTAAAAATATTTGAGTAGAGATGGGGTCTCACTATGTTGCCCTGGCTGATGTCAAACTCCTGGCCTCAAGTGATCCTCCAGCCTCAGCCTCCCAAAGTGCTGAGGTTACAGGTGTTAGCCACTGTGCCTGTTGTAATTTACTGTTGAATGCCCAATAGCTGGAATACATGTGTCTGGGGTATAACAGATGGGTTGTAGCAGACATCAATAATTCCTTAATTTGGGCCAGGCCCAGTGGCTCACGCCTGTAATCCCAGCACTTTGGGGGGCCGAGGTGGGCAGATCATGAGGTCAGCAGTTCAAGACCAGCCTGGCCAACATGGTGAAACACTGTCTCTACTAAAAATACAAAAATTAGCCAAGCGTGGTGGCAGGCTCCTGTAATCCCAGCTACTTGGGAGGCCGAGGCAGGAGAATCGCTTGAACCCTGGAGGTGGAGGTTGCAGTGAGCTGAGACTGCATCATCATACTCCAGCCTGGGTGACAGAGCGAGACTCTGTCTCAAAAAAAAAGAAATTCCTTAATTTGTACCCCTTCAGCCTGACTTCACCCGAACTTCCAGTGGACAACCCCTGGCATGCTCACAGTGGTCCATCTCAAGCACCTGTGTCTCTCTGCTTCTCTACCTGGGACCTTTCTCCAGTGCTGCAGAAGGTTGTCCAGTCCTGGGGCAGAGCGGCCCACAAGGACTAGGGACTTAGTGGCCCAGGGGCAGCCTATGCCCAGCTTTCTCATCCTTCTGTGGGACAAGTGGGAGGCATGGGAGGCACCCTCCACAAGGTGCATTAGAGGATCTCCAGTGGGACTGAACGCCACGTCGCCCACAGTCATAATGAAGGAAACTCAGCTGGAATTTCTCCCTTCCTTGTCACATTTTCCTACTCCCTCCCTCAGAGCTGGAATGATGATGAGTCAGCACCGAGGGCGCAGCCCTGGGAGTCCCCTTTAAATTTTGCACCGACTCACCTCACTTGCCTCAGGAGAGGCTAGTCCTGGCCCCAGCCTCAGCCATGCTTCCTGGCACCACAGCACAAATGATCTGCACTCAACTCCTTTCTCAGGATCTGCTAAGACAACTCAGCAATTCCTCTTATTGTTATGGGTTAAGTGAGCTGTGTCCCCCAAAAAGACAGGTTGAAGTCCTAAACCCCAGCACAGAATGTGGCCTTATTTAGGAACAGAGTGGTTGCAGGTGTAATTAATTAAGATGGGGTCTCACTAGAGTAAGGTAGGCCTTTCATCTAATCTGACGAGTTTCCTCATAAGAAGACAATGTGAAGATCCAAGAGACGAATGCCATGAGAAAATGGAGGCACAGAAAGGAGTCAAGTAGAAGCAAGTGCCCACAGTCTCAGAGGGAACATAGTCCTGCTGACACCCTGACTTCAGACCTCCGTCATCCAGAACCTCGAGAGAATACGCTTCCATTGTGTGAAGTCACCTTGGGGGTGGCACTTAGTTATGGTAGCCCTAGGAAACTAGCACAATCATTTATCCAACAGAAAAGCATACATATATGGGCCAAGAAACATAGACACAAATGTTCATAGCAGCACTATTCATAATTACAAAAACTGGAAACAACCCACACGTCCGCTGATAGGACAAATGAAATTGTGATCCGTCACTGTCACCCTACAGTGAAAATGTATGTGGATGAATGTTGAGTAAATGTTGAGTGAAAACCGCCAGACACAAACTCATGCCAAATGTATGATTCCACGTCTATAAAGTTCACAATAGCCTTCAGGAGTGAGTGCAGGCTTAGATCATAGATATATAAAGGAAAGCGAGAAGGGAGGGGCAGCTGTTGGGAGGGGTGGAAAGTTGCTTTTGGGTGCTGGCACGTGTCCTCCTTCTTGACTTGGGTGGTGCTACGGTCTGAGTGTTTGTATCCCTCCAAAATTCATAAAATGAAACCTAAATCCCAATGTGTTAATATGAGGAAATGGGCCCTTACGGGGTGATTAGGTCATGGGAATCCACTGTCATGAATGAGATTAGTGCCCTTAAAAAAGAAGCCACAGAGCTAGCTAGTACCTTCCACTGTGTGAGGACACAGAGCACAGAAGCCACCTATGAACCAGAGAGTAATCCTTCACCAGATGCCAAGTCTGCTGGTGACTTGATTGTGGGCTTCCCAGCTTCCAGATCTGGAAGAAAAAATTTTCTGTTGTTTAAAAGCCACCCAGTTTATGGTATTTCTGTTATAGCATCCTTAACAGACCAAGACAGGTGGTGGTGACACAAGTGTTTGCTTTGTTGTAGATCTTTGAGCTATATGTCTTTGTTTTGTGCACCAGAAGGTTTTTAGAAAGTAAACACGACCCCAGGCTGCCCACCTGGCCATCAGTGAAAGCTGCAGTGCAGCTGAGAATGCTGCCCTTGAGCACCGGCTTTGGCCTTCACCCCATCACTAACTCACTGCTTGAATTCTCAGCAGTATGTCGGTTCCTGAATGCATAAATCGAGGACGCTTTGTCCACCTTGACACTAACTGATGTGTGAGCTTGGACAAGTTAATGCCACTCCCCTGTCTTGCAGGATTGAGGAAGGTGATGCATCACGTGTGCCAGATGCCATGAAACACTGACTCCATCTTCTTCATTCTCCTAGCTGTGATTGCTTGCCTCTGCAGTCTCTGCAGGAGTCAGAGGATGGAGCTGCAGAGCCTCTAAGGCCAGAATTAGGCCCAACAGGGGAGGATGCAGACAGGCACATCAAGACCCCATACAAAGGAAAACGTCCTAAGGGCCACAGGAATAGGCTGCTTTAACGGGATACTGAGCGCCCTGTCACCACTGGAGTTCACACAAAGGCTGGAGAACGACCTGACCGAAGCAGCGGACGAATCCTCGCCCTGGGTGACAGGTGGGTCCAGATGTCTCGGAAGCTTTGTTCACCTGGCAGGATTGCCTTGTGCAGGGGAGATAGTGGAAAGGGTGTTGAGGTCTGGAGACCTGAGTTACTTAGCCTACCCTAGCTGCTACTCTCAGAGAAGTCCTATCCACCCTCAGGGACATAGTCTTCCTCTCTAATGAGGGATTGGACTAGTTCAATGGTTCCTTAATGTGGCTTATCACCAGTGACACAGAACCTCCCCTATTGCTGCTGGATCAGAATGTCCCGGGGTGGGGAATCAGGAATACAGTCCTCCCCCAACTCCTATATTCCAGGGCCGCAATTAGGGGCAGCTCCTTCGACCTCACAGTGGCCACAAGAGGGCAGCAAAGCCCAAGCAATGCCATCCTCAGGCAGGCCCTGACTTTACGGGTGGACCTGCAAAGCAGTAAATTCAGCTCTCTCTCAGATTTAGTTAGAGTATTTTTAAAAGGATTGGGCCCTGGTGTGGTGGCTCACACCTGTAATCCCAGCACTTTAGGAGGCCGAGGCCAGTGGATCACCTGAGGTCAGGAGTTTGAGACCGGCACGGCCATCACGGCCAAACCCCATCTCTACTAAAAATATAAAAATTAGCCAGGTGTGGTGGCGCACGCCTATAATCCCAGCTATTCAGGAGACTGAGGCAGAAGAATCACTTGAACCCAGGAGGCAGAGGTTGCAGTGAGCCAAGACTGAGCCACTACACTCCAGCCTAGGCGACAGAGCAAGACTCTGTCTCAAAATAAAATCAAAAGGACCCTCAGAAGGTCGAGCATACTATTTTTCCCTCTACCTCATGCTTGGAGAATGAAGCTACATTCTCTATAAAGGAGATAGGAAAAGGAATTGATGTGTGTCAGGCATCTTCTTAAGCCAAGCAGCCTGCCTTCGTGGAGCATGTGATCTGCATAACAATCGCGTGAGGTTGGTGTCATCCTCTGTCTCATGATTGGTCAAGGGACTTGGGCAAGGTCTTGCTAATCAGAGACAGAGTAAGGATTTGAACCCAGGCCCTGCCAGAAAGCATGGAGTCTTGCTCCTATACCAGCCTGCATCCCTACCAGCCACTGCTGACTATGCATTCACATCCATGACCCCACTGGCATTCTGCCTTGGCCTTGCAGGTGAGGCCCAGAAGGTATAGTGACACTTAGGAAGGGAAACTGTCTCAGAATGGACCCTGAGCTAATGATGCTGCCAGAATAAGAATCCAGGTGCTCTAACTTCCCTTCCCAGGCAACTAGGGGAGCAGTTAGGCCCCAGACTCTAGAGTCAAATCAGGGCTCCACTGTTTGCAAGCTGTGACCCTGGGCAAATGGTGCAGCTCTCTCTGAGCTCAGCTTGCAAATCTGTAAAATAGACATGACAATATTAACCTGCAGGTGATGCTATAAGTGTCCTTCTCAGTGTAGGGGTGGAAAGGTATGATACCTTTCTTCACCCATCATAAGACTCACGAATGACACTCCTATAACAAAAGACAACAAGAGAAAAGCATAACAAATTGACTTAAAGTTTTATGTGACACAGGAGCTTTCAGAATAAAGACCTAAAAACTCAAGAGAAAACTGTCTGTTTTTAGCCTTAGACCCCATGAAGAATGCACAGCCATGTAGAAATGTGATTGGATGATTGGACAGAAAGGGTATGATCTAATGCTAATAGGCGGAGTGGGGAAACCTAGCAAGGCCCGACTTCAGATTCTTCTTGGCCTCTCTGTGTGCCGTTCCTTCCTCCCTGGTATGGGGCAAGGTCCCTTCTGGAATAAGGGTCTTATTATCTGCTATCAGACAAGGTAGGTCAGAGAATTTCTTTATGGCCAGCTCTTACACAGAAAGGCAGGGGAAAGTTAAAGTCGTGTTTCTAGGTTTTATGGCTGGCTTTGGGGAAAAGGAATTCTAGTTTTTATGGCCTGACTTGGAGGAGAAAGGTTAGCAGAAGAAAAAGGAAAAAGGACAGAAAAAGACTTTGTTTATGAAACCCTTTCAGTGTCATTCAGTTCAAAGCACTCAGCATGCCAAGACACCATACTTTGGGATATCGTTTTCTGAACCCTGACATTAGCAGCCACTGTCCACTCTTCCTAACTGAACAGCAATCGTTATCACAGCTGTTTTTAAAAGGTCACTGTCTTTGTTTTATGCTGCAATAACAGAATACCTGAGACTGGGTAATTTATAATGAACAGATATTTATTTTTTGTGGAAGGTGAGAAGTCTATGGTCAAGGCGCCTGAACTCTGGGCAAGGACCTTCTTGCCGCATCATCCCATGGCAGAAGGCAGAAAGGTAAGAGAGAGAGAAAGGGGTGAGGCGACTGAACTCATCCTTTTACAAGGGACCCACTTTTGCAAAAACTAACCCACAACCCACTCCTTCAATAACAGCATTAAGCCACTCGTGAGGGCAGAGCCATCATGACCTAATCACCTCTCCAAGGTCCCACCTCCCAGCACTGTTGCCTTGGGGATTGCATTTCCAATACACAGACTTTGAGGGACACATTCAAACCATAGCAGTTGCCCCAGATCTTGCCAGGCTGGAATTTATTTCTGGCCTCCTGTCTAGTAAAGACCAATGTAGTTTCCTGTGATTGGATTGCGGCTAGGGGACCTGGGTTTCAGTTTAGACATTTCCATGAACTTGCTGCATTCCCTGTAGGGACTCATTTCCCATCTGCGGGCTCATTTCCATGAAGTTGCTGCATTCCCTGTGGGGACTCACTTCCCATCTGTGGGCTCAGGACAGTCAGGTGTGAAGCAAAGGCAACACATCAGTGAGCCCTCCCTCACTGCTGACCCATCCCCTTGCTTCCTTGACTTTTCTTTGCTCTGTATCTCAAGTGAGCGCTGGACCTGCCTCAGGCACCACTGCGATGCAGAGGCTTGGAGGGTTTTTTGGGTTCAGTTACAGTTTCTGAGCCTCTTGGCTCTGGTCACTTTTTCAGTGGAACACTTCTTCTTCCTTTTATTTTTTAAGAGAAAGGGGCTAGGCATGGTGGCTGACACCTGTAATCCCAGCACTTTGGGAGGCCAAAGCGGGTGGATCACCTGAGGTCAGGAGTTCGAGACTAGCCTGGCCAACGCAATGAAACCCTGTCTCTACTAAAAATAAAAAAAAATAAAAAAAAAATTAGCTGGACATGTTGGCAGCCACCTGTAATTCCAGCTACTCAGGAGGCTGAGGCAGGAGAATCATTTGAACCTGGGAGGTGGAGGTTGCAGTGAGCTGAGATCATGCCACTGCACTCCAGCCTGGGTGACAAAGTGAGACTTTGTCTCAGAAAGAAAAGAAAAAGAGAAAGTTTCTCATTCTCTGTCACCCAGGCTTCAGTGCAATGGCCCAATCTCGGCTCACTGCAGCCTCAAAGTCCTGGGCTCAAGCCATCCTCCCACCTCAGCCTCCCAAGGTGCTGGGATTACAGGCATGAACCTCTGGGCAAAGCTTTGTCATTCTTCATACTTTTCGAACAAGGAGCCCTGCATTTTCATCTGCACCGGGTCCTGCAGATTATTACGTAGTGGGTCCTGGTGTGGATTCGTGTGCCTGGGTTCCGTGCCCATTCGTTGAGCTGGGGTACGGGGATCATCAGCTACACCCAGACCACACGGACCCAGAAGCGGGGGGCAGGGTTGCTAAAGAAAAACTGAAGAGCGTTACCAGAAGCAAGAATGGTTGTGGCGTCGGCAAAATTGAATACACGTGCGTATCGACACCGATGTGGGATACGTTCTGAGTAGTTGAGGGAAGACCCAAAATCATGCCGTCGGAGCTCTTCCTGGAACCGCACCGCGGCATGTGTGGCTCCATGGAGGGCGTGACGCACCGTGCAGCAATACTCGCAGCGTGGAGAGTTCCAGTCCCGAAATGGCAGCGTCAGGCAAGCTGCTTCCAATACCCCTCCCTCCGACAACCAGAAACAAATACCCAGCGCCCAGATCCACACCAGCAGCAACCCAGAGCTCCAGTCTGAGGATGAGACTGTTCCAGGGCCACAGAAAAGAGGAAAACCTCGGGCAGATGGTGAGGGAAGGGAACCTCCGTGTTCAGGACACCTCCGCCCATCCACATTCGGCCTGGCACCGATCCTGCGGAATCTCTCCCCAACGCACGGTTTCTACACTGGAACGATTGAAACTAAGGGGGTGCGCCAACTCCCCCACCTTCGCGGGTCCCCTGGCAGGAGACCTGGTCCTTGCCTTACCGCAGTAGGTGTGGCTGTGACTGAAGGGAGCGGCATCCCTGAGCACAGTCGGAGACAAAGGGAGGCGAGGGCCAACCCCAGCCCGGAAACTCTGCCCTGTAACTCGGCCAAAGGAGACGCCGCATTGGAGCGGCTGTTCCGCAGCACCATGCTGTAGAAGGTACGTTCCTCTGATGCCCTGTGCGCAAACCCCTAGCCAGCCTTCCCACACTGCCAGGATAACCCTTTTGAAACCTCCCCTGTTTGGGACAGGCCGTGCTCCCACCTTTTATTGGAGACGAGGCGAACCTGGGCTTAGGGCGCCACCTAGAGCCAAAAAAGAGGAAGCGACCTGGCCGCGAAGCTTCGCTAGGCAAGGATGTCCCACAGAAACCCAAACAAGCCAGACAGAGAAAACTGGAATAAATAATCCTTCATTGCAAAGACACAGGCGTATACCCACAAAAACACCAGCAAGCAGGAGACCATGACCTACGCAAAAGGACAAAGCAAAAATCCAGTGACTGGGCCTAACGACATGGCGATTGGTGAGCTCCCTGACCAAGAATTCAAAATAGCAGTTTTAAGGAAACTCAGTGATCTCCGAGATAGCACACAAGCGCATTTCAGAAACTTATCAAAGTTAACAAAATATTAAAGTAATTTTAAAAATCAAGCAAATCTTGAAACTGAGAAGTTCATTTGCTGAATCGCTGAAGTTCATTTGCTGATGAACTCGATAGACTCTCAACAGCAGAGGGAACCAAACAGAGGAAAGTATCAGTGAGCTTGAAGACTGGCTATTTGAAAATACAGCCAGAGGGAAAAAAAGGAAAAAAATAACTGAAAGGAATGAAGACCGCCAACAAGATCTACAAAAGTAACTCAAAACACCAAATCTAAGATCTACAAAAGTAATTCAAAAGACCAAATCTAGGAATTGTTGGTGTTCAAGAGGGAGCTGAGGCCGAGCATGTGGCTCATGCCTGCAATCCCAGCACTTTGGGAGGCAGAGGTGGGAGGACTGCTTGAGGCCAGGAGTTCGAGACCAGCCTGGACAACATAGTGAGACCTCGTCTCTACTAAAAATTAAAAAAATATTAGCTGGGCACAATGATGTGCACCTGTAGTCCCAGCTACTCAGGAGGCTGAGGCTAGAAGACCGCTTGAGCCTGAGAGATGAAGGTTGCAGTGAGCCGTGATCATGCCACTGCACTCCAGCATGCATGACAGAGTGAGACCCTGTCTCAAAAAAAAAAAAAAAAAAAAAAAAACCAAAACAGTGGGAGCTGAGCAAGAGCAAGGGGTAGAAAGCTTATTCGAAGAACTAATAACATAGTAATACCCAACCTGTGCAACACTCCTTTCCTGTGCCAGGCACTGTGCTAAGCAATTAACGTGTACTATCTCATTTAATCCTCTCAGCGACTCTATGGCGACAGTATTATTAATGGTGCTTCATGAAAGGAAAAACTCAAGGAAATATCTCTTCTTCCTATAGCGTGAGAGCCAGCTAAGGAGTGCAAGCCCCCCCCTCCCCAACCATGGGGTGAGAAGTGTCCCCTCTGTTCTCCCAGCAGTCCTGTGCTTCCCTGTTACAGAGTGCCCCCCAGTCTGCTGTGATGGCTGTGGCCCTGCATCTCTTCCACATGAAATGAGAGCTGGAGGCATGGCTCACTCCATGATACAGATCTAGTCCCTAGAACAGAACTAGGCTCCTATGGGGAAATGCAATAAGGACAGCGAACAAAGAAAGGGAGAGGTAGAAGGAAGCTCAGAAGTTTAAAGGACTCAGTCTGGCAGAAAAAGAAAGAGGGGTTGAGGAGGGAGTGAGATGAAGGGAAGTTGAGTGCAAGGAAGTTCAGAGGGGGAACTCTACAGAATGCACATGGAAAATAAAGTTAATCAGCAAGGATGGAAAGATATCTTAAACGTCAACATCAACAGAAAAAAGACCTAACTGTATATCAAATTGAACTTTAATAATTTAGTGGAATATAATTTTAATGGAATATAATCTTGTGCTTTGCTTTGTAGATGTGTTGATGGTCGTGGTATTGATGTAGTAATTCCAGCACTATTTGTGACTAAGGAATGTTAAAGCAAATATATTGTTTGGGGGAATAATAATTCTCATTCACTAAGAGAGAAGGGAGAAAACATATGGAATGAGAACAAAGGAAGAACACCACATTGCTGTATTAAATTAAAGATTACTAGTAAGACCTCCCTCTTGCTCCAGAAAGATAGATAGAGAGATGATAGCTATAAATCTGTTCCCTGAAAGAGCATAGAAGCAATGATATTATAGTACAAATGATCGCAGCCACCACACCATGAGTTCTAAATGCCATTCTCTAATTTTAAAAACCTGAACTTCTTAGAGAAGTGGCTGATTCCAGGTATTTGACAGAAAAATTACAAGGCAAGGCTGAACATCTTGTATCAGAAAACATGGAGGTGCTAAAAACAAACAAACAAAAACAGTGGAGAACACCGGATCCAGCTTCAAGGGGCATCCCTGGCCAGATCTGAAAGACCTGAGCATCAACAAGAGCAACGGTGGCTACGTATCATAAGATAATTGAATAAAACAAAAACCCGTGAGTCATTGTGACAAGTAAAGGCTAAAGGTGCTACCATGCCAAACCATACTGCTCAGCTACAGGCCACTTTCTTTTGCCAGGCAGGCATGAAGAGGACCATTTGAAAAGAGTTGGCGAGATGAAGGAAAGGCACGGTACAGGCCTGCATAATATTACAGAGATTTCATTATGAGAGAGGAGGTATTACCAAATGAGAACATATTTCTCTTCCTTATTATGGGTTAGACAAGGGCTTAAAAACTGGTGGCTTAATGTCCTGCTATGACTCACAGATATTTTTACTCACAAACTTCTTTAATTGGGAAATTGCACTTAAATTCCAGATTTCTGGATTGTCTTAAAATCCAGGCAATCTAGTCTTCATTCCAACCTGAAAACAGTCAGCTAACATGAGCAGAAATTGTCCTATTCAGTAGGGCCTGCATCCTTGGGCTCATCAGAGCTTCCAGTAGTACAGGCTCCCTTCACTGATTGTTGTCACCTGTCTGGCCCCTGGAGACATTATCCTTTATGACCACTAGTTTGTTTATGTTTCTGACTTGTGAGCTATAAAACTGGAATGACCACTAGTTTAAACTTCACTGCCTCTGAGAATTAGTGTCTGTCATTAGGATAGAGGCGTGTGTGTGTGTGTGTGGTGTGTGTGTGTGTGTGTGTGTGTGTATGTGTGTGCTTGATGAAATTTGATTCAACATCTGCTAACAAGACAGTTGGGAGAATGAAGAGATGAACTCCCACTTGTGAAGACTAGATTTGGAAGCACTCTTCCTGGACTTCACTGAAGAATTTAGGACATTAGGCCAGGTGCGGTGGTTCACGCCTATAATCCCAGCACTTTGAGAGGCCAAGGCAGGTGGATCACTTGAGATCAGGAGTTTAAGACCAGCCTGGCCAACATGATGAAAACCCGTCTCTACCAAAAATACAAAAATTAGCCAAGTGTGGTGGCACACACCTGTAATCCCAGCTACACAGGAGGCTGAGGCAGGAAAATAGCTTGAACCCAGGAGGCAGAAGTTGCTGCGAGCCGAGATCACACCACTGCACTCCAACCTGGGTGATAGAGCGAGACTCTATCTGAAAAAAACAAAGAATTTGGGACATCAAAAGTCTCCCTGGACTCGGAGCACCCAGCCACCTCACTTGTCATGTGGACACCTCTTCTTTACCTTCCATTCCATGTGAGCTTGGGTGGGGGTAATAATTGAAACAGGAGGGGAAGGAGATACAACTGGAAGTAGAATGTTCCCTAGGGGAAAGGGGTCAAGTTTTCCAAAAAGTTGATGGAAGGCTTCAAGCCAGTTAATGCCTTAAGAAGGCTCTTTTGAAAGGGGGCCAAATGATGGGATGGGTTTGAGGAGCAAAATTGGCTAATTGCTTAAAGAATTTATCTTAGATGTCTCGGAAGAGGCATCTGGTGGTTGTTTACACAACAGCCACCCTACCCTTCTGAGTAAGAGTACCCCAGGTTTGTTCAAGCATCAGTGTGCCCAGCGACAGAGAATAAACCATGATTGGTCTGATTATGGTAGCTCCATTGCTTGTGATTGGCCTATACATGGCAAGAATCCAGTTGTGTCCAGTGAGAGACATAAGGAGGATTCTGGGAAGGACTTTCCTCCAAAATAAAAGAGATTCATGCAAGAAGTTCCCTTTGCCATTGTCCCTTTTGCTTCCCATTTTGGATGCTGTCATATGAAGAAGTGATGGTTGGAGCTGCAGCAGCCACCTTGCCACCATAAAGCAACCAGCTCCAAAGCCAAAATGTCAAGGAAGTTTGAGTAGGAGAATAACAGAACAAGGCAGTATGAGAAACATGACCTGGTCCATTTTCACTCCTCCACTGATGCCTATACAGAGATGGCAGTATCCTACCGAGAAATGGGGTCCCAGATCCCAGAGTGGTCATGAGCAAAGAAGTTAGGGCAGCTGGAAGTGGTAGGAGAACTATTGTGGCTCCAAGGAATATTGGCAAGCAGAAAACTTGGAAAGAATGTAAAAAGAAAACCTTTCTTTTCCCAGTGGGAACTGACCTTGAAAGGTGGTAGGGACTGATTATGAGAGTTTGTAAGAAAGCACAAAATAAATCTCTACAGTATTGAGCATGGAATGGTCTACCTGCAGAACATGATAAGCTGTGCCACAGAACCTGAGGTGCAGGCATGATCCCCTGATGAAGACACGATGCCACTAACTATGGGCCTTCGCATCCTATGTGAGCTACTTGGTGACAGGTTGGTCTATGTTAGTTTCTCCTCCTATTTCAAGATAAGGCCGGGTGTGGTGGCTCATGCCTGTAATCCCAGCACTTTGGGAGGCCGAGGTGGGTGGATCACCTGAGGTCAGGTGTTCAAGACCAGCCTGGCCAACATGGTGAAACCTCATCTCTACTAGAAATACAAAAATTAGCTGGGCATGGTGGCAGAAACCTGTAATTCCAGCTACTCGGGAGGCTGAGGCAGGAGAATCACTTGAACCAGGAAGGCAGAGCTTGCAGTGAGCCAAGATTGCACCACTGCACTCCAGCCTGGGTGACAGAGCAAGACTCTGTCTCAAAAAAAATAAAAAAATAAAAAATAAGAAAAATAAATGTGGGAGCTTCTTCAATGCTAATTGATGGATCAAAATATGGTCATGGAGTGCCAATTAAACAATATCATCTATTTTTCTCCCTGTCTTGGACCACTACCAATATGCTGCTATTTTATTTATGGAGACACTGAGGTCTAAAAAATTAAATAACTCGGCCAAGGCATACACAGCAGTGAATGACAGAGCTAAGATGTGAACTAAGACATTTCTGTCTTCTTTACTCACATAACAACTGCCTCTTTGACAATGTCTTTCAACTTACAAGTTAGTCCAAAATCAAAGAAGTTTGGATCCAACTGGCTCCTGCTGCTCTTCTCAGTCAGGTCACAAGTATCTTTGTCACAGAAGTATTAATAGGCAGTGTTTTAACTGACTTCAGTAACATGACTTGAACATAGTGGATTCTCAATGAATGACTTGTGGGTGTAACTCAGGCTAAATTGCAAAAAATTGAGGCACAATAGAAGGACAGAGTAGGGATTTTTTTTTTTTCTCCAAGTCATGCCCTTCCTTTTGTAATTCAATCATTTCCTGAATACCTACTAAGTGCCATCTACCATAAAGCAGCTCACTGTTAGACGTGGCACACATTAGGAAGTGCAGAGCCTCTGGAGCAAGACTGCTTAGGTCTGAAGCTCTGCTTGCCAGTTGCCAGTTGTGTGACCTCCAGCAAGCAAACTCCTTCACACTTTGTGCCTCTGTTTCACTGTCAGTATAAATAAATATATTAAATAGAACCTACCCTGTAGGGTTCTTATGAGGAATAACTTGGAAAGTAAATACATGTAGTTTGTGTAGACTAGTACCTAGTATGCAGTAAATGTTCTGTAAATGTTATTATTCTGTCTACTTGTAACTCGGCCTTGAGTAAGAGAGTTCCATCTTCGCGTCCCAGTCCCCTTCTCCAGACTGGAATCCAAAGCCCAGGGTCTATCTCCCCTCTGCTCTCCTTTACCAAGACCCAATTCTTCTTCCTCCCATATCCCCTCCACAAGGAAATACCATTTTTCCCAAATGCCCTCTTGCTTTTTGCCCCCATTCAGTGCCTATCCCCAAGTCCACCTCAAGGTCCATGTCCCCTAAGAAGGCTTCTCCCCCTTGGTCACTTCTATCCCTTGTCTTTTGCCTAAGCTCCAACTTGCACACTGTTACCGCCCAGTCTTGCCTGCCTGTTGGCTGGCCTGTTCTGTGTGGCTGCCAGCACACAGACTTTGTGTCAAAGACTGTGCATCACATCACACAGACTTTCAGCCACGGCATGGAGTGCAAGGGATGGGAATGTATCTTATGCATTTTTCTGCACCCTCTCCCATATGCATGCATACACACACTATTATACCTGTGTATGTAATCAGTGCTCAGCAAAGCCTGCTGGATGTCTGACTGCACCATCCATTCACTCACTTCTCTTCTCATTTTCATGGCCCCCACCCAGTCTGAATCACCAAACTCTGCTTCCCTACTGATTTATCTTGCATCAGCCCAGTATCTATAGACTTAAAATAAGACAAAGGCAAAACAAATCAAGAACTTTCCTTAACAACACGTACCTTCTCAGCTACTGTTTCATTGGTCTGCTTCCTTTTATAGCTAACCGGCTTGAAAAACTTGTCTATATTCAGCTTTCGGATTTTTTTGACTATGACCCACAGTAGGAAATATATTTTTATAAAGCAGCCCAATGCACACATACACTCTCACACAAGCACACACACCCAAACACAGACACCTGCACACACACAGTCACACACAAACACACATATAAAATGGGAACAAATGTTTTATGAAACATTACTCATGGAATGCATGCTAAGATTTTTCTGTTCAATTCTATACTATGTTATGCTATTTAATTTTTTTTAAAAAAACTAACCTACATTTTTGTCCGCCTCCTTTTTTCCTATTAAATTTTTTGGCATTAAGAAATGTTTAAATATGTTAGAGGTCAAAGGGTAGTATAATAAAATTTGTTCTTACTACTTAGAATTTACAAATGTTAACTGCCATATTTCCTTCAGGTGAAAACCTGGCAAAATTCAAGTCCTCTGTATGACCTCCACCTCGCTCTATTTCCCTTTCTCCCTCTTTCCAGGCAAGAATTGGATGTGTATCCTGTGTGCATTCTTCACTTTTAGTAAATCTATGTATATCTACTAGATATATTTTTCCAATTTGAAAATTTTATATTTTACATTTTCGTTAATTTATTTGGAGTAAACGTTTGCATATGATAGGAGCTCAGGATCAGAAGTACACAAGATTTTGAAGAGCCAATTGTCTCAGCATCCTTTATTGAATTGTGTGTTTTCTCTCCATTGATCTGAAATGGCTTCTCTATCAAGAGCAAGCTTTCATATATATTTGGTTCTGTTTCTGGTGCATTTTATTCCTCAGTTCACTTCCATTTGGCTTTTACATCCATCTCACAAGGAAAAGTGGTCTTGTCAGGGTCCCTGGTGACTTCTACCTAGTAGAGTAGTTTCTATTCATTTTCATTGACATTTTAGAAATTTCAGGGGAGTTGGCATCCTGCTTTTTGAAATGTTCTCTCCTCTTTGCTTCTATGAGGACTTACTCTCCTGGCCTTCTGCCCACATTTAGGGCAGCATCCTTTCCATCACCTTCACTAGTGCCTTCTACTCTATCCAGCCTTGGTACCAGTTCCCCCGCCTCCTCCTCCTCCCTCTTTTTCCACCCTTCTTTATCTTCAAAAAAAGTATGTAAATAATGCATGAACACATTCCTAAAGTAGATAAATGAAGCAGGGCACAGCTATAAGAGGAAACATGAAGCATCTTTTCATCTCTGCCTCCCCCTGTTTCCCCACAGAGGTACTGTAGACAGTTGGAGACATGGGGCACAGAATGGGAGCTGCCCCAAATATCCATTCGCCCCTTCATCTTCTGTGATCGAACTGCCCAGAAGTGAGCTGACATTTCCCTCCCCTGCAGCTCTGTGTAGTCCTGTGACTGAGTTGTGGCTGAGGGTTGAGAAGGGAAATTGGTGTGTGTAACTTCAAGGACATTCCCTCAAAGGAAAGGACACGCTCTTCTCCCTCTCTTTTCTCCTTTCCACTATTGGATGCCCAGAGCCAGAGCAACCACCTGGAACCATAAAGTAGGAGCTGTGTGTTGAGGGAGAGAGGGGAAGATTAGAAAGGCGTAGACACCGATAATCTTGGAGTCACCATTCCATCCCGTACTTGTACACAGGTGATAAATGTGCATGCTTTTGTGAACTATTATCATTTGAGATTTTCTCTCACACTCAAAATTTATCTAACTACATGCTAATATATCTTTTCTTTTTCATAAAATGTCCATATGTGATTCTGTGGCTGAATTTTTTTATTACCAAACAGTACATTCCTCCATTTCCCTCACTTCTCACACTTAATTAATTCCTACCATCTGTTGATTTTACCTTTAACTTCTCAGCCTCTCTGCACCCTCATTGCCACTCCCCCCATCCAAGCTACCATAATTTATAACTGATGCCAACTGGTCATTCTGCCTCAACTTTTGCCCATAGATAGAACTAGCTCATTCTTCAATTCGTTCTCTACATAGTGTTCAGGATAATTTTTTAAAAACACAAATCAATTTATATCAATCCGTGCTTAAAACCCTTCTGTACTTTCCTGTCCCATATAGAATGAAATGTAAGTCCTTTATGGGCCCACAAACATCCACAGGATTTATTCTGTGTTCATCTCTTTGGATCCATTTTGGTCCAGACTATCACTCTCTTTGACCACATTGTATCGATTTCCTTTCAAGCCTGTTCCACCTCTTCCTGCCGTTCACAGACTCAGTGATAAGCAGCCTGGAACACCGATATGGTTTGGCTGTTTCCCTACCCAAATCTCACCTTGAATTGCAATAATCCCCACGTGTCAAGGGTGGGGCCAGGTGGAGATAATTGAATCATGGGGGCAGTTTCCCCCTTACTAGTCTCGTGGTAGTAAGTCTCACAAGATCTGATGGTTTTATAAATGGGAGTTCCCCTACCTAAGCTCTCTTGCTGCCATGTAAGATGTGACTTTGCTCCTTCTTTGCCGTCTGCCATGATTGTGAGGCCTCCCCAGCCACGTGGAACTGTGAGTCAATTAAACCTCTTTCCTTTATAAATTACCCAGTCTTGGGTATATCTTTATTAGCAGCATGAGAACAGACTGATACAAACACCCTTTCTACAATATGTGCCTCATTGGCTTCTTCAGATATCTGCTAAAATGTCACCTTCTTAAAGAGGCTCCTCTGGCTAGCTTTACATCGTACTTATTTCCCTCATAGCCCTTCTCACAATTTATAATTATGTATGCACTTGTTAATTTACTTGATTATTTTCTTCTCCTACTGGGCTATAAGCTCCCCAAGAGAAAGGTGTCTGTTTATTTCAGGAATCACTCTATCCACAGAAACAATCATATATCTAGACACACAGAAAGCATGCAATAAATACTTGCTAAAGGAAACTGCCCTGAACTAGAGTTAAGAAACCTTGATTCAAATACCATCTTCACTGCCGGGTGCAGTGGCTGATGCCTGTAATCCCAACACTTTGGAAGGCCAAGGTGGGCGGTTCACCCAATGTCGGGAGTTCAAGACCAGCCTGGCCAACATGGTAAAACCCTGTCTCTACCAAAAGTACAAAAAAATAAGCTGGGCATGGTGGTGGGCACCTGTAATCCCAGCTATTTGGGAGGCTGAGGCAGAAGAATCGCTTGAACCTGGGAGGCAGAGTTTGCAGTGGCCAAGATCGTGCCACTGCACTCCAGCCTGGACAATAGAGTGAGACTCTGTCTCCAAAAAAAAAAAAAAAAAAAAAAAAAAAGTACCGTCTTCACCACTAACAGGCCGTGCTGTGGTGCTGTGTTAGGAAAATCAGTCAACCTATCAGAGCCTATGTGGAACATGCAGATAATAAGACCTACCCTGATTATCCTCATGAGATTATGAAAATCAAGGGTGATGATGCAAGGTAAAATTTTAATACTCTGAACAAATGTGAAGCAGGGAAATTTACTATTGAAGCAAGGGAAACTTACATGAGAACTTAGCTTACCCAGTTTTAGAGGAACCTGCTTTCTTAAATATGTGTAAGTGGAATGGGCTTCTGTAAAATAGTCTGTCCAAGGCCTTATCAATCATAACTACTTATCCCTGGTCACATCCCCTGTAGCTATAGCTTTAAAGGAAGCATTTTCTTGGAATATAAACCTTGGCACTGCTTATGTCATCAAACCCAGGAAATGGGTCCTTTTGACTTGAGAATGAAGAGTTTAGTGGCAGCTGCTAGTTGAAATGAAACTTTTTGCTCAGAACAATCAAATTCAGCTCTTTTGCCCCTTTACCTACTTTGCTTAGTTTGCTAGTGATTGCTTCGATGTAGTATTTACAGAAAAGTTTAGTAAAATGTAGGGGATGGCCTGTCCTTTCACACTGGGATGGCTGTGTGGTATAAATAATCCTCTTTTAATCACAGTCTAAACATGGTTCTAAAACAAGATGTTTGTGCCAAAAGGAATTCCAAGAGGCATTACCCTGATGGTTGAGGGGTGTGGGGGAGCAGGGGTGAGTGAGTTAAATAATAGAATCTTCAGCCCCCCTGAGCTTGAGCCAGCTGGAGGTGGGGTACACTTTTGTTGCTTTGGATTACCAAAGAATGAATTGAAACTTCACTTTTTCTTTTATTAAACACCTTATTCTAATAGTATTTTTGCCATTTACATGATAAAGAATGTGGTCTCATTTTGGTCTTAGCAACCTCTACGCAAACACATTTGGACTCTTTTTACATAAACTTTGTATTTGGGGATAATTGTAGATTTACATAAAAGCTGCAAAGACAGTTCAGAGTGTTCCTGTATACCCATCACCCAACTTCTCTAATATTAACATCTTACGTTAGTATGGTACCTCTGTCATCATTGATGAACCAATATTGATGCATCATTATTCACAGAAGTCATTTCTTTATTGAGATTGTTCTAGTTTTTGCCTAATGCTCTAATGTCCTTCTTTCTGTTCTAGGATCTGGATAGGATACTACTTTGCATTAGATTGGGCTTCTTTTTGCATTGGCATCAAAAAGTCATATTTTTTTCTTTTAAAGTAAAACTATCATGTTAAAATTAAGGAAATGTTTTTCTTTTTGGAGGGTGTAAAGTTACAAACTTATTTACATTTCTGCCAGGTATATAGTCAATTAATACTGGTTGTCTTTTCAAATTTGGATTGTGCAACTCCAGCTAAAGTTACTTCTTAAAGGAGAGAGAGTAAATATCTACCAAAAGGACCCCTTGTAGGGGCTGAAGTTGGTGGGGAGAAGTGGTAGAGATTTGAATTCTACAGTGTCTCTGCCCTTAGTGGAAAGAATGTAGTCGAATCTCACCTCTGCTGTCTGGTTAATTGAGGGAAAGTTACTTAGCCTCAGTTTCCCATTCTGTCACATGCAGATATTGATCCTTTCACTCAGGGCTGAGGTAAAGGTTAGAAGAAAAGGAAATAAAAGCATTAGCATTATACCCAGAACACTATGGTGCGTTAAGTGCCATTATTTTTATTCATTTATACTTAAGTAAGGGAAAGAAGCATTTTAGAAATGTTTTACTTGTTGCAGTTTATTGCCTCTGAGTGAAAACGTCTCCTACAACAGTGGTCTCCAACCTTTTTGGCACCAGGGACTGGTTTTGTGGAAGACAATTTTTCCATGGACGGGGGGTGAAGGATGGTTTCAGGATGATTCAAATACATTATATGTATTGTGCATTTCATTTCTATTATTACATTGTAATATATAATACAATAATTATACAACTCCCCATAATGTAGAATCAGTGGGAGCCCTGAGCTTGTTTTCTGGCAGCTAGATGGTCCCATCTGGGGGTGATGGGAGGTAGTGACAGACCATCAGGCATTAGATTCTCATAAGGAGCACGCAACCTAGGTCCCTCGCATGTGTAGTTCACAATAGAGTTCGTGCTCCTATGAAAATCTAATGTCGACACTGATCTTACAGGAGGTGGAGCTCAGGAGGTAATGCGAACAATGGGGAGTGGATGTAAATACAGATGAAGCTTCACTCATTTGCCCATGCTCACCTCCTGCAGTGCAGCCTGGTTCCTAATAGGCCACAGACCAGTACCAGTTCATGGCCCGGGGGTTAGGGACCCCTTTCCACTCAACATCATTGTCCACAAAACACACGCCAGCAATATTCTTCTCTCTGCTCTTTCTTATGTCTTTCTTGAAACAATATGGTTTATGGTTTCCCCATCTTACCCTATAAAAATTATACCATTCTTCAGGGCTATAGGCAAAGTTCACCACAAAGCCTTCCTTGATGCCTTCAGTGCTGGTGAGAGGGGAAGGGTTTTGGAGTCAGGGATAACCAAAAAGATCTCTGAACCTGTTTACTCATCTGTAAAATGGAATTTAAAATAGTCATCATGTGGAATAAAGAAAATAATGTATGTAAAATGTGAATTACTGCATCTAGCATATAGTATGTTCCTCCAATAATAATAATAGCTAATGTTTTAGATAGTAGCAATGAGAAATGGAAAGAAGCAGAAAACCTGTTCAGGGCATACATGCAGTGGCAGGTCTTAGCAGTTGATTCATTGTTTTGTGTGGAGGAGAAAGGGGGGAGTCAGGAATGGCACTGGGTCTCTAAATTTTTGAGCAAGAGAAATAAAGGCATTCATAAAGTTAGGGGCAAGAGTCATTTTTGCTTTATATGAATGTGTTGTTGCAACTAGAGGACATGGCACTTGACACTGATCATATGGAATTTAACAAGTCATGGGGACACTGCAGGGCCGATGTCCAGAGACTGTTGACCATCTGGGTCTGGAGATGAGAATGTTAGCAGTGGAATGTATTTGAGTCACCCGGCACCAAAGTGTGTTAGTGGTGGTGAATTTGTAGGGGTCTGCAGCAACCTCAATTCTTGCCTCCTCAGAAAAAAGAATTCAACTGAGAGCATAAGGCAGTGTGAGAGACTGAGGCAAGTTTTAGAGGAGGAGTGAAAGTTTATTAGAAAGCTTTGGAGCAGGAATGAAAGGAAGGAAAGTACACTTACAAGAGGGCCAAGCAGGCAACTTCAAAGATCAAGTGCACTGTTTGACCTTTGGCTTGGGGTTTTATATGTTGGCATAATTCCAATGTCTTGCATCCCTTCTCCCCTGATTCTTCCCTTGGGGTGGGCTATCCCCATGTGCAGTGGCTCACCAGCACTTGGGAGGGGCCACGTGCGCAGAGTGTTTACTGGAGTTGTACACATGCTCACTTGAGGCGTTCTTCCATTACCATCTAGCATTCCTAGAGGAAGGTCATATACCAGTTAAACCCCGCCATTTTGCCTCTTAATGCACATGCTTGAGCCAACTCACCCAACTCCTGGGATCTTATAAGAAAGATGCAGATGACCAGTTTTGGGTTTTTTCTGTCTGTTGGGAGACTGCCTTTCCCTGGTGCTGGCTATGACCAATTATTTTAGAGAGTTTAACAACCACCTGACCATCACCTGATGGTCACCTCACATTCCTGGTGAGGTGTGGGGAGTCCCTCTCCTGCCCTGCTCATGTCTGACTAGCTACCTACCGTAACAAGAAGAAAAAACTTTGAGTGGCAGATTGGGGTTCTGCATCATACAGGTGCTAATTGAAACTGAAGAAGAGAGGAGCAGATCACCCAGGTAGTTTGTAGAGAAAGAAGGAGCAAGGGCTAAGGATAGAACCTTGAGGTACACTAACATTTAAGAGAAAGACAGAGATTGAGGAGTCCAAGGATGAGGCTTAGACACCTTGAGGTATATTTCAGGTGAGGGATATTTAACGCTGTTGAGAAGTTGCCAGTGAGAAAGACAGGCTGAACGTGGGTAGAGAAGAGGTTGTAGAAAGGAAGACTTGCAAGAAGGGAGAGTGACATGAAGACCTGTGAAAGGCACAGGTGTGGTTGCAGTTGAATTTTTAGGTGGGGTGGTAGGAACTTGGCCTCATAGATTTCTCCCATCTCTCACCACAGTAAAGTAGTTTATATGTGTAGAGAAGTGGTTCTCAAAGTGGGGTGTGAGGATCCCTGCAAGTCCCCAAGACCCTTCTGCAATTGTGTGGTGGAGTTTTCCAGAGGCTACATGTGTGATGATGTCCCCATCTCCCCCTCTGATGGCTGCAAATGGAATGTTTGCTTGTATTTTCTTGTGCTTCCTAGAATTTTCTAAGCAAGTAGATGTAGATTTATGTGCATTTCTCGGGATTAACTCCATTTTTTTCTTCAGCACTTCTACTGTGCTCTTATCTGCTCTCTTGTTATACCTGCTACAACACCTGTAACCCTGTTATTCAACCAATTGTTATTTTGAAATTCCCAAGTTTCCTTTGAGTCTATGCAGAAACACAAGAAGTGCACTTTGTTGTCTTGTTTAGCAATAATATAGTATTTTAAAAATCTTTGAAAATGTTCTACACTTCAAGATTTTACCAAACACTGCTATAATTTTAGAATTTTATATTTTATTTTAAAGTGAAAGAAAATTCATTTGTCATATACAGTTGGCCCTCCATATCCATGGGTTTTGCATCCATGAATTCAACTAACTGTGGATCAAAAATACTTGAAAAAAATTTGTTTGTACTGAACATGTACAGACTTTTTCTCTTATCACTATTCCCTAAACAATACATGGATGACAAGTCTGGGCATGGTGGTGGCTCATGCCTGTAATCCCAGCACTTTGGGAGGCCGAGGTGGGATGGTTTCTTGAGCCCAGGAGTTTGAGACCAGCCTGGGCAATATAGTGAGACCCCATCTCTACAAAAAAAAAATAAAAAAATTAGCCTGGCATGGTGGCATGTGCCTGTAATCCCAGCTACTAGGGAGGCTAATGTGGGAGGATCACTTGAGCCTGGGAGGTGGAGGCTGCAGTGAGCTGAGATCAAGCCACTGCACTCCAGCCTGTGCAACAGAGCAAGACTATCTCAAAAAAAAAAAAAAAAAAAAAAAAAACCAATACAGCACAACTATTTGCATAGCATTTACAGTGTATTGGGTATTATAAGTAATCCAGAGATGATATAAAATATACAAGAGGATGTGCATAGATTATATGCAAATACTATGCCATTTTATACCATGAACTTGAGCATCTGTGGATTTTGATATCTGAAGGAGGTACCAGACCGAATGCCCCATGGATACCAAGGGATGACTGTATCTTTCTCATATTTAAGGATGAATTGTTGGCTTTTAGAAAGGAGATTAGCAGACTGGGCTCAGTGGCTCACGTCTGTAACCCCAGCACTTTGGGAGGCCGAGGTGGGCAAATCAAGAGGTCAAAAGCTTGAGACCATCCTGGCCAACATGGTGAAACCCTGTCTCTACTAAAAATACAAAAATTAGCTGGGCGTGGTGGCATGCACCTGTAGTCCCAGCTACTCGGGAGGCTGAGGCAGGAGAATCACTTGAACCCAGGAGGTGGAGGTTGCAGTGAGCTGAGAGAGCACCACTGCACTACAGCTTGGCGCCAGAGCGAGACTCTGTCTAAAAAAAATAAAAATAAAATAAGGAAATTAGCAGACTCATTTTCTCTCAGTCCACAGCTGCACTGTATACTTCTCAAAATGCTAAGAAAAATTGAAGATGACATATCAAAGCTTCTCTGAGCCATGGAAGGGAGAAATATACACACACAAAAATCTGAATGTAACTAATTAAGAAAGAAATTATGTCAAAAGTTACCTTTTCCCTCAGCTTTATTGATGCTAATAATTTATCTTTATTGTTTTACACAAGAGACCATTCTTAGAAATTGTTATTCTTCCAATTAAGTTTTACTATCCTT
Source organism: Homo sapiens (assembly GCF_000001405.40). Classification (NCBI taxonomy): domain Eukaryota; kingdom Metazoa; phylum Chordata; class Mammalia; order Primates; family Hominidae; genus Homo; species Homo sapiens. The sequence continues at coordinate 20,148,326 of NC_000011.10, forward strand.
TTGAGGGCAGCCATTGGAATTTAAACAAAGGAATCGAAGTGAACTTTTAAAACATTGACATGACGCACTGTTTAAAAACTGAAACACTGTTTGTTACACCTTTTCTCACCTGGGCGCAGTGGCTCATGCCTGTAATTCCAGCACTTTGGGAGGCCAAGGCAAGTGGATTGCCTGAGGTCAGGAGTTTGAGACCAGCCTGATCCACATGGTGAAACCCCATCTCTACTAAAAATACAAAATTAGCCGGAAGTGATGGTGCATGCCTGTAATCCAGCTACTTGGGAGGCTGAGGCAGGAGAATTGCTTGAACTCAGGGGCGGAGGTTGCAGTGTGCCAAGATCTGCCATTGCACTCCACCCTGGGACATCAGAGTAAAACTCTGTCTCAAAAAAAAAAATAAAATAAAAATAAATAAATAAATAAATAAATAAAACCTGTTTGTTACACATTTTCTAACTAGAAACGAAAAGGTCACTAAAGCATCTTACAAAATAAGTTATTATTTGCATTGGCTAGGAAAGTGCACTCAATAGGTAAAAGACTAATAAAGCCCTGTACAGTTACATTCATTAATTAACACCTACTGGATAGTCAGCTAATGAAATTATGACAATGCCATTTTCCAGTGGTATAACAGCTCGAAAAAGACTGAGTTAATAAATCACCTGAAAAATTGTACTTTTGCTTTGAAAATGGCCAAATATACAGAAGTACCTGGACCTTTTATTCTGATTGTATTCATTTAGTACTTGCACCAACTAATTAACAAAGAGCTTCTTTTATACGAATGCCTAACAACAATACAAGTGTTGCTGAAATATTTAAAGTATTGAATGCCTTTTTAAAGGCTTTTTGTGGAACAACTGTGATGAGATTTTTGTGGATAGTGTAAAACCAGTGGTCAATAAAGCTGCTAGCCTACCTTAAAAGAAATCAAGGGAGTAGCACCAACCCACGCTAGTGGTCATTACATTCTCTATGATTCCCCAGTCATCCCAACACCCAGCCAGTTTCACTTATGAATGTGCTTGATAAAGCAGGAAAGTTTATTAGTGTTATTAAATCTCAACCCTAGAGTATATAATACTCAACCCTTTCAATATTCTATATAATGAAATGAGAAGTATGCATAAAATATTTCTGCTAGGCCAGGTGCGGTGGCTCATACCTGCCATCTCAGCACTTTGGGAGACTGAGGTGAGCGGATCACCTGAGGTCAGGAGTTCGAGACTAGGCTGGCCAACGTGGTGAAACCCCGTCTCTACTAAAAGTACAAAAAATTAGCTGGGCGTGGTGGCATGCTCCTGTGATCCCAGCTACTCAGGCTGCTGAGGGAGGAGAATCGCTTGAACCCGGGAGGCGGAGGTTGCAGTGAGCCGAGATTGCGCCACTGCACTCCAGCCTGGGTGAGAGAGCGAGACTTCATCTCAATAAATAAATAAATAAATAAATAAATAAATAAATAAATAAATAAATATTTCTGCTGCATACTGAAGTGTGATGATTGTTTCAAGAAAAGCACTCGTACAATTGTTAGAACTAGCCATGTTTCTCATGTAACTCCCTTTTCACTTGAAAATATGACTGACAGACAAACCATGCTCAGAGTTGGATATCTCACAGATATTTTCTCAAAAATAAATAAAGTAAACCTATCCATTGAAAAAACAACTGATAGCATTTTTCTCAATAGTAAAATTAGAGCTTTTAAATAAAAATTTGAGTCTTGGAAGCTTGTATCTGCTACTATAAGCTTGACAGCTTCTCAATACTTACTTTGATGATGAGATGGGTGGTGATATTAACAAATGTGATGTTTGATGATGTGTGAAAAGGGTTAATATTTGGAATATCTGCATGAGTCAATGAACCCAATATTTTCCATATGACCAATGCATCATGTTACAAAATCATACATGGGTAAAATACCCATTCTAAGTGGAAGACAGACCAATGGATCTTCATGTAAAGGAGTTGAAAAGTTCATTAATAAGATTTTAGATTACATATTGCAGCTAACCATTAAATAACTACCACTTGTCAAGTCTTGTTGTTCTAAGAACAACCCCAATTATGTAAAAAGACTATACAAATACTCCTCCTTTTTCAGTTGCATATCTATATAAAGCCGAATTTTCTTCATATCGCAACAAATGACAGAAACATATAAGAGAATCCAGCTGTTTTCTATAAAGTCAATCATCAAAGAGATTTGTGGCCAGATGCTATGGCACATGTCTGTACTCCCAGCACTTCGGGAGGCCGAGGCAAGTGGATTACTTGAGTCCGGGAGCTCCAGACCAGCCTGGGCAACATGTCAAAACTCCGTTTCTACAAAAAATACAAAAATTAGCCCAGCATAGTGGCACGTGCCTATAGACCCAGCTTGGGAGGGTGAGGTGGGAGGATTGCCGGAGCCTGGGAATGTTGAGGCTACAATGAACTGAGATTGTGCCACTGTACTCCAGCCTGGGAAACAGAGTGTGACACTGTCTTAAAAAAAAAAAAAAGATTTGCAGAAAGGTACGACAGTGCCACTCTTCTTTTTTTTGAGATGGAGTCTTGCTCTGTCACCCAGACTGGAGTGCAATGACACAGTCTAGGCTCACTGCAACGACACAGTCTAGGCTCACTGCAACCTCTGCCTCCTGGGTTCAAGCGTTTCTCCTGCCTCAGCCTTGCGAGTAGCTGGGACTTACAGGTGTGTGCCACCACACCCGGCTAATTTTTGTATTTTTTAGTAGAGATGGGGTTTCACCATGTTGGTCAGGGATTTGAGAATAGCCTTGTGTGTGATCCATCTGCCTTAGCCAGATGTGATCCATCTGCCTTGGCCTCCCAAAGTGCTGGGATTACAGGCGTGAGTCAGCGTGCCCGGCTCTACTCTTCTAACTTTTTTTGTTTTATAATATATTTGTCATAAAATGTGATATTTTATTGATATTTAGTGGATTTGTTTTAATTAGTAAAATATTTAAAATTTATCTCAATCTTAATTTCTTGTACAATAAATATCAATAGACAAAACCTATAAAAACAAAAAAATCTTAAGACTTCAATAATTTTTAAGAATATAAAGGAGTTTTAACACTAAAGTTTGAGAATCACAGGTTTAGACCATAGGAAGGAGATCTCGTGGTGGGGTAGGACATTTAGAAGCATAAGAAAGGTTTTAATAACCATTGATAATTTATTTTTTTCACATAACTGCACAACATTAAAAGACATAAAGCTCTATTAGAGAGTTCCCACTGGTTGAGTTTCGGTTAAATGTGTTTTTAATCAGTTTAGTCAAGGGAGTAGGATTGTGATTAATCTGAATTTGAATTCTGACTGGGTGACCACAGGAATATCACCAAAACTCCTAGCCTCAATTTTTGCATCTGTAACATGCATCTACCTTAGAAGGGTTACTGTGAGGTTAAAACTCATGTAAATTTTGCTACAGTGTGTTTTGTGGACCAACCACATTAGCAAAGCGGATACCCAGAGCTCTGAATCATGATCTGCATTTCAGTGAGACCCTCAAGCAGTCCTTATGCACAGAGTAGTGCTGGTGTAAGGCACCCAGGAGACTGACTGCCTGTCACATTGTAGGCGCTCAATAAATATCTCCTTTTTTTTTCTTTTACTATTTATTTCTTATTCTTTAGCTTATACATGTAACTATTTCAGTCTTTTTGGACTAAAGTTATTGGTTTGATTTTTAAAAATACATCTGACCTGTTAATTTACTCCCTTTTTCTTATCAGCCAAAGTAATCTTTACATTCATTTGTAAAGTTTAAAACTTCCAGGCCTGCAGTCTAGATTCTAGAGTGTCTCTTTTCTCCTTTTTCATTAAAAAAAAAAAAAATTTAGGCCGGGCGCAGTGGCTCACACCTGTAATCCCAGCACTTTGGGAGGCGGAGGCAGGGGGATCACGAGGTCAGGAGATCCAGACCATCCTGGCTAACACGGTGAAACCTCATCTGTACTAAAAATACAAAAAAAAATTAGCCAGGCCTAGTGGCAGGCGCCTGTAGTCCCAGCTACTCGGGAGGCTGAGGCAGGAGACTGGCGTGAACCCAGAAGGTGGAGCTTGCAGTGAGCCGAGATCGCGCCACTGCATTCCAGCCTGGGTAACAGAGCAAGACTCCATCTCAAAAAAAAAAATAAAAAATAAAAATAAAAATAAAATAAAAAAAAAAATAATAAAAAATTTAAAGCAGCCACCCTGACAATGAGCCCCATGTGGTTGCTGTGTGTGGAGACCCACTGCCTGTATAACTAGAAGATCTGTCCCTCCTTTTATAATAATTCATTTATTCACTCAACACATATCAAATAACCAATATATGTATGGGATTGTGAATGACATTAGGGGAACAGTGTGAAATGAACATGATCCTCACCCTTGTGATGAAAGAAACACTAAAGGAATGAACCAAAATACAGCATTTGTAGTTCTCAGTAACACTTTGTGAATATGTAAATAATATATGCTTTTTAAAAAAAATCTCGAGTATTGACTGGGTGCAGTGGCTCATGCCTGAATCCCAGCACTTTGAGAGGCCGAGGCAGGCAGATCACCTTAGGTCAGGAGTTCGAGACCAACCTGGCCAATATGGTGAAACTCCGTCTCTACTAAAAACACAAAAATTAGCCGGGCATATGGCATGGGCCTGTAGTCCTAGCTACTTGGGAGGCCGAGGCAGGAGAATCGCTTGAACCTGGGAGGCAGAGGTTGCAGTGAGCCGAGATCATACCACTGCATTCCAGCCTGGGAAACAGAGTAGACGCCATCTCAAAAACAAAAACAAATAAACAGTCAAAATACAAACAAACAAAAACACAAAAAACAAACAAAAAAACTCAAGTTTTTTCCTTTTCTACATTTTATTGATTTTAAAAAGCACTTGATGTATATCTTAAGTGCTTTGACTTCTACATTGTCTTATTGCTTATTTCACATTTTTCACTTGCCTGCCATAACTTTGATGGTTGCTAGATTTTTAATCCTTCTAGCATGTGAGTTATTTTTCCAATAAAACAAATTTTTAATTTAGCATTGTGGTAAAAAAATGCACATAAAATATACTACCTTAATCATTTTTAAGTGTACAGTTGAGTAGTGCTAACTATATTCATATTGTTGTGCAACAAATCTCTAGAACTCTTTCATCTTGTAAGACTGAAACTCTATATTCATCGAACAACAAACAACTTTGTGTTTCCTCCTCCTCCAGCCCCTGGAACCACAATTCTACTGTTTCTCTGAGTTTGACTACTTTAGATATCTCATACAAGTGGAATCATGTACAATTTGTCTTTTTGTAACTGGTTTATTTCGCTTCATGTAATGTCTTCAAGGTTCACCCACGTTGTAGCATGTGACAGGGTGTCTTTTTTAAGGCCGAATAATATTCCATCGTATGTATATATCACATTTTATTTATCCATTCATCCATCCATTCGTGGACCTTTGGGTTGTTTCCACCTCCTGGCTATTGTGAATAATACTGCAATGAACACGGTTATGCCTTCAGAGTGCTTTGACTCCAGATGTAGACACTAATGTGCACCTGTGCCTGAATGTGATTCTTGACTATAAGAAAGAATTTTTGAGCTGGCAGAAAGGGAAAGGTAGGCCAGGTCAGGCTTCCAGTCAGGCTCCCATGTTGGACATCCAGGCAACAGCAGAGAGATAGAAAACAGCCTGAATCCTTCAGAGTCCTGTCTGAAAGGAAAGCAAGAACTTGGGTTGAATGCTGACCATGCTGAACACTTTTGTGTCTGTTGATTGGGACATGTGGGAGGTTTTTTGAATTTTATGATTATGAAAATGAGGACAATTATTTTCTTCAACTTCATAACATCATATATAACAATAATGAAAAGTGATCACCAACATCAGGAACAAGCCCAGCAGGGGATCTTAGCATGGAGGTGGTTTGTGTTATTTGAAAACAGGGTTAATATAAAATAGAATATATTCAATTTCAAATATAATACAAACTACCATGAGTTTGGATTAGGATTGCAAAGAAACATGGGTGCGTGTAGCTGATGGGGCAGAGACCAAACTCTCAAAGGGCACAAAAGCCCCTGCCAGGATCTAACCAGATGTTCTTTACTCCCTAGCTTGCTGGTTAAAGAAATCATTCCTGCTGAAAGCTAGTCTTTAAAGAACTTTTGTTTCATATGCAGATCCCAGAGTCAGTATCTGGGCTCCCATGTCAGGCCTGTAGATGGCATTCCTGATAAAATTAGGTCATACACAGAAGGAATGAGTCAAGACCAGTTCTGAAGCTTCCCTGGGGACCAGGAAAAATGCCTTCAAGGAGGAAAAGAAAAACCATTACAAACTTGAGCCACTTTGACTTGCATGGATTTCTCTTATCCCATCATTTCAGTCCTCAGAGAAGGGCAGGCGGCTTATTGCAGATTCAACTTTTGGTATCACTCTGGAGCTCCTTTACTTGTAACATAGCAAATACGGTTACTTTAAGGTACAGGAAAGCAGAAAAGGCACTGGCCTGAGAGTCAGATGGTTTCTAGTTCCAGCCTGGCTACTTACTAGCTGGGTGGCTTTGGATAAGTGCCTGCACCTCTTGATCCTCAGCTTACCTACTGTAAAACCCAGTCCCAGGGCTAGAACAGCTCCATTTCTTTCAGCTCTACCATTCTGTGAATTAATGACATCAGTTGACCATTGATTGCATCCATTCTACTTTTATTTGGCATTTGTTCATTTGATACATATATACATATATAAAAATCTGTACATGATAAAAATACAAAATAAGTATTTCTTCATAAGTTATGCAATTAAACAGCTACCTTTTTAAAGTTTAAAAGCCATTGCAAAACAAAAAAGTGAGAAATCTAGTCAGTCCTTTATAGTCATTCACAATAACCTTGGTATAAAATATCCATACAACCTGTGTGTACAAAATAGTGTACAGTTCATAAGAGCTGTGCAAAGACAGCAAAGTTCAGTTAAAAAAAAAAACAAAGAGACTGTACAGGTCTCTCTGTCCACATCATGCCCAGTTCCAGGAGGTCTGCAGCTCAGCAACACCTCCCTAGGAATAACAAAAGGGCACAAGGTAGAGTGTGTGGTGCGTATACCATGGATACAGACATTAAAAAGAAAAAGCTTTAAAACACACATACAAGAATAGGGACTGCTGCTTTTTTCCCCCTTTAGAGAACTCACTTCTTTCGCCAGAGAGCTTTTGGAAGGTGACAGAGAAGACTCAATATGTATGTTGTGCCTTGAATCAGAAGGCACTAATATATATATATATATTTCCTTTTTGAAAATCTTGAGCTTTCTAAGAGAACATCTATGGGAAGACAGAAGTGGGGTAGGGGGTGGAAATGAGAGACTGGAGTGAAATAGGAGCCCCTTGCTACCTATTAGGGGAGGTGAAGGGATCTAGAGGGTCAACGGTGCTGGAGTTAGTTATATGGTTTGGTGTTCTCACTCCCAACTCGGTTTCCTCCTCCATAAACAGGTTTCCTACCATATAGGGTGGTTACTGCTAACGACCAGCAGAGTGTGTCTCACAGTAAGGTCCAGGCCGTGGGACCACAGAACACCCCACTGTGTTTAAAATAGTTTGTAATAAACAAAATAGAATGGAGTCCTTGCTGAAAAGTTAAGGCTGGGACCAAGACTTAAAGTGAACTGATGTGGGGAGAACTATTTGGAGTTGGTTTTGTTGGGAAGGAAATGTCTCTTTGGGGCTACCGCAGGGCCGGTGGCGCCCTCAATGAGGTGATGGTTTCTACCGTCGGGAGAGGCAGCATCTGGGCACGGGGACAAAGTGAATGCGCAGACTGGACCCCACCTCTTCGATTTCAAAGCACTTAAAAATAGTACTCTGGCGTGCGAGCGGCTTCTAGGACACGGTGATTTCCTCCTGTTCCTCGCCCTCCTCTTCCTCCTCGGAATCTGAGAAGTCCGAAGGTTTCCCGGGACTGCTCGAGTGCGCGGGCGAGGGGGGCAGCGGCCCTGGCAGCCGCGGGTCCCGCAGGTGCTGGGGGTCGGAGGACGCGTGGTAGGCCAGGCGGTGGCTGGGGCTGCCCGGGCCCTCCTCCTCCTCTTCGTTCCCAGGGCCCTTCTGGCCCACGTCGCTGAGGTCCGGGTGCGGATTGAGCTTGGTGGGCAGGGTCTGCTCGCGACAGCCCCCGCTAGACAGGAGTTCGCGCTCCTTGGAGTTCCGCCATTTCATGCGTCGGTTCTGGAACCAGATTTTCACCTGGAATGTCCCGGCCGGCGAGAAGAAGGGAGAAGCAGAGGTCAGATCAGGGGCTCCGGGGGACGCACGGGGGCGGGGAGTGGAGTCGGGTGCAGGCTCTGTCCTTCGGGCTGTGTCCTCTCCCCACCCCCAGAAATGAGTTCCGGTGGATTCCCGCATTGACTCCGCCCCCGCCTCAGCTCGCGGTTCCGTTTGCCTCATCCGCTGCCACCCTGCCCCGAAGGGCGGGGTTGGGGGCCGGTGAGGCCGGGAGAGAAGGCGGGGAGTCGGGGTGGGGAGAGAAGAGGGCTATCCTGCGGAGCTTCGAGGGTAGTGGCCCGTGTACTCACTCCCTCTCTAGGCCTCGGTTTTCCCATCTGTACAGTGGGACCTAAGCCGTTTCCGAACCCTTGCAATTGACGGGTGCGCCGGGGAGGGGTGAAGGGCGGGGGCGGGGGGGGTGCTGTGGAGGAAATGCGCTCACCTGCGAGTCTTTCAGGCCCAGCTTGGCCGCCAGCTTCTTGCGGTCGGGCTTGCTGATGTACTTCTGCTTCTGGAACATCTTCTCCAGCGCCTTCCGCTGCACGTCGGAGAAGACTGCTCGACGCAGCATGCCCCGCCGAGGCTTCCCGCGCGCGGCCAGCGGCCAGGAGAAGGTCCCGGGGATGGGCACCACGCTGGAGGAAGCTGCAGGGTGGGGGGAGGTGGCGAGTGAGTGGGCGTACGCCCCCCAGTCCCAACACGGCTCTCCCTGGCTTTTTGCTCTGATCCCTTCATCTCTTTAAAACGCTCCTTTTTCTCCCCCTGGAGAATAGGCCACGAACCTACAAACCTGCGAGAGTGAAAGGCGCTTTCCGCCCAAACAACTTTCCCTTTCAACCGTGCAAACCCGGATTAGGTAAAACCACGGAAACAGAGAAAACAGCCCCCACAATAGCCTGTTTCGTTTTTCCATTCAGTGGACTTAGGGAAACAAACCTGCGTACATCAACTAAAACAGCAATAGAAAAAATAAATTACTAAAATAAAAATAAAATATCCAGCCGAGGCCACTGTGTTTCTCCCCTAAGCTTTTATCATTTCAGTGGCTTTTGCATTCTTTAGATGAAAATGAGGTGCTTTACTATTTTGATAAAGAGGGAAAAATCCGATTTAGATTTTTTGAAAAATCCAATAAGTATTCATCTTTTTTATATTAATCCTTCCTCCCCTCCCCCACGAAACGTAAAGAATTCGGCCCGAATACATGAAAAGTGGCAGCTAATTAGCACATTGACTGCTTCCCAATGGGTATTGGTATGATAAAAGGGGGGAGAGTTTTGCTTTAAGCGAAAGAAAAAAACAAAACAAAAAGAAACAGAGACTCTAATGAAGCGTGAATGGTAATTGTGTAGTAATGAACTAACAGAAAAAGACTGAGGACAAGCAGCGAAAGCCATATATTACTGGGACAAAAGAGATTTACACTTTCAAACTAAACACAACTGCAGGCCAAGACCATTGGGAGAATACTGATGGCAGAAGCTTCTCTTCCCCGAATCGTTTTCATTAAATGGACATGAAAAGCTATTTATAAAGCTCGGGTTGTTTTTGTTAGAGCATTGAGATGAGGGAGAAAGGGAGCAAATTCCATTATTAGCAGCAGTGTGAATGGTGGTGGTGGTGGTGGTGGTGGTGGTGGTGGTGGTGCTGGGGGGTGGGGGGAGGGCGAATTATCTCTCCCCTTTAAAAAATCAATTGCTTGTTTCTTTTGCTGATATTTGGGAGTGCTGTCGTGATTTTACCCATCCCCCGCAGGCCATACCCAGTTTTTCTTCTCTGTATAGGGACTCTCCTGCCTCCTTTTTAGTTTTGACCAGTGGCAGAGTTTTTGAGCCATAGTTTGAATCATCAGTGAGGTTACAGGAAGAAAACCTGGTGGAAGCTGCCTAAGGTGTTGCTGTTTTAGGCTGGGACACAATTATGGGCTTTCTTCTAACTGCTTCTTATTTTGCAAGATCAACGGTATTTTATAATACAGGGTGGGAAAGGAGTATGAGAAGGGGTTTGGAAATCAGGCTGGAAATAGGTTGGGATTGGGGGAGGATCTAATCCCCCTCCCCCTGGGCGACCCTAGGCATCCCACACAAGAGGGCACCCCATGTGGTCTTGTGAAAAGCCCGAAGCCCTGAATGAGTCTTAAAGAGAAATTAGCCCCGGCTGGTAGGTGTCTCTCGGCGGCGTGGAGGGACTAGGGCCGGTCTGTGTGTGGCTGCCCGGAGGAGCTGACCAATTGGTCATGGTGCTGAAACCTTTGTGGGGAATCGTGGCCAAGTGCACTGACTCTGTGGGAAAACGGCGGCGTGAAGGGATGCCAACAGCTCCTCGCCGGGAAGGGAACCGCCTCAAATTGGGACCATGACAATTCCTGCTAATTTGTAGAGCAGGGAATTGGTGCAAAGTGTCAAGCAGTCACTGCTTGTGCTCAATAGGGCATCAAATTGGCGCGACGGATTCATGAATGTTATACGCCTCGCAACCTCTGAACCAGAGCATAACCCCGAGGGGTGGACGGAGAAATACGGCTTCGGAGCAGGGAGCGATGGGCCGGGGCTGGGGCGCCGCCCTGCCTCGCGCAAAGAAGGGGGACGAGACCTACCTGGGAAATAAGAAGATCTGATGAAAGGCTGAAAAGACCCTTCGAAGTAGGGAAAGGCGAAGGTCTTGGGAGGGACGCTCTGGAGCAAGGCTGGGGATGTTTCTGGTGGGCGATGGAGGGGGGACAGAAGGAGAGAGGGAGACAGAAAGAATCTGATTACGTACTTGCCTATTGTATAGCACACTGAACACACGATATAATTAGCCCTTCATCTGGTTTCAAAGACATCTTTCTTATACGTTGACAGGGTAAAATAAATCTTCCCAACATTGTCTTATCTGTAAAACTCTTTTCTTTCTCCCCAACGTAATTCTCTGCGCCGTCCCACTCTACCCCAATCTCCATCCTAGGCACTAACGAGATAGGACTGAGTGGGGAGGAAAGAAATTGCAGATTTATAATATTTGCTAATCCAATAAATATATCATATTGAGTTTAAAAAAAAAAACTGTCTCCTAGAAGCTCGAAGGCAGAAACGCAGACGTCCAGGAGCGTGCGCTCAGCGTTACTGCACCAGATGACTGCGCACAGTCTCCGACTGCGTGTGCTCAAGTTCACTCCGAGGATGGGGCGAGCCTGGAGGCTTTTCTTCCCCGGAATTGACTGGACTATTCTCACATTGCCTGACGTAGGGTCTCAGAGTTCGTGCGTATTGTGTGTGCACCGATGTGTGTGTGGGGGCCCGCTCGCTAGAGGAAACTGAGGCCAGGATGACTCCGCGCATGCCTAGTACCTGAATGGGCCCTTAGGGTTCTGACCTCGCTTACCTGTTCTGGGCCCCGAGGAGAGGATGGCGTTCACTCCAAACTTCAGAAACGTCGTCTCGCTGGCAGGGGAGAAGGCAGTCGGCGGAGAGCCGCCCCGTCGGCTGCCGGGACCCGGGGAGCCCAGGTCCGAGGCCCCCGTGTCGGTGAGGGCCGTGGGGGCCCCCTGCCTGGGCGGCGACATGCTGGCGGTGGGCACGCTGCGGGGCAGGTAGGCGGGGGGTCGGCTGATGCGGATCAGATCCTCCACCAGGAAGCTGGAGTGGCCGGAAAATGCCGACTGCAAGGACTGGGGCAGCGTCAAGGTGGGCGTGGGCCGCAGGAGGCTAGGGTACCCGGCGGGGGGCGCGAGGAGGCCGGGGAACATCATGGTAGGCGCGGGCGGGCGAAATAACCCTTCTTTCAGTGGCCGGAGGGTAAACGCCTCGCTTCCCGCCCCTCCCGCCCCCACAGTGTCCTCTCTCTTGGGCTTAGCAAACGTCTCCAAGTAACAATCCCACTTGGGCGTCTGCGAGTCCTCCGTGGTCCTCTCGTCGAGGTGATGGTTTTATAGTGGCCCGCCCGCTAAAGCACTTTGAAAAGTGACAGCTCTGACAATGAAGTTCAACAAAGTTCTCCACTCGAGCTTCATTCGCCGGAGGCTCTGGACTCTCTGATTGGCGCAGGGGTGCAATTTATGATTGGATTAGTCTTCATAAGCATGGCCCGCACAATGGGCCGGCAACAAAGGCCCGCGCGCATCAATTTTGCATATCGACCGCCTCTTTGCAATACAGTGCGCCCCCAAAGCTCTCGCCAAAGGTTTTTGTTCCGAAGCAACACCCGGGCTAATTAAATGCCTATTTAGAAGTTTCAGATGACATCTTGCCTCATAGAAAAGGAATTATTTAAAGAACCCACTAAATTTATTTGCAGCTCCCCTGCTAAGCCTGGAAAATAAATCAATAAATATTCATAGAAATACATCTTCAGGCTATCAGCAAAGTTGCCCTCCCTCTTGTGGGGGTAGGGCAATGAAAAGTTTCAAGTCAGTGGACATGAAAATATACTCCCTTTCCGGTCTCTAGCCCTATCCGTTACTCCAGCTGAAGCATAAAGCAAATGTAGGGGTGAGTGAAATCAGTGTTAGAAGTCCCATTCTGACGACTCAGGGAAACTTGGAAACGGATGCTTTGGGGCCACTGGATGTGTGTCCGTAAGAGTGGGGAGAGGTCTGGAGTTATTTCATTTCGGGAGACTGGTTGAGTTTGAGCGTTGGTGGATACCTGAAAAGTAAAACGAGTCTCCTTCAAATTCCCAGCAACTTGGAAAACGATTTTCTCTAGGAGTTTCTGCAAGGGGCTGTCCGCACCTCACCTTGCGGGAGGAGCGGAGGAGAGCGGCGCTGGGCTGCCGAGCGGCAGGATTCCGCTTGCAAAGAGCTTAGGCTGACCGGAAACTGCCTCGGGCAAGGGTATCCAAAGGCTGTGAGTGCTATGCTGGCCGTTCTCCAAACACAGGGAGCTCTCGGCAGTTTAAGTTGAAACTCACAGCCCTGACATTTTAAGCCATAGCAGCGAAGGTCCAGACGTCGTCTGGAGAGAACCCTACCACTTGCGGGGCCCTTAACTTGGCCCAAGGTTTGGCAGCTTCTTAATTAACTACAACGCACAAACGCGTGAAAACCAGAGGGAAGGGATGCGGTTCCCAAGAATGTTGGTCCACTCCGGGAAAGCCTCCCCTGAATGTGGGGCTTCAAAGGAGAATCTTCCTGGAGACAGTCCCTTCGCTTTCCTCTGGTTGGGGCTGAGGTGGTACTAAGACTCGATTCCCCCCATTTCTCTGTTCGGCGAGATAACAGATGTGTTAAATGTCCCATTCATCTCTTTAGTGTGGCTGAACCTCCCCAAAGAGAAGTGTGCAGCCCCGCCAGGCCGCCCTGATCCTATTAACCATGAACTAACTGTCACCTTCAGCTGGTTTTCCTTTTTGCTTTTTAACACAAAGCTTTCTCAAAAATCTTATTAACCAGCTTTATTTCTCTCGATGGTTTTGTTCGGGGTGTTTTGTGTTGATGATCTCCATGTCGCTGCTTTAACCATTCAATAAAAGTGCATCTGCGATTTATATCACATTAAACCAGAAACGGAGCCGGCTAAAACTCTCCCTTGATTCAAATTAAAAAGTTATTTAGGGCCCAGCTCCAGAGGCGAATTAATGCTAGAAGATGACGTAAGTGCGGAGTTTCTGAGCCCAAGACCGCTCATGCTCATGGGCAGCGGGAGAAAACCAATCAGGAAAGAAACAACTTTTAAATAAGGGGCTATTTAAATATGGGAAGCGCCTTGCTGGAGTTAATTGGAGTCCCCTGGAAACGGAAGAAGGAGATCTGTCGAAGAACGTCAAAAGTTCCTTTTTGAAGTTTGCAATAAAATAGGTGAGAAAAGCATAAGCTATCTGAACACCTGCACTTTAACCTTGCCATGAGACAGTTTCCCATTGCAATAAGACTGGCTCTCTCCCTTCCTCTCCCTTACTTTTTTCCTCAGGCCCACCTCCCTCCTTCTCCCACTCCCTTTCCCTCTGCCCCCCACCCCTTTTTCTCCCCGAGTCTTAAGGACTTGGGCAATTGCCAGTTCCCAGAAGGACGCGCCGGGGGCTTCAGGATGTTTGATTCCCTACCGGTGAAGCGCTTGTCCAAGTCTTCCGGATGATCAGAATAGAGTCTATATTTGCCAAAATCAACTTGGATTTTGTTTTTTTTTGGAGGGGGGAACGGTAAGAACTTGAAGCCAGCGTGAGCCCTTCCCAGCTCCTCCTTCCCTGTTGGGGCATTTGCCGGGGTGTAGTTTTCACCGTTTCCTGTCCGTCGACAGGCTTCATGCCACCCCTAGCCCCCACCCCAAGCCCCAGCCATTCTGCCTCACTATAGACTAACTGCTACTAACTTCTCGGCTTTTAAAAGTCTACCCTGCCATTTTTTGGAGGGTGGATCAACCCCTTGCTGCGATCCACGTGGACCCTGCTTCCTGGGGTCGGTCTCCACAGCCTCCTAAAGAATTCCTAAAGCGCCAAAGAGGAAAAGTGAGGGCGGGGGCGAGGGGGCGAGGGCTGGCCGCCCGTGAAAGGAAAAATAAATCCTAAGGAAGCAAGAAATCGGACGAAAGGATCTTACTTTAAGTGATCTCCTTGAACGCGTCTTTTCAAACTCCGCGATAGCCCAAGGAGCTGCGCGGCGCGGCGGCTGCGGCTAAGACCTGTGACTAATGCCATTTGACCTGAGCCCATGGGGTTTTGTGCGTCCTGCCATTCACTGTTATGTCGTTATCTTCAAGTTTATTTCGGAGAAATCACTCGCGTTCTTTGTCTCAAGGCTGAGCTTTCTGTCTATTTCTCTTTCAAGAGAAAAGAAGACGGGAGGGGAAAAGAGAGAATCGGAGTCCCTGGTTTGGGGTTTAAGGTCCTTGCCTACGCTGCGGGGGAGGCCGCAGCAGATCCGGCTGGGGCTCCCCGGGCCTAGGTGGCCAAAGCTGCCGAAACCTGCCTTGGATAGTAGAAAGAGCGTGTCGGAACGCACTCTGGGGGTTTCGTTCCCCCCGCGCAGGGGAGAGCGAGCATGTTCCTGCCCCGGGCGCCGTGCGGTCGCAGCAGCAGCGCGGCCCTCTCCAGTGCGAGCCGTGCCTGGAATGTCTCGGGTAAGCGAAGGGCCAGCAAGCGAGGCGAAACGGACACTATAAAGCAGAGAGTGGTGTGAGCTTCCCCGCCCTCTGAAAAGATGGCAAGTCTCCGTTTCGGGAAGGCTGCAACGCTAAGGTCACCCTTTGCAGGCTTCGGACCCCCAGTCCTCCATGCTCCCTGCCGGAGCAGCCAACAGAGTGAGAGCGCATTTTGGAAAGATTGGCCGGATGCCGGGCGGCGACAGGGAAAAGCGCCCGACGCCTGGCTTTGGGGTGGGGGGTGTGGGGAGGGGGGGCAGGGAGCTAACGGGCGAGGCGAAGGAGGAGGGCTGCGAGGCTCGGACTGAAAGAGCTTTCCTACCGCCCCAGCCCCTCTTCGCAAGCCTCTCTTTTAAGACAGCTCTAAGGGGTTCACCTTCAGAATAGGCCACTAGGAGCTACCGCTGCCCCAGCTCTTTCTAGTGTCTCCCCCCTCACCCCCCATCCCTTTCACACTCACTCCCCTCTTTTTCCTTGAAAATCCTTCTATTGTGCCAATCAAGCAGATGGTTTGCAGGAAATATAGCTTGGCCTCGCTGACCGAAACAAATTTTAACTAGCTTTCCAAGCCCGAAACGTTTGTTTTGCTCTTACAAAATAGCCCCCAAAACAGCTGGCAAGGGTGAATTAAACCCATTAAAGACACATTTATAAGAAATTATATTCACATAGATTGCCCGAACCCCCTTGTGCTGCCTAAGAGAGGAGATGAGCGCATTTAAATGAAAATGTCACCGGACGCTCCCCTCCTTAACGTAGCCTGAAAGTCTCAAAACATTTTACTAAATAGATTAACTTGACTATTGTCTTGCATCACATTTATCAGCTTCATTAAGTGAATAGCTGAACAAATATATTACGCATGCATGAAAAGCTCTTTTTCGAGGAGTCTCATTGTATCCTCAGCCCTGACAGGTGGTTAACTGTGTGTTGTTTTTTTGTGTGTGTGGGTTTTTTTGGTGTTTTCTTTTTCTTTTTTTTTATTATTATTTTTTAACCCGAATAAAGGGGATCTCTGTAGAGCGGTGCAGGGCTTGCAGTGCGGACTTGGAGAAAGTTTACTTCAACTCCCTTCTTGGACAACCCTCTGCCCTAGCAATATTAAAACCATGTTGGGCCAAGGAGATATGAGACCGTTCAAAATAATCAAAATTAAATTTTGGTAAGCCCAGCCTTGAGTGCTTTCTCTCTCCATCATTATCTCTGCCCACTTGTCTGGGAAATTAATTTCATACTGCTACTTTTTAAAGCTGAAGATTCCGTCCCACTCTGCTTGAAAATAGCCATTGTTTCTCCTTGCTTAACCAGCTCTTCACAGACTGCAGGATTAAATATTCTTTTTTTTTAAAAAAAAGAAAATAATAATAAAGACAGAGTCTCATTTTGTTGTCCAGGCTAGTTTCCAACTCCTGGCCTCAAGTGATCCTCCAGCATCTAAATATTCTTTTAACTCACATTTGAATCCATTTCACTTTACTATATGTATTTAGGAAAAGTTCTTGTCTCCTGGGCCTCAGTGTCCCTATGGGTAAAACGAGGGGGGTTGCCTCAGAAAGCTCTCTAAGGGCCCTTTCAGATCTGATCTCCTGAGGTTTAAAACCCCTCAGCTCTTTGTTGCCTTATGAAGGGGCCCAGCAACTCCCAGCCTCTGAGCCCAGGGTGATGACAGGAAGGACAGCACCTCCAGGTTCTAGAGTGCTCCCTTGGTGGAGGGGCGGAAAGTGGAGTGCTCTAGAGGCCTAAGGCAAATCTGCCAGCCAGGGAGGACTGCACACACTGGGCTGTCACTCCTGGGGTCTCAAGATACACTGGGTACCAAGAGCAAAAGCCTTGAGGTCATGCCATCCTCACATTCCAGTCCACATCCCTCCCTTCAAACAGGCTGCCCTGCCTACTGTCCTCGCCAGTTCTTGTCCCACCATGAGGCATGGCCTGACACTAGGTGAAAAGTAGGAGGGGATCCTCCCTGGCCCACTCCCCTTGTCCTGGGCCTCACTTTTTAGCTGGTGGAATGCCACAATGAGCCCCTTCCCCTCTATGCTCCATCATCTTTTCCCTCTCTTGCCTTTTCTGCCTTCCCCCCACCCCAAGCTGGAACTATTGATGTTCTGTCCTGGAATCTTTCTGGTTAAAGAGGCTTGGATGAAGATGAAATTGGTGCTGGGTGGGAAAGGGTATAGAATTTTTCTCTGAAAGGGCTGCTTTTGTCCAAGGCAAAAGGAGCAGAACTGTGCTGTGAACGAAGGTTGTCTTATGATGTAGATAAGTATCTGCTTAAAAAAAAAAAGTTGGCCTGGTGCGGTGGCACACACCTGTAATCCCAGCACTCTGGGGGGCCGAGGTTGGCAGATCACTTGAGTCCAGGAGTTGGAGACCAGCCTGGGCAACATATTGAGACTGTCTCTACAAAAAAAAAATTTTTTTTTAATTTCTTTTTAAAAGCTGTTTTGGAGCAGCCTCCAGAAGAATAAGAATAGCTTGTTGGGTGTAGTGATGACTTGCAATCTTTTCTCAAGTGATTAATCTTCCCTGACGGCTTGATGAGATTCTTAGGGAGGGGGCTGAAGACAGTTGTGTTTCTTTCTTTTTTTTTTTTTTTTTTTTTTTTTTGTCGCCCAGGCTGGAGTGCAGTGGCGCGATCTCAGCTCACTGTCACTGCAGGCTCCGCCCTCCGGGTTTACGCCATTCTCCTGCCTCAGCCTCCCCAGTAGCTGGGACTACAGGCACCCGCCACCAAGCCTGGCCAATTTTTTGTATTTTTAGTAGAGATGGGGTTTCACCGTGTTAGCCAGGATGGCTACGATATCCTGACTTCGTGATCCACCCGCCTCAGCCTCCCAAAGTGCTGGGATTACAGGCATGAGCCACCGCGCCCGGCCAGTTGTGTTTCTTTTGGAAGAACTTCCTTCAGTCAGATAAGGGAATTTCAGAGCAAGCCACTCACTCCCTGTACTTCAGAAGGAGAAGTGGGAGAGGCAGGAGAAGGTCAGTGAGAGACCTTGTGTCTGAGGCTTATTTCTGAGAACTTTCAGTCTCCTTTGTTCAAAGCACTCAGCATGCCAAAGCGCCACATTTTGGGCTGTTGTTTTCTGAGCCCCAACAGAAGGAAAATGAATCATTTTTAGAATCAGGACCCGTAAACTGGAGAAGGAGTGTGGGAGAAGCATCCTTGCCTCTAAACATCAAAGCTCATTTTGTCTCTGTTTGAGATTTAGAGATTTACCCTGTTGGGACAAAGAGGTAGACACCCATGGGAGGATTGGAGGCAAAGTTACTAGTTCTTTATAATGTAGTGAAAGTTAGTTTTAAAAATTATTTTTCTTCTAACAGGTAGGGAGTCTTGATTTGGCCAAAGGAGGGACCTATCAGAGGGGCTGTTTTGAACCATGAGCCAATGCTTGAGAGGAAATTCTGAATTGTGTGAGCCTCTAAATTGCTGGAGAGTTTTTTGCCTGGGGCTAAGGTAGGCTTAGATGCATTAAAGGTAGGCTTTAATGCAGTAAAGAGAGAAGAAATCTCCAGGGACTTTTGCCTGCTCTGCAGTTCCACTTAGTCAGTGTAGGGAAGGGAGAGGGAGGCATAAGAGAATGTGACATTCTCTTACATTGGTAAGAGATGAGGAAAATAGCTTTATTTCTGGTATTACTATACTACACAAAGGCCTCAAGTCCAAATGCCAGCTTCCATCTGTAGAAGGAATAATAAGACAATCCCCTGCCTGCTTACCTTCATCTACCATCAACCTCCCCTCCCACTGCAGAGAGAAAAGAGATGGTCATCAGACAGAGAGGTTCCTTTCTGCCAGCTTACTCTCCATTCTATTCACATCCCTGCAGATAAGCCCCCTCCTGCCTCCTTGGGAACTGTGCTGGTTAGTTGTTTTCTGTTTACCCTTCTAAACCCCACTGTCTACTCTTTCTCCCTCCTGCTTTGCTCTGAGAGGCTGGCCTTTAGGCCATGCATTGACACCAGGATACCTTGCTGGCTAGATTCTTCTAGTTGATATCTATCAATGGAAAGCACCAGCACCAACTCAAGGGCAGAAGAGGTATTTATTCCTCCCACTCCCTTCTTGCCTAGTTGCATTTCTGGGAGGGACTGTAGCTACAGCTTCCAAGGTCACTGGACTCTAGCAACATTGTCCTTTCAACCTTCTGCCCTTTCACACCTATGGGCATAATGGGATATAATGGCTTCCCACTGTTGCTGGTCTTTAAGTACATTAATATCCTTTGTTTATTTCCTTTACCCACTCACACCTCTACAAACAGTCTCTTTCATATGCACTGGAAAATATGCTGCTGGAATCCTAAATGATATAAGGACTTTGTTCTCCATTATTCTCTCTCTATATAGCTTCATATTCTCTCTATATAGCTTCAATATTCCCTTCACCACTGGTTCTTTCAAATTGTGTTCATTTTCAAAAGGACTTTCCATTGGCCTTATGTCTGCCTGTAACTACCTCTTCTTAGAAATGTCCTCTAACTCCTGTGAGGCCTACAGATGGAGGCTCACCCTGCTTTACTACTCACCCTACATTATGAAGGGCCACACAACCCAAAGTGTTGACACCTGGTCTGACTATCTGAAATCCATCCCCAAGCCCCACAAACAGCCATCCCTGGGCTATGCCTTAGGTTTGGTGATAGGCATACCAGTGATATGATCCATCCTTGGGCAGAGAGACCTGGGAGGGGCTTGTGCAGTCTTTGAAAATGAGCTTGGTTCTATTTGGGCAAAGAATTCCTGGGCCTAAAAGGGAATATATAGGCTCTAGGTGAACATGTGTCTCTGTGGCCCTACGGACTCCTGCCCCATGGAGATGCATAGGGCTGTAGAGAACCCAGACTAGGGACCTATCTAAAGTACATGCCCCAAGCAAGGTTCCTGTTTGGTCTAAGCATGGTACTTCTTTCATAACCAAAGTTTTTGAAAGTGATGTCTGCCTTGGCTTATTTCATTTAACATAATGTCCTTCCAGTTCATTCATGTTGTCCCAAATGACAAAATTTTATTCCTTTCTGTGGTTGAATAGTATTCCATTGTGTATGTGTACCACATTTTATCCATCCATATACTTATGGACACTCAGGTTGATTCCATTTCTAGGCTATTATGAATAATGCTGCAATAAACAGCAGATACATCTTCAACAAACTGATTTCATTTCCTTTGGATGTATACCCAGTAGTGGGATTGCTGGATCATATGATAGTTCTACTTTTAATTTTTTGAAGAATCTATATACTGTTTTTCATAATGTCTATGCTAATTTACATTCCCACCAAAAGTGTGTGAGACATTCATTTTCTCCACATTCTCACCAACACGTGTCATCTTTTATCTTTTTGATAGTAGCCATTCTAACAGGTGTGAGGTGGTATCTCATTGTGGCTTTAATTTGCATTTCCCTGATGATTAGTGATGTTGAACAGTTTTTTATATTCCTGTTGGTTATTTGTATGTCTTCTTTTGAGAAATGTCTATTTAGATCCTTTGTCCATTTAAAAAATTGAGTTTTTTGCTATAGAATTATTTGCATTCCTTATATATTTTGGATATTAACTTCTTAGCAGATGTGTAGTTTACAAATATTTTCTCTTATTCTGTAGGTTTTCTCTTCACTCTGTTGATCGTTTCCTTTGCAATGCAGAAACTTTTTTAGTTGGATGCAAACCCGTTTGTCTAATTTTAGTTTTGTTGCCTGTGCTTTTAGGGTCATATTCAAAATAACTATTGCCCAGACCAATGTCATAAAGATTTTCCCCTATGTTTTCTTCTAGTAGTTTCATAGTTTCAGGTCTTACATTTAAGTCTTTAATCTGTTTTGAGTTGATTTTTGTATATGGTGTGAGGTAACAGTCTAATTTTATTCTTCTGCATGTGGCTATCCAGTTTTCCCAGAACTCTTTATTGAAGAGAATATTCTTTTCCCATTACGTGTTCTTGGCATCTTTGCCAAAAATCAGTTGGTGCTAAACATGTAGGTTTGTTTCTGGGCTCTCAATTCTGTTCCATTGGTCTGTGTGTCTGTGTTTATGCCAGTACCATGCTGTTTTGGTTACTATAGCTTTGTAGTATGTTTTGAAATCAGGTCATATGATGCCTGCAGAAGTTCTTTTGGATAGCATTGACTAGGGTTCCTGAATATGGGAAAATGAAGCCAAAAAGCTGAGGCTGTTGGCCTGCAGAAATGGAAACCTAGAAAGATATGACTGCAGTATTCAGATATTAAAAGGGCTGCCTAGAGAAAGAAAGTAAGTAATGAGTTCCCTGTTACTAGAAGGAGCCAAGGAATAGCATACTTTACAGCAAGAAGGGAGATTTTAAAACATACGTTAGATCTTATCACTCCACCCTTTCCTTCAGTCAACAAATATTTAGTGACACCCTAGCATATGCCAGCAGGTACTATTCCAAGAGCTGGGAATGCTGGAGTAACAAGACATACACAGTTGCTGCCATCCTGGGCCTTCCTATTCCACAGAGAATAAAGTGCAAGCAGGTCCTGCTGGCCCCTTCATCCTCCCCTCCTTACCTGTACTCCTGCCATCCCCATCTCCTCTCTCCTGTAAGGTGCCAGGTTTCTTCTTACTACTCTAGTTTCACATGTGGTTTTTCCTCTGCCTTCTTAATTTGTTTAACTCTTGTTCATCCTTCAAATTACAGCTTAAATACTACTTTCTCATCATTCAGTTTTAATCACCTTATATTTTTTCTTCTTGGGATGATATCTATAAAGCATTGCCACTTACTAACTGTGTGACCTTGGGTCTAGTTACTCAGCCTTTTTGTTCCTTAGTTTCTTCAACTGCTTTATCTAAAATAGGTATAATAATATCTACCATAAAAGATTGTAAAAAATACATATTCCCTACAACAATGACCAGCCTATATTTAGATACATGAGAAGTTTAATGCCTTTACCCCTCAAGAAACAAAATATTCTAACTCCTAATTCTGTACCAGATTTCCTTTTAGATATTGGTGAAGATTTTTGTTTTGTTTGTTTTTTGAGATGGAGTCTCACAGTCACCCAGGCTGGAGTACAGTGGTGCAATCTTGGCTCAATGCAACATCTGCCTCCTGGGTTCAAGCAATTCTCCTGCCTCAGTTACCAAGTAGCTGGGACTACAGGTGTGCAACACCATACCCAGCTAATTTTTTCTATTTTTATTAGAGACGAGATTTCACTATGTTGGCCTGGCTGGTCTGGAACTGCTGACCTCAAGTGGTGATCCACCTGCCTTGGTTTCCCGAAGTGCTAGGATTACAGCCGTAAGCCACCACGTTCGGCCTGGTGAAGAATACTTAAACCAATAATAATAACAGCAACAATGATAGTGATATAGTGATATATGCTTTTATTGAGTACTTACTATGTGTCTGGTACTATGTTAAATATTTTCCATGCATTATTTAAAATAATCCCCAAAAGAACCTTATGAGGTAGATACTATTATTATTCCTGCTTATTTAAAGGAGAGGACACAGAAACTGAGGGAAAGTTAATAATATTAACTGTGGTAGCTTTATATGGTGTTAACTTGACTAGGCTGAACTACACTTTTCAGAATTCCCTCCCTATGTGATTCTAGTCAGGGTAGGCCACAAAAGAAAGCCTGAGAAATTTGGAGAGTGAAAGAAAAGCGATAGCCCTGTTGTAGCCACTTCACTGGAACGAGGCAGCAGCTGGGCCTGCAAGTGCTCCATGTTCCCCAGCTTTCCTGACTCCAGAGCCAGGTGTGCATGTTTAGCCATATGAAGAAAGGCCTGGGCTTTGGCAGGACTTCCACACTCACTCACAAGGATGGGGGCAGCAGGGACTGACCAGTGTGGGTTTTAGTCTGTTCTCATGGGCTTCCAGCTCATGCTGGTGGGTTCTATCCTGCTCTTGATCTCCCCTTACTTTTCATCCCCCATTCCTTCTCGACTGCCTGCCCCGTGGACCTCGCGCACCAGCATTAGATGTGAAGGTGACAGCCTTATGGAAAATGCTTAGCTGGCTCTCACAATTGTATCAGGTTAAACTCCTGTAACAAATCTATATACATATATATGGATATGGATATATAATATATATGCTACATATGTACTACATAATACATAGATGATATATATGCTACATATATTATGTATGATATATATGAGGTATATATGAGGTATAGTATCTTTGTAAGATATATATGTATGCATATATTTTATTCATTCTGAACCTCTAGTTGAATCCTGACTGGTACAGTGCCCAAGGACACACAGAGAGTAAATGCCAGAGCTGAGGCTTGGAACTCAGTAGTCTGCCCCAGAACCAATGTTCATAACCATTATTCTATACCAACTCAGAACCACTCTCTAAGAAAGTTTTGGGATTTTGGAGGTTGATGAGAGTTGTCTGTGGTTTCAATTAATCTGGGGCCTTCTTCTTCCTTGAAATACTAACAGGGATTAAAACCTCATTATACTCATAAGCCAAGCCAAACTGACACCCAGAAGGCATTCAGCAACAAATAAAGTTTCACTGGCTTATAAAAATCAGGAATTCCACTACTACTACCACTACTACAACTACCAGTACTACTACTACCAATGATGTGACCACATATTTAGCACTTACAGAATTCCAGGTACTGTTCTAAGTGCTTAGATGTCAACTCATTTAATCTTTACAGCAATCTCAATAAATGAATGCAGCATTTCCAGCACCTACTTATTCACAGAAGTAGTTATTAGATTTTTAAAAAGTGAACTTTGTGAGGGCAGGGGACCAAGCATGTGGGAGAGATCTCAGATTCCTGCCCTGACAAAGGGAGATTAAATATGAATTCCAGTTCTACCTTGGCTCCAGTTTGAAGTACATATATCTCAAGTGTCTAGTACATATCTATCAGTCAGGATGCTTTTGACTGCAAGTGGCAAAAGACCCGTCCAAAAATAGAATAAACTCTAAAGAAAAATTATTATTTCACAAAACAAGAAACCCAGAAGGAAGGTAATCCCAGAAGGAAGAATCCCAGACAGACAGAGAAGGGATGGTGGATAAGAGTTCATTAATTCATCAGCTTGTTGATAGCACCAAAGACTCAGGTTCCTTCCTTCTCTGCTCAGCCATCTTTAGTGTTTGAATTGTCCTCTTTGGCTGGTTCCCAATTGGTCCCTGATGGCTGCCCCCCTCCAGGCATCATAAGCCAGTGACAATGTTCAGCAGAAGAGAAATGAGCCAATTTATTCTATTCTCCTTCCTTTTATCAGCAGGGAAAATCTTTTCCAGAAGTGCAACCTAAGGATTGCTTTTACGTCATCAGTCAGAATAGTGCCAATTGACCAGTCAGTGGCAAGGAAAATGGAATCACCATTATTTGATTAAACAGATCAAGGTTCACCTCCCTGGGGCTAGTGAAGGGCCCAACTTCCTGGAAACATGTGCATGTTATTAAGGAAAAGGGGGGGTGTAGCTTTGGGTAGGCAACAGACAATGCCTGTTACTGCGTATTAAAGCATGATTTGTGAAATATGCTCTACCCAAAGCTAGAACCAGGGCTGAGTCTTAGTAGCTGCCCTTTATCACTGTGTCTCACTTCTGGTTTTTGTTCGTGGTTTCTTTACTCTACCACAGGTACTGCTTATGCTCACTAATACCCATTCTTTTCTTCTTTACGGGCACACAGTTAGACATTTCCTGGCTTCTCTTGCAGTTAGATAGAGCCATGTGACTATGTTCTGGCTAATAGAACGTAGGTAGAAGTGATGTACACCACTTTCAGGCCTGGCATACAAAATTCCCAATATACACTTCTTTGTTTTTTCTCCTTCCAGTGGGATACTACATGTTGGGGTGGCAGTGGTACAAGAAGGAATGAACCTGGATCTCTGAGTTACTTAGGAGAGCCACCCACTTTGCATCAGATTGCAGCATGGGCAAGAAACAAGCTTTTCTTATAAGATTTTGGAGTTATCAGAGAATTCATCCTACATTGACTTATGTACTCATCAAAATCATATTCCTTGTGACTTGTGTTTTGAGAACAGGGGTTGTCAATCTGGAGTGCAGGTCTCATGCTACCAAGGTGGTTATCCAAACATGCATCCAATTTTTGGATCCTCTCTGTGAAATCCCTTTCATGTCAGCCTTACTTAAGCACTTCTAGTGACTGGGAACTCATTATATCTAGCAAGAGATAACCTCTAGTAAGAGATAGCATATGGACTAAGGATGACAACTAGATTTCAGCTCATGTGCTGAATCTCACTAATTTGTAGAGATTCAGCACATGAACTGAAATAGATTCAGCACACTGTGCAAAGAAGGATTCTGAGGCCAACTCTGAGTGGTATGGAAAAAACTTCTACTGTTAATTAATAATGCCTTCCAAGGCTCTGAAGGCAGAAGTGGTGGACTCATGCCCCCATATGGCACCTCTGGTCTAAGCAATGGGGAGAAATTTCATAGGAAGGAAGTTTGCCATTAAATAGCAGGACTCAGGGGACTGGATTTGGGGATTATAATAAGAACAGTTGCAGCAATAATGATGGCCTCTATTTTAGGGAGTACTGTGCTAGTGCTTTATGTATTTTATTTCCTTGTCTCCTCATAAGTCCATTTTATAGACAAAGAAACTGAGGCTCAAAAAGTATAAAGTAGCTTGCAAGGGGTCATGTAGCTAATTTAGTGGCAGAAGTGGATTTGGACCTGGAATGATCTAACCCGAAGTCTGTGTTCCTACTTAGCAGCCTGAACTGCCTATGGGACTGGGGAAAGGACTGGTTATGGCAAAGTTTTTTTAACATCATGTGGAGCCATATGGTATATTGTAGGATGTTTAATGGCATCACTGGCTTCTACCCACTAGATACCAGTAGCACATCTCTCAAACACCTCATCATGAGAGTCAGAAATGTCTCCAGTGATATGGTTTGGCTGTGTCCCCACCCAAATCTCATCTTAATTGTAGTTCCCATAATCTCCACCTGTTGTGGGAGGGACCAGGTGGTAGGTAATTTAATCATGGGGGTGGTTACCCTCATGCTGTTCTCGTGATAGTGAGTTCTCACGAGGTTTGATGGTTTTATAAGGGGCTGCCCCACCCCACTAACTGTCATTCTTCTCTCTCCTCTCATTCATCATGTGAAGAAGGACATGTTTGCTTTCCCTTCCACCATGATTGTAAGTTTCCTGAGGCCTCCCCAGCCATGCTGAACTGAAAGTCAATTAAACCTCTTTCCTTTATAAGTTACCCAGTCTCGGGTATGTCTTTATTAGCAGCATGAGAATGGACTAATACATCCAGAAACTGCCAAATGTTCCCGGGTGGGGGTGGGGGGCAGCGCTATTTGCCCCATTTGAGGATGACTAGGTTAGAGGATAGCAAGCCCTGCACTTGGAGCAATTCTGGTTCTGGGCAGGCCATGAGCTGGGAAGGGACTGAAGAATGAGAAGGTGACCACAAAGGGTCAGTTATGGAAACCCAGAAAGCAAGGGCCAGTCAGGGTAGTCTGGGAGTGTTTGTCACCAGAAGAAGGCAACTGGAGGCTGAGTCCTCTAGGCTAATGCACTAAGTCTCCTAGATGTTTCCTGTTGAGGGGCAGGACTGAATAGGGCTGAGCTTGCTGGAGAAGATTCCTGTGGCCCTCAATTGTAGGTGAAGGAAGGATGTGACGGGAGAGGGATTTTAACCAGACTGGTCATCCTGAACACTCCTGAGCGTCTGTCACTGCAGATGCATCTAGCCATCAGTACATACTAAACGGGAGTTTGTTAAATAAATGATGAAAAACCAGAACAAAGGAAGGGAAAAATGGAGTTGCACTTATTATTATTTTTTTTTCTGAGACAGTTTTGCTCTGTTGCCCAGGCTAGAGTGCAGTAGTGCAATCTCGATGCAATGCAGCCTTGACCTCCCAGGCTCGAGTAATCTCCGACGTCAGCCTCCTGAGTAGCTGGAAATACAGGTGCGTGCCACCATGCCCAGCTAATTATTTTTGTATTTATTGTAGAGATGGGGTTTTGCCATGTTGCCCAGGCTGGTGTCAAACTGCTGAGCTCAAGTGATCCACCTGCCTCAACCTCCCAAAGTGCTGGGGTTACAGGTGTGAGCCACCACATCCAGCCTGAGTTGCATTTATTTTTGAGAAAAAATGTGATATCAAACAATATTCCTGAATAACCACTAAACCTGTAATTGGCAGATACTTAGCAGCAAATTTTAGACATTTGCTGAAAAGTATCAGGGTTAGGGTGAGAGGAAAGGGGGTGTGGCATTTTTAATAAAAATTAATTGCTACAATTCAATATGTTTGCTCAATGCCTCTTTTACTTTTCAATGGAAGTCTACTTTTTATGAAAATAGAGATATCCTCTGGAATAACAGAAAGGAAAAGAAAATTGCAAAAAAATATAAATGGTATTTGGCAAAAAAAACATAATTTTTCTTGTAGTTAGCTGAATGAGTGTTTATGAATTTTAATTCTTAATAGTTATTTTGCTTTATCTTATTTTTAAAAAGTGAACAATTTCCTAATATGTATATGTAGTTAAAATATGTTTCAAAGGCTTTCTCAAATTCAGAGCCTCTAGAGGGACTGTGGTTAGAAAAGATATTTCTGCCTTCACCAATTCAGAAAGACAAGCTTTGCCTACAGGGTCATGCCCCTCTATTTTAGGTTGTGTTAAAAGGGGGCACCAAAATACTCAAACTATTTTACTACAAAGCTAACAAACATACCCACAGCCCCAGTTTCTACTCATGTGTAACTTCTGACCCTTTCTCAAAAAACTGAGTACTATGATTACTAGGCGTTGCTTTTTAAAAATAAAGCTTGCATTGTTTTCTTCCTCTCATTTGCATTTTCATCATAGAACAGTTCACAAATCCATGTTTTTTTCTGCCACCATTGAAGATGTTTTGCTATCAGTTATGTGCAATCAATCGCATAAAGCATGAAGAGAGCGGGGCTGCTATTCATACGTTGCCTGTTAATCTAATTACTGAGGTGGGGGCTCCAGAAATAGAGCTGCCCGCATAGAAAAGCTTTCCTCCCACCTGGTGGATTGTTTAGCCAAGCTTTTTAAATGTGCAGAGTTTTAAAAAGGGGGGACAGGAGGAGGCACGGGTAAAGAAATAAATCTTTTTTTTTTTTTTTAAGTTTCTATGCAGAGCAACGGAAAGAATTTAGTGGTTGTCAACATGAGTTTAGTACAAAGGTATGGTGTAAAACGTAGGTTCATTTTGACTGAGCTTCAGGTCACGCAAGTCCAGGGAAACCTGTGCTGCTATTTGTTTTTTGTGTGTTTTAAAAAGAGTTCATAAGACGTTAAGGGAGGGAGATGAAGTGGAGGGGGCGTCCCAGGGGGATGACGTCTATTAAAGGGTGGATACTTCAGGGGTGTTATTTCCAGAGGCTCTTAGTGACTGATTGTGTGAAAGGGTAGCTCTGAATGAGCAGCTCCAGCCTGGCTTGATTTTGAACTGGTTTTAATCCTTGATTCCTACAAACAAAATAAAATACCTTGTCGAATAGAGCCCATTGAGTGTGGATGATGGGTTAGGAGTGGGGGTACGAGATGGCAGCGTGGATGCTTGTTTATCAAGGAGGAGTTGTCCGTTGTTCCTGGAGCTGGTGAAAGGAAAGACGCCAGAATCTGATGGCTGGGGTAGCATTGATGTGAGGTAATGGGGTAATCGGATTGAAAGAGAGCCATAGTATTTATGTCAGTTCACATTTCGTCAAAGGAATAATATGAAGTGCTACCTAGCTGAGGCATTGGCCTGGGGGTTCAGTTAGCAAGCATCCAGGCCTCATTGGATTCAAATATAAATTAATTCTCACAGGAGCATTGCCTGATTAATCTATTTGCATAATAGTAGAAAAACTGCAGAGTGGTTACTTTTTTTTTCTTCTGCAGGGATTTGGACAAAAAAAGGTTTAAATTCATTTGAAAGAAGAGGGTGTGAGAAGTCAGAGAAGCAAAATCCCCCTCTGGGGCTCCCAGAGCTGTTTTCTGGACCGAGAAGAGTTGGAGTTGAGGGAAGCCCCATTGCCTCAAGAAGTTTAACTCTTCCTAGGAAAAAAAATCACCTTTTTCTGAAGCATTAGGAGTCTTAGCTCTTGGCTCAGATGGTGGGGTCTTGTTCAGTAGAGGCTCAGGACATCAGCCCGGAGTGAAATATCCCCCCAGGTTTAGGTTCTGGTCAAAGGACATCATAGTTTCAAAAATATATAGGTTCAGTTCTGTTGTACTCAAGTTCGCTGGGTGTTTCTGAAAAGAATTTCAAGTCTATTTGCTATTTCACTGAGAAATAAGTAATTGGGCTTATAAAACTCAGGACATTCATGACCTATTTTGACACAGTGCATTCAATCAGTGAGAACCTGCTGAGCACAACCTGGTGCTGCTGGTGTGTGATGGTGGGTATAACAATGAAATCTGCGTGTTATTTTTAAAAACCATATTATAAACACAGGATGGATGGAAGAGGACTAAGTGTTCATGAATTTCAGATTTTTGATACCAAAGTTATTTTTTCTGTAAAAATTTTAACAGAATTTTGAAATATAGCTATAAACATTACTTGGCAAATCCAGCCTTGATTACTTCCAGCCTTTGCTCAAGAAGAAAGACCTTTCTTTTTCATAGTACTATAGGCACTGTCTTCGGTATTTCTTACTCATTCTTATTACTTTTATTCCCTTATCATTCACTGTTGTGATAAAGAAAGCACCAAAGCCATTTAGATGCAACTGCCATGTTGGTTCAAAATGCTTCTATTTTCACCAGTTCCAGATGGAGAAACATTACAAACAACAACATGGCAAATCCTATTTTCTAACTGATCACATGGTTAATTCCAAGTTTTATTTTGAAAACTTCCTGCTATAGTAGAAATGCCTATGGTAGGTGCTTGACAAATGTTCATTTCATTTTCTCTTCTTGACTATACCCAGAATGACAATTAGATGTCCTTGTTGCTTAGGAAAATCAAGGAATAAGGGCCTAATACCAGCAGAGAAGAAAAGGTCTATTTTATGCACTTCCACTGCTTTAGGAGTGCCCAGCTAGCTGAGGACCCTTTCTTTGAGCTCTGCATATCCCCACCCCCTGTTAAATAAGGGTGAGCCTCCAATAGCTTTTTTTTTTTAACCCTTTCAGCAGTAATACTAATTTTGTGTTGAAATTAGCCCTCATTTAATGCAAGTCCTGTTCTCTAATTAGTTGGTCATGGTACACTCAATACTTCTTTTATATTTACTCTGAAAGAGAGTCACCAACTTTTATGCAAAAGATTATACTACCTACTGAGAGAGAGAAGCTAATTCACTCTCATTCCCTCCAACATCTTATTACCTATCAGGGAAACAAGACAAATACTTTCCCACACTCATACCCATATATTCCCAATAGCCGAGCATTAGTGGGAAGCCATTATCCCTGGAGGCCAAAATGATTGTGGTAATCAGATTGTGAAATAGATCGGATAAGGAGAAGTCATTGGGGCCAAATGAGTGCATCACCTAGCAAGCACCAGAATGCAAAGAATGGCAAGTGGCCCATCCTTGCTGCTGCTCAAGCTGGAAGCATAGAAGCTGGAGCACCCTGTTTGGTTTGGCTGTGTGTGGGCCTCAGGGCAGCTGTGATGCTGCACTCAGTCATGGGTAACTGTGAGAGGTGCTGAACAAAGTGGATGAGTTCTCATGACAGCAAGGAGTCTCAGGGAAGGAAATGAGACTCATTTCACACGGCCCTAAGCAAGTAAAACTGGGACTGCTAGAGGAACACTGATTTGGCCGAATACAAATATGACTATTTTAATGGCTCATTTGCCAGTTTATTTAGTCTCCATATGGAAGAGTGACCTTTGAAAACATAAATTACATCAAAACATGGCCCTGCTTGAAACCCATCAGAGACTTCCTCCCTGTGGCCTGCAGTGCCCAGCCTCATCTGTCCCCTTCCCACCTGGTCAGCTTCTTACCCCATCCCCTCCCTGTTTACTAAGCTCAAACTGCCTTGGCCTTTGGATCCTTGAACCAGCAGAGCTATTTTGTGCTTCAGAGTTCATGCAAAGGTTTTTCTCAGTCTTGGCTTGTTCCTACCCATCCCTGATACACAGCTTTAAGATACAGATTTTTGCAGGCTTTCCTCTCCAAATACATCTGCAAATCTGATCACTCTTCACCAGCTTCACTGCTATCTGCTGGTCCTTGCCCCCATTAATGCAACGGTCTCTCTGCTTCTAACCTTGTGCTCAACACAGAAGCCAGAGGGACCCATTGAAAATGCAAGTCAGATCTGTCATATCTCTGCTCAAAACCCTCCAATGCATCTCATCTCAGAATAAAAGCCGAAGTCCTCACAAAAGCCCATAGGTCCTCCATGACCTTGCCCTGCCTCCCTCACCACCCTATTATATCTCAGACTTCATCTCCTGTTGGTCTTCTCCCTCTCTCTGCTCCAGACACACTGATCTCCTTGTGGCTCTTTGAACTTGGCAGGTGTACTCTCATCTTAGGGCCTTTGCCTGGCTCTTCCTTCTGTCTGGAATGCTCACTTTCCAGATATTTACATGGTTCACTCCTCACATTCCTCAAGTCTATGCTCCAACCTTACCATATTAATGAAGCCCTCTCTGAACACCCTATTTGAAATAAATCCTCCCAACTCCAATAATCCTTAAGGTAGAGGCTTGGAAAGAGCTCGACCCATTCAGGGTCTATTAGGATCTATTACCTAAAAGATACTCAGGGGCATGTAAAAAATGAGACAACAAGGCCTCTGCCTTTCCAGAGATTACAGTACTGAGATTCTGAGAAATGAGGAGTCCTCACTTGATGACTGAGTTTATTATCTCAGAAACAGTCTCTGGGATTCTCTGAGCTTTGCTTTGTGCTGGGCACCACTGTCACATGGTCCCCTTACCCACACATACATCCCCGCAAAGTGTGCTCCTCAGACATCTTACTGATGAAGAAAACCTTCAATGACTGTTGTTTCTAAAGTAATTTTTTTTTTTTACTATTTATTATTCACATAGGTGAACTTGGGTCTGTAGGGCAAGCCCTTCACGGACGGATTGATTATTTCCTCCCAGGCACACAATTTTCTCTGATTTGCGTCCAGCCTCCAAGTGATGCTGATGCCTAGAAATAGGGTTTGCAGTGGGAAGAAAGTGATGGATTAAAAATCACAAGGCCAAGGCGAAGGTGGTCGTTCCAGCTCTTCCCTTAATTGACTGTGACCTTGGGCAGTTACTTAACCTTTGTCCCTGATTTTATTATCTATAAAGTAGAGAAAATTAATATATCTACCTTTCCCAAAGGGATATTGTTGGGGAGAAATTAGTGGATTTTTAAGGATTTAAACATATATTACATATATAAATATCAGTTATCATTAGTATTGTATCACTACCATGACAGCAACTGCTAAATTAACTGATATGCTTTGTCCTCCTTCCTCCTCCTCCCTCTTCCTCTTCTTCTCTCCTCTTCCTCCTGCTATTGTTTTTGGTATTCTTACTGGTTAGGTGTCCTCGTAGGTATTAATATTTTTTTCACAAGTAGAACTGAAGAGTGGAGAAATAAATATCAGGTCATGCCCATATCCCTAATGACCAACTTTTTTTTCCACTTGAGAAAGGTTTTTTGGCGGGTCACTTTCAGTTTGTCTCCCAAACTTGTCATATTGTACACAAATCACCTTGTATGGGATGGCTATAGGTGAACACTACATGTTAACTAACCCATCCATTCTCAATAGGGGGTCGACTTTTCCCTCTACGGGACATTTGGCAATGTCTGGAGATGTTTTTGGTTGTCACAAATTGGGCAAGTTGGGGGAAATGCAGAGGATGGTATTGGTATTTAGTGGTAGAAGCTAGGGCTGCTGCTAGTCAATGTGCAAGACAGCCCCTCAAATAATTATTTAGCTCAAAATACCAGTAGTGCCAAAGGTGAGAAACCCTGAATTTACTAAGTGCCTTTTTAAAAAATTTCTTTTTTATTTGTGACTTTTGTTTTCTTTTAAGTTTTTTTGTTAAAAGCAGGTTTGCCTTGTTCTTTTTAATTTTTTATTTTTTTTGGTTGAGGAATAACTTACATATACATAATGAAATACACAGATCTTGTTACATTTTGATTACTTTTAGCAAGTGAAAACTTTTGTGTATCCCAGATTTCTATCACTACATAGACCATCTCTTTCACCCTAGTAAGTTCTCTTATGCCCCTTTCCAATCTGTTCCCACACCACCCCTGTCTGATTTCTTGTCACCATAGATTGTTATGCTCATTGTTTTTAAATATTAAAAATCTCATAACTGGGCATGGTAGTTGGTAGGGTTAGTTAGGTTAGAGATAACTAGACTCTAGGAACCAGACAGCTGAACTGCAAGAATGGGGCTTGAGATATGAAGGAAAAGTCACATGCAAAGAGCAGAGAAGCAGCTAGCTGGTATCAGAGAGATGCTGCAGCAAGCAGCTGACTGAGATGCTGCCAGGAGGGCAGGTGAGAGACAAAGGAGTGCCCGTGACAAGGAGTGGATCCCTGGCTGTGGAAATGAAGTCTCAGAAGCTTAGAAAGAGCTATGGGAAGACTTGGGCAGAGCCAGGCTGCATGAATAGGAGCACAAGTTGAGGACTTGGCAGGGGGAGTATATTAGTCTCCTAGGCCTTCCATAAGAAATGACCACAAACGTGGTGGCTTGAAACTCAGAGTTCTGGAGGCCAGAAGTCTAAACTCAAGGTGTTAGAGGGCTGTACTCCCTTTGGAAGCTCTAAGAGAAAAATATGTTCTTTGCCTCTTCCAACTTTGATGGCTGCCAGCATTCCCTGGCTTCCTTGGCTTGTGGCCACATCACTCCCATCTCTGCCTCTGTCTTCAGACTGCCTTCTCATCTTTTTTTTTTTTTTTTTTTTTTTTTTTTTTTTTGAGACAGAGTCTTGCTCTGTCACCTAGGCAGGAGTGCAGTGTGCAATCTTGGCTCACTGGACCTCCGCCTCCCGGGTTCAAGCAATTCTCGTGCCTCAGCCTCCCAAGTAGCTGGGATTACAGGCATGCGCCATCATGGCCAGCTAATTTTTGTATTTTTAGTAGAGATGAGGGTTCACCATGTTTGCCAGGCTGGTCTCGGACTCCTGACCTCAAGTGATCTGTCCGCCTCGGCCTCCCAAAGTGCTGGGATTACAGGCATGAGCCACCATGCCTGGCCAGCCTTCTCCTCTTCTGTCTGTTTTCCTTTGTATGTTTCTTGTAAGGACACTTGCCATTGGATTTAGGGCCCACCAAGATAATCTAGGATGATCTCATCTCAAGATCCTTAATTTAATTACATCTGTAAATGCCTTTAACTAAATAAAGTAACATAGGTTCAACAGATTTGATGTGGGTATCTTTTGGGAGGCCATTTGTGGGCCTAGCATAGGGAGCAAAGTCAAGAGACAAGTTTCTACAACTGGGTTGTGAGGTTAAAAGGGAGCCCTCTGCAGGGCTGGCTGATGGCCAGTCTACAGTTGGGATTAGCCCCAGGGAATGAAGGACATTAACATTTATTCAGCATCTGATATAACCAGGCATACTAAGTGCTTCATCATTAGCTTCCTTTAATCCTAACAAAGACCCTGTAAGATAGCTCTGCTTTTCCCCGTGCCTCAAATGTGTATTTTGGAAATTGTCAAACTACAGAAAAGTTTGAAAAAAAAAGTACAATAAACACCTGCGTATCCTTAACTTGGGTTCACTAATTGTTACCATTTTTTCACATCTGTTCTCTGCATGTGTATGTGTATATTTGGGAAGGTGGAGACCTAACCATTTGAAAGTAAGTTACAGATATCATGACAACTCAACCCTTAACTATATCAGCATCATCACCTGGTATGAAAATGAGAGATGGTCACTCTTATTTGACATATGAGAAAATGGGATCTCAGCAATGTTAAGTAGATTCCTCAGAGTCTCAGAACTAAAAGCACAAGGCCAATATTTGAGCATAAGGCTGTCCAACTCCCAAACTCATGCTCTTTCTACACTACCATTTTTGTTAATCATGCTTTCAACAGTTTTGGTGGGGCAGGGTGAGATGGGGGTCCCATGAATGGAAAATACATTTTCCACTGAATATATTTGAATAAAGCATGCAAGGCAGAAAAACAATAGACAGGTAAACAGATAAGTTACTGAGATCATTTCAGGGCTTTATGATGAAGAATGACTGGTGGAAGAATGGGAATGTTGAGCCTGAAAGATAAAAAAAAACATAGCATATGGCCTCTGCCTTAAAGAAGGCTGCAACGGAGCAGGATTCTTAGAAATGAGGACTGGGACTCTTAGCAGTGAGGAACCTGTCTTCCATCCTTTCTCAAGAAGCTTCAGGAAGATGTGGGAAGATGTGTTTTACCAAAAGAGGGTATAAACCAAGAAAGAAGACATAGGGTTCTGGAAATAAGGGATCCAACCCAGAAGAGAAACAAAGGCAAGTCTAGGGACAGCAGGACCAGGTGGTGCAAAGAGGAGCAGGAAAATGGAACGTTTCTGAGGAAAACAGAGCTGGCAGTCACCTGTGTTAAAAAATGATTCTATGACACTTGGTAAGCACAGTAAGACAGACTTATTCAAGGGAAATAGGTGTAGGAACCATTTTATTCAAGTGATTTATTCACTTTATTCACGATAGGTGTAGAAACCACCAAGATAGAATTTGCAGTGGGGAAGAAAGATTGCACTCAACTCCGAACACAGCATGGGCAAGTGGGAACTTCCAGCCAAAAAGCAGGGTGGTGGTCACTGGATGAAAAGTTACTGACAGGAAACATCAGGGGTTGATATAGTTTGAATATATGTCCGCGCCAAACCTTATGTGAAATTGTAATCCCCAAAATTTGGAGGTGGGGTCTGGTGGGAGGTATTTGGATCGGTGGGCAGATCCCTCATGAATGGCTTAGCACCATGACCTTGGTGGTGAGTGAGTTCTTGCAAGATCTAGTTGTTTAAAAGTGTGTGGTGTCTCACACTCAGTCTCTCTTGCTCCTGCTTTTGCAATATGACATGCCTCCTCCCACTTAGCCTTTTGCCATGAGTAAAAGCTCCCTTAGGCCTCCCCGGAAGCTGAGCAGATGCCAAAGCATGCTTTCTGCACGGTCTGCAGAACCAGGAGCCAATTTAACCTGTTTTCTTTGTGAGTTACCCAGTCTCACGTATTTCTTTATAGCAATGCAAGAATGGCCTAACACAGGGGAAAGGACAGATTCTGGCTAAACAAACCTAATAAACTTCTTCCAAAAGTTAGGCCAGGGTGATCAGGTATCAAGGGTGGAGGATTCTGGTTAAATTAATTCATCGGGATTCCGGCTGAAATTGAACAATGCAGAGAGAAATATGTAAGGCCTACTTTGAAGTTCAGGGGAGTTTAAGTAGAGTTTGGCCGAAGAGGGAATCTTTGTCACCTGTTGGATTTGACCGTATGGAAAAGAGAACAGCCCTCCGATATGGAAAAGAGAACAGCACTCCGAGGTGTTTTACAATTTTTGCTGGGCGCAGTCGCTCACACCTATAATCCCAGCACTTTGGGAAGTTGAAACAGTGAATCACTTAAGGTCAGGCGTTCAAGACCAGCCTGTGAAACCCCATCTCTACTAAAAATAGAAAAAATTAGCTGGGCGCGGTGGTGCATGCCTGTAATCCCAGCCACTTGGGAGTCTGAGGCAGGAGAATTGCTTGAACCCAGAAGGCGAAGGCTGCAGTAAGCCGAGATCACGCCACTGTACTACAGCCTGGGAGACAGAGCAAGACTCCATCTCAAAATACTAACTAAAATAAAAAATAATAATAAAATTTTGATGTAGAGTTTTAGAACCACTAATGATAGTTACATAGAGAGCGATGTAAACAAAAAAGAAGAAAGTATTCACTTCAGGAAAAATAAAAAGTTATATAATAGGCCGGGTGCATTGGCTCACGCCTGTAATCCCAGCCCTTTGGGAGGCTGAGGCAGGTGGATTACCTGAGGCCAGGAGTTCGAGACCAGCCTGGCCAACATGGTGAAACCCCATGTCTACTAAAAATACAAAAAATTAGCCAGGCATGGTGGTGCATGCCTGTAATCCCAGCTACTCAGGAGGCTGAGACAGGAGAATCGCTTGAACCCAGGAGGCAGAGGTTGTAGTGAGCCAAGATCGTGCCACTGCACTCCAGCCTGGGCCACAGAGCAAGACTCCATCTCAAAAAAAAAAAAAATAGTTAACACAATAAAGGAAATGTAACAATAATATAATACCAGCACATTAATAAATAATATTTGCACAGTTATAGTAAACATGTGATGGTGATTTCACCTAAAATAGTGACATAATTATTTAGGAGAATGGGTGGGGGTATTGAGCAAGTCTCCTGTTTTCTTTGCTGTTGTTTCCAGTGCTTGAATCAGACCCAGAGAATCCCAAATTGGCATTCTTTGAAGTTAAAGACTTTTGGCTCCACCCAAGTTAGGATGTCAACTGAGAGGAAAACCATTACTAAGAAAGTTATAGGATTGTATTTTTGTTTTGTGTGTGTGTGTGTGTGTGTGTGTGTGTGTGTGTGTGTGTGTGTGTGTGTTTTGGAAGCAAAGAGGGGCATACAAATAGTAAGCATTCAGTATTATTTATAGTATATCAAGTTTTAGATTTATGAATATATAACTGAGCCATCCTAATATAACTTGAGTCCTCTAAACATTTTCTCATTTTCATAGAATTCTCTACAAATTTAGAAATGTTAGTACTTAGATTAGGTTCATTTAATAAAGTTGGGGCCAGCTGTGGTGGCTCACACCTGCAACCCAGCCAAAGGAGGCCAAGGTGGGTGGATCACCTGAGGTCAGGAGTTTGAGACTAGCCTGACCAACATGGTGAAACCCAATCTCTACTAAAAATACAAAAATTAGCTGAGTGTGGTGGTGTGCGCCTGTAGTCCCAGCTACTCGGGAGGCTGAGGCAGGAGAATCACTTGAACCCGGGAGGCAGAGGTTGCAGTGAGCCAAGATTGTGCCACTGCACTCCAGCCTGGTTGACAAGAGTGAAACTCTGTCTCTAAATAAATAAAAATAATAAATTTGGATTGAATTGTATTAAACTCTTTGGTCTAACTTACCTATCATAGTTTGATTATGCTATATAATGAGATAAAAATGCAAAAATGTGATTTCTATTAATCTGGGTAAGTAAATAGAACAAATACAACCATCTACCTCTAGGCCAGCACTATCTCTTAACCTGTGCGACTGCAACAGCCTTTACCTGGTTTCTCCCCAACCTCTCTGACCCAGATAAAGCCATTGTTTATTCTTCGATTGACAGAGGGGTCTTTAAGAAATAAAGCTCTCTTGTCACTCTTCTGTTTAAAAACCCTGAATGGCTCGTTGAATTTGGATAAAATCCAAATGCCTTAACTTGGCTGGCAAATGTTCACGCTGTGGCCCCTGGCAATCTCTACAGACCCCGCTTTTCATCTCTTTTCCCCACATCCTTGCTGCACGGGCTATAATTTAAAACCTTTAATTCCTCTCAGCATATTTGTCAGGCATTGTCTCTCCACCATGGGGCTGTTATATACGTTATTCTCTCTGCCTGGGATGCTCTACCGCCTCTCCCTCTCCCTACAACTTAAGATCGTAGCATTAGATGCTTCAGTGCCATTTCCTCTAGGAAACCTTCCCTAACCACAACCAACAGAAAACTCGGGTCCTATGGCACTTGACATTTCTCCTTTCTAACACCCACCACATTCAGACTCACAAGTTCATTGAGTGCATTCCTCCCGGGTTGTAGCTCCGCGATGGCAGGGAACAAGTTGAAGGTCTAAATTGATAATCACTTTATTTCAGGAGTCCAACACTATGTCTGAAACATCACCATAGAACAAGATGGATGGATGTTTTCATCACATCTATGGATATTAGACCTGTGAGTACAGTACCTAAGTTCTCATTTCCATCCTCATAGAAAATAATTATTTTTTATGATGTCTAAATTTTTTTCCATTGCAAGTATTTACTCATTCATTTGTAACTGAGTGGAGGTTTGTTTGAATGCAATCACAAGAATGGCTCATAGTCACAGGTTGGGTCTCCAAGACAGCAAGGGCCACAGAGTACAGAGTTTTAGATCTTGTGTATAAGACCAGGCACCACAGAGCTCTCCAGTGTCACCTTCCCTCATATTTGCCCTTGCTTTCTAAGGTCTTGCTATCCTGGGCTGTCCCCCATTTTCCACAATGCTCTTAACCTCAGCCTGGGATGCTGCAGATGGGATTTATAGTTCACAGTTAGAAGATCTGGTCAATGATGTGTTGATTGATTGCTAGACAGCTGCTACCAGCTTAGTCTGAAAACATCAGGAAATTTTTTATGCCGGTGACAAAGGGAGCATAATTATTATGTTCTCAGGGTATTTTTAATTATAAGCAACAATTTAATCATTGCCTCAGATCTGCCTATGAGCTTACTTTAAAAAAAAAAGACAACTTTTCACAATAGTTTACTGGCACCCTATGGCAACCAAGTGTAACCTACTTTGGCACCTAAACATGGTTAGAAATAAAGACTTCTGCCCAGAAAGGGTAGATGACCACATGGAATGTATTAATTCCTAGACAGAAGCACATCAATGTGTGATCTTAAAGTGATTCTTTTCACAATGAAAGAGTTACTGAAATGAAAACTACAGGGAGGATATTTTCCCCCAAAGATTAACTCTTTTCCTAACTGCCTTTTTATTTCCAACCTAGTCTCATCTCAGTGGCTATTCTGAGGGTTTCTCATGTAAGAATCATTTTACTGAGTTTTATCCCAGATGAGAAGTCTATAACTGAGATTGTAATCCTTCTAAGTGAATGGAAATTTCAAGTGTAGCTCATCAGTAATAGCTGTTTAAGATGAAA
Organism: Homo sapiens; assembly: GCF_000001405.40. NCBI lineage: Eukaryota > Metazoa > Chordata > Mammalia > Primates > Hominidae > Homo > Homo sapiens. The sequence continues at coordinate 20,188,560 of NC_000011.10, forward strand.
ACTGTCATGGTCTTGTTGCCAGAATAATGACTGAGCTACTATGAAAGAAACTCAGAGCAGTTTGCTGAGATGAATTGGAAAAGTGGGTGTCCTTTCTTTTTAACTTTGAAATGTTTTACCTGGCTTTGGTGAGCAATTCTAATTCCTGTCATTTAAGTTGGCATTTTGTTGTTGTGGTTGTTGTTGTTATGAATAAACACATGAGAAAAAGATTTATGTAGAGGATCATGGTTTAACTATTCTATTACTGGACACCATAATAAAACAGATCTGAAAACTGTGAATGACAGTGACAATCGGAATACCTTTTACATAGTGCCTGTCTCCAAGGAATCATTTTTCCCTCATGTCAGAGGATCCAGTAATCTGTCTTTGGCTAAAGAGAGAGAATTTTTTTTTTTTTTTTAATGTCCAAGCTTCCAGTAGCCTAAACAATTGCCAGCAGAGAAACCAAGGCTGTTTTCTTTCAAAAGCCTATACAGAACTATTTTGGAAACAGTTCAGCCACTGGGTAAGCGAGTCAAAGGGCTGCTAGGAAGTGTGTGCTGTAGCACACATTTCACTGTCTGCAAACATTCTTTTCTGATGGTGCATCTGAGTGCTGAGATTCTCTCTCCCTGGGGCCTTCCTGTTCCATCTGCTCCAGCTTACTGGTTCCCCTGCAAAAACAGCAAAGGATGCCATCCCTGCACTGGGTATGTAACTGAACTGATTATATTAGATTTGGTGCTATTAATTTTTAATAACTTCAGCAAGAAGTAATTGGGCAGAATTTCTCCTATTTAACAGAAGGGCAGTTTGAGGCTTTGAAAAAGGTCCTGCTTTCTTATTTCTTTCACTAATGTGCCATCCTGATTCCAAGGGAGGCCCTTTGGTCTTAGGGCTGTGCTTGGGCATTTGCCTTTTGGGGGCTAAGAGGGAATTGGCCAGGCGCTGTGGCTCATGCCTGTCATCCCAACACTTTGGGAGGCCGAGGTGGGCAGATCACTTTGAGGTCAGGAGTTCAAGACCAGCCTGGCCAAATTGGTGAAACCCTGTCTTTACTAAAAATATAAAAATTAGCTGGGTGTGGTGGCATGCACCTGTAATCCTAGCTACTGAGGAGGCTGAGGCATGAGAATTACTTGAACCCGGGAGGTGGTGGTTGCAGTGAGCCGAGATCATGCCACTGCACTCCAGCCTGGGCAACAGAGCAAGACTCTATCTCAAAAAAAGTAATTAACAGAGGAGTTTGCATTATTCACTGTCAGTCTGGGAGTAATTAGCTGAGGCTCTACACTTAATATTACACAGAGATTAATCAAAGAGGGAGAACATGCAGCCCTTCAAGAGCCTGTTACTTGAGTGGAGAAACACATGGTTCAACCAAACCTGTATAATGGTCTTTTGGAGATGACAGGAAGGTAGCTCTCTGCCTAACACAATCCAGGCAATTGTCTTGGGTTGAAGGCCCTCGATGGGTGTGCAGAAGACCTACGTTCAAGCCCTGAGTCTGCAGCTTCTGTCTTATGACTGGGCAAAGATCTGCTTTTGTGCCTGTCTACCCCTCTGGCTGCTCTCAAAGCAAGCCCCTCCTCACTCTCTATACTCCAGCTATACCCTTCTCCCTCCACCACAGGACCTTTGCATGGACTGGTCCCTTTGCCTGGCATGCTCTCCTGCCTGTCCTCACTCCTACTCTTTCTTCAGGCGTCATTTAAGGTATCATTTCCATAGAGAATCCTTCCCTGACTCCATCTATATGGGGGTCTTCCCATCATGATGTTGATCACAAAGGTCATCAATGTATTTTATGATTAAAGTATTTGTTTTTTATTTTTCTCTCACTAGATCAAGTAGAGATTATGTCTGTTTTGCTTATTATTGTTCCCCTTGGAACATATTGCCTGGCAGAAAGTAGAGGTTCAATACATATTTATTGAGTGAATGAATAAAGCTATCACATACATGCCCTGAGCTTCAGTTTCCTATAAAACAGGGATCATAAAGCCTACCTCTTATGGTTGTTTTATGGGAGAAATGAGTTCCTGTGCTTAAAAGTGTCTTGGACGGCTGGGTGTGGTGGCTCACGCCTGTATTCCCAGCATTTTGGGAGGCCGAGGCGGGCAGATCACGAGGTCAGGAGATCAAGACGATCCTGGCTAACATGGTGAAACCCTGTCTCTACAAACACACACACACACACAAATTAGCCGGGCGTGGTGGCAGGCACCTGTAGTCCCAGCTTCTCAGGAGGCTGAGGCAGGAGAATAGCTTGAACCCTGGAGGCACAGGTTGCAGTGAGCCGAGATTGCACCACTGCACTCCAGCCTGGGCGACAGAGCAAGACTGTCTCAAAACAACAGCAACAAAAAAACATGTCTTGGACAGTAACTGCATTTAATAGGTATAAATATTGCTTATCTGAATAAATACAGAGCTTAATAGTACTCTTTAAATCTGTGAGCCAGCACTTAAGTGAAAGGCCCAAGTGTTAGCAGCATCATTTGTATGATGCTTTAAACTTAATAAAGCTGTTCGCTACACGTGGAGTAGAAGATTGTGTTTTCCAAAGATAGCTCCATCAATACATACATCCCATCCCACACCCTCTTATAACATCACTGCTGTTCCTTCTGCAGAGGGGTGGCGGGGGAGGGTCTGTGTTTCCTCCCGTTGAATCCTGTGGGGGCTTGTGACTGCTCTAACCAAGGGAAATGGCAGAAGTGATGCTACCTGACTTCTGAGGCTAGGTCATAAGAATGGTATAGCTTTGACTTGGCACTCTGCTTATCTCAGGTGCTCGCCCTTTAATCTGCCACCACCATGCCACCGTGTCATGAGGAGGCGCTGACAGACTTACCATCAACTCCCAGACATGGGAAGGAGCGAGCCTTTTTTTTTTTTTGAGACGGAGTCTTGCTGTATCACCCTGACTGGAGTGCAGTGGCACGATCTTGGCTCACTGCAACCTCCGCCTCCCAGGTTCAAGCAATTCTCCCACCTCAGCCTCCCAAGTAGCTGTGACTACAGGCATGTGCCACCATGCCTAGCTAAGTTTTATATTTTTAGTAGAGACGGGGTTTCACCATGTTGGCCTGGCTTGTCTTGAATTCCTGACCACAGGTGATCTGCCCGTCTCAGCCTCCTAAAGTGCTGGGATTACAGGGGTGAGGCACTGTGCCCTGCCCAGGCCTAGCATTTGAGTAGCCCCAGCTGGTATCAGGTGGAGCGGAAACAAGTTGTCCCCACTGATCCCTGTTCAGATTGTAGGTTTGTAAACAAAATAGATGCTGTTGTAGTTTTAAGCCACTGTGTTTTGTAGTCATTGTTATGCTGCAATGGATAACCAGAACACAGGGTAATCCCAGCCCCTGCTGGCCCATGCAGTAATCAAGGTGGGCATTACCATTTATTCTCATTTTTCAGATGAGGGAGCTGAAACTCACAGGAGTTAAGTGACCTCCTCAAGGTCACATAGCCGGTGGGTGGTAAAGTCCAAGCATCTGGATTTCTAGGATTTGTCTTCCCTATATCCCCCACAAAGTCCTGAATCTCATACATGAGCCTCAGCAGCAAAGGATGTTACTAACCTCCGAGAGAATCCTGTCTCCTGTTTAATTGGACTTGGGAAGCTTGGAGCTCCCCTCTCTTCAAGCTTGGGCTCTTTCAGATGTTCCAGCATCCTGGCCTCACACTTCAGAAACAGGAAGAAGAAAATTGCAGCAGATTATAGCCTTAGATAGCACTTGAATTTTTTAAGATGCTAGCCATCCCTCATGCCATGAAAGCGCTACATTAAGGCTTGGCAGATGTCATTTACACACATACCAGAGAGGCCAAGAGAGGTTCAGAGAGATAAAGAAATCAATTAGAGGTGGTTGCATGCCTCTTAACCCCAGACATGCGTAGAATTTTTCAAAAGGTTTCTCATCCCTCTCCCTGCACACCCACTCTCAAACTTGTTTCACCATTTTCCATCACAAGGAACTAATTAGAAAATCAACTCCCATGGGACAACAGCTCTGATTACCCCTGACTAGAGAAATCGTATTGCCATTTTATAGGCCTGACACTTTATGAGTTGTTGAGATAGTACAGAAATTGAGCACAGCACATGCTCCATAGTAAACCCTCAGCAGGGCAGGCATATCTCACAGGCTCCTTGTGATTACAATGTAAAATCCAAACTCCTCAGCAATGGGCATACACAAAGCTCAGTGTGATTAGGTCCCCTTCTTTCTGCTCAGCAGTGTCTTCTACCACATGCTCCTTGCACATTAAACTCTAGCAACAATGAATGTGCCCTCATCCACCCCTCTAGTCTGCTCATGGCCTTCACACAATCCTGGGATGCCTGTATTCTGCTGGTCTGCTTGACAAACATCTTTTCTTTCAAATCTCAAGAGCTATCTTTTCTGAGAAGCCTTCCTTGACTCTCCCAAGCTAACTCAGAGAGTCAAGTCCTGCACTGAAGGAATTTTATTTTCTATTCTAACTGGATGCACTAAAATCAAAGACAGAGACCTCCCCCGACCCCAACAGTTTCACTCACCAGTCCTAAGTGCTGTGCCTAATTCAAAGAAGACACTTAAAAGATTTACTGAATGAATAAATTCTCTCATTTAATCCTTATGGCTGCCCCATAAAGTGGGTACTTTTATAATCCCGTTTTACAGGTAGTGAAACTGAGCTCAGAAAAGTTAAGGGACTTAGACTACCACGGCTAAGTGGGGGAGCCTGATATCAAATCCAGGAATGTTTACTACCAAAGCTCTTGCTCTTTCTGCCATGCCATACTGTGACTGCCTCTCCATTCAGTGATGATTGGATTAACATCGGGGGATGCAACAAGAAAGTCCTCCGTAGACCAAGGCCACCCCAGAACTCTGTGCACTGCTTTGAAGAAGTCCCCCACCTGCTCTGTGAGTCAGCACAGCTCAGAGTGCACCTTTCAAATAGGCTGGTGTGATTAAGGAGGTTCAATGACTTTTGTCCCTTGTGTGATTATTGTTGTTTGAAAGTAAAGACAGTTTCCTGCGTCTGTTAATTTCATGCCTGAAACTCTCTAGACTAGTTTTAGGACTTGGGCTGCACCTGTTTCTCATCAAAGTTTTAATGTCCCTATTAACCCCATCTCCCTTTTCAGATTAGCCTGTGTTTGAAGCTTTGATTAATTTTATTCTGCACTGATGGGGGATTCTAAACTCTGTGCTTCTTCAAAACAAGCCCTGCTGGGCCTGTCGGCTATATGGCTCCAGTGGTAATGATCTTCTGCCACATAGCTATAGAAAGTCGAGCGGCAGAAGGAAATTAACCTACTATTTCCACAAAGGGATATGCTCAGAATTGCCAACAATATTTATGTGGGCATTGTGCTCCCAGATACACTTGGATGGCAGTGAATTGTCAGTTACTATGACAAAATGACGGACGAAATCAATCTGCCAAGTATGAATAGCTCTCAATGGGCTTCAAGGTTCTCAGGTTAAGGGACCCACAAAGCTGACAGGGGTTGGGCCTCATATCGATATGACCTCCATTGGAGAGCATATAAATTAGCTGAGATGTAGGCAAAGAGGTCTGTTCCCCAACATCTCCCCGTCCCTAAGTGGAGCGTTTTCCGATATTCATATGGAAATGAAAGACCATTTCAGAAGGCCTGGAAGTCCAGCTATGTTAATAACATTCAAATCAGGCCTCTGTTCCAGAGAGGTTGCATGAATTTCACCTTTTCATACAACATTTCCTCCTCCTCATTAGTTCTCTCCCCAGATAAATTATATTAGATTGCACAAAAAATAATACAAGTAGACAAATCAAGTATGCACCCCACTCTATCTTTCTAGTTAGATAGATATAGATAGATAGATAGATAGATAGATTCCCTCCTTAGAGGAAGTGATTTCAGATTCCTCTCCATTGGGTTCTAGACCTTCCCTGGAGCCACTCCATTTCAGAGTGATTTTTAAATAAAAGGTTTTTGTGGGTGAACACTGGTTCAAAATAAGTTCCTATTAGTAATAAAAAGAAAGATAAAGACATTCATTCAGGACATCCAAATAACTCATAAAGACTTGGATTCTGGAGCAAGTCATCTAAGAGGAAACAAATGTTGAAAGCCCTAAGATGCTTAATTTTATTTCGATTATCATTGCTTATCTGTGCTGTAATTTTAAGGTGACTCATGTAAATGCTTTACATCAAGCTTGTCCAACCTGAGGCACACAGGCTGCCTGCGGCCTAGGACTGCTTTGAATGTGGCCCAACACAAATTCATAAACTTTCATAAAGCATTATGAGATTTTTTTGGCAATTTTTTTTTTTTAGCTCATCAGCTATCATTAGTGTTAGTGTATTTTATGTGTGGCCAAGACAATTTTTCTTCCAACGTGGCCTAGGGGATCCAAAAGATTGGACACCCCTGGTTTATTATGTAAGCAAACCATAAAATTAAGTTTGGAAAAATTTAATATTCTTTATAAAGAATCATTAAAGAAATTATTATGAGAAAAAATATTTCAACTCTCTTTACAAAAAATCCAAAATTTCTTTTTTTGGTTCTATTTCTTACTATAAGCTCTCTTTGAATTATGTCTGATATATTTAAAATAAACTATGAGGCCAGGCGCTGTGGCTCATGCCTGTAATCCCTGCACTTTGGGAGGCTGAGCTGGGAGGATCACTTGAGGTCAGGAGTTTGAGACCAGCCTGCCAACATGGTGAAACCCCATCTCTACTAAAAATATAAAAATTAGCCAGGCATGGTGGCACATGCCTGTAGTCCCAGCTACTTTGGGAGGCTGAGGCAGGAGAATCACTTGAACCTGGGAGGCGGAGGCTATGGTGAGCTGAGATCGCACTGCTGCACTCCAGCCCATGCGACAGAGCAAGACCCTGTCTCAAAAAAAAAAAAAAAAAAAAAAAACCCTGGTCATCTCCCAAGAATAACCACATAGTAGCTAAAGAAACTGGGCTGAACCTCACCCAATTCCAGTAACTCTGTCACAGCAAATGACACTGAGAATTCAGAGATGTCAAGTTGATCATCTTTGTAGTTGTTAAAATCCATGAACTCTCCTTTGAAAAGTTATTATGGAGGATAAAAGAAAAAACTCTAAAGAATTGCAAACAGTGTATAATTCAGTATTGAATATTGTATTAGGACTTAGAAGCAGGAGATTTGACTTAGGCAGATTAAGTCAGGAAAAATATAATGAATGATGCATAATTTAGTCTGGGCCTTGAAAAATAGGTCCAAATGTAATTTCATGAAATTATTTAATATTTTCAATATATAAAGAGCTCTTAAAAATAAACAAGACAAGCATGCCAATAGCAAAAAAAAAAATAAAAAAAAAGCCAAAGGACATCAAAGATAATTTATTAAAGGCAAAAATGTAAAGAAACATATTAAAATATTCAACCTAATAATGAAACAACTTCAAATAATAATATGCTTCTCTCCCCCAACCCCATTCAGTTGGTAGAAAAATTTTTTTTATATATCATCACCCAGCAGTGAAAAGATCATTTTGTATCTTGTTCATGGGAAAGTAAATGAATACAACCATTTTGGAAGACAATATGGCAGTATGTATAAAGAACTTAAAAAATGTTATTTAATATTGATTAAATAATCAGAGATTTCCATAAAAATATACTTGTATAATATGGAGCTACTTATAATAGCAAAAAACAGAATTACTAGATGCCCAATTCTAGGGAATTGGTTTAATTATGATATATACGTGTAACATTAGGAAGAATATTTTCAAAGACTTTTTAATGGAATAGGAAAATTTATCTAATATAGTAAGTGACTAAAAAGGCAGATAACACATTATATATAAGATTTAATTCTACTTAAAATGTACCTCTGCATGTGTATTATATATGTATTTACATATGCATTACCAAAAAAAAAAAAAATAGCAACTATCTCTGAGTGGTGAGACTATGGATTTTTTTTTATTTTCTAATTTTTGTACATTTCCTAAATTTTCTATATGAACAAAAAATATTATTTGTTACTTTGTACATATTATAGTTGTCTACTTACTCTTACTGACAGAGAAGTAGTGATGCTATTGCTTTCCTTTGTAGAAAATCAATCCCATCTTCTAGGATATCTTCACCTTTGTTGCTATCATCCCATTTGATCAATGATTTATTCTTGGTACTCTAGAAATCTTTCCCAAATGCCAAATTGAGTTAGGAAGCATACATCCTCTTGTTGGATTTTTTTTTTTTTTGAGACAGGGTCTCACTATGTTGCCCAGGCTGGGGCGCAGTAGTGCCATCATAGCTTATTGTAACCTGCAACTCCTGGGCTTGAACGATTCTCCTGCCTCAGTCTCCTGAGCAGCTGAGAATACAGGCCCACACCACCACGCCCAGCTAATTTTTTATTTTTATTTTTGTAGAGTCAGGGTCTTGCTGTGTTTTCGGATCAATTTTATGCAATGTTTTCTTCTCCTTTCATCTGTATTACCTATTTTGCAAGCCATTGCACAATTCCAGCATCGCTCTAATCTTTCTGATGACTACAGAGGCAGTCAAAAATGGCACTTAATTAAGAGCATGAACTCGAGTCTCATTGTCCATGTTCTGTAAAACCTTGGGGTGGGTCCTGGAACAAATCCCCCAACTACCCTGAGGAGTGACTGTATGTCCCTCTTGCTCTCCATTTGATCTTAATCCACAGAATCAGCTTCTATTAAACATCAAATTTTTTAATCTGTGAAAATGTTCATCTTTCTACAATTCTGGGAAAACTAAGGAGATTCACTCTTTTTGGAGAAGTGATAATTTGAGAAGTGGTTGCAACTTTACTCTAAATGTGGTAATATTTGGTCTTTTTCTTTCTCATGCCTTCCTAGAAAAAGAGTAAAACTGAAATAAAGCCTCTTTCATTGCAGTCGACACAGGTGATTATGAAAGACTTCAGAAATAAACCCCAGTGTCCTACGAGGCTAAATGACTTAGAGCCCACTCTGCATGACATATACTGTTTATAGTTTTTGAATATTTGAGGGATCTGGTTTGGGAAGCAATGACAAGAAAACCAGATTTTTGCAGTAAAATAAAATAAGAAAGAAGTCAATGGCATTGAATCCTAAAAGTCTTCCAAGCAAGAAGCCAGGGTAAGAGATACGTAGTTCAGCAAAGGTTTCGAATCCTCTTGAACCTTTATAGCCTCTAATCCTTAACACAGGTCTGCTCCCTTGTTCAAATTCATTAAATACCCAAAACAGCTGGGTAAAATATGGAATAATATAGGGTTACTGTTAACTTGTTTAAATTCAGATCAAATCTTAGTCTTTGTTGTTGTTGTTGTTCTGGCCTTTTCTGTTTAATTTGCTTCAAAGGTTTTCAGGAGCAGTGATGTGAATTATTCTGCATGTGCTGGATAGATTTTAGGCTTTAAAAGAGGCAAGATGCCTCTGACTTTGTGAGCACGAAAAGACTACCCTGAGCAGGGTTTTCAGATTTGGTTAGTCTGAAAGTAGTGACTCATATGGGTTATTATTTCCACAAAGATCAAAGACGTGTCTAATTGGATAAGGTGGGTAGCACAACAGGTGGTTTGTATCAAGTCTTCTCTTTGCTTTACAAAAAGCAGAGTAAATGCTCAGGTGAGAAATCTCACTCCAGCAAAGTTCACAAATTAATTTTCAAATTGCTGAGTTTTGAAGGAGTGTTAGTATTTTCAGTGTTAGAAGTTAAAGTTCAAGTTATCACCATAACCTACAACTTTGTTTCCTTTCCTATCTTGGCTTAACTGAAATCTGTAAGACATTATATTAATCTTTTTTTCTCCCCCCACAATTTTCCCTTCTCTAAAACTTCTGGAAAGAGCGTCAACATCAAATGAAAACATTTCCACAAACAGCCACATTAATTTGACTTATGTAAAGAATACATTACTCATAATTCAGTTAAAATATAAAATATTTAAATTTGATATCTTTTCTCTTGACAAAGATGTAAATTTGGCACAGATTTATTTAATGGAGGGGTTAAAATACTTTTATATTTTCTAAGTGACTTTTTTTTTCCCACTGATCAAGAGATAGCCATACGTTTTGTATCTCTTTTTTTTTTTTTTTTTTCTAACAAGACAAAAAGTCAAGTGTCTTTAACAACGTATGTTGAAGACTGCTCAGGGCAGTCTTTTCATGCTGACAAAGTCAGAGGCATCTTGCCTCTTTTAAAGCCTAAAATCTATCCAGCACATGTGGAATAATTCTCATCACTGCTCCTGAAAACCTTTGAAGCAAATAAACAGGAAAGGCCAAAAAAAAAAAAAAAAAAAGATTAAGATTTGATCTGAATTTAAACAAGGATTTTCAGGCCAGGCACAGTGGCTCACGCCTGTAATCCCAGCACTTTGCGAGGCCGAGGCAGGCGGATCACCTGAGGTCAGGAGTTTGAGACCAGTTTGGCCAACATGGTGAAATCCCATCTCTACTAAAAATACAAAAATTAGCTGGGCTTAGTGGCGCGTGCCTGTAGTCCCAGCCACTCAGGAAGCTGAGGGAGGAGAATCGCTTGAACCTGGGAGGTGAAGGTTGCAGTGGGCCGAGATCGTACCACTGCACTCCAGCCTGGATGACAGAGTGAGACTCCATCTCAAAAAAAAAAAAAAAAAAAAAAAGGTGATTTTAAATTCTAGGACATATTTATATAAATGACATTTGTCCCTACCCTTTTCTTGTTTACAGAGAAGAAATGCCACCCAACCTCCTCAGTTTTGTATTTATTTGACTGATAAAAGAAAAACTTCAGCTGAATTAAATTTAAAGAAGTTTAACTGAACAACCAACGATTCACGAATCAAGCAGCTTTCCCAGCCAGAGTAGGCTCAGAGACTCCAGCACAGCCACATGGGAGAAGATTTATGGACAGAAAAAGGAAAGTGAGGCACAGAAGCAACTAGATTGGTTACAGGTTGGCATTTGCCTTATTTCAACATGTTCAAACAATTGGCTACATTTGGCCAAAACTCAATGATTGGCACAAGTGTAAGCTACGGTCTGTTTACACCTCCACTTGTTATAGTTCACAATGTACAGAAAAACCTTTAAGTCGAACTTAAAATACGTACAGAGGCAACTTTAGGCTAAACTTGATTTAACAGGACTTTGGAGAATTGTTAATTTGAGTATATTAGGAATATAGCCATTTTGTGTATAAAAAAGCTATGCGTGGTTTTACAGGAACCTAGTTCAAGAAAAATCAGACATATAAAACAGACTAATAAGGAAGTGCTTACTCTGATTAGAAAATTATTCACCTTACAGGATAATTTGCATCAGAGTTCATTTTATCTGTGTGCATCCGAAATATGATTTTGTATTAAAAGTGAGTACTTATTACTATCTTAAATTTTATTGCATTTGTCTAATTATCCAGATAATTATGGTTTTTAAGAAAGATATGCTTTCACCTGAACTACCCCAAACCTGAGAAATAATGTTATTTATAGAACATTAGAACTGGAAGGGAACTGAGAAACCCTTTAACCAAGCTGTATGTAGATTTGTTTTTTTAATGTTGAGCTTGTAGTTAGAATGTAGATGCAGGAAAGTTGATCAGCATTATCATCACTTATTAATTTATTCTAGCTCTCATTTTGTAAGTGTGTGTGTGTGCATGTGTGTATTTGGCGTAAGAAGTTGGCTAAAATTTCCTAGCCTAAAAATGATCAAAGGAGTATTTTCTTGATCTGCAGTCAAATGCTCTACCCCTGAGCTATACCTTCTCCTTAAAGGAGTATTTTCTACTACCCCTTTATTCAGCAAGTAGCAAATAAAAAGAAAGGAACCTTAAAGTCTTTATAGGTGACTTTTATTTGAAAAATATATGACATATGACCCACATCTATGTACTAGTTTTAAATGCTATCTGGCCTTTGTTATTATTTGTCTTAACAAAACAAAACAAAATCGTGCAGTTGTCAGAGGTGTGTGAACCAGAGCAACTCCATCTTAAGTAGGAGCTGGGTAAAATGAGGCTGAAACCTACTGGGCTGCATTCCCAGATGGTGAAGGCATTATAAGTCACAGGATGAGACAGGAGGTCAGCACAAAATACAGGTCATGAAGACCTTGCTGATAAAACAGGTGGCAGTAAAGGAGCCGGCTAAAACCCACCAAAACCCAAATGTCGACGAGAGTGACCTCTGGTTGTCCTCACTGCTACACTCCCAACAGCACCATGACAGTTTACAAGTGCCAAAGCAAATCAGGAAGTTACCCTATGTGGGCTAAAAAGGGGAGGTGTGAATTATCCACCCCTTGTTTAACATATCATCCAGAAATAACCATAAAAATAGGCAACCAGCAGCCCTCGGGGCTGCTCTGTCTATGGAGTAGCCATTCTTTTATTCCTTTACTTTCTAAATAAACTTGCTTTCACTTTGCACTGCAGACTCGCCCTGAATTCTTTCTTATGCGAGATCCAAGAACCCTCTCTTGGGGTCTGGATCAGGACCCCTGTCCTGTAACATATTTCTGGTGACCATGAAGGGACTATAGTGCAGTAGCCCTGACCCAATGGCTACCTTTGGGTAAGTGTCGGGGTCCTGTAACGTCTTTCTGGCGACCAAGGAAGCGACTATACTGTGGAAACCCCCGACCCAAAGGCTACCTTTCGGTAAGTGGTGGGGTCCGGTAACATCTTTCTAGGGAACCACAAAAGGGACAATACTAAGGAGACCCCCCCCCCTCGCCTGACCCAAAGGAAATAGACTGCAGCACTGATGGGACAACTTTGGGTAAGTGGTGAGGTACCCAGGTAAAGAATGGGATTGGGTTAAGGGCCCAACTTAGGGGAGTTAGGGTCTCTCCTAAGACAGAATGGGTTAGAGGCCCATCTTAATAAAAGGCAAGGATGCTTGACTTTAGGTTAGAGGCCCGACTTAGGAGGGTTAGAGTCCCTTCTAAGATTTAGGGGGTTAGAGGCCTCTCTCAGTAAAGTCTCTCTCAGTTAAGAACAGGTTTGGCACTATGTGATGTTAACTGCTGTTCTCTTTGGATTAATCTGCCTTGCAGTCTTTGCTGATGGCTGTGGGTGACAAGGTTAGGCATGTACAGGATCCAGGGACATAGGGACCTTTTTCCTCCCTAAAAGGGAAACTTGAGAGCTAACAGGATGGCTGGAAAATATCCCTTTGCTACCGAGAAACAGCCGACTGGACTTTTCAATATTGCTGCAATGGGTGGGTCTTTCTCACCCCCCTGAGCATTTCGCCTTCCCCACACTGCCACAGGCAATGCTTTTCTCTCTCTCCTTTCCCTTTCTTATCTTTTCTATTACTCAGGGCAGCCATCTTGCCCAGAGACCACGTGTCGTGTCGAAACTCCAAGTCAGAGGTTGGATTAAAGATGACAGGGCCCATCTGGTGGCAAATTTAAGTCTTGCCACTTTGATATTGGGTGCTAAGCAGAGTGGCTAACATCTATGTTTTATCACACGTATTTTACTCTGGCCAGAATGAAAAAAAGTAATTTTCTTTTATATGCGGCTTGGCCCCCAGGGCGATGATGCCACAAACCGGATCACTAGGGCCATTCAGAAGCCTGGCATGCCGGCCAAAGGGTAAGCATTTCTTACCAGTCAGATTTCTGGCTTCTCTCTCTCTCTCTCTCTCTCTCTCTCTCTCTGTGCAAATGGTTAAATGAATGGAAAAAAAAAAACAAAACAAAAACCAGTGTTTATCTCCTCTGTAAAGTTTTGATTAATGTGAAAAAGAATTCTAAGGCTAGTCTTAAACTGTTGTATTTTATGCTATGAATTCGTTTTTCTGTAGAATAAAACATGGGCTTAGAATACCTGTAACCCCACATTTCAAGACGTCCCAACAAGCTGGTCAGTAAACAAACTTGGCTGCAGGTGTCTGAAACAAACAAAAAAACTGGATGAAGTCTCCACCTTGTTTCATGTCCTTGGGAGCTTGACTTTTTAACCCCGTGGTGGTACCTTCTCTTGGTCTCCGCCTTGCAGGGAACAGGAATTTTAGGGTTCATGTCATAGTCAACTCTAAAAATCATATTAAACAGTTAAAACCCTTTACAACCTCAAAATTAACTACTCTAGACTTCTTCTGGGAAAGAAAATGGAGACTGCCTCCTACTGTAACTCAGTAACTAAGGTTTTACACTTTTACAGTGGTGGTCCGGGTTCAATTCCTCACCTAGGAAGTAAATCATTTCTGGCTTAATATCTGCATGACCTTGTCTATTCTCTTCTCTGTGGACTATCTTAAATTTTCCTTTCTCTATGCAGCTAGCAGGTTACCTCTGGTAAAGTTCAGAAGCTAGAAATATTGGCTGCTTGGCATGGCTGAAGTCAGGTAATAAGAGATCTGAAAGGATTTCTTTTTTAAAGAGCACTATGGTTAAAAGTCAACTTAACTAAAAGTGGATAAACAAGCTATAGATATATTTTAAAGGCCTTTATGTTTTTCTCTTCTTGGAACTTGTTTTTCCGGGACTCCTTGGGAAAAACAGAGGAGGTGCCACAGACCCCGTTTTGGGGAAAAATCTGTTTTCCTCATGAAACCCCAAGAATTAAAAACAGATAGATCCCTCTCAAAATCAAAGACTCTGTTCTGTTTTACATTACGTTATATGATGGTTTTGAGTTTTGGGGATATCAGAAATTACTTCACATTATGAGAGAGTTTTGATGTGTAATAACTAGGTAGTTAATAGTAGTTACAGAGGGATACTTGACTCTTTGCACACTTGTATCAGAGAAACATGCTCTTGGCCACCTGGAAGATAAGGAAACATCCCTACCCCCTCGGGAGATGAGGCTTCCCTGAGGGATGGGCTGATTACCAAATGGGCTGATTAGCTTTGGGTTGTTTTACAATGAAATACAGAGTAGAAGCACTACACTATCTTCCACAGTATTTCCCTCCTTTTGGGGATCCAGGAACCAGTATAAAATGATACCCTTAATTTTGGGGATCTGTCTTTGCCTTCAGCTGCTTATTTGGCCCTAGAAATGGATGCTTTCCTGGCCCTGTTCTTCCAAGGGCTCCACCCTGAAGCCAGTAATCCAATTAAGAAAATGACCAATGAAAAATCTTACAAGTACTGAATCTTCTCTCTGTGTGTCATATGTGTCATATGTTTATATATAAAAGAGCTCTAATTAACTGGCTTAGAAAAATGAACAATTAAATAAAATATTTTGTCAGAAAAATAGAAACTTTAATGCCTTTTTGTTCACGTGACTTTAGTAATCTTTTGGAAATAAAGACAATTTTAAAGATTATAGGTAAAGTAAAATGTCTTCAAAATGTAGACATTTGGTCTAAATTAAGACCAGATATCAGATTTACTAACTACTTTAAGGTCAAACTGTTTCTTTGACTTTTGAAAATTGTTCAATTTACCTCCCTTAAAGCCATTAGATTCTAGATAAGGCCTGGGGACATGTGGAGTTAGCCACACCCCTAACTATGCTAGAGAGTCAGCTCTTATCTACACTTCTGCCTGGTGTCCTAGACTAGACTCCACACCTAGTACACAATTAAAATTGCTTACTAACCAGGGTTTTCACCAAAAGTAAAAGTTACTAAGAGTTAATATTATAACATGATTAAAACTACTAAAGAAACAACTTTATATGCAAGGTGTGTAAAGAAAGTAAAATGTGTTTTTGGTGAAATATTATAAGAAGTCATGGGAATGTGGATTTTTTCGGCCTAGAGTACTAAAGGATTGTTTTAAGTGAAAAAAAAAATCTAAAAATTTAAACAAGTTGTGGAAGGTTTATAAAGATTAATTGTAAGAGATTCTGTATGTGAACATATTGGCTAAAGTTAAAGGAATATTATTCAGTTTTTCCATAAATTAAACATTGGAATAAAAGCACAACGGGCTTTTCTTAGAGCACTGATCGGATCTTTCACAAAAAAAATGTAAAGGGTTATAGCAGGTTTATAAGAATCTTATGGTTAAACATTAAAATTAGGTAAATATGTCTATAAGGTTTTATTAAAAATTGAGTTTAACATTAATAGTACATTAATGTAAAGGTGAAATTTCACTTATTTGGTATAAAAACTATACAGGAAGCATTATCAAATATGAAATAGTATTTTGCTTTCTTTGCACTATATTTGCATAAATGTGTTATTAGTATATGTTCCAAAATTATGGGAAACTCCTATAATTCTAATGTAACTTAGTGTATGTTATTAATACTTATAATTGTTATGTAAAATTTTGTGTGCCACAGAAGTAACCAAATTTCCTTATCAGTTGTGGCTTTAACAGTGGCTGTCCTAAAACTTTTTATCTTCCACAGACAATTGTTGTCTTGTTTTAATCCTCTTCAGAAGGTGGTCTATAATCAACTATAGAACTCTAACAGATGTTCCTAAATAAAGGTTTTCTAATAACTTTGGAAAATTGTAACATTAGAATAGAGGAAACAACTTTCAGAACTCTCATGAAGAACTGGAATATTCATGAATATCAAATAGAAGAGGAGTTAATGGAGTTAACTGAACCAATACAAAACTGAAGCAATCTTTTTAACTTTGCTTAAAACACTACTAATCCTTTGTTTTGTTTTTCGGAGTCAAGGAAACTTTTAAGCTATTTACAGCTTGTAACAATTGAATAAAGTATACTACTGTGAACAAAATTTAGAACATATTTGTTTCTTTCTACCTGATTTCTCCAGAGTTTAGAAACTAGCTGTAAGTATTCTTATGGCAATATAGTTAGTTACATAAGTACAATAAGATTCTGTTTTCTTTTGTAACAGGACACAATTGGAGAAATTGGTTAATTTTACTAAGACTTTGACTAGAATGGTGTACTTTCCTTTAAGGAATCAAACTTAACTTGTAAAGGCCTGTAGGGAACTAGCCTCATACCTTCCCTACACAGTCCCTGTATAGGTTTCTGACCTGTGTTAAGTAAAGAATGTCACTTTCTCACAGGTCCAGGAGCCCCAAGTTATCTTGGGACCTCAAAAGGAGAAGAATTTACCCAATTCATAGGTATTTGAGGGTAAAAACCCATGGCAGGACTTGACTTTAAAAAAGTCTCATCTGAGATTCCTTATGAAACAGAGTTCCATCAAAGCCAATTAAAAACCTATGTGAAAAATAATTATTCTTATTACACTTTATACAAATAATCAGGCCAAGTATAATAAAACAAATCAGTCTTACCATGATTTGTCTTTAATAAAAATGAGAAACTGGAGAGAGAGAAATATGTTTCAAAAACTGTGTTATACTTTCTGGTCTCATCAATTGTTTTTAAGTTTGTTTCTACAATTTAGGCTAACCCTACTTATTGCTGTAAACCAACCAGGGCTCTCTGACTACTACACAGAAGAAACAAGAGGGACAGGTAATGTAAAAATCTGGATCAGTATTCTAATTCTGGATATATTAGAATCAAGTAACAACCCCATACCAACTTAGTTCTAACAGCTGCCCAGTTCATGAAAAGCCTTCTAATTTAATTTACTTAGAATAACTTTACTTATTTTACATTACTCTTGTGGAATATATTACTGTTCTACTCTTTGTGTAGAAATACAGGACAAACTTACTGAATGTTTTCTTAAACATTTATTAATATTCCAGATATCACCTTTTGTCAAAACTCAAGAGTTGTGAATAGACCTTAAGATACTGATACTTTCTTTTTTTCTTTTTTCTTTTTTTTTTTTTTTTTGAGTGGGAGTCTCATTCTGTCACCCAGGCTGGAGTGCAATGGCACAATCTTGGCTCACTGCAACCTCCATCTCCTGGGTTTGAGCAATTCTCCCTGCTTCAGCCTCCCGAATAGCTGGGATTACAGGCTCCTGCCACCACACCCGGCTAATTTTTGTATTTTTAGTAAAGATGGGGTTTCACCATGTTGGCCAGGCTGGTCTCATACTCCTGACTTCAGGTGATCCACCTTCCTCAGCCTCCCAAAGTGCTGGGATTACAGGCATGAGCCACCGCGCCCAGCCACCATAGCGATACTTTCTGATTGAACTCCTCTCTACCCTGAATGCAAGAAACGCTCATAGTGAGATAGGAATATCATCACCCCTATTCAGCCTAAAGAAGTTACAGAAGATGGATCTTCCTCCCTCTACAACCCTTAAGATTAATGATTCTCTTATAAAAGGGAGAGAAGAAATGTTAGAGGAGTGTGAACCAGAGCAATTCCATTTTCAATAGGAGCTGGGTAAAATGAGGCTGAAACCTACTAGGCTGCATTCCCAGATAGTTAAGGCATTCTAAGTCACAGGATGAGTTAGGAGGTCAACACAAAATACAGATCATGAAGACCTTGCTGATAAAACAGGCTGCAGTAAAAGAACCAGCTAAAACCCACCAAAACCCAAAGGGTGATGAGAGTGACTTCTGGTCATCCTCACTGCTACACTCCCAACAGCGCCAATGCAGTTTACAAATGCCATGGCAAGTCATGAAGTTTCCCTATGTAGTCCAAAAAGGGGAGGCATAAATAATCCATCCCTTGTTTAACATACCATCATCCAGAAATAACCATAAAAATGGGCAACCAGCACCCCTCAGGACTGCTGTATCTATGGAGTAGCCATTCTTTTATTCCTGTACTTTCTTAATAAACTTGCTTTCACTTCGCTCTGCAGACTTGCGCTGAATTCTTTCTTACATGAGATCCAAGAACCCCCTGTTGGGGTCTGGATCAGGACCCCTTTCCTGTACCACAGTCACCCTCACTTTACTCCCTTCTCATCGCTGTATCTTTAAACCTCTAATTTGAGATATCTTTTAAATCTATCCCAGTGTCTGTCACTGTCCTGAAGATAAACACACCTCTAGCCATGCACACCAAAAAGAACTGGTCAGGGAAGGAGAAAGGTTTGTTGTTGTTGTTTTTTGAGGGAGAGTCTCACTCTGTCACCCAGGCTGGAGTGCAGTAGCGCGATCTCGGCTCACTGCACCCTCTGCCTCTTGGTGCAAGCGATTTTCATGTCTCAGCCTCCCGAGTAGCTGGGATTACAGGCATTTGCCACCGCACCAGGCTAATTTTTGTATTTTAGTAGAGACGGGGATTCACCATGTTGGCCAGGCTGGCCTCGAACTCCGGACCTCAGATGATCCACCCGCCTTGGCCTCCCAAAGTGCTAGGATTACAGGCGTGAGCCCCGGGGCCCTGCCAGAAAGGAGGCTTTTTACCAACAAATTTTAAAAAGAAACAACAAACCAAAGAATTTTGCCATGGACAGTGGCAAAGTATCTGCTGTGCTGTTTCTGACCCTCCATAAAAATCATGTTCAGAAATGGTAAAAAGGCTAACGAAGATCAAACAAGAAGAGACAGAATCACGGGCGAAGGGGGCGCATTCAGGGTTTTCTGGACGTCAGGAAGGGACCGCGGTGGGGTGCTTTAGAAGTGGCCGGAGCCCGCACCTGCATGCAGCTCGCGCAGAAAGCGCCTGGACGCTCCCTTAGGACCGTTTGCATTCTGGCCGCTCGACAAAAACACCCTTTTGAAAAGGTGGTACTCACTGGGCTGTCAGAATTAAGGAACACCAAATTAAGGCTAATAAAACCGTGCTGGGCTCAGAACTGAGCCTTGGTTTTAATCCCGATGCTTTGGATTAATACCAGGCTCTAATTTCAAACATTCAGGGCAGCTCTTTGGAAGAAATAAAGAAGACAAGAACGTCATACAGATTTATTAAACAAACATTTGTGTTTGTTTATGCTAGAAGAGCTGGGGGGTTGCGTTTTTTGCCAAGAGCACCCCTAACAGTTAAGAAAGTGCGAAGGGAGTCATTGCGAAGGCAGCCAAAGACCGAAGCGGCGCCCTGCAAGTTCTTCCCAAGTCCTCTTGGGAAAGGCGAGCCTGAGAGGGAGAGGCGCTTTTCACCAAAAGGTGTTTTGCAGAGGGCGGGAGGGAGCTCCCCGCTTCCAGCTCCCGGAGTGGCCTGGAGCCTGTGCCCAAAGGTAGGCATGGTGGAGCGGTTGGAATCTGGTTCACAGCAACCAGCCAGGGTCTTGTGAACAACCCTTCAGCCGTCAGAAGTTCTCGCCAAAGGGTGCTTGGAGAGGGCTGGCCTTTGAGTGGAGTTTATGTTGCAATTGTTCTTTCTTGTTCTTTTCAGTCCAATGTGAAAACAAAGGGCATAATTGGGTCTACTGGCCTGCGGGTTGTGGGTGCATTTCAGACTCTGGGCTGGGAAATCATGCACCCGTGTCGCATTCCCACTCCAGACGCCGCAGTTTTGAGGCGCAATGGGGCCTTTGGCCTGATCATACTCAGGAATCCTTTTAGGCCCTTTGGCCTAGAGGCCAGAGCCGGGGTCTGCAGAGACGCAGGCACTCTCTGTCCCCGCGAGCCCCACCACTGGGTTGCTGCTTTTGAGCCGGTTGCTTCGGGCCGGCAGCCCTTCTTATTTCAGCACAAAAGGTTTGAGGTGCATTGCTTTCTTTGGCGTAAAGCCCTTGCGGGGTCAGAGTGAAATCTCCGCCTTTTTTCAGGAGCATTGCAACACAAAAGATTTAAGGGGGGAAATTGTTAAAAGGAAGCCCTTTTCTCTTTAGGCTGAATGCAGTGGGGAGATTAAAACTTTCATTGAGATTTTGTTGTATTCATGGTGGTGGGGCCGTGAATAGGGCTGGGCTAAAGCCCCCTGCGCTGGTGTGTGCCCTTTTATCTCCGGCACATCTTCAGACACAGGTTGTTTTGCACTTGAAAGAGAGGAAAGAGGGGAATGTGGGATTTTGACAGCTGATATTGGCCTCTGAACTCTTGATGGGGATTTTCTAATTAACCCCAAGTACCCATCAGGTGGCCAAAAAGGAATGATTTCTGTCAGAAAGGGCAAAAAGTTTCCCATTTTGAGCAAATGGAAGGGGGAATGGTTAACATCCAGAGTAAGGAAATGTAGAAAGACCCTCAATGCAGAATCCGAAAAGCCAGCTGTCTGCAGGTTGGGTTGAGTGAAGTGTGGGGACATCAGTAAGAGAGGCTGTTAAGTACCATTTTGGCATCATCAGATTCAGAACACTTGGGAAAAGTAAATGTGGTTCCGGAGACTCAGAGAAAATAACTCCCTGTGCTTTTGAAAGCCAAGATCAGCTGAGAAGCTTGGGTGAAGAGCTCAAGCTCTTAGTTTTACCATTAGGTCTACATGAGAGATTCCCATTTGTTTGTTTATTGTAATTCTAGTTCCTACTTAAGACTCTTGGCCAAGACCCTAACATACCATACATGAACTGAAATAAATTCCACATGGTTTTAGAGAAAGCACCTCCAGTGGTAGAAATAGCATATCAGCCTTTGTAAATGGAGCGAGAACTACTGATTCATCGGCTCCGAAGCAAAACCATGTGGCTTGTTTTGGAACAAGTCCTAAGAAGGAATAATAAGTTTGAAGTTTGGATGATGAGCTGCCAAGCTCTAAGTCCCCTGGGGATCCAGATTCAGTGTTTTGGGGGATATGGTCCCTGGAAGGTACATGGTTGAACAAGGCCCCACACAGGTGATTCTTCTGATTGGGCCAAGCTCTAACGCAGCGTTTCCCAGGTTTCTCTTATGATAACAACACTAAGCTTGTTTAAAAAACAAACAAACAAACAAATTTTGGGTGTCCATCTTCATACTGAAACAAAACTCCGGTGGATAGATTATGGGGAAAAAATGTATATTTTTAACAAACTTCTCAGAGTGCTATGAAGGCCCCCAAATCTGATTTTTTTCCTATGCCACTGGTTGCTGCTTCTGAGCCTTACAGATTCCTTTTTAAAATTTAAAATTTATTTTTAGTTGATAAATAATTGTATGTGTGTATGGAGTACAGTGTGATGTTTTGATCTATGTACACATTATAGAAAGAGTCACTTGAGCTAATTAACAGATGCCTTTTCATTTCCCTGACCTCAAAATGTTGGAGAGCCCCATGGCTCAGTCTTGAGTACTGTTCTTTTTAGGCTTCACCTCCTGGGTGCACTCCTCCAGCCTTGTAGGTTTCTACTAGACACCCAGAGTTATACCTCCAGCTCAGTGTCCCCCTGAACCCTAGACTCTCTGTATATCTATTTGCTTGCTTGGTATCTCCACTTGGCCTTGGTCTTTGGTTTGGGGTATTCTCTCCCCAGGTATCAGAGAGAAGGCCAGTGTGCCTGGAGCATGACATGCTATGGAAGAACAGTAGATAAGGCTGGAGTGGAAGACAAAAGCCAGCTCATGTAGAGCCCCTTAGGCCATAGGAAGGAGCCTAGGTTTTATTTGAAGTGACTTTGGGTGGTTTTAAAAAGTTCAGAGAGTTGGGGAGACATTACTTGATCTATTTAAGGTTTTAAAAGGACACTCGGGCTGTCATTAGAAGAAGAAATTGTAGAAGGGCAAGAAATGCAGAAGATGGCAGAGCAGTTAGGAGTCTTTTGCAGTAGTCCAGGCAAGAGATAATTGTGGCTTAGTCAAAGGGAAAGGAGTGGGCAGTGGGGATAATTTTGAAAGGATGGGATTTAGAGCAGGAGGAACAAAAATCAGGATGACTCCCAGGTTTTTGGTTTAGTAATTTAGATGGGGGTGCCATTTACTGAGAGAAGTAGAAGACTGTTTTCTATCCATTTTCGTGTCATAACACATATACTAATTGATAATATTTGTAAGATTTAGCTGGATAAACTAGAGGAGATTTGCAGATGTCTAAGGTGAAATTTTTCACTGTTTTTCTATATATGATACGATTATAAGAAAAATCAAATACAAAGTATTAGGAAGGATTTAAATCTCAAATATGTAACACAAGTAAATACGTCAAAAATATATTTCAAATAAAATCTCTTAAAAATGTGATGAGAAACTTGTTTGGGAATATTGCTTGGGAACAAGGGGGAACATTGCTTCAATGATCAAGACTTGAAAAAAAAATGGTTTTAAGCTTGAAATAGCTTATACAATTCTAACAAAGACTACTTAACAATAAGCTCTTAAAATTCCTGAAAAACACAATCAGTGAAAACTTGTATTCACACAGGAAACATAAGTTAAACTATTTTTATCATCATTCAAAAATTTTAATAATTGCAGTTAAATTTTAGAACTTTTAGTGCTAAAATCTTTGGTATTTTAAATGAATTTCAAATCCAATCAAATGTTTTCATTTACTGTATTTATGTGTTCATTCAACAAATATTTATTGAAGATTACTATGTTCAGGTACTGTTCTAGCCACATAAATACGAAGCACTTCAAAATAATGAAACTCTAATTTGCAGAGTCTGCTTGCCTAACACACCAGCTCATTTGTTACAATATGTCATCTGACATATGGGAAAGGAGAGGGTAGAAACCACCACCTGGAGATGCACCTGTGTGGTCTCTAGCTCCCGCCTCCTTGGTCTGTAGCTCTCTACAGAGGTCTCCCGCCCTCTAGCTCTGGGCTCTTTGGGCACCTGAAATTCCTCTAGTATCTCCGTGGGTGCCCTGCAGCTGACTGTGAAAGGAGAAATCCAGGCCATGCTCAACTCACTGGGTGCTTGAGTAGATCCCATAAAGCCAGAGGTTGCTATCCCAGGGCCTCTAGTGGCCACCCTCACAGCCTAACATGATGCTACCGGTGGGTGCCACAGCACATTGGGTAAGGTACTCTGACCCAACCAGTTCTAGTCAATGAGCAGAACTGTTATGAACTGACTTGTGTCCTCCCAAAATTCATATGTTGAAGCCATAACTTCCAATGTGACTATATTTGGAGAAAGGGTCTTTAAGGAGGTAACTAAAGTTAAATGAAGTCATAGGGCTGGGGCCCTAATTCAATGTGACTGGTGTTCTTCTAAGAAAAGGGAGAGACACCAGGGATGCAAGCCCAAAGAGCAAAGGCCAAGTGAGGACACAGCAAGAAGGCGGCCCTCTGCAAGCCAAGGAGAGAGGCCTCAGGGGAAACCAAACTTGCCAGCACTCATCTCTCGGACTTCCAGCCCCTAGAACTATGAGAAAATAAATTTCTGTTGTTTAACCCACTGAGTCTAAGGTATTTTATTATGGCACCCCCCAGCAGACTAATACAAGAATGGAGCCAAATGCAGTGGTTTTCAATCTTGGCTCCCTATTAGGATCACTGAGGAGCTTTAGGCAAATGCCTGGGTTCTACCCTCAGAAATTCTGATTTGATTGGCCAGCTGTGTAACCTGCCTATCAGGACACTTAAAAAGTTCCACAGGTGAGCCTAATGTGCAGGCAAGGTAAGAATCACTGGGGCAATAGATAGAAATTTTAAGGAGACAGATTTAATTCTTTCTGAAAATAATCCAAACCTTTGTCTTGGGTCAACTAATTAGCACCTGGTATTAATCCAAAGCATCAGGATTAAAACCAAGGCTCAGTTCTGAGCCCAACACGGTTCTGTTGGCCTTAATTTGGTGTTCCTCAATTCTGACAGCCCAGTGAATACCACCTTTTCAAAAGGGTGTTTTTGTCGAGCGGCCAGAATGCAAAAGGTCCTAAGGAAGTGTCCAGGCGCTTTCTGCGTGAGCTGCGTGCAGGGGCGGGCTCCGGCCCCTTCTAAAGCTGCCCCCGCAGTCCCTTCCTGACGTCCAGAAAACCCTTAATGTGCCCCTTTTGCCCGTGATTCTGTCTCTTGTTTGACCTTCGTTAGCCTTTTTACCATTTCTGGTCCCGGTGCAGTGACTCACGCCTGTAATCCCAGCACTTTGGGAGTCCGAGGAGGGCGTATCATCTGAGGTCAGGAGTTTGAGACCAGCCTGGCCAATATGGTGAAACCCTGTCTCTACTAGAAATACAAAAATTAGCCAGGCGTGGTGGCTTGCGCCTGTAGTCCCAGCTACTCGGGAGGCTGAGGTAGAAAAATCGCTTGAACCCGGGAGGCAGAGGTTGCAATGAGCTGAGATCGTGCCACTGCACCCTAGCCTGGGTAACAGAGCAAGACTGTGTTTCAAAAAAAAAAAAAAAAAAAAATTGTGAGACTTTCATCCTGAAAAGTATTTAAGCAGAGATTGGAAATAGTGTAGGGGTTTTGGGGGAGAGTTTGGACCAGATGACCAGGATGCCATTCCTACCGGCAGATGAACATCCATGTCATCACCCTCAACATGCATTCTCACTTCCACCTGACCCCACACTTGAGCACCCTGGATTGATATCTTACTGTGTCATTTCTGATCCCCACCACTTATTTTCTCAGTTGCCTTATTTGGGTGTGTTTCTCTGTGGACTTCCAGGTCCTTACCATTAAAAGAAGAGGCTAAACTTGATGTGTTCTAAGGTCTTTTCCAGATATCAGATTTCTTAATTTTAACCAAATAAAAATATAGCTTCCTGACTGTAATAGGAGATGAGAATTAAGCTGGCCACTTCAAGCCATATCAAGTTCCTCTCTAAGAGAAAGACAGATTTAGCCAATGAGCTATGCTTATTTCTACACAAATTGAATTAGTGGAAACTGAAAGCATCACCTGCTGGAGCTGGCCATGACAGATAAAGGCTTTCTTAGAATGACTGCCTGGGAAAGCATACATGTATCATGAGTACACCTGCCAGCCTCGTTTGTAGTTTTTTTGCTGCTAGATGCTTACCATCCTATAAGTCAGCACAGAAGAGAAAAGCAGTATTGGGCATGAGGATTATCTCTATATACCCTCTAATCAGTGCTAAAAACTGTGGACTCTTAGGGAAGGGGAGACATCAGAGGCCTTTCTGCTGTTAACCCTTAGGGCCTTGCCTGGAATGTGCCTTCCAGTATATTTTGTTCCTGATGGCCATGGATTTGGGGTCTCAGCCTGCTCTTGGGACTTAGGGTCCTGCCCCTAGCCCTTCCCTTTGAGATTCTCCCTTTCCTAAGTACAATTGCAGTCAGGTGCATCTCACTCTTTTGCACATTTTATGCCACATCTGAAACTAGACATAATACTTTGGCATTGAACAGTTTTATCACTGCTAATGTGCAGAAACGGGGAAAGTAACAAAAGTGGTCAACTTGAACATAGTGCAGTGATTTTAAGTCTTACAGGATTTTGGAATCAAAGCCTATGAACTAGTGTTCTTGCTTCTTTCTGAGATGAAAACTAAAAACTCAGCTGCACTTTCATCCTCTGCATTTATCATCATCAGAATGGACATCACCAACTGTCCCTTCTCCCTGCAGACCTCTCAGATACCATCAGTCAGGATACTCCAGAGAAACAGACCAATTAGATAAATAGATTAGATTAGACAATTGCTATAAATATAGATGTAGATAGATACACATGTATACATATACATATGTATTTATATATATATACATACACATATATGTGTGTTAAGATATTTATTTTTAAAAATTGGCTCATGAGATTGTGGAAGCTGCAAGTTTGAAATCTATAGGGCAGACTGCCAGGCTGGAAACTAAGGTAGGAGTTGTTGTTATTGAATTCTTGAATTCTCAAGAATTCAGTCTTGAGACTGAATTTCTTCTTTGGGAAACTGCAGTTTTTGCTTTTAAGGCTTTCAACTGATTAGATGAGGGTCATCCATATTATTGAGGGCAATCTCTTTTATTTAAAGTGAACTGATTATATATCATAATCACATCTACAGAACATACAGCAATATCTAGCTTGGAGTTTGATTAAATAAGTGGTTGCTATAGCCTAGCTAAGTTGACACATAAAGCTAGCTATCACAGACACTAAGTGGCTAGCAACTTCTGGGTCCAACGTTTGCTTTGTGCTTGGTAATCTCTTGGGCTTTGGGAAAAAAACATATCTGGCCTTGGTTTCTTTTTCTTCAATGATCTGGCCTGTCTGTGGACATTGCCCCATTGAAAAACTGGTTTTGGAGGTCAAAGCCAAAGAGGCTTGGTACCGTAGAATGATATCGATGAAAAGGACTTGAAAAATGACCTATTCAAGCCCCTCAACTTACAAATAAGGAGATGGAAGCCTAACAAGGAGAGGCTATTTAAAGCCATTTATAATGACAATAGTCAAGAGACTGTGACCTGTGATCACACAAGGTCACTAGAGCCTTGAAATGCCTCGTAACAATAATTGCCATGTTTTCCTAAACATAGCACTCGGGGACCATGTGCTGGCCTGGGCGTGGGCGCCATCAGGCATATCATCAGCAGTGTTCACCAGTTGCCTACAAAAGAGGCTTCTGGAGATTAGGCCTTAGCTAGATTACAACCCGTTGGCATCTAGTGAATGTCATGTACTCCGAAAGCAGAAACACACTGGATGATGTTAAAATAAAACCATATAAGAGAAAAGGTGGAACTCTTCTGAGGAAAGAGGGAGGAAAATAGGTGACTGATCAGGGAGATCATGCCAGAGCTTTAGAGCCTCCCTGCATTGTTCACAACTGGATTGGCCACCTCTTTGGCAGCCATTACGTGGGAACACCTGAATAGGTGGATGAATATGTGTGTGCATGCACTACAGCACCTGAGCTACTCCGTAAGATGTGAGCATGTGTGTAACACCTGAATGCCTGTGTTGTTACATCCCTATGTGTGAGCTGTCAATGAACGCGTGCAACACTGGAGTGGGAGGTAAAACGCTGGACTGAGGGTGTTTAACATTGGAATTTCTGTGGTACTATCAGGGTATGTGTAACAATTGCCTCCCCATCACACTCAGCAAATGGCCCCATTTTGGAAAGAAATAGGAGTTATCAGATGAGAACTCTCCCAACTTCCTGCTCTGCTGCCTCCACTCCCACCAGCTTCTGTACTCATCCTCTGCCTCTTCTCTATAATAGGGGAATATTTCACTTTCTGTCTAAAACCAAAACCTCTACCTGTGCTCCAATTCCACTGGATTCTCGCTCTTCAGGAAATGTCCCTATTGTTTCTCCTTTTCCGTCTCTTGGGTTTCCAATCTCTATCTCCTGGATCTTTCTCTTTATTGTTTAAATGTGCTCAATTCTGTGCCATGTTAAACAACAACAACAACAGAAAACCCTACCTACTGCAATTACTGTCTCCCCTTCCTCCCTCTTCACAGCCAAACTTCTCAGAAGCTCTCTTCATCCTCACTGTTCCATTTTCCCACCTGCCACTCACCTCTCAACCACTCCAGGCTAGCATGTAGCCTCATCATTCTATCAAAAGAGTACTTGATAAAGCCGCTGGTGACCTCTAAATGCTCATTGTGCTGGCCTGGGCGTGGGCACCATCAGGCGTATCATCAGCAGTGTTCACCAGTTGCCTACAAAAGAGGCTTTTGTATGAAAATGCTCATTGGAAAACAATATGAAATATGAAAATGCTCATTGGAAAAAAAAAGCCACTAAATCCAAAGGGCATATTTTTTCCAATGAGCATTTTCATATTTTATTTTGACTTCTCAACAGCAGTAAACACTTCTCACCATGCTGTCCTGAAAGCATTCTTTCTCTTTCTCTATTTGGCTCCCCAAATAGAACATGTCTGGATTTCCTCCTCTCTCTCTGACTTTTCTTTCTCCCTCTCATTTATTGGCTCATCCTCCTCCATGAAGTCCTTTAAATGCTGACATTTTTCAAAGTTCTTGAGCTCCCTTCCCTTCAAACACTAGACTTTCTCCATATTTGAGGCTATCTATGCCATGGCTTCAACTTCCCAGATGATCCTCCAGTATAAATCTCTAACCCAAATATCCCCTATCAGCTCTTGCATATCTAGCAGGCTGTTAGCATCTCCACTTAGATGTTTTCATGCTGTCTCAAACTCAACATGCCTAAATTTCATCTCATGCATTCCTGCCTCCCCTGCCCTTAAGACAATAGCAGCACCAACAAGAACCAGTTTTGTCTTCTTCTAGTGTCTTGTTTTCTTTGAGTGAATGGTATAAGCATCCATCAAACTATATAGGAGGAAATCTAGGAGACATTCTTGACATCCCTACTCCCCATCATCTCCTAAGCCACTCTCGAATCCACCCCTACATCTCCACTGTCTACATCTCCACTGTCACTGCATTAGCCCAAGTCTCCATCTTGCCTCTACCTCAGCAGTTGCTTTCTAACTGGCCTTTCTGCCTCTACTCTTGTTGCTTCTGACTTGGTTGTCCATATTAGAGCCAGCATCATCTTTTCTTAAAATAAACCATTATTATTGAAGTATATTTATAAAAAGTATACCTGTCATAGATGTACAACCTGAATTTTTACAAACTGAGCCCACCAATGTAAGCAGTGCCCAGATCAAGAATCAGAACATTACCAGTCCCCAGAAGCTCCCTAGTTAGTGCCTTACTGCAATCACTAACCTTCCTATCAAGGGTAACCACCAGCTAGAAAAATTGTATCATTTGATATGAACTGTTTCATGTTTCCACCAGCACTATCTTTACAAAAAGTAAATCTGATCATGTCACTCCCCATTTAAAATCTTTTCATGGCTTCCCACTGTTCATAAGATAAAGACCAAATTTCTTAGCCTGGCCTATGACACTGAGAATGAGCTACTTCCACCCCCAAGGCTCCCACTCTTCCAGATGCTTCTTTTACCACACTTTCCTCTCTTTTCTTTCTATGATTCTGTCGCATTGCTCATCTTTCAAATATCCAGCATGCTCAGCATTTCTCATCACCAGGTCTTTACATATGCATGCTGTTCCTTCTACTTGGAATGCTTTTCCCACCCCTTATCTCCTTTCTGGGCTAACTTCTAGTTTGGATCTCAGTTCACCCTTATATGCCTTTCCTGAATAGGTCTGGTTTCTCTATTTGTTCTCATAGCACTTTTCCTTTCTTATCAGGGGACATATTTGTACAATTAATTGATAAAAGTCATTTTCCTTGGCCAGCCTTTAACTGCAGTGAAGAGTGGCAGTGCAGAATTAGCTCACTGGGACCCACATGGGGAAGGCCACAGAAGTGGAATGAGGGTGCATCAAGGACAAACACTGGGGACTTTGGAGTTTGCTTTAGCCGGCTGAGGACAGCTGTTTTGCTATCCTCTAATTTTACTATTTGGGGAGGGCTTTGCATTACTCTTTTACTTATTTTTTTATTATAGAAGTAATCACCACTGTAGAAGAATTCAATCAATATGGAAGTATCTAGAGAAAAAAGTGAAACTCACTTTCTACTATAATCCTAAATCTCTGCTTGCCCCACAGGTGACCACTACAACCAAGGATGTGGTGTGCATCTTCCCAGACCTTTTTCTATGCATTATATCATTTGGACATATACAGATTTTTTGGTTTGTTTTCAATGAAGTGAAGCTAGGTATTCTGCAACTAGTATTTTCCATTTGAGATTTCTGAATATTTTTCCATTATGGTATAGACAGATCTATAGAAACTCTCTTAAGCAATCTCCATGTAACCAATTCTGATAAACCATCACTTTCCATTTTCTCTATTAAATATACAGACCTATGCTTGAGGCACCGTGAACACTCTTGGCTTGTTGGCCACTCCGTAGCACACCCAAGCATGTCTGCCCTCATCAGGTGAGTTGTATGTTCACCAAGAGTCAATTGTTTGTTCCCAAACCCGTTTATGCCAGTTGTTCTTGCTATTGTAGATATATAACTTAACTAAATATTAGATAAGTCAATGAAATTTAAGTGCACAATGAAAGACAGCTGTTGTTTCTATAAAAATAAAGTCTAATATCTTGGGACTAAGGTCAAAGTTGACCACTAAAAGCCACTGCTATACAACTAAAGAAAACTGGGGATATTTTGGGGAAAATAGTAAAAATCTAAAAAGGATTTTGTATTCATATTGCTTCTCAAGTGTCTTTAATTTCTCCTTACACTTAAAAACTGAAGTTTGAAAGTATAGCTGATATTTTTTGGGTGTGGTTTATATAAGAGTAATAACACAGAACACCAATGAGAAGACTTGTCTTCAAAAGCATTGACCCCATTTCGGAAAATTGATGAATCTTTACACACATTTTAGATTAAGATAACATGTTTCAGGTAAACGTGCATTACCTTCTGTGGTCTGCTTTAACTGCTCTTTCAACTAGCTGACGAACGGCCAGCCCCGGATGCAGGAACTTCACCATGGTATTCTATGACATACCATATACCATACCATGCCATACCATACCACACCACACCATACCATACTATATCATGCCATGCCATGCCATATATCATGCCATGCCATATATCATACCATGCCATGCCACACCACACCACACCATTCCATACCATACCATGCTGTACCATACTGTATCATACCATCCTATGTCATGTCATAGCATAATATATTATAGCATGGCGTGGTATGGCATAGCATGGAATGGCAATGGTATACCATTGCCATAATATACCATATACATTTGTACCTTTTTCCCCCTTAAACTAGATAGCAAGAGCCGAAGTGTGCCAGGACATGTCAGGACAGCACATAACTTTTTGAGGTCATTTAATGACACACACTCTCTCTCTTTTTCTCATAATTACCATGTCCTAGGCTGTGGCAAGCACTTATATGCCCTATTTTTAGATGGCATTATTCCCATTTGAGAAGTGAGTAAACTGAGGCTTATGTAACTTACATAGCATGTAAGTGGCAAAGTTGAGATTCAAATCCAGTTCTGCCTGATTCTAAATCTGCGTGTTACCTGGTTTGCCCTACTGCTTCCCATGGTCTTTGATCTTAAGAAGTTTAACTCATTCCCATTTGCACTAGATCAGAAGTTCTCAAAATGTGACCTTGGCCTTCTGGGGGTTTCCAAGAGTCTTTCAGGGGCTCAAAATTATTTTCATAGTAATACTAAGGTGCAATTTGATTTGTTCATTCTCATTGTCTTACAAGTGTATAGTGTTCCAGAGGCTACATGACATATAATATTGTAACATTTAATGCAGAAGCAGATATGAAAATCCAGCTGTCTTTTACTAAGCCAGAAATTAAAAGAAATTTGCAAAAATGCACAACAATGTTACTTTATGCCCTGTTGTTTTTCTTTTGGAAATATAGTTATTTTTACCCAAATATGTTACTTATGTTAACAAGTTATGGTTTTCTGGATATTGAATTAACAAATATTTTCAAAACCCTCAGTTCTAATGTCTAATAGAGTAATAACTGACAGATATAATCTATATAAACACAATCTCTTTGGAGTTCTCAATAATTTTTAAGATAGTTAGGGGATCCTGAGTTCAAAAGGGGGAGAATATATATGAACATTTCAGTTCTAAGTGATGGGTGGGATCCAGCCATGCAGGTTGACCGTAGCATCCAGAGGATATGGGGTTAAAAGATGAGGTAATCCAGGAGAAGGATCAGTGTCAGGAAAGTCCAGTTGATTTGGTCATTATTTTCCTATTTCTGCTATAGGAGTAAATCCTAAAAGGTTGTATGTCTCAAAAGGGAGGTGAGTCTTTTTCCTACCCATCACTGAGAAGCCAATGAAGGATTTTAAGTTGTAGAGTAACAGATGCTTAAAACCAAGGCAGATTTTATTAATAAAAATATAGTTGGGAATTGAGGTGCCTGATGAATAAGGAGAAAAAGGGTTGCTTCCAGACTTCTGGCTTGGAAACTAGGAATCAGCAAGTGGAAGGGACTTGCCTGTGTTCACCCAACTTGTTAGTAGCAGAGAGTATCCTGAAGCTCATGCTGCTTTTCACTCTTCTAGATAAGGCATTTCCCATCCTCCTCCCCATTTTCTTTCTTCTCTAAACCTCACCCAGTTAAAAGCAAGAGAGGAGTGAGCACACACACACACACACACACACACACACATATATATATACACACATATAATATTTTTAAGTTCTAGGGTACATGTGCACAACGTGCAGGTTTGTTACATATGTATACATGTGCCATGTTGGTGTGCTGCACCCATTGATGCATCATTTACATTAGGTATATCTCCTAGTGAGCACACTCTTTATGACTCTGCGCCCTCCCTGTTTAGGGTGGACTACTGGAATTCCAAAAACATCTCTGAGCAAAACTGCTCTTTGGTAGATCTCCTTAATCAATTATGATGGTGCTGCTGTGTGATGTTTGGATTGTTGCAGGCGTAAATAGGGCCTAATGAGGCTGGTAATAGGGCAGGATGAGCAGGGTGGTCATGTCAGATGGGGGCTCAGTTGGTGGGGTGTGGAGTGGGCTGCCTGTTTCCAGTAGCCCAGGAGAGCATGGGTGTCGTTGGCTTCCGTGGCCGTCAGTTTTGGGCTGGTTACTACTCCCCCAGCACAGGCTGTAAGGAGAAGACATGGTTGTCATGGTTCTGATGGGTGCTAGAGCCTGTAATAATAAGTCTAATCAATCTTGCTGACACTTCTTGTTTCAGCTGTTGCTGTGACAAATTGGTTCTTTGCTGAAGTTCAACCCAAGTATCAGTGGTGTGTGTGTGTATGTGCATGTGTAGTTGGGGGGCTGAGGTGGGGTTAGTTAAGAAGGCA
The DNA here is from genome assembly GCF_000001405.40 of Homo sapiens. NCBI lineage: Eukaryota > Metazoa > Chordata > Mammalia > Primates > Hominidae > Homo > Homo sapiens. The sequence goes on from NC_000011.10 coordinate 20,221,892, forward strand.
AGCTAAATTTTAAGAAGCCATAGAGAGAGGCAGTAGTCATGAAAGAAGCTAGTTGTCAGCTTATCTTACATTATTCTTCCTATTTAATTTTCAATCCAGAATGAGGAGTGTAGTTTTTAATTGCAGTCTGTGAATTTCCACTTTATGTTTTGGAATGCTTTGGCCTCAAATGACTAGATGAAAAATTAAGCTCCTTTATTGACTTATTGTATATTATAATTTCAGTCTCTCCTCTGAGAGCCTGGGATGCTGCCATTTCTGTAAAATATTTCTGTCCCAGGCAGGAGAGTTTCCTCTGGAAAAGGATTTGGCAAAAGAAACCAGATTCCTTTGTCAGTGTCAATCAGTAAAATCCATTGGTTTTACTCTCTCCATGTGTCATGGATGTGCCTTTAGCTTTCTATCAATGATTTTGAGTTTCTGGTGTAGAACTTCACACATTTAAGGACTGGAAGAACATTTTAGGGGAAAGAATTATGTAACAATGACAGATGGCCCTAAAGTCACTTATGATATTTTGTAACATCGCATACCATACTGTAGTACATTTGAAACTACTTACTCAGTAATTTCACTCAAATGTCCCACAAACACCTTAAAGCGAGTATGGAACAGTCTTGTTATTTTTGGCTCAGAACTGCTCCTTTTTACTCTACACTACTAACTGAGACGATGATCTTCAAGGATGTCCACACCAGATCCTGAAGGACACCCTAGATTCCTCTTTCTTTTATGCCCTACAGGTGGGGTGAACACACAGTTTATCACCCAAACCTGAACATTTTTATGGGTGCAAGAGGCACTGTTAATAATTAGGCCAGACAACAGATGTAAACTGAAATCATCTGGGGCAAACAGGACCTATGGTCTTCGGATTGTCTCCATCCCACCCCTTAAATGTCACTCAGTCTGTTTCCTCTGTTCAATTGCCTTTGCCACTGCTTTCTCACTAGCCCCCTCGCCAACTATTGCACCAGCCTCCTAACTGGTCTCCCTGTTTCCAGACCTGGCCTTCTGAAATTCATCCACCATTCCCATTTATATGATTTTTCTGGAGTAAATCCCTTCAGCAGCTCTGTGCACTGCAGGATAAACACGAAGCTCCTTAGTGTAGAACACGTGGCCCTCCTTGATGGCTCCTTCCCTTTCCAGCATCCTTTCCACCTCTTTCTTCTCTGCACCCAGTTCTCTAGCTTTTCTAGCTTGCTTGCAGTACCTAACACAAACTACCTCATGTCATGCTTTCAAGCTCTTGCACGTACTGTTCCCTTGCTCAAAACATTTAGCCCCTTTGTCTTTCTGCCTATAAATCATCCAAGATTTTGCTCAAATGTCCTCTACTTTGGGAAGACTTTTGCCATATAACAATGTGTGGATTTAGCCTAGGAGTACCCTGAGGGTGATACCTGTGTTTGATTATTCTCTAGAAGCTTGGGACCTCAGGCAGGACCACTACTGATTTTTGTGTGAACTTTAAACAAGGGCCCCCTCAGGGGACCTTCCTTGATGGCTTCTTCCCTTTCCAGCATCCTTCCTACATCTTTCTTCTCTGTTCCCAATTTGCTAGCTTTTCTGACTTGCTTATAGTACCTGACACAAACTACTATGTGTCATTGTGTCATGCTTTCAAGCTTTTGCACATGCTGTTCCCTTGGTCAAAACATTTAGCCCCCTTGTCTTTCTGCTTATTACAGCTCCTGCTCACAGTTTGGCAAGCAGAACTTGGCTTGGATTTCAGACCACTAACTCCACTCCCCCTTATTGAGTACAGAGACTGCATACCAAACCAAAGGTGCAGGCCATGCTTAGTACCTTGCACACAGAGGATACTTGGTGAATGTCTGATGGATGAATGTCTTCTAGGTTGTGAAATCAGCTAATCTGATGATCATTACAAGTACCAAGTCCACCAAAGGGAACGTGCTCCAAGACATCATTCCTCCCCCTTATCTCTGAGGACACCCTCTTACTTGGTGCTAGCATCCTCCTGCCTCATGACAATGGAGTCTTCTCAGTGAGTCCTTTGGTCATTTATCTCATTTTCTTATTGTCCTATTTGGCTGGTAAATGTGAGTTCAGATTATCAGTGTCTTTTATAAGAGTGACATTGACTTATGTTCACTCACTTAACTGCCTTCTTAAACTGCTCACTTGATGGGCACAACAATTTATTGTTTATCCACGTGACTTTTTGGGTAAAGCATAGTGCACTTGTGTTATTTTTAAGATTGCAAATGAGAGGAATTCAATCTGAACAAATTTAAGCAAAAGGGATCTTTAGTATGTGGATTTTGTCATTTTCTAGTAGACACCAAGGACAGGGCTGTAGTGGGGCCTCAGGAACCCCTGGAGCCAGGTACAATAACACCATCAGGAATGCTGTCTCTTGTATTTACTACTCCACGCACATCTGCTTTGTTTGTCTCTCTGCCAATGTGTTGTCTCTGTTTTTCTGGCTTACGTGACAGAAAGCAAAGTCATTGATAGCCAATGAGTTTTTTACGGTACAACTTTATCTACCTGAGAGAAATTGAATGACTCTTTCTCAATCCAAGTTCAAAAATCCTGAGGCAGAGGCTTGCTGTTTCAACATAAGCCATGGGTATCCTTCTGTACAGTGGGAGTATATCACATGAAAACATGGCAACTTCTATAGCAATCATACAAATGCAGAGCAAAAAGGGAGAGTTCATTCATTCACTGTCAAAAAATATTTACTGTATGCCCAATGTGTACCCACACTGTGCTAGATACTAAACATCAAGCAGACCAGGTTCCTGCTTTCTTGGAGCTTACATTATAGTGAAGGGGATAAATCATTCACTAGGATGCAAATAAACACTACAATTATGAACTTGATAACAAATGTAGACAGGGTCAAGGAATACTGCCCTGAAGAAGTGACTTTAAACTATAAGATAAAGGATGACAATGAATGAGTCCTTGCAAGAACTGGAATAAAAGCCTTCTAGACTCTTCCAGGAAAAGGAGAGGGCAAGTGTGGTGGCTCTGAGTTAGGGAACATATTGGGGTGTTTGGGAATCAGAAACAAGCCCTCTGTAGATAGAAGTGAGGAAGGGAGGATGAGAGTGTTCTGAGATGATGATGGACAGGAAAGACAGAGGCTTTCAGGCCATGGTAATGATGCTTAGTGCAGTCGCAAGTCATTGAAAGATTTTGAGAGGAGTCAGCGTCACCTGCTCTAGGGGATATAGGAGGCACTGATTGAAGAGAGATGAAAATGCAGGGGTACTGGGAGGTCATGGCACCCAGATGGCTTAAGCTAGATTGATACTAGTGGGAACCCCTTGGAGATTACTTAGATATGGAAAGTGAGTGAACCATACCTGACACAGACTAAATAATTTCAACTCTTATGAACCACTCTTGAAATGAATGCATATAGCTGAGTTTATCTGTGTTCTACGGGGAGGAGAAGAGCTGACTGTATAAATGGGCATCCTCCAAATTTTCTTCCTTGTAGGATACAATGCTTATTAAAGAATCAGTAATAAAAATGTATAAATTTAAAACTCATATCTTTTTAATAAAAACTCAACAGTAACTGTAACCATTGTTTATAAGTTGATTTTTTTTTTTTTTTTGAGACAGAGTCTCACTCTGTTGCCCAGGCTGGAGTGCTGTGGTGCAATCTCTGCTCACTGCAACCTCTGCCTCCTGGGTTTAAGCTATTCTCCTGCCTCAGCCTCCTGAGGAGTTGGGATTACAGGCATGTGCCACCATGCTGGGCTAATTTTTGTATTTTCAGCAGAGATGGGGTTTCACTATGTTGGCCAGGCTTTCTTGAACTCCTGATCTCATGATCCACCCACCTTGGCCTCCCAAAGTGCTGGGATTACAGGAGTGAGCCACCGTGTCTAGCCCATAAGTTAACTTTTTAAAAAGATCCCCCCTCCCAACCTTGGAAGGACCATTTAATCACTGATACTGCTTAGAAATGGTGATAATAAAAATTAGACCCACTCGTATATTGTTTCTAAAATGTCTACAGATAAGGCACTCATTATTATTTGCACCACGGATAGAAAACTCCTACTGTCCTGCCTCTAGGAGTAATTTTAAGAGAGTAGTACTCTTCTGATTTTAAGCCAGCAGAATGGCTGAGATAACCTGGGAGGAAAGTACAGTTCAAGAAAAGGGGCTAGGATCAAACTCTGAGGCATTCTTACTTGTACAGAGTTAGGGGCAGAAAGTTGAGGGAGTGAGAGATACACAGGGGCAATCGTTTCAGTAATGTTTTATTTCTTTAAAAGAAATATAAAACAAATATGATAATTTAGGATTGGGATACAGCTGAACAATGGACATGGGGTGTTTCTTATGTGATTCTCTATTTTTCTGTGTGGTTGAAGCACATTAAAATGCATTTAAAGAAAAGGAATAAATGACATTAAATTCTAAGCACTTGAAAGTGAACAGAAGTTCTTTTTAGAGTCATCACAAAAAAAAATCTGCATTGGAATCAAGGCTTCCAGCCTAAGCATTATTGCAGTTGCCTGAATTTCCCAGTAGTAAATGAAAAAAAGAAATTGGGATGGGAATTTAGAACTAAAACTGCATTTTCTTGGTGGGCAGGGAATGGTGCAAGTAGCAGATGGCAAAAAAGGGCTTAGAGACAAGGCATTCCTAATTTTATAGATTACTTACTGTATCCCAGTGGCTTGAAAATGCCATATAGGCATCTTCTAACAAAACTTGCTTTTCTCAGGCACCTGTATCTAAAAAATAAATGCCTGATTTAATGCTGTTTATTTTCTCTTTGTAATTTTTTAGCAACTACATTATTTATTTTTAAATTATGTTGCCAATGCATAATTGTTTTTTCAGCCTTTTAAGATAACAGACTTATGAATAAATCTGGGACCATAATCTAACATTTGTTACCCGAGGAATATATGGCCTAAGAGTCAAACGATGACCCTAGTCTATTTGTAAATTTGGGGCAATCTTTTTTCAATTAGCTAATTATAGTGGTTTCTTGCAAAAATGGCTTCTATCTACCCCTTGGCAATATTATTTTTCAGTTTTCCCATCCAGAGATGAACTGTTTCCTCCTCACCCTTTGAATCAAGGTGCCTTAGGCCAATAGAATGTAATAAAGAGATAATGTGCCAATTCTGAGCCTAGCCCTCAAGAGATTCTGACTGCTTTCATTTGGACTAGCCTGCTGGAGGATGAGACACCATGTGGAGCAGAGCCAAGTCATGCTAGCCAAAGCTGTTCTAAACCAGCCAACCCCCAGTCAACAAAGCAGCTGACCATATGAGTGAGCCCAGCTGAGATCAGCCAAAGCTCATACAGGTCAGCATAACTCATGAAAGTTAATAAGTGGTTGAGTTTAAGTCACAAAATTTTGACTTATTAAACAGCAATAACTAACTGATACACTTATGCAGCTTTGAACCTTGGGAGATGGTACTTACGATGGAAATTGAGTACTCCATGATTGGATACACCGACACTTTTTTCAATCACTTGAGACTTTAATATAGCATATACTAGAAATGCATCACTCTGAACATTAACTTGTGGCTGCCACTAGCTCATAAATTAGTGATTTCTCTAATGCATTCTGCGAAAAGTATTTATGGGAAAGGACCAGGTTGATTTTACTTAGATTTTTAAACTCTGACTTTTCTGATGCTTGTCACATGACCATCTCAAATCTTAATGTTATGGCAACATAATCACATTCTTTTTCTCATTAAGTAGAAGTATATGATTTCAATTTGGCTACTTCTTTGAGAGCAGAAAATTTCTGAAATGATACTCATGAAATGTTCACTGACTTACATGCCCTTAAAAATATCTCAATTATTTGTGTCATTCTGTTTTCCTTTGACCTTTCTCCATAGACATCTACTTGGCATATTGTACAAAGGGATGTTTTTCAGCCAAGGGAGAAGAAAATGTTCACCTGTTTTTAAAAGCTGCCACTAAGATCCTGACACAGGCAAAGATTCTTTCTCTCATCACCATATTATTTCCCTGAACAGACTGTAATTTCATCAATTTTCCATGCTTACGGTCATGAATGCTTGGCATTACCATATCTTTATGTTAACAAAAAAGGAATTTCATGGCTCCAGTTTTTACTTGAAGGCAGGAAAGGCATGAAGACCTCATTAGAAATATGGTGTATCTCATGTTGGCTCGTACATGCCTTTGGTGTAGGCTTTCCTTTGCTCTCTCTTTCCTTGATGTTAACACCAAGGGTAGACATTACTTTCCATCTTCCATGCCCCACCCTCCTGCCCCCTTGCCCAATCCTCTCAGGTAACAAGGAGGTCAAAATCTTTTCCAAAGCTAGTTTTTAGGGTACTTATAATGTTGGTGTCTATAAAGTCTAGACCCTTCTCTTTTTGCCTTCCAGAATCAAAGTAGGAACCATTTATAGAGAAACTTATGTAGCATTTATAACAACAAATGTATTTTCCTTTGTCTTCCCTATACTACTCATATGGCTTTGAAATTAGAAAAATGCACTTTATTCTCAAAATTGGTAACTGTAAGTCATAACAAAACCTACTAAATATTGAAAGAATTCTGTTGTGTGGGGAAAGTTCCTTACTACTTGAATTTATTTCTAACTATGCTATTTACTAGCTGCATGACTTTGGGTGAGTTAGTTACAAAGTTACTTCTTTTTGCCTCTGTTTTCTTATTTATTATTATCATAGTAATACTTCAGAAGATATCATGAGGCTTCAGTTTGTTAATACCTGTAAAATACTGACATCAGTGTTTGGCACATGTAAGCACAGTAGATGTTTCTTTTAGTTGTTATTCTTAATTTGCATTTTAAAATTTAAAATTATTTATAAATATTTTATTTTTAGGATTATTCTCTTCCTCATAAAACTTTCTCATAATTCTTTACAGGAACTTAGTGTTTAGCAACTGATAAGGGGGTTTCATATTTTGTTTTCATAGCCCCATAGGTATGGACAGAGCAGGGATTATTGTACCAATTCTACAGATGAGGAAACTAAGACAGAACGACTAGCTTGCACTCACAGAGCTAGAAAGTGTCAAAATCAGGTCTTGAACCTGGTTCTTTGGACTTCTAGTTCTCTATCCTTTCTTTTTTTATCTGTATTTTTTTATTATACTTTAAGTTCTGGGATACATATGCAGAACGTGCAGGTTTGTTACATAGGTGTACACATGCCATGGTGGTTTGCTGCACCCATCAACCCATCATCTACATTAGGTATTTCTCCTAATGCTATCCCTCCCCTTGTTCCCCAATCCCCAACAGGCCCCGGTGTGTGATGTTCCCCTCCCTGTGTCCTTGTGTTCTCATTGTTCAACTCCCACTTATGAGTGAGAACTCTCTATCCTTTCCATTGCTCATCACCACATCTTACTATTGTCATTGTCATCCACCATTTACAGGTGGAGATAATGGGGACCATAGAGGAGTCATATCATCATCTTAGCAGTGAGTCTCAAACTTTAGTATAAATAGAAGCAACTGGGAACTTGTGACCAGTGTAGATACTTGGAATCCATTTCCAAAAGATGCTTGATTTTATAGACCTCAGGAAACAGTCTATATCTTTAGTATGTATCACCAGGTGGTTCCAGTGTCATAGATTAACGGACCATGCCTTGAAAACCCTGCTTTAGAAAGCTTCTATTTTGCCCTGACTACAAGTATTACCCACTTACTATTGTCTGGACGCAACTGTTAAGGAAATAGAAAGAAAATATTTTCCATATGAAGAAATAGCTCAAGCTTGCTGAAACATAATCTCGTTTTCCAATTAGAAAAGTTTTACTCTTTCATTTATTTAGGCAATGAATACTTATCAAGCCTTTGTTTTGTGTTAATACTGTCCACAGAACTGGGGAGGCAGCAGTGACCAATGGAAACAATGTTCCTTTTCCTATGGAGCTTAAATTCTAGCAAAGGAGATAGGAAACAAACAAATACATGATTAAAACCCAGTGTATAAAACATCAGGTGGTGAATAAGAAAACACTAGAGAGATGACATTATCTTGTATGGAGAGGTCTAAGTTCCCATAAAATTATTTAGATGAATTATTAGATCTAATAAACAAATTCAGCAGTTGTAGGATACAAAATCAACACACAAAAATCAGTTGCATTTCTGTGCATTAATAATCCAAAAAGGAAATTTAAAATACAATTCCATTTACAACAACATCAAAAAGAATGAAATATTTAGGAATTAGTTTAGCCAAGGAAGTGAAAGATATATACTGAAAACTACAAAGCATTGCTGAAAAAAATTAAAGACATAAATAAATGGGAAAGCATCCTGTGTTCATGGATTAAAAGACTTACTATTGCTAAGATGCCAATACTACCCGAAGTGATCTACAGATTAAATATAATCCCTATTAAAATTCTGACATTATTTTTTACAGAAATAGAAAAGTCTTTCCTTAAATTATTATGAAACCTCCAGGGACCCCATATAGCCAAAACAATCTTGAACAAAGAAAAATGAAGTTGGAGAACTCATACTTACTGAGTGTAAAACTTACTACAAAGCTACAGTAATCAAAACAGTGTGGTACTAGCATAAGACAGACACACCAAACCAATGGAAAGGGATAGAAAGCCCAGGAATAAACCCTCCTATATTTGGTCAAATGATTTTCAACAAGGATACCAAGACCATTTGATGAGGAAAAGACAGGCTTTTCAACAAAAGGTTCTAAGAAAAATGAATATCCACATGTGAAAGAATGAAGTTGGGCTCTTACCTTACACCATATAAAAAATTAACTCACAATGGGTCAAAGACTTAAACATAAGACCTAAAACTATAGGACTCTTAGAAGAAAACAGCTTCATGCCATTGGATTTGGCAATGGTTTCTTAGATGTGATACCAAAAGCATGGGCAACACAGAAAATATAGATAAATTGGTCTGCATAAAAAGGAAAAACTTTTGAGCATCAAAGAACATCATCAACAAAATTAAAAGGCTACCCACAGAATGGGTGAAAATAATTGCAAATCTTTATCTGATAAACAATTATATATCCAGAATATATTTTTTAAAAACTTCTAAAACTCAACAAAAAGCAAACAACACAATTTATAAATGGGTAAAGCACTGGAATAGACATTTCTCCAAAGAAGAAATTCAAATGGCCAATAAGCACATAAAATGATGTTCAACATCACTAATTATTAGGGAAATGCAAATCAAAACCACAATGAGATATCACTTCACGTTTACTAGGATGGCTATTATAAAAACAAAAAACGAATCCCAGAAACCAACAAATGTTGGTTAGGATGTGGAGAGATGGAGACCCTTGTGCATTACAAGTGGGAATGTGAGGTGGTACAGCCACTGTGGAAAATGGTATGTTGGCTCCTCAAAATATTAAATATAGAATAATCATATGACCCAGCAATTCCACTTCTAGATATATACCCAAAGGAATTGAAAGCAGGAATTTGAGCCAATTTTCATAGCAGCATTATTCACAATAGCCATAAGATGGAAGCAACCCAAGTGCCCATGGATGGATTAATGAATAAATAAAGTGTAATATATATGCACAATGAAATATTGTTCAACCTTAAAAATGAATGACATTCTGATATATTCTACAACATAGACTTACCCTGAAGACATTATACTAAGTGAATAAAGTCAGACACAAAGGGCAAATATTGTATTAATCACTTAGGTACGTGGAATAGTAAAATTCATAGAGACAGAAAGTAGATTAGTCATTGTCAGGGGTGAGAAGGAGGGAGTGGGAAGTTATGGTCTACTGGGTACAGAGTGTCTGTTTGGGATGGTGAATAAGTTCTGGAGATGGATAGCAATGATGGTTGCACAACAATGGGAATGTACTTACTATCACTCAGCTGTATACTTAAAAATGGTTAAAATGATCAGTTTCGTGTATATATATATGTAACTACAGAAAAATATGTATAGTTATAATGTATATATAACTACAGTAAAACATGTATAGGCTTCTAAACATTTTTAAAGTATGAATAATAAAAATATTTGGAAAAATAAATGCTTTTCTATTTTATTGTATTAACCCTATCATTTAGAGAGAAGAAAGCTTGTCTTTGAGGGTATTAAAGTTTTAAAAATTATTTTATTTTAAAACTATTAAGGCTCATTAAAATTTTGAGAAGTGTGGAAGAGCCCAGAGTGAAAATAAAAGCCCTCTCCCCCTCTTTGATGCTCTCCAAAGTAACTACTGATATACTTTCCTCTGTATCCTTTCAGGCATTCTTTCTGGGTGCACACGCACAGGCACACACACACACACACACACACACACACACACTCTCTCTCTCTCTCTCTCTCTCTCCCCCCCACTTCTTAAAACATTTTTTTAATTTTTAATTTTTCTGGTTATATAGTAATTGTACATATATATGGGGTACATGCAAAGACAAACTTTGCATATCCTCACTTATTTGTGGGAGCTAAAAATTAAAACAATTGAACTTATGGAGAAAGATGCTTACCAGAGGTTGGGAAGGGTAATGGGGGCGTGCGGTAGAAGGATAAGTGGGGATGGTTAATGGGTACAAAAAGTAATAATAATTAGAAAGAATGAATAACTCCTAGTATTTGATAGCACAACAGAGTGTCTGTAGTCAATAATATAATTGTACATTTTAAGAGAACTAGAAAAGTGTAATTGGATTGTTTGTAACACAAAGATTAAATTCTTGAGGGGATGGATACCCCAGTTACCATGATGTCATTATTACACATCGCATGCCTATATCAAAAGTTGTTCACAGCTGGCATATAGAGATGTTACTGATTTTAGTGTGTTGATTTTGTGCCCTGGAACTTTACTGAATTTATCAGTCCTAATAGTTTTTTGTGGCGTCTTTAGGTTTTTCCAAATATAATATTATATCGTCTGTAAACAAGGATAATTTGACTTCTTTCTTTCCCATTTGGATGCCCTGTATGTTTTTCTCTTGTCTGATTGATCTACCCAGGACTTCCAGCACTATGTTAAATAACTGTGGTAAAAATGGGCATCCTAAGATCTTGTTCCAGATCTTAGAGGAAAGGCTTTTAGTTTTTCCCCTTTCAGAATACCAGCTATGGCTCTGTTGTATGTAGTTTTTATTATGTTGAAGTATGTTTCTTCTAAACCCAATTTTTTGGAGGATTTTTATCATAGGAATGTTGATTTTTTTTTCCATTGATTTTTGCTTTGCCTTGCCCTGCTTTGCCCTGCCCCGCCCCGCCTCGCCTCGCCTCGCCTCGCCTTCTTTTTTTGAGAGGGAGTCTCACTCTGTCAACCAGGCTGGAGTGCAGTGGCACCATCTGGACTCACTGCAGCCTCTGCCTCCCGGGTTCCAGCAATTCTCCTGCCTCAGCCTCCGGAGTAGCTGGGACTAATGCCTGGCTAATTTTTGTATTTTTAGTAGAGACAGGGTTTCACCGTGTTGGCCAGGGTGGTCTCGAATTCCTGGCCTCAAGCGATCCACCTGCCATGGCCTCCCAAAGTGCTTGAATTATAGGTGTGAGCCACTGTGCCTGGCCTGGCCTGTAGGTTTGTTTTTGTTTTTTGTTTTGATATCTTTTTTGATATGTCCTTGCCTGGTTTTGGTATCAGTGTAATACTGGCTTTGTAGAATGAGTTTGGAAGTATTCTTTCCTCCTCTATTTTTCAGAACAGTTTGAATAAGATTGGTATTAGTTCTTCTTTATTTTTATTTTTTGACACAGGGTCTGACTCTGTAACCCAGGCTGGAGTGCAGTGGCATGATCATGGCTCACTGCAGCCTCGACCTCCTGATTTCAAGTGATCCTCCCACCTCAGCCTCCCAAGTAGCTGGGACTACATGCATGTGCCACCATGCAAAGTTAGTTTTTGTATTTTTAGTAGAGACAGAGTTTTGCCATGTTGCCCAGTCTCGTCTCAAGCTGCTGAGCTCAAGCAAACCACCTTCCTCGGCCTCCCAAATTGCTGAGATTACAGGTGTGAGCCACCACACCCAGCCTAGTTCTTCTTTAAATGTGTGGTAGAATTCAACAGTGAAGCCATCGGGCCCCAGGCATTTTTTGCTCAGAGACTTTTTATTATGGTTTCAATCTCATTGCTTGTTATTGGTCTGTTCAGGTTTTGGATTTCTTTCATGGTCCAGTCTTGGTAGATTGTATGTGTCTAAGAAGAATTTATCCATTTTCTTGAGATTTTCCAATTTATTGGCATATAGTAGCCACTAATAATCCTTTGAATTTCTGTGATATCAATTGCGATGTCACCTTTTTTGTCTCTGATTTTATTTATTTGTGTCTTCTCTCATTTTTTCTTAGTCTGGCTAATGGTTTGTCAACTTTGTTTATCTTTTTTAAAAAAACAACCTTTTGTTTCACTGATCTTTTGTATAATTTTCTTCATTTTGAAATCATTTATTTCTGCTTCAATCTTTATTATTTCTTCTACTAATTTTGGGTTTGGTTTGCTTTTGCTTTTCTAGTTCTTTAAGATGCATCACTAGGTTATTTATTTGAAGTTTTTCTGGTGTTTTGATATAGGTACTTATAGCTATAAATTTTCCTCTTAGTGCTGCTTTTGCTGTATCCCATAGGTTTTGGTGTTGTGTTTCTATTAGCATTTGTTTCATGAAATTTTTCAATTATCTTCTTAATTTCTTCATTGACCCACTGGTCATTCAGGAGCATATTGTTTAATTTCCATGTGTTTGTGTAGTTTCCAAAATTCCTCTTGTTATTGATTTCTAGTTTTATACCATTGTGGTCAGAGAAGATGCTTGATATTATTTCAATTTTTTGAATATTTTAAGACTTATTTTATGACCTAACACATGGTCTTTCCTTGAGAATGACCCATATGTTGAGGAGAATAATATGTATTCTGTAGCCACTGGGTAAAACATCCTGTAAATATCAATTATGTCCATTTGGTCTGTAGTACAGATTAAGTCTGATGTTTCTTTGTTGATTTTTTGTCTGAAAGATCTGTCCAACGCTGAAATTGGGGTGTTGAAGTCTCCCGCTGTTACTGTATTCAGGTCTGTCTCTCTTCTCAGCTCTAATAATATTTGCTTAATATATCTGGGTTCTCCAGCATTGGGTGCATATATAGTTATGATTATTATATTGTAACTATTATATTATATAATTAGTATATCCTGCTGAATTTACCTTTTTATTATCATATGATGATCTTCTTTGTCTCTTCTTACAATTTTTGTCTTGAAATCTATTTTTTTCTGATATAAGTAGAGCTACTCCTGCCCTTTTCTGGTTTCCTTTCACATGGAATGTCTTTTTCTATCTCTTTATTTTCAGTCTATGTGTGTAAACCAAAAATAAAATTCTTATAAAATACTTATCCCAGCCAATGTAGGGCAAACTTATATCTCCCTTCTTCTACCACAGCTGGTGCTCTCTTGAAAGTGCCACTTCCTGGCTGGAGGCCAACTAACTCAAGCCATTACAGTAACTCATGACAGAACAACCCCACTCCAAAGAAGGAGAAAACAACAGCTAATTTCACCACCTGCAATAGCCTCACTAACCAGAGGTCCTGAGTCTGTTTATGTGACTGCTAGCATAACCAACACTCAAGAAAACCTGTGCACTAAGCAAAACTACAACCAAGAACTCCCACAGAGTCCACTTCACTCCCCTGCCACCTGCACGGGAGCAGGTGCTGGTATCCATGGCTGGGAGACCTGAAGATGGATCACTTCACAGGACTCCTTGCAGACATTCTCCAGCACCAGCCTGGAGCCCAGCAAGCCCACTGGGTGGCTAGACCCAGAAGAACAATAACAATCACAGCAGTCTGGCTCTCAGGAAGCCCCACCCCTAGGGGAAGGGGGAGAGCATGACGTGTCCCACCCCGTGGGACAAAAGAATCTGAACAGCAGCCCCTGAGTTCCAGATTCTTTCACTGAAACAGTCTACCCAAATGAAAAAAGTAATTCTGTTAATGTGAAAAAACAAGGTTCTATTACACCCTGAAAATATCACACTAGCTCCCAGCAATGGATCCAAACCAAGAATAAATATCTGAATTGCCAGATAAATAATTCACAAGGTTATTAAGCTATTCAAGGAGGTACTAGAGAAAGGTGAAGACCAAATTTTAAAAATTTTAAAAAAAATACAGGATATGGGTGAAAAATTCTCCAGAGAAATAGATATAAAGAAAAGACAATCACAACTTCTGGAAAGATACACTTACAGAAATGCAAAATGCACTGGAAAGTTTCAACAATAGAATCAAACAAGCAGAAGAAAGAGCTTCAGAGCTTGAAGACAAGGCTTTAGAATTAATGCAATCCAACAAAGACAAAGACAAAGAATTTAAAAAATGAATGAAGCCTCCAAGAAATTTTGGATGATGTTAAATGACCAAACATAAGAATAATTGGTGTTCCTGAGGAAGAAGAGAAATCTAAAAGTTTGTACAACTTATTTGAGGGAAGGAATATAAATCATGCTGCTATAAAGACACACGCACACGTATGTTTATTGTGGCACTACTCACAATAGCAAAGACTTGGAACCAACCCAAATGTCCAACAATGATAGACTGGATTAAGAAAATGTGGCACATATACACCATGGAATACTATGCAGCCATAAAAAAGGATGAGTTCATGTCCTTTGTAGGGACATGGATGAAGCTGGAAACCATCATTCTCAGCAAACTATCACAAGGACAAAAAACCAAACACCACATATTCTCACTCATAGGTGGGAATTGAACAATGAGAACACTTGGACACAGGAAGGGGAACATCAAACACCAGAGCCTGTTGTGGGGTCGGGGGAGTGGGGAGGGATAGCATTAGGAGATATACCTAATGTAAATGATGAGTTAATGGGTGCAGCACACCAACATGGCACATGTATACATATGTAACAAACCTGCATGTTGTGCACATGTACCCTAGAACTTAAAGTATAATAAAAATATATATATAAAAAAAAATAAAATATGAAATTAAAAAAACTTACTTGAGGGAATAATCAATTACATTTTTCAGTTCTATTTCTACTTGGTTCTTCATTAGTTTGGTCTCTTTGTTAAATTTATCTCATAGAATTCTGAATTCCTTCTCTGTGCTATCTTGAATTTCTTTGAATTTCCTAAAAACAGCTATTTTGAATCCTCTGAAAGGTCACATATTTCTGTCTTTCCAGGATTAGTCCCTGGTGCCTTATTTAGTTTGTTTGGAGATGTCATATTTTCCTGGATGGTCTTCATACTTATAGATGTTCGTCGATGTCTGGGCATTGAAGAGTTAAGTATTTATTATAGTCTTTGCAGTCTGGGCTTGTTTGTGTCCATCTTTCTTGGGAAGGCTTTCCAGGCATTCAAAGGGAGTTGAGCCCAAGCCCCAAAATGCTGTGGTTCTCGCAGATTTGTAGGAGTACTGCCATGGTGGTCTTGATACGATCCAGAAAAATTCTCTGGCTTACCAGGCAGAGACTCCTGTTCTCTTCCCTTGCTTTCTCCCAAACAAATGGAGTCTTTCTCTCTCTCTGTCTGTGCTGAACTGAGGGTGGGGTTACACAAGCACCCCTATGGTCACCACCACTGAGACTGCACTGAGTCAGACCTGAAGCCAACACAACACTGGGTCTCTCCAAAGGGCCACTGTAACCACTACCTGGTTACTGCCTGTGTTCACTCAAGGCTCTGAGGCTCTACAATTAGCAGGTGTGGAAGCCAGCCAGGTTTGTGTCCTTCATTTCAGGACAGTGAGTTCCCCCTGGCCCCAGGTGTCTAGAGACACTGTCTGAGAGCCAGAGATTGGAGTCAAAAACCTTATAAATCTACGTGGTGTTCTATTCTACTGCAGCTAAGCTGGCCCTCAAACCACAAGACAAAGCCCTTCTGTCTTCTCTCCCCTTTTCACAGGCAGAACAACCTCTCCCAGTGGCTACCACCACCACCAGCCCATGAGGAGTTCTGCCAGGCCACCACCAATGTTCCCTTAAAACCAAAGGGCTCTTCAGTTAGCTTGTGATAAACGCTGCCATGCCTGAAACTCACCCTTCAGAGCAGTGGGCCCCCCTCTGGCCCAGGGCACTTCCAGAAATGTTGTACATGAACCTAGACCTGGAATCAGGGACTCTGAGCCTGCTTCGTGCTCTACCTCAGTGGTCTCCAACTTTTTGGCACCAGGAACCAGTTTTGTGGAAGACAGTTTTTCCATGGACAGACGGGGGCTGGGGGTTTTGGGGTGAAACTGTTCCACTTCAGATTGTCAGGCATTAGTTAGATTCTCATGAGGAGCATTCAGCCTAGGTCCCTGGCGTGTGCAGTTCACAATAGGGTTCGCACTCCTATGAGAATCTAATGCCACTGTTGATCTGACAAGAGGCAATGCTCAGGCAGTAATGCTCACTCACCCCCCCATTCACCTCCTGCTCTGTGGCCCAGAACCTAAAGGGCCACAGATTGGTACTGGTACCATGGTACAGTTGGGGACCCCTGCTGTACTCCACTGTGGCTGAGCAGGTACCTAAAGTACAAGAGAAAAATCCCCCTTACTTTTCCCTCCGCTTTTCTTGAGCAGGAATCTTGCACTGTAGCTGCCACAGCTGGGAATGCGCTGGGTCTCACCTGAAGCCAAGGCCCACAGCATACTACCTGGATATCGCTGTTGGTCATTCAGGGCCCAGGGGCTCTTTAGTCAGCACGTGATGAATCCTGCCAGGACTGGGTCTTTCTCTTCAAGGCAGTGGGCTCCCTTCTGGCCCCGGGGTATGTCTAGAAATGTCAGCTGGGAGCTAGGGCCTGGAATGGGGACCTTATGACTCCCCAGTTCCCTATCCTATTGTGGCTAAGCTGGTATCCAAGATGCAAGATGAAGTCCTCTTTACTTCTGAGTCCTTTCCTCAAGAAGAAAGGAGTTACTTTTGTTTCTGCAAGCTGCATTGCCTGAGGTTGGGGGAGGATTAGCACAAGCACTCCATTAGCCACCCTGGCTAAAGTCTCCCCAGGTCACGTGCCACCCTGGTTTACTGGCTCTAAGCCCAGCCCAGCACTGGGAGTTACCTAGAAACTGCAGCCTTTGTGTCCTATACTGTCTTTCAAGTTTACCTGGGATCCCAGAGCACTTCAGCCCATATTGGCAAGGTTTGCTGACAAACTCAAGTTTTGACCACTGGGATGGGCAATTCCCCTCTGGCTAGAGGTCTTCTAAATGCTCCCCGCATAGGGGTCAAGGAGTTCAGCCTGATTTTGCTTCCCTCTGTGACAGAGCAGCACTGAATTCAATGCCAAGTCCCCCAGTCACTGTGCTCTCCTTCCAGCAAGTGCACAGATTCTCTGTCTGTGCCATGCGCCCACTGCCAAAGATGGAGGAGGGGTGGCATCAGTGATTCAAGACTTTCTTTTTTAGCCTCTTCAGAGCCTCTTTCAGTGATATGAAGTTAAAGCCAGGTATTGTGACTACTCACCTGATTTTTTATTCTTGTGACAGTGCTTTTTTATGTGTAGTTACTTGTTAAAATTTGGTGTTCCTGCCAGATAGGGGGGCAATTTGGTGGAGGCTTCTATTTGACCATCTTGTTCTGCCCTCACACTCTACTACTTTTTTTGAAAATGTAAACTAGATCAAGTGTACTATTTAACAACTCTTATCCTCCACTTAACACTATATCTTTCAATTCAGAAATATTTATCTACCTTATTCCTTTTAATAACTGCATACTATTTTATAACTTTCCCATGTCTTCCTCCCCTTTCACTTTTCTTAAAAAAACAATTTTATTGAGGTATAATTTAACAGTAAAATACATCCATTTTAAATGTGCAGTTCATTGAGTTTTGACAAATATATGGACCCATGTAACTGCCTTGCCAATCAAGGCACAGAACATTTCTATTTCTGTGCCTATTTCTGTCCCTCTGGTTCTGTGCCTAGAACCAGAACATTCTACTGATCTGGTTTCTATAACTATAGATTCAATTTGCCTGTTCTAGAACTTCATATTAAGGAATCATACAATATGTACTCTGTCTGACTTCTTTTGCTCAGCATAATATTCTTGAGGTTCATGTATGTTCCTTTTTACTGTTGAGTAGTATGCCATGATATGAATAAACCACAGTTTGTTTATTCATTCTCCTGATGAAACATCATTTGAATTGTTCACAGTTTGAGGCTGTTGGGAATGAAGCGGCTATAAGTCTTCATGTTCAAGGCTTTTTTTTTTTTTTTAAATCTTGGACATATATTTTTATTGAGTAAACATCTAAGAGTAGAATTGTTGTGTTATATGTAAAGCTTATGTTCAAGTTTGTAAGATACTGCCAAATTGTTTTCCAAAGTGGTTGTATTACCTACAGTGTATGAATTTCAATTACTCCACATTCTCATCAGGAGTTGGTATCTGATTATAGTTTTAATTTGCATTTCCCTGTTTATGAATCATGGCCAACTTTTCTTGTGCTTTTTGGCTGACAATAGTATGTGAGTATAAATGGGATGTTTATATCTTTTTGTGAAGTGACTGTTCAAATCTTTTGCCCATTTAAAAAATATTTATTCTAAACACAAGTTCTTTGTCAGATATCTGTACTGTGAGTATTTTTTCCAAGTAAGGGGCTTGCTTTTTCTTTTCCTAATAGTGTGTCTTGAAGAGCAGAGTTTTTAATTTTGAGGAAATCCAGTTTGTCAATATTTTTCTCTGTGGTTAGTGCTTTTCTATCACATTTAACAAAACTTTGCTTATCTCAAGGCAGTGAAGATTTTCTTTATAAGTTTTATAGTTTTATTTTTTATATTTAGGTCTATTATCCATTTGGAGTTTATTTTTGTATATGGTGAGAGCTGGTGGTGAAGGTTCATTATTTTCTCCCATAGGGATATCCAGTTGTTCAGTATCATTAACTGTTAGTTAAAATGACTTTCCTTTTCCCATTAAATTATGTTGCTAAGCTTTTTAAAAATCAGTTGAACATATACATAGGTATATATGCATATATATGTACTTAAACTCTCTATTCTCTTCCATTTATCTGTATGTCTATCAAAATGATACCATACTAAGTATACTTACTATAGTAATGAATCTTGAAATCAGGTATGAAAAGCCTCCCTAATTGGCTCTTCTTTTCCAAAATTGTTTTGACTATTCTAATTATTTTGCATTTTCATATAAATTTTAGAATCAGCTTTTCAGTTTCTTCTTTTTACAAACCACTTCAGTTTTCAATTGGATTACTTTAAATAGTCAGTTAGTTGAAAGTGGACATTTTGGTAATATTGAAGCCTCCAATGTATGAACATTTAGGTCTTCTTTAACTTCTAACAGTATTGTTTTCATTATACTGTTTCTGAGAATAGTTTCTTAAGCTTATCCCTATGTCCTGATTTACAATATGCATTTTTAACTTCTCACAGTTACTAAATTATATATAAGTTAATAATGTTATTATAGGTTAATAAATAGTATTCTATTGTTTCATGTAAAGCGTAAAAATCATTACCATTTCTAATGCTGTTCATTTCTTCATGTGGACCTAAATTTCCTTCTAGTATTGTTTTTCTTCAACCTAAAGCACTTTCTTTAACATTTCTTATGGTGCAGTTCTACAAATTATTTCAATTCTTCCTTTTCTAAAAATGTTTTCATTTTGTCTTTATTTTTGAAGGATATTTTAGCCAGATGTGAATAAAATAGAATAGTTATACCTATAGAACAGAATAGAATACAGATTTAGATAGGTCTAAATGTTGAATTGAATACAGCTTTATTTACAGATATAAAGTTATTTTTTTCCTTTCCTTTTAGCATTAAGAAAACTTTATTATCTTTTGACTTGCATTGTTTATATTAGAAATCAGTAATAATTCCTATCTTCATTCATTTCTCTATGTATTATGTCCTCTTCCCTCTCTGGCTGCTTTGAAGATAGTTTCTTTGTTATTGGTTTTCAGCAATTTTATTAAGATATGCCTTGGTGTGTGTTTTTGTGTTTATCCTTCTTGAAATTTATTGTGTTTTATGGATCTGTGGTTGATGCTTTTCATTGAATTGAGAAAATATCCAGTAATTAATTCATCAAATTGTATCCTTTCCCATCTCCCACCTCCTTTCCTTCTGGGAGTCCAATTACCACTTAATGTTGTTCCATAGTTTATGGAGGCTCTGTTAAATTTTCGAGCCTTTCACTTTAGTGTGGATAGTTTCTGATGCAATGTTAAGTTCATTAACCTTTTATTCTGCAATATCTAATCTTCTGTTAACCCCATCCAGTACATTTTTAATTTCAGAAGTTGCATTTTTAAGATTTAGAATTTCCTTTTGTTTTATTTTTATAATTTCCATCTGTCTCCTCATTGTGGTCATGTTTTCCTTTAAATCCTTGAACATATTTATAATAGGTATTTAAAGTTCTTTTTCACTCTTCCATCATTTCTCTTATATCTGGGTCTGTTCTAGTGACTTAGTTTTGTACAGGTTATGGGTCATATTTTCCTGCTTTGCAGGCCAGTAATTTTAAAATTATATTCTGGACAATGTGGATGCTAAATATTTGAGAGTTCAGATTTTGTTGTCTCCCTTTAAAGCATGTTGAGTTTTGAGCTTTATTATTATAGATAGCTAATTTTCTGTAAGATCAGATTTATCCTGTAAAGACTTAAAAAAATCTTTATTAGGGTGGGACTAGAAAACTCTTTACTGTTAGGCTAATTTAAACCTATAGTTCATCATACATTAGATTATAGTACCATATTATACCAGATTATAATATCTTATTTTTACTGTACTTTTTCAATTTTTAGATATACAAATACCACTACATTACAGTTGTATACAGTAGTCAATATAGTGACTTGCAATACAGGTTGGGAGCCTAGGAGCAATAGGCTATTCCATATCACCTAGGCTATACCATCTAGGCTTATATAAGTACAGTCTATGATGTTTGTACAATGAAAAAATTGCCTAATGATGTATTTCTCAGAATGTATCTCACTCATTAAGAGATGAATGACTGTACTTTGAAGCTGTGGCCTTTTGGGGTCTCTGTGACATATTCTTGATATTCTGTCAGGTCCACTACTCTGGAGAACTCAAATGTCTCCCATCCCTGTGCAAGCTCCTATAATTTTTCAGCTTATAGCACTCCAGCAGTTGTCCTTTCCCTGACTTTGTGAAGTCTCACTCTATGCATGTCAGCTTAATATTCCATCAGAGACTCATAGGACCCCATGCAGATTTATAGCACTCTTCCACCAAGTAGCTTTCTGCTTTCCAGTAGTGTTCCCCACAAACTTTTGTCGTCTCAGCCTCACTGAGATCTGACCTCTGTCACCTCTGTTCAGTGAGGCTACTGTATTCTGCTTGTGCTCTTCATATCTTCACTGAGGTTAGGAAGGGCAAGGCATTTTTATTGACTCCCATTTTACAACTGTGGATGAGAGGTGCTAACAATGCCTCTTAACTGAGCAACTTAGAAGAGGCACTGAGGGGCGAATAGAAAAGCACAGGGAAATGTTGCAATTCCTTTTCCCTGATCCACCCATGGGATTGAGGTTGCATTCAGAAAATGGGCAGGAGGTAGATTCCTTTGGCCCTGCCCCAAGAAGGACCAATCTCATTAACCCCGGAAGAATAACCAGGCTCCCTGGGCACACTGAGAGACGCTGTCTCAGAGGTTATGTGATCATTATTTTCAGCTTGGAGAAGAAACCATCTTTAAAGCACTCACTTCCCCTGAAAATATTTTTTATTTCTGATCTACAGATGAGGGCAAACACAAAGCTTTAGGGTTAATGGTTCTGAGTACATCAAGACAGAGATGGTTCATTAAGCATTATAATAATGACCACACATTGAGTGTTTGCTACATGGCAGGCTTGTGCTAAGTGTGTGACTTGCATTATTTCATTCAGTCTCTAAAACAACCCAATGAGGTGAGAACTGTCCCTATTCCTAGCTTACAAATGAGAAAACTGAAGCTCAAAAGGGGATAAGAAGGGCGAATATTAATCTTCTTTAAGACAAATGAGAATGAGGAAGATGCTGAGAGGTGCCTTTCTGATTGGAGAGAAGTGCTGACTTGGGATGCTGTGCCACCATGAGCACATTGCTTGACCTCTCTGGGCATCAATTTCTTAATATGCCAAGTGAGAGAACTATATTAGATAAGCCCTTCTGAACAACTTTCTATATTTCAGTATCCTCCTCTCTCCATAAAATCAGATCCTAAACATTTCTCAATTTCCTACCTTATAATTCTTAATTTACCTGCCACCAGAGGGCCCTGTGCAGGGGAGTTTTCACGCAACATAGGTTTTCCTCAGTTTTAAAGCATGGCCTCTATAGAATAGGCTCTCAATAAAAAAATCTGTTGATATAAGTAGGAGACCAGGTGATGTAGTGGTGGAGGAATAAAAAAATTAGGGTTCTGGGTTCTCATTCGTCTGCCAAGTGGCTGTCAGATGCGTCACACAGCCTCTTTGGGCTTCCATAACTCTTTCTGTAAAATGGAAATAATGGAGTTATTAGGAGAAATGAAATAGTATCAGATATTTAAAAGCACCTTGAAAAGTATAAAATGCTGCATAAATATGACAGATAAAGAAATACGTCTATGAAAACCAAGACTTTCTTTCTTTTACTCACTTGTCCACTACCCGTTTTTGTACTGTCTCCCCAACACCTTAACATCATAGAGTTATTACCAAGGGCCCCTAAATGTGTTTGCCGACATGGTGAGGGCTGCTTTCCTTCCTAGATATTAATGCAGAGGCAGTTTTTATCCTGATTAGCACAATTCTAGGCAGGGGTGGTGGTGCTCATGGATTGGCCAGCAGTTGTATATCATGATTGGGGCTGAGATCTGGGATGTATCCAAATTCAAATTTATGCTATGATGGGGGAATTACATATGCCCTTAGGGGTGCTTATTTTCAGTCCCTGGCATTTATCAGCCCCCCTCCCCCAACCACTCTAGAACTTGCACCTCTCTCTGGGGAAACCAGGGAATTTGCTCTGACAGCACCAACTGGTCAGGGCCTTCACTGTCCCTTGATAAACCACATGTCTGGCCAGGTGTGGTGGCTCATGTCTGTAATCCCATGGGAGGCCGAGGTGGGCAGATCATGAGGTCAGGAGTTTCAGACCAGCCTGACCAACATGGTGAAACCCCATCTCTACTAAAAATACAAAAATTAACTGGGCCCAGCTACTCAGGAGGCTGGGACAGGATAATTGCTTTAACCGGGGAGGTGGAGGTTGCAGTGAGCCAAGATCGCACCATTGTGCTCTAGCCTGGCAACAGAGCGGGATTCCGTCGCAAAAAAAGGAAAAAAAAATAAAAAAAAACCACGTTCCTCAGTGGCACCTCTTTCTTACTGCTTTTCCAGTTAACAAGAAGTAGTAGTCTTGGAATTTAGAAACACTTAACTCATAAATACGGCTTCTGTACTTTCTAGTCCAAGAATATAGACCTCTACATTTTTGCTATATTGAAATATATTCTGCTAAGATTATATTATCCTCTTCCTCTTCTAGATTGCCTCACAATAGATGTCAAATTAACCTTTGGGCCGAGCGCAGTGGCTCACGCCTATAATCCCAGCACTTTGTGAGGCTGAGGCGGGCGGATCACCTGAGGTCAAGAGTTCAAGACCAGCCTGGCCAACATGGCGAAACTCTGTCTCTACTAAAAATACAAAAATTAGCCAGGCATGGTGGCAGACACCTGTAATCCCAGCTACTTGGGAGTCTGAGGCAGGAGAATTGCTTGAACCCAGGAGGCGGAGGTTGCAGTGAGCCAAGATCGTGCCACTGCACTCTAGTCTAGTAGACAGAGATGCTGTCTCAAAAAAAAAATTAATTTTAAAAATAAATAAATTAACCTTTAGCATCATATTATTCTTGGACTCTAAAACCTCCAGGGGAAGGTTTCCTGCTTTCCATAGAATTAAGCGAAACTCCTCCAGGCCTCTTACCTTTCCAGCCCCCACTGTTCCCACATAGGAAGCCACTGCTGTTCAGCCTGAAGTGCTCCCTGGCTTCTGTGCATAGTCTAGTGTCCTGCTCCTGAAGTTGCCTCTGCCAGCTGTGTTTTCCCATTCCCACCTCCGTATGACCAAGTCCTGCCCTTCTTCAAGGCATAGTTTAAATGCCATCCCCTTTATGGAGTGAGTTCTTCCACTTCCAAACTTTCTGCTTCGTGCTCTAAGGAACTATGACTTTCTTCCTCTAGTGTCTCATTTATCTGCGTATTCCCACGATATCAGCAAATGATAGGTCCCCTATAAATATGGGTTAGACAACATGAATGAATGGAATTTAATTTAATGGGTCTTTTAGGGAGTATCCCATCCGAATACATGTTTATCCAAAATTTAAACTTTCTTTTCCTTTCAAGGTGGCGATTTGTGGCCATTTCTGCTGTCCCAGGTCCCGGGCTGACCCTTTACTGAGGTCTGTGCTTACTCTTGCTAACTTTTTACATTTCTCCATATTAAATTTACAGCTTATATCAAGCCCGCTTGTTTAAATTTTTTTTCTGTTCCCACTGTTCTCATGTTCCTTCACAATGTATGCAATTACATGAACTGCCTTTGAAAGCAAGATTAGATTTTAAATCTTGTGATTAACCTTTCACATTGCGAGACTGCCAGCTCCAAGTTCCTTGAGCAATTTTCTTGTTTTGTTGTGGACTAATTTCTCTATTTCATCTCTCCTGCTGTGTGTTACTTTGCAACTTGATTCTTGGCTGCATAGGCCCTGTTGGGAGAATTTCTTGTCTTGGTTCATTTCACCAAATGACTCTTCTGCACAAAACCAAACAAATCTGTAAATGTGGAGAACACCATGTAAATCTGCCAGAGTATCGAAGTGGCTATCAAAGTTGCAAAGTTTTTGTTATTTTGATATTTTGCATACAAGATCTTAGAAGAGGAAGTTTTTAAAGTTTACTGAAAATACAAATTACATATATTTATGTATGGAAAATTTTCTAGAAAACAACTTAGCTTTAAACTGGAACATTAAATTAGCAGTCTTTTTGAACCTATAAAATGCTGAGTTTTAGGACTACATTTGTTAAGTATTTTTATCACAATTTTTTAATTAAAGAAACTATTTTGAGTGTAGAAGAGAACTTTAGCATTTTAGAGTTCAATAGAAAATTATTTTGCCAGTTACCCAACAAAAATGGAGAAAGTTTGTATTTTAAAATATTCACAAAATACATTCCTTCAGGAAATAATTTATGGCTGGCCTTATAAGTAAACAAGATATTTGATATGTCAAAGTATTTTATTAAGGTAATTTCTAACAATACTTGATTTCCTGGAAGTTAAAATGAAACTGACATGAATAAATAATAAGTATTTAGACCAATGAAAGAGATTTATTTATAGTAATTGGTTATAGGAAACATCCTAGGCATGAAATTAATTCAGTCCCAATCTGAAAACCCTGATAGCATTAAAATGGATGTTTAATGTGTTATTAGTTAATGATATTTCATCTGAGGACCTTATCAAGTTGCACACAGCAAAGCTCTTGTCATTATTTTTTACTCTCCCAAAGTGACACTTTAATGAAATGTGTCAGCACACCAGTGTTAGGATACGTTTCATTAATGCCCAGCACTTTTGTTCTATTCTTTACATTTGGAAACAGATTTAAGTATTAAGTGCCTCTAATGTCTGCAGCCAGGGAATCCTTTCCGAATTTGTAACAGTGACCAGAACAGACCGCATTACACTCTCCAAATGGTGCGGTTTTGCATTTGAATGTCTGAATTATCCCGGTTTCTTAGAGACGACCACAACACCAACATCTTAAATCCTCAAAATACTGTCCGCTTCATTGAATGCTCGTGATCTAAGCATATGTGTAATTATTCTGTAATTCTCCCCAAAATGTGATTCCTTGGAAATGCATACTAGGTTTCCCCTATTGTAAATCCAATGACTATTTCTTTGTGGCCACTTCTTTAAATACGGTAACAAGCAAGTCTGTGTGTCTGGGTGAACCGCCTTGATAATGATGATTTCTTCCCAAGCTCTCCTTGGGACACCCATCAGGGGAAATATGCCTTTCATTTGTTTAAGGGTAGAGACCATGGTCACAAAAAGACCATTTAAGATAGTATACATTACAACTAGAGGATTTCTTGCCAGAAATGGGCCTAATGTCACTCACAATAGCCTTAGAAATAGTCTTAGATAGTTTAGAATTTGCAAATGTTACCAGAACCAGCTGTGGTAATCCATGGCTGCATATAGATTTTAGAGAAGAATAGAATCCCGTGCCTCTTAAAACAGCTTTGGATGTGGTCAACTGTGGAAAATTAAAACATACACTTTTAAAACTGACAGCTGGAAAGGAAAAGGGGGAGGAGACAGTAGAAAGGAGACTTAGGGTAGTATATTAACCTCAGTTTTATTTTAAAGTTTTGCATACTCTTTGGGAAAACTCATTGGTGGCAACTTTCCCAGGGAACAGCCTAAGCGTAGAGTGATTACAAAGTGTAAGTGAGATCCTGCGTGTGAAGTCCTTTGCAAATTGTTAATGCACCATTCAAATGTTTCTGGGCTGTTGTTATTACAACCCATCATTAACTCCAGTATGTGTTGTTTAATTTGGCCTCTTGGTTTAGCAAAGTGTAGTGGGTCTGTGGGTGTTTACTGATAAACGCAAATGACCACAGAGTAGGAGTAAAGGAAAGTCAGCTTGCAGGGAAGTCAGCTTGCAGGGTCATAGCTAGGCTGTGAATAATTTGATGATCACTCTGAAGCAGGTGTTTGCATTGAGTAATTCCTTGTCTTAACGTAATTTTGCAAATTGCTTGGCTTTTACAGCCCATATCGCTCCCACAGCACCATTGCTAATGGTAGCTTTAAAAATGATTTCAGCCTCAAGTGAGCTTGAAGTTTTCAAGTCCATCATGTTTACTTGTTTGTTTTTTGGTGACTGTATTTTTAGAAATTTGGAATCTGGGAGAAAATATTGTGACGAGGAAAAATCAGTCTTATCAATTATTTAAAAGAAAAATTGCATTTTAAAGTTTGGATGAAGGGAAATATTTTAAATTTTTTCAAAAACACACAAGCAACAAGTGAAGAAATGAAAATATTGGCAGAGGGAAGATAGCAGCTGCTAGGGAGAGAAGCAGCCTCAATGTTTAGAGATATGTCCTCTGTACTTGCCAGTCTCTCATGAGTGATACCTTGGCTGAGTTTCCATTTACTCTCCATTTGAGTTTAGAAAAGACCACTTTTAAGTTGGAAATTGATTTTAGAAATTTAAAAGAAATGAAAGAAATAACTTAAAAAACCCGGGACCCACTCTGTTGCTTGGAGATTTGGTTCACTTCCCAAGGAAAGACTGATGTATATAAATAAGCAAAGGATGTCTGTGTTTTTTATGCCTATTTTTTAAAGTACTGTCCTGTATCATTTATCTAGACATCATTTATTTGCCAATCTAAAAAGAAAATAAAGTTAACGAGGATTCTGAGTAACCAAAATATATGTCCCTAAGTCTGCTCACTAATTTTATGACCCTCAATACTCACTCAGAACCTACTTACTCTTACATTACAAATGCTTCTAACAAACATGAGTATCTGCTTCCCCCGCACATACAGATTAGAAACAGCATAGCAGATGGGAAACAAATAAAGAGAAGATCTCAGACATACTGGGAGCAGCAAGAAATAAGAGCCGACAGCTTGATTGCGCAGGGAGAGACAGAAAATCCAAATAAAGCAAACATAAAACTATAAAAGCTTAGCAGTCTAGAGCAGTTCAGGGTTTTACGATTTACCAATCCCAGAAGGTCTCACTGTATTATAGCACAGAATAAAAACTGATGCTTATAATTTTGAGTCATCAAGAAACTATTAAATGTTATTGTGTGCCTGACCTTCAAATGTATATTTAGAATAATTTTCACTGAAATGTGTTAAAGTTAAGATAAAAGTCTTTGGGCTTAAAGGAGCTCACCTTTAGGTGTTTGGAAATTCGGATTTATGTGGAGATCATTTCTTTCTCCATAATGCCAAATTGGTGCATGAAAATTGCCCGTGCTTTGAGGTCATAGCCAAATGTTCTTACTCAAGTGGAATTTTATAGCTAGAATTCTTTCTGTAGTGAGACAGCTGTTATAACAAGGGAAACTACACTAAATGAAAATCAGAAGAGTTTCATACTCTCTGCCCTACTACTGAAATGCTGGGTGATCGGGACAGTCAGCCACTCTCTGATTCTCAGTTTCCTCATCTATTCATTGGGGTTCACAGACCCCATTCAGTTTCACAAACTATAATTTTTTAAAAAAATAGTAGCTCAGTGAATTATAGGTGATTCTCTTTGTGCTTGATACAGAGCTGAATCACACAGACTACCTTCCATTTTGTGGGGATTAGAGGGACTAATCTCAAAGTTTGCCCTCATCAGCATCCTGCTGAGATATTCTTAAATGACTCTAAAAGGAGCCTACAGTGTTAATGATCTTGATCTCTTAGTGGCGAGAAGAGAGGAGATTTTTAACTTCTGTCTTTATGCTTTTCTTGTATTTTCAACATTTCTAAAAGAAATATGCATTACTTTTGAAACACATCCATAAAAGCTGCATTTAAAATATAGACACGGAAGAACAAAACTTGAGACCTAAGGCCTTCCAAATGCTAGGTCTTAAAGCAAAGTAGGTTTAAACTATTAATAGAAGGTGGATAATGTTGCATCTCAGAAGCAGGACATCTACTCTGGGAGATATCACTACAACTACTATTTCTGCCACAGGCAGATCTCTCAAAATCAGTGGCAATTTTTCAGACTTGAAGAATAAAAGTAGCGTCTGGTAAACCAGGAGAATATGGCATTAAAAGAAAAATCTCCAAACAACTACTCGTAACACTGGGCTCCCAACTGCACTCTGTCTTCTAGATTGTTATGGGAAAATATCCTCCTTGCCAAAAGTAATCTCACTGTGATTTGTCACCTGCCAACTGATAAGGAAGGAGCATTTTTCTAAACTTTGAATCTCTGGCTACTGTCCCTAGGATCATTTTCCTGTACAATTGTTATAAAATATGCAGCCTGCAAGAAACCTGTCTAAAAATATTGGAGAGATAGAAAATGATCCAGAAGGCTGAGGAAGCTCTGAATGTTTAATGTCCTGGGGAAACTGGCTGCCCATACACTGACAGCAATTTGGAAACAGGTCGATTATGACTCAGGAAAATGGGCCTGGCCTGGGCAGCCCCAACTTGGCAACAGCTTGTGGGGAGTAAATCCTCTCACTGAAGGTTTTGCTTAATCTGAATAAATTCAATTTCAAAATCTGCCCTTGATCTAAGCTCCTTAAGCTTCTGCAAAGGACTAAGGACCTTCAGGGTCAATGCCAATAACAAAAGATAGGAAAAATTCACCCTTTCTCATATCTCACTGCTGTATTCTATAAGCTGTTAACTCACTGCAAAAAAAAAATAAAATAAAGTTTCCTTTCAATAAAGTTGTCTTTGGAGAATCTGTGTCCTTTATTTTAAAGGTAAGATTCAGTGCTTCCTTTTTGGATGTTCGACATGTTTAGTAGTAGGAATGCTGGACACAATATTAGGAGACCTGTGTTATAGTCCTGAATGTACCAACAGTGGATTTCAGCAAAGCAATTGCTTTGGACTTCCAGACATATTTTTCTCTTAACTGTGGTCCTTGCAAGATGTGTTTGTAGAAGTGCTTTTTCCAAGGGTGAAATGAATGTGAGTAAACAAGCTTGGGAAACACACCAGACCACGTGCCTACTTGGACATTCACAGCGTGCATTAGCATGCTAAAGGCTCTGAGAAGTCCTGTAGTAGAGAAACTTTTTCAAATGTTTTCAACCCAGCGTTTTCCAAACTTCCTTGCTAAACCATGAAGCTTCTTTTGTGTGGTAATTCCTACTGTGAAACTAGCATCCTATGAACATATTCTGAAAATGCCTGGGCTGACAATGCCTGTGGTCTTGCATCTGGTCTACATTTTGGCAGTTACATGATTGTACAGTATATATATTTAATAGAAGACATGATCAAGATCTTTCACATTGCTGATGGCTTAAGGTTGGGGAGATACAATTAATTCATTGGATTAGGAAATTAGGATCCAAAACTACTCAGCATTTGTATTAGTTCGTTGTAGCTGCTGCGACAAATTATACAAACGTGGTGGCTTAAAACTACGGAAATGTATTCTCTCACAGTACTAGAAGCTGGAAACTGAAATCAATTGCACTGAGCCAAAATCAAGGTGTCAGCAAGGCTGTACTCCATCTAGAGGCTCCAGGGGAAAATCTCTTCCTTGTCTCTTCCAGCTTCTGGTACCTCTTGGTATTCTTTGATTTATGACAGCATGATTCCAACATGTGCCTCCCGGGTCACATTGCCCACACCTCTTCTTTCTGTGTGCCAAATCTCCTGCTGCCTCCCCCTTATAAGACATTTGTGATGGCATTTAGTTCCCACCCAGATAATCTAGGGTCATCTCTTCATCACATGATCCCTAAATTAATCACATCTGTAAAGACCCTTTTCCAAATTAGGTAACATTACAGGTCCCAGGAATTAGGTCCTGATATCTTTGGGTTGCCATTATTCAGCCTACTACAGCATTGTAAAGCCAGGAGTCGGATCTGACAAAGTTAAATATTTCAGGCATAAATGTGAAGTCCTGTACTTGGGCAAGATAAAACAAAAAAAAAAAATGTGCAGATATGGCTAGAAGATGTACCTGATTTATTTTTTTAAAAAACTATTTATTGATACCGAGTTTTGCCAGGCACTGAACCGGGGACCTTAGCAGTACCAGGACTGAAAAAGATGGAAGTCAATGAATCACTAGGATTGTGTGGTCATCTGTAAAAATGCAATATGATGTAGAGTTATTACCCAAGTTCCAGGTTTATAAAAGGCCCCTTACACAGGCCATAAAAGCAGTGTTATATAATAGTTACAAATTCATTTCAGGGTATGAGTCCCAACCCTATCATGTAACAACTGTGTAAACCTAGGCAAGTTATTTATTCTTCTTAGCCTTAGATTTCTCATCTGTAAAATGGAGATAATAATAGTACCCACCTCATAGAATTGTTATGAAAATTAAGTGAGATAAGGCCTTTAAAAATCTTAGCACAGGAGGGGTGCAGTGGCTTCCACCTGAAATCCCAGCATTTTGGGAGCCCGAGGCAGATCACCTATGGTCAGGAGTTCCAGACCCATCTAACCAATATGGTGAAACCCCATCTGTACTAAAAATACAAAATTAGCCAGGCATGGTGGCACATGCCTGTAGTCCCAGCTACTTGGGAGGCTGAGGCAGGAGAATCACTTAAACCCAGGAGGTGGAGGTTGCAGTGAGCCTGGGCGACAGGAGCAAAACTCCGTTTCAAAAAAAAAAAAAAAAAAAAGTCTTAGCACAATGCCTGGCTGATAGTAAATGTTTAATATATCTTGGCTATTATGGCAATGATCACAATTATAAGGTTAGAGATTCTGGGAGACCCCCAAAGGAGTAGGAGCAGTATGATAGCAGTTAGCAGTCTGAGCCATGGCGTGTGAGAATTACTGAAGGAAGTGAGTGCCTGGAGATCCATCTTCAAATCCACAAAGCATCATCATGAGAAAGAGCAAGCTGGCTTTTTCTGCATGGCTGCAGGGAGCTGACCTGGGATCCATTTGTAGAAGGTACAGGGGGAGAGTTTCCAGCTCAATCAAAGGAGAGTCTGAGTCTACCAGCATTGGATTAGATTTCTTCAGAAAGTGAGTTTCTCATCACAGAGAGAGTTCAAGCAGAGATGAGGCAGTTGATGGTCAGGAAGCCTATGGAGTCCATTTCTCACCTCAGAATCGGCTTTATTATCTATCTCCCCCAATAGAACTTCTGCCCCATGAGAGATCATATGGCCTGTTTAATGCCTGATACATAGTGAGTGTCCAAAAAGGAATGAACGAATGAATGAATGAATAGTAAGCACTAAAGAACTACAGTGCCGCATGATTCAATTGAACTAAGTTTAGGGAAGATTTGAGGGTTAGCCTGTGCCAGGCATAGTGCCAGGCACAGTCTGAAACTCAACACATGACGGTAAAGTGCTAAGGAAACACCTGCAACTAAAACACGTGATGGTAAGTGCTAAGTAGGTTAACAGAGGTGAGCACAAAATGCCATAGAAGACACGGGAAGAAGTTGTTCATTCTACCTGGTTCCTGGGGATAGAGAGGGTATAACATTTTCACTGGGTCTAAAAGGATGAATGAGGTTTTACCTTTGGCAAAATCAGGGAAGGGGAGTGGAGCTGAGAAGACAGTTGAGGCAGAGGGAATTCCATGGGCAAAGGCATGGAGGTGTGAATAACAAGCCACGTTTGGGAGAAGGCAAGACAGTCTAGATCTGGAACAGGTGGCAGGTGTTGACTAGAGATGGAGCTGGCAGCACAGGATATAATCAGATTATGAAATGCCTTGGAAGGTACACTGAGAAGCCTAGTCTTCATCTTGAGGGCAGTAGGGAGGCCTGGAAGGTTTGGGAGCAGGAGACTCTGTTGTGGAAACTTTGTGACAACCTGCTGAATCACAATTGTGGAGCTAGGATTGATTTGATAACAAAGGGCCTCCTGCCTCAACATTTCTACCATCAGTCTGCCACAGACTCCGAAATGCCCTCTAGGATTACTCCTAGAAATGAAGAAACATGCAAATATATAATTCTGTGATTCAGTGTAGCAATGTGTTACCTTTAACACCCATTGGTCATGAGCATGGGACAGGATTTCTCGACCTCTGGGATGCTGACAGTATTTCTTGTGGGAACTCTTCTGTGCATTGTAGGATGTTTAGCAGTATCCCTAGCCTCTATCTACTAGGTACCAGTCACATTGTCCCCTGTCCCCCAGTTGTGATGACCAAAAATGTCTCCAGACATTCCCAAATGGCCTTTGGGGCAAAATTGCCCCAGTGAGAACCACTGATATGAAGCAATTCATCATATCATCTGGGGGCATCAGAAGAAGACCAGCAGCTCCTCATTCATTTCCTTAGGTAGGGTGTAACTTCCCTCACCATTTACATTTCCTGACTTAAGACTTAAGCTCTGCTTGGCTCTCTGGTCACACTGAGCTTTTTTTCAGCTTCTCATTGTTCTAGCTTTCTCATTGAAAAGGAATCATTTCCAGGATGTGAATGCTAGCATTGGTGGAGAAATTGATAGCTCTTACCTGGAATTGTGAATAGTGTGTTGATGAATATGTCTTCTGTGGGCCACTCTGTACAGGAACAAACTGGCTACAATATAGGGAAGCAAATGTTTGACGTGGTGCTTTGTATACTTTAGTATACCTCTAGGTGAGGCATACTTTCCAATTTACTGCAGTATCAGGGTCTAATACCCATCTAGTTCGCAAATCTATATTGCCTGTCCTGGCTGCTGTAAGCAACTAAAGTTCATGGTCCATGCTTTAGACATAGAAGTGCTCATCCAAGTGGAATAATCTATCCCCAATTTATTCACCAATAGAAAATTGTGCCGTTGAAGGTGGAAGATGGGACAGCTATGTGGGCAATTTTATTTGTATTTCTACAGTGAGGTCAACCATTATAGACTCCAACTATGATTTATTTATTTTCTCCCCTAGCTAGGCAGTTTGGAACTGGATAGAAAGTGTTCTTTCCCTCCTCACATTAGCTCCTGCTCATTTCCATGTGAAGTCCTACCTCTGAGTTTAGGGGACTGAGTGAGCATCATAAGATGAAGCCAGGTGCCCTCATATGATTTGAGTGACCTGTTATTTGAAGACTCCTCAAATTCTTTCTTAGATATCTTACTTCCTAACAATGAATTGTTGATAAATTAACTTTTATCTGTTCTTCAGAAAAATAAGGGGCTCACCAGGTTGGGCCTTAATTTGATAGGAGACATTCAGTAAATAAAAGCTAAAATATTACCCATTTTCCAGTGAGAAGGTATAGTTTATGCAGACTCTTACCAGATTAAAATAGTCCTATCAATTGTTTATTACCTCAATAGCAGTTCTTAAGGGATTTGATAAATAGCTTAACTTTCACATCCTCAGAGAAACCTCCTCTGTTAACTTCTTTGGCATTTCATTTGTACTGTTCTAAGGACCCTTTTCACATGCCATTCTTGGTATAATGAACAATTTCTCCCTCTAAATTGTAAGTGCCTTAAAGCCTAATATATATATTTCTGTGTCTCCACTGTGTCCAACAGAGTACAAAGATGCACAAAGATACACAGGAGATACTAAAAATGTTTTCCTTGGGTGAATGTATATATGACTTGAAATTTGAGAGAGGAGCAGGTGCTGCAGGTTTTAAAAATATATATTTTTAAAAGAAAATTTAGAAAACTCAGAGGTGCAAAGAAAACATAAGTTATCTATACTGCCATTGCTGACAACCACTGTAAATACTTCAATATATCTCAGTTGTTTTTCTTTGTTTAAGATTATTTAGGGAATATATTTCACATACTTAATAAGATACAAACTTAAATGTAAGTTTGGGTCAGGCGCAGTGGCTCACGCCTGTAATCCGAGCACTTAGGGAGGCCGAGGCAGGCAGATCACTTGAGGCCAGGAGTTGGATACCAGCCTGGCCAACATGGTAAAACCCTGTCTCTACTAAAAATACAAAAATTAATTGGGCCTGGTGGCGGGCATCTGTAATCCCAGCTACTCGGGAGGCTGAATCAGGAAAATCGCTTGAACCCAGGAGGCAGAGGTTGCAGTAAGCCTAGATCACATCACTGCTGTCCAGCCTGGGCAACATAGTGAGACCCTGTCTCAAAAAAAAAAAAAGTAAATTTGAATCTTGCTTTATTTTTATTCTTTACAACATAATAAGAGCATCTCCTAAGTCATTAAATATTTTTCCAAAACACCATTGTGAATGGCCACATAGTATCTCATTGATGGCTAGATAATGATTTACTCATGGATATAGGATTGGTTTTAATGGGGGCTATTATAAACAGTGTTTTTATGGATATTCTTATGTAAAATATAGGATACATATTTTGATATGTTTTTAGAAAAAAGATTCACGTGCCAAAAGTTATGAATGTTTTTAAACATTTTAATATACATGTCTTTTGATATACATGTCTGCAATTCCATTTTTCTCCATAGGTGTCCAAAACAGTAATTTATTAGAAGGCATTTTATTCACAATAGTAAAACAGAGGATCAATTTATGAGCAGCAGCAGCACCAGAAGTACTATAATAAATAATGATAATGACCTCTCTACAAGTTAAAGCTTAGAAAGTGCTTTGACATTCACTTACCTCCTTTAGTACTCAAGCAGATATTATTTCCATCTTACAGATGAAAATAACTAAAGCTTGGGAAGGTTAAATGACTTGTTTGCTCAAGTTCACACACCTCATCAGAGGTCTTTTATGTGTTTTTGACCGCACCAAGAGGGCTAAAGACAAAAATGAAGAGGAGGTGGGGAAATGGAGGGACAAATGTAATGAAAAGAACCATTGGATATTGTAAATATAACCTCAAAGAACAGAGTGGAAGATCTTGTGAACAGGTCAATAAAAATTTTATTGGAGCTTGAGGTGTACATTTAAGTTCTAGGAAGATTTCACAAAGGTGGTCCCTTAAGCTCCTATACCTCTGAATTACTTTTCTAAGATACCTTGATAAACTTGTACCTTTTTGGGCTCTGATTTTGTGTGGTTGGAGATAATGTTCAAAGCTGGAGGTGATTTTATCATTGAGGAAACTTGTTTTAGATACACAGAGAATGTCAGAGTTATAAGGAACTTTAGAGATCATCTTCTCCAACTCCTTTATACAAACTAAGAGATGAGATTAACTCATTCAAGGTCACACAGAGATTCAGTGTCAGGGTTGAGGATACTGGAGCAATACAATGTAAATCCGGACAAAGTATAGGAAGGAACCAGGTTAAAATAGAGCAAAGCAATTATTTTTAGTTCTGGACCAAAGGAGGTGTTTATTTAATATAAATGCTTTTGTATTACATCCAAATACAATCTCATTTTACAAATAACACAAGGAAACATTCATGTAAATCACTCAAATAAACTTTCCTGTTTTTGTTATGTTTTATTTTTTACCTTTTGTGAAGAAATTTATTCAATGGGATCATGTGAGTCATATGAATAAGAAAATAGAATCATGAAGTAGGAGGCACTTTATTAGGGTGTAAATAAACCTGATCAGCTGTTTCTGAGCCTGGTTGATTCACAAAATCACTTGGGGTACTTTTTGAAATACAGATTCTCAGAACCCCACCCCAGAGATTCTGATTCAGTAGATACAATGAACTTGACTATCTGCTCCCAGACTTGCTTGAAGAAAACCCCAAAGTACGCAAGCATTTTCAATTTTAACTGAATCCTTGAAAATAAGATTGCATATTCTTAAGAAGTCTTAATATACGGAATACAGAATGATTCTTTTTTTCAAATATCAAAGTCAAGTGACCATACCTGTTTAAAAAATAATTTGAGGAGGTAAATTTCTAAACATGCATTCAAATTGACCCCATACTTGGAAATCTCCGAAAAAATTAAGTTAGGGAGGCAGTAATCGTCCATAAATGGATTTTCTGTTGTGTAAATGTTTATACAGATGTTGTAAGTGAGACTTTTCAACAAACTCCTTAGGTTGCTGACAGCGGACAACTTTGCATATGTGTGTTAACAGGAGAATGTGCTGTGTTTCAAATGAATGGGGAAGCGGGTCTAAATGACTTTCAGATTAGCTGGAACAGATGGAAGGGTCACAGTTGAACAACTTGACACGCCGGCATAAAGGCATCATTGAAGTGCAGTTCATTGCCTCTGACAGATACTGTCAATCAACCCTGGCTTTCTCTCAGTTAACCAACAGCCTGGACCTTTAAAGATTTAAAAAGGAATTTTTAGAAAAGTATCTTGGGGCAAGAACTTAAGTTTATCTGGTTTATTTCAGCACTTAACCCCATCTCAGACTAAGTTTTTAGAAATAGAGCAATGGATTGTAAACATTTTAGAAACTAACATGATATAAACTTGACATTAGGGGCTGTCACTAATAAATATAAAAGTTTCCCCCACATTATGTCTTTAGAGGGTCCTATTATCACACTAATTAGAACACTGTGCAGAATATCAGAATGAAGAAAATGCTATTTTTTTAAACTGTCCAACTAGAATTTTGATCAGCTGTTATCCGAAAGACATGACCAAGCAAGTATAAAAATATATCATATTTAAAATTTTTTTTTTCTTTTTTCTGGGCCAACTTGATGTGTGGCCTAGAAAATGTGTTTGTAACTCGATGTGTGTTCAACTCTTGTGTGTGGCCCAAATGATAAAAAGTAATTAACCATTGGGAGCTACTCTACAAGAAGAAGGTGGAGCTGGAGATTTAGCTTTGCGCCTGTCAGATCACTAGGAGACCTTTGAAAGTCTGAAGATCCATCCAGACCATCAGCCTAAGGTGGGCTCTACAGAAACCCTCTGTTTGCTTTCCTGCTTCAACACAGCTGATTGATTCAAATTGACATCCTGGTTCCTGTATGCTTCTATATAGGTTACTAGAAGACTGGAATGCTGGAACTTTGAGAAAGGGGATTGGTATTTGCACTTCTCCATCAGGGAGGAACGCTGAATCTTAATCATTGGCTGCCTGTGGATCGCATTGTTTAGCCTGAGAGTGCCCATGGGTCCAGAGGTGCTAATTTTTAGAAGCATAGGGAATCTTGGACAACATGAGTCATGACTGTGTGGTTCACCCTGTAGCCTGATCTCCTTCCTTGAGGCTTACATTGTGGCTTGAAAAACAGATGGGCAGTGGAAGCATCTTGTTGATGGTATTTTTATGGCAATGGTGGTATTTTATATCCTAAAGGCATGTTCATAGGACCATAGATTGTAGCAAAGCTCTGGAGGGTGGAATGCAAGCCCCTTAACTCTTGTGCTTAACCCTGTCATAGCCTCACTATTTCCTCCTCAACAATGCCCATCTTAGAAAACTGTCTCACTCACAGTCTAGAAGAGAAAGCCCAAAGAACTGCATGGCTCCAGCCTGGTCACAGCTGCTTAGACTCATGGGGACACGAAGCCCCAACTTAGCCAATTAAAGTCTCCCTTACAGGAGTTTGAAATTTAGGCTGAGAGAGCCGGTTAGTTTTGGTCATAGAGCAGTAGGCATGTTGGGTGGTCAACAAGGTTCTATAAAGCAAGAAGAATTTTAGGAAAAAATAAACTAAAAGCTTGGCAGAGGAAGCTAACCTGTAAAGAGGAAAAGTTGATTAGACATGGAGAAGGGAGCCAAGGTAAGAGATGCACATGGCTCCAGGCAGAGGGAAACATATAAACATCCTTTCTGTTCTCACAAGACCCTGCTCTACATTGTACAGTTGGGTTATAGGCAATTCACCTTTATCTGCACACTAAACTCACTTTTACCCAAGTTAATTTGATGGAGTTTTTATTCTTTATAAACAAAGATTCTGACCAGGACACCATGGAATTTTCATTTATTTCTTTAATGTAAAATATGTATTAAGCATCTGCTATGTGGCTGGCTTTGTGCCAGCCTCTGCGGAAACCATAAGGAATAAAGAGCAGGATATACTCCTGAGGACTCTACAGTTCATGCCAGCATCTCATGCATTCCCATCACCACCTCCACCACTGCCTCCAAGCCACTCATGAGATTTCTGCAGAGCACAGGGAAGGAAACCAAAGTCGTCCTCCCCTCCATCCTCTCTTCCTTTTTTCATCCATTTCTTTAGTAACCTGCCCTCAAGGCAAAATGCACTGACTATGGGTGACTGCAAGGTGGCTCTTTTCCTCATTGTTTGTTCCCTGCCTCTCCATCTTAAGACATCTTTCCCCAAGTCCAATTTTTATAGATCCCCACTAAGAAATAACTATATATTAATTGATGACTATAATTTAATGTGGTGTTTATATCACTTATATATTCCTAAAGCAGGAAAAAGCTCTCCCCTCCACCACCAAATTTAGTGGCTTAAAAGAACAGTGATCATTTATTTTGCTCATGAATCTGCAATTAGAGCAGAACTTGTTAGGAGCAACTCCATCTATGATTTCAGTGGTATTAACAGGGACAGCTTAACTCAGGACTAGAAGATACACTTTCAAAATTGCTCATTTACTTGGCTGGCAAGTTGATGCTGGTCGTCAGCTGGGTTTGGGCCTGGAGCCCTCATTTCTCTCTACATGGACCTCTCCACTAACTACTTGGGCTTCCTTACAACAACGTGTTGGGTTCCAAGAGCAAGTGTCCCTACTTAACTATGTAAGATAGTGTGGCAATGTGTATTTTCCAAAGATAAACACCATAATATCCACTTGTATGAGCTAGCCTTGGAAGTCACATGGTGCCATTTCCACCATACTGCATTGGGCAATACAATTATTAAGAGCTACCCAGTCTCAATGGGAGAGGACATAGATTCCACCTCTTATCTGAGAAATAGCAAGGGTCTAGAAGAGCATGTGGTTTGGGGGATATTATGGTGTCTGCCTTTGGAAAATATACTTTGCCACAATATCTTCTCTAGTTAAATAGCATTTTAATCTTGGCTCTATTTTAATCAGGGCTCATCTAAGAAAGAGGACACCAAAACCAGTAAAAGTTAAAAGGGATTATTAAAAGAAGGCAAGGATATCTCACAGTAACAATATATAGGAAGTATAGCTCAGCCTTGTAGGAACTCTATCGTCCTCTCTCTCAGGATCCACGTGGCCTCTGACACTGCATCTCTCTTTGCATTTGGTTCAGCCTCTCACAGGCTCCGTCATCAACATTCCTGTGGTTGGAAATGGCTGCCCAGTATAGATTCCACATAGCCTTTCTATACAAGTGCCCCTACCCCTCTAATGTCTCAGCATCTCTTGGACAAAATATATAAATGATTCAGCCTAATCTACAGATTGTTACCTTGGGTCAGAGGCCCAGCCCTATTCCCACTAGCCCTATTCTCATCACTGTGGTGAGTGCGGCCATGTCATGTTATATGAACATGACTTCCCGGCAGGGGACAGAGGAGGAGACACTGCCAAAGACAGGGAGATGGTGGTCGGGTGTGCAGAGTCGGGGAATGAAGTGGTTAACTGTGTCAGGTCAGCATCTTTCTGTGAGTATTAAATAATTTAATATAAATAGGGCTTTAAAAACAGATGTTAGCATGTAGAAATGTTCAATAAGCATTCAGTATTTTTAGGTTTCGTTTTTTTAGGCAGTTACCCAAAACATAATCACTTCACTCTCCTTTTCCCCAGTGACTAAATAATAGAAGCATTTTGGATACCCTGACTGGAACATGAGAGGAAATATTCTGGGACAAAAGTAAATTTAGAATTAACACTGAATGATTTCCATAAAAATAGTTGTTTTCATACTGAAAACAATTGCAAAAGTAATCTAGGAAGAAAAGATAATCAGCAAAAGCATGCTTATTCCCTTGTTTAGCATGTGTTCAAAATTTAAAAAGTATTAAATCGAATAATTTATATTAATACAAAATTCACAAGGAAGAATTAATAGTCAAAGATTTCTATGCGTCGACTAACCAAGGGTGAATATGCATAAAGCTGAAATTAGGTAAACTATGAAGAAAAATTGAGAGACAAAATTATTGTGAAAGATATTGATAGTATTTTCTTATATCAACCGGACAAAAAACAATTTGCAGAATAAAATTAGAAAAATGTATATAACAAAATTTTTTAAGCAACCATGGGTCTTATAAAATATTGAAAATACACTAGGCTGCCAAGAAAAGCTCAACACATTCCAAATAGCTTTAAGTGATCTACGCAATTTTAAAAGAAGTTTTATATGCAGTTTAAAATACTCTCCTAAATAATCATTGGGTTAAAAAAAAAAACAACCCTCCAACTAATGACTATTTAGGAAGAGGCATACATGAGAACACTGCATGTCAAACTTTATCAGATGTGGAAAAGTTGTACCACAGCAAGACTAATGA
The DNA here is from genome assembly GCF_000001405.40 of Homo sapiens. Lineage (NCBI taxonomy): Eukaryota > Metazoa > Chordata > Mammalia > Primates > Hominidae > Homo > Homo sapiens. The sequence goes on from NC_000011.10 coordinate 20,262,924, forward strand.
TGTTAAAGGGGTCAGCTTTTAAACACAACCAATAATTACATGAAACATTATGTTTGAGAATAAATGAAAGAGGCCAGGCATGGTGGCTCACACCTGTAATCCCAGCACTTTGTGGGCAGAGGTGGGAGGATCGCTTGAGCCCAGGAGTTGGAGATCAGCCCAAGCAACATAGGGAAACACTGTCTCTACAAAAATAAAAAAATCATCTGGGCGTGGTGGCACATACTTGTGGTCCCAGCGACTCAGAGGCTGAAGCAGGAGGATCACTTGGGCCTGGGAGGTGGAGGCTGCAGTGAGCCATGATCCCACCACTGCACTCTAGCCTGGGCAACAGAGTGAGACCCTGTCTCAAAATAAAGATAAAAAACAAAAGAGTATATACACAAGAAAATTGAAAAACCTAAGTTCACACAAAAACTTATACACAAATGTTCATAGCAGTATTATTCATAATAGCCAAAAAGTAGAAACAAAACAATAATATCCATTTACATGAATATACAACATTTCATTTATCCACTCACAATGAATGGATAACTAACCATTTTTATGGGTCAACTAACCAGAAACTATAGAGAAAAATTGAGAGACAAAATTACTGTGAAATATGTTGATATCATTTTCTTATATCAAGCAAAAAGAACACAAAAGATGAATCATGATGAATGGATAAATAAAATGCCATATATTGATATAAATGGATATTATTCACGCACAAAAAGAATGAAGTACTAATACATGCTACAGCAAGGATGAACCTTGGAAACATTATACTAAAGTGAAAGAAGCCAGATGCAAAAGGCCACATGTTGGATGATTTCATTTATATGCCCAGAATAGGCAAATCCATGGAGACAGACGGTAGATTAGGAATGGCCAGAGGCTGGGGGCAGTGGGGAAAGAGAAATGACCGCTAATAGGTATGGAGTTTCTTTATGGAGTGATGGAAATATGGAATTAGATGGTAGTGATGGTTATGCAACATTGTGAATGGACTAAAAACCACTGAATTGTATACTTTAAAAGGGTGAATTTTTTGGCATGTGAATTGTATTTCAATAAAACTATACCAAAAAAAAAAAAAAAAGACCAGAGGAAAGAACAAACAAGAGTGAAAAGGAAGGTGTGCCGGCCATTAAGCTCTGGTCTTCAGCTCCAAGCCCGTCCTTCTATACCTGCCGTGTGGTGCTGAGGCTGGGAACCTGCAAGCCACATTCCTCCTTTGCTAGCTAGGTGCCAATTAGGAGGGATTAGAGGGGGACTGGGAAGTGGAAGAGGAAGAGGGATATGCTTCTGTGGTTTGCTTGCTGTTCCTCTTGATACCACCCTGGCAACAGTTCTTGACCATGGCAGCAACATTGGTTCCAGCGTCCTGATGCTTTCCACAATGTCCCCTCAAAAGATGCTAGCAGCAGCCAGACAGCAGCCCCTCCTCCTCAGAGACTGGGCCCTGACTTTACAGGGTTCCCTTCTCCAAGATTCAGGTTCTAAAAGCCCGAGCTCTGTCCTTTGTTTCCCCGGGGGTGGGAGTTGTTTCCAGTATTTACTAGCTCTGTGTTACCTGAGTCCCCTTTCAATTTTCAGCCTTCTGATCGTTATTTCACTCATTCCTTATGTTACATCTTCTCGGGCCACATAACTGCCATGGTTTCTATTTTCCTGATAGGATACTGATGGATACGCATGGAAATAATAAAGATGGAAACAGAAATCACCAAATTAGAGACTGAATTTACAGATAGATCCAAGTAGTTTTTTGTTTGTTTGTTTGTTTGTTTGTTTTTGAGACGGAGTCTGGCTCTGTAGCCCAGGCTGGAATGCAGTGGCGCGGTCTCGGCTCACTGCAAGCTCTACTTCCCAGGTTCACGCCATTTTCCTGCCTCAGCCTCCTGAGTAGCTGGGACTACAGGTGCCCGCCACCATGCCCAGCTAATATTTTGTATTTTTAATAGAGACAGGGTTTCACCGTGTCAGCCAGGATGGTCTTGACCTCCTGACCTCGTGATCCACCCTCCTCGGCCTCCCAAAGTGCTGGGATTACAGGCCCAAGTAGTTCTTTAATAAAATCAAGAGACAGAGCTCTGGAAAATCATATTTTGAAGGCGGCAGGGAATTTATATGTTTTGAAGTAGAGGAAAAGATGAAGAGATGGCCAACTTATTTTATAAATTAAACATAATATATTCAAATTTAGTCCACAAAAAATATAGCCAGTTTCCTAATGATATTTTGTGGAACACACTTCCACATTAGGGAACTCTGTTCCATTAACAGATAGGACTTGAAAAATGTGTCTGTGGTCAAATAAATGTGGGAAATTCTCACATTGTATCTTCCCCTTGGAGATTCACAATATACGTTTGCATATTAAAGAATCTGAGGAACTCTGCAATTAAAAAAAACACCTTAAATGCATTTACCCAAATTTTCTGAATCTGTTTGGCTTTGGCAGATATCCTGAGACACCCAGACATGGAAACACTACTGTAGATCATCTTATTTCTTGATATAGGTAGAAGAGTCCAAAGTAAAATGTTAATATATAGAATTCAACAGTACATTATGACCAAGATATATAACAGAAATGCAAGAGCAGTTTGCTATAAGGAAATGTGCAAATATATCATGGCAAAAGGTCACATAATAAAATAATTATTTCAACCAATGGGTAATGAAAAGGTGCTTGATAAAATTCAGCACTTATTTCTGATAAAAATTCCTGGAATATTAGGAATAGATTAATGTTTCCTCAAACTAATAAAAGCATATGCATCAAATTAACAGTCATTATTATACTGTGAGTCAGATTTAATGAAAAATTATTGTAATAGGCTAAAATCAAATTTTAAATACATTAAAATTTAGACAATAGAGAAAAGAAGTAAATTATGGCATGACCATACAATGTTAACTTTTGTAGTCACTGAATATCATTTTTTTATTGTGGTAAAATATACATAACCTAATGTGCCATCACCACTATTATCTAGATCCAGAATATTTTAATCACTCCAAAAGGAAACCCCATACCCATTAAGCAGTTACTCCTTTCCCCCCCACCCCTTATCTACTGGCAGCAATTAATCTACTTTTTGTCTATGGATTTGCCTATTCTGGACATTTCTTATGTAGGGAATCACACAATGTGTGACCTTTGGTGTCTGGCTTCTTTCACTTAACATAATGTTTTTAAGTTTTATCCATATAGTAGCATGTGTCAGTACTCCCTTCCCTTTTATGGCTGAACAATATGGTATTCCATTGTATGTCTATATGGTATTTTGTCTGTCCATTCATCAGCTGATATATAATTAGGTCGTTGGCTGGGCACGGTGGCTCACACCTATAATCCCAGCACTTTGGGAGACCAAGGCAGGCGGATCATTTGAGGTCAGGAGTTAAGAGACAAGCCTGGCTAACATGGTGAAACCCCATTTTAAAAATACAAAAATTAGCCGGGCATGGTACCATGCACCTGTAGTCCCAGCTACTTGGGAGGCTGAGGTAAGAGAATGACTTGAACCCAGGAGGCAGAGGTTGCAGTGAGCTGAGATGCTGCCACCGCACTCCAGCCTGGGTAACAGAGTGAGACTTGGTCTCAAAAAAAAAAAAAAAGATAATTAGGTTGTTTACACATTTTGGCTGTTGTGAGTAGTGCTGCTATGAATGTTCATGTATAAATTTTTGTCTGAATGAATATCATTTTTGACAAAAATTGATATAGAAAAATTGCAAAATACTGTATAACATGAGAAAAGCTTACAAAATTATAATTGTGGTAGGATTCAATTTTATAGTCTAATATATAAAGACTGGATGAATTTAAAAATCTCTAAAATAGTCACAGTAATATTCAGTGAGTCACATAACTGTGGATGATTTTTATTTTATGTATCTTTTTACATTTTTCAAAATTTTTATAATTAAAAATTATTTTATAACAATGAAAGCAACTCATTTAAAAACTGTGCTAGGGAAATGAGGAAATAGAGATAGTATCACCTGTTCTTTTGGGGACCATGACTGAGACAGGAGATGATAGGTGGTGTGGTACCCATGGTGGATGAAGAATGGCAGGGCTTTTTAAAAGATAGGTAATTTGAGCATATTTATAATTTGCATGAAAGGACTCAGGAAAGGATTAAACAGTTATAATATAGGGGAGAAAGAAAGGTACAAGTTCCTGATCTTAGAGAAATCAGAAAAGGGGGTGATCAAGCATGCAGATTAAAGGGTTGGCCTTAAAACAGGGAAGAATATAAATATTTCTCTTAGATTTAGAAGTTTTTTTGGTGAAGACACAGGCAGGTGGAGACGAGGTATAAAGTATAAAGAAAAACTTGATGGATTTCATACCTAATAGACCTAATATTCACAATGAAACAGGTTAAGCCAAATGTTGGAAAGAATAGAATAGATTTGTGTTGTAAGCTTCAGAAAAAATGGTGTTAAAAAAGACAAAATTACAACAAATCTAACTTTGCAGATCTTAGTTGGCTTTTATTTGTGACTTTAGACTCAATTACAGTCCAAGTCAAAAGTAGTTCAGAATGCTCTGCCCTACCACGTGTGCAGGTTATATTTATTGATAGAGAAAAGAAAGTGATATACAGAAAATGGAAGTGGGGTATAGAGACAGCTTAATTGGTTAAAGCTGGTGTTTGCCTTAATTTAACCTGGTTTGAACAGTTGGCTGCCTATCGTTGACTGAAGCTCAGCTACTGTGATTGGCTGAACCTCAGCTATTTGTTATAAAGGCAAATTCCTAAATTAGGTTTCCAGTTTGTTTACATACTAAGTTAGGTTGCAGTTCATTACTTAGGACTCATACTGAAGCTTCTAAAGCCCAAATTTAGTTTGATTTAGCACTTGCTATAAGTTGAAATGAGCAAGGTAAATAACCAGGGGCACACAGATTTCTGCAACACTCTATCTGCTGTTTATTGCCTTCATTGCATTCTAAAATTCATTACTCCTGTTTCCTTCCTTCCTTCCTTCTTTTTTTCCATCCTTCCTTTCCTTCCTCTCTCTCTCTCTCTTTCTTTCTTTCCTTGCTCTGTTGCCCAGGCTGGAATGCAGTGGCACGATTGTGGCTCACTGCAACCTCCGCCTCCTGGGTTTGAGCTATTCTCCTGCCTCGGCCTCCTGAGTAGCTGGCATTACAGGTGTGTGCCACCACACCCGACTGATTTTTGTATTTTTAGTAGAGATGGGGTTTCACCATGTTGGCCAGGCTGGTCACCTCAGCTGATCCACCCACCTCAGCCTCCCAAAGTGCTGGGATTACAGGTGTGAGCCACCACACCTGGTCATGTTTGGTTTCTTTAAGAAAACTTTCCTCTAAGCAGATTTTTTTTCTTGTTGCCAGTTTGATCCTGTTTTATAGATCAATAGCTTTTAGAGGTTATTGACAATACAAATTGTAGATGTTCCTACAATTTTTCTTTGTTTCTTAGAGATGTACATCTTCTCATTCCTCATACTAACCCTCTTTTGAATTGCTGAATATTTTTATGTATCCAGGGGATTCTCTCTTTTTGTTTAGCATTACAATGTGGTGTGCTTATTTGTTGAGTATCAAGGTTGTGTGATTATATCTGACCTTTATACAGCTCTTTAAACTCAGATAAAGGGGGAAGTGAACACCTCAGATTTGGTATAGTTTTATTTTTTGAATCAGTTAGAATTAGGTCTGGCTGTATCAAAGATATGAAATGATACTATTTTAAATGGAACATAAACAAATTTCTAGAGATTAAAAATCCAGAGAGAATCAACCTGGAGCTGGTAAGGCAGCCCTCTTCAAGTCCTCAGGGTGCAGGCTCCCTCTAGCTTTCTGCTTTGCCATCATAAGGGTGTGTTCCTTATTCCCCTGTCCATGATAGAGTTCCAGTCATCATATCCACATTCCAAGGGGCGGAATGAAGGAAAGGGGGAAAAAGGGACTAAGGGAGGCTTATGGAAGCTGCCACATTGTACTTTCACTTGCATCCTATTGGCCAGAATTTAGTTACATGGCTGAATCCTACCTGCAGGGAAGGCTGGGAAACACACTTTTTATTCTAAGCAGTTGTGTGCTCCACTAAACATTTCACTACTTAGAAAGGGGCACAGAATGGCTCTGAGGGGAAACCAGCAGTCTGTCACTCTCATGGATCATGGAGTAGAAACAAGTGGCTACCAGAAGTGTCAAAGCTGGAGTATTTACTTTTGTGTATGAGTTGTTTCTTCCTTGGGATTGATTGTCTGAATTAACTGTGCCCCCATTCTCTTCTCTAACTTGCAGGGCTGCTCTTGCTAGGGACCACCTGTGGCCATTGTCTTCATACTTTGACAGACTATCCATCTGTGTTGGGTACAACCTGTGGCAACAGGATCCCTAATTCCTTTAGGATTATAGCATGCTGCCTCTTTAGAGTCTTTAGGAAGCTTGAAATGTGCCCTTTCACTGATTTCCCCCCCAAAAATGCTGCAAACTACGGATCGTTATATGGGGCTCACTGGGATTTCTTCCATTTACAACTCAGGCAGTGTTATTTCCCCACACAGTGTATTGGTAGTCCCTCCACCAATTCAGTGCTGCCTGTGCTATAATCTGCAGAAATTCCTCAAAATTGCTGGCATGTGAGTGCCACAATTCCCTAGCTTCCAGGGATAAGGTGAATTTTTAACTCTACACAGTTTATTTTCTTTGATAATTTTAGTGGAAATTTTGTTGAGGCAGGGAACATCAAGCATTAGGTCTATGATCACATTCTTCACCAGAATCCATTCTTTGTCTTTCTTATGGTGTCATAGATTGTAACTTAGCATATCATCTCCACAATTAGGCTACATACAAAGTTGAAATATGAATATGCATAAGGTTTTTAAAGGGTTGGAATCACTTTATCCATGAATTTCCAGAAGAGATAAACATCAGTGTGCTTAGAGAAGTTTGGGTATCTAGGATCATAAACTAACCTTAAGAAAAGGGGAATTTTTATAAGAATTGTATGGAAACTGGATCTGGATCCAGAAAACCACCAGTACAAATGGTAGGGTGCAGCTACTCTCTCAGCCTCTCCAGAAGCCACGTGGTTTCTCATAATGATGTTTTTGCTTCTGTCCGTGTTTGATCCAGTCCTCAAGCCCTCTATCAACTGGCCTCCTCCTAACTTCCCCATGGCCCCAACTAAAGTCTCCAGCACCAGGTCTGCTTGGCTCTAGCAACTGTATCTTTTCTTTTCAAATTCCCGAGAGAAGAATCTCATTGTCTGATTGGTCCAGCTCAACTTTGTAAGCAAGGTAGGGGTGTTTGTTTGTTTGTTTTTGAGTTAGGGTCTTTCTCTGTTGCCCAGGCTGGAATGCAGTGGCGTGACCATAACTCATTGTAACCTCAAACTCTTGGGTTCAAGTGATCTTCCTTCCTCACCTCCTCGAGTAGCTAGGATGACAGGTGTGCACCACCATGACTGGCTAATTGTTAACATTTTGTTTGTAGAGACAAGGTCTTGCTATATTGCCCTAGCTGGTCTCCAACTCCTGGGCTCAAATGATCCTCCTTTCTTGGCCCCCTAAAGCTCTGGGATTACAGGCATGAGCTACCACATTCAGCCACAAGGAAGCATTTTAAGAATAAATTACAGATTACTGGACAGGCTGCTCTCAAGTCCAAGGCCACCCCATTTCACATCAGGTGAGGTATAGGGCAGTGTGAGAAGAAGCCTGTGGTATATAACTTGGCTGTTTAGAGAAGCAGATGCTGTAGCTCTCACTGGGTTTGTTTGTAGTTGGCTTTCACCTAAGTTGTGTCTAGGAATGCTCCATGTTCATTGACTCTGTCTAGTCAACAAGAATAAGTGCCATACTCCTTAGCCAAGCATTTAAGGTTTTACACTCTTAAATGTGCCCACCTTTCCAGTCGGGCCTCCCACTCTTACCCTCTTTGTTAGCCCGACTTACCTATTTACTTTGCCCAAAAACCCACCTTAGATATTCTTCCCCCTAAGCCTTTGCTCACGCTATACCTGCCTTGCCCTCGCCAACCCCTGTCATCTTTCAAAGGCTGGCTGAAGTTGCTCTTTTTATACCAATACTAGCTACTGTTATTAAGCATCTGCCATGTACCAGGTGTTCTCCTAGGTACTTTATATATATAATCTTACTGAATCCCCTCTACTTACCTTTCAAAGTGGGTACCATTGCTCCCATTCTACAGGTGGGAAACTGGAGGCTTGGAGAGGTTAAATTATTTACCCAAATTCCCATAGGGAATAAGTGCCAAAGTTGGGATTCTGAACTCAGGGCCTGCCCGACTTCAGAGTCTATACTTTTTCTGACACCATGCTTAGTCATGAAGACTTTCCTGATGACTTGTACCCATGGTGGCTTGCCCTCTTTTGAAGAGTACCTGATGTCTCTTCTGAATGGCTGATTTGTCATTTAATCAATGATTACTTACAATACAAATTGTCTTTTGGGATATAGACCTTCCTTTGGGATGTAGACCTTCCCTCCCCAACTAAACTCTAGGCTAGTGGTTCTCAATGGGGGTGGTACTGCCCCTAGGAGGCATTGTAGAAATTTATATGTGTAGAGAGATTGGTCGTCACATTGACTGGGGAGAACCATTGTCATTTACCCTGCAGGAGTAGTGCACCGCACAGCCCCAGGCAACAAAGAATCATCCCACAACCCATTAGAACTTCGGATGTCCCACTAGATATCCAAGATTAAAAACCTGTTCATAATTATCCAAAGCTCAAACCAAATACTGTTTTACATATAGGCACTAAATAATTTTTGCATAGCTTAAACTGACCCAGAGAACTTTCCAGGAAAGGAACTAACATTGCTAACAAAAATTTAAAAGACAATTATACTTTGTTTAGTTTGGTCTTTAAAGGGCCAAGAGTTTTTCACTATTGCAGAAAATTATACCCACCAATGGCAACACTGCTTGTGGCATTTGAGTCTCCAACAAAGTATAGCTATGTCAGTTTGCTTTTATAGCTATTGCATTTACAATGATTATAGATGAAAATTGCTGACCTCTCATAACTATTTTTCCTCAAGCACTTACATATTGAAATATGTTCAGTTTTATTATAAATTATTTTCTTTATGTTTCTCCTTTAAATTACTGATAGGGCATCACATTGCTTTTTTGAAATCACATATGTAGGTAGGTTATATCACATATGATAATATAGAGAGATAATTTCAACGTAGTAGCAAACTAAATGACGCTATTGGAAGGAGAGGGCTGGGAAGCAGGGCTTTTATTCCTGGGAGAGTAAGGACCAAGTCTCACGTTGGTTTGACTTCCCAGAACTCCTAGTGTAACTTTCTGCCCTTTGGAAAGAGGTAAGCATTTGTGGTATTTAACCAAGAACAAGAAGGCCACACCAAATAGGCCTGCTGACTGCTAAGGCTATGGGTAAGGAAGGTCCGTTTCTCTGAGTTCATTCTTATTTGAGAACTTGATGGATACGTGCCCAGCCCCTGGTTCCTGAACATGCCCCTTGATCCCACATTTCCCTGCTTTGATGGTTTCCCCACCTGAGAGCTCCCTTCCTCCCCCTGGCCAAGCTCAGCAAGGACAAATCCACTTTATCCTGTAAGATGAAACTCAAGAGGGCCTTCCTGACCCTATCCTCTCTCCTTCTTACACTTCAAAATTGAACTAATCTCTCTTCTTCTGGACCCTCACAGTATTTTATCTGTACCCCTTTTGGGGCATAGTGTATTTTAAAAAAAAAAAACTTGTATATAGTCCCATTTTTTTTGTATATAGTCCCATTATCCCACCTAGACAGTAAGTTCTTTGCCCTGGGGATCTGTTCCTGACTCATTTTTATATCACCACACCTAAACAGGACTGGGCACAGAGTAGATGCTCAATAAATAGTAGCCGAAGAGTAAGTGGTTACTGAAAAGCAGTCCTGCTGTATGAAACTTGGAGGAGAGATGTTTCAGAGGAATGGATTCTTCAGGGTGAGTTAGAATTGGGGCAGGATTTCCTTGGAACAGCCCACTGTGTGTCTACCTGGGATATTTTGGAGAGTTGAATTGTAAGTATTAAGGAGGAATTAATGTCTCCTTCAAGAAGCCAGTTTAGAAAGATCTGAATGACCAATAGGTAAATGATAACTTCAGAATGTAAGGACTGGCTGTAGGGGGCTCCCAAGAATCTGGTAAGTCAGAAGAATAATATAAGAAAAATATAATAATTATATAGTCATAAAATCTGCTGGGAACTATGCTAAATATGTTACATACATTATCTATTTTAACCTTCCAAAAAAAGCCTTTGAGATAGGTTATTATTAGCTCTATTATATATGTGTGTGATATGTGTGTGTGTGTGTATGTGTGTGTGTATATATATATATATATTTTTTTTTTTTTTTGAGATGGAGTCTCACTCTGTCGCCCAGGCTGGGGTGCAGTGGCACCATCTCGCCTCACTGCAACCTCCACCTCCCAGGTTCAAGCAATTCTCCTGCCTCAGCCTCCTGAGTAGCTGGGATTACAGGCACCTGCCACCACACCCGGATAATTTTTTGTATTTTTAGTAGAGACAGTGTTTCACCATATTGGCCAGGCTGGTCTCGACTCCTGACCTTGTGATCTGCCTGCCTTGGCCTCTCAAAGTGCTGGGATTACAGGCAGCTCTATTATATTTTATAGATGAGAAAACTGTGCCTCAGAAAGGCAAGCGAGTGTGGGAGCCAGATTCCAGCTTGGCAGAGCCCTAAAGCCCATGCTTTTCTAGGACGTCCCGATAAGCATACCCTGGAGTCTTTTTGCCCTATAGGGAGGCCCTTCTGTTTTTAAAACCAAAAGAGACAGACTTGAACCACAAACAGAGGGTTTTTTTCTTCATAGAAAAAGATGCCTCCTGCAACCAAAATAAATAAACCCATAAGAAGAGCGGAAAGCAGACCAGAGCCTCTGGGAGTTGGCCCTCACCTGCAGAAGAAAGCACAGAGATTCTTCCTGGGGACTGATGGTCCGTTTTTTCTTTCTTGTTTTCGAAAGAGGCTTGGCTGTCAGGCTTTGATTCAGAACAGGAGTGCATTCAGAAGCATCCTCTGGTGAGGCTGGGAAGCTGTTCACATCCCCGGAAAATTCAGTGGGAGAAAAAGTTTATGGAAGCGAGTAGGAGTTTATTCAACAGTGTCTGAGGCCTTTCAGAGCCATGAGTGAGTGTCTATAAAGGGGCAGTCAAGCATAGGCTGGGAATTATCTCTGTTGGGTGCCTACCTGTGACAGGCCCTCAAGAGCTGCTAAGAGGCTCATTCAGGGCCCAAGGGACAATGGCCAGTGGGGACAAACAATTCGGAGGAGTCTATCATTCTGGTGGTGTTATCTTTAGCACTGAATAAAACCGGAGTTCCCCCTTTCTGCCTCCTAGTCAGCACTATTTTTAGGAGCCAGTGGTACTTTTCAACTCTCTTTCACTATTTTTCAACAGGTTCACAAGGGCACGAAGTGCAGTATATAAAAAGAGGATAATGACTTGACTTCAGTGCAGGAAAAGGCCCAATGAACAGAGCAGCCAAGCTTGCCGGGACTAGAATAGATGAAAGTTTGGAGAAGAGTCGAGAAGAAATGGCATTGTCTGCATGGAGAAACTCCCCATTTTACATACAGTACTTCTGAGATGCTAAAGTAGACTTTCTGAAGTTCAAAGTTTAAAGAAGAAAGACTCAACTTTGAACGGTTCTGAGTGAGAAGCTGGAATAATGGTAGGCAGCCTTCTGAACTATTCACAGTTGTCTAGTGTGTGCCTTCACTACATGGACACTGATGCATTAGCTTTCTCTACAGGGCTGGCTTCATGGGAGTGTAATCTGTGCAGTCACACAGGACCTCATCCCTAAAGAGGTCCTCCTGCACAAGGTCTAACACTCTGCATAGCCATCTTGAAATTCTTAATAATTTTTGAACAAGATATCCCACATTCTCAGTTTGCATCGGGCCCAGCAAATTATGCAGCCAGTCCTGGTTTAGAAAGACAAAGAGCTGTCACTTTATACAGTCCCAGACACCAGGTCTTTGCTGTGTCAGAATTGTATGAGGAGTTAAGAATATAATTTACATTGTATAAACCTTCAAACTGCACAGATACATCTGTTTTTGTTTATTTGTTTTGTTTGCATTTTCATTTCATGTCTTGTTCCTGTTACAGGGAGAGAAGGGCCACATTTTTTGTTTTTATTGTTTAATGCATGCTATTTTAAGATTTCTCAAGAAGACAGCAGTCCCTGTCCAAAACTGTGTCTGTGTTCTGTGGTTAATTCTATTCTCCACATTCTACATGGAATTCCTGATTCAGGATTCCCTTATGTGATTCCATGACCAGAGAGGCTCAGGAGGAAATGAATCCCTTATTGAAGTCAAGGGAGAACTGGATTCATCTTGGGGAGATTTTTTCCTTCATCTGCTGGGTAAGGAGAAAAACAAAAGAAAGGTCAGCTTTCCTGTTTCTCAGAGAACAGAGATCATAATGTCTGCTGTTTCGTAAACCCACTCACAGTCCCCATGTTAGTGACAACCAGAAGACGACATTCTTGAAAGTAGAACAGAAATTCAACTTAGCACTGTGGGGCAGTGTCTCCTCCACGAACTGGGATTGGAAATGTCTCATATTAAACCCAGAGTGGGACCAAGAACACACCGTAGATGATGGCTTGCTTTAAATAAAAATTATGTCTTAATGACACTTTACCTAACTGACTTTGGAAAGTAATTCCCTGTCCAAGGATTGAAGAGATACATCATGCCAAGCTGTATGATACGTAAACTTTCCATCCTTTTAAGTTTTCCTAATTCTAAGAAGAAATTATGATTAACAGTAATAATGACCACAAACATAGTAAACATACTAGGATAATGATCACAAATAGAGCTTGAAATCCTGATTCCTGCATTTCTAACTGTGACCATGGGCAATTTCCTAACTTCACTGGTCTGTAGTTCCTTCATCTCAAAAACAATGGAGGTACTAAGGCCCAAGGTTTTTGTGGCACTCAGGGTTGGCTAACGTATGCCTTAGATGGCCAAGCACTCTTCTACGTGAAAGCGGATAACGTTGTTAAAGGCAGCTCTCAGCTTTCCACACTGGTATTTGAACACAGAGCCCTTCCCACTTCTTACCCCTCCCTCCCATCTTCTCTTCCAGCTTTGGCCTCTCAGACTTGCTGTGGCTTGGGAGCATATCTGGGGCCCACAGCTGGAATGTCCGGGCTGCTTCCAAGAGCTGGACCCTCAGTCTCAGGCGGGTTCTGGAGGACCCACTCCCAACCCTAACACCCAGTCACCTTCGTGGGGTGATCGTCCCAATGGCCATCACTCCCTCACCACTGGAGTGTTACCTCACAGATGGAGGACCTAGCCTGTGGGAAAGAAGAGACCATGACTTATCGGAACATATGGTTTCTTAATTCAAGTTAAAATGTCTGAACCCTGTTGCATCTGGTGCCATTTTAGTTTGTTAAAAATGCCACACAAGACTGTGACTAAAGGGGAAGAAATGGAGAAAAATACAGTTATTACACACTCAAGAGCCGGGTTTTGCGGCTCATTACCCAGTGGCCTCCGTGACTAATTAGGTTTTGTCACTGTTGCCGGGTCATTATGCCTTAATTTTTTTGCATAGTTATTCAGCCGTCACTTGAGGAAAAATGAAGTAGAGAAATACCCTTCTCTGTCTCCCCTGCTCTGAATCATTCAGGCTAAAAAAACTCTCCAGGCAGAGAGTACCCGAAACTGATGAAATGATCATTTTGCCACAATGGGACAAAGAAGTGTTAGTGGATTAAAGAGGTGCTTCTTTATCTGATGGCAAAGACCTCATTGAGCTGCAGAGGGCACAATTCAGTGGGGGAGATCATTAACTTTGAAGTCAGTCATCCAAAGATAATGTTTGTCCCTTTGCTTCCTTTGTTGTCCAACTGGCCTTAGCAACCTCTATTTTTTTACTCATCCTTGAAAAACTGGGGAAAAATGCATAATAAAATAAGGCCCTTGGGTCTCCTACAGGCCGGAGGCCTAGGTTAATTTTTGCTAGCTGCAAAGGAAATTGAAGACACCATAGTATTAGCACAGTGGGGCTTGTGTTGGGTCCGGGATAGTAAAAGGACCCATGGTGAGAGGGGAGACATTGGTGTCAATCATGGGGTGGGACACCACAATGGCCGGTAATTGGCGTGGGTCCACCTTCTACGTCCGTCCTGCTGAGCCTGCAGCCCCCAGCCCACTCTTGAGCCCCATCGCTAACAAGTAAACAATTTATCAGGGTTAGGTCTCCTGCGGGTTGCCCCATCACACGCTCCATTCGGCCCTAGCACCCCCACAACCCCCGTGCCAGCCCCACCACACACACAAAAATTGACGTACACCGTGCAATTTGGGGCAGACGCACCATGTAACAACACATTTACAACGGGCCTACCATGAAAATGGCTGTGTCAATATAGCTGCAAACTGGGGTAGCAGAGCAGCTGTGTCGGCCCAGAACTGGTGGGCCCCAGAGGGTGTCAGGAGGAGAGGGTCACAGGCATTGGATCATATCAGAGCTGATTATGACCCCTGCATCTTTGACACAAGAACTCACACAAATGTTCACTAGAATCAATCAAATGTCTTATAAGTAGCCTAGCCGTTTTAATGTCATTCTCTGGATTTGTTTATTCTGAACTTTGTTATTGAATGAGTTGTGGCTCTTCAGGAACCAGAGTGTTCCTAAATAAGGGGCTTGCTGGAGACCCTGCTCTGGAGAGTGAAAATCCTGTGGTGAGGATTTTGACAGAATTGTCCATTTTCTAGAAAATAGGGCACTAGACTTTTGGCTCTGGAAGATCTGTTGGAGACACCAGCTGTGACTCTTTCACAAGCTGCGTGATCTTGCTGAAGTTCCTCAGTTCCTCACTTGATAGACACGTTTTGCAGATCGAATGAACTTGTTGGAATTATATATAAAGAGGAAAGTAACTTATTAAATATCTCTTATGTGCCATGCTTTATTTCATTTAATCCTACAACAACAACAAGGAAGGGAATGTTGTCGTCTATCTTTTATAGATCAGGAAAATAAGGCTTCAAAAAGGAAAAGGAATCGGAGATACCTGAAATGGAAGTTAGAACCAAGTCTGTCTACTGACTTGTTTGCTCTGTTGTCCCAAAGTTGGTTCTGTTTCCATGCAATTTTGCCAGGAACAAAATACTCTTAGATAATTTTAAATACACAGTCTCATATTCAGATTGATAAGACATAATTCGGTCTTTTGGAAGACATTTCTTTAAAGGGTTGGAATGGGAAGGAAAATTTCTATGAGATGCGCAGAGCTTTATAACTATGAGGCTTTTTTATTAATTTCTCGGTTTCTAACATTCTGTTATTGCCTTTCACTGTAAGATTTTTATCCAAGACACCCTCCATTATTAGACATGCCTTTATTTTATGTGCTACTGATTTCAGAGTGCTATTAATTTTAGGATTATCCCTACTTGAGAGGTGTTACGATGTAGAAAGTTGTATATTTTAGAATCCAATATGTGTACCTGGATCTCAGCATCATAGGGCTGCTGTATTTTTCCGTGTTCTTGGAAAAAGCAATGGCTTTGTTTGCTGTTTAACAGTTGAAAGTGTGGCTGATGCTGGTTTCCCGTGCGGATGGGGTCTGTGTGTGGGGTGGCTTGCTGAGCTCAGAGTGCAGGAAGGAAGACTCCCCCCAGCCAGGAGTCTCAGCACCATTGTCCTCCCTTGAAGCTGAGACAAAGGAGCAATTTTATGCTAATCAGTGTACATGAAATAAGCTTTTTAAATTTTTTTCTTTTTACAAATTCTACTTCTTTCACTTGGAGACATGATACATGAGGGGAGTCTATACAGCCACATTCCTCAGCTGAGGCACACAGCCAGCGGGGCTGACATCAGGAAAGTACGCAGCAGTGGAGAACTGGACAGAGCCTGTCAGACCTGCCCATCTCTTCAACATGAAGCCCTGCACATTTGTGGGCAGTGTTGGCGTGGGCTGTGTTTGAGGACGTGAAACTAATGTATTTCGGGGAGAGAAAAACTTTCTCTCTACCCTCTGAAGGTTTGAGAATTGAGTCTGTGAAATAAACTGAAAGTAGACAGATTAACAGGAAAAAAAAAATCATTTTAATTACATGCATAACCATGGGAGTCCCACAAAATATGAGACTCAAAGAAGGGTCAGATGATTGAAGTTTCTGTAGCATCCTGAGTTACAGAAAGAAATAGAGGCTTTGAGTTTGTGGGTTCGGGGAGTGGCAGACAGCACAAGTTATGGGAAAGTGAGGGGAGGAATTGTACAGTGAATAAAGGTTGTCTTGTCATGCAGCTGAAGTCTCTCTCAGGTAATATATCTCCCAGCAGCCCTTTTCCTGATACAGATACTCCAATAATGTAGATTTCTGTTCTAGATGTAAATTTCCTTTACAGAAGGACAGCTTTTTAGAGCTACTCCTGTGTGTGCAGTTTCTTAGAATGACCAGCTGAAAATGTATGAAAAAATTTCTAAATCAAACTACATTTGGGCTTTAGAAGCCTCTGTACAAGTCCGTGTAACTAACTGCAACCTAACTTAGCAAATAAACCAACAGAAAACCTAACTTAGGAATTTGCCTTTGTAACAACAACTGAGTCTCAGCCAATTATAGCAGCCGAATTTCAGCCTGTGGCAGGTGGCCAACTGTTCAAACTAGATTCAGTTAAGGCAAATGCAGGGATTTAACCAACTGACTGTCTCTATACCTCATTTTTGCTTTCTGTATGTCATTTCATTTCCTCTGACTGTAAATATAACCTGCACATGTGGTGGGATGAAGCATTCTGAACCATTTTTCTATTTGTTTTAGAGATGGGGGTCTTGCCATGTTGCCCAGGCTGGAATGCAGTTGCTATTCACAGCCACAATCATAGCGCACTGCACCCTTGAACTCCTGGGCTCAAGTGATCCTCCCACCTCAGTCTCCTGAGTAGCTGGGACTACAGGTCCACACCACCATACCTGGCTTCTGAACCATTTTTGATGTAAAATATTGCCCAATTCTAGAATTGCAGATAGAAGCCAATTAACATCTGCAAAACTAGTGTGAAAAGAAAAACTTTAAACAAATTAAATTTAACAGAGTTTAATTGAGCAAAGAATTCTTGAATGAGCAGCCCCCCCAAACCAGAATAGGTTCAGAGCAACTCTGGTGTGGCTGTGTGGTTGGAGAAGATTTATGTATGGGAAAAGGAAAGTGACATAAAGAAAACAGAAGTGAGGTATAGAAATAGCCAGATTGGTTGCAGCTCAATCTTTGCCTTATTTAAACATGGTTTAAACAGTTGGCTGCAGTTCTGCTGCAGAGTGAGTGGCAAGGTTGATCTTTCTCTGAGGTCGTTTCCAGAAGACCCAATCTCTGCGTTCTAGATCATGATGGTCCTCAGTTGGTGGATCATGGAAAAGCTTTCTTTACCTTGTGACAATACACTTTGGCATAATGCATTAAAGCTTGCAGCATTTAGTCGTATGGGAGTTTAGGAGCAGGAGATACATGAGGTTCTATTATTAGGGGCATAAGCCTACCAGTGACTATTTATAGAAGATTAACTTTTAGTTTGCACTGGAAGTAGATCTGATTGTCATCAGTCTGCAATACCTTTGACCAAGGCAATCCTGTCGATTCAATTAGCTTTACCTAATGCCATTGTATCTATAATATCATATTTAACTGTTCTGTAATTCGTCCAGTGAAACAAGTACTTTTATTGTTAGAGATTTTTCCAGGAGTGTCCTATGAGGGAATCACACTTTCTAATAATCTTTTAGCTATTGTTATAGCATCAGCCTTCTTCCATGGGAAAGCTTCTATATTGATATTTAAAAGGATATAAATCCTCTTAAATTGATATTTAAATATCCTCTTAAATATCAATTTTGTTTCTCCAATTCAGGTGCTTAACTGTTTATTAAATGGGTTATCATAGGTAATTTAACTTGGATATGGAATTCACTCAAATTGTCTATCTTAACAATTTCAGTACTGGCTGATTTAGCATGAAAGTCTGGCAAAGTATTTCCTTGGTATATAACTAATTCTTGTTCTGCTTGGGTTAGCAGTTTTATAAACCAGCCAGTCTCTTTATTAGAATTCCAGGAATTCTTACCCAGTCCAAACGATATTATCCTAAAGTTATCAAAAATTTCTATTCAGCAGTGCTTCTCAGGGTCCTTTCCATACTTTCCATGAACTTCCTTGAAGACACAACACTCTAGGATTTTACTTGCTTGCAAAGAACTTCCAGGAAATGCATCAGAATTCAGCAATTAACTGTGGAAAGGACTTAGAATGGTCATGGTTAAAGACACAGTTGACAAGAAAATTTGGTTATTTCTGTGGCCTATAATAATTTAACATAATAACCATAGTTATGATGGGTAACATATAAAGACCTACTAGAATTTTAGGAATCTCATGCAATTTTGAAAGATATATTAATAACATATTCATAAAAATGTAACTTGAAGAAGGTTAACCATTATTTGTTATTTGACAAGGTTTCCCATATAATTTAACATATCTAATAAGCCTATTTATTATCTCTTTTAGATGCTGCAGGGGCCCTCCATAACATCCCAAAGTTAGTTTGAGGTGAAAAGCCTTAATTCTGATTTTGAAATTTGATTTTTGGAAGCCTGTCAAATATATCAAAAGTTTAAAACACTTAATCAAAACAGAGGCCAGGTGTGGTGGCTCATGCCTGTAATCCCAGCACTTTGGGAGGCCGAAGCAGGTGGATCACTTGAGGTCAGGAGTTGGAGACCAGCCTGACCAACATTGTGAAACCTTGTCTCTACTAAAAATACAAAAGTTAGCTGGACATGGTGGTGCACACCTATAGTCCCAGCTACTCAGGAGGCTGAGGCAGGAGAATTACTTGAGCCCAGGATGTGGAGATTGTAGTGAGCTGAGATTGCACCACTGTACTCGAGCCTGGGTGATGGGAGTGAAACCCTGCCTCAAAAAAAAAAAAAAAAAAAAAAAAAGAATCACAAGTCACTGTAAAATAAAAGTCATTCACTTAGCCAAACAGATAATCAACTATTTTTTTTTAAAAAGCAAAAACCTTTATTCTTTGATAAAGAGGAGACTATTTTCCAAAAAAATCAAAAGACCTAATAAAAACGGTATGAGATAGAATCTGTCTCCCTCTCCCCACCTTTTTTTGTAGTTTATGCAAATTTGAATGAAAGTATTTTACTGTCTCTTCTTAATACTACATAAAGTTTTTTAAAAGTAAAAACCAAATTTTACTTTTGTATTAATGTATTATTAATATTAAGCTAATTTTAATAAATTTATAAATATATCATCCAATCTCAGTCAGCTTTTAACCACATAAGATCTTCATAAACCTTTTATAATTTCTTACAAGATTTTTCTTTTTTCTTTTTTAAGCTTTTTATATTTTAGTTTTATTTATATATTTTTTATTTTTGAAATTAAAAATTACCTTTAAATAACTTTTAAACTAGACAAAATTATTTTTTTAACAAACACACATTTTTATTCCTTTACAACTTTCCTCACCAAAAACATATTTTGCTTTTTATATACTTTGTGTACAGAATTTTAAAGTATCTAGTAGTTTGAATTACATATATTAACTACAATTTTAACTCTAGTAACCCAAATTTCTAGTGAAAACCTAGGATTTAAGTTTTAATTGTTTTATATTATTATTTATAGATAAAAACCATATTACATATTTTTAAAAAGATATACTTTCTCAATTTTTTTATTAACAGATCTAAATATATTTAGCTTTTGTATACCACATAAAAATAAAATGCCAAAGTATATAAACTTAAACGTATGTTTAATAATTAATGTTTCAGCTGGGCACAGTGGCTCACGCCTGTAATCCCACACTTTGGGAGGCAGAGGCGGGTGGATCATTTGAGGTGAGGAGTTTGAGACCAGCCTGATCAACATGGTGAAACCCCGTCTCTACTAAATACAAAAAAAGTTAGCCAGGCGTGGTGGTGCATGCCTGTAATCTCAGCTACTCTGAAAGCTGAGGCAGGAGAATCACTTGAACCTGGGAGACAAAGGTTGTAGAGAGCCAGGATTGAGCCACTACACTCCAGCTTGGGCAACAGAGTGAAACTCTGTCTCAAAAAGTAATATAATAATAATAATTAATGTTTCAGTATTTTAACTTAGAAATGACTCAAACACTATATTATTTTTACTTAATTTATTAAATTATTAACATGACTGTAAGATTTTAAATTACTGAAGAGTTTTGAAACTGTGACATAGATAAACTCCCTAATGTCTTTCCCAGTTTTCCTGGGTCCCAAGTAACCACATGGCACCCAGAAGAGCTATGAAAGGCAGGACCCTTCTATGTCCCAGATATAGAGTTCAGGACAGAGAACACAGTGGTGAAGAGTTGCTTGGAGGATCCAACCAATCCCAAAATGGCCAGGAGGCAAAGTTGGACCAGGGAGGATAGGGCCATGTGGGGCGTGGCTCTGCCTTGCAGCTGGTGATTGAACTGTTGAGACTATGTCCCTAGGCCTCAGCATGGTCACCTGTCCAGACCTCAAAAATCTAGAGGCTCAAACCTAAGACAGGCTCACAGCAAGATGTGTGCAAGGCTTTAGGAGAGTCTAGCAGCCAACTCTTACAGCTTTAGCTCACAGACAAGTCAAACAAGTGTGACAAATATTACAGAAGTATCAGTTTTATGACCTTAAAACATGTAGCTAAGACAGAATAAACCTGTCTGACCAGTAGACTCAGGTAAAAATGTCTCAATTATGTTTAACTGACAATTTTGAAGCCTTTTATATTTTAGTTTGCTAACAATTCGAAAACTAGCTTCATTTACCAAGGATTATCACATACATATAACATACATAGATGTGTAGATATACAGACACACCAACAATGATTTTTGAATGGATTTTTTAAAGTACAGTGTTGTTCATTTGGAAAATTCCACTATAATTTTAAATTAGCTTTAGTAAGATTTTGCCATTTTATAAGCATTTGCTACTTTCAGGGCCTAATACTTATATGTGTATAGGTAGATGTAGCCAAAAGATGGAGTACTCAGTTTTTCAGAAACTAAAAATCCCATTTTCACATTGAATCTTGCCTTTGGCTCTTGGATCCCCTTTTGATCAACTTAGTGATTTTTTTCCCTACCTAAAGCAAGCAAGAAAAGGAAACAAAGGGGATAGAACACAAACATGTCTGCAAATTTTTGAAAGCTGAAGTCCACACCTCCTGCAGTACTGACATTTGCTGCCAGTTTCTGTCTATAACCCAGTCAGACATCTAAACCCTCTATCTGGATCTAGACCAGTTAATTATCAGATTCGATCAAATCCTGGACCCAGTCCAGTTTCAGTTGTGACTTCTGAACCAAGTTTGGATAAAAAATTTGCTCAAACAAACTTGGATAGCCCAAAACACAAAGTCATGGAGCTTCAGAATCCAAGACAGCAGTGACACAATGGGCCCGGCATGTACCTCATTTGGCCACTTGATGCTTTTGGGGGTCACTGAAAGTTCTACTTCTAACAGCACTTCTGACACCATCTGTTAAAAAACAAAAAACATAAAACAAAACAAAAAACTTAAATTGAATTTAACAGTTTCATTGAGCAAAGAAGGATTCTTGAATTGGATAGCCTGTTTCCCTGCGACTTTTGCACTGCCATGTGGTTGGAAAGCATTTGTGGACAGAAAAAGGAAAGTGACATACAGAAAACAGAAGTCAGATACAGGCTGGGTGTGGTGGCTCACTCCTGTAATCCCAGCACTTTAGGAGACCAAGGTGGGCAGATCACCTGAGGTCAGGAGTTCAAAACCAGTCTGGCCAACATGGTGAAACACCATTTCTACTAAAAATACAAAAATCAGCCAGGTGTGATGGCTCATGTCTGTAGTCCCAGCTACTCAGGAGGCTGAGGCAGGATAATTGCTTGAACCTGGGAGGCAGATGTTGCAGTGAGCCGAGATCATGCCACTGCACTCCAGCCTGGGCCCCAGAGTGACACTCTGTCTCCTAAATAAATAAATAATAAAATAGGTGGCTGCTAGGCTCTCCTAAAGCCTTGCACACATCTTACAGAAACAGCCAGATTGGTTACAGCTCAACATCTCCCTTATTTGAACACAGCTTGAACAGTTGGCCACTTGTGACCACCCAAAACTTGGTGATTGGTACAAGTATAGATGACAGTCTGTTTACACATCCAGTTAGGTTATAGTTCACTATATATGGGTAAATCTCTAGGCCAAACTTAAAATATGTAAGGAGGCAGCTTTAGGCTAAACTTAATATAAGGATAGATTTGTTGTAATTTTGTCTTTTAACAGAAGTATATTTTGGGGTGGCATATTCTGGTCTTCTGTAGTCAAATTCTGGGGTGGTGTGTCCTGAACCCAACAATACTCACCTATCTGAGGAGAGGATGATCCATATGGAGGGTACAGGGAAAACTGACTCCAGAATCAGGGGCAAAGGCAAGTAAAAGAGCCTTCATTAACCAGACCTACCCAATGCAACTATAGATGAATGCTTCCAGAATAAGGCAAAACACACATACTCTGGTGAGCATTTTCAGTCCTTCACAAGGTATCCCCAACCTCCTTAGATTTCCTACAAGCCTCTAGGCTCCTGTGCTCCTGCCAAGGAGGCTATGAGCTCATGAGATTCCATCCCGTTGACTTTGCTATCACTGTGTTTGGCCTTTTCATTCATTAATGTGGTGTTTCCCTTCTTTCAATTCCTACAGCACTAAGTTTTTTTTTTCACTGTGCCTTATGCTGTGGTCATTTTGTGCCACTTCATTTATAGATTTTAGAATTGCCCAATAGTTGCAATAATCCCATGGCCTGCAAAGGACTACATCTGGGAAATGGAACCCCAGCTAGGTGGGATGCTAGGAGGACAGATACAGGTGTAGACACTTAGAAGTACAGTTCACCAGCTGAACACAGAGCAATTTTTATAACTTTCTTAAAATAAGAGCATACTTTGTACATTTTTGTTTTACAGTTATGTTTATACACTTTTGTATGTAGTATTTTTACATTAATGTTTATACATTTTTATATATAGCTCTATTCTTAGTTTTTTGTTCTCCATAGTGGTTGTACTAATTTACACTCCCACCAACAGTGTACAAGGGTTCCCTTTTCTCCTCATCCACACCAGCATTTGTTATTGCCTGTCTTTTGGATAAAAGCCATTTTAACTGGGGTGAGATGATATCTCATTGTAGTTTTGATTTGTGTTTCTCTGATAATCAGTGATGTTGAGCACCTGTTTGCTATTTGTATGTCTTCTTTTGAGAAATGTCTATTCAGATGTTTTGCCCATTTTTAAATTGGATTATTAGATTTTTTTTTCCTGTAGAGTTGTTTGAGCTCCTTATATATTCTGGTTATCAATCTCTTGTGAGATGGGAAGTTTGCAGATATTTTCTCCCATTCTGTGGGTCATCTCTTCGCTTTGTTGATTGTTTATTTTGCTGTGCAGAAGCTTTTTAACTTGACGTGATCCCGTTTGTCCATTTTTGCTTTGGATGCCTGTGTTTGTGGATTATTACTCAAGAAATTATTGCCCACTCCAAAGTCCTGGAGAGTTCCCCAAAGTTTTTTTATTAGTAGTTTCATAGTTTAGGGTCTTAGATTTAAGTCTTTAATCTATTTGGATTTGAATTTTGTATATTGTGACAGAAACGGGTCTAGTTATCTATGTGCAACAAGAAAATCCCCATAGTCATAGCAGGAGAGAGGCAAGTGTTAACAGAAAAAATGAACTCCGTAACGTATTTTAAAGAGGTTTATTCTGAGCTAATATGAGTGACCGCAGCCCAGGGAAAACACAATTCCAAGAAGCCTCGCTTAAGTGGTCCCAAGGTGGTTGGATTACAGTTTGTTTTATACATTTTAGGGAGGCAAGAGTTACAGGCAAAGACAAATCAGTACATGGATGATATATATTGGTGTGGCCCCAAAAGGCAGGATATCTTGAAGTGAGGGCTTACAGATTAAGGTAGATTTGGACATTCTTTAATTTACAATTAGTTAAAGGAGTAAGTCTCTGTCTAAAACTTGGAGTCAGCAGAAAGGTTGTTTTAAGTAAAGATAAGGATCTTATGTAACAAAATTGATGACCTACAGGCATCAATTTAACCCTTGCCTCATATGGCCTTAGGTCATGTATACTTCGGTATCTTAGTGCCACAAAGAATCTGTTCTGTCAGTCTTATGATCTCTATTTTAATATTAATGCTGGACAGTTGTGTCTGAACTCCAAAAGGAAGGGGATACAATGAGACGTGTTCAACCTCTCTTCTAGTCATGGCCAGGAATTCACTTTCTATTTTTTTCTTGGGTCCCCTTGGCCAAGAAGGGGTCCATTCAATCAGTAGGGGGCTTAGGATTTTATTTTTAGTTTACATGAGCATCTTTCCCTAGTAGTCATATGTCCCTGGACTTTATCTAGCCTCTCATCTCGCCTCTTAGAACTTCAGTTTTCTCATCTAAAACAGGAATAATAATACCAGCCAAAGCTAACACAATGTAAAATTGTTGTGAGGCTCAAGTGAAATGTAAATTGTCATTTTCTCATCATGTCTCTGTCTACTGACCTGTCTCTGGATTCTCAGAATCACAAGTTAATTGATGACTGAAACTCTGTAAGCCCCGAAAATGAGAAAATAGGCTTAATCTCCAATTTAGACTATCTATGATACCTCAATGTGGTGAAAAATGAAATTAAGTGGAATATCTGTTTTGCTTATATGGGACTTGATACTCATATATTTCAAAACATCCTGATGTCCTCTTGATTTTTTCCCCCCAGATTTCAGCTGAATGCTGAATAGGCCTGGTCTGAGCTTTGGTTTGGAAATTAAGCCCTACTATTTAACATTTGCCTAATCCCCCCTGTGGTTCCAGGGTTGTGTTTTCAAAAAAAGTGAAAAACAGCTAATTATTAGTGCTTTGATATGAGATTCCAGACATCCAGAGTTTTCCCCCCATCTCAGAATCTTTGGTGGTGCAGAGACAAAGCACTTAAGAGATTAATGTTTCAATACCATGTTTTACCCTTTGTTGTGCAAAAGGAAAGGTTTTGATTCTTTTACCAAGGATGGAAACCTCTTTCCTCAAGAAAGGCACTCAGCCAAGACCACCTCTTATTGCATTAATTTGATCCATTTTACTTTGGACAGTCTCCTTTTTGCAATTTTTAAAAGTAGAACAAAGTCCCTTTGAAATCAATATTTCCTTTTTATGCAGTTTGTTACCTGCTCTGTGGATCCATGTCCTTAATCCGTCAAAACAGACAAAATGATTCCCCGCTCAATTGACTCATGGAATTTGTAATAACAAATTAAGTATTTGAAGTGAGCCAAATTTGGAAAAGGAATTCTGAAATAGTTAAGCCATAAACTATAGTGTGTACATGAAGTTTTCATGCGTGAATTTGTATCTTTATGTATTTGTGAAATTAATTCAACAAACATATATTGAATACCTTCCATCTGACAGGTACTAAGTGAATAAAATATAGTCCTTGCCATTAAGGAGAGTTTTCACATGCTGAATACAGACTATTCTCTTACTTCCCCCTCTTCTCTTTTTATTTTTTTTTAACTGCTTCATTTTTTTCTCTCTGAATCTCATCAATGTCCTCTCAAAAGTGAAACAAACCCACACTGTGTTAGCTGGGCTCAAGATTGAAGTACCAAAGATTAGCTAACCTGCTGATGGGATTACTTACTGTGAGGGAGAAAAAGTAACAAGCATTGGTATTTCTAGATTCATTCATCTATAAGAAAATTTCTTTCCCGGCAATGCAAAGAAGAAAACATTTATAATATCTCAGTGTATCAAATATTAATGGCATAAATTCATACAAATGTTTTTCTGTTTAACTCAACTGATATTAACTGAGTGCCTGCTAGCTCTTGAGTGATTGCAATTGCACGGTTTTATTGTTTTCTTCTTTCACGAAGGCAGTGGACATTGAGTGACAAACAGCACATATAATTCATGCCAACATACCAGGATATCCAGCCTATACCACACTAATCATATGTATATTTGGAAGGCATTGTGCATAATTTATTTCATATTAGCAGTATGTCTGGATTATTGATTTGTTTTTTTTCTTTTTTGAATCAGATAAGCAAAACAAAAAGTGAAACAAAACAATAACAAAAATGAACAACAAAAGAAGGGTGATTTTGTGATTCAAAAATTGCAATGTGCCCTGGAAACCATTCTGCCCTGAGAACGCTGCTACAAATGTAACATTGATAATATATTCATTATGTGGCTTCCAATGTTGCTAAAATGCCTGCCTCTGGGTATCTGTTCCCTATGTAATTGATCTTCAAAATCCTTCCGTTGTGAAAATTATATAGTTCTATTTCTGTTCAATCATCAAGTTCAAATGAACAACTACTTTATTGTGGAATTGCATTTGTAAGGGAAAAATCTTAATTTTGATATTTGATACTACAGAGTCTACTGCAGTAATTGGTTAATTTCTTCTCCTGGTGGCAATGGCAGTGTGACCTTCCAATTAAGGGCTATTCATTCTGGTCCTTACAGCAAATTGATATTGTTATCACAGAATTAAAATGTTGTGTTCTTATGTTTTCTACTACCTCTTCCTGCCTCTCTGCAAATGCCTAGACCGTCTGGATTTCATAAACTTTCTTGAAGCTCTTTCCATGATGAAGAATTGCAGTCCCTATCGCAGTTGCATCCAAGGAACATCTGCTCAGAGAAGCCAGTCAATATTGTGGAAAAGTTCAAAGAATGTAGATCATTACTAGTGTCAGCTTTACAAACAGGAGGTAATGGCGTTAAAGGGAATGGTCATAATACCCAACAATAGTAACCTCATTAACCAGTGATTTATCATGATGAAAAGACCTGTTTAACCTTTGGTCTCCACAAGCTTTCTCCTTTTAACAAAAAGGTCTATTATTTCGAGTTGTCAGGAGATAATTTGTGAGTTGTTAAAGGACAGATTCAATTACTCTTAAGACAATTATATGGAAACTGCACTCACTGCAAGGTGCCTACACAACAATTTTTGTTTTCCTCAGTCATCTTCCTGGAAACAACAAAAAAACATGAGTTTGGTGACTTTTGTCCCAAAAGCAATTATAATTGTGCCTTCTTATGGCCCTGCTGTCAATGTTTGATTACAAATTGGGCTTTCTTTGAAACTAGCCTAAGGGAGATTTGAGTTAAATGAGTCCATTGGCATTTAAGGCAACGTGTCAAGCTCCTCTGTCAATTCTGTTACCAGTGATGAGGGACTATTGCAGTATCTATTACCTGTGCTGAGGGACTATTGCACTATCAACTGACTCACACACTATGTGGGAATACAGTAACAGGTCAGGCAGTGTTCTGCCTTCCACAAGCTTGTGGACTTCTGTTAGGATATTCTCTCAGCTTGTACCTTTTAGAGCTCTTTTAAGAGTTTATAAAATGACTACGTTTTTGCAGGTCTCCTGGTTGGGTCTGGCAATGGCTGGGAAACTACTTCTCTCATGCTAAGGAATCTGATCTCAAATAATATCAGAGAGATAGGGGAAAAAATATAAAACAGTTTATATTTTGGGTTGGGCAGATTGCTTGGAATTATTAACTCTCCTGAGTCTCTCTGGTCCAAATTGAGGAAGGATACAAACTATAACATCTGTGCCACTCCAGATTCTTTAGAGCAGAAACTGTCAATTGTGACAAATTGAACCCAATTGTACAGAGGCTTTTGTGGAGTAGACAAATGTCCATCAGGGTCTCAACTGAAGCCACCAAACTCAGTTCGCTTGTGCCTTCTCTGTAATTTATACCCTGGATCCCTGAGGCGAGAGACCCTACTATTTGATCATCTGACCACAGTAAATAAGACCAACTGGAGGACTTTTAACTGAAGGAGTTTAGAAAGAATCCAGCTTTCTGAATGTGATGACAGGCATTGAAGTTGCTTGCTCTCATGGTTTTATTACTGACACAGGGGTATAAGAGATGTTTGAAAAAAGGTCATCCTTTATAAGACTTGTATTCAGGGGTAAACCTGAGCCCCAGATTTTGGTTATAAGTTAAATATTTTATGCTATCTTTAAGAAAACATGTTGCTTTTATTTATGTTATCCAAATATCAAATATCTTGCATATTGCTTTGAATAGGTTCAAGCTATCCTCCTGCCTCAGCCTCCTGAGTAGCTGGAATTACAAGCATGAGCCACTACACGTGGCCTGAATTTTTATTCTTAAAGACTAATTTCAGGTGCTTATTCTAGTACTTTGTTGAGGAACACCGTTACGGACTATCTGAGTTTAGTTGCTTGCAACATTTTTTATTTTTGTTTTAAAAAATTATTTCCATTGTTCAATTCCCATCTATGAGTGAGAACATGCGGTGTTTGGTTTTTTGTCCTTGTGATAGTTTGCTGAGAATGATGGCTAAAACTTAAAGTATAATAATAAAAAAAAATTATCATTTCCAGAAACCCAGTAAGAGTTATTTCTGATTTCATTAGGGGAGAAAGAGTGAATAACATCCAGTTTTAATAAATATTTTTACCTGATTATATCATTACATGGATTTAGTTAAAACAAATAAATTTAGGGTCTTGAAAGACCTCCAGATCTAAGTAATTAAACAAAATAATGGTGAAGGAGGGGAAGGACCTCATAGAAAACCCATTCTTAAACTGCAATTATTAGGTTAATCAGCTTATTTTTGAGTGCTATATACTTTCTTGCTTCCACAGAAGTTCAGAGGCACCTTACATAAAGGTGCAAGACAGATAAAGTGAGACATCAGAGATTAGGAAGGGTTAAGTAATTGTGAACCAGAGAAAAGTGTTTGGCTTAAACCAAAAGGGGATATGTGATAAATCATATATCTCCCATTTTATGTTAAATGTAATTATATGGGTTTATGAGGAAAGTAAGACCTTTTCCTGAACAAAATATTCTAGAAGGATGTTCTTGATAAATGGTTGGGTTTTAAACTATTTGCTCCAGAAATGAAAAGCCTTTAGATCATTATTTCTTAAGGTCCAGGGTTTCACATTTTAGCAAAAGAAAAGCCTGGAAATTAGATCTCTATATAAACCTTGCATTCCAATATTTGAAAGTATCAACAAACTAGAAGAAATTAATGCTATATCTATTATCTTACTTGGAAAAATCTCTAAAGTATTTTTATGTTACATAAATACATTAAATTGTAAGCTAAAAAACTAAGACGATGGAAGAAATGAAGGTGTATCAGAATCAAGCTAATTATCTGATTGACTGTGGCTGTTTTGCAGACAGTGGTTTGGTCCTTTAGGAGTGAAGGTCCTACCCTGCTCGGATAACAGTTCCAAGTGGGCAGTGAAAACCTTAACTAGTAGGGGCTGGGCACAGTGGCTCACGCCTATAATCCTAGCACTTTGGGAGGCCAAGGTGGGCGGATCACTTGAGGTCAGGAATTCGAGACCAGCCTGGCCAACATGGTGAAACCCTGTCTGTAGTAAAAAAAAATACAAAAACTGGTCAGACGTGGTGGCACACGCCTATAATCCCAGCTACTTGGGAGGCAAAAGCTGCGGTGAGCCGAGATAGCACCACCGCACACTCCAGCCTGGGCAACAAGAGTGAAACTCCATCTCAAAGAAAAAAAAAATCCTTAACTAGAAGGAATAAAAATCTTGAGGAATTTGAGATTTGGATATTTGGATAACATAAATGCTTAGTTTGCTGAAATTTAAGGAAGAAGCTATTAATTTTCATGATTGTAGGTATAAAACCTCTCTAGCATTTCTGGCACTACTTTATTACATAAGAAGGAAAACACAATTGAATGTTTCATGATAGTTATAGATCTTTCTGACCTTGGGACCATCATTTTGGAGAGCAATTCTTGTTATAAGATAAGCTATAAATCCTTGTGGGCACAGACGGCCTTGTTCATCTTCCCTATTATAGTGCTAGGCAGGGACCTTATGCAGACCAGGCACCTGTAACTGTTTGCTAGTTTAGAAGGAAGTGCCCAAAATTGGCAAAAATGGCTAGTGGAAGGAGACTTCTCTGTGAATTGGCCCTGGCAACCACCGTTGAGCACTGTTTCAGTGCTCAAGGAACAAAAGTTAGGATTTTAAAACTGGAAGGAACTTCATCTTGAGGTTTGATATGGCCAATCACACCTTGTTTCCTCCAGTTTCAGAAAAAGTTGAGAATTAGCTACAGACTGCCAATAGGGCTATATTGGAGAATTTATCTTATATTTTAAACCAATGGAATTTCTAAAATTGTTACCTTATAGAGAGGAGATTGGGTCTGAAGAATGGGCAGTCACTCAATCCAATTGCAAGGGAAATAACTCACAAACTCTCTCTCTCTCTCTCACACACACACACACACACACATTCACACGAACCTCTAGACTTGTCTCTAGAATAGTGGCTCTAGAGACTTCTAGACACTATCTATATTGAAGAACTAGGTTCTTAAAATTTCCAATCCATAGCACACTATAAATTTTCCAAATGCAGTAAGTATGAATTACTAGACAAATGAAGAAAGAAAAGATATGTAAAACACAAATGTTAATGTTTATTATATTTGACACATATAAAATTATATTTCAATTAATATAATAAAGTAAGAGCTGCATGCAGTGGTATGCACCTGTGGTCACAGCGACTCAGACAGCTAAGGTGGGAGGATTGCATGAGCCTAGGAGTTCAAGGCCAGTTGAGCAACATAGACTCCCATCACTAAACAAACAGAAACCAAATCACATAGATAAAAGCAGAGAATTACAAAGCTTTATATACATTTCATTGAAAGTGTGCATATGGGCAATTAATATGTAGAATTACTATTATACTCACAACTTTTTGCCACTCCTAAATCAGAACAAAATTTAAAATTATGAGTAAAATAGCAATTCCCCACATTTAATACCTATTGCGTGCTTTGCGTGAACATTATGTATATCAATGCTATTTTTATAAGTCAGGTTTTTGGAAGTATAACTTATGTTTATTATAATTTACGTTATAATTTGCCGGCAAATCCACCCCTTTTAGGTGCACAGTTTGACAAGTACAAATGTGTAAAGTCATGTAACCAATCAAGATATAGGATATTTCAACATCCCAGAAATTTCCATTATGCCCTCTTACAATTAAACCCTTTTCACTACTCTTAGCCTCTGGCAACCAGATCTAATTTCTGATAGTATGATTTTTTTTTCTTTCCGCAAATGACATATAAATGGAACCAAATACGATGAAGCTATTTGTGTCTGGCTTTTTTCATTTAACATAATGCTTTTAAGATTTAGCCATGTTGTTGCATGTATCCATAGTTCATTAGTTTTCATTGCTGAGAAATATGTCATTTGTATGGGATATAATACAATCTGTTTGTTCTCCAGTAGATGGACCTTTGGAGTGTCTATAGTTTCGGGTAATTACAAATACAGCTGCCATAAATATTCACATATTTTGTGTGGACAGATTTTTTCATAGCTCTTGAGTGAATTCCTAGAGTTACTGAGTCTTATGGTAATAGCATATTTAATTTTATAAGAAACTGCCGAAGTTTTTCAAAGTACCTGTAGCAGTTTGCATTCTCACTAGCAATATGTAAGAGTTCATTGCTCACCGATATACCAATATTCAGGATTGTCGTTTAAAAAATCTTTAGCTGTTTTAATAGGTGTGAAATGGTATATGATTGTGGTTTTAATTTGGATTTCTCTGATATCTAATGAAGTTGAGTATCTTGACATGTATTCGTCTCCAGAATCTCTCTTTTTTTTTTTTTTGGAGAAATATTGGTTCAAATTTTTAGCCCATATTTTTTCCAGTTTAAATATTTATTTATCACATACACCAGATATTGTGTTATTCACAGAAGAAGAAGAACTCTAAATAATACTATGTCTACTGGAAAGAGATATTTAATCAAAGAACTAGAATACAGTATGGTAAGAACATAGCCCACACTTGACATACAGACTAACATATGCATGAAGATATTTATCATCACAGTCATTCTGCAATGTTAAGAGTGACACAGATGACATAAACAATATAAAACCAATTAGATCTTTTTAAATAAAATTTTC
Source organism: Homo sapiens (assembly GCF_000001405.40). Lineage (NCBI taxonomy): Eukaryota > Metazoa > Chordata > Mammalia > Primates > Hominidae > Homo > Homo sapiens. The sequence goes on from NC_000011.10 coordinate 20,295,121, forward strand.
CACTTTAGAAAGCTTAGAAGAAGCTTTCAGATAGAAGAAAAATCACTATTAACATTTTGGTCTATGTACTTTTACTTTTTTTTTTCCTTATAAGTATTTTTTTGTTTATTTATCAAAATGGGATCATACTATACCAGCCTTTTAACCTGAACGTCTTTCCATGCTATTAAATAGTCTTCTACAACACCATCAGTATGCGATTGTACAATGTAGGAACATTCATAAATTTCTAAAATTAATTTCCTATAGTAAGTCATTTTAGTTGTTTCCAAATTTCCATAACTATAAACAATCATTTACTGAACATTCAGGAGATGAATTGCTGCGCACTTAAGCAATGTTTTCTTTAAGATAAATTCCTGGTAGGGAAATTGCTGTTTCAAAAGAAATAAATATTTTTAAAGCCTTGGTGAGTTTTACCCTACACTGCAGTGTTTCCTGGTAAAGTTATATAAATTTATATCTACCAATAACATAATAAAGATTAATGTAGGGGCGATATCCTTAAAATAAAAACAATTTAAATATGAACATTTCTATCATAAGTTGCATTTGTTTGATTTGTAGTAAAATTGAATATTTTATGTGTATTTTCTGTTTCTATGCATTAATAAAATTTTCATGAATTTTTCATTTATGTTCTTGGCCTGTATTTTTACCTATTTATCTTTCAATAATTTGTAAAAACTCTTTTTCTTTTGGTGATATATCACATAACCAATGTGTTTCTCTTATGATTTGCCTCTTTTAATGATGTTTATACTTTTTTTCAACAAAATTTTATGGTTTTTTGCTTTTTTATTTGAGACAGAGTCTTACTCTGTCACCCAGGCTAGAGTGCAATGGCATGATTTCAGCTCACTGCAACCTCCACCTCCTGGGCTCAAGCAATTCTCCTGCCTTAGCCTCTTGAGTAGCTGGGATTACAGGTGCCCACCACCACGCTTGACTAATTTTTGTATTTTTAGTGGAGATGAGGTTTCACCGTGTTGGCCAGGCTGGTCTCGAACTCCTGACCTCAGGTGATCCACCCGCCTCAGTCTCCCACAGTGCTGGGATTACAGACATGAGCCACTGCGCCCGGCCTTAAGTTTATGTATTTTAATCTGTCAATCTTTTCTTATAGACCTGTGTCAGAAGTCACCCTCATGATGTTCTTTTCCTCTCTCTGATTATTTACATATTTCCCTATTTACATTTCAGTATTTAATGCATTTGGAATTGATTTTGATATATTAAAGGAGTAAAGCTTTAACTTTTCCCCCACATTTTGAGCCAGTTTTCCCAGCTCTATTTGTGGAACTTCTCCTATTTTGAAATATCACCTTTATCATGTATAAATTTATCATACACTTAGGTATGTTTCTGAACTTTGAATTTTGTTCCACAAAATTTCCTCTCTTCTCTGAAAATGAAATTATTTCATTTGAAGTGAAAGACAATGCTACAGTCTTTTAATTACTATAGTTTTATAATACGTTCTGATATCTGGTGTAACAAGCACTGTCCCTATCACACCCTTTACAATACTTTCTCTAGATGTTCTTGACTGTTCTCAGACCTTAGTATTCTGGAAATTCTTAAAAGCATATTTGAGTTTAAAACAGGAATTGGAATTTTTATTGCAATTTCATTAGATTTATAGATTATTGCATTTCATTACATTTATAGATTATACATGAATCTGAGAAGAATTTACATCTTTATAACAATCAGCCTTATCATTAAGAGACAAGCTGGGTCTTAGCATTTACTCATGTTTTCACTTACGTTCTTCAGTAAAGTTTTTTTGTTTTGTTTTGTTTTTTGAGACAGTCTCACTCTGTCGCCCAGGCTGGAGTGCTGTGGTGCAATCTCTGCTCACTGCAACATCCGCCTCCTGGTTCAAGCAATTCTCCTGCCTCAGCCTCCCAAGTAGCTGGGATTACAGGCATGCACCACCACGTCCAGCTAATTTTTTGTATTTTTAGTAGAGGTGGGTTTTTACCATGTTGGTCAGGCTGGTTTTAAACTCCTGACCTCAAGTGATCTGCCTGCCTTGGCCTCCCAAAGTGCTAGGATTACAGGTGTGAGCCACTGCACCCAGCCAAGTTTTATAGCTCTTTAATAGGTTCTGTATGTTTTGGGTTATGCAAAGAATTATGTTGTTGTTCTTATTGTTACTGCTGGCACCTGTTTTTTCATTATATTTTCCAACTGATTACTGTTTTTCCATGGTATTATATTTATAGATTTTTATTTAAAACTAAAAAAGTAAGTATTCTAATTAGTTTCAAAAGTATTTGAGCTTATTTTGAGGGGTTTTCTAAATATATAGTTATATAATCTGTAAATAATTATAACTTTATCTCTACTTTTCTGATTTTTGTATCTCATTTCTTTGATATTTCATTATTTAGAAGGATTTTGGCTGATAATTTTAGGCAATTCCTCATAACATTACATTTTAGTTGCATATTAAGTTACATTATTACTTTTTGTTTATTGAGGCATTTTAAAACCAGGAATAGATGTCAATAGATTACCTTATATTGAACCATTTAAAAAATTCTGAAGGCCAGGTGTGGTGGCTTACGCCTGTAATCCCAGCACTTTGGGAGGCCGAGGCAGGTGGATCACCTGAGGTCGGGAGTTCAAGACCAGCCTGACCAACAGGGAGAAACACTCTCTCTACTAAAAATACAAAATTAGCCAGGTGTGGTGGCACATGCCTATAATCCCAGCTACTCGGGAGGCTGAGTCAGGAGAATCGCTTGAACCTGGGAGGCGGAGTTTGCAGTGAGCCGAGATCACGCCATTGCACTCCAGCCTGGGCAACAAGAGCGAGACTCCATCTCAAAAAAAAAAAAAAATTCTGAATAAACCCTATTTTGCTATAATACATAATTATTTTAAAATAATTCTCAAACAGGTTTGCTAATATTTCATTTTATATATTTGTATCTATAACTATAATTTTGGATTTTAATTGCTATAATTGTTAAGGTATGTTATCAATTTTGGGCTATTCTCAGTTGAGAAACTGGGAAACTCTTCATCTTTTTCTATTGTCTACAACAGTTTAACTGCATAAGCATACTTGTTGCTTAAAAGATGGGCTTCACTCATCTATATGTTGGTTTTGTTTCAAGACTTTTACAAACGTATCATCCAAAACATTTTTTTAAATCAGATTTATTGATCCAAGTATTTGGAATGGAAAAAAATCAGGTTTATTGAGTTATGATTTAAATCAAGTAAAATTTACCCTTTTTTCATATATAGTTCAATGAGTTTTGCTATATACATGCAGTCAGGTAACCGCCAACCAATCAAGATACAAAATATTCCAATATTCCCCCAAGAGTCCTTTCAGGGTACCCCTTGGTAACTCTGAGCCTGTTCCTGTAGTTTTACCTTTTTTTAAATATCATATAAATGGAGCCACACAGTTTGATTCCACAATCTTTTGTATCTGACTTTTTTTACTTAGCACAATGATTTTCAGAATCATACATGTTATTACACATATCAGTAGTTTATTCTCATTATTGAGTGGTATTTCATTGTATGGATGTAGCAAAATTCATTTATCTGTTCACCAGTTAATGGACATTTGGGTTATTTTCAGTCTTGGGCAATTATGAATAAAGTTAGGGTAATTATGAATAAAGTTACTATAAACATTTATGAACAGATTTTGTCTCTACATATATTTTCATTCCTCTTGGATAAATGTCTAGAAGTAGAATTGCTAGTTCATATGGTAAGGGTATTTTTAAGTTTATAAGAAATTGTCAGACTGTTTTCTAAATAACTAAACTATTGTACATTTTCATCAACATTATATGAGAGTTCAAATTGCTCTACATCTTCACTAGTATTTGGAGTTGTTTTTCTTTCTTTTTTTCTTTTAACCATTCTAAAAAGTGTGTAGTAATATCTCACTGTAGTTTTAATTTGTATTTCCCTAATGACTAAAAATGTTAGCATGTTTGAAAGTGCTTATTGGCCATCCAAATCTCTTCTTTGATAACGTCTATTTAACTCTTTTGCCCATTAAATTTTTTTACTATTATAGAGTTGTAAGAGTTCTTTATATATCCTGGATGCAAGTCTTTTATCAAATGTTTTATTTGCAAATATTTCCTCCCAGTCTATGGTTTGACTTTTCATTTTCTCAATAATGTCTTTTAAAGAGCAGAAATTTTACATTTTGTTTAAATATACTTTATCAAGGTTTTTCTTTTATGGCTCAAGCTTTTTGCATTTTATCTAAGAAATATTTGCCTGATCCAAGATTACAAAGATTCTCTGTAGTGCTTTATTCTAGGAGCTCTGTAGTTTTAGGCTTCACATTTAGGTCTCTGACTCAATTTGAGTTAATTTTTGTATATGTTGTAAATAAGAGTTGCAATTCCTTTTTTTCTTTCTTTTTTTCTTTTTTTTACATGAATATTCAACTTTTGAAGTACCATTTGCTGAAAAGATTATACTTTATTCATTGAATAACCTTAACACTGTTGTCAAAAATCAGTTGAATATATATCTGTGGGTATATTTCTGCACCCTATATTATGTTTCATTGATCAATAGGTCTGTCTTTATTCTAATTCCACATGGTATTTATTAGTGTAGCATTACAGTAAGCCTTGAAATCAGTTGATGTTGTTCTTTTTCAAAGTTGTTCTGGCTATTTAGGGGCCTTGATTTTCTGTATACATTTTAAAATACAGTATACATTTTGTTTAAAATATTATTTTTAAAAATATACTTATATATTTCTATATTATTTATATATAATCTTTATAAAGTATTATTACAAGTAATAATACTTATTTAAAATAAAGCACATATTTTAAAATAAGCTTGTGATTTCTACAAAATATCCTGCTGGGATTTTGGTTCGAATTGATTGAAATCTATAGATCAATTTGGGCAGAATTGACATATTCCCAATATTAATCCAATAATATAGTATATCTCTCTATTTATTAAGTATTCTTTAATTTCTCTCTTCAGGGTTTTGTAATTTTCATTATACAAATCTTGCACAGATTCAGTTAGATTTATTTCTATGTATTTGATGGTTTTGGAAGCTATTGTAAATAGCATTTAAAAACTTTTAAACTTTCTGATTGTTCACTGTTAGTATGTAGAAGTATAATTGATTTTGGTATTTTGAGCTTGTATCCTGAAATTATCCTAAACTCACTTATTATTTCTAGTAGCATTTTAAATAGTTTTTTTTATTTTGTATATAGGTGATTATAAATCTTCTAGTAAAGAGAGATTTATTTTTTCCTTTCCAATTGTATGCCTTTTTTTTCTTGACTTATTGCATTGGTTATAATCTTTAATACAATGTTAAATAATAGTAGTGAGAGCAAACATCCTTGCCTTCCTCTTGATTTTAAAGGAGAAAGAATTCAGTCTTTTACCACAAAGTAAGATACCAGTATAGGTTTTTCATAGATGTCCTTTATAAGGTTAAGGAAGTTCCCTTCTATTCCTAGCTTGCTAAAAATTTTTATCATCAATTGATGTTGGATTTTGTCAAATGCTTTTCTGCATCTATTGAGATGAGCATGGGATTTTTCTCTTTGGTCCTTTGACGTGATTATTTATGCTGATTGATGTTCATATGTTGACTCAACTTTGGCTTTGTAGGATAAATTCATGATATGTCATTTATATATTGATGAATTCAACTAAATAAATATTTTGTTAAAGATTTTTATGTTTAGTATTCATGAGAAATATTACACTGTTTTCTTTTCCTATAATGTTTTTCTGTGGTTTTGCTGTCAGGGTAATGCTGACCTCATAAAATGACTTTGGATGTATTTCTTTCTCTTCTATTTTCTGGAAGAGTTTATTTAGGATTGGCATAATTTCTTCTTTAAATGTTTGGTAGAATTCACCAGTGAACTCCTCTGGGCCTGAAGTGTTCTTTGTGAGAAAGTTTCTAGTAATGAATTGAATTGCTTTAATAAATAAAGGACAATTCAGATTATATTTCTTCCTGAGTAGTTTTTGTCTTTCAAAAAAATCTGTACATCTACCTAAGATCAAATTCATTGACATAAAGATATTCACAATATTATTTTATCTTCTAATTTCTGTAGTACATATATTAATGTTCTCTTTTTCATTACTGATTTGATAACTTCTGTCTTCCCTCTTTTTTCCTTGATCAGCCTGTCTAGAAGTTTATCAATGTTAATGACCGTTTCAAAGAAACAAATTTTAACTTCAAAATTTTTTCTCTATCATTTTCTATTTTAAATTGTATTTTTAAATTTATTTATTTATTTATTTATTTATTGCTCTTTATTGTTTCCTTCCTTTTGCTTGCCTTCTTGCTTTGGTTTGCATTTGATTTTTATTTCTTTTCTTCTTCTTTTTTTTTTAGTTTCTTAAGGTGGAATCTTAGATTATTGATTAAAGGACTTACTTGTTTTCTAATAAGAACATATAATGCTATACATTCTCCTCTAAGCTACATCATGAGTTTTTAATGTGAAAAATAAGCTTGCTTTGTGATTAATTTATCTAGCCTGGGTTACACTGACATATTTTTAAATGCTTAGTGACAGTGTCTGCATTACTTGTCTTGGATCAGTAATAAACATTTTGGTCAACGGATCAAATGTTTAGTATCTCTGCATTAGAAGATGTGACCAGGGGTCGGGTGCAGTGGCTCACGCCTATAATCCCAGCACTTTGGGAGGCTGAGCCTGGTGGATCACTTAAGGTCAGGAGTTCGATAGCAGCCTGGTCAACATGGTGAAACCGTCTCTACTAAAAATACAAAAATTAGCAGGGCATGATGGCACATGCCTGTAATCCCATCTACTCGAGAGGCTGAGCAGGAGAATTGCTTGAACCTGGGAGGTGGAGGTTGCAATGAGCCAAGATTACACCACGGCACTCCAGCCTGGGCAACAGAGCGAGACTCCATGGGACCAGGGTTTTGATCCAGCTTTGCTCAGCATATGGATGAAGATGTATAGGCTGGAGGGAGAATATTGTATCTGTGACTACTCAGGCAACCAACCAGAAAGAGGAGAGCAGGCCGTTGGAAACTGCAACCTTTAACACCCCACATAGTGTGTTAGAGAGGTGGATCCAAGGGATAGGGCTCTAGTCCTCTCCCACCTTAGAAAGGAGTCAAGGTGAGGAAGAGTTAAATAAAGTGCCTTTTTAATACCAAAAAGAGAGTAGGAATTCCCATTCCATGGACCTGCGTGAACATGAATAAGGGAGAAAAGAAAACAAGTGTTCCAAGGGAGAAAAGAAAACAAGTGTTCCATTCTCCTCTTTTTTTTTTTTTTTTTTTTTTTTTTGAGACAGGGTCTTGCTGTCTTGCCTAGGCTGGAGTGCCGTGGCATGGTCACAGCTCACTACAGCCTCAATCTCCAAGGCTTAAGCAATCCTCCCACCTCAGCCTCCCAAGCAGCTGGGACTACAATCATGTGCCACCACGCCCGGCTATTTTTTTTGTTTTTAGTACAGATGGGGTCTCACTATGTTGCCCAGGCTGGTCTCAAACTCCTGGTCTCAAATGATCCTCCCTTCTCAGCCTCCCAAAATGTTGGAATTACAGGGATGAGCCACCATGCTTAGCTATTACCATCACCTTTCCCAATTTACACACCTTAGAGATAAAATAATTTACTACAATTTCCTAACTAAGGCTTGGAATACTTAAGTGATATGCCTAAACTCAATCATCTGGTTAGTATTAGAACATAGAAAGTTTCCTGACTCTTCCTCAAATGTACGCTTTCCATAGTGTTAAGATTAAATCATTTCTCCCTTGCCTTTTAGCTTATAACTAAAGTATAGGGGTGTGTGTGTGTATGTGTGTGTGTGTATGTGTGTGTGTGTGTAGAGAGAGAGAGAGGTAGATTTTAATTACTTAAAATTTTTGATTAATCGACTTCTGGTTAATAGAGATGTTGTCATATCAAAGATTTCTGTTTTAAGAAATAGAAATTTTAATGTAACATATTGTTAATAGTGAGTTATGTCAAAGTCAGTTAACTTTGGAGCCACGTCTGTCTGATTCAAAACTCTGTGCTCTTTTTATTTTGTCTCATGTCTTCTCACATGTGAGTACGAGCTTCAAATCATAAAGGGACTTGCTTTTGCCTCCCAAAGGCATACTTTTCTTGTTTTCCCAATTGCATAACACCTGCCTACAGAGTACTGACCCTAGGACATAAAGCTCTTAACTAACTGCCCTTCATACAAGAGGAATGAAGGCTTTCATGGAGTCGAGGTCTGTTCGAAGCAGAAACTAGTGTTGAAAGAGCAGTTGCTCCTCATACTAAATTGTCCCAAGAGCAAGAAGTGAGCCTGCTCTCTCTCCTTCCAGCCAGCCGCCCATCTCTGTTACATACCCCCTTTACCAAGGCAAAGGGTTGTGTGTCTATCTGCATATTCATTAAAATGCACCAAGTCTTGGAACTGGCTTTCTCTCCCCCCATTCTACTGCCTGACAAAGGATTTGTCACAAAAGACCCTCTTCCCAGTTTGTAAAACAGTTGTGTAAAACTCGGACTGTAAAGTCACAGTTGACTGCTTTAATGTGGAACAGCTGGGAGGGTGTAGACACACTGGCAGGTTGAGACAGGGACTGGGAATGGTCCCCCATTCTGCACAGGGTCGACTTAGTCACACCACCTGCTGCCCCTATTATTTCAAGAGCAAACCAGTCATGACAGCCTCAACAGACGGACACACAGCACCAGACGGTGCAAGGGAAGTTAAGAAAAGACAAATTAAGTGATCAATAAAGATAAGGGACCTGCTCAGCAGTAAATGGTGCTGACAGACCAGACAAAACATGAAGCAAAAGGGCATTTGATAATGTGGGGTGTGCAAAGCTTAGCGTCAACCTTCATAGTATTGACATTTCAGAGACCACTGGGACCTTGGCAGTGGATTTTCCTAGCTGGGCTGACTTGAATTGTAGGTGGTTGCCTTTATCTTTCCATTGAACTCGGAGAAGGGTCCAGGGCCCACCTCAGAAGTGTAGTAAGCCATGTACATGGAGGAGGTCACCACTGGCATTGCCCCAGGCCAAACTAGACAGTGCACATGGGTGAAATCTGAGGTCTAAGATCCACAAAGCTACCTTTCTTTTGATGTTATGAGGGGCATTCATTTGCTGAACATTCATTCATTTATTCATTCCATCTAATCTTTAATGAGTATCTATTATGGACATAGGTATAGTGCTAGGCCCTAAGGGAGGTGGGGGTATGGTGGTTTTATCAGTGGTGATCGTACAAAAATGAAGTAATTTTTCTGGAAGATATTGCAGACTCATAAAGAGCCCATCCCACCCAACACCTCCCTACCTCAAGACCACTTTAGATACAACGTCTTAAATACCCATAGTGGACGGATATACAACATGCTAGAGAATGACCAAGTCTGCTTTAAGAAGTCAAGAACATTTTTACAGAGGAGGCTAGCAAGGAGAAAGTTCAGCGAAAGACATTTCTGGAAGAAGCAGCAGCACAGAAAAACAGAGATGTGACAAATTTGCTCTTCTTTCCCAGACCTGGATCTCAGGAGTTCTCAAAGCTACAGGCTACCCAAGGGTGAGTTAATTAAACAGTAAAGTTTTATTCATGTAAACAGGATATTAAGAGAGTAAAAATTCAGATTAATTTTTTGAGATAAAAATCTAATACATCCAAGAAATTTGGGGCTTTTGTTTAAGGCTGCTTCAGATTCTGTCCCTAGATACTCCCGGGGTTTGAGCTTTTGCTTCTCTGCCATTGGTAGGAACATTTGAGACTTGTGTATGACATGTCCAGTTTGGTGCACCTGGAAAATAAGGTACATAAAGACAGAGTTGGGATGGGCAGGAGAAAACAGTGGAAAAAAAGGCTGGTCAGAAAGTCTGCAGTCAGGATGGGAAGGGCCCCCAGGCTTCCTACCTAGATAAGGCTTTACAAAGTACAGAGTACTTTTACAGAATCATTTCAATTGACCCTCATTATAATCCTACCAAGGACTTTGAAGTGGGGATAACACAAGCACATCTGTGGAATGTGTTGTTTAATATTTGAATTTAAGAAAGTTTCTTTGACTAGAGCAAGAAGAATGGATTTGATGGGAAGAAGAGAGAAACTAAAATTTCTTTAAAATTTTCTTTAAAAGTGCCTACAATACACCAAACAGTTGAACATTCATTATTTTATTTAAAGTTGGCTGTATGTGACAGAAAACTTAAAATATTAGTTTAAATAAGGTTGATTATTTTTAGTCATTCATAGGAGATGTTAAAAGGTAGTTGTTACAGGGCTGGTATGGGGACCCATACTATCTCAGGGTTTTAGCCTGTTTCCAGCTATTCAATTGTCCCCAGGGACCAAGCTCCAGACATCATATCTTTGTCCTGAGAAACAGGAAAGAATTAAAGAAGGGTCATGACAAATTCCCAATTGTATCTCACTGGCCAATACTTAATCATGTGGTCACCACTGGAAAGCTGAGAAATGTAGTCTTCTAACCAAGCAGCAATATGCCCAGATAAAAAGGAAAAGAATGGATACGGGGGTTGACAGTTAGAAATTTGGCCACAGAATTATTATGTAATAAGGAAGCAGTTCAGAGATAGTAAATAATTTGTCATGAGTCACAAAACTAGAAAACTGTCCTGGGCTTAATTCTAGTCCTTCCTAAATCCAAATTCAGTGATACTTCTATTATGATGCTCCACCTGTACATGGCACTGTGGGGCTGTGGGGTGTGGGTGGGTAAGGAATGATAAACTTCAAGCTGAAAAAGTAGGAGTACATTGAGTAACATAATAAAGATCAGAATTAATGAATAAGAATAATAATAAACTACCACTTCTTGGACCTTGACCATATACAAGGTTTTATTCTATATTAGCTCGTTAATTCTCCCAAATTTGGAAGATAGTTATCGTGAGTTCTTATTTACAGATGGAGAAACTAAGACTTAGAGGGGTTAAATAATTTGCCCAAGTATGGTTTTCTCTTTGTGCTCTATTTTTATGCTACTCTCTTTCTTTCAACGTACCATTAGAAAATAATGAATTTTACTTACCTACAGTTTTTCTAAAATATTACTGTCATTAATTCCAAGTTGAAAAGAACTTTAGCCCTCACTATTCAATTTCTCTATAACTGTTAGTGGGGAAACTGAAGTATAGGCATATTACAACAACAACAATGACAATGGTATGGTAGATTGAGTCCCATAGTGGACACGAGTCTTCAGCCTTGTATCCCAATGCCAAGCCTACCTCCACCCACCTTTTTCCATGATCCCTGTCAAGGGAAGAAGAATTGCTAATCTGAATAATGAGATTCTAAAACACTGAGTGAGTTATGATTACCAAAAGGCAGTATCACTGTGTTAAACAGCCTTTCCATTTCTTTCTACCTCTGTGCGGTTAGCAAACCTAGACAAAGCCTGGCACATCAAAGGGGCCAAGCATCTCCTTTTCTTCCTCCTCGTCATCCACCACTACCTCCTCCTCCTGTCCTTGTCTTTTTTTTTTTTTTCTCTCTCTCTCTCTTCCTCCCTCCAAACCTGGTCAACATGCCCACTTGTCCTTCCTCTTCTCTTTGACCAGTTTCCTTCGTGAACCCATCAGAGAGTAGGTAATTCTGAGATTTCTACTTTAAAGAAGAATGTGAAGGCCCTGCTTTGTCCTTAAGTTAAAACTCTGAGATCCCCCACAGCTTTTCCAGAACTTAGAAAAGGGTGTACAAGCAGCTGAATGCCAAAATGGAACCTGAATTTCCATTCTGCTCATGTTCCTATGTGTTTAGCTTCCTCAGTAGGAAAGGTGATTGCAGGGCAGGATTTGGGAATGCCTGGGTTTTCCTTACTCTGACACTATCAATTCATCTTTCACCAAAAAGAAGGGTTCTCCCTGTGCCAGGCACTATGCTCAGCACTTTATGTGCAGAATCTCACATAGTTCTCATAATAGCCATCTGAGGAAGCTGCTATTATAATGGATGAGGAAATCGAGATTCACGGGGTGAAGGACTTGCCCAAGGTAACACAACCAATAAGAGGCAGTTCATCAAAACTCAGGTCTGTCTGACTCCAACTCTTGCTTTTTCCGATGGCTGATACTGGGTCCCCTCCACTGTACGAAAGGAGCCCCCATGTGCCAATGTCACCTTGACCGGGAACTGTGACAATCCTAAATTACGTAGATGATCCCCAGTTTTTCTAAAGCTGTTCTCATAGTGACCATCCTAGTCCTTGACTAACGCTTTGCATCTGTGAGCTGATTACTCATCAAGCCAGCTATCGCATGATTTCCTTTTATGAACTGGACTATACATCTAGTCCTGAGAAGACCATGGTACATTAGTGTTGCTGTATCAGCTTAAGAGGCATACCACATCCAAAATGATTTCAGCAAACAACTGGAAGTGTTATGGCAAGGCATGGAATGCACCAGGGGCAGCCATCATATGCTTTGTTTGGCGGTTCTGCCTTCATCTAATCAATGTCTGGAGATCTTCAGCAATTTCTGGAGATCTTTTCCCTCCTAATGTGTTAAATGCTGATATAAATAAGACAGACATTGGGGCATCATGGAAAAGCCTAGAATGGAGTGCCAGAGACATTGGTCCTAGTGCAGGCTGTTCACACTAGCTGTGTGACCTCCCGATGCTTCACTTCTCTGCACATCAGTGTCTTCAGCTGCTTCATAGGTATGACAAAAACATGAAGTTCCCATGAGTTAATAATGTATATGAGTGTGTTATAAAATTACCAAACAACTGTTATCATTTGTAATGTTTTCCATACTCTATGAGCTTTTTGAGAAAAGAGACACTATTTACGTGTAACCAGAGAGAATAACATCTACCCTACTGAATCCTTCTAAGAACTTAATAAAATACACTTATGAAGCACCCAGCCTGGTGCCTACATAAATAGGTGATAAAAATCTTTCCCACCTAACTCTTTGGTTTTGGGTCCCCATGTCTTAGCACATGCTAAACATTAGTAAATATCGAGGTAGACAGTATAACATATGAGTGAATGACGATAATAAGTCACAAACACACAGTTTTCCACTGTGTGCAGACTCTGTGCCAGGCAGCATTCTAAGTGCTTTCTGGAGAGCTATTTATTTAACCCTTATGACCACCCTCTGACTAAGGTACTATTATTATCCCTGTTTTACAAATAAAGAAACAGACAGAGAAAGGAGTTTGTTAACTTTCCCAAAGCGTCGCAGCTAAAAACTAGCAAAGCCAAGATTTGAACATACACTATCTGGCTCCAGAATTAAGTGAATAGAACCCAGATAATGTATTCAGTTGCAAATGGCCAAACTTTGTGTTTTTTTTTTCTCTGTTTTTTGTTTTTGTTTTTGTTTTTGTTTTTTTTTTTTTTTTTTTGCAGCTACTGCTATCAAGAGGCAGAATCTGTTTTCCCACCTGTTGAGCTTGGGCTTATTTTGTGACTTGCTTTGGTCAACAGAATGCAAGGGAAGTGACTGTGAGTTCTGAGCCTAGACCTCAGGGGACTCGCAGCTTCTGCTCTCTTGAAATACTGCCACCATATGAGCAAGTCTTCATTAGTCTCCTTGAGATGACATGAAGAGAGGTCCAGCTGTCTTAGCCATTCATGCTGAGGCCCAGACTTGTGAGTGGGGCCTTCCTAGATCACCCAGCCAAGCCAGTCCAAAACAGCATAACATCCCTGCTCAACCACAGGATTATGAAAAGTAATAGAATAATTGTTGTTCTAAACCACAAAGTTTGGAGTGGTTTGTTATGTAGCAAGAGATCAGATCGGGGGCCAATCTGCTTAGGGGCTATTTGTTCATGGATAGGCTGCTTAGCCCTCTGGAGCCTCCATTTCTTTATCTGTGAATGAGAATATTTATTCCCACTTCCCAGGATGTTGCATGTTACTTGCTATATGGTAAGTAGGTCCTCAAAAAATGTGAAATTCCTTCTTTATGAAGAATATGTTACTTAAAGATAAGCTTGAGAGGAATGCAAAGTGGCTGGAAGATCAGTTTGTAGATTAGGGTTACAAAAATTTAGGAACATGATAGGTCACAAATGCTTGGAACAGGTAAGTAGATCCATTGAATTTTTTACTAAGAAGGGATGCAGAATGCAGGTTACATGGATGGACTTGGGGACCTTTAAAGGTCATTCTGTTCTTAAGATTCCATTAATCTCTGGCTCTAAGAATCACTACGTGAGCCAGGATAAAACTTTCTCCTATTCTCTTTTCCTCACTATCTTTACAACCAGATTTCCTTTCATGCCCACTGGTAATGCCGAGCTGTGGTTGAAATCTTGCAGGCTTTGTTAGTGGGCCTCTTTCTAACCCCAAGTTAAGTACAGCAGAGTAGGGGATCTAAAATGTTAGCTGAATTGAACACTAAGCACAGGGGATTCCATTGCTTTTACTAAAAGTGTTAACAGGAGCAGAAAAAAATCATTACAGTAAAAAAGGCAGAGAGAGATAGAAATAGAAAAGTTTTGTTTTAATGATTGGTGAAACTCACATAAATATTCCCATAGGATGGTTATTACATTATTGTTAAGGTTTTTATTTGTTTGTTGCTTTTTTTGGCTTGCTTGGTTTTGTTTGTTTTGTTTTTAAACATTTCATCTCAATTGTACTATGGGAAACTTTTTACAATGACCAGTATTGCTGTTTCTCTTTCTATTCCCTATGAGAGTCTCATTAGAATTCTGTAATCTCGCTGAGTGATTTCACTAAAAACGCCACCAATGACCCAACTCCGAAACTCAAGAGTTGCATGTGATGGGTGTTTTAATTTGTTTCTTCACTAAAGACATTTAAAAACATAAACCAAATTAAAATGAAATATTTCAGTAAGTGATAAAAATACTTGCACAGTTTCACATCAGAAATTTTTGGAGGGAGAAGGGGAACTGTGGCTTTTAATGAAGCAAATTGAAAACATAAAATAAACCTTCACAGAACATAAGTGACCTGAAATATTCTATGCTTCCGTAATATCTTTATGGAAGAAAAATAAAATTTCCAAATCCACATTTTCCCTGTATATTCCCTGGCTTCAAGCTCAGGCCACGTTTTTCTTCACTCTTTGCTGGTTCCAGTCCTCATCTCCGGGCTTTGCAAAACCCAGCCCTGCTGATGAATAAACATCGTTGTGTCTGTGGCGCCCCATACACTTTGGAGACAATGTTCAGCTTCAAAGTTTTCAGAATTGCCCAGTCCGGTTTTGTTAACGACATTAGTGGGACCGCATTGTCGGGGTGAGGGGTGAGACAATGGTGCATCTCTTACATCATCAAACACAAGGAGCTCTGTCTCCAGCTGTACAAACAACACAGGAAATGGATTTTTTCTTCGTGTTATTTTTTGTCTATTAAAATTATGCAAACCCAGCAAATACAACAATTGCTTTGTTAAGTCTCCGAAATGTCTAACCATTCATTTCTCAAATAAGGAGCCTGCGGTGCGTTTGATGCTGAGGATTGTTAATCCCAAATGTGGAAAACTAATAAAATAATCAAAAAAGGCCTCAGAAGTGTTTATAAATTTCAATTATCTTTTGCTCTCTATCCCAGGATTGGACTAGACGGGATGAGGTTGCCTTCAAGTAGTACTTGAGTCAGGGCTGCATTTTCTCCTCCCTGGGCCCCTAGTCACCGATGTCTCTTCTTTGAGGCTGAATCGCCTTAGCGGGGCTGGTGTTTGGAGGTGCTCAGGGCCAGAGGAGACAAAGCAGGCCTGCTTCACAAAGGCGAGGGAGCCAAAGAAAGCAAAATTGAATCTCTAGCACCCTGCTCCTGAGTAAACAGACAAAACTAATGGGTCTGCCATTTCTCCTCCCATCCAATTACTGGGCTCCAGTAGAGAGAATATGGCAACATCAGCTCACACAAATTCTAATACTCTTAATCTCTTCCATACATATAAACCTCACATCCACCCACATGACTTCATTACCAAAGCCACCCAGGCAGGCAGTGTGAAGGAATGGGCCCGCCAGCTGCAAAAACCTGCCTTCTTCAAGTTTTAATCAGCTAATGAGGTACATGCAAATGAAAAGCTTATGGGATTATGGCTTGTCGGACAGCAGTGCACCCCTAGTGATGGAGGACTAATACAGGTGTTAGTGAACGGGTTATTAGGCCTGGCCTAATTTAGGCCTATTCATGCTGCGCTTACACTCTTAGCCTGGACATTTGTCCTCACCCTGGGGGCCAGCAGGAGCCATCTTTAGGCCTGTGGTAGGTCTGACATGAACTCCTCACTAAAAGATACGAAGTTAATAAATCCGGCCATTGGGTGTTTAGGCATACACAGCAACATGAGAGTGGCCTCACGGTAGGGGCTTTCTTTCTCTTCCCACATGGGGAAGGGCCTGAGAAACTGCTATGGAGCAGTGAGCGGGCATTGTATCCAATATTATTCACCACTCACTGCTGCCTCTGCAGCCTCCACCAGGAATGCTATCTGGGAGTTGCACCTAGCCCCTCATCTTTTCTTTTTTCTTGTGTCCTGAGACAAGTACTTACCTACAGAGGATGACAGCCTATCTGCGGAATGTGCTGCAAAAGAGAAGGTCAGAGAGAGACTGACTGGCTGCAACTGAGCAGTTGTTTCTGGAGAGGTCACTACCAGGCAGGTCGGATCCCCAGCTCCACCAGCCCAAAGCCCAAAACCAGCCTACACGCCTTCTCTGCAATTCTGAAATCCTCAAAGATCAGAAAAACCAAAGAGGTTTTTTTTCATAACTCATTTAACAGCAAAACCTGACATGAAGCTACTTATAACCTTTCTATCTCATTAAGTATTTATGTATTTTATTGCACGAACATTATTAATATGTCTGATTTTGAGGTGCTTATAATATAAAGTATATACCATACACTAGATAAAACACACAGGGTTTTATCTAAATTATGATATATACTTGATATTATTCTAAAAATCTTCTTTAGAAATCTGAATCCTGAAACAAATCTGGCCCAAGGGTTTCAGGAAAGGAGTTAGAAAACTGAATCATCAGTTAACCCAAAGGTAATCAAGCACCAGAGGAACATTTCACCAAAACACTACATTATTATGTCTACCAAAATAATTTTCTGATGACTAGCATACTGGTAATCAGTACAGGTTAACCATTTCCTAGTCATCAAGGTACCTTAAAAAGCAAAACAGTAATCAGAAGTTAGAAGGAAAGCATAGAATAATTTGAACAACCAGTAACAATAGCTAATATTCGTAAAGTATTTCCTATGTGCCATGTTTTGCAAACACTGAGTTGTTTAGCACACACAAAAACCTCTGAAGCTGGCACTATCATAATTCCCATTTTATAAGTGGAGGAACCAAGACTAAGAGGGCTACTATTCTGAAAGTATTTTGAGGAATATTTAATCCAGACTTAGGTAAGATGCAATAAATTATAACTACCCCAGAATAGAATTCTTTATTCCAGTAACCAGAACACATTCACTTTTCCCCTCCCCTTCAGATGGCATAGCAGAAGCTAGCCAAGTATTACCAGCAACTTCTGTTTCTGAAGGTTATTTTGTCTCACCATTTCCTCAAACTGGTCAGTCGCCTATTTCTGTTTTCTTTTCTATTATCCTCATCTTCTTGAGAATAGAGCCTTCATCATTTCACCTTTACCATCTTGTGGAGCTTTCTGCTTTCTTCCTTTCTTATTTGTATTATATGTGTGCCTTTCTATAAAATATCTTGAGGTTAGAATTCCAGACTTAATTTATCCTCATAAGCAACTAGTACAAGGCTTGAAATACAGGATGCATTCACAACATATTTCACGAACCTCTGCTATATACCAGATTCTAGGAAGATAGAATGGATGAAGAAATAGTTGATGTAGAAGTAATTGAGACCATCCTGGCCAACATGGCAAAACCCTGTCTCTACTAAAAATACAAAAAATAGCTGGGCGTGGTGGCGTGCGCCTGTAGTCCCAGCTACTTGGGAGGCTGAGGCAGGAGAATCGCTTGAACTTGGGAGGTGGAAGTTGCAGTGAGCCAAGACAGTGCCACTGCACTCCAGCCTGGCAACAGAGCAAGACTCTGTCTCAAAAAAAAAAAAAGAAAAAAGAAAAAGTAAAAGTTTGTTGAACTAATTTACTGTTCGCATTGATAGACATGTGTTAATCTGTTTAATTTTCCCCAAAATCCCTGGAAGGATAAGCTAATGTGATCTCTACTTTGATCATAAGGCCCAAAGAAGAGACATCAATTGCCTGGTGATACAGTTAGCATTAGCAAAATTGAGATTAGAACTCAGGTGATTTCACAACAAAGTATCTATGCTGAAATTTGCTGTCTTACCACTCTGCAAGAAATAGTCTCTTGAGATGTTCTCACACTGGTGGGGAAAACTGACTTGTAAAATAATTATGGCTCAATGTAATCAATGTTAGAATGTCAAATACTGAGAACACAAAGGCGAGACTGACTCTTCCTGGAAAGCCTGGGAAATCCTCCTGGAGGGGGTAGCATCAATAGGTTGAATTATTCATTTTCTCTTGTTTATTTAACAAATATTTATTAAATACCTATATGTGACAAACAATGGAAGATGCTAATTCACAAAGAAGTAAAGACATAGATAGTGGTATATTGGTAGATGTTTAACAATAAGCTTTCCAGAAAAAAAAAAAAAGACCCTGATTTGTAATGTCTGCTGATTTCCATAGAGTAAACACTTCGACCATGGCTGATGCCAGACAGCCAATGTGACATCAACAGCCTTGCAAAAATCACTGAAAAGTTAACAAGTTCTTGCTAGCCAGTATGAACTGACTCTGGCATGCCACTGGACATAGGCCTTGCCTTCATACCACTTACAGTCCAGGGCAGTAGTTCTCAAAGGGTGTCTGTGAGGTTAACACTACTTTCACATTATACTTTGCCTTTTTTCACTGGGTTCTTTGCCTTTTTTCACTGTGTTGACATTTGCACAGTTGGTGCAAAAGCAATGGCAGGAGACACTGGAGCCTTAGTGTGAATCAAGGCATGGCACTCGTAGCACAATCTTTGTGTTCTTCACCACCACACACTTGCAGGAAAATTAAAAATTCCAGGTTTTCTTAAGAATGCCTTTGATGAAACAGCAAACAATATTAATTTTATTAAATCTTGATCCTTGAATACATGTCTTTTTAAATATTCTGTGTGATTATTTGGGAAATGCATATAACATACTTCTTCAAACGTGATGATCACCTCAAGGTAAAGCACTGTGGGATTGCTCAGGTTCTGAGCTGAAGCAGCACTAGCTGCTTTTTCATGAAACATTTTTATTTCAAAGAGCAAACTATACTTATTCAGACTTGGGTACGGGACAGACATTTTCCTGCAAATGAATGAAGTGGGCCTGATCACTTCAGGGGAAACAGCAGAGAATATTTGTTGCGAACAATAAAATTTGAAATTTCTTTTCTTTTCTTTTCTTTTTTTGAGATGGAGTCTCACTCTGTTGCCCAGGCTGGAGTGCAATGGCACTATCTCAGCTCACTGCAACCTCCGCCTCCTGGGTTCAAGCGATTCTTCTGCCTCAGCCTCCTGAGTAGCTGGGATTACAGGCACGTGCCACCATGCCCAGCTAATTTTTGTATTTTTAGTAGAGATGGGGTTTCACCATGTTGGTCAGGCTGGTCTTGAACTCCTGACCTCGTGATCCGCTCACGTCGGCCTCCCAAAGTGCTGGGATTACAGGTATGAGCCACCGCGCCCAGCCTAACATTTGAAATTTCAAAGCAAAAATTAAAATCTTAGAAGTGTATGTATCCTCCATCATGAGCTTGACATCTCCTGATATAATGACTTTTCTCTTTAGATTAGTGGAGATATTAAAGAAAGTGATGTTTTGGTGTTGCATGATGAAATGTGTCAACGTTTGAAAGATCTGCATAACTCAGTGAACCAGTGTTTTCCAATTGACCAGTGCATGGTGGCACAAAATCAGGCACAGGTAAAAGATCCATTCAGAGTGCCAGATAGAGCAACAAATTTTAACATGAGAGAGTATGAAAATTTCATTGAAATGGTTTCAAATTACATATTGTGACCAACCTTTAAGAAATCACCACTTGTCAAGCTAGGGTATAATGGCAAAGAATACAATCCAATTATCTGAAATGGTTATTAAAACACATTTTCTCCCCAACTACATATCTGTGAGGATGATTTTCTTCATATACTTCAGCCAAAACCACATATTCCAACAAACTGAATGCAGAGGTAGCTATGAAAATCCAGCTGTCTTCTACTTAGATACTAAAAGGATTTATGAAAATGTAAAATAATGCCACTCTTCTTACCTAATATGTTTTCTTTTGAAAAATGGTTATTTTTCATAAAAATGTTGTCTTTGTTAATATATAATGCATTTATATTCTTTTTAATGAATTAAATATTTTTTAAACTTCAGTTTTAATTTTTAATACTACAAATATCAAGAGATATAATTCTCACCAGCAGAATCCTCTGGAGTTCTTTATAATTTTTAAGTATACAGGGATTCTGAAACCAAAAAATTTGGAAGCTACTGATCTAGTGGGATATTATTCTTTGTCTTGAAGAATGAGTAAGAGTTTGCTTAATGAAGGTGATGTGAAGGGGAAGCCAGGCAGGTTATGTAAGCCAGGAGGGCACGCACTTTCATTACCATAAGAAGGTCAGCTTGGCTGGACCTGTGATTTTGTGGGGCAGCAAGGGAGAAGGGCAAGGGACAGCTTCTGAAGCTCGGGATGCCTTGTCTGCTTTGCCTGCCTAGGAGTTTGTGTTTATTTAGTGGGCAACTGGAAGCTACAGGAAGTCTTTAAGTAGGGTCATGATCTGATCTGATCTGATCTGCAATTTAGAATGATGACTCTGGCTGCTGGGGTCTGGAGCATATGTATCCTGGGACTGTGTTTTGTTTAGCTGGCACTGTGTTTGATAAGTTTAAATTGTTCCAGGTCCCACCACTCCCCATTCATACACTCCCCCTGATTCCCACATTTATGTTGCTTTCCTAGTCCTTATGAGGGTGCAAACTTGAAAACACTGCAAAAGAAAATGGTGAGGTCCTCACCAGAGTGTACTCTCCTGATTAGGGAAAACTGGGGACTTATCAGCACCTCTGTGAGGTCCTCTTTGGCCTGAAGGCCTTTGAAATGTTGGTGATCTTTGGCACAAACAGAAAGAAAAGAAGAGTGTGTAATGCAAAATCAGGCTTGGAGAATTTTAGACCTTTCTAATTTTTAGATTTCATTTACTTTTAGTGAAAACACACTGCTACATGTTTTGACCTGACTTTCTGCAAACTGTCACTTCTGGAAAATAGCAAATCTACACCCCCATTATCATAAGGGATCGTTATTATCCTTCTGGCGAAAATCAGATGATGAGTTAGACTTTAAGAGTTAGACTTTTAAAAGTGTAACTCTTGGCCAGTTGTGGTGGCTCATGCCTGTAATCCAAGCACTTTGGGAGGCCGAGGCGGGCGGATCACTCGAGGTCAGGAATTCGAGACCAGCCTGGCCAACATGGCAAAACCCCGTCTCCATTAAAAATACAAAAATTTGCCGGGCACGGTAGCACACACCTGTAATCCCAGCTACTAGAGAGGCTGAGGCAAGAGAATTGCTTGAACCCAGCGGGTGAAGGTTGCAGTGAGCCGAGATCACACCACTGCACTCCAGCCTGGGTGACAGAGTGAGACTCTGTCTCAAAAAAAAAAAAAAAAAAAATTCTTTTTAAAAAGTGTAATTCTTATTTACTTCCCAAGGAATATTGCAACTTAATAAGCCTTTTTAAAAAAAGGAAAGAAAAAAATTACCTTTAATCCCCCACCCCACCCCCACACAGTTTTTTTTGTTGTTGTTTGTGTGTTTAATGATCTCTTTCAGGCTTGACCCACAAGCAGCCATGATGAATACATGTTGTCATCATAGCATAGAAATCATTTTATATTCTACCCTTACTTTTTATTAAGGCAAGGAGAAAAATAAACACAACTGGGTTCCTGCTGACTACCAGAGACTGCTAGATGTTGTAACATACCTTGTCTTATTAATTTATTCTTACAATTACCGAATAAAGTGGGCATTATACAGAATTTTACAGAGAAGTTCAGTGACATAATAAGATATTAGGCTATTACTAATTGGTTATTGAGGTAATTCAGCTCCTGAAGGACCAAGAAAGGAGTCAAACCAGCTTTCTCTGGCAACAAAACCCCTTCCTATTACCCTTGTATTTTCCCCATGTTGTTTCATCACCTCAGTTGCAATAAACTGTCTGGCTTCATAATACTTTGGTACATTACAAACTTCCTGAAAGCAAGAACTGGGTCCTACTTGTCCCCAGAACCAGTACAGTGTCTGGCAGTCATAGGTATTTAATGAGTGTTTGTTGAATAGACACAGCCCCTCCATCTGCCATTTTTTCAACCTCCTGAAAAGCTCAGGGCTAAGGAGGGCCTCCTCCTGGCTTTCTTCCTTCCCATCCTTGCTTACTTTACTTGACAAAATTTGATCCAACTTCTACTACATGTTGTGTCCTTGGCTAGGTATAGGGAAACAAAGACAAAAAGCCCCTGCTGCATTTCAGCAGGAGCTCATGGTCTAGCAAGGAGGCAGGCAGGACACCGGGAGGGAAGGGTTTGTTGGAAGCATCTATCTACAGGGAGAAGCAACTAGAATAGCCCGGGCCGTGAGGTCACCTGGGATGGTTCTCCAGGAGAAAATGGCTTTGTTCCAACTTCTACAGATAGCACCTAAACCCTAGCTAGCCATCTTTTGAGTATATGCGCTTGGTCACAAGAGGCCTAAAATGAGAAGGATTTTACAGAGCTGAAGACTGATGTTTCAGGCTGGGCATGGTGGGACATGCCTGTCATCCCAGCACTTTGGGAAGCCGAGGTGAGCAGATCACTTGAGGCCAGGAGTTCGACACCAGCCCAGACAACATGGCAAAACCCCATCTGTACTAAAAACACAGAAAAATTTAGCTGAGTGTGGTGGCGCATGCCTGTAATCCCAGCAATTTGGGAAGCCGAGGCAGGCAGATCACTTGAGCCCAGGAGTTTCAGACCAGTCTGGGCAATGTAGTGAGACCTCATCTGTACAAAAACATTTAAAAATTAGCAGAGCACGGTGGTGTGCACCTGTGGTCTCAGCTACTCGGGAGGCTGAGATGGGAAGATAGCTTGAGCCCAGGAGGTTGAGGTTGCAATGAGTCGAGATCACACCACTGCACCCCTGCCTTGGTGACAAGGCAAGACCATGTCTCAAAAAAAAGAAACTGGTGTTTCAGGCTTGTCCTTGCTTTTGTGGCATTTTATTTTATCTTATGCCGAAGGTATGTATGAAACTCAGATTTTTGTTCTGTATACCATATCATTTAAATCCATTAAGGCATCTTGCTATATTTGCAATTCCTCAGTAAAGTGAATAATTGCTACCCTCTCCCTCCCATATTTACCTTTTATCCCATTCCAAACACCTATTTTTCTAAATTCTGTAGTTTATAGGCTTTAGTCTCATGTACAATGACTTTGCTTTCTAAAATTATCTTGCCTGTCATTGCAGAATGAAGGTAAATCCTTATTTGATTGATTGGCATCAGTTTCCTAGGGACTTGCTAATGTGATCCTTTGTATTCTATCTATGCCAACATCTTTAGAATTTAGAAAGATGATATGAGAGTTTTGGCACTAGATAAAATTCACCAGAGGTCTTTACAGAGTGTATTATATAAATATCTGAAGAAATTCTTTTCTCTGTCTTCAAAAATGCCATTTTCCAGGTCTGTGATCTATTTGCTGTGGAATTCCATCTTTG
Source organism: Homo sapiens (assembly GCF_000001405.40). Classification (NCBI taxonomy): domain Eukaryota; kingdom Metazoa; phylum Chordata; class Mammalia; order Primates; family Hominidae; genus Homo; species Homo sapiens. The sequence continues at coordinate 20,318,966 of NC_000011.10, forward strand.
GATAACAATGTAGCCAAAAGTCAGTGCTTGAGTACCTTGCAACTTGATGGGAGAAAATTCTTCTGACCTTGGAGTGAATGGGGGCAGGTGTCCAGTTATACTTCTTTCCCCAAACTCTAAAATCGTCTGCCTCTTCTTGCCCTTGCCCCAGTCTAGGCTTTACTGGAGAATTCATTTTCTCTGAAAAATAAAAAAAATAAAAATAAAAATTATTAGGTTGAAAGTAAGGGCAAAGACCGTAGTTACTTTTGCACCAACCTATCGAAGTATTGAGATGCCAGATTACCAGGCAAACGTATGTACTTCTTGGTGGTTCTGGTTGGTCTTTGGAAGAGTAATTCCAAATGAAAGTTATTGAGCACAGAGTCTTACATATGATATTGGTTCTCAGAACACAAAATAAGTTTCAATCTATAACTGTCTCCTTGAAATAGAAGGAAAACTTTTTTACTTTTTTGGTTCCCTTGAAGAAGAGAGGACCCAACTAGATTTCTCAAATTCTTCCATACAAAAGTGTTTTTTTGTTCCCTAAATACTTTTGCTGTTGGAAATAAAGAACTCAGCTGACTAAGTCCTTCAGCAAATGTTCTAAATACTTAATTTGGGCCAACACCTTGTCCTGGGATTGGCCTGTTAACCTTTCACCCTTTACCCAGCCTGCCATGGGGAAGTGATCCTCTTTGAATCCTCTCCAGGCAAGGCCCACAACATAGGATGCTTAAATCTATTTAACCTGGGGATTTGGGGAGGCAGCTTTTCCACACCACATTGTTCATCACTGCCATTTGTTTTCTGTAGTTCCTCTCAATTAACTGGCCAAGGCTTTGAAAACCATGTGATTTTAATGCCTTGTAGCCCATTCCTCTGTTCCCAGTGGAGAGAAACAAGAGCAGGCTCATGACATTTTACAAGGTGTCATCATGTTTACATATTCACACATATTCCATAAAGAAATAGTATCCCACATATTGTGACATATGTAAATAATAACAGCAGACATCTGTAACATTCTTTAGATAGATGAACTGTGTTACAATTTCCTTAGCTTGTCACAACAAACCCAGGGAGTAGGTGTCAATTATCAACACCCAGTTTAGAGATGAGAAGTCTGAAGTTGAGGAAGGTAAAGGACATTTCAAAAATAGCTCAGTTAGATAAAACTAGCTTATTGCTTGTTTTCATTTGTTCTTCCATTTGAGTAATAAGCTTTTCAATTTAAATAATTTGACTTTTTACTCAATTCTTTCTTATCAAAAAATGACAACTAACTAAGGCAAGTAAAGACTTATCACAAGTCTACTGTTCTCACAGTATAGGATTGCCACAACACAGAAAATTTTTTTAAGTAAATAAAACAATGGAGCCAAATAGAAAATCTAAAGATCGTGTGCAAGTGAGAACTTAAAATATGAGATATGGCATTATAATTCAATACAAATAGATGGCCCATTATAGAAATGGTACTGGCTCTCCACCTGGAAGAAAAAGACTTCCTAACTCATATCCTATGTAAAAGTAACAGATTGATAAAATATTTCAGTGTGTTAAAAATAGAATTAAAAAATTTTAAAAATATTTGTAGAAACATTTTATGTGAGAGACCTTCTTAATCTAAACAGGAAACCTAGAAGCCATGAAGGAATAGAAGTGTTTTTTTTAATATGGCAAAATATACAATGACAAAATCAAAGTGATAGCCTAGAAAAAAATATGAAATATATGACAAATGAAAACAATATCTGTACTATGCTAGGTGCTCCTACAAATTTTAACAGGCAAACTATAGGACTGGATAAATAACATAAACAAGAAACTCACATAAGAGGAAATCTAAAAGTCCTAAAACACATGAAAAGAGACTTAACCTCAGTAGTGAGGGACATGCCAAATATAGTAATGATGTGGTACCATCTTATGCCATCAAATTGGCCAAAAACAAAAATAGCGATGTCACTGTTAATTGGAGAAGATGCTAGGATTTATCCATTTTAAAGGCCTAAGTGCACCACATTTAATCATTTGAGCATCTCAGAAGGGAAGAATCATAAAATCATAAAATGTGAGTGTCTGAATGGATTACAAAGTCTTAGTCCATTCATCCAGTTTTTCTAGCTAGAAAAACTGTGACCTGGAGAAGTTTTATGATGTTTTACTCAGGCCACATGGCAAGAAGGCTCAGCTGAGGTCATCACATCCAAAGGATTGTCTTAGCATCTTTTTACAAACTTACTTTTTTGTGCTTTATAAAGGAATTGAGTTCAGGCAGAATTTGCCTTGCTTTGACAGAAAAAAAATACTCTTAATCCCAAACACAACACAAAGACATCTTTCAGAAATGTACTCATGTGTTGAGCATGAATCAATTATTGCAATGACAAATGCAAATTTCCCTGAAAAAATGTGTCATCTGTTGGACCAATTCATAGATGAATCTTACTGCACAGTGTTCATAAGCTTGTGCAAGTCTTATGCAAGCTAGTGAAACAAACAGCAGCAACAACAAAAAAACCTACAAATTATCTGAGGTCTGACAATAAAAAGAAAGGCTATGAACCACAGGCTTTGCCTTTCCACTGATCTGTGTTTGGGGGAATTGTTTTGGGAAGAAGAGGTGGTATTTTGTTTTTAGTATGATGACAATAGCGATCCCTTCCATCCCTTGAAAACGCCTTTGGAGTTTTCAAAACGGACTCACGTACATTCTCACTTTGATCCTCACAACAGCCCTGTGATGGAGGCTTGCAGTTTTCTAAGCAACTCCACTCATGTTTTTCAACTGATCTTCTCTTGTCTTTCAGGCATATTGCCACTCAAGGAGCTATAAGTCTTAAGTGCAAAGAGTCAGAATAATTCAGAAAGATAAACATAATGGTCAAGTTCTTCTAAAGGAGCTGAGTGTGTGTGTGTGTGTGTGTGTGTGTGTGTGTGTGTGTGTGTGTGACAGAATGTATTTGTGTGAAGGATAAAGAAATAACAGCTAAATAATGTGAGAGTTGGTTGGTAGAGAATAAGAATACCAATAGTGTATGGGAATAGAATATCTATAGCAACTGGATTTACTACTGTTTTAAATTTTCTGATTATATGCTCCTCTTAATATAAGGCTAAAGACATTGTAGCTTCAATTTTTGAAAATTTTGATGTTTGTTGTATGGTGGTAATTGTTGAATCGTTTTCTCAAAAACCAGTATCACCAGCTATGTGATAACATTTGAGACAATATGGACACAATTTTGAGATTATTTTTTTCCTTTTTCTCTAGCCAGTCTGTCAGCAGGCCTGGATTTGTGACACTTTAGTAAGAATGCTAACAAAATGAGAACTGTGTCAGCTTCTTCAATTTTTTGTCAAAACATCAAAGGCTCCATCCTGTGGTCCTCTAGAGAGGACGGACTTTATGTATTGTACTGCTAGGACGTGCCTTGTATAATCAACAATGTGTTTACTTAGTAGCCCTCCCTCATTGACTCAGTGGAAAAAATACAAACAGGGAATAAAAATAAAGAATTTCTCACTTCAGATGGTACTGCATCTTGGACTCTGAATTCTTGAGAAATGTATTGGTTATAATCTCAAGTCTCTTTTGAGAGTGAAAACTGACTTAAGTAGATAAACTGCTGGCCTGGAAAGCAATTTGATTGTTTGAAAACATTGATCTTCCTTTTGCTCAAAAGCACTTCCTAGGTTGTATGTATGCCTCTTACGTGTATTTAATTTAATAGGTAGATGTTATGGGAATTTTGACCGGACTTTACGCTTTGTTTTCACATGTAAAATAATACAGATAATGAAGACATTATTTAGCTGAAATTACCTAGACCAGTACTGCAATGATAGAAATGTTACTTCCACTGACTGCAACTAAAACCCTAGACAAAATGCATAAAGCAACTCTCAGAGGATTCTGGAAGGTACACTGCGTGAAGAACTCTGTGCTTGAGGGACAAACCAGAAGTTAATTTCCTGGGTTGCTTTTCCTTCCTATACATCCTGTCTCAGGCTCCAGGGAAGCCTGAAACCTAGAATTACATGTGGTTATGGACAGAAAAAGCTTGAGAAATCCCATGCTCTCTAGCCACAGGACCTGCAAGATGCAGGGGAATGTTACAATATGAAGGTCTTTTGACTTTTTCTGGCCCACTCCAGGTGAGAGTCAGCAAGGAAACAGCAAGCCTGTTCTCCCTATCAGTGGCAGCAGCAGCACTGAAAGTAACCAACCCCTTGACTGGGCACAGTGTCTCACACCTGTAATCCCAGCACTTTGGGAGGCCGAGGAGGTAGGATCACTTGAGATCAGGAATTCGAAACCGGCCTGCCCATCATAGCAAGATGTCATCTCCACAAAAAATTAGCTAGGTGCAGGGGTGGATGCCTGTAGTCTTAGCTACTTGGGAAGTTGAGGCAGGAGGATCTCTTCAGCCCAGGAGTTCAAAGCTGCAGTGAGTTTCCTTCCTTCCTTCCTTCCTTCTTCCTTTTTGCCTCTCTGCCTCTCTTTCTCTCTTTTTGAGGTAGAGTTTTGCTTTTATTGGCCAGACTGGAGTGCAATGGTGCAATCTCAGCTCACTGCAACCTCTGCCTCCCAGAGGTGATTCTCCTGACTCAGCCTCCCAAGTAGCTGGGATAACAGGCATACACCACCATGCCCAGCTAATTTTGTATTTTTAGTACAGACAGAGTTTCACTATGTTGGTCAGGCTGGTTTCAAACTCCTAACCTCAGGTGATCCACTGGCCTCAGCATCCCAAAGTGCTGGGGTTACAGGCATGAGCCACCGTGCCTGCCAGTGAAGTGAATTATGATTGGGCCACTGCACAAAGCAAGAACTTATGAAAGAAAGAGAGAGAGAGAGAGAGAGAGAGAGAGAAAGAAAAAAGAAAGAAAGAAAGAAAGAAAGAAAGAAAGAAAGAAAGAAAGAAAGAAAGAAAGAGAAAGAGGAGAGGAGAAAGAAAAGAAGGAAAGAATGAAAGAAAAAAGATGGAAGGAGAGAGGGGAAAAAGTGACCTCTGTTGGGTAAAGCCCTTGGGATTCTACCCACCCTAGCAATGAAAGGTGTCAACCTAAATAACAGAGAGAGGCTCTCTAAGAGAAAAGATATTTATTTAAGAATAAAACATTGCAATGGGCATACATATGCCATAGTAAACTGTGCATATTCAGGGAGGTAAAGGAAGACAAAGATTTTTATTTGTTTGGTTTTGAGACGGAGTCTCACTTTGTCACCCAGGCTGGAGTGCAGTGGCTCAGTGTCAGCTCACTGCAACCTCTGCCTCCTGAGTTCAAGCAATTCTCCTGCCTCAGCCTCGTGAGTAGCTGGGATTACAGTGAGTAGCTGTATTTTTAGTAGAAATGGGGTTTCACCATGTTGACCAGGCTGGTCTCAAACTCTTCACCTCAGGTGATCCACCCATCTCGGCCTCGCAAAGTGCTGGGATTACAGATGTGAGCCCGTGCCCGGCAGACAAAAGGTTTTTTTTATTTATTTTTTATTTTTTATTATACTTTAAGTTCTGGGATACATGTGCAGAACGTGCAGGTTTGTTACATAGGTATACATGTGCCATGGTGGTTTGCTGCACCCATCAACCCCTCATCTACATTAGGTATTTCTCCTAATGCTATCCCTCCCCTAGCCCCCAACCCCCCAACAGGCCCTGGTGTGTGATGTTCCCCTCCCTGTGTCCATGTGTTCTCATTGTTCAACTCCCACTTATGAGTGAGAACATGCGGTGTTTGGTTTTCTGTTCCTTTGTTAGTTGGCTGAGAATGATGGTTTCCAGCTTCACCCATGTCCCTACAAAGGACATGAACTCATCATTTCTTATGGCAGCATATGTACCATGGTGTATATGTACCACATTTTCTTTATCCAGGCTATCATTGATGGGCATTTGGGTTGGTTCCATGTCTTTGCTATTGTGAATAGTGCTGGAATAAACATACGTATGCATGTGTCTTCATAGTAGAATGATTTATTTTATTTTATTTTATTATTTTATTTTTATTTTTATTGTTTGAGACAGAGTCTCTCTATGTTGCCCAGGCTGGAGTGCAGTGGCACAATCTTGGCTCACTGCAACCTCTGCCTCCCGGGTTCAAGTGATTCTCCTGCCTCAGCCTCCTGAGTAGCTGGGATTACAGGGGTGTGCCACCATGCCTGGCTAATTTTTTGTATTTTTAGTAGAGATGGGGTTTCACTGTGTTGGCCAGGATGGTCTCGATCTCCTGACCTCGTGATCTGCCCATCTTGGCCTCCCAGAGTGCTGGGATTACAGGCTTGAGCCACCTTGCCATAGTAGAATGATTTATAATCCTTCGGGTATATACCCAGTAATGGGACTGCTGGGTCAAATGGTATTTCTGGTTCTAGATCCTTGAGGAATTGCCACACTCTCTTCCACAATGGTTGAACTAATTTACACTCCCACCAACAGTGTAAAAGTGTTCCTATTTCTCCACATCCTCTCCAGCACCTGTTGTTTCCTGACTTTTTAATGATCACCATTCTAACTGGTGTGAGATGGTATCTCATTGTGGTTTTGATTTGCATTTCTCTAATGACCAGTGATGATGAGCTTTTTTTCATATGTTCTTTGGCCTCATAAATGTCTTCTTTTGAGAAGCAGACAAAGGTTTTTAAAGGAGAAAAAGAAGGAGGATTACATAATTGTTTGGAAATAATTATCCTTGGCTATGAAGATCAGTAACAAGGGTGACTCCAATCCAAGGTTGGACAGGCAGTTGCTGGGCAGATGTCCTTGCAGAAGTATTTTTTTGGTGTAAGGTTACGATGGCCTTTGTGCAAGGTTGTGGTTTTTGTAGTTTTTTTCATGATCAGGCATACAAGTAAAACCCGCTCTTCATGGCTTTCTCTGGCTCTATTCATCAGGGTTTTCTTAACATTATTGACTCCATTTATATTGTGACAACTTTCACAAGGGGCAGGCCTTCCCCAACATAGGCATGGTGGAGGTGGCCATTACAGCGCTGAGTCCTTGTAAGTCTCCTACATGCTCCAGGTGAGAGCATTAGCAACAGAGGGGAATTGTTGAGGTACCCCTTCTGCTGTGGTCAGTGATTCAAGATGGTTGTATCTTGCCTGAGTTGAGAAGGCTGAATCCTTTATCCCACCCTATACTGCCAACAAAGGAAAAGGATGCAATATAGAACAGAAAATACTTTTAGAATTTGGGCATAATCATGGAACCAGGGAAGCCTGACCCTCCTTATTTTCCCAAACATCTATGCCGTGTACTCCCTATCTGACCCTATTGTAGGCAGCCATCCACTGGGATGCAGCCTGGAGGCAAGAGAAACATCAGCTGTGTTTTACCTCTCCGGCTATTGTTTTGCTCAGCAGAGGCTAAGAAGCACTTAATGATCAGAGTGGGAAAAGGTTAGCAAGACAAGACTGTTGCTAAGAGACGGAAACCCCAAGGCTGGAGTCTACATTCAAGAATCATAAACCAAGATTTCTGGCTTTGGACATTAGCCCACCATCCCTGACACCTGACATAGTGCTAACAGTCTAGCATCTGACTTGAGGTTTTAAGGGTTGGTATTGCCAGAGAAGCCCCAAGCTTGCAAAATAACGTCTCGTAATTGATCACCTTCTTTTGCCATCCCTAGACACCAGAACTCAAACCAACAGAAAGAGAACTGCGAAAGCAGCATAGCCTTGAGAATAAGAATTTCCCCAGAATGTCCCTCCCACAAATGGCCATAAAGGTAAAGGACAAAGAGGTTTCTGTCATTTGCAACCTAAAAGCCTTAACTAATACAAACAGAACTTGGGTTCTCTCTTTTCCTGGCTAGGCTGGTTTCAAGAAGCATTGGGTACATACCCCACCCATATCTGCACAACCTGGAGATCCTCTCCTTGGATTATCCTTCCAAATCTACCCCAGTTCCAAGGGAAGAATTGAAAGCAGAGTAGAAGGGAGGCCTTATTTCCTTTGGACTCAGCTGACATGTTGGTGCTCTAAGCTTGGCCTGGCACCTTTCTCCCACCCTAAGAAATACTCTAGCTTTGATAAACTTAATCACCACTGATGGCATTTTCGTTATTATCTGTTAAAATGAAAATTTGAACTAGATGAGTGTTCGACTTTTTTCCAGATTCCTCTGGGATATGGAACGTGGGCATCTCTGTAATAGAAGTGCCCCTATTTGAGGAACCAGGACATCTGAATTGGGTTCTCTAATTCCCCGGCATAGGACTCTACATATAGTAGGTTTCTATTCCATATAGTGACTATTCCATTGATTGGTAATCTGGGTCAGCCAACACAGTTAAACCTTTCTCCGTATAGGTCCATTTTGCCTTACTGTTCTTGCCTTGGGCTGTTGTAGTCTTTTGATGAAGGTCTTAAATTAACAAGCTCATTTTACATCTAGAACTAAGACAACCCTTCCTCTTCTCCCCATTCTAAATGAGAGCAGTTTCATCCCTATCACTCTAAGATCCCTTGCCCCTAAAAGCTCAGATACCAATTAGCCTCCAGTGGAGATTAATAAACAATACAATAATGACAGATAAAAAGACTAATTCTTTGGCCAAGAGAATCATTTTAATTAATTTAATCCCGGCTGAAAGATCAGCTGTGCTCAGGCCTGCTCACCAGCAGGGCCCATTTATCCCAGTCTGCTCCTGCCTTGAAAGCCAGAGTGTGCTTGGGAGCTGGCACTTAAGCAACAATGAGAAACAGATTGTACTGTCAGGCTTCATTAAAGGTCATCATTAGTATTCCAATTTGAAGACGGTCGCTCTAGCTCAACCTTTTACCAATTCTTCCCTGGCACATTGTGAAGTTTGGTTCAGCTGTGAAACGTAAAAATTCTCCCTGGGCTCCCCCATGGCAGAGGATGGGTATCATTTGATGCCTGTCGCTCTGCAGCTTAAAGGGTAAATCCCCAGGGAAGTGACGGTCCCGGGATTCTATTTGAAAATCAAGACATGTGCAGCTGCCTGGGATTCAGATATTTGCAAGGAACGGAACTTTCTAGGACTTAGCCATAGCAGTCAGAAATAGGATGGCTTTGTCATCTTCCCCAGAAGCTAATTTCAACTTGCAAAAGAGCTGAAAAGGATTTTTTAGTGGAACCCTAGCTAGTGACAAACAGGAATCATCATCAAAGTGGGACATTGTTCTGGGCCAAAGGCTCAACAGAAGGACCAGCAACTACCCTTGTATCTTTTAAAGCCAACGACCCTCAGAGCACAATTCCTGCTGGCATTAGGGAGACAGTTTTCAGCCTACTCCGCACAGGATATGAAATTTTAATTTGCTTTTTCTACAAACTGTCAATTTTAACTACTTTCCCTCTGCTGATGCAATTTTTGTTTTTGTTTGTGCAAGGAGGTAAATTTTTACACACTTTTAATCCTTTTTCCTAGTAGGTAGAGCAACAGCCTAGTCTTTTGTGTCTGCTTTTGGAATTGGGTCATCTCTGCTGGGTATACTCTACCACCATTCTTTTCTGACTTATTCCTGTTGGGTCTTTTTGTTTGTTATTCTTTCAACTCCCATCATGCTTGTCTCATACTTTATCTGGTGCTAGGTCATGCTGTTTCTTTTAAGAACTGATGTATCTTTTGCACTGGATTCTAATCTCCAAATGAATATGCCCCCAGGATCAATCTCTTTCTTTATTTTTTTCCTTCCTTCCTTCCTTCTTTCCTCCTTTTTTCCTTCCCCTCCCTCCCTCCCTTCCTTTTTTTCTTCCTCTCTCTCTCTTCCTTCCTTCCTTCTTCCTCTTCCTCTTCTTCTCTTTCTTCTTCTTTCTCACCTTCTTCTCTTTCCTTCTTTCTTTTTTCACTTTGTCATTGTCCAGGTTGGTAAGCAATGTCTAGAAAAGATAAAGTTAAAATATTCATAGAAAATCAATGAAAAACTTGCATGTTAACCACACAGTACCTTATAAACCCCAAACACCTGATACCCAGAGTGATATGTTACTAATGACAAGGTCTCAGCGGGAGGGCATTTTAACAAAATCAAGAAGAAAACTAATTTTTAATCTAATTGTGTTTCTAAATGAGCCAAATTAAGACTAAATGTACTTTGCTGCAATTGTTTCTGTTTATTTCCTGAAACTGTATATTTTGAATGGTCTAGTGTCAGGCTAGATAAAAAGATAAAATCTTACCCAACATTCACAGATCCACTGGTGAACTGCACCGTGTTCTTCCAAGCTCTGCCCAGGTCAGTGTTTCCTTATGGCTTTCTTTGACTCCCCGCTACTCCCCAGTTAAAAGCAATGGCAGCCTCATCTGTGTCCTATAGCTCTAAATATATAAAAAAATTGCTATCTTGGATAATAACAATTTTGACATGTTATTCTACTTGCTTGTGTAGGCGCCAAGGGAAAACTTCCTCATTATCTTCTGAAAGTTCACTGAAAATCACAGACAAAAGGCAGATTAAAAGGAGAAAAGACATAGAAATGTATTTGATCATAGTTTTGCATGATGTGGGAGCCTTCAGAATAAAGACCCAAAGGTACAAAGGAATGGCCCATTTTTATACTTAAGTTCAATGAAGTGTAGATAACCCTGTAGAAATATGATAGGCAAAAAGGGTATGATTGAATGCTAATGGACCGAGTAGGCAAACCCAGCAAGGTGAGTCTATCTAGGTTATTCTTGGCCTCTCTGTGCAGCTTTCCTTCCTCCCAGGTATGGGGCAGGACTCTCTGTGGAATGGAAGTCTTATGACCTACGCTCAAGTAAGGTCAGTCAGATGATTTCCTTATGGCCAGTTTTTACACAGAAGAAAAGAGAAAATTAGAGTAATATTTTTAGGTTTTACGGCTGGCTCTGGGGAAAAGGGTTCTGGTTTCTATGAGCTGCCTTAGGGAGCAGGGATTCTAGTTTCTATGGCGGGCCTTGGGGTAGAATGGGAGGCCAGGGCAGGAGAAAGTAAGAGAGAGCTGCTTCTGAGATCTTCATTTTGGGGTGAGTTTTCTGAGCCTCAGACTTTGCTTATGTGTCTGTGAGTACCCTCCAAGCAAGGACGGTTTTTTGTTGTTATTTCTTTTTTTTTTTAATTCATGTATCTCTAGCACATGGCCTGTTACAGGAAGAACATTCAATAAAGATTGACTCCAGGAAATTACAATCAACACATGTCCCTATGCCCTCAGTCTTCTGGGGACTGTAAATTCTAGAGGCCAAACTGTAGGTGTGGCCATACCTGTGCATGGTTCCTTCTGCCTAAACTTCCAGGTCTTTCATGCTTCCTTCCTGTCTCCAAATGCTGTTCCTCATCTGCTTGTCAATTCTGTGAGCACCTGGTATTTATCTGATAAATTCTTTTTTTTTTTTTTTTTTTGAGATGGAGTCTCGCTCTGTTGCCCAGGCTGGAGTGCAATGGCACAATCTTGGCTCACTGCAACCTCTGCCCCATGGGTTCAAGTGATTCTCCTGCCTCAGCCTCCCAAGTAGCTGGGACTATAGGCACCTGCCACCACACCCGGCTAATTTTTTGTATTTTTAGTAGAGATGGGGTTTCACCGTGTTAGCCAGGATGGTCTCAATCTCCTGACCTCGTGATCTGCCGGCCTCGGCCTCCCAAAGTGCTGGGATTACAGGCGTGAGCCACCGCGTCCAGCCCTAATAAATTATTTTTTCCCTAATATAGTCAGAGTCTGTTTTTGTTGCTGTGATAAAAAATCCTAATGGTTCACCTTCCACCTGCCTCTCCCTCTATAGATTCCACTGAGAAGATAACGGTGTATATGTCAAGTGTCTGAAGGGAAGCATACAGGAAAAAGGGACTTGAGCTAAACACTATGTTTATAGAGTCTCAGACCTGAATTTCTCTTTGAGTGCCTCTAGTATAAGAATGAAGGGACTTGGGCTTTAACCAAGTAATTAGCTAATGCCCTATAATCATAGGCTTGTGACTGAAAAACCTGGGATAAATGATGTCCTCTCAGCTTCTTCCTCTTTCTGGGCTATCCAATGATTCCCCATCTTTAATGTGCCTAACAGTCACCTGGAATCGTGTCAAAAGATTCCTGGACACCCACTCCCCAGCCCCATACTCCAAGATTCTGATTTAAGAGGACATTCTGATAAGGGTGATAAATGCTTTGAATAACACTAGAAGTCAGCCTGAGGATAAAGCCATTATACAGAGAAAAAAACAAAAACAAAAAGGACAAACTAGAGAAATTCACAGAGATACAGAGCTCTCATCAAGCTGTGTCTAAAGACCGATCGTCCTATGGATTTCAAAGAGAAGACATTCCTTGTATTATTTAAGCCAAACTTAAAATTGGTTGTCTGTTACTTACAACTGAAAGCTTATAACTGAGAGGAAAATGCCTTCATTTTATACATCATATGATTAGATAATCACAGCCAATCTATGAAGACAGTTTTTGTTGCATCCCCATTTTACAGATGGTGACACCAGCTGCAAAAGCAGGATCTTTGCCTGAAACAAACATAATTTATAGACAGATCTGTAGAGGTAGGTCTTGTCATGGTATAGCGACCCTCCATTAAGGAAAATAGGATACTCCTATTCTTACTGGATTTCTGTTCTACTACCTTCTCAAAGCCTTTACGGAAAACTGGGCCCACCCTGATATTCCTTATGTGGCCACCAAGTATAAACAGATTTAGTGTCACAAATGTATAATTTAGTTGTTCTTGAATAGCTTGATGTTTCATTATTTTTTCTCTACTGTGAGTTCCTCAAAGGTGAACACCACATCTTGATTCCCTCACATTCCTCTAGAAGGTACTCAATCAATAAAAGCTAATTATTGGCTGTCTGAATTAAAACAAAAGGACAGGCGAACCTGGGGTAGAAGAAACTATGGTTCATTCATATGTATAACTGGGTTCCAGTAGTTTCTGACACTTGGTTTGTGCTCAATACATTTTTGCCAAATAAATGAATATCACTTGAGCCTTTCTGATACAATGAGACTCCACACCCATGACATTGGAAAATGGGCTCTTTAGTGAAATACTAAAAAACAAACAACAGGATTATGTAGCCTCTCATCTTGCCTTCAAAGAATAGGGTTTTGAAACTGGTAGCAATTCAAAGATTTTTGCTGGACACTCTTAACTGCAGGGCTAGTAGCACTAACCATAAAGGTGTATAATCCCAGCTTTCACATAACGGAAGATCATCATTGCTGCCTGGTTGTACAGTACAGAGCTAAAACTACAGTATAGTCAATGAAAGTTACAGCATACTCAGACCACAGGTTAGGGCCCATATGTCAAAAGGATTTTTTAAATTAAGGAATCCAACCACTGCTGCAAACAAAAGATTCAGATTTTAAGTTTTATAATTTGTGCCTGCCATTTTTAATAATATTAATAATTAAACAATCTTATATGCTTCCTAGGTCATAAAAACCCAAAAATCTGCCTTTAATTTGGCTTTTCAACATGACGTGGTAGAGCAGAAAGCAATTGCTCTTAGGCTAGAACACCTGATTCAATTTCTGGCTCCAACACTTGCCTGGTATGGCCTTTATGCAGGTCATAAACCTCTGAGATTCCCTTCCTCTTCTGTAAAATGGGAATAACAGTGAAACCCACTCTACAGAGTCATTGTGAATGTACAATTACGCAATATATGATGCAAAAGTATTTTATGGCTGGGGATGGTGGCTCACACCTGTAATCCCAGCACTTTGGGAGGCCAAAGCAGAAGGATAACTTGAGCCCAGGAGTTCAGGACCAGCCTGGGCAACATAGTGAGACCCCATCTCTACAAAAAAATTTTAAATTACCTGGGCTTTGTGGCATGCATCTGTAGTTCCAGCTACTTGGGGGGCTGAGGTGGGAAGATCGCTTGAGACCAGCAGGTTGAGGCTGCAATGAGCAGTGATACACCATTACACTTAGCCTAGATAACACAGAGAAAGACCCTGCCTCAAAAAGCAAAACAACAACAACAAAACCAAAAAGTGCTTTGTATATTAAATATATCATTTAGGGTGATTTAGGTTGCAAGTAAGAGAAAATCCATTTCAAAGTAGCTTAAATATGCAGAAAATGTGTTGGCTTTCATACTTGATAAGCCATGAGATGGTTTAGGCTTCACCTCTTTTCTCCACACACCTCTCCACCCTGCTCTTCAGTGTGGGTGAACTTATCATTAGGTGGGCTTCAGGCATAGTCTTAAGATAGCTGACAGCAGAAGACTGGGCTTTCTCCTTCACATCCTGGAAAAGAGGATGCTTTACGCATCCTTCAAACACAGGTCTGAGTTTCACTGTGCTTAGACCAATCCTGAATAATGTCAAAGAAGTAAGGATCAACCAGATTGATTGAGAGCAATCAGAGCCCACCCCAGGACCAAAGTATAACGTCTATAACACCCAAAGTGTATGGATGCTAGGCAATGAGTGATGGTTTTCCAAAGGAAAGTTAGAATGAGAAAAAGGAAACAAATGAGGAGAAGGTACAAATCTCCACTCCATTGCATAAATGGTACAGCTTTGTATTCTGATGGATGTTAGTATCACACCTGAGTTTGGATACACACTTTTTACATCTGTGTTTTTAATCTCCCTACAGTTTTGCCTTAAGATATTTAAGTGGTTGAACTTATGACATTTACTTCCTTACTTTTTGTTGCCACTTCTCAAATTACTGAGATTATTCCAATGATGTAAGTCATATTACACATTCTATTTGTAATATATGGAAGAACTTAGAAAACTGCACTATACAAATGGCAGATACTCTCCTTGCTTCTTTGATTTCAATATGGTCTTTTGAGTTGGGGATGCTGACTACCATGTTAGGATCAGATGATTCTCTGTGTAGTCAAGTTCCTTGCAAACTAGATTCATTCATAAAGGATATGCCTTATAGTTTCCAAGAAAAACTACTCAGCCTAGCCCTCATTAAACAATGTAGCCTCAGGATTTTCTGAAACAGGTGGTTCACTGTAATTCTTAATAGAATAGCACTAACCATTTTTGCAACAGCTTAATTTATATGACTTCACAGCTCCCAATATGCTTAAAAAGAATCTAAGCGATGGATGGATGTTGAAATTTTGTAGATGTTAGGCCTGGGGATCAGACCCCTGCATAAAGGGTATGTCTAATGTAAACTGAAAACAATCATAACCAAAATCCGTAGCAAAATAAATACTTAAGACCTAAAGTTTTACTTCTTTCTATACTTCCTAAATATCATGAGACTTAAAAGTCTGCAACTTTACAATTGTTATGTGTTTTTACATATCTTTGTTCATTTGATTCTCACAACTTCCTTTGAGATAGATTAGTGAAGAATTACTAGCTTCACTGTTCCAATAAGGAAACTGAACCCAAGAAAGATTAAGGAGTTGTCAAAGGTCAAATAGGAAGTGTCAAATCCAGGTCTTTTGCTTCCAAGTTCAGTGCTCTTTCTACAACAGCATGGTGTACACATTTGGAAGTTTGTGGAGACTACTACAAAAATATCAGATTCACTTTGGGCTCTGGGAAAGAACTTAAACATCTGTGTTAGTAAACTCTTGAAATCAATTAGTAAGATAAGAATAGAGTCTTCGGCTGGGCGCGGTGGCTCACACCTGAAATCCCAGCACTTTGGGAGGCCAAGGCGGGCAGATCACTTGAGGTCAAGAGTTCGAGACCAGCCTGGCAAATATAGTGAAACCCCTGTCTCTACTAAAAATACAAAAATTAGTCAGACGTGGTGGCGCATGCCTGTAGTCCCAGCTATTCGGGAGGCTGAAGCAGGCGAGTCGCCTGAACCTGGGAGGTGGAGGTTACAGAGAGCTGAGATCATGTCACTGCACTCCAGCCTGGGCAACAGAGTGAGACCCTGTCTTAAAAAAAAAGACAAAAAAAAAAAAAGAATAGAATCTTCATCTGTGGGGAGTTTTACAAGATCAGAAGAGTCTCCAGCTTAATCTGGGTAGACGCTAGAGGAAGAGCTAAAAGAGACTTGAAGGTCCCTCCAACACTGAAATTCTGGAACTCTGGAATCCATAATTCAAGAGCAGATAATCATTACAAGATCTTTGATTACATTGTCAAAAATGACATACCCATCTTCAAGCATCTGTTTCTGACAATTAGCATGTTTTACCAACAATTAGGTCTGCTTTTGAAACATGACTACGAAAGGACTAATATTCTCTGGCAGTTTATGTTGCCCGGAGAAAGACAGTAATAACAACCAAATGAATTCATGTTGGCCTTGTTGGAAGGGTATGATCTCCTTCTTGTAATTTCAAGGGAAAGAGCCATCCAATTTTAAATTGAGGGATTTGGTTTGCAGATGAAGTTATTTATGTGGCCACTGACCACAGTTGTCCAGTTTATTACCATTTGTCTCTTTGGATTGCAGTAGGTTTGATGTAAATCATTAGTTAGAAAAGTAGAAACTAATCAAGCTTTCCTATAAGGAACACATTTTTGTTCTTTATTTTATAGTCCTTTATATATAGTCCTTGCATGTCAGATATTTGCAGTATGAATTTCACTACAAAAGTACAATACATTTAAGAGAATAATTTTGATATCCATTTTTACAGCACATTAGAAAACAGAATGATGCTTTTGTTATAAGCAGTGCTAATTAAAGCAGATACTTTCAAAGTTACTGTGGAAGAGTGAATCATCATCTCCAACGTAACATGCATTTATAGGGTTGATTTTTTATTGGATCAGCATAATAACAAAACTGTTGCCAAATTATATTACCTTCAAATAAATGCTTGTGTATTGGACTTTTTTCTTAATAAGCATACACAATTATTTAACATAATAAGCACATGTTATTTTAAAATGCAATTAGTATATTTTCATTTTATTTTATTTATTTACATGTAGTTGGATTTGTACCAAAAAGGATAGGAGGCAGAATGCTATATTTTAATTTAAATGTAAGATTTTTAAAATGTATGTAAATAGACTATTCCAGGTCAATAAAAGACACTTAAAATATTAGCAGCTAACTTCACTCTCCTCTTTCTGTTTATACACAATTTGAGAATAGACTTAAGTTCTTCTACTTTCAATTCCCTAATGGATTTTTGTTTTAGACTGAATTAGTCCATGCCAATAGTGGTGATCGAAATTTTTCTGAACATGCAGAATACTACTACTTGTATTAAATGTTACATCTCACACAATCATCTCCAGTGGAGTCGGGAGCATCAGTGACTCTCCAGTCCTAGGTGTTCTTTCCTTTAAACCCTCAACAGCCAATATTTATTTTCTGAGTGCTTCATCTGCAGCCTTGCAATTTATTATGATTGACATTATGGCAGGGTGACTGTTGGATCACCAGGTGAATTCTTTTCATCAATTAGAGCTTGGCAGTCTTGTCAATTGGAAAAATAAGGGCTGTTATTATTATGGTTACTGTTGTTATTGGATCAGGTACTGAGATTTGACAAGAAAAATGGGTTTATAAATTCTTGGCTTGCTAGTCTCTACTCATAAATCTTTCTTTAACATCTTAACACATAACAGGACATTTTCATTTGCTATGGCTCCACAGAACACTAATTTCTATATTTGAATGAGTTATACTGATTTCCATAGTCATTAAATGATTTTCAGCAGGAGAATAAATGTGGCAGACCTAAACTAATTACACTTTTCACCCTTGAGAATGAAAATGAACTGTCTGTTATTGTCATCAGATTGTGTATTACCTGTCTTGTTCAGAAATGGTAAGCATTATGAAAATACAGTTTGGTGATAATAGTAATCAATTATCAAATAGTTATCAATTATTAACTATCAAATTAACAATTATCAATAATAGTTATCAATTATGGTACAGCTATTATGTCCCAAGAGCTTACCATAAATTGTCATTTAATCTTCCCAAGAATCATATGTCCCAAGACATCTGCTTTACAAATAAAGAAATTGAGGCTCAGATTGATGAATATTCAGCTATTAAACAGCCAAGCTGGGATTTAAACGTGGTTCTATCTGCCTTCATAGTTTGTGCTGTTGAGTTTAAGAGTAACACAGCATAAAACCAAGATCTGCAATCCAAATACTCTAAGAATCCTAAACGATCTATTAAGAATACAACATTTATTTACTCTTGCTTAAAAAAATATAAAAAGTTACTTCTAAACATTATGAAGAATCAAACAGGCAAATCCAGAATCTGGATCTTTCTTGAATGTATAGTGGCATCAGAAAAAGCATGAGGGTAAGGGAAAGGGTGACTATTGTTCTATCTAGATTAAAAGAGACAAGAAATAGAACAACCAAATACAATTTATGGACCTTGTTTGGTTACGGATTCAAACAAAACTAGAAAACAATATTTTAGAGACAACTGGAATTATTGGATAATGAATTGGATATTTTAAAATAACAAGAAACTTTGTCAAGAGTGAGAATGGCCTATATTTATGTAAAATAGAAAAATCTCCATGCCTTTCAGGAATGCAAACTGAACTAGGTAGGGACAAAATAACATGCTGTCTGGGATCTGCTTTAAAATACTTCCAAAAAAAAGTTAGAGAAAAGAAGAAAGGCAAGATGAAGCACAGGTGGTGAACTCTTGCTGATTATTTTGTCTGGGTGATGGGCGTGAGAATTCAATATACAACTCTTGCTACTTGTGTGTATATTTCAATTTTTCCTAGTAAAAGCACTGAAAAAAACCACTTGCAAGTATTTTGTTGATGGCCTCATAAATAGATGCTATAGTTCTTATCTCAAGGCTTTGAATTTTAATGTAATGTTTAGGTCCAAGTGTTAGGATTTCAAGCAGTCGGTGTTGAAATATTTAGCGTTACACCGCCCTCTTGTGCTTTCCACGGAGTTTACGGCTTGATGCATATCCCCTCACTGCCTTCCTCCCACCCAATCTTTCCTCTTCCACTTCAACAGTTGAGTTTGCCCGCTAGTTTTAAATTTAAATGGAGGTTTTAGAAGGCTCTTAGCCGATAATAGTGTCTTTGTCCACACTGGAATCCTGACTGCTTCCTCCCCTGCACTCAAGATTTTCTCCCCTTCATTGCTCTCTCTTAACAGCAAATTGCATAAAAGTGGTAAAAGGGACCCAAAAGCAGCCAGTTGCCGAGAGTCCAAATGTTTGAAAGGGAAACTCCAACATTTATCAAGCTGAGAAGTTGAGTGTGTTCCGGCAATCTATTTTTTTAATTATTCAATTATGAATTCCCAGTTATAAATAATTAATGGATGCTAGTAAGATCTCCTGAGAGGAACATTTGATACATGGCCAAACTGATGAAAGACCCAAATCAAAAATGTCCTTAAAATGACTTAAACAGGTAAAATTTTTAAAAGTCTAAGAAATTCCTTAAGGCAAAAAATAATATCAAAAGATGGGAAAAGACTTCCCCATCAAAGTAAAACCAAATAACCAATTATTGTAAAACCAATAATTGGGAAAATCAAGTTTTCTTTATCAAACTGTTATTTTGACCAATCTGTTTTATGAGCCAACTAATTTCAACCAGATTTCTTTCTTCCAAATCATTTGGCTAAATTGCTTTCAATTTGCATTCAGTCAAATCCTGTGCTACCCACACAGTCAATAAATATAAGGGATTTAGGCATCAAAATGAGATTTTTAACCTCTTTTACCCAGAAATGGTATGAATCCAATTTATACTCTTAAATATCCTGTTTGGTTTTTCAGTCTTCTCATAGCCATAGAATTTGCTTCTCACAAAAAGCTGGGAGATAAACGGGTCTGAATTATTATTCCTGTATTATGCCCAAGGAAATGGAGGTACAATGACATAAAAGGCTCTGCCTAAGGCCACAAAGCTAGTAAGTGGCAAAGCTAGGATGAGACCTCAGATCTCTCAGGCTCCTCTGCTGGGGCCAGTTCCACCACAACAGTGCCAAGAATGTAGACCCTGCTTTGCTCTTAGCAAAGGAGCCTAGAACAGGGTTTGGGAACATTCACATTCAGTTTCAAGGCACTAACCAGATGCTCTCAGATCCTGCTGTGGAAGCTGAGAGAAACAAGTGAGTTTTAAGAGTGCAGTTGACGTATCTATCTGTTAACATGCGTGCATACCTGCCTGCATGTATGTATGTGTGACCAAGTGCATTCAGCCTCTACAATATGAAGATATGGAAGATACAAAAAGGATTCCGATCAATATTATCAAGCGTGTAACATTCTCAAGTATTCTCTTGCTCTCCAAGTTGTCCAATATAGTCAAGGAAAGCTGATCCACATTTGTTCATTCACTCATGCAACATATTATTTAATGCCTTGGTGATTAGGTACTGTTCTAGGTGTTAGGGATGCAACGGTGAACAAAACAATGTTCCTGCTTTCATAGAATGTTCATTCTAGTAAGACAGTTGGCAAGTAATATAGCACAATATGCAAATGAGAGATAAATTTTGGTGGCTTCGACTATGGTGACCCTGACCAATACCCAGAGAAAGGAGAAATCAATGAAACTTTGAATAGATAGAAATGTGCTACTCTTACCTAGAGCGACAACCAACCAAGGTCATATTTTTTAGAGCATGTATATTACATTAGGGAGTAGTTGTGTCATTTCTGGGAATACTAGTTTTATAAGAAAAGCCTGAAACTGGATTCAAATTCTGATTGTTCCGTTTACAAATTGTGTGCTCTCAGATGAGTTATTTCATGGTTTTTACAGTTTCCCCAAAATAGTAGTGCCTATCTCATTTCTACTTAATAGAGCTATTATGACAGTTAGAAGATAAAACAGATAAGACATGGAAAGCGCTTAGCACAGGGATAGACACAAAGTAAGAAATTAATAAATATAACTGCCACGTCAGTTTGGATTACTTCTGTTGCAAGAGATTGCAATGAGAAAAGAATTTACCGGCCTGCATAATCATAGCAAACAAGGCCTTAGGACCCAATTTCTCTCTCTGTTGGTTGACTGCGCTTTACTTCTGCTCTGCCCTCACTCCTTGATAGATCTTCCCAAGGTGGCATGATGGCTTACATGAGATAATGGAGTTCAGGATGCCTACCCCAAAGACACATTACCCCAAAATATAGGAGCTTGGCATATTGAATATTTTTAAGCTGAAGTAATTTGAGAAACAGTAGGAGGAACTCTCTGACTTTCCCTTGCCCTTCTATCCTGAAGCAGGTTATAGACCTTCAGGTGAGAGGTACCTTACTCTATACCCGGAGGAAAGGAATATCCATATTCCTAAAGATGAAGGGACACCAAAAGAAATATGAATGAACAGGTCTTGCTAAATTTCCCCCAGTTTGTTACTTTTGTCCTATCACATTTTCCCACAACTTTCCTAACTTTCCATGACTTTTCAAACCTAGCATAAAAACACTCAGGTTTGGTCGGGAGCAGTGGCTCACTTCTATAATCCAGCACTTTGGGAGGCCGAGGTGGGTGGATCACTTGAGGTCAGGAGTTCAAGACCAGCCCAGTCAACATGGCAAAACCCCATCTCTACTAAAAATACAAAAAAAAAAAAAAAAATTAGCCGCGCATGGTGGCAGGTGCGTGTAATCCCAGCTACTCCAGGAGGCTGAGGCAGGAGAATCACTTGAACGTGGGAGGTGGAGGTTGCAGTGAGCTGAGACTGCACCGCTGCACTCCAGCCTGAGTGACAGAGCGAGACTCCGTCTTAAAATGACAAATCAAAAAACGCTCAGGTTTAACCACTTCTGATCTTCATTTCCTTGTGAAGACTCCCTTGTCACATAAAATTTACATTAAATAAATTTGTATGCTTTTCTCTTCTTAATCTGCCTTTTGTTACAGAGGCCCCAGCTGAGAACTTAGAAGGATAAAAAGAAATTTTTCCTCCCCTACAGTTTCTGGTGACCACAAAGGGACGGCTGGACACCTCACTCATTTCAGATCCTGCTGATGGGATCCAGGGAAACTGACAAAAGCCAGAAAAAGGTAAGCATTCTCCCAAAGTCAGCTTTCTCAGATCTCTGTTTGTAGCACCCAGTTAAGAGACAAAGGTAAAAATTTCTCCTTGTCACTTTTTCTTTTCCATATTCATATTTGCAGAAGAAAAACTTGCAAACATTAGTTCTTTGGATTATGATTCTTGCACATTTGGCTAACTTGGTTTTGAGGTACATCTTGTTTACTGATTCTTTCCATGCCAGAGACAGCTACTGCTTTCCTAGTTATCTCATTTTGCATCCTGAGAGCTTGGCTTGGCTTTCTGCCTGCCAGGGAAATGTGCAGACAGTCAACCATCAGGTTGTTGGCCCTGAGAATATGGCCTGATGGAAATGTAGGTTGCATCTCATTCTCCGCTAATGTCTTACTGACTGTTGCCAGCCCTCAAGAAGGGCCATCTAAGTCTGTCTTTCTTGTGGCTATCTTTGGGAGTGGTCTGGATCTTGAAAGGCTGCCTTTTTTGCACTCTCTTTGAAGATGACTCTTGCGTCCACGGTTAAGCTATAAAAGTCTTGTTGGTTGTAAGTCATAAAAGGCTTATTGGCTTTTGTTTTGAGTCACTTGAAATAGATACCTTTAGTTTCAAAAAAATTATTTTAAAAAGAAGTTCAGTATTGCCAGAGATATTTACTGTTTGTCCCAGCTAAAACTTGATAATAAGATATTTGAAAGAATTTTTTTTTTAAAGATCTATGGTCAGAAATTGGCCTAATTGGAAGCTGATATTCAGGGCCTAATGGAACCAATTTTGTTTAAGTCTTCTCTGTTTTCTCTGTTTAATCCTGCTCCTCCCATGGGAACTTCTCACTTAACTGAAATCCCCTTCTCAAGCCCCTGCTGACTAGATGTCCACCTCCTTCTTGTTGGCACAATTTTGCTGAGGATAATTTGGAACTCCATTGGCTCCTTGGGGAAACTTAAGATCTCCCAAAACTGGCCCCTCTGAAGTTTCTGCCTTCCCTTTGCTTCTGCTCCTCCTTCATCCTTTTGCCACTTTCAATCTTCCATTCAGTTTCCTGAATCCTTTGATATGTCCCCCTTCAAGCTCCTACCTCCTCCATTCTTCTGTCCATCTCTGCCAGACCTTTTTCCACCCCAGCCCCTCAGTCACTTGAACCTTCAGCTCCTCTGCTCTCAAGAGACTCGAGGGCCCCCAAAAGCAAGTATCTGAGGCTGAAAAGGAAAAAGCCTAATTGGAAATAGTCTATTTTATCCACTCAGATGTGCTTTGAAAATATCCAGATAGAGCCCAGTGTGGTGACACATACCTGAAATCCCAGCTACTTGGGAGGCTGAGGTGGAAGGATGGCTTGAGGTCAGGAGTTCAAGACCAGCTTGGGCAACATAGTAGCTTCCGTCTCTTGAAACACACACACACTCACACACACACATGCACACAGATAACTGCTAGATGTCTTCTAGTCACTTGCCTAGAATGTAGTTCACAGCCTGCATAAGATTACATGTCAGGGCAAATGAGAATTTAAACATATTTTTCCACAAATATTGGTTAAAAAATTCCTGGGGGTGGGGCCAAGAAGGCCAAGTAGAAGCAGTGGCGATCGGAGGTTCCCATTTAAAAGAACCATAATAGCGTGCAAATCCTGCACCAGCAACCGAGGTTCTCTCATTAGAACTGACTAGGTGGCTAGCATGACCCACAGAGAGGAAGGAAGAGCAGTGTGTTGCAGCAGCTCACCTTAGAGCCACACGGGCCGGGGGAGCACCCATCCCCCAGCCAAGGGAGGTGGTGAGCGAGTGTGCTACCCAGCGGGGAAACCGTGCTTTTTCCACGGAACTGTGCAACCCACGGATCGGAAGATCCCACTCATGAACCCATGCCACCGGGGCCTAGGGTCCCAACCATGGAGCCATGCAGATTCTCAACAGCCAGTAAGCTAAAATCTGCTTAAGCCTGCTGAGTTCCTGCGGGGAGGGGCAACCATCACCACAGCTGCGGCTGCCTACTGTCTAAGCCCTTTGAGCTCCTTGGGGGAGGGGCGGCAGCCAGCACTGGGACTGATAACTGCCTAACACGCTAAGCTCCCTGGGCAGGAGTAGGACGCAAGCCATCTCTATAGCTCCAGGCTGCGCTTCACACCGCCCCCACCCCCCCGCCCGGCCCCCGCTGGAGCCAGGGAGGCAGGATGGCTTGCTCCCAAGAGGCGTGCCCCACAACCCAACACACCAGCTGAGGCAGACTATAGCCAGACCGCCTTTTCAGGCCTGACCCTGACCCATCCCTCCTCACTGGGCGGGGCCTTCCTGCAGGAACTCCAGCAACTCCAGCCAGGATCTCAGGGACAGAACTCTGATCTCCCTAGGCTTAAGCCCCTATGGGGAGGATTGGCCACAGTCTCTGCAGACCAGCAGACTTAACCTTTCCTTCTGCTAGTTCTGAGGAATCCAGGCAGCCCAGGCAAGTGGGTTTCCCCCCAGGGAAGCACACTCCCTCCACCAAGGGACAAAGTGCTTCATTAAAAGGGTCCTGTTCCCCATGCCACCCAACTGGGTGAGACACTCCAATAAGGGTTGTCAGACACCCTATACAGGAGTGATCCTACTGGCATCAGGTTGATGCCTCTCGAGGTCAGTGATCCCAGAGGAAGGAGCAGGCACCCATCTTTGCTGTTCTCCAGCCTCACTGAGTGACATCTCCAGGCATGGGAGCGAACCAGATGAATAGGACCTGAAGTGAACCCCTAGCAAACTGCAGCACCCCTACAGAAGAGGGAACTGACCATTGAAAACAAACAAACAGAAAGCAACAACAGCATCAACAACACAAAAAAAAGTGCCCATGAAAACTCCATCCAAGGGTCAGCAGCCTCAAATATCAAAACTAGACAAACTCATGAAGACGAGAAAGAGTCAACGAAAAAACAGTGAAAACCCAAAAGGCCAGAGTGCCTCTTCTTCTCCAAATTGTTGCAACACCTCTCCAGCAAGGGTGCAGAACTGGACAGAGGATGAGATGGGTGAATTGATAGAAGTAGGCTTCAGAAGGTGGGTAATAACAAACTTTGCTGAGCTAAAGGAGCATGTTCTAACCCAATGCGAAGAAGCTAAGAACCTTGATAAAAGGTTAGAGGAGCTTCTAACTAGAATAACCAGTTTAGAGAGGAACACAAATGACCTGATGGAGCTGAAAAACACAGCATGAGAACTTCATGAAGCATACACAAGTATCAATAGCCAAATCAACCCAGTGGAAGAAAGGATATCAAAGTTTGAAGAACACCTTGCTGAAATAAGGCATGCAGACAAGATTAGAGAAATGAAAAGGAATGAACAAAGCCTCCGAGAAATATGGGACTATGTAAAAGGGCCGAACCTATGATTGATTGGAGTACCTGAAGGAGACGGGAGAATGCAAACAAGCTGGAAAACACACTTCAGGATATTATCCAGGAGAACTTCCCCAATCTAGCAAGACAGGCCAATATTCAAATTCAGGAAATACCGAGAACACCACTCAGATACTCCATGAGAAGATCAATCCCAAGACACATAATCAGCAGATTCTCCAAAATCGAAATGAAGGAAAAAATGTTAAGGGCAGCCAGAGAGAAAGGCCAGGTCACCTACAAAGGGAAGCCCATCAGAGTAACAGCAGATGTCTCAACAGAAACCCTACAAGCCAGAAGAGGGTTGGGGCCAATATTCAACATTCTTAAAGATAAGAATTTTCAACCCAGAATTTCATAGCCAGCCAAACTAAGCTTCATAACAAAGGAGAAACAAAATCCTTTCCAGACAAGCAAATGCAGGGGGATTTCATTACCACCAGTCTGCCTTTCAGGAGCTCCTGAAGGAAGCACTAAATATGGAAAGGAAAAACCAGTACCAACCACTGCAAAACACACCAAAATATAAAGACCAATGACACTATGAAGAAGCTACATCAACTAGTGTGCAAAATAACCAGATAGCATCATGATGACGGGATCAAATTCACACATAACAATACTAACCTTAAATGTAAATGGGCTAAATGACCCAATCAAAAGACACAGACTGGCAAATTTGATAATGAGTCAAGACCCTTTGGTGTGCTATATTCAGAAGACCCATCTCACTTGCAAAGACACACATAGGCTCAAAATAAAGGGATAGAGGAAAATTTACCAAGCAAATCCTAGTCTCTGGCAAAACAGACTATAAAACAACAAAGATCAAAAAAGACAAAGAAAGGCATTACATAGTGGTAAAGGGATCAATTCAACAAGAAGAGCTAACTATCCTAAATATATACCCACCTAATACAGGAGCACCCAGATTCATAAAGCAAGTTCTTAGAGACCTACAAAGAGACTTAGACTCCCACACAATAATAGTGGGAGACTTTAACACCCCACTGTCAATATTAGATCAATGAGACAGAAAATTAACAAGGATATTCAGGACTTTAACTCAGCTCTGAAACAAATGGACCTAATAGACATCGACAGAACTCTCCACCCCAAATCAACAGAATATACATTCTTCTCAGTGCTACTGGCACTTATTCTAAAATTGACCACATAATTGGAAGTAAAACACTCTGCAGCAAAAGCAAAAGAACTGAAACCATAACAGTCTCTCAGACCACAGTGCAATCAAATTAGAATTTAGGATTAAGAAACTCACTCAAAACCACACAATTACATGGAAAATGAACAATATGACTCCTGAGTAAATAATGAAATTAAGGCAGAAATTAAGAAGTTCTTTGAAACCAATGAGAACAAAGAGACAACATACCAGAATCTCTGGGACACAGCTAAAGCAGTGTTAAGAGGGAAATTTATAACTCTAAATGCCCACATCAGAGAGCTAGAAAGATCTCAAATCAACACCTCAACATCACAATTAAAAGAACTGGAGAAACAAGGGCAAACAAATCCAAAACCTGACAGAAGACAGGAAATAGCTAAGATCAGAGCAGAACTGAAGAAGATAGAAATGAAAAACCCTCCAAAAAAACAATGAATCCAGGTTTTCATTGGTTTTTTGAAAAAAATAACAAATTGGATAGACTGCTAGCTAGACTAATAAAGAAGAAAAGAGAGAAGAATCAAATGGATACAATAAAAAATTATAAAGGGGATATCACCACTGATCCCACAGAAATAGAGACTACCATCAGAGATTGCTATAAACACCCCTATGCGAATAAACTAGAAAATCTACAAGAAATGGATAACTTCCTGGACACATACACCCTCCCAAGACTGAACCATGATGAAGTCGAATCCCTGAATAGACCAATAACAAGTTCTGAAATTGAGGCAGTAATTGATAGTTTACCAACCAAGAAAAGCCCAGAACCAGAAGGATTCACAGCCTAATTCTACCAGAGGTACAAGGAGGAGCTGGTACCATTCCTTCTGAAACTATTCCAAATAATTGAAAAGGAGAGACTCCGCCCCAACTCATTTTATGAAGCCAGCATCATCCTGATACCTAAACCTGGCAGAGATACACACACAAAAAAAAAAAGAAAAGAAAAGAAAACTTCAGGCCAATATCTCTGATAAACATTGATACAAAAATCCTCAATAAAATACTGGCAAACTGAATCCAGCAGCACATCAAAAACCTTATCCACCACTATCAAGTCAGCTTCATCTCTGGGATGCAAGGCTGATTCAACATACATAAATCAATAAACATAATCCATCACATAAACAAAACCAGTGACAAAAGCCACATGATTATCTCAATAGATGCAGAAAAGGCCTTTGATAAAATTCAACATCCCTTCATGTTAAAAACTCTCAATAAACTAGGTACTGATGGAACATATCTCAAAATAATAAGAGCTACTTATGAGAAAACCACAGCCAGTATCATATTGAATGGTCAAAAGCTGGAAGCATTCCCTTTGAAAACCAGTAGAAGACAAGGATGCCTTCCCTCACCACTCCTTTTCAACATAGTATTGGAAGTTCTGGCCAGGGAAGTCAGGCAAGAGAAAGAAATAAAGCGTATTCAAATAGGAAGAGAGGAAGTAAAATTGTCTCTGTTTGCAGATGACAGGATTCTATATTTAGAAAACCCCATCATCTCAGCCCCAAAACTCTTAAGCTGATAAGCAACTTCGGCAAAGTCTCAGTCTCAAAATCCATGTGCAAAAATTACAAGCATTCCTATTCACCAACAATAGACAAGCAGAGAACCAAATCATGAATGAACTCCCATTCACAATTGCTACAAAGAAAATAAAATACCTAGGAATACAGCTAACAAGGGATGAGAAGGACCTCTTCAAGGAGAACTACAAACCACTGCTTAAGGAAATAAGAGAGGACACAAATGGAAAAACATTCCATCCTTATGGAAAGGAAGAATCAATATTGTGAAAATGGCCATACTGCCCAAAGTAATTTATAGATTCAATGCTATTCCCATCAAACCACCATTGACATTCTTCACAGAATTAGAGAAAACTAAAGTTCATATGGAACCAAAGAAGAGCCCATATAGCCAAGACAATCCTAAGTAAAAAGAATGAAGCTGGAGGCATCATGCTACCTGACTTCAAACTATGCTACAAGTCTACAGTAACCAAAACAGCAGGTACTGGTACCAAAACAGACGTATAGACTAATGGAACAGAACAGAGACCTCAGAAACAACACCACACATCTACAACCATCTGATCTTCAACAAACCTGACGAAAACAAGCAACAGGGAAAGGATTTCCTGTTCAATAAATGGTCCTGGGAAAACTGGCTAGCCATATGCAGAAAACTGAAACCGGACCCCTTCCTTACACCTTATACAAAACTTAACTTGCTATGGATTAAAG
Source organism: Homo sapiens (assembly GCF_000001405.40). NCBI lineage: Eukaryota > Metazoa > Chordata > Mammalia > Primates > Hominidae > Homo > Homo sapiens. Next base: position 20,347,650 of record NC_000011.10, read on the forward strand.
ACTCACATGTAAAACACAAAACCATAAAAACCCTAGAAAAAAACCTAGGCAATACCATTCAGCACATAGGCATAGGCAAAGACTTCATGACGAAAATGCCAAAAGCAATTGCAACAAAAGCCAAAATTGACAAATGGGATCTAATTAAACTAAAGAGCTTATGCACAGCAAAAGAAACTATCATCAAAGTGGACTGGTAACTTACAGAATGGGAGAAAATTTTTGCAATCTACCTATCTGACGAAGGTCTGATATCCAGAATCTACAAGAAACTTAAACAAATTTACAAGAAACAAACAACCCCATCAAAAAGTGGGTAAAGGATATGAACAGACACTTCTCAAAAGAAAACATTTATGTGGCCAAAAAACATATGAAAAAATGCTCAACATCACTGATCATTAGAGAAATGCAAATCAAAACCACAGTGAGATACCATCTCACACCAGTCAGAATGGTGATTATTAAAAAGTCAAGAAACAATGGATGCTGGTGAGGCCGTGGAGAAATAGGAAAACTTTTACACTGTTGGTGGGATGTAAATTAGTTCAACCATTGTGGAAGACAGTGTGGCGATTCCTCAAGGATCTAGAACTAGAAATACCATTTGACCCAGCAATCCCATTACTGGGTATATACCCAAAGAAATGCAAATCATTCTACTGTAAAGACACATCCACATGTATGTTTATTGCAGCACTATTTACAATAGCAAAGGCATGGAACCAACCCAAATGCTCATCAATGATAGACTGGATAAAGAAAATGTGGTACATATACACCATGGCATATTATGCAGCCGTAAAAAGGAATGAGATCATGTCCTTTGCAGGGACGTGGATGAAGCTGGAAGCTATCATCCTCAGCAAACTAACACAAAAACAGAAACCAGCACTGCATGTTCTCACTCATAAGTAGGAGCTGAACAATGAGAACACATGGACACATGGAGGGGAATGACACACACCAGGGCCTTTTGGGGGGTGGCAGGCAAGGGGAGGGAACCTAGATGTCAGGTCAATAGGTGCAGCTAACCACCATGGCACACGTGTATACCTATGTAACAAACCTGCACATTATGCCCATGTATCCTGGAACTTAAAGTAAAATAAAATAAAATAAATTCCTTTAGCCATCATTGTGTAGGTAACCTTAACTTGTTCCATCTGCCAAAAACATAATTTGCATTACAAAAATAAGACAAAAATGAAAATCAACTCTTTGGTAGATTAGTGAATTTTGTGTTTCTGTGTTTATATCTAACTCATTGCTAAGATTTAGAATGAAAGCGATAAGATCTTTTTGTATCTGTACATATGTTTATATGTGTATGTATGTGTCTGGCATGTAATGTTATGTACGTGTGATATTTTTCTAGCTCTGAATGGTATTTCCAAAATTAATTTGTAAAAGAGTTCTATTTAATCAGCTTTAAAAAATACTCATATAAATTATGTATTCTCTCAGAAATATAGGAACTAACTCAAATGATTTTCAAGTTCATGTGCCCTGGGTAATCTTTGGTAAATAAAAATATTGTTGGTTTAGTTAAAGAAAATAAATATGCCTTTAGAGTTGTCAGCATTAAATATAATGCAGACATATTTTCTACCTAGCTTTACTAGTCAAACAAGCTTTAGTTATCTTTACTGGGTTAGTTAAGATTGTAAGACTATAAATCCAACCTCAGAACAAAATATACAATAAAAATGAATTGCTTGACATATATCAAGTACAGCAGTAAAATTTTAAAAAGCTATATGTTTAACTTTTTAGGTTCTTTGCTCCTGTGATATTTTTGATATTTGCCTGATTTGTCAGCAAAAACAAAAAATAATTTGAGGTGATGGCTGTGTTTAATATCTCATGAAATTTTCATGAGCAATTCAAGCATAATTACTAAGAACAAGTGAATTACTGTAAGTGGGATAAAAGTTTGTAAATGAACTTTTCAGCAATAATTATGATGTATAAATTATGGTTTTTAATATGTCTACTTAAAAATAGTTTCCACTCTTTTTGGTAATTTGAAACCTTAAAGCTTTAGTAAGTTAAGTTAAATTATGAGTATTCATTGAACATCTAGATCATTTCCAAATAAGATGAAACAATGAAACATTAATTGCTGAATATAAGTTTAAGTTTGTATACTTCTGTCATCTTGTTTTTATGCAGTATAGAGAATCTAAATATATTTGAGTCTGCTAATAAATATGAGAAATTGTACTATGAGGAAACAGCATATACCTATAAGAAATGTGAGATGAGGCTGGCATGGTGGCTCACGCCTGTAATCCCAGCATTTTGGGAGGCTGAGGTGGAAGGATCACTTGAGACAAGGAGTTTGAGACCAGCCTGGTCAACATAGCAAGACCCCATCTCTACAAAATAAAAAGTAAAAAAAATTAGCCAAGTGTGGTGGTGCATTCCGACAGTCTCAGCTATTCAGGAGGCTGAGGTGGAAGGATCGCTTGAGCCTGGAAGGGTGAGGCTGCAGTGAGCAGTGATTGTGTCATTGTACTCTAGGCTGGGCAACAGAGCAAGACCCTGTCTCCAAAAAAAAAAAAAAAAAAAAAAAAAAAAAAAAAAGAAAGAAAGAGAGAAAAGAAAAGAAAAAGGGAAAAAAAGAATGTTAGTGTCATAAATGTATGATGCAACAGTAAAATGATGGTTTTTTGGATTATGGGTCTTCTCTTAAAAAGAAATTGTAAAATGGCTTTTCTTTACCTTTTAAGTAACCTGCCTAGCAAACAAAGATTTGTGTCTGATCAAAATAATTTCCTGTGCTTCATGTTGTCTTTTCAGTTCTTGCAGGCCCAGGAACTTCATAATATTGGGGGAACCTTAAGAAAAGAGGAATTTGCCTAAATATGCAGAGATTGCAGGCAAGGTCTGATGGCAAGTCCCTGGCATGGCTTCCTAGCCTTAAGAGGCTTTTAAAAGTCTAATCTGAGATTTTTTTATGCAAAGTTTTAGCAAAGCGAACTAAAAGAAAGGGACCTATGTGGTCAGTCACTATTCTTGCTGTAGTATTGTCAACAATCCGACCAAGTTTAATGAGACTAGGCTCCTTTTGCAAACAAATTAGTTTCACTTTGATTATTTTTTAGAGAAATGGAGGTGATTGTAGAGAGAAAAATTATGTTTCAATGGAAACCTGTAGCACAGCTTTGTGAGTATTCCATTTTAGTCTTGTTCATTGTCTTTAAGGTTTTGTTATCTACCTATAAACTGAGTCCTGAATCTTCTAGTTTCCTCCAATATCTGTCTACAGCTCTTCAAATTAATGTTTCACATTTTTCTCTAGCCTCCTAAAATGGCACCACGGAGAGCTAAAACCTGACGGCTCATATTTTTATTGGGACTGTCTTTAACCTCCTTTTTGGGTCTTTATTTCCTAATGAAGGCTTCCATGTCACATAAAACATCTTAAATACATTCATATGACTTTCTCTTGTTAATCTGTCCTTGGTTATAGGGGCTTCAGCTAAGAACTTAGAAGGATAGAAGGAAAGGTTGGTTTTCCTCTCCTACACAGACAAATACCCGCACAGGTCCAGGTCCAGTAGGGAAGACAGTGCATCTCTTTTCATGGTTAACAGCCAAATAGGAATTATGTCACATGAGGTCTGATTGAGTAATGTGCCTAACCCTAAAACAATCGCTGTTGTCGGGGAAGGAAACGTTCAGACTGGCTAGAAGTGAATCATAGGCCCAGCCTTAGAGTTGAAAGTAGAATTGCTGCTAGAGTCACCTGCAGGACGGGGAATGGGAAGGGGCGGGCCACAAAGGAAATAAGGAATCGATGCTGGATAAAACAGTACAGCTGTCTGCTACAAGTGTTGTCACTCATTGATGTAAAAATAAACACCAATAGATGACACAGCATAAAATTTGCATGAATTTTTAAGAAAATATATATAATTTCATTAAAATTTATTTTTGCATTCCCCAAGCTCCAAAAATAGGTTTGCACTTTTCCCTACTCTAAGGAGTGTCTCGATATATTTACTCAATATTTACTGAGCATCCGCCAAGTGCCAGGCACTAATCCAGGTGGCAGGAATATAGTAATGAACCAAACAGATACAACTCCTGTCTTCATGGAGTTTGCTTTCTAGTGGGATGTTCACCTGCACCCACCCAAGCTTCTGCTCACAATCTGAGACGACTGAATAAGGCATTCATTCCTCAGCCCTTCTCCCCAGCTTTCTTTTAAACTGGGAGAAAAATATGTTTCTTAGCTCAGCTCTTCTAATGTCATTGCCAAGAGGGAATTTAGCCTCAAGGAACATTCCATGTCTTTTCCTCCTGGCTGTCTGCCTTTCAGTCTCTAGACTCTTCTTCCTCCCTAGAAGGGAGAGGTCTAGGCTGTGTTTTAATTTCCAAGCTCTTTGATCTCCAGCTGCCACTTTAAAGTTTGAGGTATGAGGGAGTGCCCTTCCTTTGTGTGAGTACAGCCTGCATAGTCTTTCCGGGTGTCATTCATTTGGTTTGGTGAGAAGGATGATTGTAAAATCTGAAACTGCTTGACCATCTTTTCTTGAAAGGCTAGGGTTTGTAGTTGGCTGGAGTGTCTTGTGTTTTTTGTTTGTTTTGTTTTGTTTTTTTACCATACCCTAGTATGGAAGAACTGAGCAGTGACTTTGTGTGATATTGACAGCTTTATGTACATTACCTCATTTAATTCTCTCAACAGCTTCAAGAGAATGTTGAGGCTCATTATTCCCTTTTACAGGATTGGAAAGGTGAAGAACTTTTCCATCTTACACAGCTAGCAAGTGGCAAACTTTCATTTTCTCATTTATAAGATGAGAGAATTAGATTAGATATTATTTCCTTTCCAGCTCTGTAGTTGTTTGAATTTATTATTGCAGTTGGAATCCTACGAATGGGTAGTACCTGAACAAGAACAAATAGCGGGCCAGGCATGGTAGCTCATACCTGCAATCCCAGCAGTTTGGGAGGGCCAAGGTGGGAGGATTGCTTGAGTCCAGGAGTTCCAGACCAGCCAGGATAACATAGTGAGACCCTGTCTCTATTAAAAAAAAAAAAAAAATTAGCTGGGTATGGCGGTGCCACCTATAGTCCCAGCTATGCCAGACGCTAAGGTGGGAGGGTCCCTCGAACCTGGGAAGTTGAGGTTGTAGTGAGCCATGATCAAACCACTACACTCCAGCCTGGGCCATAGAGCAATACCCTCTCTCGAGGAAAAGGAAAAAAGTAAAAAAAAAAAGGCCAGGCCACACCTGTAATCCCAGCATTTTGGGAGGCCGAGGCGGGAGGTCACTTGAGGTCAGGAGTTCGAGACCAGCGTGGCCGACATGGTGAAATCCCATCTGTACTAAAAATACAAAAAATTAGCCATGCGTGATGGCACATGCCTGTAATCCCAGCACTTTGGGAGGCCAAGGTGGGAGGATAACCTGAGGTCAGGAGTTTGACACCAGCCTGGCCAACGTGGTGAAACCCCATCTCTACTAAAAATACAAAAATTAGCCTGGTGTGGTGGCTCATGCCTGTAATCCCAGCTAACTCAAGAGGCTGAGGCAGGAGAATTGCTTGAATCTAGGAGGCTGAGGTTGCAGTGAGCTGAGATCGAGCTACTGCACTCCAGCCTGGGTGACAGAGACTGTCTCAAATAATAGTAATAATAATAGAGACTGCACTCTTAAATATCACACAATTCCAAGCACTTTACGTGGATGATCTCATTTAATCTTCACACCACCCAATGAGGTTGGTGCTGTTATCATCCCATTTTACAGACGAGGAAAGTAGGGCACAAGGAAGTTAATCGCCAGAAAGTGAAAGAACTGGGAACTGAACTCAGCTGTCTTACTCCAAAGCCTTTGTGCTTAACTATTACAGATAGTTCTTCTGAAGAGATTAACAGATGAAGAGGTGAAGAGGATAAGGAGAGTTTCAAATAGGGAAAATAAGGTATTATGAAATTTTAACTTCTGATGTTTCGATGAAAATTTGTGAGTGCATTTTATCTTTCTACCCATAGGGTTTAACACACGACTGGGCACCCAACCAGTAAATGTTAATTTATTTAATTAATCCATCACTAGCAACTTCTTTCCCTTCTGCATTCTCCCAAACTGCTTACTTATTTTAGCTTTTTCACTTGTGAACTATCCCACCCCTCAACTTAACCAAGTTAATAATGAAATATTAGCCAATAAACTTAAGGCTCATAGTCATTCCATTTCTTAAAAAAGCCAAGAGAACTAATAGTAAGCATGCTTATAAATAAAGATAAAAGGAGTTAACTAGAATTAATGGTAAAAAAGGAAAAAAATAGATCAAAGGGGATTTTCCAACACTGAATGGTACCCGGGAAAATAAAACATTTCCACCTTCTCTGGCGCCCTCTTGTGCTTCCTAGCTGCAACTGTCAAGATTGCGATGCTTCCAGGAGTGCAGGACGGTGATACTGGATCTGGATTTATGTTCTGCGTTGTACACACAAACCTTTATAAACTAAACTTGTTTTTCTTCCCTGTATGTTACTCTAATCAGTGCTTATGTCAGGAATTGTAAAATATCCTTTAACCTGGGTTTCCTAGGCTGAAATTGTCCTTATCCATTTGAAGTCCCTTCAGCTCCTGCTCCTGAAGACTCACACAATCTATGAAATGCGTTTTTGGAAGTATGTCTCCCTGTCTGACTGTGTTATTTGATAAGATTGTTCTCATTGCATTCTCTCTCTCTCTCTCTTTCCCTCTCCCTCCCCTCCTCCATCTACCCTCTTCCTCCTTTCTGAGGCCAAGGCTCTGAATTCTTTGAGGAGTTAAAACTGCAGGAAATTCCTTTTGGAAGAATAAAATACAGCCATTCTCCTTCCACTTTTCCTTTATTTAAAGGCAGCCTCCAAGCAGTGCTGCTTGTTCTTCATTGTCTTGCAGAGCTTTTTGTTCATTCCTTAGTAAAACAAGCGTTTTGGTTTTTCGGGTTCACTGTGTGTGCACCACAGGACTGTTACACAAAGCCATGGGAAACTAGCAGAAGCTCAGGAAGTAAATGTCATTAAGAAACAGATCCTACGTTGTATTTGAATCACCCTCCTTCCTTTCTGATGGCTAAATCTTTCTTATGAGGTGAAACTTTTCGTACCAGGATCTTTCTTTTGTTTGGATGCGTTATCTCCCAGGAAGCTCCTCAGACCCCAGCAAGTAGACTTTGGGTGTCCTGTCCCAGTGGCTGGATAAACAGGCTCGGATATTTCAAATTCTTAGTTAGAATTAAACTGGAACTTGTTTTATGTTTACATGAAACTGAATAATTAGTGATAATATTAAAATTAATAATAATTGGCCGGGCATGGTGGCTCATGCCTGTAATCCCAGCACTGTGGGAGACGAGGCGGGTGGATCACCTGAGGTCAGGAGATCAAGACCAGCCTGGCCAACATGGTGAAACTCTGTCTCTACTAAAAATACAAAATGAATCCATAATAATCATAATTCCTGATTTATAAGGATGTTCATAAGTTTTTTTTTTTTTAAAGGAGGAGAGTTGAACCCCAGTTTGCTTCAGGCCACTACATGGTCTTTCTAAGGTGAAGACTATGTTCATTTTCTTTATGGATATTATATCTTAATACCATGTCCTTCCACAGTGAATTTCTCCTTTAACTGGGCAGCAGTATGACTCAAGGAGTTTTTAAAACTGCTGTTCCTAATTCAGTAGGTCTAGGGCAAACTCAGGCATCTTTATTTTTCTAAAGCTTCAAGGGATGTCCATGTGTAGTCAGAATTGCAAATCGCCACCATGTGGCCACGTGGTATACTGTCACAGCACACAACCAGTGCTGTGTGGTATCTGATTTGAACTTTGCTATAAACCTATGCAATAAGCAGGTTTGCCATTACCCTCAACTTACAGATAAAAAGACTAAAACTAAGAGCTTGACCAAACGTACATAGCTAGTCAGTATACAAACTGGGGCTTATACGTGGGTCATATGACTCAAAAACTTATGCTCTTTCCATGTTGTTGGAGAGAACAAGATTGATTTTTTAAAAAATAAGGTCTTTCATATGCATTACTTCCTCCTCTTTCCTGCAGTGGCTACATCGGTCCATATTTTCATCATCCCGTAGGTTACTTTGGCAAGAGCTTTCACCAGAAGCCCCCTCCTGTCTTTATCTCTTCCCTGAACACTACCTTCGGCTTAATCTTTAACCATTAAGTGCAGAGTTCATCAAGTAACTCTTTCGTTTAAAAATGACCAATATTTGTCCTGTTTACCGACTATATTAGTCCATTCTCCTGCTGTTAATAGACATACCTGAGACTGGGTAATTTATGAAGGAAAGAGGTTTAATTGACTCACATTTCAGCGTGGCTGGGGAGGCCTCAGGAAACTTACAATCATGGTGGAAGGGGAAGCAAACATATCCTTCTTCACACAATGACAGGAGAGAGAAGAATGAGAGCTAAGCAAAGGCGGAAGCCCCTTATAAAACCATGAGATCTTGTGAGAACTTACTATCATGAGAATAGCATGGGAGAAACTGCCCCCACGATTCAATTACTTTCCACTGGGTCCCTCCCACAACATGTGGGGACTATGGGAACTACAATTCAAGATGAGATTTGGGTGGGGACACAGCCAAGCCATATCAACATCTGTAGTGGGTTGAATGGTGGCCCCCCAAAAGACCTGTCCTCATCCTAACCTCTGCACCCTATGAGCATGAACTTATTTGGAAAAAAGTTCTTTGTAGATATAAATAAGTTAAAGATCTTCATATGAGGTCATCCTGGATTATCTGGGCAGGCCCTAAATCCATTGACAATTGTCCTTATAAGAGACAGAAGACACAGACACCAGAAGAGAAGACCACGTGAAGACAGAGGCAGAGATGGGAGTTTTACAGCCACAACCCGAGGAACGCCTGGAGCCATCAGAAGTGGGAAGAGGGAAGGGAGCATTCTCCCCTAGAACCTGCAGAGGGAACATGGTCCTGCTGACACTTCAATTTCAGACTTCTGAGAGAGTAAGTTTCTGGTGTTGTAAACCATCCAGTGTGTGGTCATTTGTTACAGCAGCCTTAGGAAACTAATATACCAGCTCATCACCTCTTTTTGACTTTCAGGGACCATGACATCTGTGGCTTCCCTGCCAATCCAGCCCTGGTCTTGCATAAATCCTCTGCCCATCTGGTTGTTCCTTCACTGTCTTCTCCCTGGGACCCTCAGGTCTCTTTGTGTGCCTTCCCTCATGTTCCCTCCTCATCAGAAAGAAGACATGCCCTCTCAACAGAGTCCCCCTTCAGAAGGGAACTGGCTTTTGAGGTGGAGTGATAGTGGGGGAGGAGATGAGATCTCTAGGGACATGGTGGTGTAGTAGGCAGGGTGCTCTTTGCCAGTCAGTTCCTTGACATGTTTTCTAATTTTTTTTACCAGCCTCAACCCTTCCTTTTGTTGCCTGCATTAAAGAGTGTGTCTAAGATCCACTACTTGCACAAGTCTTGCTACATTCTTGGGGGTCATCCATAAAGTATGTTTGACTAGTTCACCTCTTACTCTCCTAGGTCTCATGCATAAGGTATGGTGAAATCTACCCCATGAAAACATTTTTCTTGAGCACCTACTAAGTGCCAAACACTGCCCCAAAGCTGGGGCTGTAGCAGTGAGATAGATGTGGTGGCTGACCTCACAGAGCAGAGTCTTCCTGTTTTGATAAATATTGTGCTTATCTAGTTGGACTTCACTGAGGTCACACAGCTACTAAGTGGATGGCCAGGATTCAAATCTACTTCCGTCTGACTGCAAAGTTGCTTTCTACCACATCATGTGTATCAGTTTGGGTCCTGGCAAGAAACAGAGAACATGTTCCAACAGAGTAACTGAGGGAGAATTTAGTGAAAGATTATTTACAAGGAAGCAGGAAGGGTTAAAGAAAACCCAACAAGGAATGGTGCTGTGTCTCAGTGCTAGCAATAGCGGGGAGCCATTTCTACTCCTAAGTCTAAAAGGTTGAGGCAAGGAGGTGGTTACTGGAACCTGGAGAGAGTGCCTGCAGCTGTCAGGGAGGCTATCAGACAGGAGTGAGGCTCTTGGGTCGAGGAATAGCAATCTCATAGCAGGAATTCAGGGGAATAAAGCCCCTAACCCCATACTCCTCCTCTGCTTCAATTTCCTACTGGTGACTCTTATCACCAAGGTAGGTGATAGGTCAAGGAGGACAAGGTAGACTGGGTGATGCAGGCCTTAGAGGTCAGCTGTGGAGTCACAGAAAAGGATACAGAGAGTGGAAAGTGGATCTGGAGGGGCAAATGAAAAATGTGCCTGTAATCCCAGTACTTGGGAGGCTGACACAGATAATTACTCGAGCTCAGGAGTTCAAGACCAGCCTGGGCAACATGACAAAACCCTGTTTCTGGAGAAAAAAAAAAAAAAGATGCGTGTCTGTAGTCTCAGCCACACGGGAGGCTGTGGGAGCTTGAACCCGGGAGGCAGAGGTTGCAATGAGCTGAGATCATGCCACTGCCCTACAGCCTGGGCGACAGAGCAAGATCATATCTCACAAAAGAAAGAAAAAAGAAAAATGCCCAACATACCAGTGTTTCCCAAACTTTACTCCTTCAGATACTATTTTCATGAGTTTACCATATCCTATGTTTACAATACACTCAGCTGTACTTAATATTTTATGAAAACGTCCTCTTTTTTTTTAAACTTTGTTAAATGTACTACTAGTAACAGGTACTAATAAATGTATTAATGGTAATTAAGGTAATATTTCACTACCTTGAATAGAAGAAAACCATAAAAAATAAATCTAATAAAATCAAGTTTGCTAAATTTTAAAACCTAAAATTTAACAATAATTATAAATGATAATGTATCTTATGATGTCCTTCACAGGCTGGTCCCTACCTGCCTCTCTAGTCTCCCCTCCCCTGCCCTGCCCCTGCCCCATGCTTCCATCTCTCCATTTCAAGCATATTGGTTTTTGGCCCTTCAAAACCAGCCATACTTCTACCTACCACAGTGCTTTTACATAGGTTATTCCTTTGGTATATATCAGTAAGAGGACATACCCATGAGTGCTAGGGAACCTGAAGAATTTAACAAATACAGTGCTATCAGCTAAAAACAAGAAGAATTATGCTTTCCTGAAAACATTCTAGAATTACACAGGTATTACTCATGATTTTGTCATTGATCTGGATATCCAGGTTCTTGTCCTGGCACCAAAGTTGAATCCCAAGATCTTAGATGATATATTTAATAAACGTGTGACTCAGTTTCTCCATCTATAAAAACAATTAGCTATCAAGAACACGATAGATACACTAAATCAACTACCTAAACTGTTGAATGCAATTCATGGTTGTATTTGTTATGTGAGAGCAGAAAATTACAATACTTTCTTTCAGACACCTACCTTTACCAAATCCAACCTCTTATGTGCCCAACCAGATATCTTAGTCATGCTACAGTTATTTAAAGCTCTCATTTGTTAAAAAAAAAAAAAAATTATCTAGCATTCATATTTACAAATAAATGAGATAAATGGGGAACAAGTATAGCCACTTTAGATGCTATTTAACATCCGTTCTGTTTTCTTTCTATAATAGTGACCTCTACTTTCCTTGGGGACCTTACTTCCTCCCCTACTCCCAGACATGTGGGAAGAGATAGCCCCACCCGGCTTCATTCCCAGAGCCACAGTGACAATCATAAGGTTTAATCAGAACTAAGGAGATACAGCTGGGGACTTCTGCTTACAGTTATGCTCTTTCTACTGGACTTGAATCTAGGGGGATGTACTTGATAGCTTCAATCATCCATTCTCCTCATTTATCTACCTTATTGTATGCCCTGAAGAAAACTGGTCTGCACAATATAAGTTCCCTCTAGCTTCTGGTTGAATTTAGACAATGAAGAGTATGAGCAAGAGCACAGCCTTTGGGTCATCTTGCAGGGTCTGAGAGTAAGGCCGACGTGAAGGGAAATAGAGCCATGGTTGGCAGAGGGACTGGGTCCTGGCCCCATTGGCTGACTGGCTGATTCTGGTCATGCCAAGACTATTATATACACTGATTCTTTAGTTGCATGAGCCAGGACATTTCCTTTTTTTTTTTCCTCAAAACATTTTGAGTTTGGGGCTTCAAACACGTGAAACAGAGTCTTAATGAAGGTATAACTAAAAATATAGCTCTGAAGTGAAGATGCATGGATCCCTGATCCTGAGGACTCTAAATCTGACCTAAATACAGTTCCAGTCTCCCTAAGGCCCCATCCTACAGCAGATCCTGTTTTGAGATTTCTCTGAGATTCTGTCTCTCTTATACATGATTTATAGCCTTACAATATTACAATATTCACCATCTTTACTCGCCATGAGTCAGTTTGTTCCTTGGAGCAAAGCGAATGTAATGAAACAGTTCCCATCTTACAGATAGGGAAATGGAGGCCAAGATATATGAAGAGACTTCATCAAAGGCAAACCTGAACGTGGCAGGCAGGTCTCTGGCCAAGGATCTTTCCATGCCAGCTCCGTTTCTTTATGTCCCCTTTCCCTCCTTCCCTATGCTTTCCCCTTCCCCTTTGCCCTGAATTTTTGTGGTCCGGTTGCTCTAGGAGCCTAGGTCTTGTCACATTATCTCAGCACTTGGATGACATGGTTCCAGCTGTCAGAGAAGGAAAGGCATGGACTTGTTTTTCTCTGAGTTTCCTTCTATTTCTGTATGCTCATTTGGCCTTCAGCATGTGCCACCCTGTGAAAGTTTGGGGGATGTTTTATAATGTTGCTTAACTTTATTTAGCTTCCCAAGTATTTATGACTTGCCTTCAAGATGAGAGTGAATTTAGCTGGTGTCCCTGATTCACCTTGGAAAAATCTATTGTGCCTAGCACAGTATCTGGCTTGCATTAGATAATCAGTAAATATCCATTGACAAGATTGACTAAAAGAATCTTACATTAGGCAAAATGCTGGCTAAGCTGCTGTAACAAAATTACAGTGGCTCCAACATGACAGAAGTTGATTTTTCTCTCACTCCCCAGAGGTGTGCCGGCAGTCCAGGGTGGGCAGGCGGCTCTGTTCTATGAAGTCATCCAAGGGCTCCTTGCCCTGCTATCCTCTAGAGAGTGTCTTTCTCCTCATGGTCAGAGCTGGTTTACCAGTACATTCACATTCTGGCCTAAGCAAAGGGGGAAAGGGAAAGTGAAGGGAAAGGGAAAGTGAAAGGAAAGAAGGTAACTTCCTTATAAAGATGTGATTCAAATGTGCACATATTACCTCTGCTTGCTTCTCGTTGGCTAAATCACTGTCACGTGCTCGTGCTAGCTTGCAAGTGTGTTGTGGGAAGTCAGGGACCCCGAATGGAGGGACTGCCTGGAGCTCCGGCAGAGGAACATAAATTGTGAAGATTTCATGGACACTTATCGGTTCCCAAATAATACTTTTATAATTTCTTATGCCTGTCTTTACTTTAATCTCTTAATCCTGTTATCTTCGTAAGCTGAGGATATACGTCACCTCAGGACCACTATGATAACTGTATTAACTGTACAAATTGATTGTAAAACGTGTGTTTGAACAATATGAAATCAGTGCACCTTGAAAAAGAACAGAATAACAGCAATTTTTAGGGGACAAGGGAAGACAACCAAAAGGTCTGATTGCCTGCAGGGTCATTATATTATATATATATATATATATATATATATATATATATATATATATATACACACACACACACACATCTTATATATATATACACATTTTATATATATATATACACATTTTATATATATACACACATTATATATACACACACATTATATATATACACATTATATATACACATTATATATACACACATTATATATATACACATTTTATATATATATACACATTATATATATATATAAAACATTATATGTGTGTGTGTGTGTGTGTATATATATGTCCAAGAGTAATGAAAACATGTTACTGCAGAAAGACTGGTCCAATAATGTTCATAGGAGCCTTATTCATAATTAGCCAAAAGGTAGAAACAAACCAAATGTCCATCAACAGGAGAATATTTAAACATGTTGTGGGATATTCATACTGGAATACTGGAAGGCTACTCAGCAATAAAAAGGAATGAATTCCTGATACATGAAACAACCAGGGCTGATTTACTCATTTGGCACAGTAGGCACAGTTCTGGGGCCTGTGAAAATAAACTTTTAGGTGGAAGAAAATGTTTTAGGTGAAAGAAATTGTCATATTCATCTTTATAGCAACATAGTCATAAGACATAATTTTTGATTATATAAATAGTTTGTCATATTCATCTTTATAGCAACATAGTCATAAGACATAATTTTTGATTATATAGTGTGTGTACATAAAATGAAGGGGCTCATGAAGTGCTTAGGGCCCATAGAAATCATAATGCAGGCCTACAAACAAGAATAAATACTAAAATATGTGTTAAGCCAAAAACCTGGGACACAAAAGAGTACATGCTGTACTCTTAAATAGAATTCTACAACAGGCAAAACTAATCTATGTTGATAGTGACCAGAAAGTGATTACCTCTGGAGTGGGGAGAGATTGCAAGAAGGGAATGAAGGCACTTTCAGGGATGGCAGACATGCTCTATATCTTGTTTTTGGTGGTGGTTATTTAGGTGTATATACAATCTCCTAAAATCATGGAACAGAACCTTTAGGTTCTGTACATTTTATTGTATATTAATTATGCCACAATTTTAAACAAAGGGGAAGAATAGACAGGGTACAATGAATAATTTCTGTGACAGATTTGATAAATGAATTACTAGGACAGTGTTTGCTGACAAGGTTTAACATTGCATTCTTGTAGAAAACCTTTAGGAACTCAAAGGGAAGAGTCCAGGCACTGTGACAGGCCAGTGGGGAATGAACCACACTGCTCTATATTAATCAAGCTTTTTTATTGCAAACAACAGAATATATCTGGTAAGCTTATACAGCACAGGAATTTATCAGAAGAATAACAGGAAGTACTGTATTCACAACAGTCTCTGAAAACAGGCAGGAATTTAAGACAAGATCAGACCATCAGATGGCTGGTGGATCATATGATGCCATAATCCTATACCCTTGCCCCAACCAACCCACATATATCTCAGGCCTTCACTGCATCTTTTCATTACTCCTCCAAAACTGAAAACCTATGCGTGAGCCTCTGGCTTGCTGAGCCTAGGCAAAGCCTACATATAATAACTCCCATGGAGATGGAAGAGGCAATGTGTTTCATTGGCTTCTAGATGGGAGGTGGGGCCCCCAAATGACCAATGTTCCCAACAAAACCTGAACAATCTGAAATTATTCAGATTTCTGCTTGTCATTCTAACCTCTGTTCAGGACTTCCAAGATCCAGGACAGGCCCAGTGTAGATACCTGTGTCCCAAACCACTGATCTGGGCTAGGAAGACTGAATCACAGGTGTGGAAGGTCACCCGGGTTCAACCATCTAGGTGATGAATTAGGCCAGGACCTGGGCAGGTAGACCATTTATTCTGGGGAGATATGATGCGAGCTTGAATTACATGGGAGAAATATTTGTAAGGCAGATGGGATAACAGGACTTGATAAGTCTGTAGTGTGGAAAGGCTAGAAAAGAAAGGAATCAAAGGAATCCTGATTTCTGACTTGACAGGGTAGAAGGAGGTGTGTGTGTGTGTGCGTGTGTGTGTGTATGTTTATGTAGGGACAGTGACACCCAAGAGAGGCTAGGAATAGGTTTGTTTTATTCCTGTTTGGGGTGGTTGGGTAGGCAGGGTTAAGTTTTTGACTTGGTGAATTTGAGATGATGGCCAATATACAATTGACATTCCAGCTGGGGGGACCATTGAAGATCAAGTCTGGCAAGTCTACTAGCTGGCGCCTGGGTGAGCTGAGCCCAGCAGGTGAGGGAAAACGCGGGAAGAGGGTCTTGCAGATTCCAAACTTAGGAAGGGTCGCGGCTCCGCGCACGTGCTCTCGGGGTCACCTTCCCCGCGCCTGTGAGGGTGCCAGGAGTTCGTCTCCAGGTCCCGCCCCTGTGGGCGGGGCGAGGCAGCGTCGCCGCGAGGCCACCCGGAAGACCAAGCCGGGTAGGCGCTGTCTCCGTCGCCTCCAACCCCCCCGGTCCGACCAGGGAAGGTGGGATGCTCTGATGGCCGGGCCTGCGGCGCTGAGCGCGGCGGCGGCGGCTGCTCTGGCGGCCGCCCTGCTCCTGCTGCGTCGTGAGGACCCGGGGCCGGGGGCTGGCCCCAGGTAACCCCTCCGCGTATGGGACCGAGCTGGGCCAGGTCTCCTGGCCGGGCCGGGGATACCGTGGGGTATGCCCAGTGATGCCAGCAGCTTGTGGCACCTGGGCGCACCCTCCAGCTCGGGCCCCTTCCGATGGGTCTGCTGGCTCAGGTGCGGGCGATGGCCGGGGAGCCGCGCCCCGCACGTGACTCAGCACTTTCCCCAGAGCCCGGACTGCGGAGAACAATATCCTCCTCCCTAACAGATAAACAGCCCTTGTTCCTCGGGATAAGGACTGGCAGTCCCCTGACACCCTAAGACCGGCATCTGTCGATGTTATTTCCCCAGCATGGCCGAAACAGAAGCCCTGTCGAAGCTTCGGGAAGACTTCAGGATGCAGAATAAATCCGTCTTTATTTTGGGCGCCAGCGGAGAAACCGGCAGAGTGCTCTTAAAGGAAATCCTGGAGCAGGGCCTGTTTTCCAAAGTCACGCTCATTGGCCGGAGGAAGCTCACCTTCGACGAGGAAGCTTATAAAAATGTGGTGGGTATTTCAGCTGGGACTCAAATGGACCCCCAGGATTCTGCGAGGTGAACATATTTCATGCCTAAAGGCTGAATACTGCCCTGCCAGTGGTGGGGGTAGTGAGAGGCCATCAAAACTTGGCCAAGATTGGTCTGTGAGAGTCCCTCCCAGAAGTCTGACTCCTGGATTGTAGCCCAGGTGTGCCTCCCTCCCGCTCATTGTGTGGTCTTGGGCAAAGCCCTTCTCTCCATCTGCAACCCTATAAAGCTGGGTCTGGGTTGTAATGGGGGTGGGGGCTGGTGAGACAGAAGAGCACTGTTTTCAGGGTCATACAAGCTGTATTCTAGAGGCAGCCCTGGTGACCTTGAGAATTTTCTCAGCCACTTTGCTGATTTTGTCAACCTGCGCACTTCACACTAATATTGTCAGGGATTCTGAAACTGCTTTGCAGAGTGAGATAGGTCTATGGCAGTGAAAGGTGGGATTATTCACTTACAAGAATTTGCCCTGCCTGACTTCCCAGGCTTGTGTCTGTAAATCGGATATTCCCTTCACTCTAAGTTAAAGGTTTTTTTTTTTTTTTTTCTGAGACGGAGTCTCACTCTGTCCCCCAGGCTGGAGTGCAGTGGCACGATCTCGGCTCAGTGCAACCTCTGCCTTTCAGGTTCAAGCGATTCTTCTGCCTCAGCCTCCCGAGTAACTGGAACTACAGGCGTGCGTCACCACTCCTGGCTAACTTTTGTATTTTTAGTAGAGACGAGACAAGGTTTCACCATGTTGGCCAGGCTGGTCTCGAACTCTTGACCTCAGATGATGCTCCCGCTTCAGCCTCCCAAAGTGCTGCGATTACAGGCGTGAGCCACCGCGCCCAGCCTAAGTTACACTTTTATGATTATAGGAATGATATACCAGACTTCTGTCTTGTCATGACCCCCTAAATATCAGAAGCCTGAGTTTCTTGGAGATTCTGTTCTTTATTTAAAGGGAATTATCTGTGAACTGCAACAAATTAACATAGTGTGATCTCAAGACACCACAGCTACAGAATTTGGCCCCACAGGTTTCATAGAAAGAACATTTCAAATAACAAGCCATCTTGCAAATAAATGTTCTTGATTCTCGCAGGTCTGTGTTCAGGTCATGGTGTGAATGCCTTTGGTCCATCAAGTCTTGTTTATTTAAAACAGACATCTTTCCTCAGGCTGAGGCAGATGTGTTCTCACCGGTTTCATGGGCTGTGTCAGATATTCATGGTAATTAGAAGCTGAAACTGAAGGCTGGGCGTGGTGGCTCATGCCTGTAATCCCAGAGCTTTGGGAGTCCGAGGCAGGGGATCTCTTGAGGTCAAGAGTTCCAGACCAGCCTGGCCAACATGGTGAAACCCTGTCTCTACTAAAAATACAGAAATTAGCTGGGCGTGGTGGTGCACGCCTGTAATCTCAGCTACTCAGGAGGCGGAGGTGCGAGAATCACTTGAACCCAGGAGATGGAGGTTGCAGTGAGCAGAAATTGTGCCACTGCACTCCAGCCTGGGTGACAGAGCGAGACTCTGTCTCAAAAAAAAAAAAAAAAAAAGAAAAGAAACAAATTGAAATCTGTGTTTTGAGTGTCGAGTTTTGGTGGCACATCTGTTTGACTAGGTACTTTGTGAAACCCTATTTTTCTTTTTCTTTTCTTTTCTTTTCTTTTTTTTTTTTTTTTTTTTGAGATGGAGTCTCACTCTGTCGCCCAGTCTGGAGTGCAGTGGTGCGATCTCAGCTCACTGCAAGCTCCGCTTCCTGGGTTCACGCCATTCTCCTGCCTCAGCCTCCCGAGTAGCTGCAACTACAGGTGCCTACCACCACAACCGGCTAATTTTTTTTTTGCATTTTTAGTAGAGACGGGGTTTCACCATGTTAGCCAGGATGGTCTCGATCTCCTGACCTCGTGATCCACCCACCTCAGCCTCCCAAAGTGCTGGGATTAACAGTGAAACCCTATTTTTCTTTAGTGTCATAGGCAGTGCCAGAAAAATTCTTTTCAGAGTTGACAGTAAGGATGGAAACCAACATTTTATCGGAGTTCTTGGATGATAGGAATTTATCATGCTTTCTTTTTTAAGTTATACAGCAAACTGATAAGGTTAGATGGAGGTTCGTAAACTTCTGTGTGCATGAGAATTAAGGTGGGTGCTTGTTAAAAGTGCAGATTCTGATTCAGAACTATTGGTGTGGGATGTAGGAATATGCCTTTTTATTAAGCACTCCCTGACTAATTATAATGCAAATGGTTCATGGATTGGACTGAAGGAAAGATTATCACCCCCATTTTACAGCTGAAAAAAAAAAGCTGTAGTGTATGATGAATAATTTGCCCGTAACTACATGCCTAGTGAGTGTAGCAAGCCCAAGATTTGCAGCTAGGTCTTCTTTAAGATGCCAAACGCCATCTCTTGCCCTCACATCATACCTCAGTGGTCTCCTTCCTGGTTAGCTACACACAGGTCTTTTATTTTTCCAGAGAGAGATTATAATCGAACCTGACTTCAGAAATCTGGATCACCCCTAGTCCAGTTATATAGACTGTGGACATATGTGTGTGTTGTTGATTTTCAACTGAGGTTCATTGCTTTTTGGTTGGAGAAAAGGAATTTGTAAAATTTGATGTTAAGTGGACAGGCCTGTCAGTAATGTTCTGTAACTTAGTCTTTAAATCTAGAGGGGGTTTTTGGTCTGTTGTTTAAATAACATGAAACTACATACAACTGTGTCCTTGCCTAGAATCAAGAAGTGGTGGACTTTGAAAAGTTGGATGACTACGCCTCTGCCTTTCAAGGTCATGATGTTGGATTCTGTTGCCTGGGTACCACCAGAGGGAAAGCTGGGGCGGTAAGGAAGGCATATGCTCTTTTCCCTTTTTGCTGGCCAGTAATATCAAGGATTCTTTTCTTGCTCACTCTTTTTCTTTGTGCCTGTTGCAATGCTTAAATGTGAATAAGCCTTTATTGTTTAAGATTCTATATGCTGCACTAACCTTTGGTATCCTTTTAATAGTACTGATAAGTTCGTCTTTCAAAGTAATCCTTGAGTTCAGGCCCCAGTGCTGGAGACGTCGTAAATATTTACATGATTTTGCCTATTGTGATTATCGCTATCACTACATCCCCTGACTAAGGGAAACCATGATGTCTGAGTAAAACTAATTGGTTTATGCTGTTAACAATCAGCTGTTTTTCCCCTTAATAAATGTTTGAAATTTGAAATGTTCTGTCTCACTTGAGTGATTTGCTTCAACTTATTTTCATGTCAAGCTTTAAACTTCTGGAATAGAACATCAGAACACAGGCACGATTCAACCAGCCTCCAGCGATGACTCAGCCTTCAGCGATGATTCAACCCCACTAATGATTCAGTCTTTACTGACGCAAAAGTCTTTTAACGCACATTTTATTTTCTTTTTAATGGTGTTCTAAATTGAGTCAGCTCCTGTACAGAAGTCATAGTTTACTACATAGTTAGAAATCAGAGTTTACTACCTGGATTCTGGGCAAATGTTAGTGCGGGTACATCTTATTTAATTTATACTTTGACTATAGTTTATTCCTCTGGCAGAATTTACATGCTGGAGCTGAAAAAACCTGCATGTTCTGCATATGTATCCCAGAACTTAAAGTAAAATTTAAAAATATTTAATAATAAATACATAAATAAAACAGAAGAAAGTGAAAAAAGTAAATAAATAAATAAAGCCGAGGCACAGTGGTTCATGCCTGTAATCCCAGGAAAACAAGAAAAAAGAAAAAATATATATATATATGACTATGACTCTGCCATGGGAATTCTCCTTAGGTTTATAAGCCAGACCCCTTCACCTGAAACATTAAGGGAGCATATAGTGAAGAACTATTCATTTATACCAACCGAGTAGTTAGATTCAGATGTATTTCTTTGGGCCTCCTTGTGATGCAAAGAGTAATTCTATGTATGCTTTCAATCAAGATGTATTTCCATACCTTCTGCAGTTCTGCCTATCTGTCCTGGAACACAGCTGGGATTGGAGCTCTGTGATGGGAACTATGGATTATAGAGAAGTTTGACTTTCCCAGGAATTGGCACATTATCTCTCCTAGAAAGGGTCATGTTCCTGCTTAACAGTGGGTGCAGTCTTTTCTGTCCCAGGCACAGTCACAAGTGGTGTGCCCTCCAAAAGCATTGAAAAACTTTTGTTCCAGGACACTGCAGGTTTGTCTCAAGTGCCAACCTGGTTTTGGTGGTGAGTCAGCAAAACAAAATGCTGCATTAGGCATAGAAGGGTTGATTTTCATGACATAAGGCAAATCTCATTATAGGGTGTGCCAGGGAAAAGTCTAAACTGCTTTTTGTGTTCAAAATGGGTAATGCAATTTTAATCAGAGGAATTGTGTGTCTTTACTATCCAGAATTTTCTTTTTTAATGGGGTTGGTTCTTCACGTCTCAGGCTATTCAATACCTTTTGTTCTCCTTTAAAATCAATTTGGAAAGATAAAAGTAATTAACTAGTAAGCAAGAATAGACTAATGAGCCTAGACTATTCACCTAGCTTAGAAATGAATTAGGACTTAAATGATTTAAGAGGTTAGTGGTGGAAAGCAAGCTGACACTTATACCAGAAAAGTGTTTTGTTTGTTTTGGGGGCTTTAAAAAAAAAACTAATTTGGGCTGTGTACAATATAAAGTTGGGAGGTTGATAACTTTAGCCAATATGAAAGAGGTGACAGTTCATATGTGGCTAAGTAACGATAGTGTTTTAAGTGGAGGTTGTGGATTTCCAAGCTTATCCCAGCTGGTGTTCTGGGTCAGCAGCCCTCTCTGTAGAAAAAAGTTCGTTGGGTGGTTTATCATATGAGTACTACAAAGCTAGTGGCAAAACTAGTACGCTTCACTAGGGATTTTGTAACTGGAACACCTCATATATTGCCTTAGCAGTCTGTGTTTCCAGCAGAGAAACTTCAAGAAATTCAGCGTTTTTGTCTCAGTATTGAGATCCTCTGTGTAGGTGGCTTATTTCCATGTGATGTTCAGTGTATTAGTTTGCTAGGGCTGCCATAACCCAAGTAGCTTGAACAACAGAAACGTATTGTCTCACAGTTCTGGAGGCTAGAAGTCTGAGATCCAGGTCTCAGCAGGCTGGTCAGTGCTCTGAGGCTGAGCCCTTGAGTTTCCAGGCCCTCTCCTTGTCTTGTAGATGGCAGCCTTCTCTTTGTGTCTCTTTACGTGGTATTTTCCCTGAATACCTGTGCCTATATCCACATTTCCCCTTTTTATAAGACCACTAGTCATACTGGATTAGGGACCACCCTATTTAGTATGATCTCAACTAATTACATCTGCAATGAACTTATTTCCAAATAAGGTCATATTCTGAGGTAATGGGGGTTAGGAGTTCAACATACGCATTTTGGGGGGATGTAATCCAACCCACAAAATTCAGTCTACTCAGGTTTCTATTGACACTGGTTCTAGGAAAAGGTCTATTAGCTTTCCTCAGCTGTTTGGAAGACTATTTCCTTTAACAGTAGCTGGGCAGATGCTAATCTTCCTTTTCATATTCACAGAACACAGTTGTTCAGTCAATGCACTGGCTCCCTGACTTGGCCCTGATCCAGATCTACTGCATCAGCATCTCTGAATTTGGAAGCTTGGAATCTGTATTTTTAGCAGGCTCCTTGGGAGATCCTGATGCAGTCAACCCTGTCCTTCTTGTTGAACCTACTTTCAAGAGGCATTGGGGTGTATTAATTCCCCTCACTTGCTGGTTTTCTGGGTACTGTGGTCCTGGATAACCTTTGCCTTGCTTTAGTGAGTAACTTGTTTGCTAGTGAAGATTGAAATAGCCTTTGAAAACCAGATCTGTATTGTCCTGGAGTGAAGCACAAAAACTTAGAGATGCCAGTGAGAATAGTTCATTTCCCCTTATTTGTATCAAAAGAGGGATTTGATTAGTGAATTCAAGGTGGTTCGATGTGGTTTCACCTTTTCATTTGTTTCCTCACCTGGTCGTAGTAGGCTCCAGAAGTCCAGGTTCTTGTTTTCTGTTGAGTGGATGATGTCATTAATGTGATTAGTGTGGCCACTGTGACATTTATTAGGCATCTCATGGCCCATCTCATTAGAACCTTATGGCTTCTGATTCTAATGATCTGCTCTTCTAATTCAAAGGTTTGCAATACAGCCTGCCACCTGTTTTTGTACACCCTGTGAGCTAAGAATGTCTTTATGTATATATTTTTTTTTTGAGACGGAGTCTCGCTCAGTTGCCCAGGCTAGAGTGCAGTGGCGCAATCTCGGCTCACTGCAAGCTCCGCCTCCTGGGTTCACGCCATTCTCCTGCCTCAGCCTCCCAAGTAGCTGGGACTACAGGTGCCCACCACCATGCCCAGCTAATTTTTTGTATTTTTAGTAGAGATGGGGTTTTACCGTGTTAGCCAGGATGGTCTCGATCTCCTGACCTCGTGATCTGCCCGTCTTGGCCTCCCAAAGTGCTGGGATTACAGGCGTGAGCCACCGCACCCGGCCTATATTTTTAACTGGTTAAAAAATTCAAAAGAATAATGTCATACCATGTGAAAATATAAAAACTTCAAATTTTAGTCTTTATACATAAAGTGGTATTGGGACACAGCCATGCTTATTACTTTATGTATTATCTGTGGCTGCTTTTGTGCTATTAACATAATGGTAGAGCTATATAGTTGCAACAGAGGCCTGCAAAGCTAAAAATAGTTACTGTCTGATCCTTTACAGGAAAAGTTTGCCCACCCTTGTTCTAATCTCTGTTGTTTATTTGATGTCTAGGAGGGGGCTTGTGAAGTGGCGAGGTCCTAGCTGGTTCAAGGGACCCAGATCACAGGCCCTGTTTGGTTGCCAAGTAGCTATGGAGCCTGGAGTTTGCTGGTTAGCTTTTGGAGGCCACTACCTCCTTGTCTGTCAGAAGGAGGTGACCAGTGAACCCACCTTCCTACTGCAAAATTCTTAAACATTTTTCTGTTTTTTTGAGACAGAGTCTCATTCCATCGCCCAGGCTGGAGTGCAGTTGTGTGATTTCGGCTCACTGCAGGAGTGCGATTTCGGTCACTGCAGCCTCCACCTACCCAGCTCAAGCAATCCTCCCACCTCAGCCTCCCAAGTAGCTGGGACCACAGGCATGCGCCACCATGGCTGGCTAATTTTTGTATTTTTTTTTGTAGAGACAGGGTTTTGCCATGCTTCCCACCCAGGCTGGTCTTGAACTCCTGGGTTCAAGTGATCTGCTTGCCTCGGCCTCCCAAAGTGCTGGGATTACCATGAGCCATCGCACCCGGCCTGAAAAATTCTTTGACTCTATGAAACACAGAAGAAAGAATATCCAATTGGAAAACTTTTTCAAGAACATATAGATTGACCCAGGAATCCTCAGTATCTGCTTGATTTTATTTATCTATCCAGAACTTCTCTAACCAAGATCTTTCCCCTACCATTGAACATCAAATATGGAGATGCCCTCCAGGACACAAACAAAAGGTGCCTCAGATTATACCATTTGGTGTTTGTCAGCATCTTTGTTTTCTAGTCTAATTTATAGGGTTGGATTGAAAGGGAGTGAAGGAGAAAGAACCTGAAGCAGAAATAGGGCTGAATGGGACCTTTACAGAATGATAGACCCACCCTTCTTGGAAAAAGATCCCCATGATTTACTTTTTTATAAATTAATTAATTTTTTAGAGACAGGGTCTCACTGTGTTGCCAAGGCTAGACTCAAATTCCTGGGATCAAGCGATCTTCCTGCTTCAGCCTCCTGAGTAGCTGGGACCACAGACCACCGTGCCTGACCCCATGACCTTCTTGAGTCGTTTAGACGTGCTAACTTGTCCTATCAGTCAGCACTGAAATACTATACCTTGTTAGGATGAGTTGTTCTGAAGCCAGAATGTTGTTTTTAGTTTTCAGGCACTGGTAAAGAAGATTAGAAGAAATACTTAGTAGCTTTGGATTTTAGTAAGACTTAAGAGTCGTTGGAGAATTTGCTGCCTTTGATGTTGTGGAGCCTATGAGGATATCTCTACTGAGTGTAGTATACTGTGTTTATTCTTTTTGAGAGGGTGCTGGGAAAGGACTTTATAGTGGGAACTTATTTAATTAATTCCTTTTTCTAGAAGGGACTCAGATTCCTAGCTTAGAGCAGGACACATTGGCTATGGAATCATAAAGACAGAATGACATGTGGACTTAATACTCTCAGAAGAGATGTCTGTCCACATGGTTAGGGAAACTAAGTACAGTTTTTCTAAAAATTGTGTTTCTGAGATATGAAATAGCTTGCTTTAGTTAGTTTTTCTGTTGTTTTTTTAATCGAGCTATTGGAGAACAATAAAGGGCATGAATAAGATTTTCGAGATCGCTCCTTTCATCTGTAAATAGAATCTTCCTCACTCCAGAGAAAATTGGTGTGTGATACCTCCTAGTCAGTCATCAGGACCCATGCTTCAGTTTGATTTTTAAGTCTTTGAAAGCTGTTGACCCTTTTGCTTTTGAGTTTCATTCACCAGCTAAAAGGCCACGCCATCAGGGTGACGGAAGTGAAATTCAAAATTTAGTGGGCTTGGAAAAACGCGTATTTATAATGAGCTTGAAGGCTCAGAGGATTTGTGAAATCGTTTTGGATTAACAGCCATTGATTGCTAATAAAACAATATTTAGCTTTGTCCAGAGAACAGCAATGGAGAAAGGTATGGGCACCTTGTCAACAGGCCCCATTGAGCAGGGATGATGGGCTAAGTGTGGGGGTCTCTGCAGCAGCGTGGGTGCTCGTCCTTCAAGGAGCGGTTGTCAGTCGTTAGCGAGGCGGGTGAAAGGAAGGACGCCAAAGTCTGATGGCCGGGGTGGTATTGATGTGCCTTCGCTGACTAATCAGATTGAAAAAGTCCCATGGTATTTATGTCACTTTAATTTTCATCAAACAATTGGAGACGACAGCACTCTATTAAGGAGAGGTTGATCCAGAACTAAAGCCAAATAAATTAGGGTCTCAGTTTAATCAAATTATCCTTTTACTGGCTCTGGATTAAGTGAGAGAGACAGCGTCGGTCAGGAGACTTGTGATTGGCTGAATCTTTCCCTTATTTTTAAAGAAACGGATGAAAGAAAAAGTATTTTAACAGACTACTATAATAATCCTTCCAATCAATCTTGCTAAAACAACAACAACAAAAAAACTGAATTTATTTCACTAGTCAACTGTGTCATTTTGTTGTGAATAACTAACCTGTCATTAAAATCAGAGTTCTGATAAACTGGCATGAGGGGAAGAAACAGATGTGGAAGAAAAATTTAGTGTCTTAGAATTTTTCTATGTAGTTTTGGGCTGTTTCTCTTGGCACACTTTCAGCACATCTAAAGTCTCCATTTGGAGAATGGCTCTGAGGGTAATCACTTCTCTCAGGATGTGCTGAGTACTTAAATTGGTTTGCTTTACACTAATTTTAAAAGCAACTGCATGAATTTGAGTCGGTATATAGACAGCTTGGCAAGTCCGTTGTTCAGGACTGAGTGTCAAAGTATACAACAAAAAGTATACAAAAGGAGATGGTGATGACTCGTGAGTAAAGAGGTAAGTTTATATTACCCACAAACTAAGGTAGAAAAAGTAAGGCAGAAAAATAACACTGTCCTCCAGGTGGTGGATATAGTTAAAAATGTACTTGTGAGTGATGGGAAAGGAGGATGAGGAAGGCTTTTACAGTAATGGTAATGTTCTATTTCTTGATCTTGGAACTGGTGGCAGAGCATGTTCAGTTTATGAAAATTTATTGAGCTCTATACTTATGTTTACTTTTATGATACACTTCCATACAAAGTTAAAAAATCTGCATGGGCGTATTGTTTTAAAATTGAATTCTGTATTAGTTTCCTATTGCTGCTTTAATAAATTCCTCAAATTTAGCAGCTTAAGACAACACAAATTTATCATCTTAGAAGTCTGACACGGGTTTACCTGAGATAAAATCAAGGTGTTGACAGAGCTGCATTCCTTTCTGGGAGGCTGTAGGACAGAAACCATTTCCATACGTTTTTCAGCTTCTAGAGGCCACCCCCATTCCTTGGCCTGTGGTCCCCTTACCATCCTTAAGGCCAGCAATGTGGTAGCTGAGCCCTTCTTAGGTTGCATTACTCCAGCCTGCTCTTCTGCCTCGTTCTTTTACTTTTAAGGGCCCTTGTGATTACATTGGGCCCACATGGATAATTCAAACTAATCTCTCTGTTTCAAGGCCAGCTGATTAGCACCCTAATTCTAAACACTGAATTTCTAAAACACTGAATTTCCCTTCCACATCTATTTCTTCCCCTCATGCCAGTTCACTAGAACTCTGATTTTAATAATGTGTTTGTTACAACAAAATGACACAGTTGACTGGTGAAATAAATTCAGTTTTTTTGTTGTTGTTGTTTTAGCATGATTCATCTTGCTTCTGCCTAAATACCATCTGTGATGGAATTCCCCCTTGTCATGTAACATGACATATTCACAAAGATTAGGACGTGGGCATCTTTGAGGGACCATTATTCTGCCTACCACAATCACGGATTAGTCATTTTCATTAGCGAGAGAGGGTGGGGGATAAAAAAGGAACATGGGTACAGTGAAAAGAGCACTGCTCAGAGTCCAGAATCTGCACTCTGCTCTCGGCTCTCCCACTTCCCAGCTAACAGTTCACCCGCCCACTGGACCTTGGTTCCTGTCTATATCATGAGGGGACTGGATGTGATATTTCCTAAGGTACCTTCTAACATTCTGTGAAAGATACACATCGCCCTACCAAATAGAACATTTAGAATCAGTAACTACTGAGGAGCAAATTTTTTAATTAAAAAAAAAAATCAGGCCGGGCGCGGTGGCTCACACCTGTAATCCCAGCACTTTGGAAGGCCAAGGTGGGCGGGTCATCTGAGGTCAGGAGTTCAAGACCAGCCTCGCTAACGTGGTGAAACCCTGTCTCTACTAAAATACAAAAATTAGCCGGACATGGTGACATGTGTCTATAATCCCAGCTACTTGGGAGGCTGAGGCAGGAGAATCACTTGAACTCAGGAGGCAGAGGTTGTGGTGAGTGGAGACCACGCCACTGCCCTCCAGCCTGGGCAACAGAGCAAGACTGTCTCAATCAATCAATCACTGGGGCAGTAGTCCAGTCTTCAGATTTGGAATTCCTACTACTCTAAGACCTCATTCTGTAATTGTGACTACCTATAAAGTTCAGCTTCAATAGACTTTAGACTTGTCTTCAGCTGTCTTGGGTTTGAAGATGCCAGAATTTATGGTGGTCTCAAGAGACTGTTACTCCTTGGAATTCCCTTTTCTGGGTAAAGGTGCATGCTTTTCAGTTAGGCCCTGGAAGTGAGTCTATATTCTGTTATTTGTGTCATTCTCTTCCCTCCCCCTTTTATTGCCACTTAGTTCTGTTTGTTTCTGACTGGATTTACCTTTTCTCTGCTTTCATTGGCGTTTTGTTCATTCATTTTTGGAGCATCTACCATATGCTGGACATGTGCTGATGCTGAGAGATGAATTAAGAAAAAAGACCCAGCCACTGCCTTCACTGGACTGAATCTAGATTGGGTGTCTCCAAACACTTTTGACTAGAGACCCATTAATAAAAACGTTTGAGGATGCATTCTTTACTAATGTGTGAGGTACATTGTAGAGCATACACAAAAATTGGGAATTAAATAGACTTTGTTCTCTTAGTGCCTGGGGAGTGTCCTCACCCATACTCGGAGACCCTACCACATTAGAATTGACACAGAAAACAGGAGTGTAAAGTTGTGAAGTTATTAAGACAAAAAAAAAAGTCTGGCTTAAAAGTAGTTTCTCAGCCTGATCTTACTGTTCCCTTTGTTCTTTGCAGATTTGTTTGGTGTCTGTGTTTCAATGTCATTGTCCTTGTTTCCTTATTGCAGTCCAGTCTTGCTGCTAAAGCTGGTGTGCCTATCCAGAGGACCAGACCTGGAGCCTTTCCCAGGGTCTAAGCCTGACTTTCATGTATTGCTTGGACACATTTTATTTAGATCTCCATCCTTCTAGGCCTCCCAGCCTGCTACCCAAGCCAAGTAGTAATCTTTAAGATGAACTTGCTGCTTTTTGGAAATAACTCATGTCCTTTTCCCCCTTAGGAGGGATTTGTTCGTGTTGACCGAGATTATGTGCTGAAGTCTGCAGAGCTGGCAAAAGCTGGAGGGTGCAAACATTTCAACTTGCTATCCTCTAAAGGAGCTGATAAATCAAGCAATTTTTTATATCTACAAGTTAAGGTTTGTGCAAGTTTCTGTTTTTCATACACTTTGGAGAACCCTAGCTATTTGGCAGTACTAAAGAATATAAAATATTATATAATACAAAAACCATCAAATGCATCATATTATGCATTTGTATGGCTACGGGACTGCAGGAATATATTTAGTAAACAGGAATGATTGGAAAGGTAATTTCCAATGTCTTCCTCTCTATTAATTATCCAGCAACAAATGGAATGAGATATGGCATCTCCAGCCTTGACTGTCAGCATGGCAGCTTAGCATTGGAAGAGACTTGGAGGCAGTGATTCTTAAACTTTTCCGTCAGTCTCCCTAATGACTGAGCGGAAAGAAGAGCTTTTATTTGTGTAGAGATTTGGAGAAATCTATCCTGAAGCAGTATTCTAGTTACAGACTCAACTTTCTTTTCTTTTTTTTTTTTTTGAGACAGGTTCCCAGGCTGGAGTGCAGTGGCATGATCTTGGCTCGCTGCAGCCTCTGCCCCGCCAAGTAACTGGGACTAGAGGCATGAGCCACCATGCCTGGCTAATTTTTGTATTTTTGGTAGAGATGGGGTTTTGCCATGTTGCCCAGGCTGGTCTCAAACTCCTGAGTTCAAATGATCAGCCCATCTCAGCCTCCCAAAGTGCTGGGATTACAGGTGTGAGCCACTGCGTCTGGCCTCAACTTTCTTAAAAGTCTTAACGTTTTATCTTTTAAAAATTTATGCACATTTTGCTATTCTTAGTACTATACATATCCCTGTTTATTTTAATTTAAAAGGTTTCTATTAACTTACCTTTCAGTTAAATTGATGCTGTTGGAAGATAGGCATGGCTTTGTCTTTGTGTGCCTCCCTTTGCACCCCAGGTGCCCACAGTTTAAGCAGCAGAGCCACAGAGGTCATTCAGCCATAGACTTTTCCTATGTGAAGTCCTTTTACAGAAGTTCATCTCCTTTCTGCTTAAATATCTCCAGCACTACAGAGATTACTATCTCGTTAGCCAACTTTTTCTATTTTGGGTCAGATCTACTTGTCCAAAAGTCTTTACCTTGAAGTGAAATTTATTGTTATGTAAATACAAATTGTTATCAGTTCTGCCTTTTAAAATAACAAAAATACGTCCAGTCTTTCTTTTGCATTGTAGTTTTTAAGACATTTGGAGATTATGACCCCCTTAATTGTATGTTTCCCAGGCATAACACCTTTAAATCCTTGCACCATTCTTTATGGGTTCCTGTGTCTAGCTCCTTCATGACTGCATCACTTTGCTAAGGGTGAACTTTGCAGTGATATTATACTGGAACTGCACTGGGAGTACTATTCATGCTCCGAACACTATGTTTTTTTAAAAAAATAGGATATAAGATTGTTACTATTTTACCAAACATCCTTATTATGTTGTTGGCTCATGATCAGCCTGTAATATTAAAAATTTCCAGATTTTTTTCACATGGCTTATAGCTGAGCCATATCTCACCTATCCTAAAATAGTATTTTGAACCAGATGAAGATCAGTGAGCCACCAATGAAATTACATGAAGAATGGAAAAGTTTCCACTTAATTGTCAGAGTTTAGAACAATTCTTAAAAGGAAAAAATCTGTTTTCCTTTTTTTTTAGAGTCAAAGTCTTGCTCTGTCACCCAGGTTGAAGTGCAGTGGTGCGGTCACAGCTCACTACAACCTCAGATTCCTGGGCTCAAACAATCTCCAGCCTCAACCTCCTGAGCAGCTGGGACTACAGGCATGAGGGATCAGGCCCAACTTGTTTTTTAAAACACTGACACATGTGGGTTCTGAGAAAGGTTATCAAATAGGATTTTTGCTCTCATTAGCAAGATCAACATTTATACCTTTTAGGAAAGAAAATATACATAAGATATTTCCTCATTGTTAAAGATAAAGGCGTTACTACTGACTCACTGGGTTATAATAATGATTTAACCAGATTTTTAAAAAAATAGCTAACACTAAATGAGCCAGGCAGTATTCTGAGGGCTTTTATGTGCATTTGCGTGGAAACAGGTACTGTGATATTAAGACCACCAGCTGTTGGCTGGGCACGGTGGCTCACGCCTGTAATTCTAGCACTTTGGGAGGCCGAGGTGGGAAGATCACTTGAGGCTGGGAGTTTGAAACCAGCCTGGGAAACGTGGCAAAACCCTGTCTGTACTAAAAATACAAAAATTAACTGGCACAGTGGTGTATGCCTGTAATCCCAGCTACTCGGGAGGCTGAGGCAGGAGAATTGCATGAACCCGGGAAGCAGAGGCTGCAGTGAGCCAAGATCACATCACTGCACTCCAGCTTGGGGACAGAGTGAGACTCTGTCTCAAAAACAAAACAAAACAAAACAAACAACAACAACAACAACAACAACAAAAACACCAGCTGTTAAGCGGCAAAGCTAGAGCTTGAACCCAGGCTGATTCCAAGGCCTATGCCACTAGCTATTAAGTAATGAATAGCCTTTGTCACTAATACATGCAAAAGGGACCCAGCAGAGATTGGACCGTGACAGAGCCTCAGCAAATATTAAGGCCAATACAACGGAAAGACACTTCTGATTTCACTGCAATTGGCCTGCATTACCTGCAGCCTGGGATTATGAATTAGATTAATAAAGGACAGAAATGACAACCAAATGATCCAACCCAGAATGACGCTGAACAATATATAATTGCTTTTACAATTTGGAAAGATTATCTTTCCAAAATAATCCTTCAACTACTGTGTGTAACATTCCTAGTATTTATTGCCTATTTTCTCAGCCTCCATGTGTGTATGAACTCCCCCGCCCCACCCAATTTTAGAAACTCCTTTATTGTTTAGGAACATTTATTCTACTCAATGAAGTTTCAATTGCATTCATTCATGGTGGGCCAGCTCTGGGGGCTTGGATCAATCATGTGCTTTATGGGCATTCTGCTGGTGCCGTGGGGAGACGTGTCAGGATGTGGAGCCCAGAGTACTGGATGGGCCTCATGTCCTCTGTTCTCAGGGTTTATAAGCTTTGGTTTCCTCATCTATTCAGGGTGAAGGTATACTTTCCAGACATGTGACATTTTATTATTGGGTATCATCCTTGACCTCAAGGAGTTTATAATCTGCTTGTATTGAGGGATCCTCAAAGACACCCCCAAGTTTGGTAATTCACTAGAAGGTTTCATAGGACTCAGCATATAGTCATACTCACAGCTACAACTTATCGCATTGAAAGGATATAGAGCAAAATCAGCAAAGGGAAAAGGTGTGTCGGGTGAAGTCTGGAGGAAAGTAGGTACAAGCTTCCAAGAGGCCTCTCCCCATAGAGCTTGCACAGGATGTGCTTAATGTCTCCAGCGATGAACGTTTTCTGCCAGAGAAACTCATCTGAGCCTAGGAATGCAGGGTTTTTATGGGAGCCAGTTACATAGGCACATTGGCCTAGCCAAATTGCAGCCCTCCAGAAGAAAGGCAAGTTTTCAGCATAAACCACATTGTTTGTACAGACAGTTTAGGCATAGTACATGACCCTTATCAGATAGGGAATGGTGGGAACACACCGAAAATCCAAGGTTGCAAGCACAAGCCAGGGGCCAAACTTGTAACAGGCCTTTCTAAGGATAGCAGTCTCAGCCTGCTATGGTATCTCTTTTATGCACACTGCTAATAGAGACAAAACAAATCTTTTAAAAAGCTAAGAAATGGGCTGGGCGCGGTGGCTCACGCCTGTAATCCCAGCGCTTTGGGAGGCCGAGGCGGGCGGATCACGAGGTCAGGAGATTGAGACCATCCTGGCTAACACGGTGAAACCCCGTCTCTACTAAAAATACAAAAAATTAGCCGGGCGTGATGGCAGGTGCCTGTAGTCCCAGCTGCTCGGGAGGCTGAGGCAGGAGAACGGCATGAACCCGGGAGGCGGAGCTTGCAGTGAGCTGAGATTGCGCCACTGCACTCCAGCCTGGGCGACAGAGTGAGACTCCATCTCAAAAAAAAAAAAAAAAAAAAGCTAAGAAATGTGTGTACACATAAAATCTTGTGTATGACTGTTCATAGCAGCATTATTTATAATGGCCAAAGAGTGGGAACAACCTAGATAGCCATCGACTGATGAATAGATGAATAAAATGTGATATATTCATGCAATAGAATATTATTCAGCTATAAAAAGAAATGATACATACTACAACATGGGTGAACCTTGAAAATATTATGCTAAGTGTGAGGAGACAGTCACAAAAGACCACGAATTATATGATTTCATTTATATGAAATGTCCAGAATAGGCAAATCTATAGAGATAGAAGGTACATTAGTGGTTGACTAGGTCCCCAGAGGGTAGGGTACGAGGAGTGACTGCTAATGATATGGGATTTCTTTTCAGGGTGATGAAATATTTTAAAACTTAGATCGTGATGAAGGTTACAGAGTTCTGTGTATATACTAAAAACCACCTATTAAAAAAAAAAGAATGGCCAAGCGCGGTGGCTCTCGCCTGTAATCCCAGCACTTTGGGAGGCTGAGGCGGGTGGATCACTTGAGGTCAGGAGTTCGAGACCAGCCTGGTCAACATGGTGACAACCCCGTCACTACTAAAAATACAAAAATTAGCCAGGCATAATGGCGGATGCCTGTAATCCCAGCTACTTGGGAGGCCGAGGCAGGAGAATTGCTTGAACCTGGGAGGTGGAAGTTGCAGTGAGCCAAGATCATGCCCTTGCACTTCAGCCTAGGTGACATGGTGAGACTCTATCACACACAAAAAATACATAAATAAATAAATAATTAAAATTAAAAAATTTTTAAAAAGAAAAAGATATTTAAAAATAGCTACTTAAATGTCTGTGATGAGACAGGTTAAGTGCCAATTGAGTGGTACACACAGGCCAAGAAGGAGGCGTGCATGACCGTGTGGTAGTTCACAGGCCTTTGGAAGTGCCTGTGGGCTGAGCTCCTCAGGCATTTTGTTTCCAGAGATGCCTGCCATGAAAATGCATGCTTTATTTAACAAATTAGATTTAAAGCATCATCTAGATGTAATCTGTCTTAAAATTTTGTGAGGTTTAAGAAGTGAGTAATATAGTGGGTCTATGGTTTTCTGACCCACTGGAACTACCTATAAACCAAAAAAACGTTAGTGTCTGCTAGCATGCAACATGAATTCTGGACTAAATAGAGGATATTCTTTTATGATTGTACTAACGTATGACTTACCCTCTCTGAATCTGTTTTAATATCAATAAAGTGAGAGGACTGACTATGCAGCCATTCACTCATTTAGTGGATCTTTTAAATGAAAGACTACACATCAGGATTAAATGATCTCTTCCTTAATTTCCCAGACTCCTTGGAACCTAAAATTCTAGATAAGGATATTTTGAGTATTGAGATCTGCAAAAGCAGATTATCTCAAAACCACAAATTATTCTCTCTTAAACTTCACACAGGTGAGCTGGTCGCGATTAAATACTGAAAATGTGTTTTTTCTTAATAGGGAGAAGTAGAAGCCAAGGTTGAAGAATTAAAATTTGATCGTTACTCTGTATTTAGGCCTGGGTAAGTATAATATTTATACTGAATGAGAGTATGCCACTGATGGTTAATCCCTAGATACTAATTTTTCATTTGGAAAGGCTGACAGCTGAAATATCTAAGATATGAAAGACATTGGCTAGAGGTAGATTGCTTCTCTGAAGGACACACCTTTTTGCTTAGAAAGAAAGGGTAGATGGTGGGGCCTGCTTCAGAATAGTCTGGAACTTCCTGGACAGCATTTGCTGCCTTCTTAAATCCTCTTCATGTGCCAAATAAAACCTTACGTCTACTGTATTAGTCTGCTTGGGTTGCCATAACAGAATACCACACAGATTGGGTGTCTTAAACAACAGAAATTTTTTTTCACGCAGTCTGGAGATTGGAAGTCCAAGATCAAGGTGCCCTCAGGGTTGGTGTCCGGTGAGGCCTCTTTTCCTGGCTGGCAGACAGACCACCTTCTGGCAGTGTCCTCACATGGCCTTTCTTCTTAGTGTATGCAGACAGAGAGAGACCTCTGATGTCTCTTCCTCTTATGAGGACCCCAGTCCCATCACACTAGTCCTATTCCATCCTTAAGACCTCATTAAACTTAATTACTTCCCTTAATGCCTTATCTTCAAATATAGACACCTTGGGGATTAGGGCTTCAACATTAGAATATTGAGGGGATACAGTTTTGTCCGTAATGCCCACTGTGGTCTCAGTGCAATTTACCACCTCTTCCTCTGCTTTTCTTTCTTTTTTTTTTTTTTTTATTTTAGAGTTCTGTTATGTGATAGGCAAGAATCTCGCCCAGGTGAATGGCTGGTTAGAAAGTTCTTTGGCTCCTTACCAGACTCTTGGGCCAGTGGGCATTCTGTGCCTGTGGTGACCGTGGTTAGAGCAATGCTGAACAATGTGGTGAGACCAAGAGACAAGCAGATGGAACTGCTGGAGAACAAGGCCATCCATGACCTGGGGAAAGCGCATGGCTCTCTCAAGCCATGACCACATTGGAGAAATGGTTTTTATTGTCAACCTTAACACCCATCACCAAATCGGTAATTTCAGGGTCTAAAAAAAGTCAGCATGTTTTAACTTTGTTGTTTTACTATCCTCAGGCATCCATTCCAATCAAGAAATGATGGTGCTCTGCATCAGTGGTTCAGAGCCTGGTTATACATATAGATCACTCAGGGAGCTTTGGAAAAATAAAGATTTGTCAGCCCTATCTCAAACTTGAATCAAAATTTCTGGGGTGTGGGCACAATAATCTGTAATTTTCTTTGTTTATACTTCCCCTGATGCCACTGGTTCCGATGCCACTGGCTGGGGGGCCTGCTTTGAAATGCTTGTCTGCAGAGTCACAGCAGCCATGAAAACCTTATGACCGTGCAAATGAGCTCTGCTCTAAAATTGTTGACATTCATGTCTCTGAGTTACAAAAGTGCTAATTCACTACATGTAATTGTGTAAGTAAACATTGTGCCTTTACTACTTCTTTATGTAATAGAAGTTATATACCTAAGCTTATATAATACATGGGGAGGATTAAATAAAGGAATAAAGATGAATGGACAACTCCTGGGTGCCTCTTAGATTGCTTGAAAATGCCCATGTAGTGTGATATGCAGCATTTCAGCCTATGGGGTGATATAATAGCAGCTAATATTTACCAAATGCTTGCTAAGTACCAGTCTTTACATGTGTTATCTGTGCTTTAACCCTCTTATAAACAATCCTTATAAAGTGATACTATCATGATCTTCATGTCTTAGATGGGGAAATGAGGCTCACTGTGGTTAAGTGCCTTGCTCAAGAGTCCAAATCTGAAGAACTGAAGCAAAGAAATGGCAGAGTCAGGATTCTAACCCAGGTCTGCCTGATCCCATAGATCCCATATATCGTGTTTTTAAGCACCCTGCAAAAGCATTCTGTTCCCGTATATTTCCAGGTAGTTCCAGTTGATTGTTACTACATGTTGTGGATGAACAAAATCGAAATATTTGGGTTTCTCCTTTGTTCTAGTGATTAATTACTAAATGTTCACATAGCCAGTAAAATTCTATGCCACCAAACTTTAAAGTGCTCATGCTGCTGCACTTTAAAAATTAAGGCAAAGGAAGATGCAGAAGGAAGGGTCAAAGCCAAGAGGAACATACATTGCTAATTTCCATCATAGAACAAAAGATGTTAATGTAACTTGTCTTAACGTCTGCACCAGGGAAGCAAAGTGATTCGAGGGACTCAGTCAATTCTTCCAAGGCCTACTGTATGCCAAGTACATTTCAAGCTTCAGTATACACTGGAGGATAAAGGCCATTCTCCTTAATTTGGAGTGTATATCCTTAGAAGGGAGAAGACATTCCCAGTGTCAGTCACCCAAAAAAGAGGCATATTTTAGGGCAGGGTGGGATATTGAAATGTGAGCTTTAAAAGGAAATGAAATATCTTCCTTCTGCCAGGTGGGGTTCCCTGGGAGTTGGACTTTGAAGAGCCTAAGTGTGTTGTTTTGATGGTGAAAAAGCATGGGCCGAGGATATGTTGAGGCCTCTGGGCTCTGAAAGCAGCTAAACCCAGTGGCCTGTTTTAAGTTATTCTCCTTATATTATTTCCTTACTCACAAACCTTCGAGCAGGTTTCATTCAACATGTTATTCTGGTCTCAGTAGTGATGTGGGATAATGAGGAAGGGTCTGTGTTCACCTTTGGAGTAGAGAGAAAAGCAGCCCTCTCTTGAGCTCTGCATTGTGGTGAGATATGAACTTACTAAGGAACAAGACTCTGGCCCAATCACTCCTCCACAATGGGTGTTAACTTGTTTTATTGTCAACACTGAATGGACTGGGTGTTCCATTTAGTACTAAGGGATTCAGGAAGTTTTCCACCAAATGTTACACAGACAGAAAAAGTTTATGTTGGAAGGATGAAGGGAAAAGTTGGATGGGCCCAGGTAATCAAGTGTTCATTAATTCATTCAGCAAATGCTTATTCAGTGCCTTTCATGTGCCACTGAGCACACAGGCACTGGGGATGCATCCATGAACGATGACTCCAACTCAAGAGAGCCAGCAGCTATTCTGGCAATGTCCTAGGATGTAAGAAAGCTTCAAAATTAATATTTGGGCCGGGTGCGGTCAATCACGCCTGTAATCTCAGGACTTTGGGAAGCCGAGGTGGGCAGATCACTTGAGGTCAGGAGTTCAAGACCAGTCTGACCAACATGGTGAAACCCTGTCACTACTAAAAATATAAAAATTAGCCAGGCATGGTGGTGAGCACCTATAATCCCAGCTACTTGGGAGGCTGAGGCAGGAGAATCGCTTGAACCTGGGAGGTGGAGGTTGCAGTGGGACAAGATCGCACCACTGCACTCCAGCCTGGGCAACCGAGCGAGACTCTGTCTCAAAGAAAAACAAAAACAAAAACTAATATTTAATGGATTCTGTCCTCTAGGAATTTACAATTAAGGGAGAAAAGTACATTTAGAAGTACATTTAGCAATAATATAAGGCATCATTTTTATTCAGTGAATACATTCAGTATCTATTAATACTATGGGCCAGG
Organism: Homo sapiens; assembly: GCF_000001405.40. Classification (NCBI taxonomy): domain Eukaryota; kingdom Metazoa; phylum Chordata; class Mammalia; order Primates; family Hominidae; genus Homo; species Homo sapiens. The sequence goes on from NC_000011.10 coordinate 20,385,764, forward strand.
CCACATATTATGTGCCAGAGAAATGAAAGTAAAGAGACATGGCCCTTACTTACCCTTATTGTTCAGTGCTGTGGGGTATCACCAAAAAAGAAAAAAAAATCAAGTAAGCAAATGGTGGGTGCTAAGAAACTAACAGGATACTCCTGAAATAATGGTGGAAACTATTTTAGAAATGGCCTGAGGAAAGTGTTTCTGGTTGAGACCAAAGGGACCTACCCATGTGTAGAACATTCAATGATTAGCAGTAAATAAAAGGCTTAAGGGTGGGACCCAAGGTGAAGGGTTCCATTGGAAAGAGGCAGGATTATGCAGGGCCTGATAGGCCAATTAGATAAACTCTGCTAGAGCCTGGGGCACTCCCTCCTAAGCAAGAATTCTGGGCCGGGCGGTGGCTCGCGGGCAGGTGGATCACCTGAGGTCGGGAGTTCCAGACCAGCCTGACCAACATGGAGAAACCCTGTCTCTACTAAAAATCCAAAATCAGCCGGACGTGGTGGCGCATGCCTGTAATCCCAACTACTCGGGAGGCTGAGGCAAGAGAATCGCTTGAACCCGGAAGGTGGAGGTTGCGGTGAGCCTGAGATCGTGCCATTGCACTCCAGCCTGGGCAACAAGAGCGAAACTCCGTCTCAAAAATCAAACAAAAAAAAGTTCTATGGTTTGAAGAGATATAAGGAAAGGAAGAAAGGGACGTGGCATGAGGCAGGCAGGGGAACATTTGTGTTCTTCCCCACACAGCAGCCAGATTGTTACTTTCTCAACACATCTGAGAGCATCACTCCCTGGCTTAAATAGTTATGTCTGAGCACTTTACATGTATTAACTCGTTTTATCCTTACTGTAGTTCTGAAGTTAGTCCAGGTTTTTTGTTTTTTGTTTTTTTTTTTTTAAGATGGAGTCTTGCTCTGTTGCCCAGGCTGGAGTACGGTGGCACAATCTCGGCTCACCACAAGCTCCGCCTCCCGGGCTCAAGCAATTCTCCTGCCTCAGCCTCCCAAGTAGCTGGGATTGCAGGCGCGTGCCACCACACCTGGTTAATTTTTGTATTTTTAGTAGGGACAGGGTTTCACCATGTTGGCCAGGCTGGTCTCCAACTCCTGACCTCAGGTGATCCGCCCGCCTCAGCCTCCCAAAGTGCTGGTACTATAGACGTGAGCCACCGTGCCCTGCCCAAGTGCAGTTATTATCCTTGTTTTGTATTTGATGAAACTGAGGCAGAGAGAGGTCGAGTAACTTGCCCAAGATCACAGTTACAAAGTGACGTGGGTAGGATTCAAACCCAGCAGGCTGCCTCTAGAGTTCACGTTCTCACTTAACCAAAGATTAAAATCCGTCTTGGGGGGTTTGACACCTATCTGTCCCTGCAGTAGACCCACCCTGGCCCATGCAGTTCGTTCCCTCTCGCCAGCTGCACCCCCTCCAGGACCTGGGAGCCCAGAAACCAGCCGAGCCTCCAGCGTTTGGCCTCCTCCGCCACCAGAGGGCGTCATGGGCCGATCGCCCCTCCGCTAACCGCTCATCCCAGGAAAAAGGGGCGCACAGAGGACAGGATGCCAACCCCAAAACCGCAGCGACGTCTCTCTGCCTTGGGGCTCACAGCAGCGGGCCGCGACCTCCCACTAACGCCTGCCGCAACCCAAGGAGGAGACAAAAGTCATCTTCCGGGCTGCAACATTAACCGTCATCAGCGCGCCTCTTCAGCGCGCACTGCGCCAACCCTGCGGCAGGAGGAGGCGGAGCCCCCGCTCTCGCCCCGCCCCCACCTCACGTGACCCGCACGGCGCCTCGAGGCCGGAAGCGATTGCGAGCCAGCGCGCGCGCTTCGGCGTTCCCGGCGGTCTGCGAAGTTTCCGGAGCCCGGGTCCCGCCGCGGGTTCGCGCTTGTGCTCGCGCTCGTTCCTGGAGTCGGCGGCCGCTGCGCGCGCTCGTTGCCCAACCCGGTCCCCGCCCCCAGACACGCCGGGCTCTCGGGGCACCACAGCCATGTGCTCGTTAGCGTCAGGCGCTACCGGTGGGTACCCTGGCCCCTCAGCACCCGGCTCGTCCAGCCCCAGGCCGCGCCGCTGTGGGGCCGGTGGAAGACCCTCCGGGACACGGGCCCGGGCAGGGTGGGGGGCTCGCAGGGATCATGAAGGAGGTGCTGAGTGAGGGCCGCGGGCGAACGGGGCGGAGGAGAGCCCATCGTCACCTGCTCCTCGAGCCCCCGGGCCGCACCGGTGTCCGAGGCCGATCTGATTGTTGTGTGTGTGTGTTAGGCGGCCGGGGCGCTGTGGAGAATGAGGAGGACCTGCCAGAACTGTCGGACAGCGGGGACGAGGCCGCCTGGGAGGATGAGGACGATGCAGATCTCCCCCACGGCAAGCAGCAGACCCCCTGCCTGTTCTGTAACAGGTTCGTCCGCCTCAGCGCCTGGCCTCTGCCCTAGGGTGCCCGGGCGCGTGGGGTCTGTGTGCCCAGGAACGCCTTCGGGCGGGAGGCAAGCCAGAGTGGCCTGTCTTTGAATTCTGGAACCACTGGTCTGGGGTGAGGGCTTGTGGAGAAGGAGGACCCTCGGTAGTAGAGAGGGGGAACCGTGAACTGGAAGGCCGGTTGTACTGCAAGCTTTTGACTGGTAGTGCATTGAATCTGTGGTTCCCAAATCTTGTCACTTGAGACGCTGAAAACAAAATGATACTGAACTCTGCACCTGAATCCTTCCAAGTCAGGGATGGGGTCTAAGAATATTCTGTTTTTATGAGGACAAGATCGGAAGTAACAGTGAAGTTACTAACGAGTTACTACTAACGAGTAACATATTTGGCAGCCACCCTGAACTAGATAATCCCTACGGAGCCTTCCGGCTTTACCATGCTAATTCTTTGACCAGTACAGAGCTTCTCAGGTGAAACATTTCTTTTTTATTTGAGCGGTTTCCATAGTCTAAGAAGGAAGTTCACCTTACTTAAGTAGGACTTTTCACTTAAGGAAAAAGACTGTAGTATCAATAATTTGCTCAAGGTCACAAAGCTGTGGTGTGCTTATTTCCAAACTCACATTCTTGCCACTTAAAATTCTGCCTGTTAGTCTTGGGAAGCTTTGGCTCCTGTCCTAGGCAAGTAGGCATGAAAGAGGCCCGGTTGGCATTGGCCGGTGTTACTTTAATACATTTTCCAGTGTTCCCTGTATCTGGGCATGGTGCTGAGTGGTGGTGCGTTAGTGTTCTCATCTGTAGCCCCATTGGGTAGATAGAATGCCTGTATATATTCTAGTTGTCATAAAATATTTATTGAGCACCAGTGGTACCGTGGCTGTGATAGCCTCCATAAATAGTCGACATAACCTATCTCGGTAAACATTTGTGGAAAACTAATGCTCCACATGTGTTAGGAATATAGATAAGGTATACAGCTTCTCTGCTGTGTATTCCTGTCTTTAAGTAGCCTTCAGATTTGCATGTCACATAATAAAGAGGATTGATCCTCACAGTGTCTGTGATGCAAGTACGTTGGGAATACTACAAGATCACTTTTGAAATAAGGCACTTGGGGAGTATGCCAGCTGTAAAATTACATTTTATGCTTTATTTCTAAAAGCAGTTTGAGCTGTGCCAGTTCAAAGCCTCTGAAAGCAGAGTTGACACTTAGAGGAGAAAAGAATCTCAAGTAGAGAAATTGTATGACTTGAGAGAAACAGACTCTATCAAAGGGAACTCTCTTAAAAGCCTTTTGATAAAATCAGTGATATTATTTGACAAATAAATTCACTTTGACATTTAAAGGATAATTGGTTTTAGGTATAAAATGGGACTCAGAAGTACTAATTCCCTTTAAAAGTGCTGGATTCCCTTCCTTTCAGATACAAGTGTGTTTGTTTTTTCTTAATTGGAAGTAAAACTAGAAACCAGCAGAGTTAAAAAAAAAAAAAAAGTGTATATGTAACATGAAATCAGTATTTAGACTTCTTAGGGGACTATTCCATGAAGCTATTGCTTGATTTTTCAGGTTATTCACATCTGCTGAAGAAACATTTTCACACTGTAAGTCTGAGCATCAGTTTAATATTGACAGCATGGTTCATAAACATGGTGAGTAGTTTTTAGAATAAAGGCAATTTAATTTGTGAAATTTGGGCAGGCATGGCAGCTCACACCTGTAATCCCAGCACTTTGGGAGGCTGAGGTGGGTGGATCACTTTAGGTCGGGAGTTCAAGACCAGCCTGGCCAACATGCTGAAACCCCACCTGTACTAAAATACAAAAGTTATCTGGGTGTGGTGACGCACACCTGTAATAGCAGCTGCTCAGAAGACTGAGGCAGGTGAATTGCTTAAACCTGGGAGGCAGAGGTGGCAGTGAGCTGAGATGGTATCACTGCACTCCAGCCTGGGCAACAGAGTGAGACTCTTCTCAAAAAAAAAAAAAATCTGTGAAATATAAGTTCAGATTTTATAGTTTTTCAGACCCTTTTCTGTACGAGTTTAATATGGCGAATCACACAGCAACATCTTGTGGAAATGGAGTTTTTTTGACAAGCGGTCCTTGAGAAAAGATGAATAAGTCACTCTTCTAGACAAGATTCACTGTATTTAAGCTTATATTAGCTTTTCAACTAAAAACAAAAACAGACTTGGCATGTGATTACATTTTTACATTTTATGTGATTACATATTAGATTTAGGGAGAGCAAGTGTAGATGTAGGACTTGAAAAAGGACGCAGGTCATTTGAAAAAAGACAATCAGCTCAAAGCATGACATGAACTTCACAGCCTACGAGACTGAGTTTTATACAAAGTTCGGTAGAGACTGGAAAAAGAGTGATGAAGTTAAGATTAATATGCAAAATACTCAGGTGATGTTTCTATTGAAACTTTTATTTAAACACACTTGCCTTACAATTAAGGCCTTCCACTTTAAATGGATGTAGAAGAGCTATACTACAATAAAATTAACTAAATAGGCCAGGTGCTGTGGCTCACGCCTGTGATTCCAACACTTTGGGAGGCCAAGGCAGGTGGATCACAAGGTCAAGAGATTGAGACCATCCTGGCTAACCCAGTGAAAACCTTTGGGAGGCCAAGGCGGATGGATCACAAGGTCAGGAGATCGAGACCATCCTGGCTAACCCAGTGAAAACCCAACTCTACTAAAAATACAAAAAATTAGTCGGGCATGGTGGCATGTGCCTGTAGTCCCAGCTACTTGGGAGGCTGAGGCAGGAGAATTACTTGAACCCGGGAGGCGGAGGTTGCAGTGAGCTAAGATCATGCCACTGCACTACAGCCTGGGTGACAGACTGAGACGCCGTCTCAAAAAAAAAAAAATAATAGGTTTTTTGGTCCCTATATTTGTTGACAACTAAGAAGGGACATTACTGAAGAATAGCAAATACTAACAGGTGTTTCAGTGTCAGATAAATACGTGATATCACATGTTTATAAATCATAAATTCAACTGCAAGTACTTTCGTAAGGCATAAATGACAGCCTCATTTTTTAATGTTTTTTGTTTTTGTTTTTTTTTTGAGACGGAGTCTCGCTCTTGTTGCCCAGGCTGGAGTGCAATGGCACGATCTCGGCTCACTGCAACCTCCGCCTCCCGGGTTCAAGTGATTCTCCTGCCTCAGCCTCCCAAGTAGCTGGGATTATAGGCATGCGCCACCACACTGGCTAATTTTGTATTTTAGGAGAGACAGGGTTTCTCCATGTTGGTCAGGCTGGTCTGGAACTCCCGACCTCAGGTGATCCGCCTGCCTTGGCCTCCCAAAGTGCTGGGGTTACAGGCATGAGCCACTGTGCCCAGCCTTAATGTTTTTAATGTTGCATTTCTAAAGTATTAGAATCATACTTAAGATAGAATTTTGTTTTGTTTTTTTTTTACTTACCGATATAGGGGGTTTGTATACTATTAAAGTTTTCTCATAACAAGAGTTTTATGACAAATAATTGGTTGGTTGGATGTATTACTGCTTTCCTTTGTTTTAAATGCTGCTTCATTTCTGGAAAGATACGAGAACCAGATAACAAGCCTTATTGGGCTTGCATCATTTAACTTCATGTAAAAGCTAGTATACACCATGTCCTGGCAAAATTATAATTTGATACACACCATAAAAATTAGGGATTTAATACTTTCAGCTCTGATATCAGTTGCCAAATACTTGGTAAAATGTGGATCTTAATTTTCCAGATTTGTATTGTTCTGACAAAGGAGGAGTAGAATTTTAGAAATCAGTTTTCCATCTTTTTAGAAATACTAGAAAAGCTTTAATTTGTCATTTATGGCTGCTTCTCAAGATATTCAGAAGTATCATTGTATTACTACTTCTAATTCTTAATAAAATTCAAAATATAAGTAGTAATTTAGAGGTCAGAATTATTTTATTGTTTAATCAGAGAAGGCTTTATAGAATAGGTCAGTTAAACAAAACTCATTATGTTAACATAGGTGAATTATCTTTTTCCCCCTTTAGGACTTGAATTTTATGGATACATTAAGCTAATAAATTTTATTAGACTTAAGGTAAGTTGACAGCTTAATTTATAATTTCGTTTAGAAATCAAAGAAATGCTACAGTGACTGTCAGTGTACTGATTATTTAAAAGAATATGAGGAACTGCATTAAATTTGGTACTCATCATATTGGGGGAATCACGGACATTAGGAGGTAGCACAGCAGAAAGCACCATGTAAATGTCTACCATAACTAACAAATATTGTTTTCACTGCATCTAAGAGATGAATCGGTGTATGTGAAAAAGTAATTCAGTGTCAAATAAAGGGAAATACTGATGGACAGGATCTGTAAAATCAGAAATAATTTCTAATGTGATTTTAAGTATTTTGGTTGCTCTTTTTTATTCTGTTTTTTTTCAGATACTTTGTTTTTTTTTTTTTTTGTCCTGTTTAAATGAATGTTTAATGACATGACAACGCTTTCCCCAAATCCAAACAGTAAAAAAAACTCTGCGTTGAAACTGCTGGTTAAGCAGTCGTCCAGCAAGTTAATGAAATGACAGGCACGTAGACTTTTTGGAGACATACTGACTTTGTGTAATGCAAACATGATTTCCTTTTTGTTTAATTTCTGTAGTTTTTACTAAGGGGATTTTGTGATTATATGTAATGAAAAAAACATGAGATTAATTTTATATCCAGAATCCTACAGTTGAGTACATGAATTCCATATACAACCCAGTGCCTTGGGAGAAAGAAGAGTATTTGAAGCCAGTATTAGAAGATGACCTTTTACTTCAATTTGGTAAGATGAACATAAGTGTATCTCCTTTAATTAACATAAGGCCGTTTGTTAACGGCAAAATGGAGGTAGAGTGTTTTAGGAAAAGACATGCTTTTTAAAATTATCTAAATGCTTCATCAGGTAGTTAGTTTCAGTAGAAAAGTTAAGTTGCTTAAAAACTAATAGTCGGCCAGGTGTGGCGGCTCACGCCTGTAATCCCAACACTTTGGGAGGCTAAAAGGGCAGATCACGAGGTCAGGAGATCCAGACCATCATGGCTAACACAGTGAAACCCCATCTCTACTAAAAATACAAAAAATTAGCCGGGCATGGTGGCGGGCTTCTGTAGTCCCATCTACTCGGGAGGTTGAGGCAGGAGAATCACTTGAACCTGGTATACAGGTGACAGAGCAAGACTCTGTCTAAAAAAACTAAAAACTCTGTGATCAAAAGATTGTCTGGTTTTGCCTTTAATTGCTTCATGTATTTTGGAGCTCTTATGTGAGGTTTATACACATTTATAATTGTTATATTTTACTGAAAAATTGGTCAGCCTTTGCAGTAATTCTTCTCTGCCCGAAAGAAGTATCCAGGTGATTTGAACATCCTGAGACAGAAGGTAGATGTAGATGTTCATCTTTCTGAATATGGTTTAGGCCTTTGAATTAGACTGTTCTAGCAAATTGTAGTTAGGAATCTTAATATTTACTGAATCCTCTTTTTTTCAAATCTCTAAGTTTAATCTTTAATATATAATTATCTGCATATTCTTAACATTAAAAAGTTTTTATTATGACTAATTTTTATTGCAGCAGAAAGCAAAACAGAAACTGGCCAAACAGTTTGAAGAATTTTGAAATCAAAATACAAAATGAGGTTTGTAGTAGGAAGTAGAAAATACAGTATACCAGCCTTATATAGTTTGGAAATATTTTGTTGTGCTGATTAATTTTTGGTGAATTAGATAGTGAATGATGCAGTTTTTAAACCTCAGTGACTCAATATTCTGCCACAGTGATGAGAAGTTAGTGACACCCTGCACTGCTTTTATAACAAGAATTCAACTTAGGCTGTAGTCTCTTATAGTATAATGCATTCGTTTGGCTTAGCTATTTTGTCCTAATTCCAAGGACGTGTCTTCACAACTAAAAAATGAATAGGAATTTTTACGAAGTCACATTTCTTCCAGTGCTATCCTGAGGGGAAAATGTAATATTTGCACTGCTCACTGCCTTAAGTTGATCCGAAAGTTAGATCAGTAAATGGACACTGATTTTGTGAAATTCACTAACTACATATATTAACTTCTCTTTGTAGAGAAGTGAAATTAAAATTAAATACTAGGAATTAGGATATTTAATAATATCAGCAATAAGACTTTAGTGTATAGATTTCACTCCACCTTGCCCAGGATGAAAAATTATTGAATGTGTAGAATTCTTTACACGCTGTCCTTAGGAATGTTTTTTTTTTCCTCCAGTTTTATTCAGGTATAATTGATAAGTGAAAATTGTGTACATTTCAGGTATACAATGTGATGATTTGATATGCATATACATTGTGAAATGATTACCATAACCAAGCTGATTAACATCATCACCTCACATTCCATTTTTTTATTTTTGTGGTGAGAACAGTTAAGATCTATTGTCTGCAAATTTCAAGTATACAGTGCAGCATTTTTAACTATAGTCACTTTACAATAGACAGATGCCCAGAACTTACTCATCTTGTAGCTGAAAGTGTGTACCCTTTGACCAACATCTCCTCATTTCCACCACCATTCCACTCTCTGCTGCTGTGAGTTTTTTTTTAATTCCACACAAGAGTGAGATCACACAGTATTTGTCTGTTTGTGTCTGGCTTATTTTGCTTCACATAATGTCCTCCATGTTCATTCATATTTTCATATATGGCAGGATTTCCCTTAAGCAATATCTGAATTTAATACCTGCTACAATAAGGACATGGGCTAGGAGGTGGCTTTGTGTAATGGGAAGAACGTGGGCTGGGAAGGCAGGTTTGGGTTTAAATCTTAGTTCCTCCATAAACAGATATATAACTTTAGGATAGTCACTTAATTTCTCTGAAATTTATTTTTTCCTTGCCTAAAATAGGGATAAATACATCTTAACTGTGTTTTGAGAATAAAACAAGATGTAATGATGTACTGGAAAGATACCTGCTGATCAATAAATATTAGGTTTTTTTCTTTCTACTTTTTTCTTTCTTCCTGGATTTGGTTGAGTATAATTAATAATTAATATTTAAATATATGTTCAGTTTAGCCAACTAATGAAAAACTTAGACTAACAGCATGCTCTTTGAATTCAAATTAAAATAGTGTAGATGATAAATATTTATTATTATTATTATTACTTTTAAGACCGAGTCTCACTGTATTGCCCAGGTTGGAGTACAGTGGTGCGATCACAGCTCACTGCAACCTCCGCTTCCGAGGTTCAAGCAATTCTTCTGCCTCAGCCTCCCAGGTAGCTGGGACTAAAGGCTCGCATCACCAGACCTGGCTAACTTTTTGTATTTTTTTTTTTTTAGTAGAGATAAGGTTTCACCAAATTGGCCAGGCTGGTCTTGAACTGTTGGCCTCAAGTGATCTGCCTGCCTCGGCCTTCCAAAGTGCTGGGATTACAGGCAAGAGCCACTGTGCAAAGCCAAGATGATTAATATTCAATTAAAAGTACTTTCACTAATCTTTCTCAATTGGCCACATAGTAGAAACTTAGGGCGTATTTATTCCTAACATATTTATACTTGTTTTATTGTTATAAGATGGCCTGATAATAATGTCCATTTATTTCTTTAGATGTAGAAGATCTTTATGAACCGGTGTCAGTACCCTTCTCATACCCCAATGGACTCAGTGAAAATACATCTGTTGTTGAAAAATTGAAACATATGGAAGCCAGGGCACTGTCTGCTGAAGCCGCATTGGCCAGAGCACGTGAGGATCTGCAAAAAATGAAGTAATTTATCAATCTTGCAAAATTAATTGTTTTAGATCTCCAGAATAATACAACCTAATGGCAAAGTAGAATATAGTAGAACATTTCATATACTGGAAAGTACAATGTAGATATTTTATCTTCATACTGTTAAAGATATGTAGCATTTTTGTACACTATGGATATAGTTAATTAATATAAAATCTTATAGTTTTACCTATTCTGATATGTTCTGACAAATGTTGTCCTCATGAATGTTTTTGTTCTTTATTGCCTTCCTTTCAGTTTTCCTGTTTGCATTGATTTCTCCATTTTACTTTTTCTATCCTAGTTTTTTAAAGTGGAAGGATTAATCTTTTTGAGGTTTGGGGAAAATACAGGGTTGAAGTTTTTAGTTTTAAAGAATCAAAATGTAGGCCGGGTGCGGTGGCTCACACCTGTAATCTCAGCACTTTGGGAGGCCGAGGCAGGAGGATCATGAGGTCAGGAGTTTGAGACCAGCCTGGCCAACATGGTGAAACCCTGTCTCTACTAAAAATACAAAAATTAGCCGGGTTGTGGTGGTGCACGCCTGTAATCCCAGCTACCTGGGAGGCTGAGACAGGAGAATTGCTTGAATCCGGGAAGGGGAGGTTGCAGTGAGCTGAGATCGCACCACTGTACTCCAGCCTGGGCAACAGAGCAAGACTTTGTCGGGGTGGGGTCGGTGGGGGGGAATCAGAATGTAATTATGGTGTAGTATGAACCCAGAAAACCAGATATACAGTGACAGTTTTTTCCAGTGAATAAATTAGCATTCTACTGGTGTAGTACTTTTCAAAGTTTAATGTGCATAGGAATCAACTGGGATCGTGTTAAAATATAAATTCTGATTCAGAAGATTGAGAATAGGGCCTGAGATTCTGCATTTCTGACAAGTATACCTCACAGGCCTTCCTGTTGGATTTGTAAGCTGTTTGCTGTTGCCTGAGTACCCATCTGATGGTTTGCCAGAATGAATGTCCAGCAGGAAAGATAGTAGAGCCAATTGTAGTTCCTCTTCCCTGTTTCAGAATTTTTATGCTAGGTAACCAAGTAACCAACACCAGCTCTACCTTTTGCCCCTTTGAACTTCTCCCTTTTATATACCTTATGGATTCCTAATATGTCATGATCTGAGAGGGATCTAAGTTTTAGAGCTGGAGTGGGCGGTGCTGGTGTATGTAAATAATTATCTATTTGGGTCTACTTTCTGCTTACATAATACTCCCAAGAAATAATATGGTTTTAAAGAATATTAATAGAGCTGAAATAAACGACATTGATTCATTTGCTAAAAAAGGATTTTAAAACAATAGAAATAATAGAGGATTATAAAAGTAATATGCTTATTTGTTCAGTTGAAAGACATAAGGAGCTACAATCTGCGGTTGGCATTGCTTTTGTGGTTTGTAGAAGGAGTATGTATAATTGTTTCTGAATATTGCCATTGCTTCAGATCCAGCAGGGGGAGCTTTCAGTTGTTCAAGATAGAATGTGATTTAGAAGACTCATCACACTGTACTCCCTCCCCTTTCCTCTTCCTCAACCTCTAGCCTTTCCTTTATTCATGGTCCAATAAACCTGTCTCAAGGGTGTATTTCAAATTGATTACAGACAATTTGCTCAGGATTTTGTGATGCACACAGATGTCAGAACCTGCTCGTCATCTACTAGTGTCATTGCGGACCTCCAGGAGGATGAGGATGGTGTTTATTTCAGCTCATACGGGCATTATGGGATACATGAAGAAATGCTAAAGGTTAGAAAAGAACACAAATGCGTCAAATCCATACTAAAGGAAAAATAGAACAGGTTCTTTCTTAATATATGTGTGCACTATAGGAGACCTCTTTTTTTTGGGTGGGGAGAACTGCTTTTTAAACACCTCTTTGGTGCTTGGTATCTCATCTTGGGTTGAAAATATTACAAGACTGGGCACGGTGGCACATGCCTGTAATACCAGCACTTTGGGAGCCCGAGGCAGGAGGATTGCTTGAGCCCAGGAGTTTGACACCAGCCTGGGCAATACAGTGAGACCCTGTCTCTATTTAAAAAAAAAAAAAAAAAAAAAGATTACAGAGGCATCAGTCATTTGTACATTCCATTTAAAATCATTAATCTTTTTATGAAATCACTTTTTCCTTAAAATATTGGAAAAACGACAATTTTAGTCTTCTCAAGGGCAGCTATTAAATAGGAACAATTAGATGGATTAAATTATATATTACCTTTTAACGTGTAAAGGAAATGATTAATTTCAGTGTTTTAAATAGCCATACTGACTTTTGTTTGGGCCAATAATAATTCTTTGATATAAAGTTTAATTATAAATCTCACAATTTTTATGGTGTAAGTTTTTTACATTTGAAATAATTGACATATAGGAGTATTTCCTGAATTGGTCAAATTAGGTACAGTTGTGCACTGCATGCTAGTGTTTTGGTCAGTCAGACTGGTGTGATGGTGCTTCCATGAGACTATAATGCCATATTTTTTTTTGTTGTTGTTGAGATGGAGTCTCGCTCTGTCACCCAGGCTGGAGTGCAGTGGTGCGATCTCGGCTCACTGCAAGCTCCGCCTCTCAGGTTCACGCCATTCTCTTGCCTCAGCCTACCGAGTAGCTGGGACTACAGGTGCCCGCCACGGCGCCTGGCTAATTTTTTGTATTTTTTAGTAGAGACGGGGTTTCACCGTAATGCCATATTTTTACTGTACCTTTTCTATCTTTAGATATGCTTAGATACACAAATACCACTGTGTTACAGTTGCCTACAGTATTCAGTACAGTGACATGCTGTACAGGTTTGTAGCCTAGGAGTAATAGGCTATCTTACAGAGCCTAGGTGTGTAGTAGGCTATATACCATCTCCATTTGTGAAGTATTCTCTATGATGTTCACACAACAACACATTTCTCAGAAGTATCCCTAGCATTAAGCAACATGTGACTGTATTTAAATCTGGCTGGTTTTAATTTTTATAACGGTAATATCCATATAAAATAGAAGTTGATTTCTAGCTATACTTGATAATTATACATTTTATTAAGTATTATAGATTGTAAAATAGGAAGATGTAATTTTTAGTTCAGTGAAATTGAGAATATCTACATAGAGTAAAATAAATGTTGGAACGTAAAATTGAAAGTTTTAGATGTTTATCTCTGAATTTTAGATGCCACCATTACCTGTTCTTAAAACCAACAAACAAAATATCCCTTTCTAAATCCTTCTTTCAGAGATTGTTTTATTTTATGGTTTCCCTGAAGCATAGGCATTTAAGCTAACCAGGGATATTTGATAACATGTATATATTTTGTTGATTCAGTTTTGCTGGATCACAGAATAGAAGTTTGGTAATTGATAATTGTACTTATATGGGGTCTTTTAAAACATTGTCATGTCATTACTAATTGCATGTCATGGTTGTGCTTTTTGTTGTCACGTAGGTAATGGCATAACATTATAAATAATAGATATGTTATTATAAGTAATACGTTATTTTAAGTCTCAGTGAATTTGTTGAAAAGAAATTGACTTGCTTCATTTTCTTTATTAAAATTAATTTTTTTATGTTTAGAGTATTTTCTTTAAAGAGGTTTATCTAGGGCCATGTTTGTCATATTAAATCACCCCATCAGCTTAAATACCATAAACCTTTCATTCCTTTGGTATGGAAATTGTGTTGGGCTTTTCAGACAGATTAAAGGTCACCGAAACTTTCAGTAGAGTGTTGAGTGTTGTGAGTACAATCATCAGGGAAATTCAGTTTGAGTACTTACCATTTACAAATCTTTATCCTGGACACTTGTATGTCAGTAACCATAAGACTTCACACCTGCTCTGGTACGTTTAACTCCTTTCAATGTACATATAGATTTAAGAAGTTCCAACTTGAAGTTTCCAGTGCCACCTTCTCCCTTTGAGAGAATCACTTAAATATCATTCTTTGTGCCTTAGCTTCCTTTAGTTCTTGTGCAGTGTAATTTCCTCCCCTTGGAAATGATTTGATTAAATGTCTATAGGACATATGGATAGTTGATTCAAAAAGAACTGTTTATTCATTTGCATTTTGCCAAGTTACGTGCCTTGGATGAATGTGAAGCATGCCTTATATCACAGCTTTATTTCTTGTTTCTTAGAACGATTCTTAGCACACATAAACTGTTCAAGGTATATTACCACTAGAATCTTACCTAATTTTTATAAATCATTTAAAATTGAGAAATCATATTTACAGGACATATTTTTATGCTTGGCATTGGCCTTGTTTTTATAGAGTATAATTTGGATTTTTTGTTGCTTGGCTTCATGTCTTTCCATGACACTATTTTTGGTACATGTTTTAATTATAATTTTAAATAAAAGTAGCTTGTGATCTTATTTCTTTAGATAAGATGAAGATACCTTTTTTGAATTCCAGAGATATGATTGATAGAGGGATAGATTACATGAACTTTCAGAATTCCTTGCCACTTTATCTTTTTGAAGAAGAGTCATCATTGGCTAACACTATAAATCCGAAATGCATCGGTCTTCTTTGTTTTAAGATAAACATTATTCATTCTGTTGTACATTTATCACAGATCATAGTACCATTTAGTAAAGTGAAATTTCAGTAATTTTTCTTTGCTGCATTCTCTTTATTGTATCTGCACCTGTCTCATGCACTTGGTCCACCTTTATGAGCTTGTAAATTAAAAACATACTGTTGCTTGTGTATGTAAAATTTGTAGTATATAACTTTTTTCTTTACCTTCATTCTTTTTTTTATATTTGTAGGAATAATTTCTTGATACTTTACTAGTCTTAAAATATTATCTTGCTCCTAAGTATTGGAGCAGTAATTTTGTTATTTTATTTTTCTTAGTTTCAAGGTTGATATAAAAAAAATTTTTAAATTTCTGTTTATTGTTGATTTGTATTGACGTGTTAGCCTTTGTTAGAATAAATTTTTAGAAATGGTTATAAAGGCTACTCTTTTATTTGCTTGCGTTTTCGTATTTATTGGATTTTTTTTTTTTCCAAAAATTAAGTGACTGAATTGAAGCTCTGCTATATACAAGACACTATGTTTTGTATACTTTGGATTTCATTACACCAGCATGAGCATACAAACAAAAACAGATTTATATATTGTAAGAGCCAGAATGAAAGATTGTAGTTTAGTTGAGCAGCAGTGCATGGCATTAGGATAGCAGTTGGAATTCTTTTGATTAAGGGGAAGTAGTGGTCAGGCAGTATGATTAGTGGGAGCTTTCTGAGTGACTGCATTCCTGACTGATGTTCACTCTGTGTAAGTTTTGTCGTTTCTGCAAAAATCACTGGTTATAGTATCAGAAGAGTGTAAAATTTGTAAAAGTGTATGAAACGGTATGCTTTGAAAAAAAGTTTTAAAATTAGATAATTAGTTAATATATATACATTTATTCATCTTAGTAATTCTTCAGGAGAAGATTTAATAATTTTTTTGTAAAGCAGTGAGAAATAATCAGAAAACATGGAATTAATTATGGACAATTCCCTTTTTAGGTCTAGTACTTAAGTAAAACAACTTGCCCTTTAAGATCTCCTTTTATGCATTAAAAAAAAACTCAGTTGGCATAAAAATGTATTGGGGGTATGAGTTGTATAAAATTTTGATATTGTAGCAATTGGTGTAATATGTTCTTTTCACCCTAATGTGAAACTTAAAACTAGAATTCCCATTCTATGATATTTATTTTTATCACAGTCATATTTTACTTACTTGACAGCAGAGCCCCTAACTGCTTAATTTGCAGTCAGTATGTGTTTCAACCTAGGGAATCAACTCTGTTCATGAACCAGCATAAATGTTAGAGTTACATGTTTGCCTTGGTCACAGGTTATGGGAGACTCCAGAGTGTAGGAGCCTTATAATGTGGGCTGCAGGGCTCAAATGATTTACTTTTAGGCTTACAGGCTTTTAAACATCATTTCCTACTACAGAAATTTTTACAGACAAAACAGGAATGTAAATCAGATAGGTGCTGATCAATGACTTTCTTAGAAAAACGTATCCAGTTTAGTGTAATTTTTTGTATGTAGCTGAAACGTATCCAGTTTAGTGTAATTTTTTGTATGTAGCTGCAATGTTTACATTTATTTACTTTTATCTCCTTTCTATTTTTGTTTTTGTTTTTTTTTGTTTTTTGAGACGGAATTTGCGCTCTTGTGGCCCAGGCTGGAGTGCAATGGTGCAATCTCAGCTCACCGCAACCTCCGCCTCCCGGGTTCAAGAGATTCTCCTGCCTCAGCCTCCCCAGTAGCTAGGATTACAGGCATGCGCCACCACACCCGACTAATTTTGTATTTTTAGTAGAGACAGGGTTACTCCATGTTGGTCAGGCTGGTCTCGAACTCCTGACCTCAAGTGATCCTCTTGCCTCGGCCTCCCAAAGTGCTGGGATTACAGGTGTGAGCCACTGAACCCAGCCTGTTATTTTTATTTCTATTTTTTTTTGGAGGCAGGGTCTCACTTTGTTGCCCAGCCTGGTCTCAAACTCCTAGCTTCAAGTGAGTATTACAGGCATGAGCCACTGCACTTGGCTTCTCCCTTATTTTAATATAGCTCTAGTACAGAGAATCAGGCTGTAGTTTCCAGGCCCTATTGAAAGGAGCAAAACATGTTCATCTTTTATTAGCTTTAATTATCACTCTAAGTCTTATGGTGATAATGCACGTCAAGAGGAAAATGTACGCATTTTTAAGAACTTGGGTCTTATTTGAGTTTCAGTCTTCATAAAATATTTTCTTTGTGTGTTGTTGCTATTTCTATTCTTTATTGTTTTCTTAGGAAAAAAATAAGCTTGGTATCCCAGGTATAAAAACTGCTATGGAAACTAGCAATGTGTGTTAATATGGCAAATATCTCCCTTAAAAAATTTATTTGTTTAGACTGTCCTATAAACACAGCGTTTTCCTCTCTCCACCCTAGGACAAAATACGAACAGAAAGCTACCGAGATTTCATATACCAAAATCCACATATCTTCAAAGACAAGGTAAGTAGTATAGGTTATAGAATTATACATTTCATCTTGTTCTTGGGCAGTAGAAATCCTCTCTTGGCTCATCATTGTGATAGCAATTGATTTAACATCTTCTGTCTGTATTTCATGGAAGACATTTATGATGCTGCTCTGTGGTGCAGAGTACCAATAACAAATGCTGATTGCTGCTGTCATTCAGTATGCTCTTTTTTAAAATTGAAAGTTATTACAATGGCGTAACTTAGTTATAATGACATAGCTTAGTTAAATTTTGCTTATTCAGATAATTTTGCTTAAACCATATTTTTTGTTTACAGTTATTCCCATGAATTTTAAATGTATCAGATAAGCACCATGTCATAGCATACTTTTAATTATTACTCTAGTTTGTGTTAAGTAATTGAGAATTAATGAGTTTAAGAACAATAAGGGTTCACTATGGTAGTATAGTATTTAGTTTATATGCTTTATTTTAATACTTTATTTACCCCATTTAGAGATACTTTGTATTTTACAATTAATTTTAATATTGGCTCAAGTTATTTAAAAAATGATCTTATACCCTGTGTGTGCATGTGCCTGTGTGTTAGAAATTTGTGTTTTTTGGCTTTTCTTCCTTACACTTTTTTTTTTCTTTATTCTCTTTTTCCCTCTCTCTTTTCCTCTCTTTATACATTGGCATGGTTACTTAAAAGTTCAGGTTTTCCGTTTGTTCTTCCTGATGGGAAACTAGTCCCCTAATTTAATCAGGAATATTATGATCTCTGCCATTTATATACCTTTCCTTGGAAATTTTTTCCCACTCTTTTTACTTTGAGAACATGTATATTGATAATGTATCAGGTTGTTATAATTCGGCTTTCATCTCTCTAAGGTTACTTCATGGGGTTTACATGATATGGCAGCAGTAACAACTTTTGTGTTTTAAAAATCCTTTTTCCTGATTTTTGTATTGTTTGGAATATAATCTGGATTGGCTTTTCATTTTCCATACCTCTTTTTTAAGAGCAGTGTTTCACTTGTGAGTTGGCTGAACTGGACAGATATACTGTAATTTATATGGTGCTCTGATCTTTTTGGCCAAAGCATTGCACCTCGTGAAAAGTTTATAATTGTTTGTGCTGATTCCCACCAGAGACAAATAAATGATTTCATTTAAAAATTATAGTTATCAGTTTTTTATATTTAGTTTTTTTTTGTATGCTTTCTATATGTTACTATAGTGGAGACTTTTCATAGTTTTTTTTTTTTTTTTTTTTTTTTTTTTTTTTTTTTTTTTTGAGACAGAGTCTCGCTTTGTCGCCATGCTGGAGTGCACTGGCGCGATCTCCGTTCACTGCAACCTCCGCCTCCTGGGTTCAAGCGATTCTCCTGCGTCAGCCTCTGGAGTAGCTGGGACTACAGGCACGTGCCACCACGCCCAGCTAATTTTTGTATTTTTAATAGAGACGGGGTTTCACCATGTTGGTCAGGATGGCCTTGATTTCTTGACCTTGTGATCCGCCCGCCTCGGCCTCCCAAAGTGCTGGGATTACAGACGTGAGCCACCACGCCGGCCCTTCATAGTTTTTGTATTTGCAAAACAAGTGCTGGAAAGCTTATTTAATGTTTGTCTAAAAACCACTCTGTTTCCAGTGAAGCAAATTATGTTGCTGTTAATGATGTTGCTTTATATTTCTAGTTGGATGATGCCCAGATTTTTATTTTATTTTTTCCTTAATATGTTATATAGAGATGAAACATGAGAATCACTAATCCTGGCTAGTCTGGAACCAGTTATATACTTTTGGGCAAGTGGTGAATCTCTTTGGGCCTAACCTGTAAGGTGATTGTAAAAATTCCTTCTGGTTCTAAAATTCTGTGGGTTTTATTACGGTGAGAGCATTATCATTGTTTTTCTTTTAGCCATCTTCTCTTAATACTTGGTGATAGGAATACCAGAGGAGCTTGTTAAGAAAGTAAGTTAGAATGTTCCTTCAGTATGCTTCTGAATGGACTTGTCTTATAATAGGTAAGTAAATACTGAAAAGGCTCAAGTATTAGTAATCATAAGATTAATCATCAAGATATTAAATATTTTTATTAAAAATGTTTTCTTTCCTTTTTTCCTTCCCTTCTCTCTCCATCCCTTCCCAGCCTCCTTTTCTTCCTTCTTTTCTTAATATTATTTCAATTCACAAAGCTCCTGTGGAGGCCATATGGTTTCTCAGATTAATTTAACTTTGGGTGGTATTTAATCGTGTTGTCACCCACTCATAATTAATTTCTGTTTGTAGTTTATTGAAGAAATTCCCAGTTAGGTGCCTTCTTTATGCTTGTGATTATTATCTACAGTTAAAATTCATTCAGTTTTTTAAGAAAAAAAATGAATCAAATTTCCTCATCATTTTATAAAATAATGTTCATTCTATTTCTACCTCTTTGATTCTATCAAATTTTAGCTAATCTGCTTGATCACCTAATTCTAAGCTAGATGTGATAAATAACTAACATACAATTAAAAATATAGGCTTTAGAAGAAGGTTAACCTGTGTTTGAATGCAGGCCCTACAATTTACCAGCTGTGTGACCCTGGACCTATTTCTTTGCCTCTCTGAAGCTCACATTCTTCATTTGTAAAATGAGAATTAAATAAGGATTTCATACACATACACATATATGCATTTGTATATACATTATATATGAATGTATGTATGGATAGTCTTACAAAAAAACACATACTCTTATTGGAATATACTAAACATATCTTTCTATACTTAACTTTCTTCACTCAGCAGCTTTTCTTGGAGAAATTCCTTATTATCTTTTTACCCCCGTGTTTTTTCTTATGGTAAATAAACATGATACAAAATTTGCCATCTTAGCTATCCCTAAGTGTATAGGTAAGTGGTATTAAATACATTTATAATGTCATGCAGCCATCACCACCTCCATCTCCAGAACTCTTCATCTTATAAAACTGGAACTGTTCTCATTAAACGGTAATTCCCCATTCTCCCTTCCTCCCAGCCCCTGGAAATCACTGTTCTACTTTCTGTCTCTATGATTTTGACTACTCATATACATCATATAAGTGGAATCTTACAGTACAGTCGTTCCTTCAGTATCTGTGAGGGATTGGTTCCAGGACCCTCTGTGGATACCAGCATCCACAAATGCTCATTTACCGGATATAAAATGGTGTAGTGTTTGCATATAACCTGCACACATCTTCCTGTGTACTTTAAATCATCTCCAGATTACTTATAATACCTAATACAATGTAAGTGCTATATAAATAGTTGTTATGCTGTATTGTTTAGAACCGTGACAAGAGAAAGAAGACTTCATGTTCAGTACAGAAGCAATTTGTTTTCCCGAATGTTTTCGATTAGCAGTTGGTTGACTCCCTGGATGGGGAACCCAGGGATATAAAGGGCTGACTGTATTTCCTTTTGTAACCGGCTTATTGCACTTAGCATAATGTCCTCAAGATTTGACCTTGTTACAGCGAATGTCAGAATTTTTTTCATTTTTAAGGCTCAATAATCCATTTTACATATGTATGACATTTTGCTTATCCATTCATTCATCTGTCTATGGATATTTGGGTTACTTATATATTAAAGCTGTTGTGAATATTGCTGCTATTAACATAGGTATACAGATATCTCTTAGGGGCCATGCTTTTAATTCTTTTGGGTATATACCCAGAAATGAAATTGCTGAGTCATATGGTAATTCCATTTTTAATTCCTTGAGAAATCACTGTGCTGTTTTTCACAGTGGGTGTACCATTTTGTATTCCCACCAGCAGTGCACAAGGGTTCCAATTTTTCCATATCCTTAGCAATACTTGTTGTTTTCTAGTTTTTTGATAATAGCTATCCTAGTTGGTGTGAGGTGATATTTATATTGATTTGCATTTTTCTAACGATTAGTGATTTTGAGCATCTTTTCATTAATATTCTTTTAATAGTTCGTATATCCAATGTAAGAATGTCCATAAGTTGTTTCAGTTTTTATGTTAGAAACAATGCTTCATATAAAATATTAAAAATATTTGTATACATATGCGAGCACAATTATAAGGTAATTTGTTAGCACTGGACTCCCTAGGTCATGAAGGGTATATACCATGTATGGTGTCACCAGTTGTGCTGCCAGCTTGTCTTTGGTACACAGCAAGGGAGTGTTGATCTTCCCAGACAGTATCACCAAAGCACTTTCAGCAAACTTCTAAATTCCACACTGATCTTTTATTTTTCATTTTTTAGTTTTGTAAATGTTTTATTTTAATGAGAGTTTCTGGAAACTTATTATATACTGTTCTATTGTGTATATTTTTCTATTTTTTCATTTTCTGCCGTACAGTATTTCAAGTTGAGGTACTATAACTGTACTGGATACATATATACTATGTAGTATACTGTTTTCTTGCCATTTTTGTTACTACGTTTTATTTGGAACTTTTAAAAAATTCTTTTTGTTTGCAGTGATGTATACAGATTGCATGTTAAAGTAAAATTCTTAATGTTTATAAAAGTAATTATGTTAAAATGTACTGACTCACCCAGACAGGCCATGTGTTCAAGAACAGACAAATTCCCACTGAAACCATCTGGGCATAGGATAGGAAGCACAAAGTAGTAGCCTTTCAACAACTTTATTTCTTCAGTGGATATCAGGATGGTTAGATTATCTCTCTTCTGGAGTCAATACTAATAAATTATAATTTCAATACGTAATGGAAAGAGCCGGGCATGGTGACTCCTGCCTGTAATCCCAGCACTTTGGGAGGCCAAAGGATTACAGGCGTGAGCCACCGCGCCTGGCCAGTTTCAGATTTTTATTGTGATCTTTTCCTAGCCAGAAACATCATAATATATGAATAGAATTTAATATAGAGACCTTTTTGATAACATCTGTTTTGTTTTGGTTTTTTCTTAATTACCCTAGGTAGTTTTGGATGTTGGGTGTGGAACTGGAATTCTCTCTATGTTTGCTGCTAAAGCTGGGGCGAAGAAGGTTCTTGGAGTTGATCAATCTGAAATACTTTACCAGGCAATGGATATTATAAGGTACATATATTTTAAGCCTTCATTTAAGATTATTTTAAAATTTAATGATTATTTAATAGATTTTCTTGTCTTTAGTAGCTATCTAAGGCAGACTAAAGACATTTGTCTTTTAGTAAAAATTCACTCCAGAATAATAAGATTTTAAGTTGAATTGAGCTAGACACATTTGAGCTATGCTGCTGAATAATCTTTTCACAGTTCTCATTGATGAGAATTATTTTTATATTGATTTCTGGCTTTCTGACTATGGCTATAAATATGCCAATTCTAATAATATAAAATTAAAAACTATTGATACTTAGAGTAATACTGACAGAGGACTCCCTACTTACTAATATATTTATTATATATTAGTAATATTTTCTTTAGCAAATACCAGTTATACTAAAGACTAAGAGTTATTTGTCTTTTCCTTTTGTAACAACACTAGTCCATGTACCTCCTTCAAATTAAGTAAATTCCAAAGTTGCTGAAAACAAGGCAGAGTGGATTTAGTTTATTACCCCCTAAAACTTTTATTCTCTAAAAATCTCTGTCTTTTGAGTATTTAGCTGGGTTGATTGATTTTACAGTTGGCTTATACCCTAGTGAGAAGGCCTTTATTTGAAATCCAGCTGACACAACTGAATTTCTTTCCCTACGTGCTTAACAAAAGCACCTTACATTTGGAACTTAGGAGTCATTTCCAGAATATGTGATTAATAGGAGGCTTCTCATAGCAACTTTTAAGTGATTCTTCAACTTACATTGCTGTTCCACTCTTAAGATTGATTAATGTTGGCCAGGCATGGTGGCTCATGTCTGTAATCCCAGCACTTTGGGAGGCTGAGGTGAAAGGATTGCTTGAGCCCAGGAGTTCAAGGCCAGCCTAGGCAAAATAGTGAGACTCTGTCCTCTATAAAAAGTGTTTTAAAATTAGCCAGGCATGGTGGTGCATGCCTGTAATTCCACCTACTTGGGAGACTGAGGCAGGAGGATTGATAGACCTGGGGAAGTGGAGGCTGCAGTGAGCCGTGATCATGCCACCGCACTCCAGCCTGGGTGACAGAGCAAGACACTTTCTCCAAAAAAAATTTTTTAAATTTGATTAATGTTGGTCTTTTCTGATTAGTTTAAAAATTTAAATATGATTATATAAAATATTTAAATTTGTTTAGATTTTATTTTATAACTAGAAGGATAGTGTTGTGGTTAGAAGAACAAGTTTGAATCAAGCTTGGGATGTAGTCTTCACTCTACCATTTAACCAGTACTTGGAACTTCGGTTAAAGTACATCTAACGTGTTAGAAATCTCAGTTGTTTCACTGTCAAATGAAACTTATAATGGCTATCTTTTGTGGTTGTAAGTAAGATGCGTAAGTTATAAATAATACGTATATATAAATCAGTTTGGCCTGTTGCCCAGCACATAGTAAATATTTTGAGGTGCATAAGTTCTAAGTAAGATATACATATAAATCAGATTGGCCTATTGCCCACCACATGTTAAATATTTGGAGCGTTAGCTATGGTTATTATTAACAAATACCAAATCAGTGTTAATGGAAAAATTGCCCTGAACTTGTTTAGGTTTTTCATAGATAATGGTTTGTGGTTGCGATTTTTGTATTGGAATACACAAACACACACACACACACACACACACACACACACACACACGTTGCATTTGCAATTATAGAATTACACATACATATATATAGATAGATATCTAGTCAAGCTTTTTCTAGTTCTTATGATACCATTAAGTACAACATGATCATTTTGGGGGTTCCATAGAGAGTACCCTCAATTGCTTATTCATTGCCATCCAAACAAATATGAGAACCACTGTCCCAAAGAAGAGATTGTTTTAGAAGAATTCTCAAAATTTTATTGTTGATAGTAAAATTATGGTGAGCTATTTCTACTAGAATTTCTAGTCTTATGAAAGCTATTTCTACTAGAATTTCTAGTACATTTATGAGTTAGTCATTGTTTTTTACGATAAAATGGGACTAGATGTGCTCTCATTTTAATTTCTTAACTCTATGAAAGAAATGTAAAGGAATTATAATACATTGTTTCATTTTATTTTACAGAAGTCCTGATTCCCATTGTCTTTGTAGAAACATGTTTATGTAATGATTACACCTAAAATTCATCGTTTATAATATTAATATTTAGTGCTAGGGTGTTCATGTCCAAGCTTCTTAGTAAAATATTTAAAATGTTTCTGACATATACATTTAACATTCAATTACTTAATGAGGAAAATGTTTTCTGACAAATTATTGCTAGAAGGAAATTAATTTTCAGTCCTTTTTTCATTGCGGTCATCTAAACACTTCGTGATATATTACTTTTGATCTAGAGTTACAGTTTTGGAGGAACGAGACACTGGAATTAAATGTGTTTCTGGTATATTGATGAGCTCCCAGCGGAAACAATTTCTAAAAAAAATTATATTTTATGATTTTTCAAAATAAATAGGTAGTTGTGTAAATCTTATAATTTAATACCAGTATTAAAAACCTTGAAAATATTTAAAAATATTATTTAAAGATATTCACAGTAATTCTATCCAGATTTAAGAACAATTTTTTTTCTGCCCACATAATCCTAAATATTTTTATTAGTTAGAAGACCTTCTAAAGTATATTTGTCACTGGTGCAGAGCCCAGAATAATTTGGGATTAATAGTCTTTGTTTTTAAAGTCTCCGGGAAAGCTACCAACTTACTTTTAATCAAAGGATGGGTGTCAATTTGCATCTATTAGTATTTTTTCTGTTAAGATAGCATCTTCTACATCAGTGGGCAAAAATAGAAGTGTGAAAGAAATATGTCCCTGATTCAGCAAGTGACATCTGCAGTCACAAAGGAGTGCTTTTCCATGTACTCAAATACAATAAATTGCTCCTCCCTTCTCATCTTTAGATCTTTCACTTATAAAGCCAGAGCTAACAGAATGTCTCTTTAGCAATACTTACAGGATTCGATACAAAGATGTTTTTGAGATAACTTAAAGTTAACTCAGCTAAGTAAGCACATAACTAAAAGTATTTTAACAAGATTTTTATATAGTAATAATGAGATTTAAACCCAGCAATCTAGCATAATAGCTTTTCATTAAAATTATTAGGGTTCAAGATACCTAAGACCTAAAATTTGAGCTCTGTCAGTTTCTTAGGATAAAATAGGTAGAGACATGTGACTTATTTGGATAAGGATCCTCTGTCTGTAATCATTGACTCAAAATACTTGTCTTCAGTCTTTTCTGTGTGTATTTTTGGAAAGGGAGTCTGATCATTTTGTCAGCCAGATTTTTGAATCTCGAACACTAATTTTAATGTAGTGAAGTAGGAAGTACATATGTCAAACTAGTCTTTGCTGTGTCAAATATTTTATGCTTACCAATGTTTATTCTCTCAATCTTGTAAAGTGTCATTTTTGTAAGATTTCCTGCTAGCTCCAAAGTATATCTAGAATCTTTGCTTGAGTGTCAGATGTAGTTATAGGAAGGAAGCATAGATAAGAAGTGCAGTGAAGAAATCAAAATCAGTTTCACTACTGCAAATAATTATTTTCTTGCTGTAATGTTAGCAGTCAGAGAAATAGCATTTGTGACAAAGATCACTACTAACCATGGAGAGTATAACAAAATGACTAAAACTTAAGTTTATATTCAGTTAAAGTACCAATTTAGCTAAGTGAACATTTTGCATAGAGCACATATTTACTATAAATAGGCTTTTGCAAAAAATAATCACATTTTAAAAAATAGTTTTAAAACATTGCACATGAGAGCATATACCTAGAAGCTTAGTGAGGAAAAGTTTTATTATACAGCAGGTTCACAGTTGATTCAGAGGGAACAGCCATGTATTGTGACTTTGTGATAATGGATTT
Source organism: Homo sapiens (assembly GCF_000001405.40). Classification (NCBI taxonomy): domain Eukaryota; kingdom Metazoa; phylum Chordata; class Mammalia; order Primates; family Hominidae; genus Homo; species Homo sapiens. The sequence continues at coordinate 20,411,920 of NC_000011.10, forward strand.
TTAACAAAACAAATTGTATCCACATAAGACTTGTTTTTTTCTAATTATCTATAAAGCTCCTGCATATGTTATTTTCCCCCTTTGTACAGTGTGGAAATTGAACAAGTAGATGTATTTAAAGGACTAAAGAAGCAGACTTATTATTATCTCACAGTTTTTAGTACTAATGACCAAGCTTGTACTCTAGTTGCTTGTTGAATGCTTTGTCACTCAATTCCTAGTTTTCTTTTCAGATGGAAACTATCAAAGGCTATAGTTGTTATTATCAAGATCCAGTGATATTTGTGTAGACCTTTTTGTCTTACCTCATGCTAGATGGCCATGTTTAAGATTCATTATAGACATTATTTTTGCCAATCATTACTAGAGTCATGGTCATCAGAGCAGAGGGAAGCATTTGTTCACCAGATCCATTTTGCAAAAATATGAATTTTTAAAAATCTGTTCACAAAACTGTTGAACAGCTATGTAGTCTGAACCCCCCCCCCACCTTTGTTTTGAAGTATCAGAGAGTTCCTTAAAAGGATTTTTGAAATTTTCAGCCATACATGACAGTAGAGAGAATGATATGAATTCCTGTGTGCCTATCACCCGCGTCTACATTTATCAATTTTTCACGATTTTTTTTATACATTTCCCTCCCACCTTTTTTGTTTTGTTTTTGTTTTTGTTGGAGTATTTTAAAGTGAAACTTATACATTATATCAGTAAATGTGTCCTAATACATTTGAGTGTTGGTGCATGAGAACATTTATTGAAAATGACTTAGCACTCAATCTTTAGATATCCCAGTTTAATAATAAAATTGCTAACATTAATTTAGTTTTTTCTATTGAATCTCCTTTGGTGCAGGTGTAACTGAATCTCCTTTGATGTAGATTATTTATACCTATTATAAGAGATTAAGAGGCTGGGCATGGTGGCATGTGCCTGAGGCAGGAGAATCACTTGAGACTAGGAGTTGGAGGCTGCTAGTGTGCTAGGATTGAGCCTGGGCAACATAGTGAGACTCTGTTTCTATAGTGGGGTCAGAATTAGTTACCAGGCAGCCTGACTCCATAGCTTATCCTCATAGCCAGTTTGCAATTCCTTATCTCCATTGAACTACTTACAAGGTATGTATTGGTTGTATTCAGTAGTTTGCTTTACTTAAAACCTATGGATGTTTGAAAAGCAGGCCTTTTTGTTTTGGATAAGCCAACATTGTACTGTTTCTTCAGAAATGTTCTTTGCCTTTTTTATATTGTGAAAAGGTAGTTATTTTTATAGTGTTCTTATGTGTCTCTCCTTTGTCTTCCATTTGAAATTTTAAAATTTGGAGTGAAATGCCTTCTATTCCTCTGTGAATGTACTTCTAAAAGAATATGTAGGAAACAGTTAATTGTTAATATCACTGCAGTTTACTGACTCATTATTCTAACCAGTTGAGGAGGCCGCATAGCATGCTCATCTCAGCATCCAGACATGACTTGAGTTCTAATTTTTCTTTCACTACAACCCCTTTAAGCCCTGATTTCTTCATTTATAAAATGAGGTTGATGGAGTCTTATCTCATAAGATTGTTACAGGAATTGTATCCGTTATGATGCTTTGCAAAATGGCTGGCCCTGTAACTGCTTACTAAATGTTAGCAGTAATGATAATCATGTTAATTATTAGTAGTGGTCATCTGTTTGGCTTGGCATCAATGCCTCAAATAATATTTTACGTTTGGGTGGTTATGTTTCTAAGATGGACATTTATTGCAGCTATCTTGTCAAACTGTGACTACTTTTTTGTCTTCTTTCTATTTCACAATCTCTATTCTCTTATACCATAAAACTTCAAGCTTTAGTCGTACTCTGTACTCACTTGCCTCTCTTCAACTCTGTTCTTAACTTCTCTGATACTTGTCTATTCTTGCATATTGGAGTTTTCTATAACATCAGTCAACAAAAACAGCTCTTCTGGTTAACAGGCTCTAAGTTGTCCTTATCCCTTCTGAGGCCCTTTTCTCGGTCAGAAGTCTATATACAGCAGAATGTCTTCTGTTAAACTCCACAAGCCTACATCTATAAAAGGCACTTTAAATTCTAAAAGATAGATATTTTAAAAATACATAGTCTTTTATTCCTTCAAACACGTGCAACTTAACAATTCTTGGATTATGTTTAAAATAATTTTTGGCTAGGCATGGTGGCTTAAGCACTTTGGGAGGCTGAGGTAGAAGGATCCCTTGAGACCAAGGAGTTTAAGACCAACCTGGGCAAGATAGAACTGTCTCTACCAAAAAAATAATAAATACCTCTACTAACAATTTTTATCTTTTTTATTTAAAAAGGTGATCTAGCATTTCTAAAGAAATGAGTTTAGAATTGGATACATTTTGGTTGTTACTGTAAACTGACAGTATATCAGGTTTTAAGAAGATTAGGCTGGCTCTTCTGAGGTTGCAGACATGAATAAAACAATATAGATTTTCTGAGATGTTATGTTAGTAAGGGCAAATAGGTCTCAAAGTGACATATGGAAGAGAATCAGAAATTGTTTCTTATTTTTGCTATCATACTTTGAACTCTGCAGTGAAAGATCATTTCGGCAACATAAACTTACCTAAGGATAGCAAAGCTATTCAGTTGCCAGACAGTTGTATACTGTGTTTATTACCCTCAGGAAGCGCAGGTAGCGTCTGTTTAATATTTTTACCATTATTCTGGGTGCCTTTGGTTTCTCATTGACACAGTTATGGAATAGCTCATTATTCAGACTTTCAGATGTTACTGCAGAAGAGTTTTTAGGAGAAGGTTGATCCATCATATGGCCATAATGCAGTACACTCAATCTCAGTTTGACATTAAAGATGCAATCTTTTATATTGCCTGTGTTTAGAATACTGTTAGAAAGGAAACATTAAGAAAAGTCTAGAGAATATTTTGATTTATTGTCATGTTTATGCAGGTGTCCTTCTCTAGACACAAGGACAAGAGCTTTATCCTCATCTTTTTATCCCTAACACCTAACAAAGTGTCTGACACACATAGTAGATGCTTAGTTAAGGTTTTTGAATAAAAGTGAAGTATCTTAAGGTAATGATTTTAAAGACAGTGGTGGTGGTAGTGGTGTGTGTGTGTGTGTGTGTGTGTGTGTGTGTGTGTGTATTTTGGAAAAATATTACAAAATACACCAGCAAAAATTCTTGACATAAGGGATGCTACTTCATATTTTGTTTCTAAGTTTAATAGAAATAACAGAAATGTGAATTAAAGCCAAAGAGAAATTTGAACCACTGATGAGGCTAAAATGGTTTTAAAAAAAATTTGTTCTTCAAAAGCCATAAAACTCTGGTGAACGTCATGAAGGTCATCAAGACACCTTACAGGGAAATTAAATTTATTTCCCTTCCTAGTATACCCCGAAATCCCCTTAATTTCTGATTCACTCCAGTGGTTCTGTCTTTGTGGGGTACATTCCATGACCACCCACTAGTTCAGTGATTTACTGGAAGAACTCACACAATTCAGTATAAAGCTGTACTCACAGCTAGGATTACAGAAAAGGGTATAGTGCAGAAACAGCAGGAAAAAGATGACCATAGGCAAAGAGGTCACAGGCAGACTTCCAAGGTATCTCTCTCACTTTTTCCACTAGTTATACAAGACTTTCTTTCCTCCCCAGCTTCATACCTCAGAGGCACATGTGAGATGTCTCTACCCAGGGAAATTTGCATGAGTCTTAGAGACTGTAGTTCTCAAAGCTAGCTGGTCAAGTAGGCATATTTCCACCATGTTGACCAGCCATGGTATACACCCAAACCAGGTAACAAGTGTGCATGATGAATCTTCATGTTTACTTTAAACATATTGTCAACCTGCTTCATCTAAACCTACTGCTTCAGGTAAAATAGAGTAACATTATTATTCTGCAATCATATGAGTGATCTGGGAGTTCTTGTTCTTAGAGTTTGATCAAGAATCATTGCCATGGCTATAGAGATCTAAGCAAGAACTGAGTAAAACAAAACAGACCTGCTGCATTCACTCATTTCTTCCGAGTTGTAAACCTGGGATTCATACTTGACATTTTCTTCCCCTTTACCCAACATACCTGTTGGAGACAGAGTCCTGTTGAGTATCCTTAATGTTTCTCAAATGTGTCTCTCATCTATCCATGATGTTTCTCATGTCTTACTTTACATTCTTAGATCTCTCACCTGAATTAATGCATCTGCACTTAACTGGACCAGTTGTTTGTACTTTGTCTTTGCCTCCCACCACTCTCTGTCATCTGTTCTCTGTAGTGCAGCCAGACTGATTTCCCCACTTAATTCTCCTCTATTTTAAATAAAGAGGAAGAAGGGGTGGGGGGAAGATATGTTTGTCTTGGGAAGACATAAAAGAGGGTAAATTACATATGATTCTACTATCAGAGACTACTATCAACATTTTGGTATATTTCTTGCCACTCTCAAAAGCCTTAGGTCACAGAGATGAAATTCATAGGAATGTAAACTTTACTAAAATATCAGCTCCCCGTGGTGTGGCAGGAATTTTTCTTTTTTTCATTCTTTAATGTGTCCCAACTACCAGGAAGGGGACCCAGCACATCCTAGGCATTCAGTGTAAGTACTTATTCAATGAATGAATTAATCAATTTTCAAGATTTGGGACATTACATATTCAAAGCCAGGTAAATCATTGTCACCAAAGCCTGCAAACCCATTGTTTCTGATAGATTCCAGATGACTATTTTTATATTTTTTCACTTTATTAGAACTGAGTTATTGCTAATTTCGAACAATAAATGTCCTCAGTGTTAGTAATTCCACAGCTACACATTTGTAAATAAAGATGATACATTTGGGAGGGAGCAGCTCATAGAATAGCCCGTTATGGTTCCAGGTCTATGCCCCATACCTTCTTGGTAGTTCGTTTCTCATGGGATGTGTGTAAATCTACCCCCAGCTTCATAATGTTTAAGAATTCTTGCTTTTTGTTGACATTTATGAATGAAGGACTGGATACTTTAATAAAGATAACTGGCATAGGTTTTGTCTCTGAGGGGAAAGGGTGGAGACTGGTCAGTTTACAGTTACCCCCGTAATGTTTTAGTCCCTTTATCACTCCCACTTTGTAAACCTCTTGACTCCAATGGTTTGCGTTGTGAAGAATGGCTCCACCTCCACTGTCATGCTCGCTGACGTGTGCACTGAGTACTGGGTCTTTCTTCACAGGTTTACCAATATAATTTCATTCCCTTTTTTCTCTCACTGAATTATGAGATTCTTTGGCTCTTTGATATTCCCTTCCAAAATCTCCATGCATTTATCAGTGTCTTACATTTTACGTTATTGTCATTTCACTGTTCTTAGGGAGCAAAAGAGAAATAAATATGTATACTTCGATGACATATTGAACTGAAAGTAAATGAATAGTATATATTGTATCTATTTATATCTATTAGGATATTCCTTTCTTCTCCCCCATAAGCTATCATCCATATATTCTAGGTGAACTTTAAATTTGTTTTATCACTAACTTTAAATGCACTCGATTAGGTGTTCATTGTATGAACTCACATGTACTTTATGCTGTTTGCTTGTCTGTCTCCCCACTAGACCATCTTCTTCTTAGAACATAGACCGTATCTTTTACCTAAATCACATAGGGAAAATGTAGATTGAAAATTTAATCCTATATTTTTTATTCCAAAGATCCTGAAATGACTCTTCATTATCTTTAAGTAAAATATAGACTTGAAGATAAGTCATAGCATTACCTCTAAATATCCCCCAACTATGTCACTGTATACTATCTCTTGTTGCTCTAGTCATACTAAACTGTTCAGTTATTTAAATTTGCTTCTCTCTCTCTCTCTGTCACACACACACACACACACACACAGGAGGCAGTTGTGCACAGACACAACCCTCTTCTACTCCCATACCTGTACACATCTTTGTGTATGCTGTGTCCTTTCCTGGCTAAGCTCAGATGTCACTTAGATAAGGATTTATCATTTGAGCTTCCATAGTCCCCAATCCTGTTTACTGTTCTGTCTCTCTTAGACCATACCCGTAAGTGCATGGACTGTGTCTTTTATCTCTGTATGCTTCGTGCAAGATAATTAATCATGATGATGTCCCTGTATCATGAAGTGAAAGTTAAATTGCTACTTTTAAGATAGGAAATAAGATAGGAAAGTATGTGTTCTAACAAAATTTCCCCTCAGAAAAAGTTGATAATTTCATTTTTATTGGATTAGTGAAGAGAATTACTTAAAGATATCCTTTTTATTACCTCGTCATAGTTCTCTACATTAGAATCATGCTAGTTTTTCAGTAGGTGTTTCCAAAGATAAAGATTCATTTGGTTTATACTGAAGTAGGGTTTAGTGAGTAGCCACTTGAGAAAACTAAGTAAAATCTGTATATTTTTTTCACGAATGGAAAAAATCAGGTGGTGATTAACAGTCTCATGAAAGAGGTTTTCTGTGTCAGTGATATCTGTTTTAATACAAAATTAATGGGAATTACAAGGCTTTGTCTTTTTTCCTGTGTTTTCCCTTAAGTCATAATCTTTCTTGTTATAGTCATATTTGAACAAATAATTTCTGATACAAATAGGTTTATAACTTGTAGCAGACAATAAACAGGCCTAGCAGATGGTCTTTTACAGAACACAGATCTTGTTTCGGCATAACCATTCTGAAGATATTTTTAAGCAATGGGAACATTTTTCTCTTTTAAAAGAAGCTTGCCTTCAGTTTTCTTTGAAGTGTTTGTCATTGTTAAAGCCTTAATCAGTATTTTGGTAAGCAACAAGCAACTATAGCAATTTCATCAGAATTTTATTAAATACCCTTTTGAAAAAAAAAACTCATAAACATTTCTGTAAAACTTTTTGTATGAAATATGTAAAATGAGTACATAAAACATCAATAAACATGTTTAATATGCATAAGTATCCATAAATAACAAATGAAATTAAACATGTAGTAACCATCACCCAGGCCAAGAGAACTTTGCCACCAATTCAGAATCCCACCCACCTCCACTGCTCTTTCTCAATCAGATGGGCTGGTATGAACAATTTTGTTATGATCAGTTTTTACATGTGCCTTGGTGCACACATCTGGGGGGTGTATACTTAGAAGTAGAACTGTGGTCCTTAGGGTATACATATCTTCAAATTTCCTAGATATTGCCAGACTATTTTCCAAAGTGATTATACCACTTTATCTTACACCTATAGTATGTAACAGTTGTGGTTGGTATTATCCACCATTAAAAAATGTTTCCAGTCATTTGTGTAGCAGTATCTCATTGCAATTTTAATTTTTGTTTCTTTGATTGCTAATGAAACTGAGCACCTTTTCATGTGATTGTTAGCAATTTGGATTTCCTTTTTCTGTGAAATATCTGTTTATGCCTTTTGCTCAGGTTTCTTTTGAGTTGTGTCTTGTTCAAGTATTCATAGGCAATCTATGTGTATATTTTGGACTTGAACTGTTGATAGGTTTTATGTAACGTGAAAGTCTTCTCTCATTCGTGTTTGCCTTTTCACCCTCTTTGTCATATCTTGATGATCTGAAATTCTCAGTTTTCATATGGCAACATTCTTATTTATAGTTGCCACTGTTTGTGAGTTGAGTAAGGAATCTGTACCTTTTCTTAGGTTATAGAGGGTATATTTTCTTGTAAGTGCTTTATAATTGTGCTTTTTACACTTAGGCATTGATTTTTGTATATAGTATGAAGTGGTGGTCCAGTTTTGTTCCTTTTTTTGGTATTCTCTTTAGATGACCCAGTTGTCCTGGTCCCATTCATTATTCTTTGTACTTACACTATCATTTTTATCAAGAATCAAGCATCATTATATGAGGTCTTTATAACTTTTATACTAAAACTCCATTAAGGCAGTAGAACCGAAAATCACAAGTCACTCATTCATGAATGCAAATGCAAGAATCCTAATAAAAATATTGGAAAGCTAGGCCAGGCACAGTGGCTCACGCCTGTAATTCCAATACTTTGGGAGGTCAAGGTAGGTGAATTACTTTAGGCCAGGAGTTCGAGACCAGCCTGAGCAACATGGCGAAACCCTATCTCTACTAAAAATACAAAAATTAGCCCAGCATGGTTGCACATGCCTGTAATCCCAGCTACTTGGGAGGCTGAGGCAGGAGAATTGCTTGAACCCTGGAGGCGGAGGTTGCAGTGAGCTGAGATCGTGCCACAGCACTCTAGCCTGGGTGATAGAGCAAGACTCTGTCTCAAAAAAAGAAAAGGAAAACTGAGCAATAAATTGGGAAGTAAAGTTTATTCTAGGAATGCAAAGTTGGTTAAATATGAGAAAATCAGAAAAATCTATTGAGCGTCTCAAGAGATGCAGTATAAAAGTCTGATAAAATTTAGTATCCATTCAATGTATCTATGTATTTAAAACTGTTAGTAAACTAGAGTTAGAAAGCAGTGTCCTAATATGATAAAGAACAGGGGTCCCCAATCCCCAGGCTGCGGATGAGTATCTGTGGGTGTCCTGTGAGGAATTGGGCCACACAGCAGGAGGTGAGCAGTGGGTGAGTGAACATAATCGTCTGAGCGCCACCTCCTGTCAGATCAGTGGGGGCAATACATTTTCACGGATTGCAGGCGCTATTGTGAACTGCGTATGCGAGGGATCTAGGTCGTGCATTCCTTACAAGAATCTAATATCTGATGATCTGAGGTGGCAGTTTCATCCCAAAACCATCTCCCACCCCCAGGTCCATGGAAAGATTGTCTTCCACGAAACTGGCCCCTGGTGCCAAAAAGGTTGGGGACTGCTGATAACAGAATATCTATAAAAACAAAACCTACAACCAGTATTGTGATGAAGCATTGAAAGCATTCTCTTTAAGTTCAGGAACAGGACAAGGATACCTTTCATCACCTCTTCTATCCAACACCATAAAGGAGATCCTAGCCAATGCACTAATATGATAAAAAGAGAAGTATAAGAATTGGATGTGAAAAAACAAAACTGTTTTTATGTTTATGTATGTTTATGAATACATACATTAGAAAGAAGCTATAAACAAATTACAGTAAAAGTATCAAGATGCTGAATACGTAATTAATCAGAGTTTATTATTATTATTTTTTGTTTGTTTGTTTTTTTGAGACAGGGTCTTAGTTTGTCATCCAGGCTGGAGTGCACTGGCAAGGTCATGTCTCACTGCAGCCTTGACCTCCCAGGCCCAAGTGATCCTCCTACCTTGCTTCTCGAGTAGCCGGGACCACAGGCTCACGCCACCGTGCCTGGCTAGTTTGTTTATTTTTTGTAGAGACAAGTTCTTCCTATGTTGCCTAGGCTGGTCTTGAACTCTTGGGCTCAAGCAATCCTCCCGTCTTGGCCTCTCAAGATGCTGGTATTATAAGCATGAGCCACCACTCCTGGCCTATTGTTAATATTTTTAACCTCCTCCCAGACAATGCAAGGACATTAAGTCACTTTAAATGGAAAATTCACCCTGGGGATGAACATCCCCCAATAAATGTTGGCTGTGACTCATGGGTCAGCTGTTTTAATTTCTTCCTCCCCACTACCTTCTGACCTTGATCATTATCTCCTTGCCATATATTTCTCAGGTATCTTTTGTTTTATTGTTTTCTGCAATCACTTATGCAAAGAATAAGTCTCCAAAAACCCTTAATGACCACCAGAATTTGAACTGTCCTCTACAAAGCTTGTTAATAATTTCTTCGTAGAACCCTCATCTAATTTCTCTTTTTTACATCATTTTTCAAAAACCATTGAGTCCTTGGTTATTTTTTCCCTTGTCCTTTCTTTCCTCTCTTTGATTTTCCTTTTCCTTTCTATGTTAAAAACATCATGTGGGCCCCGTGCTTGTTAACTGAGCCAGTCAATGAGATAGTGCCTCCTGAATATTCTCTTAGCCTCCTAACGGTAAGATTACATAAAGTACTCGAGAATGGGGAGTTGCTAATTTCTACATACATTGTCACCTGTGTCCATAGCATTAAATTCTATTGTTATCATAAAGCCTATCTAAGTTCAGTTGCACTCCTAGCATGCCTACTCCTTCAGAAGGACTGTTTGCTTTATATGTGGGGAAGAGAGTATGGCAGTTACCCCTCTTGCGGTAGGTATGCTGCAATCCTACTTTTACTCACTGTAGCAGATTAGTTGTCATACCACCTGGAAGAATCTCTTCACAGCCACTTGGGGATCAATCAAGCCAGTAATCCCTTCTACTCAGTAGTATGTAAAGTAAGTGATGTGTTTCCCTGATTGTTAATTCTGAGAATTTATGCCAGTAGTAAATGTTGAGAGTTTATGCCAACAGTGAATCACCAGGCTTTTTTGGTGTTTCTCTGTAAAACAGTTTCTTTTTTTTTTACTGAATACTCTCAGAACATAGTAGTCCCCGAAACTTGTCCTCTAACTGTCTGCATTGTCTTTGTGACAACTCATAGTTTTAAGTTCATTACTTTCCTGTTGAATACTTCATTTTTCCAGGTAGACGTAAAAGCATAAGAAGTCTTTCAGTGAGGAAAAACTCTCTCTTGCCACCATTTCCTCTCTAAAAAGACTGACATTTATTAGAAACTAGTAACAGCCAGAGAATGGGATTTTTCACTATCTTCCCCTCTGCGTACTATTCCCTATCAGTCCACTAGCAGGTTCTCTAAATCTTGCCATTTCCTACCGAGGTTAGGTAGGCAAACATCCTAGGATTCAATCCTCTGCCAGTTTTCTTTTTTTAAATTCCTTCCTTTTTCTGACTAAAAAAATTATTTAGGCTTTGTGATTCATGGGTCTGCAAGAGAGTCCTGCACACAGCACCATCCTGAGCTAACATAGTTTCAAGTCAGACACACGTGAACCTAATTACCCGATATTACCAAGAGAGATTACCCAGTTTTAAACTTTATTAATAATTTCAAAGGTACAGGCAATCAGGGGACTCAGAAGAAGTAGGGATCAACCTGGCACATAGAGCAAGGCTTCTTACTGTGTGAATTGATAACCCATCCACCCCATTTGAAGACCTTTTCTACTCTGGGCCAGAGATTGTGTAGCTTATGTAGGGAAGGAAGGACCGAAGCAGCTGCTTTTAATATCCCAAATCTCTTAGTCTGGACTTCCTGATTCCCTGTATTTTAAAAATTATTTGTAAAGCTTGACACTGGGTAAGATCTCTGGTTCATGTGAGTTAGATTTGACACTCTGATCTTATGTATTCTTTCACCCACATATGTCCATTCACTTCTCTCATTTCTTCCTTTTTCCCAGACCATCTAGGACCAGTTTTCTTCTTCTTGAACTAATTTTTTAATATTTCCTTCATTGTACATTTATGTCAGTAGCCAAAGAGATTGTTGTTAGTTGGTCTGAAATGTATTTTGCCTATAATTCTGGGAGATATTTTTCTCTACATATAGAATTCTACATTGGCAGTAATATTGTTGTACAGGAGTTGGTAAACCTCAGTCCATGGGCCAGCTACCTGTTTTTGTAAGTAAAGCTGGAACACGGCTGGGCCTTTTTGTTTACATATTGTCTATTGCCTCTTTCACACAGAAATAGCAGTTGAATAGTTGCAACAGAGATCATATGTCCTGCAAGTCTAAAATATTTTTACTTCGGCAGTTTAAGAAAAGGTTTGCTAGTTCATTGGTGATATTCTACTATCTATGGCTTTCATCGTTGCTATTTTAAGAAGTCACCTGTCAGAACAATTGTTATTCCATTGAAGATAATTTGCCTTTGTTGATTTTTTTTCTCTGATTTTTTTAAGTATTAAAGATTTTAAAGAATTTAGTCTTGAGATTCATTGGATTACTTCTGTCTGTGGCTTAATGCTTTTTATCAGTTCCAAAAAGTTCTCTTGATCCCGGGAGTTTGAGGTTACAGTGAGCCATGATCACACAACTGCACCCCAGCCTGAGTGACAGAGTGAGATTCTCTCTTAAAAAAAAAAAAAAAAAAAAAAAAAAAAAGGCCAGGCGCGGTGGCTGACGCCTGTAAACCCAGCACTTTGGGAGGCCGAGGCAGGTGGATCACGAGGTTAGGAGATCGAGACCATCCTGGCTAACACGGTGAAACCCCATATCTACTGAAAATACAAAAAATTAGCTGGGTGTGGTGGCGGGCGCCTGTAGTCCCAGCTACTCGGGAGGCTGAGGCAGGAGAATGGTGTAAACCCGGGAGGTGGAGCTTACAGTGAGCCGAGATCGCGCCACTGCACTCCAGCCTGGGCAACAAAGCAAGACGCCATCTCAAAAAAAAAAAAAAAAAATTGATATGGGAGTGCAAATGATCAAGAATAGCCAGAAGGATTTTTAAAAAGAATAAACTTTAAGGAGGTACTATCAAATTTCTTGGCTGAATTTAAAGCTATAGTAATGAAGAAAGTGTTGTATTGGCATAAGGATACACATCTAAATTTGGGGGCAGAATTGAAAGTCCAGAAATAAATCCACACATACATGGTTGTTTTTGACAAAGATATCAAAGTAATTCCGTAAGTTAGTGATAGTTTTCCCAACAACATTGAAACTGTCACTGTTGATAGTCTGTCCAACAAAGTTTTTTCAACACTGTATCAGTAGTTATTGATATGGGGGAAAAATGAACAAGATACATATGGGAAAATTAAATGAAAACTGAAAACATTTTAGGAGAAAACATAGGTGAAGTATTTGGTGTAGGCAAAGATTCCTTAGATATGTCACCAAAAGCATGAACCATAAAAGAAAAAAATGATAAGTTGTTCTTTATCAAAGTTAAAAACTTTAGCTATTCAAAACATACCATTTAAAAAATTAAGAACCAAGCCACAGTATGGCAGAATTACTTACTGTACATAAATCTGACAGAATTTATGTCCAGAATATGTAAAGAACTCTTAGAATTCAGTAATAAGAATACAACTGGGCTAAGTGTGGCAGCTCATGCCTGTAATCCCAGCACTTTGGGAGGTTGAGGTAGGTGGATTGTTTGAGACCAGCCACAACATAGAGAAGCCCCATCTCTACAAAGAACACAAATATTAGCCAGGCATGGTGTCACGCACCTGTAGTCCCAGCTACTCAGGAGTCTGAGGTGAGAGGATCACTTGAGCTTGAGAGAGGTTGAGGCTGCAGTGAGCTGTCATTGCACCACTGCATTCTAACCTGGGCAACAGAGTGAGACCCTGTCTTTAAAAAAAAAAAAAAAAGAAAGAATACAACTGACCTGATGTTTTAAATGGGCAAAAGATTCGAACGAAAGAAGACATGGGAATATGGCAAGCAAGCCTAGAAAAAATGCTTGATCATTAGGAAAATGCAGTTTATAACCACAATGAATTCTTTCTACACAGTGAAAATTTCGAAGATCAACAATAGTGATTATTAACAAGGATGTGAAGCAACAGGAATGCACATGTATTACTGCTGGAAATGTCAAATTGTTTATATGCTTTGTAAAACAAGTTGGCAGTTTATTTAAAAAGTTAGATATACACTACCATTTGATGGAGCAATTCTGCTTATACACAGATGTTTATACCAGCTTTATTCATTATGGTCCAAAGCTAGAAGCAATCCAGAATTACATACACAGGTGAATGTATAAACAAAATTGTGATTTATCCATGTGGTGGAATACTACTCAGCAGTAGCAAGGAACAAACAAACTACTGATATACACAAAAGCATACATGAAACTAAAAAAGCATCATGCTTATTGGAGGAAGCCAGGCACAAAAAGAATCAGCACGATTCTGTTAGTATGAAACTCTGTCTGTAAAATGCAACTCTAATATATAATGAAAGAAAGAAAATCAGTGGTTGCTTGTGGATGGGGAGATTTTCTGGGATGGGCACTAATCTTTGGGGGAAGAGGAAATGTTCTATATATTGATTGTGGTGGTCAACAAAGTATCTGTTTTTCGGAATTTAACAAAACTACCCTAAAATGAATGCACTGAATTGTTTGTAAATAATACCCAATGAAGTTAAGGGGTACAATTTCTTCTTTGATGCAGGAAAAAAATCCTCTATAGTTACAATGTACATTCTGAGAATTGAGAATTTATTAATCAGATGTAAACTTAACCAGCAGCTTACATTCACCTTTGTGAAAATAACTGTTGTTTCATATTACAGAAGAAGGGGAAATATTGCTAATCTTATGATCAAGTGTATAAGAACATCTAATGAGTGCCACTGGTCAAGGTTAATTTTTGATAGTGATAAGATTTCAGGTTTTAACACTTAATGTTTTGTTGTTGATGATAGTGTCATTGTTTATAGATACATGTATAGCTTTCACAAGTATTTGATCCTCTTAATAGCCTGTGACGTAAATAGGGTCGGTATTATTCTCTTTTACACAGGAGTAGCACAGGCTCAACGAAATTACTTAAAAATTTGGTGAAGATCACATAGCTGACAAATGCTAGAGAATCTGGGGGTTAAATTATGGGCTTGGGGCTTCAAATTCTCTCACCCCTATGACAGACACAACACTTCCCTTTAAACCATACTTTTATATGTCTTATATGTCTGTCTTCACCACTGTGTTGTTTGTTTTAAAGACATGTAACTTCATTGACATGTTATTCTTGATAAAATTTGGATTTCTTTTCAAACTCAGATTTTAAATATTGGTTCACTGTATTGCCATATTAACCACAAACATCTTTGGGCATGCATGGAGTAACCATAAAATAATTACAATGTCCAAAGAACAACTAAGCTTTGATTGAAATACTTTTTTGTCCCACAAAACAATACGAGTTGTTGGCAAAAAATTATGTAATTTAACTAGCTTTCAGAATCTGTTTAACCTACTAATCTAATTCATTATAATTTTCAGACTAAATAAACTTGAAGATACTATTACACTAATTAAAGGAAAGATTGAAGAAGTTCATCTTCCTGTAGAAAAAGTAGATGTTATCATATCTGAGTGGATGGTGAGTGTTTATAGAAAAAACTACTTTCACTGGTAAAATGAAAAAACTTTTTTAAAGTAATAGTTTTCATGAATTTAATTATATTTGATACATGGCAGAATGGTGACATTATTTTTTAAGTAGCTACATTAGATACTATAATGTGTAATTTAAAAAAATAGCTACAGTCTTCTTACTGTAGTTTATTCTGAAATGGCCCTTATTTATTGGCTATTCATAATCTTTAAAAAGTGATAAATTATCTTTTTTATCTTAAAAGTCCTGATAAATTATTTTTCTACTTTCTAAGTTTTAGATACCTAAGTGTTTGCCTGAAAGCCTCCAGGGACTAATAAGAACTCATTAGGACTGTTTCATCAAAATTAACATGATATTGCCACCATTATCATACTGAATGTCCTATCTTTCTAATCTGTTGGGCCATGTAATCAATGTCCATTATCACATAAAATAGAATTTATTGCTGTTACTGAAATATTAAAAGGAAGGTATGTTACATAGCTTTATAATTTGCTGTTGAAATCTTTTGTCAAGACAGAATGTTTATTTTTAAATATATGGAAATAAAATTAATGGAGTCTGGGTATGGTGGCTCACACCTTTAATCCCAGCACTTTGGGAGGCTGAGGCAGGTGGATCACCTGAGGTCAGGAGTTTGAGACCAGCCTGGCCAACGTGATGAAACCCCATCTCTACTAAAAATACAAAGATTAGCTGGGCGTAGTGGCAGGCACCTGTAATCCCAGCCACTTGGGAGGCTGAGGCAGGAGAGTGGCTTGAACCCAGGAGGTTGGAGGTTGCAGTGAGCCAGGATCACGCCACTGCACCCCAACCTGGGTGACAGAGCGAGACTCCACCTCGAAAAAAAAAATGTATTTGACAGCTGATTTGACTTACTGATATGTCAATTTGACAGAAATAAACTGGATAGTGTTTCTAATAAAGATTTTTAAATTATTTTGAAATAATTTTTTTCCTTAAAGTTCTGTTTGGTAGATATATTTTCATAAAATTTATCAAAAAATTTTGAAAACATTGAGTTTTGCTTTATAATTTTTTATAAATTTTGAATAAACATAGTTATAATCCTAGTGAAATAGATGTTTCAAGGAACTTTTGGAATATTCAGATTTAATGTAGTAGTGTAGGGAGTTCCAGTCTAGAGCTGATGACAGTCACAGTTGTTGACAGTTACTATTTTGTATGTGAAACAGTATGTTGATTTTTTTTTTAATGCTAAGATTGGCCTTAAACAACCTTTAGTCACAATATCAGTATTCTCACACCAAAGAATTTGTATCAGCACTCTGATTTCTCATGAATTGAAAGAGTAGATATGAATTAAAAATGTAATATTTCTTTAAAGACTATGAAAAGATGCTTCTGAGAAAGCACATTTGAGGCATATAGACAAGAATTTTAAATAGTTTATGCTGTATATTTTACTCTTCTTAGAAAATGCATCTTTTAAATTACTCCAAAATAGACTTTATAGGCAAACCAAAAGAAAGACTTGTCCAAACTTCCTGTTACCTCAGTTGAACATTATTATATATCTGATTACAATAACTAATGGGATAGTTCTTGCTCTGCCTAGCAGAATTATACTGCTGGATATTGATGTTCTAGGATTTTTCACTTCCAAATCTGAAAGATGATCTAGAATTATTAATAGGCAATTGATATCTTAGAGCCAGCTGGTTTAATAACTGCAGTTAGCTGGATTGAATGAATTCATGAGATTGTCTTTATGATGTGAACTTTATTGAAAGTTGTACTGGAATCCATTTTGTACCCTTCTGCTTTCTTCTGTACCAAGGAGGGCTAACCCTGCAGGCTGCCTTTACCAAGCTCCTATGATGGCTAACTTCTGCTGAGTTTGGGGAACCCAATGGGAAACACTAGAAACACTAAATCTCCCAAGATTTAAGAAAGGGAGAAGCCAGGGCATTTCTTCCCTTCTTACTTTATCTCTAGTGTGTTGCTGGCAAAAGCTATTTCTTTTGTGGTTCCACTTCCCACCGAACAGGCATGCTGAAATTCCAGCATCCACTGTGCAACCCCAGCCCTGGGTTCTTGTAGCAGTAGCCTAGGAATGCTAGTTACTTGTGGGCATTGTCAAGTCTGGTTGTCTCACTCTCTTGATGACTGCTCATATCTTTTATCCTCTGTATAAGTGACTTTTGACATTAAATTTCCTCTATTTTAAATAGCTTTTGTGGTTTCTCTTTTCCTAGTTTGTGCTTGTAACTCAGCAGTCCCTAGACTTCTTGGCACCAGGGTCCAGTTTCATGGAAGACAGTTTTCCCATGGATTGGGGGATGGGGATGGGATGGTTTCAGGATAAAACTGTTCCATCTCACATCATTAGATTCTCATCAGGAGCATACAGTCTAGATCCTTCACTTGGGCAGTTCACAATAGGGTTCACGCTCCTGTGAGAATCTAATGCCACTGCTGATCTGACAGGAGGCGGAGCTCAGGTGGTAATGCTGGCCTGCCACTCACCTCTTGCTGTGTAGTCCAGTTCCTAACAGGCCACGGACCAGTACCCATCCCTGGCTTGGGGGCTGGGGACTTGCTCTAACTGAAATAAAGAACACCTTTCACTTCAGAGCGTTGGTCAGGTAAGACCTCTCTCTTCATCAGGAAGGCAGTCACTGGAGTCACTGGAGCCTGAGATGAAAGGAGCCAGTTGTTTGGAAGCCAAGGTTCTTCGAAACCAGTAATGAAAAACAAATCAGTGTATTCAGGAAGGGATAACTAAGAACTTTTCTTCTTCCTCACCACAAAGGTGTTACTTAAGCATTTGTATTATCTCACTGTCTGCCTTTCCTTGTTTTAAGTGAGTTGAAGTCTAGCAACTGTTTTAAGTGCTCTAGGTGGGGCATTGGACACTAAACTTACAGCAGTTATTCTATGGCAGTCAGCTCTGGATGGCCTTATTTCTCTGGTGAAATTTGCATTTAAGGCTTAAGAAGGCTTGTGCTAAATTATTTTCAATCATCTTTGTGGATTGGAAATATCATTTATGGTATCTTCTAAATCCTAGAAGTCCCTAACTTTATTTGGTACTTTCATTAGGATTTTTGATTTGAGAAGCTGGAAAACATCAATTACATAATTAAACAAAGGGCAGGTATGCTTTCTAAACTTTATCCTCCATGTTTCAGGCGCATTGGCTGAAACAGTAGGCAAATGGTAAACAACTATTTTAAATCTGTAGCCACATTTTCATGAACCAGCATTTTAAACTTAAATTGCACAGACTCCTGTCTTTATTTATTTTATTTTTTACATACAACATAATAAAGATGCAAAAATCTAGAATGAACCATAGTTAAGCATTTTTTTTCTCTTTTTACAAGTATTTTCAACAAGGAAAGACAAAAATAGAATATACCCTCCAGAATTGGGCACAGATGTTTAATGGATGTGTAATCCGGTATAGCAGTGTAGAAATCATATAGCAGAGATGTACATGTTTTCTTCTACTGTGGTCCACTAACTATTCCATGGCTTAATCTAAATATGTTTCTAGTCTGCACCTGTTCATGAATTTTTGTCTTTATTTTGGAAGATTTTTCTAGATAAGAATGTAATTTTAAAAGCTAAATTATTGCTGTTAGCATGTTATTTAATAAACAATCACTTGGCTTGCATTAACAAATTTCCAGTTCTAGGCTTGCCTTTAATTTTATATTTTCATTTTTGTTTTTATTTAAGAGAAGTTTTCTTTTTATTTTATATATTTAAGGTGTACAACATGATGTTTTGATTTACACAGTGAGATTATTACTGCTGTCAAATTAACATGTCTGTCATCTCACATACTTACCTGTCTTTCTGTATGTAATAAGAGCACCTAAAATCTATTCTCTTAGGAAATTTTTCATATACAATACAATATTACTAACTGTAGTCATCATGCTCTACATTTTCATTTTTATCAGATGGAATTTCTGTTTGACAAAATTGTTTCAGTTAAATGTAAACAGTTTAATCCCTGGAAGATGTTAATACCTATGTCTTTGTGTATGTGTCCTCATTTTTTACATTTTAGTCTACCAATAGAAGTTCTTGTTTTGAGAGCTGTTCTTTATTGCTTCTTATTTCTGCCTACTTAATAAAACTGTTCAAAATAAGCATCCCTAATTCCGACTCAGTAAGCCAAATTGACTCATTTGGTGTTGCTATATTTCCTCTATGTTTTCAGCATAACTTTGCAAACACATAGACTAAGTCCACGAGGCTTAGCATTAGTAAATGATGACGGAATGTGAATTGTAAAATTGTAAGAGAACGTTCCCAAACAGAAATTCGCTGGCCTCAGACATTTATAATTTTATGTACAATACATGAAGGCATGGAGATATAGTATATGACAGGGTTAAGAATGTTGCTCCAGAGGCAAACTACCTCCATTCTTGGGCATGTTACCTCTCTGTGCCTCAGTTTCCTTCTCTATAAAATGAAAATAACAGTATTACCTACTTCATAAGGTTTTTTTGTGAGGATTAAATGAGTTAATACATGCAAATTTCTTAGAACAGTTTCTGGCACATAAGATCTCAATAACTTAGGTATTCAGTTTTGAAAGTTATACAAACTTTTAAGTACTCTGTAACTCATGAGCGAGCTACTACACTAGCTAATTCAATAAATAACAGTTGAAAATAATCATATACATGAAATAAAGAATATTAATTCTTGGAGGAAGAACATTCTTAGGGCTTCTCCCTTGCTTAAAGCCCTTTGTAAAAGCGGAAGACTTTCTCTTTCCATGTCTAGCATTTACTAATTGACTGTCTGTGGTTGGTATACAGAAGTATGAAAGTAAGCTGATGGATGTGAGTTATTGGGATTTGGGGTATTCTTGGTATTTTTCTTAATGTTAGTTGAATCAAAATGTACTTTATGTATATTTCAAGCATAATTCTCAGTTTGCTGCCTTGGAAACAATTTTTAGGCAGTGCTGACAATGCCTAATAATTTTAGATAAAATATAAAATTCCCATTCCGCAGTACTGTTTTCTAGTACTGTTAAGTATTAACAGGGAGATATTTATAGTACTTGAACAATGAAAGAAAAGTTGTGGTTCATATTTTTTCATAGATATGCTAACATCTGAATCAAGAATAAAATGAAAGCAAAGGGAATAGAAATGTAATAGGTCCCTTGTGTATAATTATTTTGGTCTTATAATCTATATTTTTGTTCTTGTCTGTGCTCTTAACCACTTCCTAGCCTTTCTTTTATTCAATCTTCGATAAGTGACAAAGTATTCTAATCATGAATATTAAAAGGTTAAGTTATTCAGGAACATGAATCAACTGCCCTTACAAACATTTTTCAGGTAATCCCTCAGAGAACACAAAATATTTGTTAATTTTTATTTTAAACTCTAAAATTGTATAACAACTTAAAAATATTTTATCAGTAATACTGTTTACTTCTACCTGGGAGTAAAAGTAAACCCTTCAAATTTACAGCTTACATTTGTAGGCACATAAGCATTTATTATAAATACAAATTGTCTCCTATAAACTGTATATTGTGTATATATGTCACATTTTTTTTGTCCATTCAACTCTTAATAGACACTTAGGTTGATTCTGTATCTTGGCTATTGTGAATAGTGCTGTTATAAATGTGGGAGTACAGACATTTCTTTGACATTCTGTTTTCCTTTCTTTTGAATATGTATACCCGGTAGTGTGATTGTTGGATCATATAATAGTTCTATTTTTAGTTTTTTGGGGAACCTCTATACTCTTTTTCATAATGGCTGTACTAATTTATATTCTTACCAACAGTGTATAAGAATTCTCCTTCTCTGCATCCTTGCATCCTTATTTTGTCTTTTTGATAACAGCCGTTCTAACTGGCATGAAATAATATCACATTATAATTTGTTTGCATTTTCCTGATGGTTAGTAATGTTGAGCATTTTTTAATATACCTGCTGGCCTTTTATATGTCTTCTTTTGAGAGATGTCTATTCAGTTTATTTGCCCATTTTTGATCAGATTATTTGGGTTTTTGCTGTTGAGCTCTTTATATATTCTGGATATTAATCTCTTACTGGATAAATAATTTGCAAATATTTTCTCCCATTCTGCAGATTATCTCTTTACTCTTTTGTTTTCTTTTCTGTGCAGAAACTTTATTTACTTTTTTAGTGGCTTTTTTTTTCTTTCAGATCTGGGAATACATATACAGGTTTGTTATTTAGGTAATAACTTGTGCCATGGGGGTTTGTTGTACAAATTATTTCATCACCTAGGTACTAAGCCTAGTACCCAATAGTTATTTTTTTTTTACTCATCTCCCTTCTCCCAACCTCTACCCTCAAGTAGGCCCCAGTGTCTGTTGTTCCCTTCTCGTATTCGTGAGTTCTCATCATTTAGCTCCCACTTATAAGTGAGAACATGTGGTATTTGGTTTTCTGTTGCTGTATTAGTTTGCTAAAGATAATGGCCTCCAGCTCCATCCATGTTCCCACAAAAGACATGATCTCATTCTTTTTTATGGCTGCAATAGTATTCTATGGTGTATCTGTGACACCATTTTCTTTATCCACTCTGTCACTGATGGATGTTTAGGTTGATTCCAATTCCGTATCTTTGTTATTGTGAATAATGCTGCAATGAACATTCATGTGCATCTTGCTCTTTATGGTAGAATGATTTTTATTTCTCTGGGTATATACCCAGTAATGGAATTGTTGGGTCACAAGGTAGTTCTGTTTTGTTTTGTTTTTGTTTTTTTTAAGATAGGGTCTCACTCTGTCTCCCAGGCTGGAGTGCAGTGGTGCAGTCTTGTCTCACTGCAACCTCCACCCCCCAGGTTCAAGCAATTCTCCAACCTCGGCCTCCAGAGTAGCTGGGACTACAGACATGTACCGCCGTGCTGGCTAATTTTTGTATTTTTGGTAGAGATGAGGTTTCACCATGTTGGCCAGGCTGGTCTTGAACTGCTGACTTCAAGTGATCTGCCCACCTCGGCTTCCCAAAGTGCTGGGATTATAGGCGTGCACCACCACACCTGGCCTGGTAGTTCTGTTTTTAGCTCTTTGAGGAATTACCATACTGCTTTCCACAATGTTTGACCTAATTGACACTCAGACAGTGTTTAAGTGTTGCCTTTTCGCCTCAATCTTGCCAGCACCGTTATTTTTTCACTTTTTAATAATAGCCATTCTGACTGGTGTGAGATGGTATCTCATTGTGATTTTGATGTTCATTTCTCTAATGATCAGTGATATTGAGCTTTTCTTCATATGCTTGTTGGCCACATGCATGTCCTCTTTAGAAAAGTGTCTCTTCATGTCCTTTGCCCACCTTTTAATGGGGTTGTTTGCTTTTTGTATAAATTTGTTTAAATTCCTTATAGATGCTGGTTATTAGACCTTTGTCAGATGCATAGTTTGCAAATATTTTCTTGCATTCTAAGGGTTGTCTGTTTACTCTGTTGATGGTTTCTTTTGCTGTGCAGAAGCTCTTTAGTTTAATTAAACCCTATTTGTCAGTTTTTGCTTTTGTTGCAATTGCTTTTGGCATCTTTGTCATGAAATCTTTGCCTGTTCCTATGTCCAGGATGGTATTGCCTAGGTTGTCTTTCGGGGTTTTTATAGTTTTGGGTTTTACATTTAAGTCTTTAGCCCATCTTGAGTTGAAAGGAAGGGGTCTAATTTCAGTCTTCTGCATATAGCTAGGCAGTTATCCCAGCACCATTTAGTGAATAGGGAGTCCTTTCCTCATTGCTTGTTTTTGTCAGCTTTGTTGAAGATTAGATTGTGATCTTCAATCCGATTGAAGGTTGTGGGTGTGTGGCTTTATTTCTGGGTCCGCTGTTCTGTTCCATTGGTCTATGTGTCTGTTTTTGTACCAGTACTGTGCTGTTTTTATTACTGTAGCCCTGTGGTATAGTTTGAAGTTGGGAAATGTGAAACCTCCAGTTTTGTTCTATTTGCTTAGGATTGCCTTGGTTATTTGGACTGTTTTTTGGTTCCATATGAATTTTAAAATAGTTTTTCCTAGTTCTGTGAAGAATGTCATTGGTAGTTTGATAGGAATAACATTGAATCTATACATTGCTTTGGGCAGTGTGACCATTTCAATGATATTGATCCTTCTACTCATCTGCATGGGATTTTTTTGTAAAAGCTATTTAATTTGGTATAATCCCATTTGTCTGTTTTTGCTTTTGTTGTTTGTGCTTTTGAGATCATCTCCACAAAATCTTTGCCCAGACTAATGTCCTGAAGCGTTTCCCCTATGTTTTCTTCTATTAGTTTAATAATCTAAAGCCTTACATTTAAATATTTAATCCATTTTTAGTTGATATTTTTTTAATTCATTTATTTTCTGTCGCCCAGGCTGGAGTGCAGTGGCACCATCTCAGCTCACCGCAACCTCTGCCTCCTGGGCTCAAGCAATCCTTCCACCCCAGTATCCTGAGGAGCTGGGACTACAGGTGTGCGCCACTATACCCAGCTAATTTTTGTGTTTTCAGTAGAGATGGGGTTTTGCCATATTGCCCAGGATGGTCTTGAACTCCTGGGCTTAAGCCAGCCACCCACGTCAGCCTCCCAAAGTACTAGGATTACCGCGCTCAGACCATTTTTAGTTGATTTTTGTATATGGTAGGAGATAGGGATCTAGTTTGATTTTTGTTTGTTTGTTTGTTTGCATATGGATATCCATTCTTCTCAACAATTGAAGAGACTGTCCCTTCTCCAATAAATGTTTTTGGTACCTTTGCCAAAAATCGGTTGGCTGTAAATGCATGGATTTATTTCTGGGTTCTCTATTCAGTTATTTTGGTCTATGTGTCTGCTTTTATGCCAATATCATGCTGTTTTGGTTACTATAGGTTGTTGACATCAGGAATTGTGATGCCTCCAGCTTTGCCGTTTTTGCTCAGGATCACTTTGGCTATTCAGGATCTTTTGTGGTTTCATGCAAGTTTTAGGGTTGTTTATTTCTACGAAGAATGTCATTGGTATTTTGTTACACTGAATCTGTAAATCACTTTGGCCAGTATGGTTATTTCAACAGTATTAATTCTTCCAATTCATAAGCATGGGATCACTTTCCATTTTTGGTGTGTTCCCTTCAATTTCTTTCATCAGTATTTTGTAGTTTTCATTGTAGAGATCTTTCAACTCTTTGTTTAAAGTTATTCCTAAGTATTTTATTTTACTGTAGTTATATAAATGGGATTGCTTTCTTGATTTCTTTATTACTTCCCCTGGGTATAGAAATGCTACTGATTTTTGAATATTGATTTTGTATCATTCAGCTTTATTGAATGTGTTTGTCAGCTCTAAGAGGTTTTTAGATTTTCTGTATAAGATCATGTCGTCTTCAAACAGGAACAATTTGTCTCCCTTCTTTCCAATTTGGATGTCCTTTATTTCTTTCTCTTGCCTGATTGCTCTGGCTAGTATTATGTTGAATAAAAGTGGTGAAAGTGGACATCCTCATCTTATTCCATATCTAAGAGGAAATGGTTTGAACTTGTCCCCATTCAGTATGTTGTTGGTTGTGGGTTTGTCATTGATGGCCTGTATTGTGTTAGGTACGTTCCTTCTATGCCTAACTTGTTGAGAGTATTTATCATGAAGGGATGTTGAATTTTATCAGATGCTTCTCTGTGTCTTTTGAGATGATCATATGGCTTTTGTCCTTCATTTTGTTGAAGTATCATGTTTATTGACTTGTGTACATTTTGTCATCCTTGCATATCTGGGATGAATCCCACTTGATCATGGCAAGTGATCTTCTGATGTGCCACAAGATTTAGTTTGCTTGTATTTTGTTAAGGACTTTTACATCTGTGTTCATCTGGGATATTGGCCTGCAGTTTGTTTTTTTTTTTAATAGTGTCTTTAACTGATTTTGTTATCTATATAATGCTAACCTCATAGAATGAGTTTGGAAGAAATCCCCCCTCTTGATTTTCTGGAAGAGTTTGAGAGTAATCGGTGTTAGTTCTTTAAGGGTTTGGTACAATTTAGCAGTGAAAGCATCGGGTCCTGAATTTTTCTTTGATAGACTTTTTATTACAGATTCAATCTAGTTACTTGTGTTCTGTTCAGATTTTCTATTCCTGGTTCAATCTTGGTAGGTTGTATGTGTCCAGGAATGTATCCATTTCCTCTAGGTTTTCCAATTTGTTAGCATATAGTTGTTCATCATAGTCTCTAATAAACATTTATAATTCTATGGTATCTATTTTAATGTCTCTTTGTTTCTGATTTTATTTATTTTGGTGTTTTCTCTTTTTTTTTCTTGGTTAGTCTAGCTAATGGTGTGTCAATTTTGCTTATCTTTTTTAAAAACCAGGTTTTCTTATTGATCTTTTGTATTTTTTAAGTCTCAATTTTGTTCATTTCTGCTCTGACCTTTGTTATTTCTTTCCTTCTACTTTGCTTTTCTAGTTGTTTGAGATGCATCATTAGGTTTTGTATTTGAAATCATTCAACTTTTTTGATGTAGACATCTGGTGGAGCAGTTGCCTTTTCTAGACTTCCTAGTGTTGCAAAGGGAAAGATTAGTGTTCCAGTTGGGAATGGTGTGGTGAGTATGTTTCCAGATAGGTGCAGTGGTATAGTCTCTTTGCAGCTTCTTGACCTGTGTTCAACATCAGCAATAATATGAGTGACTCAGTGGTATAGGCTGTAGAAGTTTGTGGCAGTGGTGGCAGCAGCATAGTTTTTTTTGTTGTTATTTTTGAGACGGAGTCTCGCTCTGTTGCCCAGGCTGGAGTGCAGTGGTGCGATCTCGGCTCAATGCAAGCTCCGCCTCCCTGGTTCATGCCATTCTCCTGCCTCAGCCTCCCGAGTAGCTGGGACTACAAGCACTCGCCACCATGCCCGGCTAATTTTTTGCATTTTTAGTAGAGACAGGGTTTCACCATGTTAGCCAGGATGGTCTCAATCTCCTGACCTCGTGATCCGCCCGCCTCGGCCTCCCAAAGTGCTGGGATTACAGGCGTGAGCCACTGCGCCCGGCCGGCAGCAGCATAGTTTTTAAGGTACTCAGTTGCAGCAGTTTGGGAGATCCTCATGTTTTCATTTTTCCTACAATAGGAAGACTTAGCTGACCCTGCTGTTAGGTCTGACATGGTCTACAAGCAGCAGCAGTGGTGCTTGGAGCAGCAGTGGGGCCACAGTACTGCATCAGAATCCCATGAACCTTTTGTGTTACCTGGGTCTTTGGGTGCAGATTCACCCTCTGTGGCAGGGTTGGATGTAAGTTTCCCACAAGAACTAGGATCTGTGACAATGGAGGCACCCTCCAGCAGCTCGGAACCAGAGGGCTCAGTTGTAACTGTGGTTTTACTCAAGCCACAGCACTGGCCTGACCCTGGGGAAGCAGGGATGTTCTGGAGGTTTGGGCTGGGGGAGCAGGGTACACTGTACAGTAGTGACTTTAGACACTGGGATGGTGGGTGTTGGCTGTATCCCAGACTCTGTGAGGCTGGGTGCAGCAGCAGCAAGTACCCTAGAATGGTGGAGCTCAGCTGTCATTTGGGCCCTAAGGGTGGCAGGTGGCCTAAAGGCACAGTGATGACTCTACTTCCCAAGGAAAGGGGTGTCTCTGCAACTCGGACTCGTGGGGGTTAGTCTAGCTTCAGGCAAGCAGGGTACTAGAGTCATTGTGTAGGGTGGGGTGTCTCAGCTCAGCCACTGCTCTTGTTTCCCTGGGATGCAGCATACTGCATCAGCTCAGCCCTGGGATGCACAGATGCTTAGCTTAGCCAGGTCACTGATTTCCCAGAGGGTGATAATCCACTTCACCATAGACCTGTGGGGCATTACTGTTCTGGGCAGCCCAGGTTCCATTTCTCATGATACTGGGTGCTACTTCAGCTTACCAAATGGGGTCGTGGTTTCTCTGGGCAGCCAAGGCACCATTTCCTGGGATGCAGGGCACTGCTTCAACCCTGATGGCAGAGGGGTGTTACTGCTCTGAGTGGCCCCAGTACTCTTTTCCCAGGAGGCAGCATACTGCTGCAGCTCCAGCTTGAGGGGGTGGGAGAGGGGTAGGTGGAGTGCCTCCACCTCTGCTTTGACCCTACGTGTAAGGGTGTAACAGCTGCTCACAACTCTGCCTGGGGAAGTTGGACCACCAGACTGGGGTGGTTCAGCAGCTTAGCCTTAGAGATGAAGGGGAGCCATGGCTACTCACCCCTGAAGCAAGGTACACTTCAGCCATAGTTTCAATTCCAAGATGGCAGTAGCCACACAGGCACTGGGGGCAGGACAGAGTGTCATTTTCCCTTGGGAGAGCACAGCTATTTGGACCCCAGGCAGCTCCTTCAGCTGGCATATTGCTTGTCAGGACTGCAGGTGACCCCAGTGGTGAGGTCTGTAGATGTCCAATGTGTTGATGGAGGTTGCTGGGATCCTCTTGCTTACCTCCTTGCCATAGGGAGAAGTTCTCCTGATTCCCACTTGATCCTGGCTGGGATTTGGGGTGGTAGGAGACTGGTGTTCCCTTTCATTCTCAATGTGGCCATCCTGAGTTTTTGTGCTCACCAGCGTTTCTGTTACTCCACTGATGTCTCCAGAGCTCTCCCTGGGTTATTTTCATTAACATAGTTGTATATTTCATTGTTCTTGCTGTCTTTGTGAAAGGGGCAAGTGCTAGTGGCTTCTAGTCAGCCCTTGCTGATATCACTCTCCAAAGCCACCAATTTTAATGTACATTGCAGTTTCAGACATTGTAGTATTGGGGGAGGTGTCCATTTTAGAACTGATGAAATACTGTAAGTAAGTGGAGATAATATTACCATGTTTGAAGTTTGGAAGACATTGTAAAGATGTCAATTCTCTTCATATTAATCTGTAGATTTAATGTAATCCAGCAAAAATCTCAACCATGTTTATGTGGAGTTTGAAAAAGCAGCTTTTTAGGTAAATGAAAAAGAAGCCCAAAAGCAGCCTGTATACTCTTATGAGAATAAGGTGGGAGGACTTTGTGTACTAGATATCAAGCTATAAAGTATACTACAGCAATTAAAACAGTGTTTTACTTGTGCAAAGACTGACAAACAGACCTGTGTAACCCATACTCATAAGGTCACTTGATTTGTGGTAAAGGTGGTACTACAGAGTAGTGAGGAAAGGATGATGCTGAAACAACTGAATGTCCTTACTGGGGAAAATAAAAAGAAGTAAGATTTCTACTTCATAGAAAATGAAGAAATCAGTTCCAAGTGGAGTAAAGTTCTAAATGGAAAAAGAGCTTTAGAAGATAATAAAAGGGGATATATTTATGACTGGATAGAGAAAATTTCTTAGTCAAAACCCCCAAAATACTAATGTTAAGAGAAAAGATAGTGGCTCACTCTTGTAATCCCAGCAGTTTGATTGGCTGAGGCAGGAGGATGGCTTAAGCCCAGAAGTTCAAGACTGCATGAGCTATGATTGCACCACTGCCCTCCAGCCTGGGCAACAGAGCGAGATGCTGACTCTTAAAAAGAGGCCGGGTGTGGTGGCTCACGCCTGTAATCCCAGCACTTTGGGAGGCCAAGGCGGGCGAATCACGAGGTCAGGAGATTGAGACCATCCTGGCTAACACGGTGAAACCCCATCTCTACTAAAAATACAAAAAAAAAAAAAAAAAAAAAGAGAAAATAAATTGGACTGGACTACATCAAAATTAAGAAATTCTGTCATAAAAAGACACATTTAAGAGCATGAAAAGCAAAAACAGTTGTTCTGGATGTCTTTTATGTACAATGATGATGAATAAATTGATATGCTTTTATCAAAATGGTTAGTATTCTACTATATATTAAAATAGTAATATTAATTTTTCTTGAATTTTACAAAGAAAAAATTTGAAATTATATTGAAGCATCCACTGAGTACTTACTGTGTCCCAAGCACTGGTTACTGTTGTGTTTGGCAGTTCTTTTTACTAATCCTTTATTGGATATGTGGTTTGCAAATATTTTCTCCCACTCTGTGGCAGGTCCTTTCGTCCTTTTAACAGAGTCTTTCATAGAGCAAAAGTTTTTAATATTGATAAAGTCTAATTTATCAATTATTTTTATAGATCATGCCTTTGGTATCAAGTCTAAAATTTCTTAATCTGTAGTTTCACCTCTCCCTTTTTTTTTCTTGTCTCTTGTGTTCCTTTAACAAACCCTAGTAGTCCTCAATATAACATCTGAATTACAGGTTGATATATTGTAATAATACACAGAAAATATCAAATAAGTATGTTTATGATTCAGATTTTACTTTCTGGTACTAGAAGATATTTTATGGTCGTTTTATACTGCCTAAACTTGGAATCAAAGAATCCTGGTCTTTCATTGGAAAATGATATGTAGAGATCATCATCTATGTTCCTACAGACCAGATGTTACTAACTTTTTATTTATTTATTTATTTATTTATTTATTTATTTATTTATTTATTTATTTATATATTTTGAGATGGAGTCTCGCTCTTTCGCCCAGGCTGGAGTGCAGTGGCGCAATCTCGGCTCACTGCAAGCTCCGCCTCCCGGGTTCACGCCATTCTCCTGCCTCAGCTTCCTGAGTAGCTGGGACTATAGGCACCCGCCACCATGCCCAGCTAATTTTTTTTGTATTTTTAGTAGAGACGGGGTTTCACCATGTTAGCCAGGATGGTCTCGATCTCCTGACCTCGTGATCCACCAGCCTCGGCCTCCCAAAGTGCTGGGATTACAGGCTTGAGCCACCGCGCCCAGCCTGTAATTAACTTTTTAAATATAAAAAGTCACAAATCTACACTCATATTTTCCGTGTAAGATTATGGAATTTTTACTTGAAGTCTTTGATTTTATACTTGCGTCTCTTTACGTCTGTGCAGAAAACCTTGGTTCCTAAGATGATAATTGCTTTATCATATAACCTACCTACAATAGTTTCAGGTTTTTTTTTTTTTTTTTTTTTGAGATGGAGTTTTGCTTTTTTTACTCAGGCTAGAGTGAAATGGCGTGATCTCGTCTCACTGTAACCTCTGCCCCCCAGGTTCCAGTGATTCTCCTGCCTCAGCCTCCCTAGTAGCTGAGATTACAAGTGCCTGCCACCACGCCCGGCTAATTTTTGTATTTTTAGTAGAGACGGGGTTTCGCCATGTTGGCGGGGCTGGTCTTGAACTCCTGACCTCAGGTGATCTGCCTGCCTCAGCCTCCCAAAGGGCTGGGATTACAGGCGTGGGCCACTGTGCCCGGCTAGTTTCAGAACTTAAATACCAACTTTACTACTATACAATAAGACTTCTAAATGCAGCTTAAATTTTGTTTATATTTTCTTATAGAATGTATCTCATAAGAAATGTACAGTCAAAATATTGTTTTTTTTTTTAAAGTCACTTGTAGTCACTATTTTCACCTATTCTGTTACCAACTTGACATACAACCAGATTTCAGTGTTTTCTTTTTTTCAATTTTGGGGAGGATTGCTTCTTTTTCCCTTGTTTAGTTTAATTTTGTGTTTTAGTTATGCAAAAAATTACTAATTTTTTAGTAATTTTTATGTACATTTTAAGATAACAGGACATTCTGTTTCTTCTTCTGTTATCTTCCTTTGTGGATAGATGACCATTTTCTTTTTATTTTTGGGGTTATTTTGAAAATATTAGATATGTATATATTCACCCTTATGCAAAAGTTAGCATATTCTAGATATTGTTCTATACTTTGCTTTTATTCAATTAAAATTCTTTCTCAGAAATCACTTCATTATTCTATAGAGATATTTCTCATTCCTTTTTATGGCTGTGCACACATGCACACCAACTTTCCTAGACAGGTATTTGATTAATTCTGCACACCCCCATGACCTGGACTAATATTCATGTATATTTCAAATATAAGGTTTTTATTCTTGTGTAGAATAAATTGTATAGACAATTACATTCTACGTAATTAATGCTCATTTGAATTTTACCCATTCTTTTGCTATTACAAATAATATTGTATTGAATATTCTTGTATATGTGTAATGTCATTTTATATTGCTAGAGGTGAGATTGATATATCAAAGGGTTAATGAGGGCTGGGCATGATGGCTTATACCTGTAATCCCAGCACTTTGGGAGGCCAAGGCAGGAAGATTGCTTGAGGCCAGTTCTGGAGGGATGGAGAAAGGGAAGGAGAGGGCAACGTTACTAGTTGTTGCCAAATTCTCCTCAATGCTGTGTACCATTTGACTTTCTTACCAACAATGGAATGAGAATACCCATTTTTCCTCAGTCTTACCAAAGAGTGTGTTGAAGGGTCATTTTTAAATTATTGACTTTAGGTTTTTCCTGCCACCCAGGCATTGTAAATCAGGGTTGTATGTTTGGGGCCTGTCTTATGCATATTGGAGACGGGGTGGAGTTAGGGAGGAAGTATGTGTTTGACTGCTCAACACCAAGGTTCTAAACTGAATTGGGGAAATGGGTGACAGCAGATGAGACTGTAAATTCACATTTGCTCTGTAGATATATTTGTTTGTCCCAGCTCTGTTATTTAGGGCAGTTTCTTCTTAGAGTTCTCACTTTGGTTGAACTTTGGGCTTTGTCTCCTATTTCCTCCATGTTCGTTGACTACATGGAGAATTACAAGAAGCCAAACTATCAATGACACATAATAACCTAATGTTATGCACAATTATGAAGTATTGTTCTTTGTCCCTGATAATGTTTTTAATAATTGTAATAGATATTCGTTGAGAGTGGAATATCCAGTTACCATTAATGAATTTTTTTCACCCACCATGGGGGATTGGGAATATTGTTTTAGAAACTGTTTTTGTGGGTCTGGAATAAGACCCACACGTGCCTTGGGAAAGATTTTTAGAGATTCACTTTTTCCTTTGATAGACTTGCTTATTGGGCGGTTTTCTGCAGTCTGAGGAATAGGGCCAATTTGACTGTCAGTCTTTTGTTGATTAAGTGAGAGTGCCATCCAGTGGGAGAAAAAGCTAATACAAGTTTTTTAAACTTTAGAATATGCAGAGGAAATTATTTCTTGTGCTAAGTTATGTTCTCCAGAAGTCCACAATACTAAAAAGTTGGGAACTGTATGTTGGAAGGTGAGAGAAGTGGAAGAAAGTAGTCTTGCAGAACAGTAGCACGCATATAATAGGGACCTAATAAGTAGCCGTTATTACCATGATTCTTCTTCTTGCGTGGAAGTTGGTGATCAAGTTAAATAATAGGTAAATTAGGAGCTTCTCTGACAGATATTTGTGATTAATACATGTAAAATTCTATTGTCATTTTTTGACTATGTGATATACAGATATTATAAATTTTATCCTTTTTTGTCTTTAACCCTATTACTCAGGACCCACCCCTGGTCCCCAAAAAAATGTTACCAGTTTCTAGTATATCTGTCTTAAAATATTACACTCTATTATAAACATGTATGTATATTTCTTGGCATACTCATTCATTTAACAAATAGTGTGGCTACTATGTACCTGGCACTCTTCTAGGCGGGATAAAGCAGTGAACCTCATGTTCAGTGTAAGGTATGCATATTCTACATATTGTTCTGTACCTTGCTTTTTTCGTCAATAAGTTTCCCTCTAATGACTGTTATAGCTGCATCCCACAAATTTATTCAATTCAAAATACACCCTTGTGATTTCTGCTTTGGTCCATGGATTATTTAGAAGCATGTTTAATTTCTAAGTGTTAAGAAATTTTAAAAATGTCTTTCTGTTATTAATTTCTAATTTAATTTGGTTGTGATAAGAGAACATGCTCTATATGCTATCATTCCTTTAAATTTGTTCAGACTTGCTTTATGGCCCAGCATGTGGTCTCTCTCATTGAATGTTCCACATTGATTTAGAATGAAGTACCTACTCTGTTATTGTTGGAGTGTTACGTAATTACCATTTGAGTCAAGTTGTTCAGGTCTTTTAAATCCTTATTTATTTTGTCTATTAATTCTGTTAATTACTGAAAGAAGAAGAATGAAATTTCTACCTATAGTTCAGGGTTGTCTCTTTCTCTTTTCAGTTCTGTCAGGTTTTGCTTCAGGTATTTTTATATGGTTATTAGGTGCATACACATTAGGTTATTATGTGTCATTGATAGTTTGGCTTCTTTATCATTATGAAGTATTGTTCTTTGTCCCTGATAATGTTTTTAATAATTGTAATTTTCTTATGGTTAATGTTTAAATGTTATGGGTTTTCCCACCCTTTTTCTTTAAATATAAAAACATAGGTTAAAAGTGGATTTCTTCTATATAGCACTTTCTTGACTTTTCCTTTTCTAAACCTCTCTTACAATCTCTTCCTATAATCTTAATTTTTTAAAAAAAATCAGTTTCACTTTTTCTTTGCAAAATGTAGTATGAAAAACTATTGTCTTTTTAGCTTGTGATTATTTGCCTTTTTGTTTTCTTTTTTAAAATTTTATGTGCAAATAGTGTATAACAATGATGTAAAATTTGCAAGATATGAAAGAGTTTATATTGAAGAGTTAGTCTCCTTCCCTTCCTATACCCCTACTATTATATTCCATACACAGAGGCAATCATTTTGTCTAATTGTGTACTGTTCCACACATGCTATAACCATTTATAAGCAGATATGAATGTGTTCTTTTTGCTTTCACCCACGTTATTGTATATTATATATGCTAGTTATATAAATCTTTGTATAACCTTTTTAGTTGTGAAATGTACCATACACAGAAAATTGCATAAACTTACAGGTACAGTAATAACGAATAGTTATATAATGAACACCTGTGTGATCATCAGCCAGGTGAAAATATAGAAAGAAGACATCCAAATATCATTTCTCAGTTAGAACTCCGTACCCCAGAGGTAACCACTCTCCTGACCTTTATGATAATCATTTCCTTGCCTTTCTTTTTGCTGTTACCACTTATACTTACATCCCTAAACAGTGTAGTTTATATTTACCTGTTTTTGAAATTTATATGAATGGAGCAAAACATACCTTTTTCTTTTTAAAATGTGTTTTTGCTTTCTTCACTCAGTCATGTTCATAACATTCATTTATATTGCCTATAAGGATAATTTATTTTCTATAGATGTCGTTGTATGAATGTACCACAAGAAAACACATCATAGGAAAAGGTTTTTTAAATTTTACTGTTGGTGGGCACTGGATCATTTCCAGTTTATTACGCAAATAATAGTGCTGTAGTGTGCTTGTACGTGTGTGCTCTTACACTTCAGCACTCATGTCTGGGTATACAATTAGGAGTAGAGTTGCTAGAGCACAGGGTGTGCTGCTCTTACATGTTAATTCCAAAGTACTGTACTTTTCCAAAGTACTGCAGTAAAATTTTATTTCATACCTCCATAGACTTCTCAACCCTGGGTATTGTGTGACTGCTAATCTCGTAGTCATGTAGTAGTTTCCCATTGTGTTTGAATTACTAATGAAGTAATATATTTTTTGTCTTATGAAGTAATTGTATATAATTATTTTGCCCATTTTTCTTTTGGGTTGCATACTCTTTTTTTTTTTTAACAATTAGTATTCTTCATTGGTGATGGAAAATATACAAACGTGTATATGTGTGTGGCTGGCCAATATCTTTTCAGACTCTGTGACTTCATTGTTTTTATGAGCAGAGGTTCTGGGTTTTAACATAGTCAAATGTATTGGTCTTTATGGTCAGACTTTTTTCCCACAGGAACATGAAAATATTCTCCATAAGCTCTATACCTTTCCCTTTTACATTTAGGTCTTTACTCCACTCATACAGTTGTGGGAATACAAATTGTCATAGTCTTTCTGTGGGCAGTTTGATGATACATATCAAAATTTTGAATGTGCCTATCCTTTAATCCAAGAATTCTACTTTAAGAAATTTATCTTGGCCAAATACATTAAACATTGTACAAAGATGTCTATGTGTATATATACAGATGCCAACACAACATTTTCCTACCCATTCTATGGCAAATAAGTGCAAAGGGTAAAGGTATCCCTGTTGAGTGATATCATCAGCCGCCTGTATTTTGCCAAGTGCCTAACAGTGTAATATAATCTTTATCAGTCACTGTGGAGCTGTAAGGAAAGTATCTTACCCAAAAGGATTTTATATAATTACTTTGAAAACTCTCATGTAATTTCATTATCACATTTATGATAAATTAGGTGGTTAGCATTAGCACATTTTAAGATGGAAGGGTCAAGTGATAGACTGGGGAATCATTGAAAAAACTTTGCAGTAAAAGTGTTTAATATCTAAGGCTATTATAACAGTGAAATAAATAGAGATTGCATTGCATTCTGTAAGACCTTAAGTTTGGTGCTTTTTTTTTAAGCAGAGAACACAGTAGATTAGGAAAGAATGCTTATTTATTTGCATTTTGGATACCTCTAGAACAGTGGTTTTCAATGGGGTGGAAGAGGGGACAGTTTCACACTCCTGGGATTATTTGAGCTGTGGGCAATCTCTGGAAACATTTTAGATTGTTAGAATTTGGGACTGTGGGTTGGGTGGGGACAATGGTGCCGGTGAGTAGAGCCCAGGAATGCTGCTAAACATCCTTCAATGGACAGGAAAGCCCCTACAAATTTATCTGGCCCAAAATGTCATTAGTGTCAATATCGAGAAACCCTGCTTTAGAATGATTGTTTCTATGCGTTGATAATAAGTTAGCCTCTAATTTGGGTCATATTATAAAGGTACTTGACCTGGTATGGGGCATAAAGGATTTTCTTGGAGAGGTGACATTATGACAGTATACTTTGTTACATGAATATGTCATAGAAGACATCATAATCAACCTGCATTTAACTAATTCACCAAATTTGTGATGTTCTGCATTCTTTTTACGTAACACTTTGCTAGGTTCCTGTGGCTCTCTCTAAACACGTAAAGCCACCTTCAGCTTGCTGCCACTGTTCTGCTTCTGTCAGTTGCGTTGTTTACCAAGATCTTATTGTGTTTGTTTGCCTGCTTATTTATGTAAAATCAGTTAAATATGAACACAAACTATTGACAAGATTATATAAAGGATATAGTTGGTTTTTTTCTATGCAAACAAAAGTGACTGCTTTGGAAACACTCAGGAAGAAGAAAACACTAAAAAATGCTATGGAATGGAGCAAGTAAAATTGTTTTACTCACAAACAGTTGTAAATTGTTTGTAAACAAAGTGTTTTACTCCATTCCACAATTTTTTTTAGTGTTTTCTCCTTCCTGAGTTGTCTCCTCCTAGTTTGAAGAGCCCGAGTAGGAGGGTGGAAATCGTAGAATTCAAGGAGGATTCTCTACTTGGCAAGTGCTCATAGATTTTTTTTTTCTTCTATTTAAAGTAACCAAAACTGGAAATTACCTAAAACCTATGAATTTGTTTTAGATAGGGAAGATGATGAGGATTCCAGTCAGTGGATATATCCTCAAAGAATGCTGGCAAACGAATCTGTATGTTTTTACTTGAAATGTCTTGTTTCCAATTAACAACTGACTGCCAGCTCCAATCACATCAAAAAATTCTGTCTACAGTGAATGTTACAGAATTTGAGAGTAATACTGGTAAAAATGTTATCAACTACTTATTATGATTCAGAGATATACTACATAGAAATTATGATTATATTATATAGGCTTGTGTATTTGTTGCAGGTAATCTTTAAGTATTTCAGATTATTGAGTCTTTGTCATCATCCTTCAGATTAACTCTTCCATTATATTTGTAACTCTACCTTGTCTTACCTTTTTTTTAATAGTTAAATTTTGCCTAGAGATGTATCAGTAATTCAGTTATTTGAACTAAAAAAAGTTAGAAAGGCACCTTATACTGAAGGTATCAAAAGTTTCATTTATCACTAATGTATCTAATCCAAGAAGATATGAACAGCCATTTTAAAGACAAGATTCCCACTTCAATGAATGAAGTTAATATTCTAGTCCCTGATTTAATTCCATATGTTCCTTTATAGTAATCATTAAAGTATAAATGCAGTATTTAATTTTTTAAAAGTAGATGTCACTGTTGGAAGAAGAATGCCCATGAGCATCATGGGAGAAAATATCAGGCGTAATTCTCCTTCCAGATGGCACCCCTACAGGTGAGGCAGCAGCCTGTGAAATTACAGTCTGAATTACACTGCAGATGAGCGGGGCATTTGGACCAGAGCCTTCTGATATCAGTAATAAATGACTTGGTTCAGAACCAAGGACAATTCCCAGGAATTTAAAGGCTGTTGTATCACATAGGGAGCCTATCGTAAAATGAAGTTTAGCAAAGTGGAAAGTTGAGAGAAAGGACAATGACCATTAGCAATACGTATGTGAATCTTTTCATCTGCTAATATTTTTAACTGGATATTTTATCTCATGAATGTCTTATTAGTTCTATATATATGCTAGTATTTGCATTGATTTTTCCAAACTAATATTTTCACAATGAATAGTGGCTAAGGGCCAGTTGCCAACTGAGATATTACTCTGAAATGATTGCACACCTGTTGTAAATTCTAATCTTGTTTAATATGGTCTATGGAAAATTTTTCATTTTTGCAATGCTTGAATCCTTAACAAATGTAGTATAATACACATACTAAATCTTATTTTCAATTAGACAAATCAATTTAAGAGGCAACATAAAAGGGTGATTCAGAACTTGTATAGTGAGATCAAGGTTCGAATTCTGTCTCATTCACTCCCCATTTATGTGACCGAACTATTATTTTAGATCGCAACTTACTTAACATAAATAAATTAAATTGGAATAACAATAAATGGTGCTTTGGGGAAGAATTAAATGAAATAATTTTTATAGAGGCATCACAATGAATTTTAACGATTATCACCACCATTATTTGTCAGTTTTAATTTTAGAAAACAAAATATCATTTTAAAATAACATTTTAATTTCTACCACAAAAATAAAAAGCAGTTTCATTTTAACAAATATAATATTACACATAGTATTAATAACTTTTATTTATTCATTTTAAAGTTACATATTGAGTTCCTACTATGTACCAGACACATTTTCAGCCTTCAGGAATATAGCTTCAAACAATATGACAAAGTCCTTGATCTTGGAGCTGATATTTTAGTAAGGAGACAAAATAAAAACAAAAATAAATAGTATTTTCATTCATAAGTGCTATGATGAAATACAAAGCAGGATAAAGAAATGGAGCTTGATGAAAGAAAAAGAAAGGATATTTTATGTAGGAACATCAGAGAAATTCTTTGTGATAAGGTAACAGCTGAGCTGAAAGATAGAATACTAGAAAACAATTTGACAATGACAAATCAATACAAACTTTTTTGGGCCTTTGTCCAAAAAGGATTGGAATGTAGTGAATACTTAATTTGTACTAAAGTGTTAATTTTATTTATTTTATTTTCAGTTTTGAAACACAGCAGTCTTGCAGATAGGGACCATTTTTTTCACCAAATCTATTATGTTTTACCAGCCAATCTTTTCTTCGTAAGATAGATGCCTTCCATTTAATAATTCCTTGGCATAAATTATAATTCACTATAAGCAACAGTTGAATGCCTATTTATAAGCATTTGTGTGTGAAATCTGCGTGAATATGTCAGATTGGTAAAGATTTCTTAGTTGAATCCCATAAGTCCCTTGTTCTTTGAATACATAGATAATATTAATGGGGAACTAACTTGTAAGAATTTTACATATTACTGAAGTACTCTATCCAGAAAAACATGTTTCTGTCAAATCCTTAATTTTCCTAATGTAACATATTGATAAACAAGCTTTGTTCCTAAGCCTCTGTTTAATAGGCAGTTATTTTTGTATCAATGAATCAGTGAGCTGGGGGGAATAGGTCAATACCGACGTAGAGTTGCCGGCAATTCAGTTCAGTTCCTTTATAAGTGATTCAAGCATGAGAGCTGTATTTTCTATAAATTAAAATTGCTGTTAATCTCTTGTGAAGATTATCCATTCTGGGTTTGCAGGTTTTTCTTGTTCTAGAGAAACCTTTAAAATGTTTTTTTAATGTGGTTAAAGAATATTATACTTACCCCACTGATCATTTATTTGTGAACAAAACAAATGAGTGGATGAGAACAGTTTTGATATAGAATGCTAAAGTAAAGGTAAAATTAATGTTGGTTCACCCTGAGCAATAAGATGTACTATGTGCTGAGCACTTGGCTTTCCCTGCTGCATAGGGCTGTTGGGGGGTTGGACCCTAGAAGGAGAAAGACTGACTGAAACTGATAGTGATTTCTCAGTCATGATTATTTGTCATTTGTATAATAAACTGTGAAGCACAGTATTGGAATGTAGCGTATTTGTGACACCAGTAGTGGCAAATTCTTTTTTCATTTGTACTGTATTATTTACCCTTTCTTGGTAGAGGATTCATTATCATACTCTAAAATCGGTAGTACACCAGGATCATGTTTCATGAATTTTATTTCCATGAACACTAGTTCTGCAAGGTGTTGATAGATGTTAAATAGAAAAAAAAAAGGTCTGTAGTCAGAAAGTGGGTAATACTTGGTTAAAATATGTTCAGCAGTTCTCTTTACCATGAGAACTACTCAGAACTTTTAGTGTGCTCATGCACATTATGAATCTCTAATAGGAGGATATGGCAGCTGGCGTTTCTTAAACCTTTTTGACTAAGGATCCCTCCACTTTCTTTTTTGTTTTTTTTTTTAATACCAAAAAGAAAGTCACTAGACAGGAAATTATTTGGGAAGTGGTTTTCTAGACTAGAGTTTCTCAACCTTAGTGCTATTGACATTTTGGGCCAGGCCATTCTTTCTTGTAAGAAGCTGTCCTGTGCATTGAAGGATGTTTACCAACATACCTTGGCTCTACACAGTAGATGCCAGTAGCATCTCGTTCATCCCCCACCCCCAGTTGCAACAATCAAAAATTACTCAGACATTGCCACGTGTTCCCCAGCAGGCAAAATCAAGTGGAGAACCACTGCTCTAGATGGATATTGCATCATTCCAGGGAGTTATAGGGCTTGTTAATAATGTCTATCCAAACATTTTTTAATGAGGAAGAAAGAGTAGTCTGGAAAGTAGAATCATAGATAAAGAAAATGCAGTATATTTTACCACAATAAACTTTCTGGGTTCACTTTATAAGCTGGCCTGATTTTCCAATAACTTACTGCAAAAAAAAGTTTCAGATTTTGCAGAATATTATTACATCTGTGGCAGAAAAAAAAATATTCTGTAATTAAAAGAGTAGCACCGATGTTTAAATTGACCTGCTTATGAGAGTATTGCACATTTCTAAACTCTTTTTTTCCCCTTTTTTTATGCAGGGCTATTTTCTTCTGTTTGAGTCTATGTTAGATTCTGTCCTTTATGCAAAGAACAAATACTTGGCAAAAGGAGGCTCGGGTGAGTATAAAATTCTGGTTTTAATAATCTAATTTTAGTCTAGCAGAACCAGATGAACCTTTGGATTTCAAATAAACTATGCATGGCTGAGGAAGTTCCCGATAGGGTTGAAAGATGTTTGCATTACAAGAAGCTTTAAGACATTTGTTTACTATATTGTTGAAAGTAGAATATTATATAAGACATGGGGGACTCCAAGGTAATGGTATTCTCAAGAATGCTTTTATTAAAAGGTCCTTTTAATAAATATCTAAAGACTAGGTTTTGGAAGCTTTTTGATATTCAAACTCAAATCTAACAAACTCCTTTTTATTTTTAATCCTCATGTCATTTAGTTCCCTTTTTTCCCAATGGCATATTTCATTCTAAGTTGGAAATTATTCACGACTTCACTAAATCTGTAAACCCGACTTCTCTGTGATTTTCTGAGAACATTTCAAGTAGTGACTGGTTTCTAATGAGTTTTAAAAGTGCCACATAACCAATCCACATATAAAGGGATCCTAATAAATTTGGAAGGCTTTCTTTTCATGTCTCTGGAAAACATTTAATCATATTAACTCTGCATACTCAGAGTGAGATTCTGTTTTTACAGACCATCTGCTGTGAGCAATTATATACATACAAAATAATTGTCTTTCAGGACAGGGATTGTGTTTGTTTAGCTTTAACTCTTAAATGAGCTCCACAGCTTCTAGGATGTAGATGGAGCATCATCCATGTTTATTGAATTGAATCATTTAAAGAATCATTAAAACTGAATTGAATGGCATGTTCCTCCTTCACTTACCTCCCTGCATCTTAACCTTTCTCAAAGCTTCAGAATCAGTAAATGGTTTCCATGGTCAGAATACAGTTGGTAAAACTGTCACATGAAAGGGGCAGGCATTTCAAACTAGTGATGCAAAGGACTTGACCATAGTTATGCCTCCTACCATCCATGTTCTATGAAATTACTTTGGCAGTTTTGGTACAGTTAAAAATCAGGCCGGCTGGGTGCAGTGGCTCACGCTTGTAATCCCAGCACTCTGAGAGGCCATGGCAGGCAGATCACCTGAGGTCAGGAGTTCAAGACCAGCCTGACCAATATAGTGAAACCCCGTCTTTACTAAAAAAAAAAAAAAAAAAAAAATCCAAAAATTAGCTGGGCTTGGTGGCAGGTGCCTATAGTCCCGACAGGAGAATTGCTTGAACCCGGGAGGCAGAGGTTGCAGTGAGAGGAGATCCTGCCACTGCACTCCAGCCTGGGTGACAGAGCGAGACTCCATCTCAGAAAAAAAAAAAAAAATCAGTAAGGCCAAAACATAAATACAGAGAAAATTCTCCAGAACAAGAGAGTTCTTTTTATAATGGCATTTAAATGGATTGCCTTTCTTTTTCAAAATGTGCCCATTTTATCACTTTATTTTCTGCAACCATTTCAAGATATGTTCCCAATCTCTGTCATGAACCTGGCTAGAATTTTTAGATATATTTTACCCTGCAGCAATTGGCTGCAACTTTCTATGATTGCAGTGGCTTTGTTTTTTTAATGACTACTCCAGGTTGAATATCCCTTATCTAAAATGGTTGGGACCTGCAGTGTTTCAGATTTTGTGTTTTAGGGGGGTTTCGGAGTACAGTCTTTGCATTATACTTACTGGTTGAGCATGCTTATCTGAAAATCGGACATCTGAAATGTCGCAGTGAGCATTTCCTTTGGGTTCATGTCAGTGCTTAAAAAGTTTTAGAACATGGAGCATTTCAGATTTTCAGATTAGGGATACATAAACTGTAACATTTAATGACTTAAAAACAACATTATACATCATTTGTTGACCATCTACTGGCTGCCAAACAATATACTCTACCTTCATTTATGTTACTAGACATAATCCTCACAAGAGCCCTTTGAGATTTTACAGTCTCCTAAAAGTGTCCTGGATGACACATATTAAATGGCTAAACCATGATTTTTTTTAAACTCACATCTGCCAGCCTCCAGTATTCATGTTCTTTTTACTAAGCCTTGTTTTCCTACTAAAATGTATTTTTTAAATGTGATTATTGCCTTGACGTTCTAGGGAAGATCCAAGTAACTGTTTCCAGA
Source organism: Homo sapiens (assembly GCF_000001405.40). Classification (NCBI taxonomy): domain Eukaryota; kingdom Metazoa; phylum Chordata; class Mammalia; order Primates; family Hominidae; genus Homo; species Homo sapiens. The sequence continues at coordinate 20,454,298 of NC_000011.10, forward strand.
CCTGCCTGACTTGATCTTATTGAGGAACTGACAGCAACTTAATACATTTAAATTGAATTCTCACTGAAATTCATTAAGAACTTACAGCAATGTGAACAATGGCAGAGCTATTTCTTATCATCAGAGGGATAAAGTGGAGGTTCATATATCTAGCTCTTTCTATACTTTTATATAGCTAATATTAGTATTAAGATAATACAGGGGTATATTTAAGAGAGGTCAGCATTTAACTCCTTAAGCAGTGCTGTTGAATCTTATTTGTTAACAGAATCAAGAGAAAGAAAGTTCAGAAAAGAGTAACAAAAAATAGTCTATTTGTGTTTTTGAGTATGTCTTGATGCGTATCACCAGTCATTTAGATGCTCATTGTTTTATCACAAAGCAAAGTTTTCCTTTCTGTTTTTCTGAAGGAAAGATTTACCAAGTAATTAGTAGTAAAAAGGTGATAGAAAGAATGAATGCAGTATGAGAGAGGGAAAATATTGAAGGCCCATACAAACGTGATGGGACCACAATTTATTTTTACATGAGTTTAAGTTCAATTTATGTCTCACCATACATATTATGGTGAGCAGTAAAGGCTTTATAAAGCACAGGCAATAACTGGGATGTTCATCTACCCCATTATCAATCAAGCAATTCCACTGTGTTTTAGAGTTATATATTTACTATCTTACTTCTAAGAAAACTAATTTTGTAAAGTTCATGAAAGCAGGTTTACTAGCAACGATTTCTACTATTTCTAGCTAATATTTACTAAGCACTAATTGTGTATCAGGAATTGTAATGTTTTACATGCAGCCAACAAGAGATGAGGAGGAAAAATAGGAAAATATTGGTTATGACCAATGGGTGTTTTTACAACTACGATTAAGACTAAAATAAATGTATATTTTAGGAGACAACATAGAATATAAATGTTTTATGTGCTAACCGTGTCAAATACTCCATCTCACAAAAATTGGAAAGGGAATGCAGACAGCAGGTAGAAGTGTTCACATTTTAATTGCTTTATCTTTAATAATAGAAACTTAAAGAATATTATTTAAAGCTGATGGATCAAGTAGTAGAATTATTAAGTACATTTAGCACTACGAAGCTAACATTAAATTGAGTGATGAGGTTGGTGGTGGTAGATCCTGTCTATGTCTCTTGACTATGGTGGTGATTGCATAACTGTGTGACTTTATCAAAGCACATGCAAATATATACCAAAAAGAGTGAGTTTTGCTGCATATAAATTATACTTCAGAAAAGAGACTTTTAAAATCAGCTGAAGTAGCAATTCCCACCTTCTTCGGGTCAAATGAATTATGAGATAATTTGATTCCTAATTTTTCTGAAAAATAGAAGGGTGCAGGATGGGGGGTAGCAGAAGGAATACTGCTACCAAATATTAAAACACATTATAAAGCCTTAATAATTAAAACAATATATTATTGGTTCTTGAGAGATGCGTTGAAGAGAGTGGTATAGGCCTGACTATACATGGCATCTCATATAATTGAAGAAATGATATACTGTAGCAAATTCTATTGAGACAATTGTGTAAAAAAAAAAAGTAAAGTTTAATCCACACAATAAATTGTACACTGTGAATTTCAGATAATCAAAGATTAAATGCAAGATAAGTCAAATGCTAAAAATACTAAAAGGAAACATAGGTTTATAAACTTGGAGGAAGGGAGTCTTTCTAAGTAAGAACTTTAATTCAGAAACCCTGAAAGAAACACTGATAAATCTAATTGCATCTATATAAATTTCTAAATGGCAGAATATGCTATAAGCAAAGTCACAAGAGAAACTACATACTGAAAATAATTTTTCAATTTCTGTCACAACAGAAAGCTAATCTCTCCCACATATAGGTAGATTATATAAATAAATAGACGACAAACCCAATAGAAAATTGGACAAATAATTGAACGGTGGCTTACAAAGAAGGAAATACAGATGACTCTTAAACATGTGCTCAGTCTCTGTCGTACTAAGAAAAATGTCTTAAGAAATCTTTGCTTTACTCAAGGTCACACAGAATTTTCCTTTGTTTCTTGGAGTTTCAGTTTTTACATTTATGTCTATGATTTATTTCTAATTAATTTTTGTGTATAGTGTGAGATAAGGTTAGATATTAATATTTTCTAGCACCCTTAATTGAAATGCTGTTCTTTCCCATGAATTGCTTGGCATATCTTGAAAATTAATTGGCCATATTCATGTGAGTCTATTTTTGTGTTCTTTTCATTTGATCTTTAAGGCTGTCCTTTCACCAGTAACATACTGTCTTAATTACTGTAACTTTATACTGAGTCTTGGTCAGGTAAGGAAAATCTCCCCATTTTGATCTTTTTAAAAATTGCTTTGATAGTTTGGTCATGTGGCAGGGGGGAGTTTAAAATAAATGTTAGAATCTGGCTATTTCTGCTTTAAAAAAAAGACTGCTAGAATTATGAAGGGATTGGATTGAATGAATTTATCAATTTGGAATTGGATAAATTTGGAATTGGAATGATCAGCATTTTAATATTGAGTTTTACAGTTCATGACTATAATGTATCTTTTCATTTTTAAGTTGTCTTTTTTATTTTTATTTTTTAATGGAGTCTGTCCCTGTCACCCAGGCTGGAGTGCAGTGGCACGATCTTGGCTCACTGCAACCTTTGCCTTCTGGGTGTAAGCAATTCTCCTGCCTCAGCCTCTCGACTAGCTGGAATTAGAGGCGCCCTGCCACCACGTCCAGCTAATTCTTTGTATTTTTAGTAGAAGTGGGGTTTCAGCATGGTGGCCAGGCTGGTCTTGATCTCTTGACCTTGCTTGCTTGCTTTCCTTTTTGGTGTTTTTGTTTTGTTTTTGCCTTGTCATCTCATTCCTTTGCTCAGAGCAAAATAAGCTTAAATGTTACCATTTTCCTTACTTTGTCCTGAAATTTTATTTATCTCCACTCTTTTCAACCCCCTTTCTCCTTCCTTCTCTTCCAACAAGTACCGTTTACCTTAGGAACCTGGGGTTCCTCTTTCCGTTTCTTCCATTTGAAAAGCATTAAAATGTGGCATCATGCATAATGGAAAGCATATGGATTTCACAATTAGACCTTAAGTTGAATCTCTGCTGTGTCAGCTGACTAGTTATCTGGTTAGCTGAAGAAGACCAGGTATTTATTTGGGCAAGTTACTTTCTGCCCAAGTTACTCTCTGAATTTAAGTTTAATTTATAACATGAAGATTATAATCCAACTTTGTAAAATTATTCAAAAGTCTAAATGAGGTGCTTGACACAAAGTAGTTGCTCAATAAATGTTAATTCCCAGTCAGAGTTACAACTGGTGAACATGAGATTAGCAGTAGGTTTATACTTTATAAAAGTTATGAAATGAATTTAAGCATTGTGGTATTAACACTTACCTTTTATACAGCACTTCACATTTTCTACACTTTTACATAGATTATCTCAATATAATCAGCCACTGGCATTGGTTCATAGTGCTTAAAGGATTCCTTTAGTATTTTCATAACTGTCTACTTCCTCATCTTCAGATCTGCATTTTTCACATTTATTAGTTTGAGTTTGTTCAGTAATAGAGCAGTAGTGTCATTTTTTATTTTTCAGCATATAATTTTTCAAAGCATATTACAGCTATATGTTAGCCTTAGCTAAACGTTAGTGGGTCTTGTCATTATTTATAAATGAATGATGGGGAAATGAGTCCAATTTCCAAATAAATATTACTTTTTAAAGATACCTTTATTATATAAACTAGAAATTAATTTTTAAAGCTCATTTAATTCCCATTTGGTGACTTTCTAGTACATTTTCTTTTATGCATATCAAGCATTTTTGCTACCATTGTTATTTCACTAAAATCTTCATATTGTTCATATATATCATGAAAAAAGTGGTTTATTTTGACTTATTTACTATCTCCTTTGTTTTAAATCTTTTTACTCTGTGGTTATTTATACAAACAGTGATACAAAATTCCTAGTGTTTACTAGAAATTGTTTCTTTATGCATCTCTATCTTATCCTTTAGTGTCCAAAAGTTTATGAGGCATTTCTAAGGGATAAAGGATTTCCCATCTTTATCTATTCACCATGTGAGCCATTCTAGTGACAAATGAATTCTGGGCAGTGAATCGAGAAGGACACAGATGTCAAAGCCATGAATTTATAAATGGTCTGTTAAGAGCATGCTTTTGTCCAATCAGCGCTTTGTTAATTTCACCTACAACAAGAAATAATTATTCAATTATAGCTTCTATCTGACAAAAATCAAATGACAAATGTGTCAGAATGCAAAGGTAAAGGGTCAGGATTCTGGCAGGTGGTCCAAGATTTTAGCCAGCTGTGAGGAGGTGGTTATAGAACCAAATTGACCTATAACACTGATTACATATCCTTATGCATATTCATAGATCTTACTAACCGAAAGATTAAAAATAATTTTATTTGCAAATTCTAGCAATATAAAAACTGTGCTTTTCTGTATTTTTGTGAAAGACAAATAATTTGAAAAATACACAACACCCAAAAATAAAATCATGTTCTTCTTTAGTTTCTCTTCTAATTACCAACAATTTCAAAATTGTTTTATTACTTTTAGTAAGTTACAATTTTTTCTTATAAAAAAGTTACCTTTAGTTTTATGGTGTCACTAATATATTACTTAATATAGAGCCAGAGATAAGTAAATTTTTTCAGTAAAAGGCCATATAGTAAATTTTTTTTCAGTTTTATAGGCCATATAGCCTCTGTCCCAACTATTCAACTCTGCCACTGTAGTGTAGTGTGGCCATAGACAACATGTAAACAAATGAATGTGGTAGTGTTACAGCTAAACTTTATATATTAATACAAAAACTGGCAGCAGGCTGGATTTGACTATGGGCCATAGTCTGCTGACCCTGATAGAGAGACTGATGGCATTTTAAAACTTCAGCAAGATTTTAAAAGATATTCTAAAATAGCAGAACTGTATCAACTATGTTAAGTATCTTGAATGTCTGTGTACTGCACAACTCCAGAGGATATTCAGTTCCCATTAACTATATAGTGTGAACGGCACTCCCTGAAGTAGGACCATATGGTGGCCCTGATAATAACCCCCCTCCATTTCTGCTCATTTATATCAAGGTTATCTGTATCTAGCCTGCTGCCTGTTTTGTAGATAAAGTTTTATTGGAACACAGCCATGCTCATTTGTTTATATATTGTCCATGCTGCTTTCACACCAATAGCAGAAAGCAGTAGTTTCAACAAAAGTCAGTTTTGTCCACAAAACCTAAACTGGTAATTTCACAAAAAATGTTTGCTGATCACCTGACTATACCCTTATTATGTTCCTCTTTAATGATGAAACGACAGGGCATAATGTGGGAAAGCTTCTGTAATTATTCAGTCCAACAAAGGATGTATCAGAAAGTTAGCCACATACCTAAAGCTGCTTCTGAATTCTTATTTTTTTATTCAGTGTTTCTCATCCTAAGGATGTGGTTCAACAAACTAAATACACTTCCTTATAGCTGATCCTCTTACTGAGTTAACATTTTCAATAACAAATCAGTTACTTTGAAGAATTTGTATCAATCAAGAATTTAAACACAATCCAGAGGCTTTACCTGTTTGTGGAGGAAGGGCAGAGTTTGCATGGCAATGGACCGTGGTCTGGTGCAGCTGGCATACATCCCTCACATGCCTATCAGGGAAGACTTGAGAAACTTCTTATCAGTGACTTAGTACTACGTAGTTTTTTCTGAGTATCTCACAAGTTAGGTTTGGAAGCAATTGCGTTGGTGCCAGTAAATCTTATCGTGGGCTTTATTTGGAGAATAATTTAGTGCTGCTGTCATTGAATAATAAAATTGCTAAGGCTGTGGAAATAAACGTTAGGAGGAAGGAGAGAGTAATTTTTCTATTGTTTACACCTGAAAGCTAGTTAATACTCATGGTTTTTGTTTGTTTGTTTTTGTTTTTGCTGCATTTCTTTGGTACATTTATACTTGTTTCATTTTGCTGATATGGGAACATGTGATTTATATTTTTAATTCATGAGTACCCTAAAAGTTGATATTTGAGATATTGGAAAGACAAAGTTAATTTTGTTATTTCTTTACTTGTTATTAGTGGAGAGTTTCTCCTTCAATCACACTTTCCTTAACTCATGTAACACTTACCTTCTTGGTTCTCTTACTTTTGTGGCTCCAGCTTCTCGGTCAAGTCCCTTGAATTCTAGTATTCATTATCTATTCTCCCTAGGTCTCATGAACTCCCTTTACTTATCTTTCATTTATATGCCTATGGTCTCCAAATTTATGTCTTCAACTTAGATATCCTTTTTTGAATTTCAGACCTTTGTATTCAGCTACATTTCAGACATTTTTATTTGTTTATCTCTTAAGCACTAAATGCTCCTGTTCCTTTTGAATCTGCCCATATTTATGTCCTATTATAATGGTTAGTACCACAATCTGTGCTGTTACTAAAGCTAAATACTGTCATCCTTGACCTTTTGCCCCACAGCCACTCAGCCTCAAAGTCCTCTGAGTTCTACTTCATAAATATCCCTTGAATACATCTCATCCTTTCCATTCCCACAGCAATATCCTAGTTCAGATCACCTGGTTTATTTTAACTATCTCTTAATTTGTCTCTGTTTTCATCTTAGACCCTCCCATTATTCTCCACATTGCATTCCAGGTGGTTTGTCTAAAATCAAAATCTAGTCATGTTGCTACCCTATGTAAAATTTTTTACTGGATTATCATTATTCTTAGAATTAAGTCCAGTTTACTAATTTGGTTTACTCAGCATGTAGTCTTTGGTCTCTACTTACCTTTCTAGCCTTGTGTCTTATTTCTCTCTCAATTAGATTGTATATGGGCCATCCCATCTATTGTGACCCTTTATGCACACTGCTGCTCACTTTGCCTAGAATACACTTTCCCTCCCCACTCCCAACTTACTGGGCTTCAGTTCTTATCTTATATATTATCCCTTCTCCCCTGCTCCAGCCAAGTCTGAATTAGCTGGTTTTGCCATGAGCTCCCTTAGTACCTTGGATGCTCCTGTTCTTAGTATTTATTACCTCACAAATAACTATGCATTTCTTTTTCAAAATAGTCTAAATATAAGTTTATTGAGGATAGTGATATGTGTCCATAGTCTGTAAATTAGACTGGCACATGTGTCTGGCACATACTTTATGCTTATAAATATTTTTCTATTAAATGAGAGTAATATGAAGTGGTCTTCTGTATAACTATAAAACCCTATTACATGATTTTCTTACATGCTACATATCTTTTTAAATGATTTGTCCTTTTCTGCATGTTTTTAGAGGAATATAGGAATAAGTAAAGATCTAGTACCTTTTAAGTTAGCATACTTTAAGTTTTAATATCAATAAATATGTTTATTTCAGAATTGTTTAATTATATAACCCTATTTTAATTCAAACCCTATCATTGGAATCCCTGTTTTAATTTTATCATCATGATAATGCGTATCTGTTTTTAAAAGAGGCTACAAGATGAAGCATGGTTGTTTTTCCTGATCTATACCTTCATTAATCTCCCATTGCTAGTAATCCTTACTGATGGATTTGATATTTATATTTAGGCTTTAAAAAATTATATTCCATAAGAAAGGGAGATAATGCTTAATTGTTGGGCATTTTGTTTGTTACAGTCTACCCTGACATTTGCACTATCAGCCTTGTAGCAGTGAGTGATGTGAATAAACATGCTGATAGAATTGCTTTTTGGGATGATGTCTATGGCTTCAAGATGTCCTGCATGAAGAAAGCAGTTATTCCAGAAGCTGTTGTGGAAGTTTTAGATCCGAAGACTCTTATTTCAGAACCTTGTGGTATTAAGGTAGGTGTTTTACCAACTTTATTTTTTATAATGGTATTGCTATTTTTCTTAGTTCAGCATTTGAAAATAATATATTGATTTTATATATGGGCTTTCAAAACAGTACTTTTCCCATTGTAATCAGTCTAAAACAAATTGAGGTCATAATATTTACCAGTTGACTATATCATCTCTTTAGAATCACTTCTCTGTATATTAAAACTCCTTACACTCAGTTTTACAGTCCTTCAAATCTAACTCTGAACCGGTTGAATAATTTATATTTACTTTGGCTTAATAAGGTAAAAAGTCCTGCTGTATTATCAGTTCTGCTTCATCATCCTCCCCAGCCTTATTTTAGCTTCTCATTTACAGCCAGATTATTCATTCGTGTCATATATTCCACACAGTTTAACTTCTCTCATTCAGATTTCTTCCAGCGTTTTCAGATTAAGTAATTACATATAGTAAATTTGCCCATGAAACGAAAGCCCTACTATGTTCAGATTTCTCAGTTAATTCCTTTTGTGTTTTGTCATCTTATTTTTTGCCATGTTAATCTCTGGGTTTATTATGAATTTTTCTATGTTGAATTTACATGGGTTCACTAATAACTTTGCAGCAAAAAACAATACTGCTTTTCTTAACTCTTGGTCTGTTTCAACTAGATAATCAAATCTAGAGCAGTATGTTCAGTGTTAGGTTCAGGATATTGTCTTTGTCTCAAGAGAAAAAAAAAAAAAGAGTCTCACTCTGTCGCCCAGGCTGGAGTGCAGTGGCGCAATCTCGGCTCACTGCAATCTCCGCCTCCCGTGTTCAAGCGATTCCCCTGCCTCAGCCTCCCAAGTAGCTGGGACTACAGGCATGCACCACCATGCCTGGCTAAATTTTTGTATTTTAGTAGAGATGGGGTTTCACCGTGTTGACCAGGATGGTCTTGATCTCCTGACCTCATGATCCGCCTGCCTCGGCCTCCCGAAGTGCTGTCTTCTCGTTTTAATCACGCTGTTACTTTCATATAGCATCAATATTTCTTCTCTGTACAAAGCAGATATTTAGTACATATTTAATTTTCTTAAATGGATAAAGCATTAATAGTATAGAGTAATAAATGTGAAGTTTCTTAACAAGAGCAGGCTGATTAAAAGTGCGTTCAGCTTTTAAGAAAAACAGTCTGCTTGATGGTTATACGACTTCAGTGCTCTGGTACAGTGAGAATAAAGAGTTTATTTGGGCTCTTTGGCTCAGGATAGGAGTGTACAGTTATAACCAACTAAGCCTTAAAGTTGAGCAGAAAGAGGAGAGTTGGTGGAGGTTGCTGATTTCTCTCTCTAGTGATCTCTGCTTAATGCAAAAACTGCCATGAATAAATAGTTGAGACAGAAAAATTTAGACCTGAAAATAAGGTGTTAAAAAGTGTATGTACTCTTTTTTTTTTTTTAACATTTATTTAAGTAAATAGTTTGTTCTGTATTTTCCAGTCCTCCCACAAACACATTGTACTGTTAAAATGTTTTCTCAAATTGTTTTCAATAGTGTCTCAGATGTGTGGTTACATTAATTGCATTCACTGGGTTATGATCTACTCCTGGCTGGATCTACTCAGCTGATGACGGTCTTTACAGCACACTTCTGGTTAGACTGCTGTAGTTGAAAGGTGATTCCATCCCTTCTCCAAAGTATAATGGAGAAGGATTTGAAAAAGGGCAGAATGGGAAAATAAAGATATTTCGCTATTTTTTCTCTGGATCGAAATCTCCATAGTTTTGCTGTTTTGTTTGAATTGTGTGGTTTCTCCTCATATCTAACAAAACTTATCTTCAATTATAGACATGAATTTTAAAACAACTTTCTTTTCATTAGCATGTGTTTTCAAGTTGGCAGTTCCTATAAATGTATTGACTGTTATCACACATATTTTATAGCAGTTGTGGTGGGTGTACCATACACAGTAGGCAAAATGATGTTAGGTGAAACACAGGAAAACATTTTTTATTTGAAAGTATTTATTTTAGTGTGTCAGGAAAACTTTAGCACATTAGCACTATGATTTGATAAATACTATTGTTTACAAGGAGCCTAAGTTAAATGAATTTAAGAAAAAATTAACAAGATGATAGTACTAGTACTCCTTAAACTTATAAATAATTCCAAAAATTAGCATGTGAGTAAAGTTTGCAAAACTTTGGTTTCCAATAATCATTTGTGCATAAAAGAAGTAATGTTTGTCTGGGTTGTTTTTGTTTTATTTTTTGTTTTTTTTTTTTGGACTATTTTTACTAAGCTCTTTCTTCACTTCTTTTTAATGGGTAGCATATAGATTGCCATACGACGTCTATCTCAGATTTGGAATTTTCATCAGATTTTACCCTGAAAATCACAAGGACATCCATGTGCACGGTAAGCTATTTCATTCTGCTTTTACAAATTTCACTAGCAGTGCAGTTGATTGGCAGGCTAATGAGTTTAATTACCAGGCTTGTGACAAATGAAAATGACTATTGCCTCTGACAGTCTACCATTGCCTTTGCTAGGCCATTGAACAGATCTGGTTAATAGGTCAGTAAACTTCAAAAAAGTTTAATTCAGTAGAAAAAGTATTAGGAAACCCTGTTTACATAATGATTTTTCTTTATAGAGTCTTCATTATTTCCTATCACGTGGTTAGTCAAGAGCACTCAACTTTATCTTCAAAGACCAAAGTTCATACCCTATTCCTCCCTTTAACTCTTTACATTTAATTTAGATGGAAGATATGTTTATTTGGTAGAATATTTTATGTTTTATATTTATGTATGAAAAAATTACTGAACTGCTATTGAGTTACCTTTCAAAAATCTAATAATAATTTAATAGTCTAATAGAAAAAATCCTTTGGAAAAGTTAGGCAGATCTGGGTTCCTATGTGGTTCTACCACTTATTTCGTTGTTAAGTTACCTAAGTAATCTGTACTTCAGACTATTCAGTTGCTTTAAGAAAAATGGGGATAATTCTGTTTCGATGACTCATTACATGGATTCATGAGATATATGTGAAAATACCTGCAATGTAGCCAGAAACGTTAGATTATTAAAATATAAAAAATTTTTCATCTCAAATAATTTATAAATGTTTATTTTTTTAAGATAACATTTACTGCTGTCAGGAGACTCAAATTGTTCATAAAATCTGCTCCTTATAGTATGAGTTTATATAGGTGGTATTAACATATTTATATTATTTTAAAAATATATGGTTTTTAAAACTATGTCCTCAGAAGTTTACATTTTTATGGAAAATTGTATTGTCAGAATCTGTAAAATAGATTATAAGTCATGTTAACATTGAGTCTTCTGCCTGATTCTTTTAAATATTTGGTTCAGATCGATATATTATACACAAGACTTCATGTCTTTACAGTTGTTTCAGTTCATTTTGATTCAGTGATTATTTTATATCCAAATAAGTTTAACAATGTACTTTGATGTTTTGAGGGAATCTTCTTTTAGTTGAAGTTGGTTTTATAATTTTTTAAAGTTTAAATATCCAGATTTAAGTTTAATTTAAATATCCAGATTAAAGTTTAAATATCACAAATAAAGATTTGTGACTTTGGAGCACTCATTATTTATTTAATTAACAAAAAGCAAAATTTGATTCATTTCCCATGTATTTTCTAATTCTGCTTTTTAGTAATTGAAATTATTTTTGTCAATTGAAATTAGGCTAAAGGCTAACTCCTAGACTTTCCTTTTTGTTTTGATATTATTAATACATGAGGGTTGAAAAAAGACCATCTTGATTAATGAAAATTGATCAATCATCTATAAAGGAATTCCTAGAATAAATTGTCATGTCACCAGTATTAAATATATATTTCACATATATTTTCAGTGCCTATCACATGAATCAAAATAGAGCAGATGTAAAACTCTACTGAAGATGTCAAAAGCTTGTGCATATTTGTGAACTCTAGAAAAGTTTATTGACTTTCATTGAAATGTTCTTTTTTTCTAGTTTATTGGTCAGGGTTCTTAGTTTTCGACAACAGAATTTAAATCGGTTGGTTTAAACTGAGAGATTTGTTAGAGGGAATACAATAGTTTCCAGACACATTGGGAGACCTAAAGGAACAGACAGTATTTTCAACTTCTAGAAACTTCTAGAACCACACCTTTGAACTGGCCTGCTACAGAGCTGCCTGTTTTAAATAGCCTAGCACTGTAGGTTCTATTTACCTTAATTCCCCTAGCCCACTCCGTGTTAGCCACCACTGACAACCCCAGATGAACAAAACCCTTTACTACCATCCTGGTTCCTGGTCCTCTGTCCTCCCAACCCAGGTAGGCCATGTTCTCCTTCCAAATCTTCATTCAGCATATCTGCTTGGTGAATCTAGGTCATGTGGGGCCCTAGCTGTCAGTAAGTTTTGGAAAGCAGTTTTAGCTACAGTTTTATACTACAGATCTGGAGTTTCATAACACATATATGGAATTGTTTTCTATTTCCTAGTATTTAGGATAGAGTACAAGAAGGTTTGTATTAAATGAAACTGTATCCTTCAGTCATCTTAGTTTTATTCTGTATACTTAAAAGAGTAAAAAGAAACATCTTAGTTTTATTCTGTATACTTAAAAGAGTAAAACAAAACAAGAAAAAAATTGGTAAAGTCTATTTAATTCAAAGATTGTAATTGAACTTTTAATATTGAAGAATCTAAGTATCAAATAGTTACTTGCTGCATTTGTCCCTGTACAAAGTTCCATAAGAAAAATGAATTATAAGTAAACTGTTACATTATATCTATAAAGTACCTTTTATTTAGATTTGCATTTTTAGTCGCAACTTGCCTGAATGGTGTTTATGAAAAAGTTTGTTTGGAAATTAGGTGAGCCTAAGGTTTGCGAAGAAGGTGGCAGGAGGTTGGAGTGGAGTTACAGGTGTCTAGTTACTGCTGAATAACCTAGTTCCATAACTCACCTCAGGAAGAATGTATTGTTACAAACCATTTATTGGATGCATGCCAGGTACTGAAGATAAAATATTTTAGTAGTTAGCATTGAATGTTAACTCTTCTGACATTATCCTTTAAAATTTAGTTAATATTATCAGAGGAAGGTAACGTACATCAACAGTCGTTGAACACTTGAATGTCAGACAATGTGCTAATCACTTTAAAAGCATTATTTAGTTCTCATAATAACCATTTGAGATGAGTACTCATATTATTCCCATCTTACTGGTGAAGGAAAAAAATTACTGTTTTACTTGTGAAATAAAATCTCCTTACTCTTTCCTGACCCAAAAAACCTTCTTTGTGGGATTGTAGAAACTATTAAAAGAACTTAGAGAAACCTATGAATAAGATCTTACAGGGGTAGAAGAAAGCAGGCTTCGTGTTGCATTTGAAACAGATTTAACAATGTTTATTTTTGGCAAATAGTCCAGCAGTTGGAATGAAGAGGGAAAGAGAATATGTATAATCAGAATTCACTCTTCTTAAGAGACAGGCCTCACAGATTCATGTGATGAAATCAGTACCAGAGTTCATCCTCTTTGCAGCAGATAGGAAGTAGATCTTTGAAGTTTTTCTTTATCCTCTCAGAGTAAGCTTATACTTGTTTGGTTAAGCATCTACATTTCTTGGAAACCTCCTTCCCAGCATGCTAACTCTAACGTGAGCTTGACATATGTAAGATGTTGTGGCCTAATGCTTCTATTAGGTGTTCATTATTTGTGAATCTTAACTATCCACCCATATTTACTTCGATTCTCTTGCTCTTTGGGATGGTATCAGCTCCTTACCCTCCCTCCTACAGACCTATCCATCTGGAGCTACTTACGCAAGCATGGCCTCTTTGAATGGATTAGTCGCCCAGTTTATGTGGGAATAATCCATAACAAAAGTATTAAAAAGGATGAGTGCCTAATTGGAACTTTGTTTCCCCTTTATAGTTAGAAGAATTAGCGAAGATATTGAAAGTTTTTGAAAAAGCCTAGTAAAGGAATAAATAAAGTAACTGGGGAATAAGAGGAAGAGATTGGGCTTTTTTAGATAGAGGGAAGAAGAAAGTATCTGAATTTGTACTGCTAAGTACAAACCTTCAGATATTAAATGCTTTTCTTCTTGTGTTGAAACTTGAATGCTTAGCTACTAATTAAAGTGGAGAATTTCTCTATTATAGTTAGCCCAGTTTAAATATATGTATGATATATGTATAACGTGGTTTTTGTTTTGTTTGTTTGTTTGTTTGTTTTGAGACAGGGTCTCACTCTATATTGCCTAGGCTGGAGTGCAGTGGCATGATCTCAGCCCACTGCAACCTCCGCCTTCCAGGTTCAAGCGATCCTCTTGGCTCAGCCTCCCTAGTAGCTGGGACTGCAGATGTGCGCCACCACAGCCGGCTAATTTTTGTATTTTTAGTAGAGACAGGGTTTCACTGTGTTGGCTGTGCTGGTCTCAAACTCATGTCCTCAGATGATTTGCCTGCCTCAGCCTCTCAAAGTGCTGGGATTACAGGCATGAACCACTCTCTGCCTGGTCATAACCATTTATTTCTTAATGAGATTCTAAATTTGTGGCCTAATTTAAAAGTTAGAGGAAATTGGATTTTACAAAGTTACAAGATGCTAAGAACACCCCTTTTGTATTTTAATAGCATGTATGCTATAGACTGATAATGCTTTTAGATAGCTTCTTGAAGATTATTAGAACCTTTCATGAAAAACATTATCTTCTGCAGTCTTCTCCACCACCAAATACACACATCCCCATATGCCACAGACGAAGCTTCATGGCATTTTAATGTTTTACATTAACAGACTTTATATTTTAGGAATTTAACATGTGATATTTATATGTAAATGTCTTGAATCTTGAATCATCTATAATGATTGAAGGATAATTTTTCAATGAGTACTGGTACCACATAGCAGTTTTCTGAGCATTTCTTACTTTAGGATATTTTTGACAGTTTAGATAAAATTGTCATTGCTTTTACAATAGAGATGAAGTTTAGCTGGCTCCTGACATTTCATCTATCATATCAGCCTGCTTAACCTAGCCAAAAATGAACAATAAAGTCAGTGATTTTTGTGGAAAGTTTATAGGTGTTCAAAAGCAAAAGCGGTAAGACTATAAAATTTAGAAGTCATATGTTTTATCTTGTGAGTTCTCGTTTATTTGTAATGTCATTTGTGTAATATTCGCTTACTCTGTATGCCAAGTGGCATTTATATTTTCATCTGTGTGTCTATAAGCTACTTAAAGGTATAGAAAGGTATGTTCGTTCATAATTCTAAGTATACATTAAATGATTTTGAATAATGCTTATTATAGAACAAATGAGTTGTTTACCTTAAAAATGAAAATAGTTAAGATGGATTTATCAGATTACATGCTCACACAAATAACACAGGTTGAGTATCTCTTATACAAAATGCTTGCTTGGGCCCAGAAGTGTTTCAGATTTAGAAATTTTTTGGATTTTGGAATATTTCCATTTATGCATTCCTAATGCAGAAATCTGAAATCCAAAAGCATTTCCTTTGAGCATCATGTCATCACCCAAAATTTTAGATTTTGGAGCATTTCAGGTTTTCAGATTATGAATATTCGACCTGTAAAGGTTTTTATTTGATATATCATCTCTTAATAGTTTTTATATCTTAATTTCAGCATTTTTTCTTTTATTCTACTTTTCTATTAGCATGTACCAGAATGACTGGTATAGCAATTTTCAGTTTTCACAAACATTCCTTAACATGTTTTTCCTAGGAATTTTTCTTTTACTACAGTTGTTAAAGATAAACATCTGAATTAAAAAAGAAGCAGACTTTTTTAATACAGTCATGTATCACTTAATGAGGGGGATATATGTGAAGAAGTGTATTGTTATGCAGTCTTGTCATTGTGCAAATATTATAGAATATACTTACAAAAACCTAGATTATATAGCCTACTATACACCTAGGCTATATACTATAGCCTGTTGCTCCTAGGTTACAAACCTGTACAGCATGTTACTGTATTTACAACTATAGGCAATGACAACACAATGGTATTTATGTATCTAAGCATAGAAAAGGTACAGTAAAAATATGGTATTACAATTTTTTCTTCACCTTTTCAGTTCTGGGGTTCATGTGCAGGATGTGCAGGTTTGTTCCATAGGTAAACGTGTGCCATAGTGGTTTGCTGTACAGATCATCCCCTCACCCAGGTATTATGCCCAGTGTCCATTAGCTGTTCTTCCCTCAACCTCCTCCCTCTAACAGGCCCCAGCATGTGTTGTTGCCTCCCCAGGTATCCATGTGTTTGCATTATTCAGCTCTCACTTATAAGTGAGAACATGTGGTGTTTGATTTTCTGTTCCTGCATTCGTTTGCTCGGGATAACAGCTCTCAACTCCATCCACGGCCCTGCAAAGGACATGATCTCGTTCCTTTTTAGGGCTGCATAGTATTCCATGGTGTATATGTATATGTACCACATTTTCTTTATCCAGTCTACCATTAATGGGCATTTAGGTTGACTCCATGTCTTTGCCATCATGAATAGTGCTGCAGTGAACATACATGTGCATGTATCTTTATAATTGAATTATTTATATTACACTGGATATATGTACCCAGTAATGGGATTGCTGGGTCAAATGGTAGTTCTGCCTCTAGGTCTTTGAGGAATTGCCACTGTCTTCTGCAATGGTTAAACTAATTTACATTTCCACCAACCATGTAAACAGCGTTCCTCCTTCTCCACAACCTCACCAGCATCTGTTTTACTTTTTAATAATCACCATTTTGACTGGTATAAGATGGTATTTCCTTGTGGTTTTGATTTACGTTTCTCTAATGATCAGTAATGTTGAGCTTTTTTTCCATATGTTTCTTGGCCACATGTAAAGAAGTGTTTGTTCCTGTTGTTTGCCCACTTTTTAATGGTTTTTTTTCTTGTAAATTTGCATTAGTTCTCGGTAGATTTTGAATATTAGACCTTTGTCAGATGGATAGATTGCAAAAATCTCCCATTCTGTAGGTTGTCTGTTCATTCTGATGATAGTTTCTTTTGCTGTGCAGAAGCTCTTTGTTTAATTAGACCCCACTTGTCAATTTTTGCTTTTGTTGCAAGTGCTTTTGGCATTTTTGTCATGAAATCTTTGCCCGTGCCTATGTCCTTAGTAGTATTACCTAGATTTTCTTCTGGGGTTTTTATAGTTTTGGGTTTTACATTTAAGTCTTTAATCCATTTTGAGTTAATTTTTGTGTATGGTGTAAGGAAGGGGTCCAGTTTTAATTTTCTGCACATGGCTAGCCAGTTCTCCCAACACCATTTATTAGAGACTCCTTTCCCCTTTGCTTGTTTTTGTCAGGTTTTTTGAAGATCAGTTGATTGAAGGTGTGAAGTCTTATTTCTGAGCTCTCCATTCCGTTCCATTGGTCTATGTGTCTGTCCTTGTACCAGTACCATGCTGTTTTGGTTACTGTAGCCATATGCTATAGTTTGCAGTTGGGTAGCATGATGCCTCTAGCTTTGTTCTTTTTGCTTAGGATCATCTTCACTATTCAGGCTCTTTTTTGGTTTTAAAATAGTGTTTCTAATTCTGTGAAGGATGTCCAATGGTAGTTTAATGGGAATAGCATTGAATCTATACATTACTTTGGGAAGTATGGCAATTTTCACAATATTGATTCTTTCTATCCCTTAGCATGGAATGTTTTTCAATTTGTTTGTGTCCTTTCTGTTTTCTTTGAGCAGTGGTTTGCAGTTCTCCTTGAAGAGGTCCTTCACTTCCCTCGTTAGCAGTATTCCTAGGTATTTTTTTTTGTAGCAATTGTGAATGGGAGCTCATTCATGATTTGGCTCTCAGCTTGCCTGTTGTTGGTATATGAGAATGCTAGTGACTTTTTGCTCATTGATTTTTGTGTCCTGAGACTTTGCTGAAGTTGCTTATCAGCTTAAGAAGCTTTTGGGCTGAGATGATGGAGTTTTCTAGATACAGGATCATGTCATCTGCAAACAAAGATAATTTGACTTCCTCTCTTACTATTTAAATATGCTTTATTTCTTTCTCTTGCCTGATTGCCCTGGCCAGGACTTCCAATACTATGTTGAATAGGAGTGGTGAGAGAGGGCATCCTTGTCTTGTGCCTGTTTTCAAGGGGAATGCTTCCACCTGTTGCCCATTCAGTGTGATATTGGCTGTGGGTTTGTCATAAATAGCTCTTATGATTTTGAGATATGTTCCACCAATACCTAGTTTTAGAGTGTTTAACATGAAGGGATGTTGAATTTTACTGAAGGCCTTTTCTGCATCTATTGAGATAATTGTGTGATTTTTGTCATTGGTTCTGTTTTTGTGATGAATCACATTTATTGATTCCATATGTTCAACCAATTTTGCCTCCCAAAGATGAAGCCAACTTGTGCTGCTGAATTCAGTTTGCCAATATTTTGTTGAGGATTTTTGCATTGATGTTCATCAAGGATATTGGCCTGAAGTTTTCTTTTTTTGTTTGTTCATCAAGGATACTGGCCTGAAGTGTTCTTTTTTTGTTTTGTCTCTGCCAGGTTTTGGTATCAGGATGATGCTGGCCTCATAGAACAAGTAGGGAGGAGTTCCTCCTTTTCAATTTTCAGTTGTTTTGAATGGTTTCAGTAAAAGTGGTACCAGCTCCTCTTTGTACCTCTGGTAGAATTAAGCTGTGAATCTATCTGGTCCTGGGCTTTTTTTGGAGGGTGGGGGGTGGAGGGTGGGGAGGTGTTGATAGGCTATTTATCACCGCCTCAATTTCAGAGCTCATTATTGGTCTCATCAGGGATTCAATTTCTTCCTGGCTCAGTCTTGGGAGGGTGTATATGTCCAGGAATTTATCCATTTCTTCTAGGTTTTCTAGTTTATATACAGGTTTTTATAGTTTTCTTTGATGGTTGTTTGTATTTCTGTGGAGACCACGGTAATATTCCTTTACCATTCCTGATTGTATTTATTTGATTCTTCTATTCTTTATTATCTAGCTAGCAGTCTATCGTATTAATTTTTTCAAAAAAACAGCTCCTGGATTCTTTGATGTTTTGAAGGGTTTTTTGTGTCTCTATCTTCTTCACTTCTGCTCTAATCTCGGTTATTTCTTGTCTTCTGCTAGGTTTGGGGTTTGTTTGCTTTTGGTTCTCTAGTGCTTTTAGTTGTGATGTTAGGATGTCGATTTGAGATCTTTCTGTCTTTTTGATGTGTACATTTAGTGCTATATATTTCCCTCTTAACACTGCGTTAGCTGTGTCCCAGTGATTCTGGTATGTTGTCTCTTTGTTCTCATTAGTTTCAAAGAACTCCTTGATTTCTGCCTTAATTTCACTTATTTACCCAGGAGTCATTAAGGAGCAGTTGTTCAATTTCCATGTAGTTGTGTGGTTTTGAGTGAATTTGATTGTGCTGAGGTTTGAGAGACTGTTATGATTTCAATTCTTTTTCATTTGCTGAGGAGTGTTTTACTTCTGGTTAACAGCTCCTGTAATGTTTTACCATGATTCTTAGCTTCTTTACATTGGGTTGCAACGTGCTCCTTTAGCTCAGCAAAGTTCATTATTACCCACCTTCTGAAGCCTACTTCTGTCAATTCAGCCATCTCAGCCCAGTTCTGCAGCCTCAGCCCAGTTCTGTGCCCTTGCTGGAGAGGTGTTGCAGTCATTTGGAGGAAGAGAGGCACTGGCTTTTTGAGTTTTTAGCATTTTTGTGTTGATCCTTTCTCATCTTTGAGGTTGTTAACCTTTGAATGGGGTTTGTGTCAGGTTTTTCATTGATGTTGTTTTCGGTTTTTAACAGTAGGTCCATTCCAGACCCTAGTTGCCTCAGTTTTTCCCATACCAAGTGTCATACAGGGTATGACCAGTGAAGGCTGCAAAACAGCAAAGATGGCAGCCTGCTCCTTCCTCTGGAAGCTCCATCCCTGCAGGGTACTGACCTGTTCCCAGCCTGAACTGCACCCGTACGAGGTGGCTAGAGACCCCTTTTGGGAGGTGTCACCCAGGTAGCAGGAGTGGGATCAGGGATCCGCTTAAAGAAGGAGTCTGGCTCCTTTTTGGTAGTGAAGCTGTGCTGTGCTGTGGGAGACCATTCCTTGTCCAGACCATCTGGACTCTCCAGAGCTGGCAGGCTGGAATAGTCAAGTTGACAGAACTGCAGAGATGGCAGCCGCCCCTCCCCCTGGGAATTTGGTGCTTCTCAGGCAAACCTCTCTGACTGGAATTCCAAGCCAGTGGGGCCCACAGAATTACACTACTTGGCTTCCTGGATTCAGTTCCCCTCCTAAGAGTATCTAGGGACAGATCTCTGGCCTTGCCAGGAATCCTGGGGCCAGAGTATGCAAAACTCCTGAGTCTCTGTGTATGCCCCAGCGGCTGCTCTGCCAGGACTCTATACAGGTGCTATGTATTGGACCGAAGGCCCTGGTGGTGTGGCTTACAAAGGGATCTCCTAGGTGCAAAGATCCATGGGAGAGGTGTGGTTTCCTGGGCAGGATCGCACAATCACTCACTGCTTCCCTTAGCTGGGACTGAGTGTTCCTTTGGCTTCGTGCTGTTAGAATGCTTGTTCTTCAGTACTGCAAGGAAAAATCAGCATTTAGACAAAAAGTTCTCTCAGCGAGGCAATGGTGCTCTTTGCAGATAGAACAATGGCAAGAGCACACTTGAACAAAGGAGGGAAGCAATTTATGTCTTTTATGCAGCTTGTCTTTTCTACTATGTCTTGTTTCCATTGGCTGGAGCCAGACCTCACAATCTAAACTAAAACCTGACTGGCTAATAATTTTAAACTTTTCTAAATAGGTGAAAGCAATGGAAGGACAAAGGAAAAGAGGAAGTTGTTTACTAAAGGACTTAGAAAAGTAATAACATTCTTAAATAAGGAAGGGGTAGGCTGCAAGCTGGGACATGCCTGTGAGCACATCTACTACAAGTATCTTGGTTAAGGTACAAGGACATAGAATGTACTACTTGCCTGTGAGCCTGTGTAACAGCTACATAGGATAGGGCTTAACAAAGGGTTATTAGCACAAAGCAAGGAGGCTTGAACAAACTTAGTCTTTAAAAGAAATTATTATTTCTAACATTTATTATTATCCTTTAACAAGAAGGGAAACTTTGAAGAGGAACTTCTACTTTCTACAGTGCCGCTCCCAGTTGGTTCATCACCCCACCCTGCTTTTCTTCTTTCTCTGTGGGTTGAGATGTTTGCCCAGTCAGTCCCAATACAAGAACCTGGATATTTCAGATGAAGTTGCTGAATTCATTTGCCGCTTTCATTCTTCTCTGTGAGTGCTGCAGACTGCAGCTGCTTCTAATTGGCCATCTTGGCCCCCTTAGTATTATAATCTTATGTGACCACCATTGTATATGCAGTCATTGACTGAAACATTGTTATGTGGCACATGACTCTGTTTTTACTTAAAAACCTCTTAAAGTCCTTTATTTTGGATTCTGTCAAACTTCATAAATTTGAATAGTGTCATGAGAGATACTTAATGTCTTTTTTTTTTTTTTTTTTTGAGACAGAGTCTAGCTCTGTCTTCTGGGCTGGAGTGCAGAGGTGCGATCTCTGCTCACTGCCACCTCAACCTCCCAGGCTCAAGGAAATTCTCCTGCCTCAGCCTCCCCAGTTGCTGGGATTACAGGCAGACGCCACCACGCCCAGCTAATTTTTCTATTTTAGTAGAGATGTATTTTGTATTTAGTAGAGATGGGATTTCACCATATTGGCCAGGCTAGTCTTGAACTCCAGACCTCAGGTGATCTGCCCACCTCAGCCTCCCAAAGTGCTGGGATTACAGGCATGAGCCACCGCCTTTTAAATCTTTACATTAACAGATTTAAACAAATATTAAATGCTGACTATGTGCCAAGTACTTGTCTATAAAGCAGGCACATAAAAACAAATAAAACATGGCGGGGCACAGTGGCTCATGCCTGTAATTCTAGCACTTTGGGAGGCCGAGGCGAGTGGATCACCTCAGGTCAAGAGTTCAAGACCAGCCTGGCCAACGTGGTGAAACCTCATCTCTACTAAAAATACAAAAAATATTAGCCAGGCGTGATGGCAGGCGCCTGTAATCCCAGCT
This sequence comes from Homo sapiens, assembly GCF_000001405.40. Lineage (NCBI taxonomy): Eukaryota > Metazoa > Chordata > Mammalia > Primates > Hominidae > Homo > Homo sapiens. The sequence goes on from NC_000011.10 coordinate 20,476,242, forward strand.
ACTCAGGAGGCTGAGGCAGAAGAATTGCTTGAACCCAGGAGGCAGAGGTTGCAGTGAGCTAGATCACCCTATTGCACTCCAGTCTTGGCAATAGAGCAAAAACTCCATCTCAAAAACAAAACATATTCTCTGCCCTGGAAAGGCACTTTAATGAAAGGAGGCAAGTACTATGAACATTTTAATATGAATGATGAACATTTTAATATGAATGTAAAGTTTTAGAGATACACCAAGCGTGGTGTGGTACTGGGTTTCTGGAGGAAAAATGGAGTTAATAAATTTTACGGCCAACATTCCATGAGGAAGTGAAAAACTTTGCCCCTCCCAAACCCAAAATAAAGGAAAAGCTTGAAGTATGGTAGTCACTTCATAAGTTCCTTTGAGATAATTTTTTTCACCTACTTTTTAATTCATTATTTCTTTTTTACATTCTTTCTGCTGTTCATTTTTAGCCAATAAATATTTTTATTTCAGATATCTTTTAGTTGTACAATTTCTATTTTCATTTTTAGAGTTTTTTTATCTCTTTAACCAGTTTGATCCATCTTTTTATCTGAATTCCTTGACATTTATAATCATTCTTTTAAGATGTAATTTGCTAATTCCCCAAGTGATCTGCGATTTTGCTTCTCTTCCCTTTTAAGGGTCACATTTTTCAGTTTGTTCTCATATTTTATGCTAGACATTGTATAAAAGAATAATACGGACTAGAGTAGGTAATATTTTCCCTTAGAAGAATATCTCCTAGCTAGCTAGCGGGAGGGGTCGATCCCTTTTGATTTCCCGTGTCTTAAGCACAAGATCAAGCCCTTCCCTGTGGCCAAGTTCTTGGGAAGACCATCAAAATAAAGCTGAGTTTATGGTTTATTACAGTAAGGATGACCACTACATTGACAGTCTTAATAGCATCTCAGAGGAAGGACGTGAGAATATTTATGAAATTCTCAGCAGGTCTTTCAGTGTGTGCATTGGAGGGAAAAGGTCCTGATTAGGATTTGGCATGAGTTGAGAACTGGTAGACACATCAAGGGGTGGGTTTTAAAGTGAGTCTTGGCCGGGTGTAGCAGCTCACGGCTGTAATCCCAGCACTTTTGGAGGCTGAGGCGGGCAGATCACCTGAGGTCAGGGGTTCAACACCAGCCCAGTCTCTACTAAAAATACAAAAATTAGCCAGGCATGGTGGTGCATGTCTATAGTCCTAGCTACTCGGGATGCTGAAGCAGGAGAATCACTTGAACCTGGAGGTGAAGGTTCCAATGAGCCGACATAGCACCACTGCACTCCAGCCTGGGTGACAGAGCAAGATTCCGTCTCAAAAAAAAAAGAGTTGAAGAGTAAACAGCATAGTGAGTCATCTGTTCTTGACGGGAGGGTATTTACTCTCCTGAGGATTCATTGATATATCTGTTGTTCAAATAAATAGATTTTCTTGAGGTACCTGAAACAAATACCTTCTTCTTTCTAAGCAGTAGCTTCTGGAATAGCAGATAATTGAATAGTAATGTCGTATTAATAGAGATAGTGAACTGTGTGGCCACAGAAGGTTTTGGCTTAGGAGAAACCCCCCCCCCCCACTTCCTGTTTTGCAGCACAACCACCAGCTTCATCCACTCCAATAAGTAACGTGAGGGAGAATTGGTTTGAAGAGAGGACCAACTCTGCCTTTTGGATTTCTCCAAATTCCAGGGAACTATACTAGTGTACCAGTGCACTGGGCCTGGCTAGTGTTTCCTTGTCCCAGCAAAGTTCTTGTGACTGTGGCATTTTTGCTACTTTACCCACTACATGGGCCCTAGCATTGGGCAAACGCCCTCAGGTATGAAAGCAGCTGTTTTTGCTCAGCTAGGAAGAATTTATTCCCCTCTGGAGACAGTTATTTAGACCTATTTGCAAGTAAGACTCCTCTGTGGTTTTAATGAGAAATGTTTAGTCAGTCTAGTGTTTTCTTTTTGTTATGTTAGAGTGAGGGTCTTTTTTATGTTAGAGTGAGGGTCTTTTGCAACCTTCTACATCCTAATTAGAAGTCATCCTTGGATAAATTGCTTTTTAAAGCCCAAACTGGAAAATAAATCTGGGCCTACATATTTAGAATTTTAGAAAGTTCAGAAATAAAGTTAGGAAAGGTAAATGAAAGTAAACATAAGTTAGTGAAGTAAAGGTAAATTTCATGTTACCTTTCAGTTCTCAATTCAGTTCTTTGATGATCTACTTGATAGGAGTTGAAGGCTGCAGCAAGCAATGATTGTACCACTGCACTCCAGCCTGGGTGACAGAGTGAGAACCTGTCTCTTTAAAAAAAAAAAAAAAACTACTTGATAAATGATAGAGATATTTAAAAGGTACCAATATTTAGCTTTGGATGGAATCAAAACAAGTCTTTCAGTTACTGAGTTTTTTAAGGCTAATGCAATTGCTATTAAAAGAAACTTTAAAATGTTTACAGTTCAAACCAGTGATCTCTTAGTCATAATACTCTGTTTTCATTTTACTTTTTAATTAAGCTTTAAATTTTTCTAATGGCTTAAGAAAAAACTTCAAGATTAGCCCATTTATTTGCAATTGTGTTCTTTAAATCTTATAATGCTTCTGGAAAATCTCTGACAGCAGAATCCTACTAATTCTAAGCTTATTTCTAGGTATTAAATTAGCTCTTAGTACTTTTTGTTGTAAGTTGACCTAATTTTGACCTTACAAAGCTAATCAGCTAACGAAACTAATTATTAAAACAATTATTAAAACACATCTGTGCTGCTTAGAAATAGTAAGATTTGTCTTGAACTTGCATCATAGGTTTTAATGGGACATCTGGTGTATATTTTAATAGGCTTCATTAAGTAAATTTTATGTCTTGGGGGAGAACATTTCTCATTATGTGATCCCACCTCTACAGTTGGTTTTAGGCTCCTCCTTGTGAATGACCATGTGGTCTAAAGTATGGTCTTGAACTTTCTACTCTGCTCTGAAACCTGAACCTTTGTAGCTGGGCTTAGGTGGTGGTGCGAACATTTAAATCTCTTCGTTTATTCTCAGGAAACGTTCTTTGAGTAGTAGCATATGCTAGGAGCTGAGAGGTATTGGGAATGTAGTAACAAGCCACACCCGATAGTTCCTCTATTCAGGAGGCATTAATAGTGGAAACATAATAAAATTCACCCTATTTGCATCACTACCTTTCAGTGGAAAAAATATTCACCCTATGGATATTAGATAATACTAAAGAATTATTGAATTATTGAACATTTGGTTACATGTGATAAGGGCATTCTAGTTATCTAAGAAAATGTCCGTCTTTTTACAGACGCAAACTGAATTTGGAGGGAAGAAATGACATAATATAGGGTACTTGCTCAAGAGATTAGGTGAAGTATGTGTGCCGAATATAGGTTTGTCAGAGGTTCTCTAATTGTGTATGTTTGAAATTTTTGATAGTATTTTTTTAAAGAATCTCACAACAATAAGAAACGCCTAAGAGTGACGAGGCAAAAGTACTGCACTGAGATAAAGATATTTCTGTATATCTCAGCCACCTGCTATAGTTACCAAAGCTGAACACATGTTTACCCTGTGTCTTAACCATTTCCCTCCTGGATCCAGATACACACACAGAAATATGTTGACATGTTCACCAAAAAAAATGTTCAAGAATGTCCATTGCGGCCTTCCTCAGCCCCAAGCTAGAAAGTAGGATGGGTAAATGTGGTATATTTATGGAATAAAATAAAGCATTGAAAAAGAGATGAGCTTGGCAATATAGCACAACATGGATGAATTTCATGAACAGTTGATTTAAAAAGGGGGGAAAGGCTGGGCGCAGTGGTTTACACCTGTAATCCCAACATTTGGAAGGATCGCTTGAAGCCAGAAGTTCGAGATCCATCTGGTCATGGACATCAGAATAGTGGTTACAATTTGTGGGGTGACTTGATGGGAAAGGAGCATAAAAGAAGTCTCTGGAGTACTAGGAGTGGTCCGTATCTTGATCTGGGTAGTGGTTATACAAGTGTGTTCACCTTGAAAAAGTTCACTGAGCTGCATCCCAATGATTTGCTCACTTCTCTGTGTGTGTATGTGTGTTCTATGTAAAACCAGTGGTTCTTGCGTTAGCTAGATATCTGTTTTTTTGCTTGTATATAGTACTTCAGTTGAAAAGTTGACCAAAGCCAAAAAATGTCTATCTGGTGGTCAGTAGTTTGATAGGTTTAAGGAGTTGAAAGAAGCCTAGGATGGCTGGGACATGTAGATCATAGTGCTAAGAGATGGAAAGCACCTTGTGCTATTTGGCCGTTTCAGTTGTGATGTTTTTTAAGTAGAGTGTTGTGATCAGAAGGGCCCTTTAGAAAGATTGTGGCTAGAATATGGAGAACAAAGAGGAGACCACCAGAGTGGATGTGGGAGGCCAATATGTAGGTTATTCTAGTAGCTTTGCAGTGACTTACACAAAGGCAGTTTTAGCGGACTTGTTCATGAGTTACCTAAGAGATAAAATTGACAGGACTTGAGAATGAGTTAGATGATGGGGAGTGAGGGCAATAACTCCCATTGCTCTCAGTATCAATGATGACTCCAAGGTTTCTTACATGTACAATTTGAAAAATTATGGTCCTGTCAAAGAAAATTGGAAGAGCAAATTTAGAGGTGAGGATCAGATGCTCAATTATTAGTACGTTGAATTTCATACCTTTGAGTTATGTAAGTAGTGATATCCAGTAGGAAATTGAAACACAGTTCTGTGGCCTGTCTTGTCAAGTCATACTTGTGACATATTTGGCCCAGATACATAAGAGTAGGAATCAAAGAACATTTTATGAAAGACTTTTTGAAAATATCCATCAAAATATGCTGCTGACACTTTAACAAAGCATTTTAAACAATGATAAAATTACATGAATGAGGATGTATTTTTTAACCTATGCTATTCCTTGAGGCTGTTGGATTCCAAAAGCTTGTTTTTTAAAGGAAATCCAGTGGAGTAGCATCATATGCAGATATAATTTACGCAAATTAACTGCAAGCATTCAGGTAAAAAAAAAAAAAGTCTGAGAGAAATAATGGTCTCAGTAGTACAGATGATTCTGCCCTCCTTTTTAATTGTGAACATGTGCCCCAAAATGAGCATGATGTGAGAAACACATCTGCTGTTTCTTTAGTAGATTTCTGTAGGATGAGCATCTTGCTAGACTGCATGATTGTCTTTATAAAAGTGTGTATTTTTAATACAATATGGCACTCACTATAAGCCATCTACTTCATCTGGAGCCCAGCCAAAGAAATGGTGATTTGTACCATTGCTTAAAGAACGGGTTGTATTGAACTTACTGAGGGATAGTTTATATGTTAGTCTCTAAAATGACATCTTAAGAGATTTTCCAAGGTAATTTTGAGATTTTTCCCATATGACTTATCCTCTGCAGAATATGAGTACTATAAAATAATGTTTTGTCTTATTACTTTGTTTCAAAGGGATTCTGTCTAGTTCTAATATTTTCCATATTTGAAGTCCAGGTGCACCTTATGCATTGCTCTCCAAATTTACTTCCATTTGACTTCATTTTATCCTTCATTTTTCCAACCCTAGAGAGTCAAGAGCCCTTGAAACTGGACCCCAGAGTATTTTAGCCTTTTAAAAGTCTGTATTTTTTTCAACCCATTCTTTGTGTTTAGCTTTTCTGTCTACTCTTTTTGGAAACATTACCATTATGAAAAAATTATTAAGAAGATAACGTTTCCTGCTTTGGAAAACTTTTAGGTATATGTTCGTTGCCTAGAATAGTGGGAGGAATCGCCTGTAATACTGAAATCATATTTGAACCTAGTCAGAGAGAATGCAAAAGTCCACAAAATGAGGAACCCTGCAGTTGAGTAAAATAACCTGTCCATAGAGTTAATAGAGATTCGTGTGCTTGATCCTCTTTTGAAAGCCATGCTGAAAAATAATGCTTCTGAATTTCTGTAATTCATTGTTTAAATTTCAGAGACATTAAAGAAATTTTATCAGCATTTTAAAAAATTCTGATTCTAAAGCCTCCAAGTGAGTGATATTATAAAAGGATTTGAACATCAAATTGTCCTAAAATACAATTTGAGTGGAATCTTAAAATTCTTAAGCTATATTAAAATCATTTAATTCTAGATAGGTATAGGTTTATGCTTGAAATCAGCAATGTTGAAGGACAATAAATTCTGAGAAATTAGCAGGACTAGAATATCTATCTGAAGTTTAGCAATAAGCACAAAATAGTGTATTTATCAAATAATCAATAAGAGTGGACTCTTGATTAGAGATGTCAGAGGGGTTCTCCCTAGACTTATCACAGAGGCTGTCAATTAACATTATTAGATTGTGATAAGAAATGAGTTGGACCAGGTATTTTCCTTTTTGATTCAGCCGGTTACCCATGGAGTAATGACGTATAAGGAAGTAATCTTCCCAAGTTCAGGCTTATTTTAACTTAGGCACTGACAGACACCATTATGAATATTGGCATTAAGATCTTCTAAAAATCCTGAAGTACCTAATGTTTACAGACATTTTATGTATATGTATGTATTAACAGGAGGAAATCACTCCTCATGGAAAGACAAGTCAAGTCAAAAATTTGGAAAGACAAGTCAAGTCAAAAATTAGAAAAATAAATTTGATATATATACCAGATGGCTCAGAATATACCTTATAATATTTGCCAGATTTTTAGTTCCCACTCTATATATCAGGTACATAACAGAAGGGCTTAGGTGGTGAGTTGGTAGCTATCTTTCTACCTTACTTTTCAAAAGAGCAAAAAAAAACTATTCATTTCAGAAAATAGGGTATATCACATCTTCTATATGTCCCCCTTTTACCGTCTGTTAAATCGTTGTTTCAGTGTTCCATCTCTTAATTTATACTATTGAAGGGTTGTAAAGACAAGTAGCATTTGGTAGAACTTGGTCACCTAGACACAAAAATTAGTTTTAATATTTTTCAGTTTTAAACTTCTTCAGCAGTCATAAAACTAATTTTTTTATGCTGCGTTGATTTGTAAATTCAGTGTATCTGTTTTGTTCAGGTGAACAAGTGTATTCTTAATATTAAAATATAATGTTTACTTACGACTGATAGTATCTTCTGTCATTTGAGGAATTAGGAATGGAACATAGGGCTTTTGCATGGATAGTTTTGGGGGAAGATTGGAAAGCAGCACAAAAAATGGAATATAAGGAAACAGTAATCATTGATATCAAGCAGTGGAAAACCGATGATGTGTGAGGGAGCAGGAGAAGAGAAATCTAGAGAAGCAGTGGGCTGCAAGCCTTTTTAAATGGCAGAGATTGCCAAAAAAAAAAAAAAAAAATACTATGCAACATCACTTTTCATTCAAACATGGACTGAACACTATGTGTGGGCTTCTGTGCTAGGCACTATGAATACAACAAATAATCAAAATGTAATTTCTAGCCCTAGAGACATTCATTTAGAAGGAGAGGCCAACATAAATGGAGAATTGTAATGTAGTGCTCTATAATAGAATAGCAGAGGCATATAAAAGACACCCGTAGCCTTGTATACTCTTCCTTTCCCTGATCCCTGCTCGTCTTTAAGGTTTTTACTTTAAGTATGGCTTCTTCTTGAAAGCCTTTCTAATACCATATGTATTGTATTAGTGGGAAGTAATTAATTGTACAGATGAGGGAATATTTCTCTGAAGTTGTTGCATCTGATAGCAGTTTTGAGTTAAAAATAGGAAGTTATAAGTTACAGCATCATCATTTCCTTTTACCAAAGGTTGGGACAGGTTGACCATATCTCTTTATCATTTAACAAATAGTTTACTTAATAAATCATACTGATTTCCTATAGTCCCTGAACATTCCAGGATATTTCATGCCTTCTGTGCAGTTTCACCATTTAGATAGCATGCCCAGGCATGCTTAGGCAGTGAGGATGCAGAGGCGAACAAAGAAATGGTAAGACTGCCCTTAAAGGGCTATTGGGATCTACAAGTGAACAAAGACATTGAACAAAAAGTATTATAAATATAGTGAGTGTTATTACAAGGAGTGCAGGAACATTTTATGGATGTATTATACCCTACTCTGGGATTAAAGAAGGCTGCCCAGAGGAAATAATATTTAAACTGAGACATCACAAATGAGTTAGTTTAAGAATTGGGGGGAGTGTTACAGTGATATGGTTTGGCTGTGTCCTCACCCAAATCTTGAATTCCCATGTGTTGTGGGAGGGATCCAGTAAGAGGTAATTGAATCATGGGGGCAGGCCTTTCCTGTGCTGCTGTCATGACAGTGAGTCTCAAGGTCTGATGTGTATTATAAGGGGGAGTTTTCATACACAAACTCTCTTTGCCTGCTGCCATCCATGTAAGACATGACTTGCTCCTCTTTGCCTTCCACCATGATTGTGAGACTTCCCCAGCCACGTGGAACTGTAAGTCCCATTAAACCTCTTTCTTTTGTAAATTGCCCAGTCTCTGGTTTGTCTTTATCATACAGGTAGGGGGCCTTAGGTAGGAAAAAGCAATACAGTAAATAATCTTCCTCTTTGTAGTGGTAAGCCACATAAAATGGAGAAACCCTTTTGCCGAAAACAGCTACAAATGCCAAAAAAAAGTTAAATGCTATCTGTTTGAAGTTAACAAATAAGGAAGTACTACTAAGCCAAGACTCAGAAAAGAAGGTAATCTGAAAAATGAGACTAACAATTGGGGCTGCTTTTGCCCTATAGGCATTTACCAATTCAGAGGAAGGAGCTGAAAGACTTGTGTAGCCCTTTTGATATTGCTCACGTGGATAGGAATACAAAGTGGGACCCTAATAGTTTTGCAGGACTTTGCATTGGGACTGTAAAGACTGTGCCCAAGAATAAGGTATGAGAGAAGTAAATGAACACTTGCATGGACTACAGCACAGCTTCAAGTCATCTGGGTGGTCCAGGAAGTCTCAAACCCTGATATTAGATTAAGATCTCGGTTTGCCATGCCCCCAGGTTCCTTGCAGAAACAAAAATTCTTTCTAGAAGATTATTACAGGTTTCAAATTATTTTCACAAAGTTTTTCAAATATTAATGTTCAAAACATATTCAGAGGTAATCAGTCACACAAGGACACAAAACAACATGAATCAAGAACCAGTTGAAGCAGTAGACAATAAAAACAGAGCTCTAGGTGCTCCAGGAATTAGTTATAGCAGACATAGGTTTTGAAAAACTATGCTTACTAAATTCAAAGAGAAAAAATACTGCAAATTTTAACAAATGGAAACATTTTTTAAAATACGGTTTGGAAAAGAATTGAACAGACATTCTAAGACCAAATTAAATATGATTTGAACAGCAGATCTTCATGTATTAGTGTAGAGAAGATCTGCGAACTGGATTTTAGGGCAGAAGAAAATGTCCAGAAAGAAGCCTGGAGACATGCAAGAATGAGACAGAGGGAAGGGCAAGAAATAACGTAGATACAAGAAAAGGTCTAATTACATATACATGTAAATGGGCATCCCAGAGAAAAGGAGGATGAGAATGTTACAGTATTTAAAGAGATGATGGCTAAGAATTTTCCAAAACAGATGAAAGCAACAATTTAAGAAGTCAACATAACCTAAATAGCATAATTTTAAGATTGTATCCAAATGTAGGTGTATATCTAAGAGAAGTGAAAACATGTCCACGCAAATGTTTATAGCAGCATTATTCATAATAGCTAAGAAATGGAAGTAATTCAAATGTCTATCACCTATAGAATGGATAAGTAAAATTTGGCATATCCATGCAATGGAATATTATTCAGCTACAAAAAAGAATGAAACACGATACAACATGGTTAACCCTTAAAAACATTACGCTAAGTGAAAGAAACCAGTCACAAAAGACCATCTCTTATATGATTCCATTTAGATGAAATATCCAGAATAGGTATATTTGTAGACACAGACTGGGCAAGAAGAGAATGGATGGAAGATTTCTTTTGGGGGAAATGAAATGTTTTTAAAATTAGATTGTAATGATGGTTACACAACTCTGAGTATACTAAAGAATGTTGAATTGTACAATTTAAATGGGTAAATTTTTTGGTATGTGAATTATACCTCAGTTTAAATGAGGGAAGAGAAACCCACACCTAGACATATCCTAGTGAAACTACAGAAACCAAAGAAAAATCTCAAAGTTGGTGGAACTATGGTGCTGGAATTACCTTTAAAGAAGAGCTAAGTAGACTAGTAGATAATTTCTATAATTGGTAAATCTTCAAACTGAATACAGCTGTGAAACCCACACCCAGATGAAGAAACAAAACATCTCAGCACCCTAGTAGTCCCCTTTGTACACCTACCTAATACAGGGCATGTATGCCCTGTATTAGCCAGGTGCACAAGGAACAATGGAATTCGGGGAGCAGGGGAGAGGAACATTGTAATCAGAAGAAAAAAAGACAGAAGAAATTGTAATGATGACATTATCACTGTGCTGCCAGAAAATAACTGCCAACCCTGAGTTTAACCCAACTAAGATTTCTTCTAAGAATGAAGCTGGACAACTTGGCTGGGCACAGTGGCTCATGCCTGTAATCCCAGCACTTCGGCAGGGCGAAGCAGGCAGGTGGCTTGAGGTCAGGAGTTCAAGACCAGCCTGGCCAACACGGTGAAACCTCGTCTCTACTAAAATTACAAAGATTAGCCGGGCATCATGGCACACACCTCTAGTCCCAGCTACTCGGGAGGCTGAGGCAGGAGAATTGCTTGAACCCAGGAGGTGGAGGTTGCAGTGAACTGAGATTGCACCTCTACACTCCAACCTGGGCAATAGAGTGAGACTCCATCTCAAGAAAAAAAAAAAAGAAGAAGAAGAATGAAGCTGAAATAAAGATATTTTCAGATAAGCAGAAAAGAAGAGAAAGAATTTGCCTTAAAAACCTGTGCCAAAGGAAGTACCGAGGGATATTCAGGCAAACAGCAAATGATCCCTGATGGAAGGCCAGAAATTCAGGAAGGAATAAAGGTGAACAAAACTGGTAAATATTTACATACCAGTAGTTCTCTTAGGTATATACCCAATGGCCATGTTATGTATATTCACAAAAACCGTTCAAGTGCCTGTCAGCAGTAGACTAAATTATATAGTCACATATACCTTACGGCCATGAAAATGAATCATCTGCAGTAATGTAGATGAATTTCATAAACAATATTGAGGAAATTAGCCAGACACAAAGGACTGCCTGATGTATGATTCTTTATATATTGAAGTATAATAGGAAAAATGAATCTTTGCTTAAGAGTATTAGGATAGGTCGTTAGAGGCATAGGTGCATGAGGGGGACTACTAGGGTGCTGAGATGTTCTGTTTCTTCATCTGGGTGTGGGTTTCACAGCTGTATTCAGTTTGAAAATTCAGCATGATGTACACTTATGTGCACTTTTCTGAATGTACATTATAAAGCAGTTTCTAAAATGAAAAATCAGTAAATTTCAATGAATATGGGTTGTATAAAACAATTTTGTGTTTATAGCTAGGAAGAAATGTGAGGTATCAATTTATGAAATGTCAAAATGAAAGTATTCGTGTTACAGACTCTGAAGATGATTTTTGCCCCCTAAAACCACTTTAATAAGCAATTTTGAAATTACAAGGAAGCAATCCCAAATAAATTTAAAAGGAGTTTCAGTTATCTTGAAATATTCTATGTAGATCAGAAATAAATTACATTGTGTTTTTCAATAAAAGTATTTTTAAAAATATTTTTGGACTATTGCCTGTTTTACTACTTCCCATATTGCTTTGTCTATTTTTTACCACCACTCAATCTGGCAGTATCTCTTGAGACGTATATGGCACTTAATGTGTATTGTTCCCTAGAGGAGAATCATGAAAGAAAAGGTGCAGATTTTCTCTTGGGATACAATAGAAAATTAATTGAAAAAGAAAGAGTCCGTAATTTAATGTATAGTTACAATTGGGGAAAAAATCATAATATATAATTTTCATATTTGTTGATTATGTCTTCTTAAACGCCATTTATTACTAGCACAGTTCATGCTCTGTATGTGGCAGCTCGTATAGCTTATGTTTGTATTTTCATCTCCTTGGTTTATATATGATGATCTAAGCTATAACAGTCATTTTTATGGCATTGTCTGCTTACTCTTTCTTTGCTTGCTTCAGACTCATCAGTTGGCTTTTGCATTCCATATTGAGATTTTGAAAGAAATACTTCAACGAAAAATGAATTGTATTTTTGTTATAGTGATTCTGCTGCATGGATTACAAGCACTCTATCTCCATGCTTGGATAAACTCCATCAAAAGCACATTATCCTCCTACTTCTGTGGCCAGCTGCCTAATTGTATCTGCTGTAACCACATGCTGTTGGAACATGATACCAATGAAGAACAGAAATGATAAATTACTCCCTGCAGGTGATAGTGATAATGATAATTTTTAATTTCCTTCTTCCTCATAAGGTCTAGTCTGATCTTATTTCATTGGTTGCCATCCTATTACATACACACAATGTGTCCTCTTTAAAGAAATATTCATCACACTAAAATACCTGAGAAAGTCATTTTTTATCCCAAATCATTGTTCTTCAAATGAGTGTATATTAAATGAACTGCATTTACCTTTATACATATAAACAAAACATGGCTTAAAACAGATTTTTTCATGATTCAGTTTACAAATGCCATGAGTTTTCTTTTTGTGAAATCCACAAAAAGATGAGTTCTGAAACTATTACATGCTGAGGAATATTTAAGATGTACAACAGAGCTCCATGCTTGTATTTTCCTATGTGCATCAAAGTAATTGTCGAGGATTCTCACAAAATATCAAGAGTGATCAAGCTATCCCAGAAATTCACTATGTATACGTAGTTTCCTTTCATTCTGTTTTCTTCTATCATTGTTTTTGTTTTTTTACTACTTACCACTCATTCTCCCTTCTCTCACTCTAAGGGACTTTTATAACTAAACTTTTAGTTATAAATTTTTCTGACTGTGGTATAATTCAGTGAAATTTTATTTAACTGTGACCTTGCCTTTGCAGATTAACCCAACTCCTACAGATAGATTTTAATGCTTTTTTCCCCCTCAGCAGTTCTCATTGCCCCAACAAGATATATACGTGAGACAAAGGAGAAATTTCTTCTGCAGTCAGCCTTCAGACCTCTCTGATCTTTTACGAGCATATGTCAAGTTGTAGCTCCAGTTAGTTATTTGTTGCCATTGCCTATTAGTCATTATTTCCTATGGTTGTTTATTCTTATATTTGAATGACTTCCACAGAGATAATGTATATTCATTGAAATTAACATTTAAAAGATGTTAAGATAGCCTGTCAAAGTGATGGTAGCAAGGTGGCCAAACTGTAATTGAAAATAGTGGCATGTTTATATTTTCCTGACAAAATAAGTCATTTATTCCTAAATCAGCTGATATTTGGTTATATCATTATTCCTTATTTAATAGCTTTGCAGAAATAAAAACACTAATCATAATTCATTTGGTTTTATATTACTATGTTTCAAATTGAAGGGGTTTTTTTTTTTCTTAATCTCTTTTAATTAAGAGTTAGTAGCATGCAACTGTTGTCCCAGCTACTCAGGAGGCTTAGGCAGAAAGATCCCTTAAGCCCAGGAGTTTGATTTCAGTCTGGGCACCATAGCGGGACTCCATCTCTAAAATTAAATAAAAATTTTTAAAAATAAGAATCACACAGAAAAGAAAAGAAAAAAAGGTAACACCACAAACCCTGTCTCTTTAAGGGGCATTCTAGATCATGTTGGTGTTTGAGGGTAGACACCCATTTTAAAACCAGAAACTCCCTTTGTTTTTTTCAGAGCAGCAATCTTCCACTTTCTCAACTGTACGAATGCTGTCTAGTGAGTAGATAGATTATCTGCACACAGTTTGAATTTTAGGTGAATTCCTTCCTAACTTCTCCTCATGCTTCTGCTTTCTGTTTAATGTGTGCTGTGGAACTGAGTATTACTGTAAACCAAACCTCATTAGAAATGTGACTGTGCTTGAAGACTCAAAGATACTGTGAGGCATTTCACATAGATGCAATTTCAGATATTTGTCATAGATTCTTTCCAGTGCTTACAACTGAAGTTAACTATATCTGTCATTTTTCTTTGTCTTAAAACTTATTTTTTGGTTACCCAGAACTTCCCAGTATTTCTTTCACTATATTATTAAGGGCTGGAAATTTTTAACTGAAATTCATACACAGATTTGGAGATTGATTAATAAGCATGTGTGGCTGGACGTGGTGGCTCACACCTGTAATCCCAGTGCTTTGGGAGGCCCCCCAAAAAATGTGGGGAAAAATAAATCCTAGTAAGCTAATAAGAGCTTTTGTGAAAATTTGGGTTTAAAAGCAGCTTTTGTGACATCTTCAGATACATGAAGAGAAGCATTTCTAATTCTGATTAAAAAAAGACTGGCAATAAATATAACAGTTATAGAAGTATAATTACAGAAAGATGAGAGGCTGTTACATGAGTTTAAAACAATTTTAAAAGGTACACTAAAAATTTTGAAAACAAAAGGATGTTTTAGAACTATGGGTTTTCTGTTCTTGTTGTTCCAGTTTACCTTCTGAAGAACTTCTTTTAAAATGTTTCTAGAGGAAGTCTATTGGCAATGAATTTCTTTACTTTTCCTTGACTTGAAAATGCCTTCATTCATTCTGTCTAGATATAGAATTTTAAAACTTTTTTTTCTCCATCAGTGTCTTTTTCTTTTCCATCTGGACCACCAATGACACGTTAGATCTATAGGTCTCCAAGGTTCTATAACATGCATTTTAATTGCTGTCTTTTTCCCTTCTTCAAATTGGATAATTTCTATCAATCTTCAAATTCACTGATTTTTTCCCTGTCATCTCCATTCTGCTATTCAACCCGGAAGTTTCAGTTATTATAATTTTCAATTGAAAATTTTTCATTTGGTGCTTTTTTATGGTTTCTCTGCTGAGAATTTCTGTCTTTTGATTCATTCCATTGTGTTTTCTGTCACCGTTGGAACATGGTTATAATTGCTGCTTTAAAGTTTTGCTTGATAGTTTGAGCATCTGGATTATCTCAGAGGTGGCTTGTCTTTTCTCCTGAGAGTTGTTCAATTTTCCTGATTCTTTGTATGTTGAGTAATTTGAGATTGCACCTTAGATGTTGTGCATGCTATGTTGTGTAAACTGTGTGTCTTGTTAAAATCTTAAGGATGTTGATGTTTGTTGTTAGCAGTCAAGCCCAGTTAAAATCAGACCATAAGTTCTGTCTTAGTGTCCGAGCAGACAGTTGACCAAGTCTCAGTCACATTCTCTAAGCCTTTGTTATGCTGTTTTGAGGCTGTCTTACACATACCTAGTTTACGGATTAGTCTGAGACTTTTACAGATTTTTCCAATCTCACGTCAGTTCTCTAGGCCTTTACTTGTTGGTTTCGGTTTTTTTTCCATGCATGTTTTATCCAGAGGTTAATCCTGAGACTTGCAGCAGTGATTCAAATTTTAGTTCAATGCTCTAAGCTTTTGCTGTGTGGGTTTGGATCTCACCTGAAAATGCGTAATTTGGGGGTTAGGCTGAGACTTCTGCATTTCCTACATACAGAATTAGATCTTTTCTAGCTCTCTCCTCTCCATATTTGTCCCACATGTTCCATGCTTTTCAGAGTTAAAAATTATTAGTTCCATTCAAGTTCAGTTAGTCAATGCTTTAATAAAGTATACTGACTATGTAATAAAGCTAGCCATATTTGAGACTGAAGACTAAAAATTTTAATTTGGCTAAAATTTATTGAGAACCTACTATATAACATTGTATTGGGTAAGGGGCATAGAAGTGAGTTATACATATGCCTTGCTCTTAAATAAATTGCAGTATAAGGCAAACTGTAATATACTATCGTAACTAACATAACAGAATGTATAATAAACACATTTGCTCATCAAATATTGTATTGTATTGTATCCTATGGGCCAGGTTACTGCTCTGGGCACTGAGAGTATAGTGGTGAACAAGACAGGCATACAGGAATAAATAAGAAAACAGTTGAATTGGTCTGTGAAGGGGTATCATAAGTATCTGGAAATCAACTGATAAAGTTATATTTAGAAATATTCTAATTAACCACGTGGTTTTTATGATAATCTGTGGCTGAGTACTACATTGTTTTATAATTCTATTTGGCAGAATTATTACTAGTATTTTGATTCTCTCTTGGTATCTAAATTGCAGTGAACCTCAGGGTTAAATATTGAGTTTGGTTTGGACCTAATCCATATTAACCCTACCAGATCAATAAAATGTCACATTTTTAACAAAAGTAGCAGAGTACACAAATTAGCTTTACCATGATTTTTCAAAAAATCAGTGTCCTGTTTTTTACACTTTCTAAGCTTAATGTAATGCCAGCTTTAAAAAGTGATTAAGTCCAGCTAGTTCCAATAGTGAAAGAAAATGGAATGGTATTTAAATTTAACCAAAAAACTCAAAATTATGTATTTATCTGAGTATGTTAATTTCTTTAAGAGATCTTTTGTAGGCTGGGTGCAGTGGCTCACACCTCTAATCCTAGCACTTTGGGAAGCCGAAGTGGGTGAGTCGCAAGGTCAGGAGTTCGAGACCAGCCTGACCAACATGGTGAAACCCCATCTCTACTAAAAATATAAAAATTAGCCGGGTGTGGTGGCGCACGCCTGTAGTCCCATCTACTCAGCCTTGCCTGACCAACACGGTGAAACCCCGTCTCTACTAAAAATATAAAAGCCAGGTGTGGTGGCGCACGCCTGTGGTCCCATCTACTCAGGAGGCTGAGGCAGGAGAATCGCTTGAACCCAGGAGGCGGAGGTTGCAATGAGCTGAGATCCCTCTGGGCAACAGAGCAAGACTCCATGTCAAAAAAAAAAAAATCTTTTTGTACTATCACAATAACCCTTAGAGCTCACTTTGGAGTTTCTCCTTTGAGTACTTGCTTAAACATAAGATTTGAGTACTACTGTTCATTTTTTCAGGAAAAAAAAAATAAGTAACATTTTAAAAATCTTTATTTCATCACAAAAATATTCATAGTACTTAAAAACAGATATACTGGACTAGAAGAAATTAAATGAACTGGCTTTGTATAAATAGGATGTTTTAATTATTTATTGCTATGTAATAGCCCATCTCAGAACTCTGGCTTGAAGCCCAAACCATTTTTATCTGTTTGTTTCCGATTCTGCAATCCTGACTGGACTTAACTGAGTAGTGCACTTGCTGGTCCTTCCTGGCATCTTTCATGCCGCTGCAGTTGTCTGAACACTTGACTACAGCTGGAGAAGTCAAGATAGCCTAATGCGTGGGTGGACATCTCAGTTGGCGAGTGAGGATCAGTGAGGGGCCAGCTGAGTCTCTCTCTCCATGTGTGTTCACCTTTCAGTGGTCTAGCATGATTATTTCTCTAATAAAATGTACTAATTATTTGATTAGCCTTATTACCTTTATTATGTTGTTTCTGTGAGGAAAAGCCAAATTACATTACTTCGTTTTTACTTACAACATCTTTTCCAGGAAAAATATTGAGTTTAAGAGGTATTTAGTCTCTGAAATGGTTTATCATTTGCCATGTCTTAAGAGACAGTAATGAGTTATTATATTATGTAATTCATTTAGTAAGCATTTATATTTCTTTTTTTAAAAAACAGGCAATTGCTGGCTACTTTGATATATATTTTGAGAAGAATTGCCACAACAGGGTAAGTATCATGAATTATCTCATAAGAATTAATTATTACAGAAGTACATTATATTTTATTTTGTGCCCCAAGGTGTTTAATCATAAGCATTTTGCTGCTGTAAGCAATTGGGGCTTGTGTTTGATGTCGTAGATTAATGTACCATGATATTAAAAATCTTGTACTTCATCAAATACCTTTGAACTTTACCAATTCAGGTCGTGTTCTCTACGGGCCCTCAGAGCACCAAAACACACTGGAAACAAACAGTATTTCTACTGGAAAAACCATTTTCAGTTAAAGCAGGTGAGAAAGAATAGTAGGGGGGAAGTATCTTATTCATTCTGAAGTAAATGATATTCATTCATTTTACAGCCACTTTTTATGTGCACACTATATTTGTTTTTTGAGACGGAGTCTCGCTGTCTCACCCAGGCTGGAGAACAGTGATCTCGGCTCACTGCAACCTCCATCCCCTGGGTTCAAGCAGTTCTCCTGCCTCAGCCTCCCAAGTACTTGGGATTACAGGCACACACCACCACACCCAGCTAATGTTTGTATTTTTAGTAGAGATGGGGTTTCACCATGTTGGTCCCCAACTCCTGACCTCAAGTGATCCACCTGCCTCGGCCCCCCCAAAGTGCTGGGATTGCAGGTGTGAGCCACTGCGCCTGGCCTGCACAATATATTTGAAGCAATATAACAGATGTTAAGAAAAGATATTCTTAGAGCTTACCATCTACATAAATTTTAGATGGCATATCATTTAATTAAAGACATAATTTAAGAAAAATTTTTAAGTCTAATTTCTGCCAACTAAAATAAATAAGACTACCTGGCTCTTAAAGTATCACAAAATAATTCAGAAAACTTTCGGCAATAATTAGTATTTAATAAGTTACAAATATAACTAAAAATATTTTCTTTCTCCAAGTGACTGAAGAGAAATATTACCAATAAAATAAAAGTTAAAGACAATTTCATTCAGTAGTTATTGTAGGCCAGGCACAGTGGCTTATGCCTGTAATAAGCCACTTTGGGAGGCTGAGGCAGGAGGATAACTTGAGGCCAGTTTTGGGTTTTGTTTTTTCTTTTTTGAGACGGAGTTCCACTCTTGTTGCCCAGACTGGAGTGCAGTGGCACCATCTCAGCTCACTGCAACCTCCACCTCCTGGGTTCAAGCAATTCTCCTGCCTCAGTCTCCCAAGTAGCTGGCACCACCACGCCCAGCTAATTTTTGTATTTTTAGTAGAGATGGGGTTTCACCACGTTGGCTAGGCTGGTCTCAAACTCCTGACCTCAGACGATCTGCCCATCTCGGCCTTCCAAAGTGCTGGGATTACAGACATGAGCCACCGCACCCAGCCGAGGCCAGTTTAAACCAGCCCAAGCAACATAGCAAGACCCTATCTCTACAAAACAATAAAAATTATCTGGGCATAGTGACAAAAGCCTGTAGTCTTAGCTGCTTGGAGGCTGAGGCAGGAGGCTTGCTTGAGTCTGCAGGGAGCTATGATGATACCACTGCACTCCAGCCTGGGTGACACAGCAAGACCATGTCTCAAAAAAAGAGAAAAAGTTATTGCATTCAAAATATATTTGTCTTAGCATTCTCTCCACTGTCTCTTCCCTGCCTATCCAAATCTTATGCAGTATTCAAGGGCTAATCAGATTCTATTTTTTATTTTAAAAACTCATTGATTGTTCACTTACATTAGCACCTATAGTTCTGACATACCTATATATTTCACTCTAAAAGTTAGAATTTGATTATGGAATTTAAAAATTTAAACTGCTTACTACATATAAGTCTTCTTGTACCACCTTCTCTGAAAACCTCCTGAGAGTACAAAAGCTGAATGTATAACAAGCTGCAGTGAAAAAAATCCAGCTTCACCAATAACTCAGGAAAAGGCTAACTGAAACCATGAGATGCTGTTTCTTGTCCATCAATTGGGGGAAGAAAATACATAAAGTTTAACAATGTCAAGTGCTGGCAATAATGTAGCCAAATGGAACTTTCATTCCCTTTTGCTGGCTTTTAATTAGTAAAACTTTCGAGAACAGTTTGATACTATGAAGCTAAGTATAGATGTACCATCCCTACAGCTAAGCAATTTTTTCCTAGGCATGTATTCTAAACAGTCTCTCCCACAACATATGTAAAAATCTTTATAGTAGCATGTTTTATAGAAGGGAAAAATTGGAAATAACCTTAATTGTCCCTCAGCAGAAGATGGATAAATAAATGTGGTAGTTGCATAGCATAGTATCTGGATCAGGTAAGTTATGTATGTATGTTTCTATCAAAAACAACATTGAAGCCGGGCATGGTGGCGCACACCTATAGTCCCTGCTACTTAGGAGGCTGAGGCCAGAAGTTCCCTTGAGCCCAGGAGTCTGAGGCTGCAGTGAGCTGTGATTGAGCTGCTTTACTCCAGCTGGGGCGACATAGTGAGACCCTGTCTCTTGGGGAGTTAATGTAAGGGAGGCAACATTGAGCAAAAAAGAAAATTGCAGAATGAGTCTGACAAGATACCATTTATGTGAACTTTTAAAACATGTAAGCAACCATACATACACATATCTAATACAAGTATGAAACAAGCAGCTCAGATTCAGCATAGTGGTTACCTCTGGATAGAAATAGGATTAGGGCAGGCTACAACTGGGGTGGGGGGTGGGGGTCAATGTCATATAAAAGACATATAAAGGAAAACTTTGTAAAAAATTGGAGGAACTCTGATAGATTTTACAAAGCTGAGTGGTGGGCTCTATATTACAGTTACCAGGTGGTTATCAATCTCTGTTTTAAATATTTCATAAATTCTATAGCTTCAGTTTCACTGTTGGTACATAAATTGAGTTTAATAGATGCAAGTAAATACCAGATTGAAGCAGCACCTTGTCATTTTCTCACTTTGAAGTTGCAAGTGATATGGAAATAAAACCTTGATGGTGTCATTTTCTCTGTCTGCAGAAAGCTTCAGCACAGCAAAAGTGAAATGAGGCAAACCCAAATGAGGTCCTTTAAGCCTCATTTTTGTTTTTCTGTAGCTCTGGTATTTGGATTGATGTTTGGAAACTTGAAAATGTTGCTTTTTTTTCTTCATTGTAGCCATTTTGTCATCTTAATACTAGAATTTTAAAGGCAGTACTAGTTCATGTTTTAATCGTGAGGGAGACTTAAGATAGCATTTGAGTTTGATTCTCAAAATTTTCTCCTACTTCATTACGAGAAAATATTGTTTGATGACTAGTGAAGTTTTAAAATCCTAACTATTCTTTACCCAGTAATCCTTAGAGTAACTGGTTTGTGCTTTGCTCTTAGGTATTTATAGAATATCGTGAAGGAGGTGTGTGATGCAAATGTTGCCTGCTGGCACCACCTGTGTTTCTTTTACTACTGTGGTGTATGCATTTGTATCTAAATAGTAAGACCAATGTATCACAAAATATTAGAATCCCCTAAGAGAGTACAAGCTGAAGAAAGATTTTAAAAGGAAATTTTACAGTTGGAAAAATAGTCATTTCTTAGTTATGGGAGTATAAAGAAAGGATCATGTAAGTGTTAACACTTTTTGTTGTTCTGAATCCTGCTAAGCCTTTGATGTTAGCCTTGATTAACAGATGCTGGGAAGTTGCAGAGCAGAGTACTGAAGAGGGTAAGCTCATCAGAAAACAAGCTCAAAAAGATCTATAGGAAGACTCCCGGAGTTTTACGCAAGTAATAAGATGTGTATATGTAGGATTAAATGCACAAGGTCAGGCAAAGTAGTTGGAGCAAATGTGTACCAAGGAGTTCTCAGTTCACACAGGGCTGCAAGGGGTTCACGTTTCTAGCTTAAGGCTGTCTAGATCCTCCTTAACAAATCTTAAAAACAAGCCTTGAAGGGAAAAGAACTAAGCTGCAAGTAACTTAGTAGCCACAAAGGAAAACAAAATGGATACATTCAACCAAACAATGGGTGCAGGAAAATGTCTGATAGGAACAGACCCAGAAGTGATGAAATTAGCAGACAAGCATGTTGAAAAAAATGTTATAACTATGCTTATGTGAACATAGCGAAGAGAATATAAGAAGACATTTAAAGTGAAAATGTCATTTGATGGAATTAATGGCAGAAGAAAAGATCAGTGAACTTGAATACATAGCAATAAAATGTATCCAAAATAAAGCAAGGAGAGAAGAAACATATTTAAAATAAAAATGAACATATCCACAGTAGCTTATGGGGAAATACCAAGCACTCTAGCCTAGTCCTTGGAAGAAGCTGAGGGAGGAATAGGGTAAGGTGAGGCAATGCAACAGGAAGTATATTTGATACAAGCTACACATCGAAGAAACTCAATTAACCCGAAGAAGGATAAGCTCAAAACACCAAAACATGCCAAACTAACAGTGATAACTTTTTAAAATTTTAACATAAGCCAGAGTAAAATGAAACATCATGTAGAGAAGAACAAAGAAATAACCTTAGAATATTCATCAAAAACTGGCCGGGCGTGATTGCTCATGCCTGTAATCCTAGCACTTTGAGAGGCCGAGGCAGGCAGATTGCCTGAGCTCAGGAGTTCGAGACAGGCCTGGGCAACATGGCGAAATCCCATCTCTACTCAAAATACAAAAAATTAGCTGGACGTGGTAGCACGCACCTGTAATCCCGGCTATTCGGGAGGCCGAGGCACAAGAATTGTTTCAACCCAGGAGGCAGAGGTTGCAGTGAGCTGAGATTGCACCACTGCATTCCAGCCTGGGCAACAGAGCAAGACTCTGTCTAGAAGGAAAAAAAAGAATATTCATCAAAAACTGTGTAGGAAAGATGATTAATTGAATGACATTTTGAAGTATTGAAACTGGCAACCTAGATTCTGCATCTACAAGAAATATGTTCTTTAATGAAACTAAATGAAGACTTTTTCAGGAGAAAAATGCTGAACAAATTTATTTTCAGCAGACTGGAAATATAAGACATGTATTAAAGTAAGTTCAAGAGGAAACAAAATGTCACCAAATGGAAACTTGGATCTTAACAAAGCAGTGGAAAATGCCAGAAATGGTAAATGTGTGATCACATTAAAAAGCTTTATTTTTTCATTTCTTAATTTCTTAAATGATCATTGACTAAAGCAAAATAATGTTTTTAGGCTTAAAACATATGGAGAAGTAAAATATATGGCAATGATAACCAAGGAAATTAATGATAAAATAGAAATATTTAATGTATTGTAAAGTTTTTACACTGTATGTGAAGCAGTTAAGTATGTACATTGTAAACCCTAAAGCAACAGCTAATGAATTTAAAATTAAACCACAAACTATAGCTAATAATTTACTGGTGGAGACAGAATGGAATCCTGAAAAAAGTACCCAATTCAAAAGAAGATAGGGGCCAGGCGTGGTGGTTCATGCCTGTAATCCCAGCACATTGGGAGGCCAAGGCAGCAGGATCGCTGAGGCCAAGAGTTTGAGACCAGCCTGGGGAACAAAGCAAGACCCTGTCTCTAAAGAAAAAAAATTTTTTTTAATTAGCCAAGTGTGGTGGCACATAACTGTAGTCTGAGCTACACAGGAGGCTGAGGCAGGAGGATTGCTTAAGCCCAGGAGGTCCAGGCTGTGGTGAGCTATGATTGCATTACTATACTTCAGCCTGGGTGCAGAGCAAGGTCCTATTTCTAAAAAAAAATTAAATTTTTTTAAAGAAGAAGATGGGGAAAAGGACACAAACAGGTGAACAAATAGAAAACAAATGGTGAGATGATAGACTTAAATTCACGCTTAAATAGACTGATAATTACATTAAACATAAAGGATCTGGAAAATGCCAATTAAAAGGCAGAAATAGACTGAATAAAACTAAATGCTGCCTCCAGGAAGCACACTTTAAATATAAAGGCACTGAAATTCCGGTCCCAGGTAATGTGATAACAGCACATTCTATCCAATTTTTCCCGCCAAATGTAGCTATAAAACCAGAGTATATGGAGCAGCCATCAAGATCTCTGAAAAGTAATAGCAAATAATTGGGAGGAGAAGACCGGAATTCTAAGTACCAGCAAACTTGTGGTAAATTTATGTTTTCTTCCAATATCCCCCAGCCTGGAATCCAGATAGCCTGAAACCTAGGCAGGGATCAGCACAGACAGCGAGAGCTCCTGGAGGAGCAATGAATGATTGAACTTGTGATTTAAAAAACAATACCATTTACAGCAGCATCAAGAAAAATTAAAACCTTAGGAATAAATTTAACAAAATATATGCAAAACTTGTATATTTAAAACTATAGAACATTGCTCAGAGAAATTAAAGAAAACTTAAATAATGGAGAGATATACTCTGAATTGGAACACTTAATACTGTTACAGTGTTACTTCTTCATAGAAGAATTTCCTTTATTAATTCAGTGCAATCTCAGTCAAAATCTCAGTTTTGTAGAAATTAATGGGCTAATTCTAAAAGTTATATAGAAATCAAAAGCCTAGAATAACCAAAATAATTGAGAAAGAACTACATTGGAATCTTTATGCTGTGTTATTTCTAAACTTACCAAAAGGTTATATTAATCTAGGCAGTATAGTAGTGGTGTTTATTGTAGCCATGTAAGTCAGTATAACAAATAATCCAGAAATAGACCTGCTCTTGTATAATTAAATTTTTACAAAGGGGCAGTGTTGATTAATGGGGAAAGGGTGATCTTTTGAAATGGTGCTAGAACAAGTAAATATTTGTTTGAGAAAATCATTCTTCACACCATATCCAAAAACTAACATACATAAAAACTAAGTGGATCATAGGTACAAATCTAAAAGCTTAGACTGTAAAACTTCTGGAAGAAATAATATTTGAGACTTTGGAGTGGTTTATGAAACTAAGATAGTGGCAACATTCGAACACATTTTATGTAAGTAACACCGTAAAGTTAGTTTTAAACTTCTCACTGGACAGTCAATATCTTCAGGATAAAATACAAACTCCTATGTCCCTTTGCAGTCTGACTCTGGTTTTTCATCATTTCCAACCCCATCCTTTCACAACCCCAGGTAAGCTCATGTACTCCAGTTGTACAGATTGCTCATTTTTAAGCTAACTTTTATTTTTCTTGCTTTTGTCCAAGATGTTTTTCTACCTAGAAGGTTGTTTTGACCTCTTTCACTTGATAAATTCCAATTTACCCTTCATGACATAGCTAATTTCTGTAAAATTTAAATGTCTTCAGAGCTAATTGTTCCCTTTCTTGATTCCCCAGATAAATTCATATACACATTTGTTACAACATCTTAGTGTACTGGAGTTCTAATAGAAGTTCAACATCTTAGTGTGCCTCCCTCATTCCTTCTTGATGTGATGTAGTATTTGACATACTGTGCTGAATAAATGAATAAGTACAATAATATATATTGTCATTGAAATCCAATTTTCTCCATCACCTTGGGTAACACTATGCCAAGGTCATCTAGTGTCCATATTTGGATGGCCAATTTTGCCAACTCTGGTGTTACCAGAAATTTCATCATACTATTGCACTTGAGCAGGTTAATATTCAAACTTACCTTGGTGTGGCTGAAAAAGAGTTCTCTATAGTTATATTGAAACTAAAAGTAGCTTTTGACCCAATGTACTATAAGATTTTTAGATAAAAATAAATGAAGCTATGAGTCTAGTTTGGAAAAATTACTGTATGTAAAGCTTATTTTAGTGTCCAGAAGGTAATATGACAAGATAAGTAAAATATTGTAAATGGAACTATAGAGTTATTTTGCCTAGATGAGGACACTTAAAGTTTGAATTCAGGGTGGGTTTTCCCTTTACAATTCATGTACAGTTTTATTGTACAAACTTTTATTGTAAGTAAATATGGCAGTACTTTAAAATTCAAATCTTTTTAATGTGATTTGGCTTTGAAAATATAAAATCAGGCTATTTCTCTTTATTTATCCATACAGTACATAGTAAGCTTTTATATGATAGATAATCTGGGATTTTTTTCTTTCATTTTTAAACTCTAAGCTTTGACAACAATTAATAATGATTTGTTGTGTTTTTCTTTCCTTTTTCTGGGGAAATGAAGTTTCATTGCTCCGGAAGAAATTAATTCTAAAAAATACACTGTAACAATTAAAATGAAGTCAATTTTGTTCTTGAACTACGGCACTGCTTTGTGATATACTAACAGCCGTCTGCTGATGATAAAAAACAAGTCCATGCGGCTCAGCTCCAGAGTGTTCCTTCCAGCTCTCACCACAGTGCACACACTTAACAACATCAGTCATTTTATATCTATTTGACACTGATTAATTACTCTGATTCATTCTGGTATTATAGCCACTGCCTTGGCACTTTAGTTAGGTCTGAACAATTGAAGGGAGATCAGCAGTGTGAATTATGTATTTATTACTGTGACCCTTCATGCTACTTAATTAACTTAAATGATTGTGTGTGCACCCTCATCTTTGAAATATGATTATGGAAAAGATTTACCTGTATTTCATTTTAAGAAATGAAAATCATGGTTATCAGCATCAGCTTATATATATGACATTATGTTAATTTTTCAGCTGCTATATTGATGCTTAGCATTTTTTCTTTTGTGAAAAATTAACAAATATCCATTACTAATTCATTTTGACTGGGGTTTTTTATTTCTAAACTGAGGAATGCATAGAACTCTTATAGGTACATCCTTTGATCCTGAAATGAAGATGATAACCAGATTTATAAGCACTATGGAACATTTCTATTTTGACTTGCACTAAGGATTGAATAGGACTTCTATAAACAAGACAGCTTACATATTTTTAACACTCAAAAGGCAATGTAAATGAAAGAGCAGCAACCATCAGAACAAATGTACAAAAATGAAATATTTACTAGCAATACCTCATATGCTTCAATGAGAAAAGAAGTAAGGTAAATGCACCAGATTTTTTAGATGGTAGTTAAATAAATAGTACTTATCTCCTCTGATTTGAAATACAAATCAGAGCAATCACGTTTTGGTTGTTGTTTTTCATTTACTCTTTTGTTGATGAAGATGGCAGGAATGTAACACTGGAATATATTTCATACCTTTTATGAAGGAATTATACTTCTGATAATCCATCCTAAAGAATCAATTCAAAATTCAGACTTAAAAAATACTTGTTACACAAAGACACTGCTTTAATTTGCTTTTCTTTCTTTAAACTATCTTGCTTTATAGAATTTTTTTTCATTTTTTATAGTCACATCTGTCAACCTTTTGCTTTTGGTGTCTGGCTTTGGTTTCATCCTTTAAAAGATTATATTACTACTTTTGTACAATGTATTGAATCCTTTCCTCAGTGACTTAAAATGCTCCACTTACTATGTACTGAGTCTTCATAATTGATCTTATTTCTCTCATTTGTCTGTGTTTATTCCTAGGCACCACATTTTTAAACAAATAATTTACATATAATCAAAATTCACACATTTTGATTGTACAGCTCATTGAGTTTTGAAAATTACATATACCACTGTGGAAATATAGATTATTTCCATCACTCCAAAAAGTTTCTTCTGCAATTCCCTGTATGGTCAGTCCCCAACCGTGATTCCCAGACCAAGACAGTCACTGATATGCTTTGTCATTATATGTTAGTATTACCTTTTTAGAATTTTTATCAATGGAATTATACAGCATGTACTCTAGCTTTCTTGGCATTTTTTTTTTTTGAGATTCTTCTATCATTAGGTTGTTCCTTTTTATTGCCAAGTAATATTCCTTTGGCTATGCCACAGTTTACTTAGGTATTCACCTGCTGCTAGACTTTTGTATTGCTTTCAGTTAGGGGCCATTAAGAATAAAGTTGCTATGAATATTCATGTAAAAGTCTTGGTGCAGACAGATGTTTTCATTTCTCTTGGGTAAGTACCTAGAAGTGGAATTACTGGGTCTTATGGTAAGTGTATATTTAACTTTATAAGAAACTGGCAAATTTTTTAAAAATGACTATGCTATCTAACATCCCTAGGGCTAACACCATTGTGAATTCAGTTGTTCCACATCATTTTTAACACTTATAAAAAAGATGCAGTATTTTAAGCCGTTTTGAGTATGTAGTTATAGCTGTGCTTGTAGTTTTCATTTGCCTGATGTGATGTTGGGCATTGTTTCATATGTGTATTGGCCATTTTTATATCTTCTTGTGAGATTTCTGCTCAGATATTTTGCTTGATTTCAAATTGGGTGGTCATCTAATTGAGTTAAATTTAAAAGTTAATAATAGTTCATCTTTTCCCAAATGTATATTCACTTGCTCCATCATCATTTCTTAAAAAGACTATCCTTTTCCGATTTAATCGCCTTGGCTCCCTTGTCAAAAATTAATTGACCATATGCATATAGATCTACTTCTGAGCTCTCATTTTCCCCCAGGGATCTGTATGTCTGTCCTTGTGCCTTTAAGACAGTCTTTATAAGATTGAAAAAGAACAAAATGGCAAGATTTACACAAACAGTTGTTTTGGCTATTCTAGGTCCTTTATATTGCCATATAAATTTTAAAATCAGCTCATTAATTTCTGGCCTAAGAAAGCCTGTTAGGATTTTGACTGGGATTTTGTTAAATCAATAGATTAGGGAAAATTGACATCTTAACAACATTGAGTCTTTCACTCACGAGAGAGTGGGTCTCTCCATTTATGTGGACCATCTTTAAAGTTGTTTTGTAGTTTATGTAAGTCAGACATATATTGTTACATTTATCTCAAGTATTGTATGTGTGTGTGTGTGTGTGTGAGAGAGAGAGAGAGAGAGAGAGAGAGAGAGAGAGAGAGCGAGAGCGACTGAGACTCGGTCTGTCGCCCAGGCTGGAGTGCAGTGGCATGATCTCTGCTTACTGCAACTGCCACCTCCTGGGTTCAGGCCATCCTTGTGCCTCAGCCTCCCAAGTAACTGAGACTACAGGTGTGCACCACATGCCTGGCTAATTTTTGTGTTTTTAGTAGAGACAGAGTTTTGCCAGGTTGGCCAGGCTGGTCTCGAATTCCTTGTCTCAAGTGATCCGCCCACCTTGGCCTCCCAAGGTGCTGGTATTACAGGCATGAGCCACCACACCCAGCCTTTATGCTTTTTTGAAGCTGTTGTTTGTAGTATTATATAAATTCTTCATTGCTAGTACGTAGAAATAGAATTTTTATACCTTGATCCTAAATCATAAGACCTTGCTTAAACTTCAATAAATAGTTCTAGTAGCCTTCTTTGCATATAGCTTCAGGATTTTCTATGTATAAAACCAGGTAGTATGCAAATGAAAACTTTAATTCCCCCTCCCCCAGTCTGTATCCTTTTTCCCTCCACACTTTAATGTCCTGACTAGGACATCTAATAGAATACTTACTTTATGTTGGGTCTCTGGAGGTCATTTTGTTATTTTTGAATCTCAAGTGTCCATTATCTGTCTTTTCATATGTGAACTACTTTATACCAGCAACTAAATTAAGTAATTTGTATAAGACATACTGCTTGTAAGTAAAAAGGAACTAACAAGCCACTGTGTTGTAAAAATCAAGTTTGTTGATTCAGTGTTGGCAATTCAATAACAGTAAGTTAAACCCAATAACCAAGTTGGCAATTACTATTCTCTGTCATGTATTTACAAAAACATTGTCAGTTTATCATAATGTGGCTGTTCGTTCCCAGTTTTGGTGTCAATAAATAACTTAAATAGAAGTTTTTAAATGTTGATTTAAAAAGAAGCAAATAAAATAGCCAAAATAGAAAAGTCAAAATAGGAAAATCTTAAATGTGTTCAATATACTAATGATCTTTTATTTCTTCCTTAGGTTAATGCCTTAGATAAGAAAACGTGTATCATTGTTCATTAGTTATTATAGAATAATAGTTACATCAACTTACATATCAATTGTGTTTATAAACAAGTAAATATTTTTACCAAAAAAAAAAAACAAAACCCACGGGGCGGTAAAATTTAGGTCTATTTCTTATTCATTATAGTATATTTAAAGCTATAATCATCATTTTTTTAGATAGAGATAGGGAAGCACCAGAGTATAGTTGAGGAACTTGGGTTCTGGAATCAAACTGCCTTGCTGAAAATCCTAGTTCTTTCACTAGCTGGCAGATGACCTTGGGCAAATTACTTACCTTTTCTGAACTTCATCTGTGAGTAAGGAAAATGCGCTTACCTCATAGCAATATTTTGTGACCATTAAGTGAGATAAATCATGTAAAGACCTTAGAGTAGAGCCTAGCACAAAGTAAGTGTTGAATAAATATAAGCATAAATTATCTAATGATTAACCTGAACTCCATAAAGTTTGTAGAACTATCTGACTGGTAATCTTTATTATGTCCACTATTGGTGAACATGTCATATGAGATAGTTTTATATCATTTTCTTAATATAGAGGAATAGGTCAGATATAAAAGCTAAAGCCAAATATACACATTAACATATATACGTACACAAAAATTGTTATATTTTGTTGAATGGATTGCACCTTGGGCCACATTATTTCTTCTATTATTTAACTCCTTAATTATGTGTTAAACTGTGAGTCTCACCTTTTTTGCAAAGATGTAGAGAAGGTATCAGTAATGGAATCTTTATATTCTGAAAATAAATATAACAGGTGGTTATGTTTTACTTGTGTTATTTCACTACCATCTTGAAAAGCATTCAGATAATTTTCCTTGAATATGGGGAATTTGTATTTTTTTAAATACGATATTCATTCAGTACTTCAATAGTTTTATGTAGATTTCCTTGGTCATTATATGGAGCCTCATTGTGTCCATGCAGATGCTAAAGCTATTCCTGACACTGTTTGGTGTTATCTTAATATTATTTAAGCAAAGAATGGTGATCAACTACAACTTAGCAATTTGTTACTTTTTAAACAGCTCTTTAAAATAAATGAAAAATTAAATGAGAAGTATTTATAATTAGAAAAGTACATAGATAAAAATTTGGAACCTACAGAATTTAGGAAATCAGCCTTTGCACAGGTAAGTAATTTTTGTGTGTTCACTGTTTCACATGGGTACATTGTTTCCCTTTTACAGCACCAGTGCATCAATGGCCAATGGCTTTGTCATGTGCCTCTACATTTTCCCAGCTATAATTTTCAGTTCCTCAAAATGCCATTCCTGAAGGTTCTGTGTATGTGTTTTCCTTAAATACCATTACATGTACATCCCTTAAGCCTGGTTCTCCATGACTTCAGCCCTGGCATTGGGTAATTCATTAATTCTTGTGAAACCTTGCCTTTAACTGCCTTCCAACCATCCCCAGTGCTCACCTCCAGCACACTTTAGACACATGCCTATTGTGTAATTGTTAGTATAGCTTTTTTCTTCACCCTGATCACAAACTCTTTGAGGGCAGGGACCATATCTTTTTTCTAGATGCCCAGAACCCACCATAGGGCCTCATATTTAGAAGTTCAGTAAAATGCTTCCATTGACCCTTTATGACCACAATAGTTTTACTCACTTTCACAAGGATTTGACACTGTGGTATGTAGTTAGTTCTCGCTTCATTCAAAAATTAATGAAACAGGGCTGGGCGCAGTGGCTTACGCCTGTAATCCCAGCACTTTGGGAGGCTGAGGTAGGTGAGCGCATCACCTGAGGTCAGGAGTTCTAGACCAGCCTGGCCAAAATGGCAAAACCTTGTCTCTACTAAAAATACAAAATTAGCAGGTCATGGTGGCGCATGCCTGTAATCCCAGCTACTTGGGAGGCTGAGGCAGGAGAAATCACTTGAACACGGGAGGCAGAGGTTGCAGTCAACTGGGATTGTACCACTGCACTCTAGCCTGGGCAACAGAGAGAGACTGTCTTAAAAAAAAAATTAATGAAACATAATGCTGCTCTAAAAAATGAATATTGGCTGGGCACAATGGCTCATTCCTGTATTCCCAGCACTTTGGGAGGCTGAGGCGGGTGGATCACCTGAGGTCAGGAGTTCGAGACCAGCCTGGCCAACATGGTGAAACCCCATCTCTACTAAAAATAAAAAATTAGCTGGGCATGGTGGCATGCGCCTGTAGTCCCAGCTATTCGGGAAGCTGAGGCAGGAAAATCTCTTGAACCCAGGAGGCGGAGGTTGCAGTGAGCCAAGCTTGCACCAGTGCACTCCAGCCTGGGAGAATGCAGTGAGCTGAGATCACACCACCGCACTCCAGCCTGGGTGACAGAGTGAGACTCCATCTTAAAAAAAAAAAAAAAAAAAAAGAATATTAACCTTAAATAAAGTTTAAAAAGTGGGAAAACATCACAATAAAAAGAAGTGCTAGTTATACATTGTTTACTTTTCTGCTACACTGTATTCCTTGAATTCTTAACAATTTTTGCCTTTGTTTTACAGGTGAAGCCTTGAAAGGAAAGGTCACAGTTCACAAGAATAAGAAAGATCCACGTTCTCTCACCGTGACCCTCACGTTGAATAATTCAACTCAAACTTATGGTCTCCAGTGAAACAGCCATAAAAGCACACTACCTTGTAGTTTTTAATGTGGGGGTAGAGTGGGTCAGCAGGAGGGAGCTGGTTTTATGTGAGCAGATGGATGGATGATGGACCCTTTCCTAATGAGCCTCCTCAATAAGAGAGAAGTTCTCATTGTGGGAATCTGACATAGTTCAGCTGAGGAAGAGAATCAGCTGATCCTCATGGTCTGCCACGTAATCATTTTCTTAGACGTTTGCTCCACCAGATTTAACCAAATGTAACTCCCACATTGAGTTTATCTATATTGAAAATCATTTACATTGGCCTATATTTGGAAGAGAGATAGTCTTTTGTTTTTAATAAGTTTCTTACTATAAATTTTAAACAAATTGGTTAGTTATTTGGATATTTTATTAAACTAGTAACACAGGTACTACACATTTTATTATGGACTCCTCTGAGGAGGAGTTTTTAATTGTATTTGCTAGAAAATCAGGATGTAATAAAGATTTGTATAAAAAAACTAAAATATGGAAAAGAGCTTCAGCCTTCATATACAAATCATATATGCAGACAGCCTAGTTGATTATCTAGCATACTTAGGGTTCTCATTTTGTAGTTTCTTCCCTCTTTGTGACTATTCCTTAGCCTTATAGATTTCTAGTACTGCCCAGGAAATCTAATTTCAATACATTTATCCTAGGTTTCATGAAAGTTTTTAAAGATTGGGATAAATATGTACTTATTTACTAACGTATTATCTTTTTCAAACCAGATTTATGTGCAAAGGTTAAACATGTAACTGTTACTAAGCAGTCTATAAAGTTGTCATTTACAATTACTGATTCAATTTGAAATGTAGAATAAAATTTTAATAAAATGTATCAACTTATAAAATATTTTAAAAATATTGATATTATAAAAGTTTTCAATAAAATATATCAAACAACATTATAAAATATTTCAACAGGGTATGGTAGCTCATACCTATAATCCCAGCATTTGGGAGGCCAAGGCAGGAAGATCACTTAAGCCCAGGAGTTTGAGAGCAGCCTAGGCAACACAGGTCTGTACAAAAAATTCTTTTAAAAAAATTAGCCAGGCATAGTGGTGCATGCCTGTAGTCCTAACTACTTGGGAAGCTGTGGTGAGCAGATTGCTTGAGTCCAGGAGTTGGAAACTACAGTAAGTCAAGATCGTGCCACTGCACTCCAGCCTGGGTAACAGAGAAAGACTCTGTCTCTAGAAAAGTTAATTAATTAAAAGTAAAAAACAGGGCCAGGCATGGTGGTTCATGCTTATAATCACAACACTTTGGGAGGCCAAGGCAGGAGGATTGTTTAAGGTCAGGAGTTCAAGGCCAGCCTGGGCAACATAGGGAGACTCCATCTTTACAAAAAATTAGCCAGGTGTGGCACACACCTGTAGTCCCGGCTACTCTGGAGGCTGAGGCAGGAGGATCCCTTGAGTCCAGGAGGTCAAGGCCACAATGAGATCACACCACTGCATTCCAGCCTGGGTGGCAGGGTTAGGCCTCATCATTCATTTATTCACTCATAAATAGATAAGTTTCAACATACTAAGGCCTTTTGTAAAATCAGAAGCATTTAAAACAAGTCTTAACAAAGGGATTATTTTTAAGAAAATAAGGCTTTTAAGGAGAGGCATTCCACATGCCTCTTTTAAGTTCAGCAGTTGGTTCTTTGTCAAAACAAGACATACACGAGGCAGCTTAGCATAGTGTTGACAAGCATGGAGCATAGTATTGAGAAGCATGATAGCTATGGAGTCAGTGCCTAGGTTCAAATCCTAGCTCCAGCTCTTACTTGCTGTATGATCTTAGTAGCTTTCCTTAACTTCTGTCTCCCTCCATGAACGTGCCAATTTATGAATTAATAAAGAATTTAGATCAGTACCTGGCACATAGAAAACTATTAGGTGATAGAATCATCATTATCCATTCAAGGACTCCCAAAGAATATATGGCACCTACATTAGATCAGTTTAAGAATTGTCACGTTCATCAGATAGTAATTATTGCCCTAGTACATGAATGCGTGAGAAAATTATGATGGGCATTAATATTTAAAGTGGCAAAATCTGTTTCAACAAGAAATTGTCTTTGGTCTCAGAAAACTGGCCTAGCAATGAGGAGGAAAAACCTCTTCAAATGTTGGTTTTAAGACCATAGTCTTTAGTCTTCCTTCACAAACATGATTCGCTTTCATTGGGCTAAACCAGTCAGCTTGTTTTCACTATGGATTTGAATTCAGACCATTACTAGAAATGTATGGTGCTGATAATACAGTTTAAACTACTTGCAATTTTGTCTTGAATGGCTTCCTACACAAATTTGAGGTTAGGGTGATAAATAAGGAGGCCAAAAAGAAGATTTAATGAATTTTTAAAGTAACCAAAAACTATCGGATTTTTTGTTTTCTCTCTCATTGTAAGTGCATATTAAATATTTCCTATTGTATAAACTTCTTAATTATTTCTCTTCAGAACTCTTGTTAGGTTTCCATCAGATTTGCACCTGGTGACACTTTATTCTCTTCAGGTTATTACTAGCCCAGCTGCAGTTAGTGGATCTTTGTTTGTTTCAATTAGCCTTCCAAGGCCAGGACATTCTTATTTGTGTACCCAAGCATTTTATGAGAACATAAGTGTCCAAATGTTAGCTCTTCAATTAGAATTTCCACCTTCAAATTGCTGTAAAAAATAAGTACTTTGTACCCCTTGACAATGATAAATACACTATGCTTTTATGTTGTGACAGATGGGCATCTATAGATACCAGTTTACTCTGTTTCAGGGATTTTATTTCCATTAAGAAAACACATTTTTCCTCTACCTTTCTTTGTGATATTGTGTATTGTAATGTGTGGGGCTCATCTCAATATGATGGTCATCTATAGCGAAACAGTGTGGTCTGAAGATAGCACTTCAGAAGGAATGTTCCAAGGAAACAGACCTCTCAAGTGTGTACAGAATGGTCCAATAAGTAGCCATAATGGCTATAGAGCACACTCCGTGATTAATCAGGCAGCTGTTTAACTTTGAAACAATCCCTGTTTGGGTTAGGGAGGAGTGAGAAGTCTGGTCCTACAGAGTTTTTTGTTGTTGTTTTTTAAATCACTTAATGTGGATTAATCAGTGTAGTCCACCTGTGTCCTTCAGCATTCTACCTCACTTTTTATGATGATGTAAAATATAACGTGTGATATTATGGACTTGAGATCAGTCCATAGGAGTCTTACCAGACATGCTCTCAAGCTTTCAACAGGAGAAATTAAAACAATATGATATGCCACTTTGCTTTTAGTGACTGTGCCAAAAATCATAATTTAAGCTGCTGGGCTGTAACATGTACCCAAAATATCGAGGTATTCAGATTTTTCTGTGTAGCAGAATAACAAAAACATGTCAGGTTTGCAACACTGTCATAGAGTTTCAGCCACACTTTAAATTATTTGCAAAAACAAATAGTATAAATAGTATAGCATAAAGTTTTTAAACTATTTCACTCCTTCGAGAGAAACTAACTTGTGGTGAAAGACCAGATAGGTGAGATACCCAAGGTCAAGCCCTGTCCAATGCAGGGTTAGCAAACTGCAGCCCCGGGGCCAAACCCACCTGCCCCCTGTTTTGGGAAATAAAATTTTATTGAACACAGCCACACTTAATTCATTTTTATACTATCTGTAGCTGCTTTTGTACTATCATGGCAGAGTTGAGTAACTGTGACAGACTGTGTGGCCCACAAGGCTGAAAATACTTAACCAGCTGTCCCTTTACAGAGAAAGTTTTCCAACTCCTGGCCCTGTAAGGCTTGTAGTGATAGCAAGGTACATATTTGCTCTTACAGCTGAGAGTGAGGTGATGATAATAGAGAAGTCAATTCTGAGTCAAACAAATTTAGGTAAGATTTATTATCTGAGGCCGGGCACAGTAGCTCACGCCTGTAGTCCCAGCAGTTTGGGAGGCCGAGGCGGGTGGATCGCCTGAGGTCAGTAGTTCGAGACCAGCCTGAACAACATGGTAAAACCCTGTCTCTACTAAAAATACAAAATTAGCTGGGTGTGGTGGCGCATGCCTGTAATCCCAGCTACTCAGGAGGCTGAGGCAGGAGAATGGCTTGAACCCGGGAGGCGGAGGTTGCAGTGAGCTGAGATCATGCCACTACACTCCAGCCTGGGCAACAAGAGCAAAACTCTGTCTAAAAAAATAAATAAATAATCTGTATAGAAAACCTACTCAGATGAAGTAATAAATTTGTTTTTAGTTGCAGCCAAGAAAGAACAGCTACCTTTTGGAGCAGAGATGACTAATGCCATATATAAAGTATTTCTTCATATAACTCATTAATGGTCATGGCAGAGAAGATATAAATGCACAACAGAACACATAGATTTTAAGAACTATTTTTTTTAATGTGGAGCTAAGCAACTGGATATATTACTCCATTTATGAACACAGGATTGATTAAACCTAAATTGCTAAAAAAGATACAGCATTTACATACATGAAACTGATGTTTTGAGTTGTAACAATTAGTGCCTTGTATAAAGGGAATTAGTAAAACTGAAACCTTGTAGCTGATTGTCAACTCCATTTTAAAAGTTTTAATTAGACCAGAAGAAATCTGCAAACAGAACTTTTGTTTGCTTGTGGTTTTGTTTTGAAATAGGGTCTCACTCTGTCACCCAGGCTGGAGTACAGTGGCGCTATCTCGGCCCACTGCATCCTTGACCTCCCAGGGCTCAGTTGATCCTCCCACCTCAGCCTCCCTAATAGCTGGGACTACAGGCACATGCCACCACACCTGGGTAATTTTTCTATTTTTTATAGAGATGGGGCTTCACCGCGTTGCCCAGGCTGGCCTCCAACTCCAAAGCTCAAGGGATCTGCCCACCTCAGCCTCCCAAAGTGCTGGGATTGCAGGTGTGAGCCAGCGCTCCCAGCCTAAACAGAACATTTTAAAGCTAGAGATGGTTGACCCCTGCCCTTGAGCTACAAAATAACCCAGCTAGTGAATGACTTCTGAGCCTTAAAGAAAGTAATTGCAGTGGTCTTCAAGATAGCTCTGGACCCAAAACTATCAACATTAGGAGAGACAGTTGGGGAACTCAGCAGTTTTAACAAGTCTTGGGATTCCTTAATGCCTTCCCTGCTTGGATGTCACCCAAGAACATGGCACTACTGTTGTAGTGATGCATGGGGCCATGGCAAGATATGTAAAGTGCCTGCACAGCTATCCACACACGCTTTGTTGGCTTGGAGGCTCGTCGGTCTTAAGTCTCTTCATGATTTTGAGTGTTTCGTTGCTATAAAGTTAGAGTAAACTTTTTCAAGAAGAATGATAGAAGAAACACTTCTAAAATATCTTAGTAATTCATGGACAGAAAACCAAACGCCGCATGTTCTCACTCATAGGTGGGAATTGAACAATGAGAACACTTGGACACAGGGTGGGGAACACCACACACCAGGGCCTGTCGTGGGGTGGGGGGTGGGGGGAGGGATAGCATTAGGAGATACACCTAATGTAAATTATGAGTTAATGGGTGCAGCACACCAACATGGCACATGTATACATATGTAACAAACCTACAGGTTGTGCACACGTACCCTAGAACTTAAAGTATAATAATAAAAAAAAAACTTAGTAATTCATTTGACCTTTCCAATAAAGTTTTCATCTATTGTCTCACCATCCTGGTTAATGTGGAGCTGTTCACATTGTTAGTTCTACAGTGTAGCTAAATGCAGACAAAAATGTTGCCACTTAGTTGTAATTAAAATGAAGATAATAGATAACAAAGGAGGCAATTAATTATAGCATAGTCATTTTATGGAATATTATGCATTCAAGAAAAATCAGTATCACGTCCTCAAGGCAGCATGGAAAAGCTCATGATAAAAAGATAAAGCAATATAAGGTTACACTGATTAAAAGAAAAAGCCTACACATGCTAAAATGCTGAAAGAAAAAAGTGTCAGTGATTGGATTATAAGTGGCTTTTTCCTCTAAACTTTCTGTAATGTTGTATAACTTTTGTAAGTTTTTAAAATATATTCTTAAACAAAACTGAGTAGCTGAAATCATTTTGCAAAGTGTTGATATAAGAAATGAACCCACCAGGCCACCGCATCAGCTTAGATGGAATGTGGAAGCCCAAGAATTCTGCACTCTGGCAAAACGCAACCCTCCATCTCTGCCGACAATCCCAGGTTGGAAAACATTGTTTGGAGACCATCAGGACTAATTTCATGATACCCTTTATTCCTATTAATGCCAATCACTCCAAGAAGCCCAGGTCTCACAGTTCATTCTGCATCCTCCATTTCTAATCTTCATGCAGTGCCAATATATCCCCATTTTCTAAATAAAATCCTGAGATCACTGCCAAGATCACTGCTTCCCCTGAAGCCTTCTAAAATGGGAGCTATCTTCTCGCACACCACTCATCGCCCTAGACTTGGCTGTAAGGTGGGAGACTTCTTGTTTTTGGTTGCCAATCATAGACCATTCTCCTTACTTCTACTGCTTTTACATCTTTAATCACCTGTCATCAAGACTGTTAACACCAACCACCTAACCTTGTCAGCATCATCACACCACCCCCAGGTCACTCACCTCATTCCTGTTTTCTTTCCATTGTTTTGCCTTTAATTTATATACAATAAATTGCACACATTTTAATTGCATACTATGATGAGTTTTGGCAAATGTATACGCCCTTGCAACTGTCACGTCTCTCACCTCCTTAAAAATGTTAGCCCCTAACTCACTGCCCACACTGCTCCTGCCTAATCAGAGTCAGTATCATCACATGGATGATCCTTTATTCCCTGACCTTTTGGTTCATTGGCCTCCTCCAGTGATCTTGCCTCCACCTGACCTCAGCTACTCACCCCTATGGTCATCCTCTAGAATTGGCCATAACCCAGAACTCCAACGCCAGCTGGATCTTAATTTTAAGTATCATTCTCACTACCTACTTTTTCAGCTCGCTCTCTTTAGTATCACAAAGCTTCGGGTACTGAGGCTGAGGCCAGCCACTGTCCCTGTGCCTCACACCCCACTCCCTTAATTACTCAGATGTTTTGTCAGCATTTCTCCCCTTTCCCCTGCATCATCACCGTTTCCCTCCACTGCTCCCCAGTTAGCATACAAATAGGCTACAGTTTCTCCTATCTTGACTCCACTTCTTTCCTGCTACTGCCACATTTCTAGTTTTCCCTTTACACTGAAAACCCTCAAAGAGTTGTCTGTGTTTACTGTTTTCTCTATTTCCATTGTTTCACCTATGATTTATATACAATAAGTTGCACACATTTTAATTGCATGAGTTTTGACAAATGTATACACCCTTGCAACCATCACCTCTATTAATATTTAGAACACTTCCTTCACACCAAAAAGTTTCCTTATTCAGCCTTGCTGCCAACATTTGTCCTCCCGTTCCTCCCCAGGCAAACACTAATCTGATTTCTATCGATGATAAATATGTTTTGCCTGTCTTAGAACTGCATCTAAATGGTGTCTTGGTCCATTTGTGCAGCTATAACAATACCACAGACTGGGTAATTTATAAAGAACAAATTCATCTTTCTTACAGTTTTGGAGTCTAGGAAGTCTGAGATCAAGGCACCAGCAGGTTTGGTTGTCTGGTGAGGGCTGCTCTCTGCTTCCATAATGGCACCTTGTTGTTGCATCCTCCCGAGGAACACTGTGTCCTCACACAGCAGAAGGGCAGCTGGGCACAGTGGCTCACTCCTATAATCCCAGAACTTTGGGGAGGCTGAGGCAGGAGGATCGCTTGAGCCCAGGAGTTCAAGACCAGCCCGGGCAACAAAGTGTGACCCCCCCCCCCGCCCTCCCGCTCTCTACAAAAAGAAAAAAAAATTAGCCAGGCATGGTGGCACACACCTGTGGTCCCAGCTACATGGGAAGCTGAGGCAGGAGGATGTGTTGAGCACAGTAGGTCAAGATTACATTGAGCCATGTTTGTGCCACAGCACTCCAGCCTGGGTGACAGAGTGGGACCCTATCTCAAAAGAAAAAAGAAGGCAGAAGGGCAAGAGGGCCACAAGGTGTCTGAAGCCCCTTTTATAAGGGCCTTAATCCAATTCAAGAGGGAGCAGCCTTCGTTGCCTAATCACTTCTTAAAGGCCCCACCTCTTATTACCATCTCATTGGCCATTAAGTTTCAACACCTGAGTTTTTGAGAGGTCCCATACAAACCACAGCAAATCGAATTATGCAGTGTATACTCTTGTTTCCAGCTTCATTCAGCATGTTTTTTGAGATTCACCATGTTATGTTTCAGTAGCCCATTCCCTTCTGTTACTCAATATTATTCTGTTATAAAAGGGATACCACTGATTTGTTTATCCATTCACCTGCTGGTGAACATGTGGGCTGTTTCCAGGTTTTGGCTGTTATGAATTAAGCTGCTATGAGCATTTGTGTACAAATCTTTCTTGAGCCCAACCTCACCAGGCCTTTACCTCCACCACCCCATTCAAACTACTCTTTTCAAGCTCACCAGTGAACTATGTTAATTCCAGTGACCAATTCTCAGCCCTAATTTTACTTGACTTACCAGCAGTATTTGATTCACTTCCTTCTTGAAACACTTTCCTTGCTGTTATGGATTGAATGTTTATATTCTTCCAAAATTCACTCAGGCATACCTCAGAGATACTGCAGGTTCAGTTCCAAACCACCACAGTAAAGCAAGTCACACACATTTTTTAGTTTCCCAGCGCATGTAAAAGTTATGTTCACACTATACCATTAAGTGTATGATAATTTGCATTATGTCTAAAAAAAGTACAGATCTTAACTTAAAATTACTTTATTGCTAAAAAATGCTGACATAGAGATACGAAGTAAGCACATGCTGTTGGAAAAATGGCACCAATAGACTTGCTCAATGCAGAGTTGCCACGAGCTCTCAATTCGTGTGTGTGTGTGTGTATATATATATATATATATATATATATATATATATATATATATATATATATGCAGTATCTTTGGAGTGCAATAAAGTGAAGCACAACACAACGAGGTATGCCTGTATGTTGAAATCCTCACCCTCAATGTGATGGTATTAGGAGGGGGACGGCCTTTGAGAAGCAATTAGGCCCGAAAGGTTGCACCCTCATGAATGAGATTAGTGTCCTTAAAGAGCTCTCTTGCCCTCTTGCTGCCAAGTGAAGATACAATGAGAAGTCAGTGGTCTACAACCTGAAAGAGGGCCCTAACCAGAACCCAACCATGCTGGCATCCTGATCTTGTACTTTCAGCCTCTAGATGGTGAGAAATAAATTTCTGTTGCTTATAAGCCACCCAGTGTAGAGTACTTTGTTGCAACAGCCTGAACTAAGACACTTGACTTCCCCTGCTCTCCTCCCTCCTCCTTGGCCACTCTTCAGTTTCCCTTGTTCTTCCTCATCTCCTCACCTTTAACATGTTGGCATCTTAGTCCTGGGATCTCTTTCCTGTCCCTCCCTTGGGGATTTCATCCAGTCTTGCGGCTTTAAATACCTAGATACTGATGACTTCTAGAGGTATTTGTCTACCCATCTATCTTCCAGGGCAGTCTTCTATGTATAACTGTGTACATGGCATCTCTCCTTGGATGTCTAAAGGGCATCTCAAACTTTGTATAGTCAAAGCCAGATTTCCAATCTTCCCCCAAACCCTGTCCCTGCTGTCTTCCTCCATATCACTGAATGGACTCCAACTTTCAGTAGCTGAGGCCAGAAATCGTAAAGTCATCCTTGACTTCTTTCTCTCACACCATATCCAAACTGGTTAACAAGTCTAGGATCTACCTTCAAAATTCATCCAGAACCAGAGTATTTCCCACTACCTATACTAGTGCCACCCTGGTCCAAACCATCATTGTCTTCCACCTAGATCACTGATTCTCAAAATCATGCACAGACTCTGTGCACAAAATAATACACAGACTCTGGCAGTTCCCAAAAACCCTTGCTGGCAGTCAGGAAAGAAAAACTATTTTTGGCATAGTACTAACACATTGTTTGCCTTTTTCACTGTATCAACATTGGCACTGATGGTGCAACAGCAATGGTAGGTAAACTTGCTGGCCCCTTAGCACAGATCAAGGCACCAAACTATACTAATAGTCATTGCATTCTTGTTTGTTTGTTTGTTTGTTTGTTTGTTTGAGACAGAGTTCCACTCTTGTTGCCCAGGCTGGAATGCAATGGTGCGATCTCACCTCACCGCAACCTCCGCCTCCCGGATTCAAGTGGTTCTCTTGCCTCAGCCTCCTGAGTAGCTGGGATTACAGGCATGCGCCACCACGTCTGGCTACATTGCATTCTTTATTACCACATACTCTCTAAAATATCCTTGATAAGCTGGACACGGTGGCACATGCCTGTAGTCCCAGTTACTTAGGAGACAGACTGGAAGGATCTCTTGAGCCCAGGAATTTAAATCCAGCCTGGACAACAGAGCAAGATCCTGTCTCAAAAAAATAAAAGAAAGAAAAGAAAAGAAAAGAAAAATTATTGGCTGGGTGCAGTGGCTCACGCCTGTAATCCCAGAACTTCAGGAGGCCGAGGCAGGTGGATCATCTGAGGTCAGGAGTTTGAGACCAGCCCGGCCAACATGGTGAAACCCCATCTCTATTAAAAATACAAAAATTAGCCAGGCATGGTGGCTCACACCTGTAGTCCCAGATACTCAGGAGGCTGAGGCACAAGAATCACTTGAACCCAGGAGGCAGAGGTTGCAGTGAGCCAAGATCGTGCCACTGCACTCCAGCCTGGGTGACAGAGCGAGACTCTGTCTCAAAAAAAAAAAAAAGAAAAGAAAAGAAAAATTACTGATGAAGCTGTAAAACAAAACAAAACACTAATTTTATTAAATTCTGAACCTTGAATATACGTCTTTTCGAAATTCTGTGTGACATTAATAAAGCACTTCTGTTGCATCCTGAAATACAACGCGTGCCTTGAAGAAAAGCACTTATGCAATTGAACTGTGAGCTACACTAGACACATTTTTTTATGGAACGTCATTTTTACTTGAAAGAATTACCGACAGACAAACCATGGCGGACATTTTTCTGCAAAAGAAAAAAGTGAGCTTATCACTTCAAGTGAGACAACTGGTAGTATTTGTTATTAATGATAAAATTCAAGCTTTCATGCTAAAATGTGAATTTTAAACAATATGTAATTTTCTACTGTGAGCTTGAGGCTTCCCAATTTTTAGATTTTGAGATTAGTGGTAATAATAAGAAATATGATTTTTTAAAATATTGCAGAACAAAATGTGTCCACATTTGGAAGATCTGCATAACCCAGTGATCTAATATTTCCCCCCAAATGGATGATCTTACAAATATCCATTCAATGGTCAAGACAAACCACTGGATTTCAATGTAACAATACAAAAATTTACTGATGTGATTTCAGATTCCACATTGCACCTGACGTTTAAGAAACTACTTGTCAAGTTCTGGTTTAGTATCGAAGAGGACTATTGGTGTGACGCCATATTTTCTTCATAAACTTCAACTAAAACAACTTACTGTTCACAGACTGAAGGCAGAAGCAGCTGTAAGAAACCAGCTGGGTTCTACTAAACAAGACAATAGAGATTTGTAAAAATGCTAAACACCACCATTCTTTTCATTAAATAT
Organism: Homo sapiens; assembly: GCF_000001405.40. Classification (NCBI taxonomy): domain Eukaryota; kingdom Metazoa; phylum Chordata; class Mammalia; order Primates; family Hominidae; genus Homo; species Homo sapiens. The sequence goes on from NC_000011.10 coordinate 20,520,084, forward strand.
TTTTTAAAAAATAGGCTAGGTGTGGTGTTTCACACCTGTAATCTCAATACTTTGGGAGACCAAGGTGGGAGGATCACTTGAGCCCAGGAGTTAAAGACCACCCTGGGCAACATAGTGAGACCCCATCCCCACAAAAAAAAATTTATTTAATTAGCTGGATGTGGTGGCACACCTGTGTTCCCAGCTACTGGGGAGGGAGGATGCGGTGGGAGGATCACTCGAGCCCAGGAGGTGGAGGCTGCAGTGAGCTGTGATTGTGCACTCCAGCCTGGGTGACAGAGCAAGACACTGTCTCAAAATATATATATAGTTATTTCCATTAAAAACATATTATTTCTGTCAACATATATGGTTTATTATTTTTAATAAATTAATAAATATAAAATTTTCTCAGCTTTAATTTCTAATTATGGTAAATATTAATAGATGTAACCCACAAAGAAAAGCTCTTTGGGATAGTTAATTTTTTTTTTTTTTTTTTGAGACAGAGTCTCGCTGTGTCGCCAGGCTAGAGTGCAGTGGCCCCATCTCAGCTCACTGCAACCTCCGCCTTCCGGGTTCAAGCAATTCTCCTGCCTCCGCCTCCTGAGTAGTTGGGACTACAGGCACCCACCACCATGCCTGGCTAATTTTTTTTTTTTGTAGTTTTAGTAGAGATGGGTTTCACCATGTTGCCCAGGCTGCTCTCGAACTCCTGAGCTCAGGCAATCTTCCTGCCTCGGCCTCCCAAAGTGCTGGGATTACAGGTGTGAGCCACCGCGCCCGGCCGGGATATTCAATTTTTAAGAAAGTAAAGAGGTCATGAAATAAAAAAAAGTTTGAGAATCACTAACCTAGATTATTACAAGACCCTCCTAATTGGTCTTTCTACTTCTGACTTACCCCACCATAGCCTCAATCAGACAAAGTAATTCTCTCAAAATATAAATCAGATTGTTATTCCTTTACTCAAACACTCCCAGAAGCTTCTCATCTCACTCAGAATAAAGACTCAAGTCCTGACATTTGCCTACAAAAACCCTGCACCTCACGTCCCATTACATACATCTCTGAAACGTGTCCGGGGACCACTTCTTTCACTGACTCAGCTCCAGCCACACTGACCTTCCTCTCCTTCCACTCTGCTCACAAGCTGTTCCTTCTGCCTGACAACCTCTTCCTCCAGAGAGCCACATAATTCACTCTTTGCCTTTTTCAGATCTGCCTTCAAAAATCACTTTCTCAACGAGGTTTCTCCAACCTGCCAATTAAAAGTTGCAAAACTCACACTCAACATTTCCAAACCCCATTCCTCTTTTATTTTTCTCACAGCATATATTGCCATCTAATATACTCTATATTTTACCAATTTCATATTTTTTATTTTATTATAAGCTCCAGAAGGACAGGGATTTTCATCTGTTTTATTAACTACTGTATAGTGCACTGGGACAAAATAGGAACTTCAGTAAATACATGTTGGATAAATGAATGAATACAGCATCTATTGGCCAGTAATCTAGACTGGTACCTTACGTAATTAACCAATGATACTCTGGCAGTTATCTTCTTCATTTGTTTTATTGTCTATAAATTACTTTGGCCTTTCTGAATTAGGAAACCTTTTGTATATCATTAGTATATATTTAAATATTTCTTTTCTCTCAACCACTGTGATGTATTAAAATTTCAAAGCCTTAGACCACAGGATGGTCTGAGCCCACAGAAAAACTCTGGGTTTGCATATGAATGGGTCATTTAGTTAATATGTACACATTTAAATAGTTTTGAACTGACTTGCATGTTGATCCTTTTTGAAACGTAGATAATCTGGTAATATTAGAATTTTCAAAGGCTAACCCTGTTGTATTGGTAAGTGTGTGAAAACTGCTTGTATAGATACAGTTAAAGCTTCCCTTAAAAGGTCAATATAAATTCTAACACACTTTAATATTGTTTACTTATGAATTAGCAGGTAAGGAAACGAGGACAAAATTATGAATGGCACCAAATATCTCTTCAACACATAGCCACATAAACTACGAATATTAATAATTAGGATATTTTAATGAGGAATCTTGATCAGATAACTTTTTAAAGCCTTATCGAGTTGTATAAAAATAATGACAGTGGGCAGGTACGGGGGCTCATGCCTATAATCCGAGCCCTTTGAGGGGGCCAAGGCTGGTGGATCACCTGAGGTCAGGAGTTCAAGATCAGCCTGGCCAACATGGCGAAACCCCCTCTCTACTAAAAATACAAAGATTAGCTGGATGTGGTGGTGTGCACCTGTAATCCCACTTACTCAGGAGGCTGAGACAGGAGAATCGCTTGAACCCAGGAGATGGAGGTTGCATTGAGCTGAGATGGGGCCACTGCACTCCAGCCTGGGCAACAGAGTGAGACTCTGTCTCAAAAAAATAAAAATGAAAATAGATAAAAATAATGACAGTAAGGATTCTTGTTAAGTTTTTTTCTCTCTATCTCAAAGGTTTCTGAAGGAACAAAATCTTTCGTGTGGTGAGTGTCTCCAGGATGTTTTCTGAAAGTAAACAGCACATTTTTCCCCTCTTTGGAACTGAAGCTAAGGCCACATTAACATGAATGGAGCTCCAGGTCTTTGTTTCATTAGTGTGGGTGTCTCCAATGAGCCTCCTACTGTGAACCCTAATAGGATTTCCCTGCTTACACCTTTGTTTGCCCTGGCTCCTCATGCTGCTCTGTGATGTTTGGTTTAATGAGACAACTCCTGTGATCCAGAAAGAAAAATAAAAGGAGGATCCTGTCTTTTCCTTAAACAGACAAAGGTGTAACTGAGGGAATTCAAGATTCTACTGTTTCCTGGCACTTTATGTTATCAACATGTGATGGCAATCCTGAACACACTGAGCCATCCCAGTAACCATTTAATCTCAAAAAGTCAGCCGCGGACTGGCAGATTGCATCTCACAGAAGTCCATTTAGCCTTAATAACGTGGAAAGACAGAAGACTTGAGTTGGAGGGGCAAGGAGTGGGTGAGGAAGGCAGAACAGAGAGTAGGAGCTCTAAAGTGTTTCTTCTGAAGTGAGAACTTGAAATGTAACCTAGTATGGGTGCAATCAAAGTACATACATAAAATAGGTAAAGTAACTATGGAAATAAGAACAGTAATAGATACAGTAACAGTAACAAAGTAGTAATAGGAAGGTTAGGGTAGCCTAAATAAACTGAATCCTCTCTATCATAGAGAAAGGTAATCATAGATAATGTCTAAAGTGGATACATAAAAACATGGAGACATAAACGTAATATTTAGGGATGTAACAGTAACTACAAGAGCAATTTAAAACAGAAACTGTTGTAGCAAGTGAAAAGAGGTTGGTTCTGGGTAGGAGGACTGGGTTCAAACTGCATTGAGGCAAGGAAATCTTTTTATGATGATGATGGTCTCTTGTCTTCTTTGATTGTATAACAAAGTATATACATATATTGCCTAGATAATAAAAATAAAATATTTTAAATGGAACCAAAACTAATTTGGTGGTCTGACCTGTTTGTTAGTGGAGTTGGGGCTGGATAGAGAGGTGAAATCCACTCTGGCATGTCAGACTCAACGGTTTGATACAAAGTATCAGCTTTTGCTGTTGGCCTTATTCAGGCATGAAAGGGGAACAAGAGGATTTCCAGGGGCTTCCAGTGGTCCTGGTGTCTTGGCCTTGCCGTGAAGATTTGGGTACAAGACAGGTGAGAGCTCAGGATAGTAAAGAGCATTCCAAAGTGAGTTTTCGTAATTGAGTTTTATTTATTTATTTATTTATTTTTGAGACAGAGTCTCGTTCTGTCACCCAGGCTGGAGTGCAGTGATGCAATCTCGCCTCACTGCAACCTCTGCCTCCCAGGTTCAAGCGATTCTCCTGGCTCAGCCTCCCAAGTAGCTGGGACTACAGGCACATGCCACCATGCCCGGCTAATTTTTTTGTATTTTTAGTAGAGACAGGGTTTCACTGTGTTAGCCAGGATGGTCTCCATTTCCTGACCCCGTGATCCACCACTCTCAGCTTCCCAAAGTGCTGGGATCACAGGCGTGAGCCACCATGCCTGGTCCTGAGTTATTTTCATATCCTGTAGATGGCCTAGAGAAATGGTCCTATCCTTCTCGAGTTACCTTAGAGAATTAAAGACACAAAGTAGCTCTGGGTCACAGAGGGACCCTTCTGTGCCTTGGCCCTGTAACAAACCAGTCATGCTTCGGAGAGAGAAAACTTGACTTTGTCCTTGCTGCTTCTGGGGTTGGAGGAGAAATGTAACTCTTCGTTGGTTAGTCCAGAAATCTCTTTCCTACTGGTGGCTTTCACCACTTGTTCCCAATTGTAGGTCTGTGGTCCATCTGCAATAAGTCCCAGGGAGCTTTATTTAAAGGACATATCTCTGGGCACCATCCATGGGGATCCTAATGCTGTAGGTCTTGAGTGGCGTTGAGGAATCCATAGTGATTCTGATGTGCCCCAGGTGTGGGAGCCACTGCTCGAATCCAGTCTAGCTTATGTAGTCCTTACAACCATCTTCAGAAATAGAAGACCAAAGTTCAAAAACGAATCGCTTTCCCCAAATCACACTTAAAGTCCATATTTTAAGCATATGTGTCTGCACTGGTAAATGTCTAACATCCAGTTCTCTAAAAACAGACCTCCCTTCCCTCAAATGGGCCCTGATTTGGAGCCTTTGCCAAATTTTGTGGTGTAAATACTTTTATGTTGGATGATTTCAGGCTGCCAACAGGACATTACTGTATGTGGAATTGTCAAGAGATGCTCGAGGACACACAAATATTTCCACCGTATAGATACACTAGACATAAATAACCTTAAGAGCATAGATTATATTAAACTGTGGTGAAATAATTAAGAAATAATACATATTGCATATTCATTGCATATTGCATATTCATTGCCTTTGTAATATTATGTATTTAACTAAGATTATATAATAAAAATTTTAATAATGCCTGAATTTGACAACCAGCTCTCAGACTTTCAGAAAACTTGATAATTGGCCCTCATGAGCTGATGCAAGGCAGCTCCAGCAGGGCCTGTGTGTCTGACTCCAAAGCCCTCGATACCAGTGTTTAATAACATGTGGTCTGTGGAATACTGGTTCTTTAAAATCTTTCCTGAAACCAGATTTTAAAGAGTTAAATATGTTTGGGAAATGATGCATCGTTAATTTGCTTCCTTAAAATCTACCATTTAGATGGACATACCATAGGCCTTAAGAAGTGCTGAGGTAATGAGACCTGTTAATTTCAACCCAATGTTGCCTTTTTCATGCAATAGCATTCAGCATCCTGCAGGATCATGTGTTTGTGGTTTTGTTTGTTTGTTTATATTTCTTTTCTTTTTCTTTTTTCTTTTCTTTTTTTTTTTTTTTTTTTTTTGAGACAGGGCCTGGTTCTGTCCTCTAGGCTGGAGTGCAGTAGCATGATCTCAGCTCACTGCAACCCCTGCTCAAGCGATCCACCTGCCTCAGCCTCTGGAGTAGCTGGGACTACAGGAACGTACCATCACGCCCCTCTAATATTTTCATTTTTTGTAGAGACGGGGTCTTGCTATGTTGCCCAGGTTGATCTCAAACTCCTGGGCTCAAGTGATCCTCCTGCTATGGCCTCCCAAAGTGCTGGGATTATAGGCATGAGCCACTGCACTCAGCCATCAGTGTGTTTTAGAATGCACTTTGGGAAATGCGGTGCATTTGGGGAAGTCCTAGTAAAGTAATTAAAGCACTGACTCTGGAGCCAGACCACCTGTGTCTAAATCCCGACTCCATCATTTACTAGTTGTGGGTCCTTGGGCAAATATACTCTTCCTGTCTCAGTTTCCTTTGAGCTATAAAACAGGAATAATAATAATAATGCCTATTTCATATGGTTGCTGCAAGGATTAAATGAGTTTATATATGTGTAAAGTACTTAACACAATCCTAAGCACCTAAACAATGTTATCTGAGTACAAGCTGTTATTGTTGTTGTTATTATTCTTACACTATTCAGCTTCCAGCCCAATCATTCCAGTCTCCCAGACTCTCAGATTTCCTATCAAGCTATACCAAAGAAGGCAACATGATGGCAAGGATGGGGCTGTTGACATTCCTTCCTGAGTTCAAAGCATTTATAGCCACACTAGAAAGATTTGGAGTTTGCCATTTTCTTTCCAGAACTTGCCAACTGGGACTGTGATTTTAGATGTGCATACATTTAAATAAAGACTTCTTTAAATAGAAACCATTTAGACGTCCCATGGCATTGGTTATAGAGAAATTTTCCCTTGGCATCAAGAAAATAACAGGCCTTTTCCTTCTGAGTCAGCATCATTGGAAGTAGGAATTGTCACCCTTCACGGAAGACTGGCCCAGGTTCTGACCTTCCCTAGTTGTCTCATGTCCATGGCTTTTTCCCAGTCAGATGAAGGGCATGAGCCCCTCCAATGCCTTGTCTTCTTGCCAACTTAGCTAATTGCATTCTGCCTTAGGAAAGGGGATGAGAGTGACACCTCAGAACAGATTTCCACAAGACTTGGGTTAAGAGAAGCTAGCAGTGACCTCATCCTAGTTTTGTGAAAATATGATTTTATTTGAAAAAAAGTGATTTAGGTAAAAGGCTTAAAGAAGTCATTTACAAAAAGAAATATAAAAGGCCAAGAAAGATACAAATATTTCTAACCTCACTTATAATCAATAAAATGTAATAAGAATCTAAATATGTTTCTTGTATTAGGATGGGCAGCCAGGCATGGTGGCTCACGCCTGTAATTTCAGCACTTTGGGAGGCTGAGGTGGGCGAATCACATGAGGTCAGGAGTTCGAGACCAGCCTGGCCAACATGGTGAATCCCCATTTTAGTACAAATTTTGTACTAAAAATACAAAAATTAGCTTGGAGTGGTGGTAGGCACCTGCAGTCCCAGCTACTCGAGAGGCTGAGGCAGGAGAATTGCTTGAACCTGGGAGGCGGAGGTTACAGTGAGTCAAGATCGCACCATTGCACTCCAGCCTGGGTGACAAGAGTGAAACTACATCTTAAAAAGAAAAGAAAGAAAAGAAAGGAAAAAAAAGGATGGGCAAGGGGATTTTTGCTGATTTTGTTTTGTTTTGTTTTTTTGACTGACAAAACCTGTAGTGGAGAAAGTGTGATGAAACTAGGACCCTCTTGCATTATTACTAGGACTACACAATCTTTTTGGAACATTCTTAGATAATATGCAGTATTTGAAATGCATATGCCCTTTAATACAGCAATTTGACTTAAAGATAATTGGACACGTAAACAAAAACGTAAGTTCAAAGAAGTTTAAAACTGTCTACGTGGTAGGTTGAATTGTTTTCAATTTTCCCTCTTCTTTATTTTATTTATTTATTTATTTATTTTTTGAGATGGAGTCTTGCTCTGTCGCCCGGGCTGGAGTGCAGTGGCAGGATCTCAGCTCACTGCAACCTCTGCCTCCCCATGGCTGCAGTGAGCCATGATTGCACAACTGTACTCCAGCCTGGGCGACAAAGTGAGACTCTGTCTAAAAAAAAAAAAAAAAAAAAAAAGAAATGTGTTGAAAAGTAGGAAAACACCCTATGAAGGATTTATTCATATATCTATTCATTCCCAAGCATTTATTGAGTGCTTACTATGTGCCTTGCACTGTGCTATATTCAAGCAGATTACAGTGTGGCGGTAGTGGGGTTCAAGGGATCTCCTGCCTCAGCCTCCTGAGTAGCTAAGACAACAGGCGCACACCACCGCGCTTGGGTAATTTTTTGTATTTTTAATAGAGACGGGGTTTCACTATGTTGGCCAGGCTGGTCTCGAATTCCTGACCTCAAGTGATCCGCCCACCTTGGCCTCCTAAAGTGCTGGGATTACAGGCATGAGCCACCAGGCCTGGCGTTGGTCTCAATTGTTCACCCCAACCTGCAGTTATAAGTCCTCATCATAACCAAGGTCTATTTCCCCAACCCTTGACTGGACTTGGCCATATGATGTGCTTTGGCTAACAATCTATGGGAAGAAGTGACATTAAGCCCAGACCTTAAGAGACCTCAAGTATTTCTGCTTTTCCTCTTGTGTTCCTATATTCTCCAAAAGAAAAGCATGTCCCAGTTGGCTCTTTGGTCTCAGAAAGAAGATAAGAGACACATGGAGGAGAGTCAGCCTTGCCAGCATATAGACAGAGCAGCTATAAGTTGAAGCTAAAACACACACACACACACACACACACACACACACACACACAATATATATATATAAAATATATATGTATTTATAAATGTAAATATATATACATATATAAATGTAAATATATATATATTTTTAATTGTCATTTGAAGCCTCTGATTTTGAGGACAATTTGTTATGCAGCAGTAGTTAACCAATACAGTCCCTCAATAGAATATACTATATGTAATACCATACTAAGCAGCCATTGTAAATGATTAAACGATCTATAATTTTTGACATTTAAAAAATCTATTTAATATTGTTAAGTGAAAAAAAATTGAGTTTTACTGGGCATAGTGGCTCATGCCTGTAATCCCAGCACTTTGAGAGGCTGAGGTGGGCGGATCACGAGGTCAGGAGTTCGAGACCAGCCTGGCCAATATGGTGAAATCCCATCTCTACTAAAAAATACAAAAATTACCCTGGCATGGTGGCATGCACCTGTAGTCCCACCTACACGGGAGGCTGAGGCAGGAGAATTGCTGGAACCCAGGAGGTGGAGGTTGCAGTGAGCCGAGATTGCACCACTGCACTCCAGCCTGGGTGACAGAGTGAGACTCCATCTCAAAAAAAAAAAAAAAAAAAAAAAATTGAGTTTCAAAACATAATCTATCTAGGTACAATTACACATATGAACATGCACACACAGATATAAGAAAGAATGTATCATAGTGGTTGTTTCTGCATGATAGGAATCAAAAAATATATTATTTTCTTTTCTCTGTAGTTTTGTATATTGCTTGATTTCATTTTTCAAAGACCATCCATCTTTTTTATAATTGGAGACATGGCAATGGCAATGATTATGATATGTACTGAGAAAATAAAGACTAGCATTTTTGGAATAAATAGAAACGTAGTTAGAGAGGAAAAAGGGACCCCATATTACATGCAGCCTCAAAAGGTGGATAGAGTTCAGATATGATATATAAAGAACTAGAAGTAGACATAATACTAGTTAACATTGATTTATTCTTACTCTAAGCACTCTGATAAGTGCACTATCTCTCATTTAATCCTCATAGCAATCCTATGAGGTCATAATTTTAATTGTCCTATTTATTTATTTATTTATTTTGAGTCAGAGTCTCACTCTGTCACCCGGGCTGGAGTGCAGTGGCACCATCTTGGTTCACTGTAACCTCTGCTTCCCAGGTTCAAGCAATTCTCCTGCCTCAGCCTCTCAAGTAGCTGGGATTATAGGCACGTGCCACCACACCCGGCTAATTTTTGCATTTTTAGTAGAGATGGGGTTTCACCATGTTGTCCAGGCTGGTCTCGAACTCCTGACCTCAGGTGATCCACCCACCTTGACCTCCCAAAGTGCTGGGATTACAGGTGTGAGTCACTGCACCCAGCCTAATTGTCCTTATTTTATAGAAAAAGGAACTGAACTTCTGAGTGGATAAATACTTTGCAGTAGATCACACAGTCTAGATTTGAACCCAGGTCTCTCTGACTCCAGGACCCTTCTTCTTGCCAGTACACATGCCTACTCCCATTGCACGATTTGCACAGAGAGAGTGATCCAGAGGCACCAGGTATGGAATCCAAATACCTAAGATCTTACAATGTGAGGGACCGTAATGCAAGTCCAGTGGAGGGCATTATAGCACAGAGGACAGGCCACAGAGTCAGCTAGCATCAGAAGGCAAATCCTGTCTCTGCGCTTAGCAGCCAAGCAATCGTGTACCAGTTACTTGGCCCTCACTAACCCTGACTCATCCCTCCATGAAAACATAGAATAGATAAGAAATACCTCCTTCACAGTTACGAGAATCACTTCATTGTCTGACAAGTAAGCTGCCAATACTTGGTTTAGTAATATTACTAATATCAGTAAAAAACACTTTGGAAACTGTAAAATGTTAATCAGATACTAATAATTGCAGTCTACAATTTTAGTAAACACAGTATTTAGGGGAAATTGAGCAAGTGAGCTGAGAGGAGATTTGAGCTGCCTGCGACTGTGCTAGAAAAATAGTGTTGAGCTAGATGAAGAATGTTTCATTAACGATTCATCAGAAATGTGTTGAGGCTGGGCGTGGAGGCTCACATCTGTAATCCCAGCACTTTGGGAGGTCTAGTGGGGGAGATTGCTTGAGCTCAGGAGTTTGAGACCAGCCTGGACAACATTTTTTTTTTTGTAGAATACAAAAATCAGCCAGGCATGGTGGTGTGCACCTGTGGTCTCAGCTACTCATGAGGCTGAGGTGGGAGGACCACCTAAGCCAGAAAGGTAGAGGCCACAGTGAGCCATGATTGCACTACCGCACTCCAGCCTGGATGACAGAGTGAGATTCTTGTCTCAAAAAGAAAGAAATGTGTTGAAAAGTGGGAAAACACTCTATGAAGAATTTGTTCATATATTCATTCATTTGCAAGTGTTTACTGAGCACTTACTGTATGCCTTGCACTGTGGTATATTCAAGCAGACTACAGGGTGATGGTAGTGGGGGAACAAATTTTAATCAAGTGATCACACAAATAAATGTAAAATACACCTGTGATAAATGCAAAAAGAAGGACGTAGAGTTATGGAGCATAGTGCAGGAAAATGTTTACTGAGAAAGTGATGTATCAGCTGAGAGCTGAAGGATGAATAGAAATTAAAAGGATTTTAGTAACAGGTTGTTATTTTGCAGATGAATGGATCGGCATTCTGACAGGGAATTTATATTTAGCCATGTAAATCAGAGGTTCTCAAATTTGAGGGTGCATCTGAATCATGTTGTGGGCTCGTTAAAACACCAATCGCTGAGCCTAACTCTCAGTTTCCAATTCAGCAGGTTTGGGGTGGGGCCCACGGAGGTGCAGATCTAACAAGTTCCGAGGTGATGCTGTTGCTGCTGAACTGGGGACACACTTGGCTGATCTTGGGGCCACTGCTCTAAATTAACACGCACAACACCTCTTGACAACTAACAGAAAACGAAACGTGAGCAACTTCTAACAAATGTTTTCCAGATTGCTCACCACAAAAATCAACTTTCAAAGCCTTTTGGTTGGAATGTTTTTACACTAGGTTGAATGCTAACATTACATGTTCAACCTTTCAATCCTTATTGAAAAAATAAGAAATAAAAAATCAAAACAAAAATGCCACTGTAATCGTAGAATCACCCTGCAGTTAGCTCTGGGTAAACAAATGTCAAAGCAATGTAAACAATACTAATGGAATATTTGAAGGGAAAGAATGAGCGTCTGGCCTCCTAGACTGCAGTGGAATGGAAAGGAGTTTTGGCGTCCAGAACGAGACAAGAGATGTGCTGGGAGGAGAGGGTTCATTTTGGATGTTGCTATCATTTACAGCATAGGAATTCTGTTCCTTGGAGGCTGGGGGAAGGGAAACTGCAAACCGTCAATTGCTAATATATTTTAATACTTCAAAAATCTATTTTTAAGACTACATCAGTAATGCATGAATATATTGCCCTTCTAAACAAGTTAAATCAGTATAGAGCTGAGCCTCCCAACACTAATTCTGTCCCCTTTCCAGAAATAATTTATGACATCCATTTGGTCTTATAGCTTCCAGACCCTCTTCTAGGCAGTTTTGAGGAGAACAATTGAGTATTATTTCTTGTAATGGTATTACACTCTATGTATTCCACAATTTACTTTTTTAAAACTCATTGTGAAGTCATATGGATTTTCCCTATCAGTACCATAACTCCATCATATTATTTTTAATGTTTTGCATATAATTGCAAAACATAGAATTAACAAGATTTATTTATAGATGTTCGTTTAAGCTGTTTCCTACTCTCTGCAGTCTGTTATATTTTAGTGACAACAAACAACGTTGGCATGAACATTCTTGTCTGTGCCCCTTTGTAGGCCTATGTGGGTGCTTCCCTAAGGGATAAATTGGGAAAGATAACCACAGAGTCACCGGAATTTGAATATTTTTCATTTTAACAGATAATGCCAAATTGTTCTTCTATCCCCGTCAACAGGGCCACTGCTTTCCTATAGATTTGCCAATAATTAATATTACCAAATATTTGTTACCAAACCTAGGGGTGAAAAAACAGCATTTCATTCATGTTTTAATCTTCATTTCCTTTGTTACTAGTAAATTTGAGCATGTTTTCATATTTTCATCATTCATTTATGTTTTCTTTGCTGTGAACTGCCTAGTTGTGATCTTCTCCTCCTTATTCTTTATATAGTCTAGACACTAGTCTTTTTTTCTCTGTGTATGCTGCAAATACTTACCCCCAGATGTTTTTATTTTGACTTTATGTCTTTTATCATGGAGAATTTTTAAATTTAGAAATTAGGCCAGGTGCAGTGGCTCACGCCTGTAATCCCAGTACTTTAGGAGGCTGAGGTGGGTGGATCACTTGAGGTCAGGACTTTGAGACCAGCCTGGCCAACATGGAGAAACCCCATCTCTGCTAAAAATACAAAAAATTAGCCGGGTGTGGTGGCTTGTGCCTGTAATCCCAGCTACTTGGGAGGCTGAGTGCCACTGCACTCCAGCCTGGGCAACAGAGCAAGAGCCTGTCTCAAAAAAAAAAAAAAAAAAAAAAAGGAAATATTCACTTTATCATTCTTTTCCCTTTAAGGATTTTCCTGTCTGTGTCTTGTTTAAGAGAGCCTTTACTTTTGTCTTCAACGATTCTGCACCCACTTATGTGGATTACCTTTAAAACCAATAAGTCGTCTAAGCAGACTTGATCTTACAGATGTTGTAGCCTAGTCATGTCATTTTACAGATAGCAAAACAGAGGCACAAGCAGGAGATGTGATGTGTAATACTAATACAACTCGCCTCACCCCGTAGCTGGGTGACGACAGAGCCAGCCCTTGAACCCAGGTTATCAAATTCTAAGGAAGCAGATTCTAAATTCTCCCCTGATGCATCTGCTGTGACTTTTAAAGCTAACACAGGTGCACCTGATTTGGAAAAGTGTCTACCAAAGCTGGCGCTAGAGGCCACAAGGCCAAAGGGCTCAGGGGAGATGCACACCCTTCTTCAAGCCAGGCTGCTTGTTTACTCCCTTATGAGGAGCCAGTGTGACTCCAACATGTGCCAGCTCTATGACCTTGAGGAAGTAATGTCCTGCCTCAGTTTCCTCATCTGCTCTCTAGAAATCAATAATGATATATGCCACAAAGCACTGTTGTGAGTTTAAATGAAATGAGTCTGTGTAAGGACTTACAACATAATTTATGTCCAAAAATATTAGCTATTATTTGTTAACAGCAATAACAACGCAATACCATTCTTCTTGCGTTTCTGAAAACTCGCATAAATTGGGTTTCTGAGGCCTCCCAGGTTTATGGGGTTTGGGAACCTCTTGTCCACTCCTCCATATCCTTCCAAGCCACCTCATACTCCAGGCACTGTGTGACGACCACTTCCTCACAGACCTTCAGCCAGCTTTGAGCAGGTGCATCTGTAATGCCTTCTCTTGGGTCACTCCTCATACCTTCACTTCCTGCCCCAGGCCTTCTCTGACTCTCTGAGTGGGACACCTGAGAACTTGCTGGAAGCGTGGGGCACTTAACACCCTTGGGGGCACTACGGACAATATGGAACTAAAGCTAATAGATAAATTCATCCCTTTTATCCCCTGCAGGCCAATAGGCTCTCAGAAACTCCCATGAATCAAGGAGCAGCCAACCCAACAACACACCCTTGTAGTGATTCTCCATTCTTTTTTATTTTATTTATTTATTTATTTTTGAGATGGAATCTCGCTCTGTCGTCCAGGGTGGAGTGCAGTGGCGTGATCTCAGCTCACTGCAACCTCCACTTCCTGGGCTCAAGTGATTCTCCTGCCTCAGCCTCCTGAGTAGCTGGAATTATAGGCACCCACCACCACACCCAGTTAATTTTTATATTTTTAGCAGAGATGGAGTTCCACCACGTTGGGCAGGCTTGTCTCAAATTCCTGGGCTCAAGTGATCTGCCTGCCTTGGCCTCCCCAAGTGCCAGGATTATAGGCATGAGCCACTGTGCCTGGCCGTGATTCTCCATTCTATGTTTCCCTTCCCCTTGTCTCTGCCTCCTGCTCCCCAGGATCATATTCCCAAATCAACTACCTCCACACAAGCATGGATCTTATGCTCTGTTTTCAGGGAACCCAGGCTAAGATCTAATGAATTTGTAGTAACTAAATTCTCACCTGTCCTTATCTCCAATACAGGACTCAGCCTCAGCACCCTAATTTAGACCCCTCCTCCTCCCTCACTATTACTGGGAATCTTCAGAGCCAGCTCACCTGTTTTCATGAGGTTTCCTCATGTGTTCTTTGCTCTGGCACATGCTGAGTGACACTGATTGAGAAGTCACTTAAGGTGCTATCATATCCCTTGAGATCCTGACCGTGTCTTACTCTGCACACATTCCTCCTCAAGGCACTGTCTTCCCACGTTCCCAAACCTGCAGCCCTGTGGAATCAAGGCAGCACTGCATTCCTGGAGCGCTTCCTGAATGAAGCCACACGGCAATAGTAAAACACATGGGAAGGAGGCTTGTCCCCCCGTACCCTCTGTATTAGTCTATTCTCATGCTGCTAATAAAGATATACCCAAGACTGGGTAATTTATAAAGGAAAGGGGTATAATTGACTCAGTTCCACATGGCTGGGGTGACCTCACATTCTTGTTCCTAGAAGAACAAGGGATGTCTTACCTGGTAGCAGGCAAGAGAGAGCTTGTGCAGGGAAACTCCTCTTTATAAAACTATCAGATCTCATGAGACTTATTCACTATCATAAAAACAGCATGAGAAAGACCCACCCCCATGATTCAATTACCTCCCACTGGGTCCCTCCCACAGCACGTGGGAATTGTGGGAGCTACAATTGGATATTTGGGTAGGGACAGAGCCAAACCATATCACCCTCTCTCGTCACCTGGTCCCTTAAGCAGGCTGCTTATGCCTCATGTCCCTCATGAAAACAGCTCCTCCAGCCTCTGCTTGTGCTCAGTGGGGCTCAAACACAAGTCTGTGGGACCAAGCTGGGGACCAAGAGCTGAGAAGATACCCTGTTCTATCCTCCCCAACCCTGTCTTGCCTTCAACTCCAGCCAAATGGCACTTTGCAGTATGAGGCAACCCAACTCGTGCATTTATCACACATATCTGAATCCCAGTTTAGACTTTAGCTGAGTTCCCTGGTATGCTTGAAAGGTGAAAGTCCCCCCTGAATTTTACTGCAGCTGTTAATCAGCACCTGAGTAAGAATTGTTTCTGCTGAGGCTGAAACATAACCTGGCAATTTTCATTCACCCTTCAGGACTTAGCTCAGCTACTATGGTCCCCAGTGCCTTCCTTGCATTGCTCTTCAGGCAAGGCTGGGAGCTCCTTTTGATAGTCTGATAGGGCTCTGGCGGATGGTAACTCCCATCTTACCATGTTGCAACTTGCAAGCTTTTGTAGTGCTGATGCTTCTGTTAGACTGGCCCAATCTTGCTTGTCATTAAATTTCCAGTTTACAGCTTGGCATGTCTACACCCTCAGAACATGTTTGTCAAATGAATGAATGAAACAAGGAGACATTGAGATCTTCTGGGAAGTGGGAGCATCACTAACAAATGGGTTCAAGCTCAGACTGGCTCAGACAGGCACATTCACACAGAGGCACCTAAATGCGGGCTTGTTGATGGTTGGTCCTTTCTGCTAGAGTACAAGCATCATGACCACAAAGACTCTTATTTACTGCTCTTTGCCCTACCTAGAACATTGCTTGGAACATATAGGCCCTCAATCGATATTTACTGAAGAAGTGAATGAAATACAGGTGTATTTCCAGCTGTCTTCTCTCCAGGGACACTAACTGGCTTGACTTTTTGTGCTTTCTCCCCCATCCTGGGGAAGAGATGGGCACAGAACTAATCTTTCTTCCCCACCCAAGAGAATGGTGGACAGTGGCTGCAGTTTTGCAGATGAAGCCTGGGCCTCAAGGTCAGACAAGCCAGAGGAGCAGGGCAAGCAGTCACCCACAGTCACGGCACTCTGGCTGGGCTGAGGGCAGGTGAGAACTCAGCCATGGAACTGAAACTGGAGGCAGAAGGTGGAGAGCATTATGACATTTTTCTTTTGATTTACCGCTTTTGTAAGAAGTGGCGCATATACCCAGAGAAGTATGAAGATAAGGTAAAAACCACTACAAATACTGCAATCCCAAGGCACTACTGTTAACACTATGATGAATATCTTTGCAGGCATTTCTGTATGCATGTGCAGACACATGTGTGTGCATATATTAGGTTACATTCAGCTCTAAGTGACAGAAAACCAAAACAACAATGATGTCACCATGATAGAAGCTCATTCCTCTTTCACATGGAAGTCTGGGTGGGAGGCTCAGGCCTGGCAAGGCACTCCATAATGTCAGTCTCCTAGACTCCTTCTGTCTTGTTGCTAAATTGTAGGTAGCCTCCACCTCATGGTCCACAGGACAGAATTTGCCGTCTAGGAAAGAGAAAGGAACAAAACAAGAGAAAGGGGTGGGGGTGGGGCAACAGGAATACGTGTTGCTCTTGAGGAAGCTTCCACATATTTCTGCTTACATCCCATTGGCCTGAACCAAGTTACATGGTCATACCCAGATGCACAGGACTTGGGAAATGTAGCCATGTGCCCAGTTAAAAATCCTATTAGTGTGAAAGAAGAGAGGAGTAGATATCCAGGGGTGTCTGGCAGTCTCTGTCACAATCACAGTGTCTATGCAATATTACATAATAGGATCACAGAGACAGTATAATAGTGATAAAGATTAGAAGTCTGGAGATAATTACAGGTTGAAATCTGGTTTAGACACTATTCAGTTTACTTATCTGTAAATTAGGGATTATAGCAGAACAAACCTATTTCATAGGATTGTTGTGAAGATTGAATGAGCTAATGTATGTAAAAGGGCTTAGCATGGTGCATGACAGTAAGGGAGTAAGCTCTCAGCAAAGTCAGTTATTACATTTTCTGCCTTTTTTTATCCTCACCAATATAACGTGAATAAAGTTCTATGTTATCATCTATAGATTTCCTTGTACTATCTTTTTAAATGGCTACACAGTGTTCCATTATGCAGAGAGAACATTATTTAATTTGTCCACCACTCATTGCCACCATAGATTGTTCTTAATTTTTGCCATTATCAACAATCCTTGCATCAACATCATTTTGTACTTGCATGATTACCTCGTTATAGTAAATTCCTATCTGTGAGGTAGCTGGGTCAAACACATGTGTATTTTACATGTGACAATATATTGCCAAACTTAGGCAAACAGCTAGCTTCTGAAGACATTGGAACATTCCAGTTTAACCAACAGTTTTTGGGTACCTACTAGATGCTGAGCCTTGTGCTAGAGGCTAGAGAGGGTCCAAAGATAAATTAAGACATGTCCTGCAATTAGAGAGAAAATAACTCCTAGGGTTTATTTAAAGAAAAAAAAAAAGTTCAGGATGCTGTGAATGCTGATGATGAGGCTTGAGCTAGGGTGGGAGTGTGGAAGGATCTCCCCAGGGAAGTGCTATTGCACCTAGAAACTGAAGCCCAAAACATGTGTGCATGGATGGGGAGGATAGGATTGGGGAAGAAAAGTACACTCTAGGGAACAAGAATATGTAGGGGAAAGTTGGTTTGATGGCTAAGAGTATACATTCTGGAGCCAGGGTATCTAGGTCCAAATGATGGCCCTGCCACTACTACCTAAGAATGACTTCTCTGTACCTCAGGTCTCTGACCTTTACAATGGGATGATAGTAATATTAATAATAAGGTTATTGTGAAGATTGAATAAGTTAATGCACAGAAGCACTGAGACAAGCTCCTGGCAGATAGAAAGCGTACTGTATCAGCTAATAGCAATACTTTCATCTTCTTGTCTGCTTGAAAGTATTTTTTTATTTTAATTTTTATTTTAAGTTCTGGGGTACATGTGCAGGATGTGCAGATTTGTTGCATAGGTAAATGTGTGCCATGGTAGTTTGCTGCACCTATCAACCCATCACCTAGGTATTAAGCCTAGCATGCATTAGCTATTTTCCCTAATGTTCTCCCTCCCCCATCCTCCCCCAACAGGCCCCAGTGTGTGTTGTTCCCCTGTTGCGGTAAGTCAGGGACCCCGAACGGAGGCACCGGCTGGAGCCGAGGCGGAAGAACATAAATTGTGAAGATTTCATGGACATTTATCGGTTCCCAAAATTAATACTTTTATAATTTCTTTCACCTGTCTTTACTGCAATCTCTGAACATAAATTGTGAAGATTTCATGGACATTTATCACTTCCCTAATAATACTCTTACAACTTCTTATGACTATCTTTACTTTAATCTCTTAATCCTGCTATCTTCGTAAGCTGAGAATGTACCTCAGGACCACTATTGTACAAATTGATTGTAGAACATGTGTGTTTGAACAACATGAAATCTGATTGTAAAATGTGTGTTTGAGCAATATGAAATCAGTGCACCCTGAAAAAGAACAAAATAACAGCGATTTTCAGGGAAGAAGGGAAGATAACCATAAGGTCTGACTGCCTGCAGTGTCAGTCAGAATAGAGCCATATTTTTCTTCTTGCAGAAAGCCTATAAATGAATGTGTGAGTAGGAGAAATATCGCTGAATTCTTTTCCCAGCAAGGAATAACCCTGGGGAAGGAATGCATTCCTGGGGGTAGGTCTATAGACGGCCGCTCTGGGAGTGTCTGTCTTATGCAGTTGAGAAAAGGACTGAAACATACCCTGGTCTCCTGCAGTACCCTCAGGCTTAATAGGATTAGGAAATTCCAGCCTGGTAAATTCTAGTCAGACTGGTTCTCTGCTCTCGAACCCTGTTTCCTGTTAAGATGTCTATCAAGACAATGCATGCACAGCGGGACATAGACCCTCATCAGTAATTCTAATTTTGCCTTGCCTTGTGATCTTTATTGTCCTTTGAAGCATGCGATCCTTGTGACCTACTCTCTGTTCGTACACCGCCTCCCCTTTTAAAATTCCTAATAAAACTTGCTGGTTTTGCGGCTCGGGGTTGTCATCACGGTCCTACCTTTATATGATGTCACTCCTGGACTCCCGGAGACCCAGCTGTAAAATTTCTCTCTTTGTACTCTTTCTCTTTATTTCTCAGACTGGCTGACACTTAGGGAAAATAGAAAAGAACCTACATTGAAATATTGGGGGCTGGTTCCCCGATATTCCCCTCCCTGTGTTCATGTGTTCTCGTTGTTCAGCTCCTACTTGTAACTGAGAACATGTGGTGTTTGGTTTTCTGTTCCTGTGTTAGTTTGCTGAGGATAATGGCTCCCAGCTGCATCCATGACCTGCAAAGGACATGATCTCATTCATTTTTATGGATGCATAGTATTCCATGGTGTATATATACCACATTTTCTTTATCTGGTCTATGTTGATGGTATTTGGGTTGATTCTATGTCTTCGCTATTGTGAAAAGTGCTGCAATGAATATATGCACGCATGTATCTTTGTAATAGAATGATTTATATTCCTTTGGGTATATACCCAGTAGTAGGATTGCTGTGTCAAATGTCATTTCTGGTTCTAGATCTTTGAGGAATCACCACACCATCTTCCACAATGGTTAAACTAATTTACATTCCCACCAACAGTGTAAAAGCATTCCTATGCTCGAAAGTCTTAATCCAGGATTGTGAGAGTTCAACAGTCAGCATCACAGCATGCCCTATGCATTTTCCCCATGAGATTCCTCATTCTTTCATTCAGTGAGTATTACTGAACACCTCCCAGGGTGGTAAGCAAAATAGTCCAGACCCAGGCTTCGAGGTACTGTCTGGTGATGGAGGATTTTAAAAATCAAAAATCCCACACCAAAAGAAGCCCAGTGAGTCACAGACCACTCTGTGCTGTGAAAAAAGCACAGGGAGATCTGTGAGAGCCCATCAGGGACACATCCAGAGGGACACGACAAAGAAAATGACAAAGAAACAAAGATGTGGGGATTAGGAGGCATCAACCAGGTAAATCGTGTTGGGGGTGTGGGGTAAACCAAGCAGAGGGAACAGCCTATGGGAAGAACCTGAGGAGGGAACGTTTAGCACCTTGGAGGAAGTGAGAAAAGGCCATTGTGCAGTGAGGACAATGTGAGGAGCGAGGGAGTGAAGAGATGCACCAGGCAAGGTGGGGAGGGAGGCAGGGCTGGACTGCACGCGATCGATCTCTAGCTCTCAAAGGTGATCCCCAGAGTCTAAAGGTGAGTGTGGAGACCAAGTACTGTCACAGACATCTTAGTAGCCCTGCCAAGGTCTTCATTTTTGCTAACCAAAAAGTGCCTCTCTTAGGGTAACTCTTCACATCTCTCCTTGGACTTGGTTCCTAAACAATCCTGGGACTCAGAAGAAAAGTCCTCAACACCAGCACTTTTTTCAGAAAAGAAACAGCATTTATTGAACACCTATTATGGGCCAAGGAAAGTCCTGGGCCTTCTATCCTTCTTACTTCATTTACTGCCCAACAATCTGTGAAGTGACTAGTGTTAACTTTCTTTTAGATAGTTAAGAAAATAGAGACTTAGAGAACACAAGTAACATGACTAAAGTCATACAGCTATCAAATAGTGGAGTCAAGTCTCTGAGTTCAAAGTCCTGATCATTTATTCCACATTGCTCAGACCACAGGATAGGCCTGGTCTGTTTTACTTAGACTTGTTAGAACCTCAGGAACCCACTTCACTGTGCAAAGTGATACCATTTCAGGCAGCAGCGAGCTGAAAACTGAAGAATCCTCTCTTTCACCAAGTGTGGTGTTCATTAAGCTGCAGGGAGCTGTTAATATTGTCAGCATTTCAAGGCAGCTCTATGCTACCTGAGTAAAGGAAAGAACTAACACCCATCTTTAAAAAGGCGAATGGAAGTCTTTGCTAACCAAATACTTCAGATAAGCATCTTCCCCATTTGGCTGCAATTACCTTGGTCCCAAGTTACATCATTGCTAGTGAAATGATTAACAAAAGAATGGTAATGATACTGATGGTAAATTAAATGGAAATAAAAGGAGCTCAGTGTACTGTTCAATTTCCCACTTGGGGACTACTCCTAAGCTGTGTTCTTCAGCTTCCCACTGGGAATTTCCACATGTAAATAAATATGCCTGATTGAAACTGCAAACTTAGATGTCTATACATGGCAAGCACTGAAATCTGAGCTTGAGATTTTTCTCTGCCTCCCAGGTAGTTCCCAAGGCTAATGTCAATGAAGATGGATTTCCCTCCATGAAATGTTCTGATGAATTATGTAAATAGAGACAAACACCTTATAGGACTGACCTCTGCCACAGAATTTGACATCCTCCTGCCCTAGCCAAACCAAGTGGAAAATTGGATTTAAAGAAAAGACTCAGGACTTCATTACAACCCACATGCTTTGTGGTGTCTGGATTCTGATCACCACAAATCAACACAACCCCACCAAGATAAATTGCCAAGAGATGTGACAAGGGATGGACATGGCAGATGAGACCCGGTTTATGTCATCAGGAGGCTCTTATCTTGCCAGAAACCCTTTATTAGAGTTTCAGCCACAATCATTAGTTTTTCTAATAGGACACTGTACAAAGAGAGTGAGGGCCCTGGGTTTAAAACCTAGCTTTGCCTCGTATTAACTGTGTGATTTTGAATGTGTTACTTAAAAAGCTTTCTGAGCACAAATTTCATCATGTTTAAAATAAGGACAACAATAGTACTTATTTATAAGGTGGCTTTAAGAATTAAAAAGAGAATGTATGTAAAAGACCCAGACTAATCGCTCAAGAAATGGAAAGTATTTTTTTGTTTTTGTTTTTGTTTTAAAAAAATCATTATTAGCCTTAAATTAAAGGTTGGTTCTATTTCAGGGTGAATATAAACTGGGTTTCAGACTTTGAGTTTTTAATATGACTTGAGTGCCTCTTTGGTCTTGAAATTATATTGATTTTATGCTGTATAAAATTAGATTGGTTTTTAAAAAATTATTTATCTGCCACTTAGTAGCAATGTAATTCAGAGCAAATCCTACCTTAACTGAGTCTTAGTTTCCTTGTTGGTTTAAACGAAATAGTCTAAGCAAAAACTGTAAGACTCTCAGAAGAAAACATAGGAGCCAATTTTCCTAATCATTAATTAGGCAGTGGTTTTTTAGATATGACAAAATGCACAGTGATAAAAGAGAAAATTGATAAGTTGGGCTGTATCAGAATTAAAACTTTTTATGCTTCAAAGGACATCATTGAGAAAGTGAAAAGATAACCCGCAGAGTGGTAGAAGATATCTGCAAATCATGTGTCTTGATAAGGGACTTGAATCTAGAGTACATTTAAAAACACATATAACTTGACTGGGCGCGGTGGCTCATGCCTGTAATCCCAGCACTTTGGGAGGCTGACGCGGGTGGATCACCTGAGGTCAGGAGTTTGAGACCAGCCTAAACAACATGGTGAAACCCCGTCTCTACTAAAAATACAAAAATTAGCTGGGTATAGTGGTGGGCGCCTGTAATCCTAGCTACTCAGGAGGCTGAGGCAGGAGAATCGCCTGAACCTGGGAGGTGGAGGTTGCAGTGAGCCGAGATTGCACCATTGCACTCCAGCCTGGGCAACAGAGTGAGACTCCATCTCAAATAAAAAAACAAAAAACAAAACAAAACAAAACAAAACAACCACTTACTACTTAACAACAAAAAACAAACAACCCAATTTTTAAAATGAGAAAAAGATTTGACTAGACCGTCCTCCAGAGAAGTTATACAAATGGCCAATAAGGGGCCAGGTGAGGTGGCTCAGGCCTGTAATTCCAGCACTTTGGGAGGCTGAGGTGGGCAGATCACTTGAGCTCAGGAGTTTGAGACCAGCCTGGCCAACATAGCAAAACCTCCTCTCTATTAAAAATATAAAAATTAGCCGGGCATCATGTGGTCCTGTAGTCCCAGCTACTCAGGAGGCTGAGGGAGGAGATTCACTTGAACCCAGGAGATGGAGGTTGTAGTGAGCCGAGATCATGCCACTGCAGTCCAGCCTGGACGACAGAGTGAGACTCTGTCTCCGAAAAAACAAACAAACAAACAAACATGGCCAATAAGCACATGGAAATATGCTTGGCATCATTTGCCACCAGGGAAATAAAAATCAAAGCAATAATGAAATAGAAGTTCACATCCACCTGACTATAGTAAAAAGACAGACGATAACAAGTGTTGGTGAGCATGTGGAGAAATCCATTTTCATTGCTACTGTAAGTGTAAAATGGTGTAGCCACTTTGGAAAACAATCTGGAAGTTCATTACAGAATAAACGTAGAGTTCCTGTGTGACCTAGCAATTCCACATCTGGTAACCAAGAGAAATGAAAACAGGTTCACAGAAAAACCTGTACAGGAATGTTTACGAAAGCATTGTTCATAACAGCCACAAAGTGAGAACAACCCAGATGTCCACCAACTGATGACGAACTTTGAGCACACTAGTCTACATGAAAGAAGCCAGTCCACAGAGGACCACATATTCCATGATACAGTTTTCACAAAATATTCAGAATCAGAAAATCCTTAGAGATGGAAATTGGATGGGCAGTTGCCGAAGGCTTGGGAAGAAGGGTTGGGGAAAATGGGGAATGACTGCTAATAGGTACAGGGTTTCCTCTGGAGGGGAATGAACATGATCCAAAATTAGACTATGGCAATGGTTAATCAACTCTGTAAATATACTTTTAAAAAACCATGAAGTTGTACACTTAATAAAAAGTAAATGGTCTGGGCAAGATGATTTATTTTGATCTTGCCCAATTTAACATTTTTTGGAATAGAAGCCCATCTTGAAATGAGGCTCGGCTCTACAGGAAAAGAATGGCTCTGTCCATGTTAGTGCACAATGAAGGGAAAGAAGTTGGGCGACTTTGCCAGTACACAGTGACAAAATCCTACCACTCTATTATAAAAATGAGCTAATTCATAAATTAGGTGCCACATATGCAAACTGTAGTTAAGTGCTTAGTAACCACTGACGTTTGATGGGATACTTAACATACGCCTGGCCCTGTTCTTTCCATGGATCTCATTTAATCCTCACAACACCTCTATGAAGCTTCAGATGAGAAACTGAGGCTCAGAGGGTTACAGTAAAGACAGGAGGCTGAGAGGCCAGATGCAAATACAGGCAATTTGACTCTAAGACCTGTGCTCATGACCTCTGGCTATCCTGCCTTGCCTTCTCCATGCAATCCACCTGGGTGCAAACTCTGTGCTTAATCAGCAGAAGCAAATAACCAAGTCAAAAATAACCTCATAGTTTCTTGCTCGATTTCTTAAAAGCAAGGAGAATGATCATTTCATTTTTCAAAGCCCTGAATTCAGCTTTTCTTACGCTCAGGCAGACACTGTTATTTGCTTGCAAGGCACATACTCCTGGCTTCCCGGGGCTAGATGTGCTGCTCTTATCTAAGCCAGGCTGACTGGTTTTTTCCTTTTTCTTTTGTAAATGTCTGTAATCCAGCAGCTTCCCAGCAGGCCCCTGGAGCTCCCGATTGCTCTACACCTGAGAAATTTGCTGCAGAAGCCCTAAGGAAGCCAGATTTCAAAGTGCATGCTATTTGTTTTTCCTCTCACCTCCAGCCATAACGCTTTGTTTGCAACATAGTAATCGTTCCACAGCCAGAGATTCCTCCATCATAAACACAAGAATATGACTCTGGGAATGTAGTGAGCAGTAGGAGACGACAAATTGTTCAGGCATGGCCTTTCCAGCAGGCTGGTCCTGATGTCAGAGCCTGTGCTGCCTTGGTGCTTGCCTCTCACAGCCCTCCTCTTCCTGCCCACACTAGATGCTACTCTCGAGCCCAGGCCCAATGCAGGCTGCAGAGAAACACCCAAATGTCTGCTCATAACTCAGAAACCACTGTCCAGCTTTGGAGCTTACCGTGGGGATCAGGAAGGTCAATGCCCAGCCCTCAGCAAGAACTGCCAGCTTCTTTTGGTATGGGCACCCAGGCCTCCAGCCTGTGGTACAGAATGCACCTGTGTGGGAATGCATGTGAGTGCCCGAGTCTGTGAACATTCAGCCTGCTGTGCAGGCCTCATGAGTTCTGTTTGGCTACCTGGGCTCCATACAGGCAGCTGGGCCTCTGTGTGGGTACACTCACCTCTCTGTGAGCACCTGGGCACACTGGATCTCGGTGCCCCTCCAGATAACACCTAGTTAGCACCTTGGCCTGTGAGAGGACGCTGAGGCCCCAGCCAGGTCCCCTTCTCAGAGGCCTTTAATCTTCCACGGTTCTTGCAAAGAATGGAGACGAGCCCCCAGCCCTGGGATTGTCCACAGCCTTGGAAGGCAGGTTGGCCTGGCATGTGGGTGGCATGCAGAAGATGGGACTGGTACAGAGAAAAGTGGCCGTTTTTTCAGGAAAGGAGGCCTTCTCCACAGAGGGCCAGGCCCTGGCAGAAATACCCCAGGCCTTTTCTCTGTCCTCTTCCTCATGCTCCTCCCTCCGCCTCCGCCCTTCCTCTGCCCTTCCCCGTAGGCTCCCTCTCCCCTATCTTGTCTTTGTCTCCTTCCCTCTTTCCTCCTCCTCTGCTTTTCTCTTTTTTCCCTTTCTTCCCTTCCTCACCCCATTCCCTATCCCTCTCCACATTTCTGTGTCTTCCAGTCTGTTTCCCCCTTTTTCTCGTCTCCTTGCTCCCTCTCTTTCTCTGAGTCTGCCTGCTTTCTCCTCTTTCCCATCTACCTCCTCTTATGCTCACCAGGATTCCTCTCTAGGCTGCCCACCAGGTCCCCTGGAGCATTCACAAGACTGCTGGATTGACCACCTGATCCCCGTGCGCCCAGGCAAGGTGAGGCGCGGCCATCGTCCTGCCTAGGTCCCTGGCCAAAACACGCAGCACTGCAGCCAGTTGCTTGGGCTCAGAGGACCACTGTGGGCACAAGTGGCCCCTTTGGAAGGCCACTTCCTTTGCAGATAACTAGCGCTTGCACAAACGAATTGTCAAGGTCTGAGTTTAAAAAGAAGAGAAATCTCCAAACTAAAAGCCAGAGTGCTATAATGACCTCGCCTGGGGGTGACATCAACCCCAAACACTGATTCCCACCTCATTCCAGCCTCCCTCCGGTTGGGGGGCCCTATGGGGGATGCTGAGCTCAACCTCTGGGTTCCCTGTCCTCAAATGATTTACAGGTGGTCTACGGAGGGCCACAGGGCCACGCGCGGTCACCACACCACAGCTTCCTGCATGGCCTGATCTCTCAGGGTGAGATTGACTGCTCTGATAATGCTCCTCTTTTCTTTAACTGCCTGGGAAGCCCAGAGAGTGGGAAGAACCTGACCAGAGAGGGTATAACACCTGATCAAAGGGCAAATCAACTGGCTCCAATCCCTCCAAGAAGGGACAAGAAAGTGCCAGTGAAATGTAATGGGACAGAGATAATTTCTTTTTCCAAGACTCCGCTAGGGGAAAGGACACAGGCCTACTTGGGTAAACCACTTGAAGTGGGTGGAGGTGGTGAGACCTTCCAAACATGTTTTGCTTGAGTAACAGCAGGTAAGCACTGCCCCCTGACCTGGGAATGTCGATCAGGTTAATTGGAGGGGAGGTAGGAAAGTCTGGGCCAGAGCTGACAGCTTGGGCAAGGAAGGTGAGAAGCTGGACCCTGCAGAATTTTCCATCTCAGCCTTTCCCTCACAGGGCTCAGTCTTATCTTTAAATGGCACAGAATGTTTGACTGAAGAGGCATCTAATTATCAGGCCCCCAGGATCCTTGAGACCTGGTCTGGCTATGTGGCTGCCTCAGTTCCCCAGTCCCCACCACCCCCTTTTCCAGGCCTCCCTTTCTGCATTTGAAGAATGTGGGGCTGGACTCCATGGGTCTCTCAAGGTCCGGCCTGCTGGGTCAATCTGTGAGTCTGTGCCGTGATTCACTCTGAAATCAAGGCTGAGTGATAGAATTGGAAGCTCTTCCTGTACATTTTCTCGATGGTTCTCTTAGGTTTGTTTATTCCTCACAGTCTCTCTGATCCTGGCCTAAAAGAACTGGGCCACAATCTGATGATCAAAACAACTGGTGCAGGACAATTGCTTTGATTTGCTGTTGGCTTCAAATCTGGATTAATGGTTGCCTTTCTAATTAAGCCTCTGAGCACAGGATTTAAAAACTCACAGGTGTCAGGTCCTTAAAATGGACCAGCCCCTCCTACTCTGTCTCAAGGCTCCTTTTCTATTACATAAAAAATATTTTTTAATATCCTTTTTACTATCCTGAAATTGAATTCATAAATAATATAAGCCACTTATGCACATGATTTTAAAAATCATTATAATGTTCTTAGTACATTATATAGGAGACATAAGAAGAATCTATTACAAAATACATATTTTAATACAGAAATGTCTCTGTCTCTCCCTCTCCCTCTCCCTCTCCCTCTCCCTCTCCCTCTCCCTCCCTCTCTCCCTCTCCCTCTCCCTCTCCCTCCCTCTCTCCCTCTCCCTCTCCCTCCCTCTCTCCCTCTCCCTCCCTCTCTCCACGGTCTCCCTCTGATGCCGAGCCAAAGCTGGACGGTACTGCTGCCATCTCGGCTCACTGCAACCTCCCTGCCTGATTCTCCTGCCTCAGCCTGCCGAGTGCCTGCGATTGCAGGCGCGCGTCGCCAGGCCTGACTGGTTTTCGTTTTTTTTTTGGTGGAGACGGGGTTTTGCTGTGTTGGCCGGGCTGGTCTCCAGCTCCTAACCGCGAGTGATCCGCCAGCCTCAGCCTCCCGAGGTGCCGGGATTGCAGACGGAGTCTCGTTCACTCAGTGCTCAATGGTGCCCAGGCTGGAGTGCAGTGGCGTGATCTCGGCTCGCTAAAACCACCTCCCACCCGCCTGCCTTGGCCCCCCCAAAGTGCCGAGATTGCAGCCTCTGCCCAGCCGCCACCCCGTCTGGGAAGTGAGGAGCGTCTCTGCCTGGCCCCCCATCGTCTGGGATGTGAGGAGCCCCTCTGCCTGGCTGCCCAGTCTGGAAAGTGAGGAGCGTCTCTGCCCGGCCGCCATCCCATCTAGGAAGCGAGGAGCGCCTCTTCCCCGCCGCCATCCCATCTAGGAAGTGAGGAGCGTCTCTGCCCGGCAGCCCATCGTCTGAGATGTGGGGAGCACCTCTGCCCCGCCGCCCTGTCTGGGATGTGAGGAGCGCCTCTGCTGGGCCGCAACCCTGTCTGGGAGGTGAGGAGCGTCTCTGCCCGGCCGCCCCGTCTGAGAAGTGAGGAAACCCTCTGCCTAGCAACCGCCCCGTCTGGGAAGTGAGGAGCCCCTCCGCCTGGCAGCCACCCCGTCTGGAAAGTGAGGAGCGTCTCCGCCCGGCAGCCACCCCGTCCGGGAGGGAGGTGGGGGGGGTCAACCCCCGCCCGGCCAGCCGCCCCGTCCGGGAGGTGAGGGGCTCCTCTGCCCGGCCGCCCCTACTGGGAAGTGAGGAGCCCCTCTGCCCGGCCAGCCGCCCCGTCCAGGAGGGAGGTGGGGGGGGTCAGCCCCCCGCCCGGCCAGCCGCCCCGTCCGGGAGGTGAGGGGCGCCTCTGCCCGGCCGCCCCTACTGGGAAGTGAGGAGCCCCTCTGCCCGGCCAGCCGCCCCGTCCGGGAGGGAGGCGGGGGGGGGGTCGGCCAGCCGCCCTGTCCGGGAGGGAGGTGGGGGGGTCAGCCCCCCGCCCGGCCGGCCGCCCCATCCGGGAGGTGAGGGGCGCCTCTGCCCGGCCGCCCCTACTGGGAAGTGAGGACCCCTCTGCCCGGCCAGCCGCCCCATCCGGGAGGTGAGGGGCGCTTCTGCCCGGCCGCCCCTACTGGGAAGTGAGGAGCCCCTCTGCCCGGCCACGACCCCGTCTGGGAGGTGTGCCCAGCGGCTCATTGGGGATGGGCCATGATGACAATGGCGGTTTTGTGGAATAGAAAGGCGGGAAGGGTGGGGAAAAAATTGAGAAATCGGATGGTTGCGGGGTCTGTGTGGATAGAAGTAGACATGGGAGACTTTTCATTTTGTTCTGTACTAAGAAAAATTCTTCTGCCTTGGGATCCTGTTGATCTGTGACCTTATCCCCAACCCTGTGCTCTCTGAAACATGTGCTGTGTCCACTCAGGGTTAAATGGATTAAGGGCGGTGCAAGATGTGCTTTGTTAAACAGATGCTTGAAGGCAGCATGCTCGTTAAGAGTCATCACCACTCCCTAATCTTAAGTACCCAGGGACACAAACACTGCGGAAGGCCGCAGGGTCCTCTGCCTAGGAAAACCAGAGACCTTTGTTCACTTGTTTATCTGCTGACCTTCCCTCCACTGTTGTCCTATGACCCTGCCAAATCCCCCTCTGCGAGAAACACCCAAGAATGATCAATAAAAAAAAAAATTAAAAAAAAAAAAATACAGAAATGTTTGATTACATCCTAACTAGAGACATAATGAAGTACTCAGAAGTCTACACCTACACATAGAATCATGGATATACTTACACATAGAACCACATGCTACACCTATGCGTAGAATCATGGATATACCTACACATAGAACCACGTGCTATACCTATGTGTAGAATCATGGATATACCTACACATAGAACCACATGCTACACCTATGCATAGAATCATGGATATACTTACACATAGAACCACATGCTATACCTATGTGTAGAATCATGGATATACCTACACATAGAACCACGTGCTATACCTGTGCATAAAATGATGGATATACTTACACATAGAACCACATGCTACACCTATGCATAGAATCATGGATATACTTACATATAGAACCACATACTGTACCTATGTGTAGAATCATGGATATACTTACACATAGAACCACATACTATACCTATGCACAGAATCATGGATATACTTACACATAGAACTGCATGCTTTACCTATGCATAGAATCATGGATATACTTACACACAGAATCACATACTCTACCTATGCATAGAATATGCATTGATATACTGATGCATATGTGATTCTATGTCTATGACTGTGACCAGTAGCACTCCCCATGCACATGTATACAGGAGCATTATATTGCTGATTCAGATACCATGAGCAATGTTGATTTTCCAAAATGAGTTCCAAAAGAGTTTAAACAACTCTTGACTTAAAAAAAAATAAATAATTCAGCAATCCTGCTTCTAAGTATATGCCCAAGTGAAATGAAATATATGTCCTCTCAAAGACTTGTATAGGAATATTCATAGCAGCCAAATTCCTAAGAGCCAAAACCTAGCAACAATTCAAATGTCCATCAAGCTGATAAATGGATAAACAAAATGTGGTTTACTGCTATGGAATATTATTCAGCAATAAAAAGAAACAAACTATAATCCATGGTACAATGTGGATGAATCTTAAAAAACAGGATGCTAAGTGAAAGGAGAGAAATACAAAAGACTATATATTGTATGATTCTTTATATGTAAAATTTCTAGAAAAGACAGATCTACAGAAACAGTAAGCAAATCAGTGGTTGCCTGGGGCTTGGGGTGGGAGTGATAATTGACAGCAAACTGGTATAAGGAAACTTGTTGGAAGGAAGGAACTGTTCTGAAGCTGGATTTTGATGATACATGCCCAACTCCATCAAATTTACCAAAATCACTGAATTGAATAAACACAAACTGAATTGATATCACTGAAAAAATGAATTAATTTTCTGGCATATAAGTCATACTTCGATAAAACTGTTTTTAAAAGATGTGGATTTCTTTTGATTTATGTGGTAATTCCATTTTCAAAAGTTCAACACACACTGGTACGGTGCAAAAACAACTTGTGTTCCTATTTAAAGCAGAGCTAGTTTTTATCTGACTGGAGTCAGACAATTATGAACAAGTTTTTCATCTACATGAGTATCCAGGAGGACATGTGACAGTTGTGCAGGATGTGGGATGGTTTTTCACTGTGGGGGACTGTCCTGTGTATTACAGGTTATCTAACAGCCCTGCCCCTGCCCAGTAAATGCCAGAAACAACCTCCAGTCATTGGGACACTGTAAAATGCCCCCATAACTTTCCAGATCACCTCCCGGGAAATGGTTTCTCCCCCACTGAGAATCCCTGAGGTAGCCTAGCATCACATAAGGAAACTGAGACCAAGTGAAAGGAAACTTGCCGAGTGTCACAGAGTGAGCTAGGGTTTAGCAGGATTGAACCCAGACATCCTAAATCACAGTCCAGAGTTCCTCAGCCCATTCCAGGCCTTTTCACTCTTTTCTTCATCTCCAGACTTCTTCATCATTCTGGTTATAGCATGTAAACAGCTCAATCTCATTCAGAATTCTGGAAAAGACAGGCAGGAGGCCAGAACTTGTTGGTATTATGCTGACACATGAATGTCACTCTCAGGGAATTCAAGCAATGGGGGCAGCCGTTCTAAGGGTCCCAAATATGAAGCTGTGGTGGGTATATGGACCCAAGGATGTCAGATACCCACTATGCAGGCTGCGGTTCAACCTCTCCTCCCCATGGTAGATACTGATGGTCCCCACGGTAGACATTGATTGTTGACAATAGTGCACTTCCCATCTGAGACTGGATACAAACTGCCTCCTTCTTAAGGCAGACGTTGTCAATTAACTGAAATTTGCAGAAGAGAAACAGTTACTATCCTGGGGTGCTGGAAAAAGCTGGGTGCAGGTCTGAGACAAAGAACCAACATTAGTCCAGAAAGTTCAGCCCAGGAGAAGAGAAGAAGGGGTGCATGACAAAGAAACAGACAAAAATGGAAGACTAGACAAGGACACTGGAAAGAGTTTCAGGCTTTAGCTCAGGCAGATGGGTCCTCAGAGAGCAGATGCTCAGTAACTGCTTGATGAATGACCACTGATAGAAGAACAGGGACTGTCTGTCCTGGTTTTACAGCAACCTCTTAGTCCCCAAGCAGGTGTTTGCTGCTCCCCAAATTAAGGCTGGCGTCCCCAGGCCTCTGAAGCTGATCTCACAGCCTGGGCTTTGTGGAGGGTCCTTGACCCTTTTTAAAGGAGTTCAACCTGAGCCCAGGTTGTTCCCTAGAACAGCTAGGGGTGATCACAAGAACAGGTTTCTCTTGGAGGCAACTGGAGAGATTCATACAATAGCTGAGATTTGGGGCACTGGAGTCTAGAGGCCAAGTGCATAGACTTTGAAGTCAGACAGACCTGAGTTTGGATCCCAATGTTGCTAATTACTAGCTGCCTGATCTTGAGCAAGTTGCTTCTCTGAGGTCATTTTTCTCACCTCTCCCTGGGATCTAATTCACAGCGTGTTGTGAGGATTAAATGAATGGACATTCATTTGGCTTTTCAACATCTATTCATCTCTTCCTCCATTTGAAAGCAGCCATGTAATTTGGTTAGAAAAGCCTGCATCCCAAACTCCAGAAATAGGCCATGGTTGATCCAATCAATTAGGATAACACCAGCCCTGTTGCTACACTGATTGGTCGAGGGATGAGTTACCTAGGCTATGCCAATCAACATGTGAATTTCTCCTGGTTGGTTCAGTTTGCTTTGGTCAGAGTAAAGTTCAGAAATTTCTTTGATGGGGCTGGGTGTGGTGCCTCATGCCTGTAAGTAACTCTGGCACTTTAAGAGGGCAAAGTGGGGAATCACTTGAGGCCAAAAATTTGAGACCAGCCTAGGAAACAAAGTAAGACCTTGTCTCTATAAAAAGTACAAAAAAAACCTAGCCAGCATGATGGCATGCACCTATAGTTCCAGCTACTTGGGAGGCTTAGCTGGGAGTATTGCTTGAGCCCAGGAGGTTAAGGCTGCAGTGAGCCATGATTGCACCACCGTACTCCAGCCTGGGTGGCAGAGTGAGACAGAGTCTCAAAAAAAGTTATTTGATGGTAGATATTGTTTGATGGTAGAGCTCTCCATCCCTGTGCCTCCCCTAAATGTGAACGAGGAATTGTGTGGCACCAGTTACAACCAGCAGCCATTTTGAATCCATGAGTAAATCCAGCCTAAGGAAAGCCAACACATGGAACTGGGTGGAGCTGAATTACAGGGAAGCCAAGTCAGAGCCCTGATCAAACTTTACCCTGTCCATGAACATTTTAAGCAAAATTTGAGAGGGGCTTCCTTTTACTTAAAACATAAAAAGCACATATAAGTCATCAATAAATGCTAGCAATCAAAACTGTATTACAATCAAGAGGATTACTAATTGAAGCCCGAAAAAGAGTTTGATATTTTCAGCATACGACACATCAACAACTTTCCCAATGGTATTCATTTATTTCTCCAATTCTTCTTCCTCTTCTCTTCCTCCTTCTTCCTCTTCCTCTTCCTCCTCCTCTTCTCCTCCTCCTTCCTCCTCCTTCCTCCTCCCTCTTCCTCCCTCCCCCTCCCCTCCTCCTCCTCTTTCTTCTTCTTCTTCTTCCTCTTCCTCCTCCTCCTCCTTCTTCTTTCTTTTTCTTTCTCCTCCTTCCTCCTTTTTCTTTCTCCTTCTCCTTCTTCTTCTCCCTCCTCCTCCTCCTCCTTCCTCCTCCTCCTCCTTGAGACAGGGTCTTGCTCCATTGCCCAGGTTGGAGTCCACTGACACGAACCCAGCTCACTGCAGCCTCAACCTCCTGGGCTCAAGCAATCCTCCCAACTCAGCCTCCCAAGAAGCTGGGATTACAGGCACATACCACCTCACCCAGCTAATGTTTGAATTTTTTGCAGAGACAGTGTCCCACTATGTTTCCCAGTTTATTTTCAAATGCCTGGGCTCAAGCAATCCTCCAACTCAGCCTCCTGAAATGCTGGGATTACAGGAGTAAGCCACCACGCCCAGCCTACCAATTCTTCAAACAAATTAATTCAACAAATAATTATTGCCTTTCTACTGTGTGACAAGCCTGGTGCTAGGTGTGGGGTTAGAGTGGGGAGCAAGATGGAGATGATGCTGCATTATCAGAGTTTATTATCTAGAAATTAGGTAAGCATTTAAAGGGTGATAAGTGTTAACATGAAGAATGGTAGCAGGAATGGATAAGTGTACTGGCCAGCATCCTGCCCACACATCCCCTCACCTCTGATAAGTTTCTTTCTTACTAAGCAGAAAGGAAAGCCTGCACACTCACAAATGTGGGAATATTTAAAATGAAAACCTTGCAAGATGATAGTGCATGGAGAAACTCTACATCAAAGTCATATGGTTTTCAGTGTGAAGATGTCAGGATCCTCCCTCCCTCCCTCCCTCCCTCCCTCCCTTCCTTCCTTCCTTTGCTTCAGCCAGGTATGCCTTCTTTACCTTCCTCTATCTCCTTACCTTCATCTACCTTTAAGACCCAGCAGGGACTCCATAAGAGGCTCCCTGGCCAACATAGGTGCTTACATTCTCCCTCCTGGGGCCTTGCATCTGTTTTCTTCAAGAGCTCACCGTATTCTACTCCTTTAGTTACCCTGGGTCTCCTAGTATCCAGCTGCCTGTTCTTCCAGCTGTCTATCACCTTGTCTTGTGCTCCAGGATCTGAGCTCTCATAATTTGCATTTGTCTCAATGATATCTGTAATAGTCCATTTTCAAACTGCTATGAAAAAATACCAAAGACTGGGTAATTTATAAAGGAAAGAGGTTTAATTGATTCACAGTTCCACATGGCTGAGGAGGCCTCAGGAAACTTACAATCATGGCAGAAGTCACCTCTTCACCAGACGGCAGAAGGGAGAATGAGTGCTGAGCAAAGGGAGAAGCCCCTTATAAAACCATCAGACTTCATGAGAACTCACTCACTATCCTGAGAACAGCATGGGGGAAACCACCCCGATGATTCAATTATCTCCACCTGGTCCCACCCTGGACACGTGGGGATTATTACAATTCAAGGTGAGATTTGGGTGGGGAAACAGAGCCAAACTATATCATTCCACTCGTGGCCCCTCCCAAATCTCATGTCCTCACATTTCAAAACACAATTATGCCCTTCCAACAGTTCCCCAAAGTATTAACTCATTCCAGCATTAACCTAAAAGTCCAAGTCCAAAGTCTCATCTGAGATAAGACAAGACCCTTCCACTTAAGAGCCTGTGAAATCAAAAGCAAGTTAGTTACTTCCTAGATACAATGGGGGTACAGGCATTGGGTAAATACACCTGTTCCAAATGGTAGAAATTAGCCAAAACAATAGGTCCCATGTAGGTCTGACATCCAATAAGGCAGTCATTAAACCTTAAAGTTCGAAAAGATCTCCTGTGACTTCATGTCTCACATCCAGCTCAAGCTGATGCAAGAAGTGAGCTCCCATGGCCTTGGGCAGCTTTGCCCCTATGGCTTTGCAGGGTACAGCCCCATTCCCAGCTGCTTTCACAGGCTGGCACTGACTGTCTGAGACTTTTCCAGGTGCATGGTGCAAGCTGTTGGTGGATCTGCCATTCTGGGGTCTGGAGGACAGTGGCCCTCTTCTTGCAGCTCCACTAGGCAGTGGCCCAGTGGGGACTCTGTGTGGGGGCTCTGACCCCACATTTCCCTTTTGCACTACCCTAGCAGAGGTTCTCCATGAGGGATCCACCCCTGCAGCAGACTTCTGCCTGCATTTCCATATATCCTCTGAAATCTAGGCAGAGGTTCCCAAACTTCAATTCTTGTTGTCTGTGCACCCACAGGACCGACACCACATGGAAGCTGCCAAGGCTTGCAGCTCTAAAGCAATGGCCTGAGCTGTGCATTGGTCCCTTTTAGCCATGGCTGGAGCAGCTGGGATGCGGGGCACTAAGTCCTCAGGCTGTACACAGCAGGGGGGCCCTGGACCTGGCCCATGAAACCATTGTTCCCTCCTAGGCCTCTGGGCCTGTGATAGGAGAAGCTGCCATGAAGGTAACTAACATGCCCTGGAGACATTTTCCCCATTGTCTTGGCAATTAACATTTGGCTCCTTGTAACTTATACAAATTTCTGCAGTGGCTTGAATTTCTCCCCAGAAAACGGGTTTTTCTTTGCTACTGCATCATCAGGCTGCAAATTTTCCAAACTTTTATGCTCTGTCACCTCTTGAATGCTTTGCTGTTTAGAAATTTCTTCCACTAGATACCCTAATCATCTCTCTCAAGTTCAAAGTTCCACACATCTCTAGTACAGGAGCAAAATGCCACTAGTCTCTTTGCTAAACTATGGCAAGAGTCACCTTTATACCAGTTCCCAACAAGTTCCTAATCTCCATCTGAGACCACCTCAGCCTGGACTTCATTGTCCATATGACTATCAGCATTTTGATCAAAGCCATTCAACAAGCCTCTAGGAAGTTCCAAACTTTCCCACATTTTCCTGTCTTCTTCTGAGCCCTCCAAACTTTTCCTACCTCTGCCTGTTACCCAGTTCCAAAGTTGCTTCCACATTTCAGGTATCCTTATAGCAGCACCCCACTCCCAGTACCAATTTACTGTATTAGTCCATTCTCATGCTGCTATAAAGAACTACCTGAGACTGGGTAATTTATAAAGGAAAGAGGTTTAATTAACTCACAGTTCTGCTTGGCTGGGTAGGCCTCAGGAAATTTACAATCATGACAGAAGGGGAAGCAAACATGCTTCACAAGGCAGCAGGAGAGAGAAGTGCTGAGCAAAGGGTGAAAAGCCTCTTATAAAACCGTCAGATCATGTGAAAACTCACTCACTATCATGAGAACAGCAACATGGGGGTAACCACCCCCATGATTCAATTACCTCCCACTGGGTCCCTCCCACAACATGTGGGGATTATGGGAACTACAATTCAAGATGAGATTTGGGTGGGGACACAGCCAAACCATATTAATATCTAACCCATTACTCTGTCCTAAGGGCTTGTTTTATACCTGTCCATATTCCCATTCGCTTACTGGTGGCTTATGAGATTTTGAAGATAATTCAATTAGTTCCTGGCTCTCAGCCTAGACTTCACTGGTACTTAAATTCCTACTGCTAACATAATGGGGATAGTGCCTTCTCCTGATTCACCGCAAAGAAGAAAAGAAAAATGCTCCATTGCTATCTCATCTTCCCCAGCCTTGCTTTATTTTATTATATATTTTTAAAGCAAACAAGTAACACATGTTTAAGGAGAAAAACTCAAACAGTATAGCATTTGGTAAAGTAAAAAGTGAAAACCTTTCATCTGCTCTTCTGTATCTCCTCTCCCTGGAGACATCCATGCTACCAGGTGGTTGTGTAGCCTCTGACCTAGGATAGTCATGTGGGCTCTAAAAGCAGGTCACACGGGTTCAAGCCCAAGCCTTATCACTTACTAGTTGTAGACTTGAGCAACTTGTAGGTTAGCTAACCTCCATATGCCTTAGTATATTTATCTATAAAAGTAAGATAGGCCAGACATGGTGGCTCACACCTATAATCTCAGCACTTTGGATGGCTGAGGTGGGAGGATCACTTGAGTCCAGGAGTTCAAGACCAGTTTGGGAAACATGGTGAAACCCCATATCTACAAAAAACACAAAAATTAGGTGTGGTGGTGTGCACCTGTAGTCCCAGCTACTGGGGAGGCTGAGGTGGGAGGATTGCTTGAGCCTGGGAAGTCGAGGCTGCAGAGAGCCGTGATTGTGCCATTGCACTCCAGCCTGGGTGACAGAGCAAGACCCTGTCTCTGAAACAAACAAACAAAAAAAAAACACACACCACTAGACTAATAACAATCCTCTCATGGGGTTACTGGAAGGGAAAAACTAAAAAATATACAGAACAATGATTGACACTTGGTTAAATGTTTAATAAGAATAAATAATTATTATCTACCTTGTTTTTAGTAACAGCTATATAGGGTTCCACAGGGCAGGTGTCTTTTATTGATAACTGATGTGGTTTATAAATTCACTGACTAGCTACTCCAAAATCATAGTCCAATACTGAGAACAAGTTTTTGAAGTTGGGGCCACTTGGAAAATCTAGAATTTGTGGTTTGCGTTTTCTTTTCTTTCTTTTTTCTTTTCTTTCTTTTTTTTTTTTTTTTTTTGAGATGGAGTCTTGCTCTGTCACCCAGGCTGGAGTGCAATAGCGAAATCTTGGCTCACAGCGACCTCCGCCTCCCGGGTTCAAGCGATCCTCGTGCCTCAGCCTCCTCCTGAGTAGCTGGGACTACAGGCGCCCACTACCATGCCCGGCTAGTTTTTGTATTTTGGTAGAGACAGGGTTTCACCATGTTGGCCAAGCTGGTCTCAAACTCCTGACCTCAGGTAATCTACCCACCTCGGCATCCCAAATTGCTGGGATTACAGGTATGAGTCACTGTGCCTGACCGGTTTTGGTTTTCTTATTTGGAATCTAGTGACATTTCTTATTAAAGCTTCCTAGTGTTCACTTGCTGCTAGAAGGTACTGCAAGAGACCATTTTCTAGCAAGGGCCACTTTATTCTTCTAGAAATAAAGTTCTCAAACCAGGCACCCTTTCTTTCCTCCCAACTCTATGTCCTGGGTAGCCAGCACCTTGGATAATGAATGCTGCTTTGAGCTGGGATTACTACCAATTGGAAATGGGACAGTTTTTCTCTCTGCTTCTCGACATGTTTGGCTGGCAACACTCTTGGCTCCTAGCAGGTTAAAGGGACCACAAAGTGCCTTTGTTTGAATAGTCCTCTTTCCTGGAGAAAAAGAAGAGAAAGAAGCAACCCATAACAGATGGATCTAAATTGAACACACTTTTCTCAGCACTTAATTTCCCCTACACAGAGTGCAAAAGGCCTTCTGGGAATATTTCCTAAGCAGTGCCTGGTGTTTTAACCATTCGACAGCCATTAACCATATTGAGTCTCACAGGGCTCAGCTCCCCACCCCCACCGAGGAGCCCAATCAGACTACCATTTGCCTGGTAAAATGTCCTGTAAGTAGTACCAACCAATCTTCCCCAGTAAAAGGAGACCACAAACAATGTTAACAACTATGCTCGGCAGAGCCTTGATCTGTAGATGCAGACGAGGAAAAAAAAAACAAAGATCGAATATAGCCCCTGGAAGCAAATTTTCCGTCTTTCCCGGTTAAGATGTCCATTCCATTCTTGTCCCCTTTTATTAGTGGTGCTATCCATTATTAAGATGGGGTCAAAGGCAGATCAATAGGAGGTAGAGTTCTCAGACATTCTTTCTTTTTCACATCATATCCAATCAGCTGTCAGCTTGTCTACTATGTGATCGGTCTTATATCCATTCCAACTTTAGAATCTCTACTGTCTATTTTCTAGTTTAACAAAGTATATTGAAAATATTGGGTACTTTGTTGACACTCAGTCAAGGACACAAATTCTAACAATGCTATTTACTAATTGCAAGACCTCTAGCAAGTCTCTTAACCTCACTGAGTCTTATTTGTCTCATCTGTTAAAAGGGGAATCTAATGCCTAATGCATAGCACTGCTGTAAAGATTAAATGAGAGCTGTGTTACAAGTATCCAGTGCTGTTGATATCTACTAGGTAATCAGAAAATATCTGTTGGACAGATGAAGAGGAAGTGAATGGAGTTCCACATTCCAGTTAAATGTGATGAATGTATATTTACTTTTACTCCTTCCCAAAACCACACTAAAATGACAAAGAGATTTAAAAAACAAGTCTAGACGGGTTGATAGGTGCAGCAAACCACCATGGCACATGTATACCTATGTAACAAACCTGCATGTTCCGCACATGTATCCCAGAACTTAAAGTAAAATAAGAAAAAAATAAAAAAATAAGAAAAAAAAACAAGTCTAAGTCAACAAAGACACATAGATTAAAACAGCATAGCCTTGATCTCTGCGATTTGTAAATGCAACCAATATACCTCGTATTGGTTATCACCTGCTGCATAACCAACCACCCCAAAGCCTAATGGCTTAAAATAAAAATCATTTTACTTGCTCATAATGGTGTGAGTCAGTCATTTGGGCTAGGCTCAGGTAGGTGGGTCTACTGTTGGTATTAAATGAGTTCATTCATTTGCAGTCAGCTGGTAGCTGGTATGACAGGTCTGGGTTCTGCTGGGATGGTTTGGCTTCTCTCCATGTGTTCTCTCACCTTCCAGGAGTCTAGCCATTGATTCTTCACTTGGTGGGCTCAGGGTTCCTAGCAGTCAGAGAGTAAATCCCAATGCAGAAGCCTCTACCTGCTTCCCATTTGCTAATTCAATGTGGGAGAGAGCTACGCAAGGTTGTAGATAACTTGATTCACTGAGGGAATTGCTACAACAATCTACCACAACCTCTGAAGCACATTTACCAATGTTACCATCTTTTTCAATTAAGACAACTACATCTCTGTTGTCTCTTGTTGATAGAAATGCTTTCCAGCAGTGCTGATAGAGTCAAAGATAGGTCAAAAGAGATAAAAACAAGTGGGTAAGTGAAACTGTCTTAGCAGACCAGAGAAAAAGAAAACTAAAGTCTGAAATGGAGGAAGCCAAGAAGGAAGTTAGTTCATGCAATAGAAGCCTAGAGATTCAGATATTGAAGGCAGGAAGTACATCTGAAATTCAGTGTGTAGGTGAGGCTAAAAGGAGAATGAGCTGCAAGTTTGTGTAAAAGGCATATCTTAACTTCTATATCTTTTCTCCTGCCCTAAACAATCAAGTAAATACTCTTGCTATACCCCAGAGCCTGGAGGTACACTCTGTGGAGGTGCTGAATCATAAGGACTCTTCTGGATATCAGGCACTGCTAAATGCAAGGGCACCATACTGCAAACAGGGGAATTACACACTTGACAGTAAGAAAACAATGGTAAAAAACTTACATGATTCCACAACTGGCTAACAGGAATTCCTGAAAGAAAGAACAGAGAAAAAAGATATGAAGAAATGATCAAAGACTTCAATAAAATTTCCCAGAAATGAGTTTGTAGACTGAAAAGACTTACTAACTACCTTGCAGAATGAATTTTTTTTAAAAAACAGAGAAAAAACAGAACTAAGGTAAATTATTGTGATTTCAGGATAACGGAGATAAAGAGATATATCCTAAAAGCAGCCAGAAAGAAAAGATCAAACAAACAAAAATCAACAAAAATAAGTCATATACAAAGGTTCAGACATCCATATGGCATCAGACTTAATGGCCACAATGGATGCTAGAAAATAATGGAGTAATGCCTTCAAAATAATGAGGGAAATGATCTCCATATTCAGCCAAACTATAATTGTGATGGTAGGCTAAGGATATTTCAGATATTAAAGATCTGAAACAGTCTATCTTACATGGATCCTTCCTTAGGAAGTTACTGAAGGGACAAAAATTAGGAAGACATAGAAACCAGAAAACAGAGTGTGCCTGTTATCTTGTCTTGCAGCTGCAAACCCACAATTCCATACTCTGCTACATGATTCTGGGGCTCAGACTCCAAAAATCACTCTTCACCTTGGCCAGCTGACTCCCTGTTAATCTCTGCTAGTGGGGGAGCAGGGTTGCTAGAGGGAGACTGGAGGACTGGGGAAGGAAGAAGGGACTTATTCCTTACTGTTTGCTTGCTGTTCTCTTGCAGTTCCTGAGAGCATCACACTGGCAACACTTCTTCCCCCTGGCAGCAAAAGTTCCTTCTTGTAGCAACTGTTAATCCAGTTGACAGTTTTCCCAACACTTTCAAGATCAGCCTCCTATGCCCCTCAGAGATACCAGCACCAGCTAAGCCACCTCTCACCCTCTGGTCTGTTAAAATAACTGGCATCATTTCTGAAGCCTGACTGATATACAGGAGATCCAATACAAGATGAAAACAAGAACTCAAAGGGTGAGGGTGGAAGGACATCCTGGGACAATAATTATGTACCAGACTAGTAGATTGCTTAAATTGATAGCCCCAGTTGGTGACCTTCCTGTATCTATATTATTTGTAAAGTGACTTTTCAGATTCTTCCATCAAGACATGGAGTCTATTTTTGTACCTCTTGAATCTTGGCTGGCCTTGTGACTCGTTTAGCCAGTACAAAGTGATAGAAGTCACAGTGAACCATTCTAATCCTGGCCTCAACAGGCTTTACATATTTCCTTTCTCTCAGATCCTTGCCTCCACCACTGAGCCTGGGCTAACCTGCTAGAAGGATAAGAAATCATACTATCCAATAGCCACCCACCAACCTCCTGCCCCAAGCACAGCTACTTAACTAAGCTGCAATTAACTGCAGATGTCTGAAGGAGTCCTGCCAAGACCAGGAGGACCATTCAGTTGTGCTCAGTCCCAATTGCCAACCTGAAGAATTGTGAACTAAATAAATGAACTGAATAAATAACTGATTGTTGTTTTTTACTGCTAAATCCTAGGGTAGTTTGTTTTACTGAAATAGCTGATACACAGGCCTAGAGAATAATGAGTTCACATTGGAGCAGAGGAGTTGGAGGCTTGCAGATGGAGATCTTCAAGAAAAAAAGTGGTATCGTTAGATAAGCTAATATGTTTCAATATATTGACAAGAATATTTACATTTCTAGTGAAGATTAAGAAATGATTTACTTTTAGATTCATAGAAAGCAAGGCAATTTGTTATCCAAAACGTTGTACAAGAATGAGAATGAAATCATAATGTTTTGAATGTCTCATCTATGAATAACAGTCACATGGTCATAATAAAGCAAACAATTGATATTGTTTTAACTCCAATTTATGATAGATAAGGACATTGGAAGGCTCAGAGGAGAGGGCTTGTGTGTACATGTATGATGGAGGGGTAGGTGGTGAAATGGAAGAAACCCAAATCCTACTTTCCGTAGTTAGAAGTCAAGAAATAGCAGAACAATCATGTTAATTAGAAGCGTGGAGAAAAGCATCAGAAGAAACAGCCGAAATATTCAGTAGATGCTTCTATGGAGTCGTAATTGTTAGTGGAGTAAACTGGGGCAAAGGACAGTGCCTTTTTATTTATTTATTTATTTATTTATTTATTTTGAGGCAGAGTCTTGCCCTGTTGTCCAGGCTGGAGTGCAGTGGTGTGATCATAATTTGACAGTGGTTTCTCATTGCAAGCATTGTGAAACGATTCGATGTGACATATGTATGTGTATAACAGAAATAATATTCAAGTTAAAAAATGAATGGGCCAGGTGTGGTGGCTCACTCCTGTAATCCCCGTACTTTAGGAGGCCAAGGGGGGAGGATCACTTGAGCCCAAAGTTTCTAGACAAGCCTGGGAAACCAAGTGAGACCCCGTCTCTACAAAAAATTAGCCAGTGTAGTGGCACACACCTGTAGTCCCAGCTGAGGTGGGAGCCTGGGAGGCAGAGGTTGCAGTGAGCCGAGATTGTGCCATTGCACTCCAGCCTGGGTAACAGAGTGAGACCCTGTCTCAAAAAAAAAAAAAAAAAAAAAAAGGAAAGAAAAAAAAAGAAAAGAAAAAGAATACACTGTATGGATTTTCTTCCATAGTAGTTGCCACTTAACTTGCCCCTTGGTGGTTTCAGCAACCACGCCTTTTGATGATACTGTTTTTACTAATGGAAATGCAGACAGTATTCATCAGTAATTTTCATCAGGCTGCTAGGGCCTCGCTCCCAAACCCAATCATTGAGTCTTTGATTCTACCTCCTAAAAATGGTGATCTACCCCTTTCCATCACCATGCCACTATAAGAGCTCAAGACACCAGCATCCTGTACCTGTACCTCTGCAGCATCTTCTCAATGACTTTCTTCCCTCTCATCTTCCTAGTACCCTTCAAATGTTCTTCACAGAGCTGCCAGAATGAGCCTTCTAAACAAGTCACCTCAGGTCATTACCATATCTAAAATCCTTTATTGATTT
Source organism: Homo sapiens (assembly GCF_000001405.40). Taxonomy (NCBI): domain Eukaryota; kingdom Metazoa; phylum Chordata; class Mammalia; order Primates; family Hominidae; genus Homo; species Homo sapiens. Next base: position 20,563,906 of record NC_000011.10, read on the forward strand.
CCCTTTGTCTTTAGAACACAGTATAAACTCCTTAGGCACAGCTTTTCATGCTCTGGGATCTCCAACCCCTTCCAGCCTCATCTATTGCCATCTGTCAAGCTAGTCTCCAGCCATACTCAGCATCTTTCCACTCTTAATTTTGTCATGCTCTGGTTTTCTGCCAAGCTTTTGCATGTGTGATTCCCTCTTCCTAGAACATGATTCTCTTTTCTGGCAGGCATTGTAGGCAACAAGCCTACTCAAAATTCAGTCTTTCCTTTCTATTTGCCAACAGAATCCTGGAAATCTCTTAGTCCCAAGGAAAGTAGGTGCAGACCCTGGTCTAGAAGTGACATATAGTCCAGTTCTAGCTCATGATTTTTTAAAGGAAGTTGTTTCGTGACATCTTGAGAGATTTCTCCTTCTTTACAAGAAGAAGATATGTAAGCAAAAACTTTCAGCCCCATACTCCCCTCACTTTCTCCCCTAGAAATTGATTACGAGACCTGCACCTGTCACAGACCAATAAGAGAAAGGAAAGTGATGTTGACCAGAAGTCTGACTTCCTAGATCCCCTGGACCAATGCTAGAAACCACTTACTGCCAGACATTTTGTTACGTAGAAAAACAATCCTCTCTTTGTTTATGTCACTGTTGGCTGGGTTTCTGTTACTTGCAGCTGAAAGCATTTACACTAGATACAACCACACTTCCCAAGCTAAATCCTGTTTGATCTGCCGGACTCAGCAAAGTTACCACCTGGACCAGATTAGAGAACACGCTTCCCCAACCCTGGGTACCTGGAGCTTTTTAAATTATAGTATAATGGCTAAAAGTGCCATATCTAAAGCCATACTGCCTAGGTTCATAGCCCAGCTACCAACAAGTTGGTGACCTTGGGCAAGTTGTATATTTGCTCTCTGCCTCAGTTTTCTCATCTTTTAAATGGAGATAAGAATATTACCAACCTTATCTAATTGTCATAGGGATTCAGTGAGTTAATGCATGAAATGTACTTTGTACCTGGCTCCTAGTAATCATTCAATTAATGTTTATTGTTGTTAACACAAGCTTCCTCACAGTCTTATCACAATAGCCTATTAGTCCTTTTCCCTGATAGGTCAAAAACTTAATGAAAGCAGAGGCTGCATCTATTTTATTGCTCTGTCCTCAGGAATACCTGGCCTAGAGATATGCCCAGTAAATGTTTACTGAGTGAATAAAAATATTATCACATACTGTGAACAGTATATGAAAAGCAAAACAAGTCAAACATTAACCCAGTTGAAAAGGCTTTTTATTTTTTTTCCCCCACGTGAAACCAGTGAAGGGAGTTAAAAAATCAGCAACTTAGTTCTAGAAGGCTGCTGCAGGAGAAATTCTCATTGATGGCTCAAAGGACAAAATATCCAGGTGCTTTACTAGCCCCCAGGATAGTGAGATTCAGTCAATCAAGAAAATTACCTAAGCAGCCAAAAGATATTCTTAGAGTCAGTGTTGGGCCAATTGTTCATAAGCATTTTACCTTTGCCTTGTCCAAGTTTGCCTTCTAAAGATAGAGTCTGTAATCAAAGATAGGTTGTGGAAAATAACAATGAATCAAAGTGCACCAATTTGAGATAACCATACCTCTATTATCTTTCTTGTTTCATTTTGATTCACAGTGCTTTTTCTTGCCACTGACAGCCAGTGGGGCAACTCCCACTCTCAGATTTTTCTTCTTTTTCTCTTTCTCTCTCTCTTTTTTTTTTTGATCTTGTTGCATACCAACCACTCTCTGTCTTTCAACTCATCTTTATCCCTTACTTAGTTGGAGCTTTATGATAAAGTTATTTTTTGGTGTGTGTGTGCATGTGTGTGTGTCCAAGAAAGTAGGGAAGAAAAAAATCCAGCTGAAGGATGGTTGCATACAAGTATCTTCTGGTGAGTGAGCAGTTTTATTCTCTCATGTCTGACAGGTAAGACAGGGCACAGTGCTCTTTGGGTCTTCAGAAAGCTTCTACCATCGATCTTCATGATAATTTATGATATCTCTTTCTTTTTCTTTCACCTTGAGCAATTATGGCATCTTTCTTTGCAGAAGCTCAGTAATTGGAAAACTGGTTTACAAATCTGGTAACTTTTTCTTCTTTAAAGACTTTTTTCTTATCACATACAGAGCAAAGAGAAAGAAAAAAGTATACATTGTAGTGAAACCTAGAAGGCCAAAAATCGAGTGTATCTAATATTCCCACTTTTACCTTTTAAGAAAAACTTGAAGAAGGGCACAGGAATTTGATCATTTGGATAACTCAGGGCTAAAACCAGATTAGTGATTTTCTTTTAAAAACGTATTTTAGGCCAGGTATATTGGCTCATGCATGCCTGTAATCCCAGCACTTTGGGAAACCAAGGTGGGAGGATAGTTTGTGTATTGTTCCTGGGTGTGTCCATGAGGGTGTTGCCAAAGGAGATTAACATTTGAGTCAGTGGACTGGGAGAGATACACCCACCCTCGACCTGGGTGGGGAGCATCTAATCAGCTGCCAGCATGGCTAGAATAAAGCAGGCAGAAAAAAGTGAAATGAGTAGACTCACTGAGTCTTCCGGCCTTCATCTTTCTCCTGTGCTGGAGGCTTCCTGCCCTCGAACATCAGACTCCAAGTTCCTCAGCTTTTGGACTCCTGGATTGGCATTACTCTGCGTTGCAAAGCTCAGGCAAAGAGTGGCAGAAGGGTGGCATGTTTAAATTCTGTAGTATTTAGAATCATTCGCCAGTGATTTGCCAGGGCCTCTCAGGCCTTTGGCCACAGATTGTGTCCAGGTTTCCGAGACTAGCTTAGGCAACATAGTGAGACTCTGTCTCTACAAAAAGTTTAAAAAAATTAGCTGGGCATGGTGGTGCATGTCAGTAGTCCCAGTTACTTGAGAGACTAAGGTGGAAGGAATGCTTGAGCCCCGGAGGTCCAGGCTGCAGCAAGACATGATTGTGCCACTGCACTCCAGCCTGGGCAGCAGAGCAATATCCTGTCTAAAAAAAAAAAAAAAAAAAACAAAAAAAAAAACGTATTTTTAAAGACTTATAGCCTCTGCATTGATTTTAAACTATATTTGCAAGAGGGCATCAGCTCCAAGGATTACTTCATAACCAAGAGAAAATAATAACAGTAATACTGGCAACAGCTCACATTTATCAAGGATTATACTAAGCGCATTACTTCATTCACTCCCAACAAATCCATGAGGTAGATTCTATTATTATCTCATTTTCCAAAAATGTAACTAAAGCTTACAGAGATTAAAAGCCATTTGCTAGAGATCATGGAGCTAGTAACTGGAGCTAAGAACCCAAACTAGGTCTAACTCCAAAGCCTGTGCTCTAAACAATGGTGCAAACTCACCCAACATGTTTGACCAGCAGGAGAATCACCTTAAGAGGTTATCTGGACCCATTTCAAAACTGCCTCCAGCTTTCTCAGGGTTTCTTCCATCTAAGTGCTCCTGATTTGAGACCTGGTATTGATCAAAGACATAGCTACAAAGAGTTTAGGCAGGAGGTGCAATGTACAGTTGACATATGTACTTTGCTTGCTCCAGAAGTATTTTTAAATACAGTGTAATTAGGCAGGTATTATACTTTTCAGCACTTGTTTCAGGGATGCTTCATATATTAATCTTGCCTACCTGGCCACTATGGGCCTTTCAATGTGTCATGCCTATTTCATTCAGAGCTGGAAGGAGATTCAAGAAATTATTTAGTCTGACGCTTTCATTTCATTGGTTTTTGTTTGTTGGCTTATTTCTATGTTATACTATTGTTGCCTTGTGCATTTTATGTCTGAGTGTCTATGTATCAGCTAGCTTTCTCCAAATTATGTTTTGGTAACAAACAATCCCCCAATCTTAGTGGTTTAAAACAATAAAGTTTTATTTCTTGCTTAGATTATGTATTAGTCAGGGTTCCCTAGAGGGACAGAACTATTAGGATAGATGTATATATGAAGGGGAGTTTGTCAGGCCTCTGAGCCGAGGCCAGGCCATGGCATCCCCTGTGACTTGCACGTATACATCCAGATGGCCTGAAGTAAATGAAGATCCACAAAAGAAGTAAAAACAGCCTTAACTGATGACATTCCACCATTGTGATTTGTTCCTGCCCCACCCTAACTGATCAATGTACTTTGTAATCTCCCCCACCCTTAAGAAGTTCTTTGTAATTCTCCCCACTCTTGAGAATGTACTTTGTGAGATGCAACCCTGCCCACCAGAGAACAACCCCCTTTGACTGTAATTTTCCATTACCTTCCCAAATCCTATAAAACGGCCCCACCCCTATCTCCCTTCGCTGACTCTCTTTTCGGACTCAGCCCGCCTGCACCCAGGTGAAATAAACAGCCATGTTGCTCACACAAAGCCTGTTTGGTGGTCTCTTCACACGGACACGTATGAAACTTGGTGCCGTGACTCGGATCGGGGGACCTCCCTTGGGAGATCAATCCCCTGTCCTCCTGCTCTTTGCTCCATAAGAAACATCCACCTACGACCTCAGGTCCTCAGACCGACCAGCCCAAGAAACATCTCACCAATTTCAAATCCGGTAAGCGGCGTCTTTTTACCCTCTTCTCCAACCTCCCTCACTATCCCTCCACCTCTTTCTCCTTTCAATCTTGGCCCCACACTTCAATCTCTCCCTTCTCTTAATTTCAATTCCTTTCATTTTCTGGTAGAGACAAAAGAGACATGTTTTATCCGTGAACCCAAAACTCTGGCGCCGGTCACGGACTGGGAAGGCAGCCTTCCCTTGGTGTTTAATCATTGCAGGGACACCTCTCTGATTATACACTCACCTTTCAAAGGTGTCAGACCACGCAGGGACGCCTGCCTTGGTCCTTCACCCTTAGCGGCAAGTCCTGCTTTCCTGGGGCAGGGGCAAGTACCCCTCAACCCTTTCTCCTTCACCCTTAGTGGCAAGTCCCACTTTCCTAGGGGGCAAGAAACCCCCAATCCTTATTTCCGCACCCCAACCTCTTATCTCTGTGCCTCAATCCCTTATTTCCGCACCCTGACCTCTTATCTCTGTGCTTCAATCCCTTATTTCCATGCCCCAACCCCTTCTCTGCTTTTCTGGAGGGTAAGAACCCCCTACCCCTTCTCTGTGTCTCTACTCTTTTTTCTGGGCTTGCCTCCTTCACTATGGGTAAGCTTCCACCTTCCATTCCTCCTTCTTCTCCCTTAGCCTGTGTTCTCAAAAACTTAAAACCTCTTCAACTCACACCTGACCTAAAACCTAAATGCCTTATTTTCTTCTACAATGCTGCTTGACCCCAATACAAACTCAACAGTGGTTCCAAATAGCCGGAAAACGGCACTTTCAATTTTTCCATCCTACAAGATCTAAATAATTCTTGTCATAAAATGGGCAAATGGTCTGAGGTGCCTGACTTCCAGGCATTCTTTTACACATCAGTCCCTTCCTAGTCTCTGTGCCCAGTGCAACTCGTCCCAAATCTTCCTTCTTTCCCTCCCGCCTGTCCCCTCAGTCCCAACCCCAAGTGTCGCTGAGTCTTTCTAATCTTCCTTTTCTACAGACCCATCTGACCTCTCCCCTCCTCGCCAGGCCGAGCTAGGTTCCAATACTTCCTCAGCCTCTACTCCTCCACCCTATAATCCTTCTATCACCTCCCCTCCTCACACCTGGTCTGGCTTACAGTTTCATTCTGTGACTAGCCCTCCCCCACCTGCCCAGCAATTTATTCTTAAAATGGTGGCTGGAGCTAAAGGCATAGTCAAGGTTAATGCTCCTTTTACTTTATCCCAAATCAGATAGCGTTTAGGCTCTTTTTCATCAAATATAAAAACCCAGCCCAGTTCATGGCTCGTTCTGCAGCAACCCTGAGACGCTTTACAGCCCTAGACCCTAAAAGGTCAAAAGGCCATCTTATCCTCAATATACATTTTATTACCCAATCTGCTCCCGACATTAAATAAAACTCCAAAAATTAAATTCTGGCCCTCAAACCCCACAACAGCATTTAATTAACCTTGCCTTCAAGGGTACAATAATAGAAAAAAGTTGCAATTCCTTGCCTCCACTGTGAGACAAACCCCAGCCACATCTCCAGCACACAAGAACTTCCAAACGCCTGAACCGCAGTGGCCAGGCATTCCTCCAGAACCTCCTCCCACAGGAGCTTGCTACACGTGCCGGAAATCTGACCACTGGGCCAAGGAATGCTCGCAGCCTGGGATTCCTCCTAAGCCATGTCCCATCTCTGTGGGACCCCACTGAAAATCGGAGTGTTCAACTCACCTGGCAGCCACTCCCAGAGCCCCTGGAACTCTGGCCCAAGGCTCTCTGACTGACTCCTTCCCAGATCTTCTTGGCTTGGCGGCTGAAGACTGACACTGCCCGATCGCCTCGGAAGCCCCCTAGACCATCACCGACGCCAAGCTTCGGATAGCTCTCACAGTGGAAGGTAAGCCCATCCCCTTCTTAATCAATGCGGAGGCTACTCACTCCACATTACCTGCTTTTCAAGGGCCTGTTTCCCTTGCCTCCATAACTGTTGTGGGTATTGACGGCCAGGCTTCTAAACCTCTTAAAACTCCCCAACTCTGGTGCCAACTTAGACAACACTCTTTTAAGCACTCCTTTTTAGTTATCCCCACCTGCCCAGTTCCCTTATTAGGCTGAGACACTTTAACTAAATTATCTGCTTCCCTGACTATCCTGGACTACAGCTATATTTCATTGCCGCCCTTCTTCCCAATCCAAAGCCTCCTTTGCGTCCTCCTCTTGTATCCCCCCACCTTCACCCACAAGTATAAGATACCTCCACTCCCTCCTTGGCGACCGATCATGCACCCCTTACCATCTCATTAAAACCTAATCACCCTTACCCCACTCAATGCCAATATCCCATCCCGCAGCACGCTTTAAAAAGATTAAAGCCTGTTATTACTTGCCTGCTACAGCATGGCCTTTTAAAGCCTATAAACTCTCCTTACAATTCCCTCATTTTACCTGTCCTAAAACCAGACAAGCCTTACAAGTTAGTTCAGGATCTGCGCCTTATCAACCAAATTGTTTTGCCTATCCACCCGGTGGTGCCAAAACCATATACTCTCCTATCCTCAATACCTGCCTCTATAACCCATTATTCTGTCCTAGATCTCAAACATGCTTTCTTTACTATTCCCTTGCACCCTTAATCCCAGCCTCTCTTCGCTTTCACTTGGACTGACCCTGACACCCACCAAGCTCAGCAAATTACCTAGGCTGTACTGCTGCAGAGCTTCACAGACAGCCCCCATTACTTCAGTCAAGCCCAAATTTCTTCCTCATCTGTTACCTATCTCGGCATAATTCTCATAAAAACACACGTGCTCTCCCTGCCAATCGTGTCCGACTGATCTCTCAAACCCAAGCACCTTCTACAAAACAACAACTCCTTTCCTTCCTAGGCATGGTTAGTGTGGTCAGAATTCTTACACAAGAGCCAGGACCACACCGTGTAGCCTTTCTGTCCAGACAACTTGACCTTACTGTTTTAGCCTAGCCCTCATGTCTGTGTGCAGCGGCTGCCGCTGCTTTAATACTGTTAGAGGCCCTAAAAATCACAGACTATGCTCAACTCACTCTCTACAGCTCTCATAATTTCCAAAATCTATTTTCTTCCTCACACCTGACATATATACTTTCTGCTCCCCGGCTCCTTCAGCTATACTCACTCTTTGTTGAGTCTCCCACAATTACCATTGTTCCTGGCCGGGACTTCAATCCGGCCTCCCACATTATTCCGGATACCACACCTGACCCTCATGACTGCATCTCTCTGATCCACCTGATATTCACCCCATTTCCCCATATTTCCTTCTTTCCTGTTCCTCACCCTGATCACGCTAGCCTCGTGCTATCCCCAAACTGCCATTCTTAACTCTTGAAGTAAATAAATAATCTTTGCTGGCAGGGCTATGCTGAATCTCCTTAGGCACTCTCTAATCAGATGTCCTGAGTCGTCCTAATTCTTAGACCTTTTATACCTGTTTTCCTCCTTCTCTTATTCCATTTAGTTTTTCAATTCATACAAAACCATATCCAGGCCATCACCAATAATTCTACACAACAAATGTTTCTTCTAACAACCCCACAATATCACCTCTTACCACAAGACCTCCCTTCAGCTTAATCTCTCCCACTTTAGGTTCCCACGCCGCCCCTAATCCCGCTTGAAGCAGCCCTGAGAAACATCGCCCATTCTCTCTCCATACCACCCCCCAAAAACTTCCGCCGCTCCAACACTTCAACACTATTTTGTTTTATTTGTCTTATTAATATAACAAGGCAGGAATGTCAGGCCTCTGAGCCTAGGCCAGGCCATCGCATCCCCTGTGACTTGCACGTATACATCCAGATGGCCTGAAGTAACTGAAGATCCACAAAAGAAGTAAAAACAGCCTTAACTGATGACATTCCACCATTGTGATTTGTTTCTGCCCCACCCTAACTGATCAATGTACTTTGTAATCTCCCCCACCCTTAAGAAGGTTCTTTGTAATTCTCCCCACTCTTGAGAATGTACTTTGTGAGATGCACCCCTGCCCACCAGAGAACAACCCCCTTTGACCGTAATTTTCCATTACCTTCCCAAATCCTATAAAATGGCCCCACCCCTATCTCCCTTCGCTGACTCTCTTTTCGGACTCAGCCCGCCTGCACCCAGGTGAAATAAACAGCCATGTTGCTCACACAAAGCCTGTTTGGTGGTCTGTTCACATGGACGCGCATGAAAGAGTTTATTAAGGAGTACTGGCCCACACAATCACAAGGTGAAGTTCCTCAATAGGCTGTCTGCAAGCTGAGGAGCAAGGAAGCCATTCCAAGTCCCCAAACCTCAAAAGTAGGGAAGTTGACACTATAGCCTTCAGTCTGTGGCCAAAGGTCTGAGGGCCCCTGGCAAATCACTGGCGAATGATTCTAAATACACAGAATTTAAACATGCCACCCTTCTACCACTCTTTGCCTGAGCTTTGCAACGCAGGGTCATACCAATCCAGGAGTCCAAAAGCTGAGGAACTTGGAGTCTGATGTTCGAGGGCAGGAAGCCTTCAGCACAGGAGAAAGATGAAGGCCGGAAGACTCAGCGAGTCTGCTCATTTCACTTTCTTCTGCCTGGTTTATTCTAGCCATGCTGGCAGCTGATTAGATGCTCCCCACCCAGGTCGAGGGTGGGTGTATCTCTCCTAGTCCACTGACTCAAATGTTAATCTCCTTTGGTGTTAATCACCCTCACAGACACACCCAGGAACAAAACTTTGCATCCTTCAATCCAATCAAGTTGACACTCAATATTAACCATCACAGATTATAAACGTCCTTTGGGAATTGGCCATGACTGTGTTCTATGACCTCTTCACTTGGGGATATAGGATAAAGGGAACAGCTTCTCTATAGGATATGCTGTTCTCATGGCAGAAGGAAAAGAGAGACAGAAGAACCATTTGATGCCTTTAAGAATTCTGCTTGGAAGTAATGTATCACTTCCACTTACACTTTATTGAGTAAAGCAAGTCACATGGCCAAGCATGATGTCAATTGTGTGTAAAGTATCATTTTCTATAAGTGAGAAGGGCCAGCTAAGAGTTGGAAAAAAAAAAAAGTCTTAATCTACTTCCTTCTAGTCTTTTCATAAAAAGAATATTATTTTTCCTGTCGAATTAATATATGTCTACTACAAAAAGTTCAGAAATACAGAAAATGTAAAGAGATAAAACAAAATTCAGCCCACCTCTTACCTTCATAGGCACTAATTGTTAATATTCACACCAGTTCCTTCCAGTCCTTGTTCTAATCACTTTATTTTTTTAATTTTTTATTTTTTTGAGACGGAGTCTTACTCCTCACCCAGGCTGGAGTGCAATGGTGCAATCTCGGCTCACCGCAACCAATGCCTCCTTGGGTGCAAGGGATTCTCCTGCCTCAGCCTCCTGAGTAGCTGGGATTACAGGCACCCAACACCACGCCTGGCTAATTTTTTTAATTTTTAGTAGAGAGGGGGTTTCACCATGTTATCTAGGCTGGTCTTGAACTCCTGACCTCAGGTGATCCGCCCACCTCAGCCTCCCAAAGTGCTGAGATTACAGGTGTGAGCCACTGCACCCAGTGTTTTTTTTTTTTTTTTTTAACAGAATAAGATCATACTGTAAGTTTTTGTTGCCTAACACTGAATCTTAAGTACTTTCCTATATTCTTAAGAACGGCTTTATAGAGCCATTGCAGTACATTGAGCTCCATAGAGACAGCACCGGGGAAAGTGAGAGTTTCAGTCAACTTCTCAGAGTTTTCTAAGAAGTGCTCAGAGAGGTGGAAGAACATGTCTGCTAAAGAGAAAGGAAAATTTGGCCGGGCGCGGTGGCTCACACCTGTAATCCCAGCACTTTGGGAGGCTGAGGCGGGTGGATCACGGTCAGGAGATCAAGACCATCCTGGCTAACACGGTGAAACCCCGTCTCTACTAAAAAAAACCCAAAAAATTAGCCGGTCGTGGTGGCGGGCTCCTGTAGGCCCAGCTACTCAGGAGGCTGAGACAGGAGAATGGCGTAAACCTGGGAGGTGGAGCTTGCAGTGAGCGGAGATCGCACCACTGCACTCCAGCCTGGGCAACAGAGCCAGACTCTGTCCCCCCACCCCCCACCCCCCAAAAAGAGAGGAAAATTTGAAGATATGGCAAAGGCGGACAAGGCCCATTATAAGAGAGAAATGAAAACCTATATCCCTCCCAAAGGGGAGACAAAAAAGAAGTTCAAGGATCCCAATGCGCCCAAGAGGCCTCCTTCAGCCTTCTTCCTGTACTTCTCTGAGTATGGCCCAAAAATCAAAGGAGAACGTCCTGGCCTGTCCTTTGGTGATGTTGCGAAGAAGCTGGGAGAGATGTGGAATAACACTGCTGCAGATGACAAGCAGCCTTATGAAAAGAGGTCGGCGAAGCTGAAAGAAAAATACGAAAAGGATATTGCTGCATATCGAGCTAAAGGAAAGCATGATGCTGCAAACAATGGAGTTGTCAAGGCTGCAAAAAGCAAGAAAAAGAAGGAAGAGGAGGAAAATGAGGAAGATGAAGAGGATGAGGAGGAGGAGAAAGATGAAGATGAAGATGAAGAAGATGATGAAGATGAAGAAGATGGTGATGATGAACAAGTTGGTTCTAGTGCAGTTTTTCTTTTGTCTATAAAGCATTTAATCCCCCTGTACACAACTCACTCCTTTTAAAGACAAAAACTGAAATGTAAGGGTGTGTAAGATTTGTTTTTAAATTGTACAGTGTCTTTTTTTGTATAGTTAACACACTACCGAATGTGTCTTTAGATAGCCCTGTCCTGGTGGTATTTTCAATAACAACTAACCTTGCCTGTTATAGTATGCGGGTTGCAAATTGGCATGGAAATTTAAAGCAGGTTCTTGTTGGTGCACAGCATAAATTAGTTATATATGGGGATATCAATGAGACAGAAAGTTAAAAAGGATATCCAGGAATTGAACTCAGCTCTGCACCAAGTGGACCTAATAGACATCTACAGAACTCTGCACCCCAAATCAACAGAATATACCTTCTTCTCAGAACCACATTGTACTTATTCCAAAATTCACCACATAGTTGGAAGTAAAGCACTCCTCAGCAAATGTAAAAGAACAGAAATTATAACACACTGTCTCTCAGACCACAGTGCAATCAAACTAGAACTCAGGATTAAGAAACTCACTCAAAACCGCTCAACTACATGGGAACTGAACAACCTGTTCCTGAATGACTACTGGGTACCTAACGAAATGAGGACAGAAATAAAGATGTTCTTTGAAACCAATGAGAACAAAGACACAACATATCAGAATCTCTGGGACACATTTAAAGCAGCGTGTTGAGGGAAATTTATAGCACTAAATGCCTACAAGAGAAAGCAGGAAAGATCTAAAGTTGACACCCTAAAATCACAATTAAAAGAACTAAAGAAGCAAGAGCAAACACATTTAAAAGCCAGCAGAAGGCAAGAAATAACTAAGACCAGAGCAAAACTGAAGGAGATAGAGACATAAAAAACCCTTCAAAAAATCCAGGAGCTGGTTTTTTTAAAAGATCAACAAAATTGATAGACCGCTAGCAAGACTAATAAAGAAGAAAAGAGAGAAGAATCAAATAGATGCAATAAAAAATGATAAAGGGGATATCACCACTGATCCCACAGAAATACAAACTACCATAAGAGAATACTACAAACACCTCTATGCAAATAAACTAGAAAATCCAGAAGAAATGGATAAATTCCTCGACACATACACCATCCCAAGACTAAACCAGGAAGAAGTTGAATCCCTGAATAGACCAATAACAGGCTCTGAAATTGAGGCAATAATTAATAGCCTACCAACCAAAAAAAGTCCAGGACTGGATGGATTCACAGCCAAATTCTACTAGACGTACAAGGAGGAGCTGGTACCATTCCTTCTGAAATTATTCCAATCAGTAGAAAAAGACGGAATCCTCCCTAACTCATTTTATGGGGCCAGCATCATCCTGATACCAAAGCCTGGCAGAGACACAAAAAAAGAGAATTTTAGACAAATATCCTTGATGAACATCGATGCAAAAATCCTCAATAAAATACTGGCAAACCGAATCCAGCAGCACATCAAAAAGCTTATCCACCATGATCAAGTGGGCTTCATCCCTGGGATGCAAGGCTGGTTCAACATACGCAAATCAATAAACATAATCCAGCATATAAACAGATCCAAAGACAAAAACCACATGATTATCTCAATAGATGCAGAAAAGGCCTGTGACAAAATTCAACAGCCCTTCGTGCTAAAAACTCTCAATAAATTAGGTATTGATTGGACGTATCTCAAAATAATAACAGCTATTTATGACAAACCCAAAACCAGTATCATACTGAATGGGCAAAAACTGGAAGCATTCCCTTTGAAAAGTGGCACAAGACAGGGATGCCCTCTCTCACCACTCCTATTCAACACAGTGTTGGAAGTTCTGGCCAGGGCAATCAGGCAGGAGAAAGAAATAAAGGGTATTCAATTAGGAAAAGAGGAAGTCAAATTTTCCCTGTTTGCAGATGACATGATTATATATTTAGAAAACCCCATCGTCTCAGCCCAAAATCTCCTTAAGCTGATAAGCAACGTCAGCAAAGTCTCAGGATACAAAATCAATGTGCAAAAATCACAAGCATTCTTATACACCAATAACAGACAGAGAGCCAAATCATGAGTGAACTCCCATTCACAATTGCTTCAAAGAGAATAAAATACCTAGGAATCCAGCTTACAAGGGATGTGAAAGACCTCTTCAAGGAGAACTACAAACCACTGCTCAATGAAATAAAAGAGGATACAAACAAATGGAAGAACATTCCATGCTCATGGATAGAAAGAATCAATATCATGAAAATGACCAACTGCCCAAGGTAATTTATAGATTTAATGCCATCCCCATCAAGCTACCAATGACTTTCTTCACAGAATTGGAAAAAGCTACTTTCAAGTTCATATGGAACCAAAAAAGAGCCCTCATTGCCAAGTCAACCCTAAGCCAAGAGAACAAAGCTGGAGACATCACGCTACCTGACTTCAAACTATACTACAAGGCTACAGTAACCAAAACAGCATGGTACTGTTACCAAAACAGAGATATAGACCAATGGAACAGAACAGAGCCCTCAGAAATAATACCACACATCTACAACCATCTGATCTTTGACAAACCTGACAAAAACAAGCAATGGGGAAAGGATTCCCTATTTAATAAATGGTGCTGGGAAAACTGGCTAGCCATATGTAGAAAGCTGAAACTGGATCCCTTCCTTACACCTTATACAAAAATTAACTCAAGATGGATTAAAGACTTACATGTTAGACCTAAAAACATAAAAACCCTAGAAGAAAACCTAGGCAATACCATTCAGGACATAGGCATGGGCAAGGACTTCACGTCTAAAACACCAAAAGCAATGGCAACAAAAGCCAAAATTGACAAATGGGATCTAATTAAACTAAAGAGCTTCTGCACAGCAAAAGAAACTACCATCAGAGTGAACAGGCAACCTACAGAATGGGAGAAAATTGTTGCAATCTACTCATCTGACAAAGGGCTAATATCCAGAATCTACAAAGAACTCAAACAAATTTACAAGAAAAAAACAAACAACCCCATCAAAAAGTGGGCAAAGGATATGAACAGACACTTCTCAAAAGAAGACATTTATGCAGCCAACAGACACATGAAAAAATGTTTATCATGACTGGCCATCAGAGAAATGCAAATCAAAACCACAATGAGATACCATCTCACACCAGTTAGAATGGCAATCAAAAAGTCAGGAAACAACAGGTGCTGGAGAGGATGTGGAGAAATAGGAACACTTTTACACTGTTGGTGGGACTGTAAACTGGTTCAACCATTGTGGAAGACAGTGTGGCGATTCCTCAAGGATCTAGAACTAGAAATAGGATTTGACCCAGCCATCCCATTACTGGGTATATACCCAAAGGATTATAAATCATGCTGCTATAAAGACACATGCACATGTACGTTTATTGCAGCACTATTCACAATAGCAAAGACTTGGAACCAACCCACATGTCCATCAATGAAGACTGGATTAAGAAAATGTGGCACATATACACCATGGAATACTATGCAGCCATAAAAAATGATGAGTTCATGTCCTTTGTAGGGACATGGATGAAGCTGGAAACCATCGTCAGCAAACTATCGCAGGGACAAAAAAACCAAACACCGCATGTTCTCACTCATAGGTGGGAATTGAACAATGAGACCACTTGGACACAGGAAGGGGAACATCACACACTGGGGCCAGTTGTGAGGTAGGGGGAGGGGGGAGGGGTTAGAGATAGGATTAGGAGATATACCTAATGTAAATCATGAGTTAATGGGTGCAGCACACCAACATGGCACATGTATACCTATGTAACAAACCTGCATGTTGTGCACATGTACCCTAGAACTTAAAGTATAATTAAAAAAAAATGAATGGCTTTATAATACTTTATTCTAGGGCTCTACACCTTAAATTATTTGATTCCCCTAGTTTAGTCTACATTTTGTTATTATAGATGGTGTATCCTTGTGCATAAAATTGTGTTCAGATTTTAGAGTATCCTATTTGTTTGAAGAGACACCTGGAAGTTTAACTTCATTTTTCGGAGGAAAATTCAGTAGTCAAGAAAGAATGTTGCTGAAATATAATACTCGTGATCAAAAGGTGGACTATTACCAAAAGAGAATTGGAAAGAAACTACTACAGAATTTAAATATGCCAGCCTTCTACCACTCTTTGCCTGAGCTTTGCAAGGCAGGGTAACACCAATACCAGCCATCGATACGAATGTTTCCCTTCATTCCTAACCTTTTATGATAATTGAGTTCTAAAGTTTTTATTAAACAAATATGCCCTCAGGTCCTAGAGTTAATTGTAATTCCTAGTAACTGATAATATAGGATGGAAAAGACTGAAGAATATCTGGTGGTTTGGTGCCAGACCAAACTGTATGGACTTTGGTTTCACTGTGTGGAGTGTGGGGAAACAAAATCTAGATCTAAATAAATTTTAAGTTTTGCCCGAGGCATCAAGGTCTTAGCTTATTTGGAACATTAAGGACAAGATAAAACCTCTCAAGATATATTGGTCAGGGTTCTCTAGAGAAATAGAACCAATAGGATATATACGGATATTCAGAAAGAGATTTATTATGAGGAATTAGCTTGTGTGATTATGGAGGCTGAGGAGCCCCACAATCTGCCATCTGCAAGTTGGAGGCCCAGAAAAGCCAGTGGTGTAGTTCTAGTCTAAGCCTGAGGGCTTCAGAATCAGGGGAACCGATGGTGGAGGTCTCAGTTCAAGTCTAAAGGCCTGAGAACCAGTAGCTGTGACGTCTAAGGGCAGGAGAGGATGGATGGCCCAGCTCAAGAGAAAAGTTGAATTCTCTCTTCCTCCTCTCTTTTGACCTTCTATTTATTTATTTATTTATTTATTTATTTATTTATTTATTTGAGATGGAGTTTCACTCTTGTTGTCCAGGCTGGAGTGCAATGTTGTGATCTCAGCTCACCGCAACCTTCGACTCCCAGGTTCAAGTGATTCTCCTGCCCCAGCCTCCTGAGTAGCTGGGATTACAGGCATGCACCAACATGCCTGGCTAATTTTGTATTTTTAGTAGAGATGGGGTTTCGCCATGTTGGCCAGGCTGGTCTTGAACTCCTGGCCTCAGGTGATCCGCCTGCCTTGGTCTCCCAAAGTGCTGGGATTACAGGCATGAGCCACTGTGCCTGGCTGACCTTCTATTTAGACCCTCAACAAATTGGGTGATGCCCACCTACATTGGTGAGGAAAATCTTCTTCACTCAGTTTACTGATTCAAACGCTATATTAATATTTTCTGAAAACATCCTCACAAACATAACCAGAAATGATATTTTACCATCTATCTGGGCAACCCTTAGCCCAGTCAAGTTGATATATAAAATCAGCCAGGCACAGTGGCATGTACCTGTAGTCCCAGCTATTCAGGAGGCTGAGGTAGGAAGATCACTTGAACCCAAGAGTTTGAGGTCAGTCTGGTCACTGAAAAATAAATAAATAAGCATATAAACATCACAGGACAAACAATGATCATTGCAGTCCACTCCTCACTCCTATCATGTGGAACTAAGTGGTTATGTGCTAAGTTGGGAGGGGCATGACATTGGTGGGAGGGAACCTAAGACATGATTGTAATTCGTGATTTACAAAATCTTTGTGAATACCTCTTGGGACCTGTTCTGAGATGTTGCGATGGTGCTAAGGATGCCATGTAACCAATAAAAATCTCCCCAGACTTTGCCAAAGGGCTGAAGGTTTCTAACTTAAATTACATTGTCCTCCAGACCCTAAAGCTCACAGCTTTAGTTATTGGGGCGGGGTGGTGTGAGGAATGGGTCCTGGACCTCAAAACAGAGTGGCCTGCCTGAAGGTGCAGAGCTAGTCAAATGGGTCAATTGCCTCTCTTCCTCTTCTACTCACCTATGTATCCTCCCATTCCAAGTGGCTATGTTAGAGATTCCAGCCCATATAACTCTCCAGGTTCCTTAGACAACTGTCGCTCGAAACTAGTCCATGGAACATCATTGCCATAAGATCTAGGCCAGTTTCCCTAAACCAGCATAAAGCACATTTCCTTGATCTGGCACCACCTATGTTTCCAGTAAATCAGAATGTAAATGCATAGCTGTGAGAAGGGGCTACTGTGAACTCCAGAATTATAAGAAGGACTAGATTAACACATGTAACAGAAGCTACTAAGAGATAATGTGCTGGTCTGGTCATTGGGCACAGATGTCCTCACAAATGGGTCAGGCAGTGCTTTGTCTTCACTTTGGTGTTCTGGCACCAAACCACCAAGTAGAAAACTCCAGTGAGCCAGGGGGTCTCTTCCC
This sequence comes from Homo sapiens, assembly GCF_000001405.40. NCBI lineage: Eukaryota > Metazoa > Chordata > Mammalia > Primates > Hominidae > Homo > Homo sapiens. Next base: position 20,581,368 of record NC_000011.10, read on the forward strand.
CTAAGATATGGAGGTTTCCTTCGCCTGCTGTGTCTTTTCCCCAGTGCCCCAAAATATTAACCTTCAATCCCTTCAGTGGGACTTCATGACTCCAGGTGCCCAGGCCCTAAAAGCGAACGTGCATTTGTTGGCTTATTTAGGCCACCAAATTCCACTCCTAGATAAAGTGACCCTACAAATAACCTGAAATCTGAATCAACCAGATCTATATCCTCCTGTGGGGTTGGAGTAAAATGGAACAGTGTGGGTAGGGCTCCCATTTTTAGACTCCAATGCTTAGAAAACAGGCTGCTGCAGAATCATGAGAGCCCTGTCTACAGGCTGTCAAGTGGTTCCCATTGAAACCACTCTTGCTCTGTTGACATCTATAGTTTCTGGGTGCTCAGCCACCATTTTTCTTCTTCTAGTAAAAACACCCCAATTTTCCCTTTGGAAACCACCACTCCTCCCTCTCTGTCCAACAGTTTGGATGAAACTGACCCCATGTCTCTTCCCAGCACAAATTAGTATATGCCATGCCTGGCTGCAGTAATTGTTTCAGAGCTGGGACCAGGCCCCAAATCACTAACTGAGACACAGTTGAGGGTTATTTGATGGATATACTGAAAGGTGCAAGATCTCTCTCTCTCTCTGAGGCTGATAGAGCTGGCCAGTTTCTGTTCTTGCAATGAAATAAACTCCCACCATGAAAACACACCCCTCAGTGCCCGCTTGTCTTGTCCGCTAGTCGGTGAGTGCCTCAGAGTAGTGAGACTATCAAGTTAACCTACAGCTGCTTTTGTACAAGTTCAGCATCCAGGTATTTCACATGTTAATTTAATTAATGAACTTGGAGGCCTTCCCAAAGACCTCACCTTTCATTATGAACACAAACATGAAGCAAAGCCTTCTTCCTTTTGGCAAGAAGTTGCAGAAGAGGAAATGGTGTCCTATGGGCCACATTCTTGCCATCCTTGATGCACTTCAACCTCACTTCACTCTATTTTATGGATGAGGAAACTGAAAAATAATGGACAACATTAATAGGAGGCAATGTCCATGAGATGATTTTGAGGTGGTGAGATTAACCTGGACTATCCAAGTGGGCCCTGAATGCAATCACATATGTCCTTATGAGAACATGGCAGAAGGTTGGGCATGGCGGCTCATGTCTGCAATCCCAGCACTTTGAGAGGCCAAGGCAGGAGTTCGAGACCAGCTTGGTCAGCATGGCAAAACCTTGTCTCTACTAAAAATACAAAAATTAGTTGGGCGCAGTGGCAGGCACCTGTAATCCCAGCTGCTTGGGAGGCTGAGGCAGCAGAATCGTTTGAACCTGGGAGGCAGAGGCTGCAGTGAGCTGAGATCATGCCACTGCACTCCAGCCTGAGTGACAGAGTGAGACTCTGTCTCAAAAAAAAAAAAAAAAAAGCACGGCAGAGATGTTTCACGTACAGAGAAGTGATGTGAGGATGAAAGCAGAGACTGGAGTGATGCAGCCCCAGGCCAAGAAATGCAGGCAGTCACCAGAAGTTAAAAGAGGCAAGGAAGGGCTTCTCCCCTAGGGACTCTGTGGGGAGCACATTTCTGTGAACACCTTGATTTCAACCCAGTGATACTGAGTTTGGACTTCCGGCATTCAGAACTGTGAGAGAATAAATTTCTGTTGTTTTAAGCCATCAAGTTTATTGCTAATTTGTTACAGCAGCACTCCATTTCCAGGAACCAAAATCTGTATGAGTTTCTTATGGCAGCTGGGGTTGTCGGGAGAATTAAGTGGGTTAATACAAGCCCTTAGGATGGTGCTTAGAACAGTAATTGTTTTATGTTTTTGTTAATATTATTATTATAGGCATTGGAATGTTTTCAGGAAATAAAAATTTGCAAGCGTCCTTCAAGAGGAGCCCAAGGGTGTTCTGGGGTGAACTATGAATTCCCTGAATTTATATGTGAATTCTGATATATTTTATGTATTTTTAAGGTATACTCAAATATAGTAATATGCGTATATGTGTGCTTGTAGGGAAGGGTGTGTATTAGTTTGCAAGTAACAAGATATCATAGACTAGGCAGCTTAAATAATGGAAATTTATTGTCCCACAGCTCTGGAGGCTGGAAGTTTGAGATCAATGTATTGGCAGGGCCGGGTTCTTCTGAGTGCTGGGAAGGAAAGATTCATTCTAGGCCTCTTTCCATGGCTTGTAGATGGCCGTGTTTTCTCTGTGTCTTTTCACATCATCGTTTCTCTAAATGTGTCTGTCTCTGTGCCCAAATTTCCTCCTTTTATAAGGACACAAATCATATTGGAATACAGCCTACTTTAATGTCCTCATTTTAACTTAATTACCTCAGTAAAGACCCTGTCTCCCCATAATGTCACATTTTGAGGTACTGGGGGTTAGGACTCCAATATGTCTTTTTTCAGGGGACCCAATTCAACTCCCAACATTGTGTGTGTTTTCACAGTTTTCTTCATATCTCAAAAGTACCCAATACACATGCATAGGAACACTCGCCCACAGGATTGAAAACCCTCTTAAACGATGAAAGCTCAGAGTGTGGGCAGCAGGTAGTGAATGGTTTTGGGGTGGAGCTTCCAGGCCTTTAAGGTTCTCATCTCAATAAACAAATGCCAGCTTTGCTTAAGCAGCCTTCAGCCATGCTTGGAAGGAGGCAGATTATTTGAAAGCAGCACCACAGTGGGAGAAGCACAAGCTGTCGAATTATCCCAATCTGCCTTGGCATCTAGGCTCTGTTGCCTCAGGTAACTCACTCAACCTTTCTGAGACTATTTCTTGGTATGAAAAATACCCCCTACCTTGAGGCTATGGATTTAAAATGCCAAACGTGGTATCTGGATCCTAGCAGGCATACAAAGAGCCAGCCTCATCATAAGTAAGGTATGATTGATGAGCACATACTCTGCTCTGCCTCTGGGAGCCCCACTAAACAGCAGCACAGAGTAATGGAGTAGTGCTGGTGACTCATGCTCTGCCCTTAATCTCAGACACATACTGCTGGCCTCGCATAAGTGACCTTGGCAGGCCTGGGTGATAGAAAGTGGCTTTCGAGAAAAATGGCTTATTGGTCTTCTGGTCAGTCAATTAGGGTGGCAGGGGATCTCGTCAGTTGCATGGATATTACCTCAGTTTGACAAATGGCTGCTTGCTTCCACCTGGGGCAGGCTCAGGTTGATGTTGTGTGAAGGCCTGGCATGTTAGTCAGGGTAAGTCTAGGCTGCTATAACAAAGAGACCCCAAATGACAGCCACTTAAACTAGATAAGAGTTTATTTGTCTTTATGTCATTGTTAAGAGATAAGAGGGGCTGGGCTGGTAGGCAGCCTGCCATTCTTAACATGTAGCTCTGACTTGTAGGTCCATAGTGACAGCTTCAGCTTTCATCCTCCCCCAGCCAACAGGAAGGGGGGGAGACACATGCTTAAGCTTTTTGAGAGCAAGTCTCTGAGAGCACATATCTGTTTGCTCACATCCTGTTGTTCAGAACTTAGTGACAAGGGCTAGCCTACCTGTAAGGAAGGCTTAGATATGTCATCTGTAACTGAATTGCCATGTGTCCAGCTAAACTCAATTATTATGGAAGAGGAAGAGAAAAAAATGTGGGGAATACAGCTAACAGACTATTGCATCCAGTTCACTGGCATTTTTTCTCATTCTGGGCCTATCAGTAATCCTCTCCTTAGGGAAGTAACTTTTTTTTTAATTTTTTTTTTTATTTTGAGACAGAGTCTCACTCTGTCACCCAGGCTGGAGTGCAATGGCACAGTCTTGGCTCACTGCAAGCTCCACCTCCCAGGTTCACGCCATTCTGCTGCCTCGGCCTCCCGAGTAGCTGGGACTACAGGCACCCACCACCACACCTGGCTAATTTTTTTGTATTTTTAGTAGAGATGGGGTTTCACTGTGTTGGTCAGGATGGTCTCGATCTCCTGACCTCGTGATATGCCTGCCTCAGCCTCCCAAAGTGCTGGGATTACAGGTGTGAGCCACCTCGCCCGGCCAGGGAAGTAACGTTTTTGATAATTCTTCATTTCAAGAAACATGCACCTTCCCATCCCCCACAACACACGCACATACATGGACATTTGAATGATTTAAAACGGATCTGTAGGCCTCAGGTCTACGAATAGTTGAGATCCAAGTTCTTAGGATTGCATGATATTTCACAATTTACCCAGCTCTCTGAATTCCATTATTTTATTTCATCTTCACCTCAGCTTTGAGAGTTAGGCATAGCAAGATTTATTATCTCCATTTTACAACCGTAGAAATGAAATCTCAGAGAAGCTAGTAATTTATCCAAGGTCACCTGATAACCTAATTTAGGGCTATTTCCATTCAGAGCCAGGGAAAAAGATTGTAAATTGGAGCTCAGTTCAATTGGAACAAATTCATTCATTCATATTAGCAATTCTAGGAAAGTGGTGATTGAAAGTAGTTGAAAATCAGGAGAGAAAGTGTACCTTTTTCAGGGATCTTCCCACCTCCTAGTACCTCTCTTCTGACCCCTCTGAAGTTCAGGCACATCATATTCTTTTCTGGCAGCCCAAATCTCTCTCCTGTTTGAACACTCCACCAAAATGGTACAAAACTGTCTTTACTTCTCTCTTCACTAAGGTTTTGTTTATGGATACTGCAAATGTCAGCTAGCTGTAATGAGGAAAGCAATGTGATAAAGTTTATACCAGGATGAAAACACGTAATTAGTTATTCTAGGAGTAGGTTGCATTTAAAAAACAACAACAACACAACGAACAAACAAAAAACAGCTTGGTTAGACTGGGGGCAGCGGCTCACGCCTGTAATCCCAGCACTTTGGGAGGCCAAGGCAGGTGGATCACTTGAGCCCAGGAGTTCCAGACTAGCCTGGGGAACATGGTGAAACCCCATCTCTACAAAAAATACAAAAATTACCCAGGTGTGGTGACATACATCTGCAGTCCCAGCTACTCAAGAGGCTGAGGTGGGAGGATTGCCTGAGCCTAGGAGGTTGAGGCTGCAGTGAGCTGAGATTGTGCCACTGCACTCCAGCCTGGGCGACAGAGTAAGTCTCTGTCAAAACAAAGCAAAACAAAACCAAACCAAACCCTAGTTATGATACTATATGAATTTTGAATTGGTGATAGTGGCATAGTACAAATCTTTGTGTTCAGGAGGTTCTTTGGGCATAAGGCACTCTTTTCATTGCTGTGGTGCCTAGCTGCTATGCCTGACATAAAGTCTTCCTTAAAATAAGCTTAAGAGGGCCGGGCACGGTGGCTCATGCCTGTAATCCCAGCACTTTGGGAGGCCGAGGTGGACAGATCACCTGAGGTCAGGAGTTTAAGACCAGCTTGACCAACATGGAGAAACCTTATCTCTACTAAAAATACAAAATTAGCCAGGCATGGTGGTGCATGCCTGTAATCCCAGCTACTCGGGAGGCTGAGGCAGGAGAATAGCTTGAACCCAGGAGGCGGAGGTTGCAGTGAGCCAAGATTGCACCATTGCACTCCAGCCTGGGCAACAAGAGTGAAACTCCATCTCAAAATAAATAAATGAATAAATAATAAGCTTAAGAGATCATAGGAGAAAGCTATTGTTAATTAATCTCCTATTATGTCTCAGCCTGTCTCCTGGGCACATAACGTGCATAACCTCATTCAAGCCTCATAATAATACTGCCAGGAAAGGGTGATTGTTCTCATTTTAGATAATAATATGAATGCTACCATTTTATTTAGCATTTACTATATGTAAAATAAGATATGAAATTTGTAAGATTAAATCAATTGACCAATGTCACATAGCTAGTAATAAGAATTCAAATCCTGAGCTCTATGATTTTGAAATTGGTGCTTTTTTTTTTTTTTTTTTTTTTTAACAGCTCCCTCTGATGCCTGAAGTTCTACCACTAAAATATTCTTCTCTGGGCAGAGGCACTGCTGTGGATTTCATCTATTTATCCTCCCAGTCCACTTTTAATCAAAAGTCATTGGTAGGGAGAAAATATTTAAAGTATATTGACTGATGCATTTTACATACAGTTGACCCCTGAATGACGTGGGAATTATGGGCACCAACCCCGTGGAGTAAAAAATCCAAATATAACTAACTTTCTTTGTTTCTTTCTTTTTTCTTTTTCTTTCTTTTTCTTTTTTTTTTTTAGGCTCTCTGTCACCCAGGCTGGAATGCAGTGACATGATCATGGCTCACTGCAGCCTCGACCTCCTGGGCTCAAGTGATCCTCCCACCTCAGCCTCCCCAGTAGCTGGGACTACAGGAACGTGCCATCATGCCGGGCTAATTTCTGTCTTTTTAGTAGAGACAGGTTTTGCCATGCTGCCCAGGCTAATCTCGAATTCCTAGGTTCAAGTGATCCTCCTGTCTCAGTCAACCAACATGCTAGGATTATAGGCTTGAACCACTGTGACCTGCCTGAGAATCCAGGTATAACTTCCTAAAACCTAACTCCTAATAGTCTACAGTTGATGTGAAGCCTTACTGATAACATATACAGTTGATTAACACGTTTTCATATGTTGTATGTATTATATACTGTATTCTTACAGTAAAGTAAGCTAGAGTAAAGGGAATGTTATTAAGAACATCATAAGGAAGAAAAATTAGATTTCCTATTCATTAAATGGAAGTGGATCATTGTGAAGCCATCCTTGTTGTCTTCACATTGAATAGGCTAAGGAGAAGGAGGAAGAAGAGGGGTTGATCTGGCTGTCTCAGGAGTGGCAGAGACTGAAGAGGTAAAGGAGGCAGAAGGGGAGGCCGGAGACAGGCACACTCAGTGTGACTTTATTGAAAAGTAACACTGGTTTTTTGTTTGTTTGTTTTGTTTTTTGAGACGGAGTCTCGCTCTGTCGCCCAGGCTGGAGTGCAGTGGCGCGATCTCGGCTCACTGCAACCTCCACCTCCCGGGTTCAAGCAATTCTGTACCTCAGCTTCCCGAATAGCTGGGATTACAGGCACCCGCCATCACACCCAGCTAATTTTTGTATTTTTAGTAGAGATGGGATTTCACCATCTTGGCCAGGCTGGTCTTGAACTCCTGACCTCATGATCCACCTGCCTCGGCCTCTCAAAGTGCTGGGATTACAGGCGTGAGCTACCGCGCCTGGCCAACACTGTATTTTGTATTGAAGAAAACCCATGTATAAGTGGGCTTGCATAATTCAAAGCCATGTTGTTCAAGGGTCAACTGTACTTTTACGATATTTATAATCATGTACAGCAAAATGTTCATTACATATTGAAGTATTTACTAAATATGGTTAAGTAAAAAATGCAGGTATGAAACATACGAATTCTAGTATTATCCCAGTTTATAAGGAAAAAAATGCATAAATAAACATAATCCGGAAGGATGTTTACTAAAACATTCAGTGGTTTTAACCTTAAAATAGGATTAAAGTTTGGAAGTGAATATCTTGTTTATTGCTATTATTATTATTTAGTCTGTCCATCATCCCTCCTGCACTTATTCTGAGAACTAATTTGCTACCCCATTCTTTATTTGGAAAACTGCCTCCTTTTCTCCAGGTGTGATTTTGATGAAGCTTCCATTCACAGCATGCTGCCTGCCCACCACGTTTGAGAGGCAGACATGTGGCCAACTTTGGTCTTATCAAAGTACTGAGCGATTGGCCTAAGGAGTGGGGAAGAAAGTAAAGGTGATCATAGCAGCTGCTTTTGATGTCCCAGCCCATATTGCTTTGGCCCATCTGCAAGTCCACCTGCAGTCGTATTGGACAATTTGTGGCATGCTGACAGCTCCCCACTTCAAGCCATCACGTCTCTCTGTTTCTCTACTGACGCCTTTTTCCAGTGCTGTAGCAATTTGCTCAGCCCAACTGTAGAGTGCCCACAAGTGCTGAGGATTTAATACTCTCAGGAACAATCCTCAGCCAATAAGGGGTGGGAGTCTGTGGACAAATCACCTTCTAGCTTCCCTGTCCCCTGGAGGGAAAACTTTGACATGTGTCCCACGTGGTACCCTAGAGGGACCCCGGTGAGCCTGAATCCAATTGTCCACAGAGGTAACCTACTCATTAATGCGCTCTGTATTGACTCTTCTTGTTTCCCTAACTACCTCATTGGGACTCCCAAATAATCTACCTGCATCAAAGCCCCCATCTCAGCCTCCTTTCCCCAAACCTCCCAACCTGAAGTAGAGATATACTATTTCCCCTTGGATTACAATCTATGAGCATGGGAACCCAGATCTTTGAGTCACAAGACACCTACAACACAAGAGTCTGAAAACATGCAACAAATGGACCCACAGAGGCCGAGACTCCAAGAGAGGATCCTGTTGCTGTGGGCAGCCTGGATCCAGCCTACCTGAAGGGAGCTCCGTTTTTACCTTGACCAGTCCATTACTTGACACCTAAGCGTCAGCTAGTTTTGAGTTGGGTTTCTATCCCTTGCAATTGAAAAAGAGTCCTGATGAAGTGATTTATTTTCTTCTTTTTGCTTATTTTTTTCCATAATGTAATACAAAAGACCTTGTAATGCCAAAAAGTGACAGAATAGAGTTCTAAGGGAAAAAAATCACTCTAAATGCCTTTGACAACATCACCTTAATTGCCCGTGTGGGCGCAGCCCACCTTTTTCCCTTGGTATCAGTGAAACCAGGCCTTCGTGAAACAATGGAATCATTGAACCGTGCATCGTCACAGACAATCACACTCCCCAAATGCTCTCACCGTGGGCAATGACAGAGGGTCTTTCCTTTGTCAGTCCCACCAATCACCCAGACTCTTAAATGGTTTGGATGTAGCTTCTCATTTGGCCCCAAAGCTGTGCCCAGGTTAATGACTTGGAAAAACATGTCATCATCCACATAATCTGCAGAAACCAGAGAGAGCCCTGAATCAGGCATTTCCACTGCAGAAGAAGCATTCACAAATCCTCCACATTTTAACAATGTTTGTATTATTTCTTGCAATTGTTTAATTAAATCCTGTGTAAACAGATGAGCTTATTTGCTTGAGTCCTAATAGTTGTAAAATTTGCATATTGTGCATACTGACAATTACAAATACTTGTATTTACCAAATAATATTATTTCCATAAAAAATTCCTTTATGTTAAAGAGAAAACTGATTTATTCTTTATGGAAACATAGTATGGTCTTTGTTCCCATGGCTTTTTTATAGCCAGAAGTATTCACAGATTGCTGAGCATCGTTAGGAAAATGAATGAAAACAAAGCACAGAGCACTGTCACTCTCTGCTCAGAGCTTGGTTACATCTTCATACACAGCTCCATGTCTCCATTTTGAAGGCAGTCATCAGAAAAACTGGTCCAGATAAGATGAATCCAATTCTGAAAAATGTGCAATTCCTTTAGGAAGTAATCCCATAGTTAGGAACCGACACTACGAATCAAAATTAGAGACATGAGCAAAGATGTATATAGACAGAAATATATATAATATAGTACTATTTATCTTAAAAATTAGAAATGGCTGGGTATATTGGCTCATGCCTGTAATCCCAGCACTTTGGGAGGTCAAAGAAGGAGGATTACTTAAGCCCAGGAATTAGAGGCTGCAGTGAGCCATGATTGTGCCACTGCACACCTGCCTGGGCAACAGAGCAAGACCCTGTCTCAAAATAAAATAAAATAAAAATTAGAAACAGTTCAAATGCATAGTAATTGTTTACTACTTAAATTGTAGTATATTCATGCTATGAAAATCTATGCAGTAATTAAAAATGATGATGTAAATTTTATGGCAATGAAATGGAACTATATCAATAATATAAGTGAAAAAAGATTATAAAACAATATGAATAGCATGATCTCGATTTTGTAAAAACAAAAACTACGTCTCTATACATATGAAAGACTAGGAAGCTCTACACCAAAACATTAATAAGATACATTTTAGGCTAGATAGGAATGTGTATTTTTATGTTTTCTTGGGGGGAGTTTTTCCAACCTTTTCATATTAAGCCCATATTATTTTTATAATCAGAAATATAATACAAATGAAAACTAATAAAATACAAAAATATGGTTTAGCAAAGATAGTAAGATGGCATGTAAGAAACTAAGAGGCTATTCTGTGACTTTTTAAATCGTTTATTCAAAAATACTACTGCATATCAGTACAAGTTGGAAAGAGGCTTAAAAAATTCATACATTTCTGCCTTTGAAGCATTCACAATTTAGAACAGTATTGTCCAGTAGAATTTTCTGCAATTAACAGAAATGTTCTTTGTACTGTCTAATGTAAGTAGCTGTTGGGCACTAAGAATATAGTTAGTGTGAGTGAATAATACAATTTTGCATTTAATTTTATTTTAATTAATTAAAATAACAGTAGCCACACTTGGCTATTAGCTGTTGTAGTTGAAAAGATGCACATGGAAATAAATAATTACAATGCACTAGTGCTAGGGAAGCACAGAGAATGGAGATATTAACTTTTTTCATAAAAAACCTCCAAGAGGAGATACATGTTGGGCAAAGTCTTACGTATAGGTAGAAATTCATTCTAGAAGGAAGAGCATTGCAGGCAGAGGACACTGCAGTGGCAAAGGCATAGCGTTATGATGGGCTTGGCATTTTAAGGGAGGTGCAGTGTAAAGAGATAGAAAAAAGAACCCATTTGAAGAAAAGAAAAAAAAAACAGGCAAAGCTCATTTCCCATCAAGAAAGATGGGCAGAGGCCGGGCGCGGTGGCTCATGCCTGTAATCCCAGCATTTTGGGAGGCTGAGACGGGCGGATCACCAGGTCAGCAGATCGAGACCATCCTGGTTAACACAGTGAAACCCCGTCTCTACTAAAAATACAAAAAATTAGCTGGGCGTGATGGCGGGAGCCTGTAGTCCCAGCTACTCGGGAGGCTGAGGCAGGAGAATGGCGTGAACCAGGGAGGCGGAGCTTGCAGTGAGCTGAGATAGCGCCACTGCACTCCAGCCTGGGGGACAGAGCGAGACCCCGTCTCAAAAAAAAAAAAAAAAAAAAGATGGGCAGAATAAAGTCCTTAGAATGGCCCATTATTTTAAAAACCAAAGAAGAAAGATGGGCAAAATACATAAAGATTTGGTGAACAAATCCAGGAATATTAAGATGTGTAGAAAGGAGTCATCTGGGTACATCTCTAAGGGCATAGTGTCAGACTTCAGATAGTAACTTTCAACTCTGGTATCTCAAAGTAGAAGGAGCTCTTGCCAGGCACCATGCTAGAAGCTTTTATACACTTCATCTTATTTAATCAATCAAAGGAACTCCATTTTATTGAAAAGGAAAGTGAGGCTCTGCAGATAAGTAAATGTTAGTTAGCCACACGTTGGCTATTAGCTTCCCAAGAACACATAGTTAACAAATGGCTGAACTTGGTTCAAACTCTTGACTAATGTGTACTACTAAAGCCCTATTTTCACGATATAATGTTACCCTCCACCCAGAAAGATGTTTAAACTGAAATAGAAACACCCTGAAATAGAATGTAGATTCTAAGAGATTATTCTAAAAGATTTGTAGATCATTTCCAAGCTCTAATGGTGAAATTCCAAGGGACAACTACCATAATGATTAACTCTGGATTGTCTGCCAAAAATGGTAGGCATAGGTGGCCTCCTCCAGGCCGTTGTTTGAAATGGTCTTAGAAATCTGGATGCCACAGATTGCTAGAACCAACAGTTGCAAATGGGGTGCCAATGTCCATAGTCCCCTAGACCCAATTTACAAGGGTGCTACCCAGTGACAAAATCACAAGGTCCTAAAGCTTGTTAATGCTGTCTAGCAGTTCTGTACAGGTATAAATTCTCTTGAATTTTCCAAGTTCTGCTTCATGGATTAGCATCCTTACCATTGTACCTTTCTGAACCTTCTTCATGTTCCACCCAATAGCCTTGGTTAACTACATAAACTGCCTGTACAGTGAAGATTTCCAACATCTGTTTCATTCTACTTGTGGGAATTCCTGCTAGGTTTTCCTGACATTGAACTTAATTCCCCACCCCCCATTGCCCCACCAACTAGGACAAAAAAAGAAGACCAGGGAAACATTTAAGAAAGAGAAAAAAAGAGAATCTTATTCACCAACATTGCAGACACATTATCAATTCTCTTGTATTAGAAGTCTCCTATTTCCCATAATAAATATATTTGAGACCTTACAAGATCTGACCTCTTACAAGGCTAGTATCTCCCATTTTGGGGTTCGGGAACTTTCAGCAGATGGATAAACACAGAAGACTCATACCTGGAAGGAGATTACTGAGTAGTTTCACCAAAAATATGCAACAAGCAAAGCACGACTACCAAAAGGATAGCAGAGGAAAGGCAGCAGAGGAAAGGGGTGAATGCTTACTGGAAAGACATTAATGTTATCATTATGGAAGAATTAGAAATCAGGAATTTTCAATTTGGTGTAATTTTAATGTAAATTACTTTATAGTTTAGTGTACATTATAAGGATAAGGGTGGGGGTAGCAGAGCAGCATCATATTTTCCAAGACTGTGTCCTCTGAAGGTCTTAATTATGCCCTGGTTCCACCCCAGCAGAGCTAAGAGATAGAAACATGATGACCTGAGGAAGGAGGATTAGCCACATATTGGTAGCTGGGATCCTTAATTAACCGAATTCATTTTTCTGAGCTCTACTCTTCAGAGAAAGACAATAAAATAGGCGTAGGGGTAATACTTCCTAATGAAAGCCTCGGTGAATATTCTCATTAATTAAAGCAATAGATTCTAGTGCTGAATTCTTTCCTTTAAATTTTTTATACATATTTTACATAAATTTATAAGTATGACTAGTAGAACTATTTTTGTTTAAGTACAATCTTTGTCACCCTCCGTCCACTTTTTCTGCTTGGCTCTTCCCTCGTCTCCTGAGCTCACATCAATGCCCACATTGTCTACCAGTAATCTTACCTACTAACTTATGTGTGTGCGTCACATTTTACTAGAACACATACACACACACGCGCGCACACACACACACACAGACAGAAGAGAGAGGGAGAGACAGACAGACATGGCATTTTAGTTACTATTTATTTTATAAAAATAAGATTGTATTATACATACTTTAATGTATCTGGCTTTTCTCAATACATCATGAAAATCTCTCCAATCTCTGAATGGTTCTAATTCAATCTTTTTAACAGCTACAAATCATTCCACGCTGCAGATACTCTAATGATCTAATGTGGCTATTTCTTTTTTCCGCAGGCTTTCACTTTATCAACTATGCTATAATAAACACTCTTGCACTATGGTTTTTTATTTCTCTGGGATAGATTTCTAAGAGTGAGATTGCTGGGTCAAAGGATAATATAGTTCTTTTTTCTTTCTTTCTTTTTTAAAGAGATGCCACTAGAATTTGTTTCTAATTTGTCAAATGACCTTGAGTACTCACTTTTCCTCCCTGGACCTGGAACTCTGCTTTCTCACTGATAAGGCAGGCATGTGGAACTATAGATGACCTTGAACTCCTTTTCATCTTGTCATATACTTCTCTGCTTCTGCGCTAGCACCCACTGCCCTGTGTTTTGCTGCAGTGAAGTGAGAATCATCATTACTGCTGACTCAGGAACAAGCGTTCTGCCTGTCTGAGTCATGGAATTTTGGACCTGCATTTTGCACAGACTGATTATTTAGCTGAACCATTGATTTCCAAGTATGAGCTCTTCTGAAATGCTATGATGAGGGATGCTTGCTTTGATTAACTTGTGTTTCCCTGACACCCCTGGGTTCAGATGAGAACTGAACAGTGAGGCTGATTATGAAGCTCCAAGCTTCTGTCCTTTCTTTATACTGAAATTTACCTTCATATAAACAAAAAGTGCCTCAGGAAAAACTCATAGCAGCTTCTGTATTTGAGCACTTTTCCTGGATGCTCCTAATTTTCATTTAGTAAAGGTAAATACTTGATTATTGGGCGACCAAACACTGGATGAGGAGGGAAAATGTTGCACAATCATTACGTATTTTGTAAGGTTTTCTATTCTGCATAAGTCTACCCATATTAAACCTTCCGACCCAGGGAGAGGGATTTGTCTTATTTGCTAATTTTGAGAGGCTTCAAACATATGTTTCCTTTAGACTGAATAATATTGTTAACAATAGCTTATTGAAAGTATGCCGGGTAGCCAATCTCAATCTAGGCACTTCGCATGCGTTCTTTCGTTTAATCCTCAGGCCACCCTTGAGGTTAGGTTAATTTTTTTTTTTTTGAGACGGAGTCTCGCTGTCTCCCAGGCTGGAGTGCAATGGCGCCATCTTGGCTCACTGCAACCTCCGCCTCCCAGGTTCAAGCTGTTCTCCTGCCTCAGCCTCCTAAGTAGCTGGGACTACAGGTGCGTGCCACCATATTCAGCTAATTTTTTGTATTTTTAGTAGAGACGGGGTTTCACCATGTTAGCCAGGATGGTCTCGATCTCCTGATCTCATGATCCGCCTGTCTTGGCCTCCCAAAGTGCTAGGATTACAGGCGTGAGCCACTGCGCCGGCCGAGGTAGGTTAATTTTTATTATGCTCATTTTACTGATGGGGAATTTCCCCCAAGGTCACAGAGCTAGGAAGTGGTGCAGTGTGTCTGCAGAGCCCACATTCTTAGCACAGAACAACACTGCAATGGAGCTGGGCAGTAGTAGACAAGTGGGACAAAAATACGGCATGGCTTCTTGACTATCGGCCATGTCACCTGAAACCCACACTGAGCCCTCACATCCATCATCTATGGAAGTTGTAGGTGTTAACGACTCCCATGTTAAAATCACATAAACATAGACATAGGCGCTCATACTCTATCCCTCATGTGGTGGATGGAGAGGAGCCAACACAGACAGGGACTCAAAGCTAGGCTCTGCCCTCTGACCCTGGACACGTTCCTTCGCCTGTCAGTCGCACTGGCAGCTCTTTCTTGCATGCTGCCCTGAGGACCAGAGGAGGCTGGTGCCACAGTGCCCCGCTAACGCCAGAGCAATAGCTTGTAAAACACCGGTATCTTTCCCTCCTCTCTCCTTCCTTAGTGCAAAGGAGGGCAGCGACTTGAATGCGGTAGGCCGCCCTCTGGGCCCTCTCCTGTCTGGGTTGCAGCTGGCGTTTCGTGTCTTGGCAGTAACACTGGCGTCAGGACTGTCACCGGATGGCCTGTTTTTCAGAAGGCTACCCCCATACAACCGAGTGGACACGAGTTTTCAAAAATATTTATTTGCTTATCTGCAAGGCAGGAGAGGAGGGAACAAAGTGATCGAGGACAAAATCAATTACTATTTTTCATCTTTGACAAAGTAATTAAGGCCGTAGTGACTGGCTAATTCAGACCGAATGGCTGCGCGGTGATGGATGCGGATTTACGGCCTCCTTGGCTGCGGCGCGCTGGGCCTGATTATCACTATAAACAGGCGTCCGCGGAGGGCGGGGGCGGAGGCCCGCGTCTAGAGGACGTGCGGCTGGTCTTCTTCTTCTTCTTCTTCTTTTTTTTTGTTTTTGTTTTTTAATACTGCGGTTCCATCCTCTGCGCTTCGTAGGCGCTGACACACACCCATACGCACGACCTGCTGCCCCAGGGCCTGGCTTCCTGCCTCCGCATGCTCTCTCCCGCCCCTGAAGCCCAACCTTCAAGCCCTGCTGATGCCCGCCCCTCCGTCCCAGCGTTGGCCTCATAGCGAACCCTCTTAGGCCTCTCCGTTCCAGACCCTCCCTCCATTCTCCACGTAGCCCCTCCCTTCTAGAATCTTGCGGCTGAAAGTGGGGGCAGGCGGGGAGCCCGAATAGCGCCTCAGCCAAACCCCGCAGCCGTTCCTGCGCGTCACCCGCCTCTGCAGAGCCTGACGCGCGGCAGTCTCCACGCCGGAACCCAAGTGCTCACTGGGCCGGGGAGGGCCAGCGGGCGAAATATCAGGCCTGGGGGCTGAGCGGGGGCGCTGGGCGTCACTCAGGCCCAGGGCCGCAGCTGGGGGAAGTGAGAAGGCCGGCAGGATTCTGCCCACTCTGCGCAGTTCTCCCTTCCTCCCGGGGCAGCCAAGTCTGTGCGCCCTGGAACGTCCGGGCGCCGCGTAGACTCTCCATTCGCACCTGGCCCTTTGCGGGGGCTGCTCAAATGCAAATTGGGAAACTGGCCAGAACCTTCCAAAGTCGTGACTGTCCCTCGGGGAAGTCGGCCGGGGAACCGCAGAGGGAGGCCTACACCGATCTTTGGGCCCGCCTCGTGGTACCGCTCCGGCCGATCGCTCTCTGAGCCCGAGCCTGCCTGCCAGGCCTGCCTTCTACAGTTCTCGCATTCGTCTTGAGCCCTCTCGGAAACTGGGGACTGTTTAGGCAGAAACACTCGTAGGTCCCCTTGGCGTCCCCCAAGATGCCAAGAGCCTGCGGGGTGCTTCTCAGCGCCAGCCGGAACTTGAGCAGGCACCCCTGCGGAATTCTCAGTCCCACCCACTCAGACGACCCTCCTCCAGCCAGAGTCCACCACAGCCCACCCTACCCTCTTAACCCTCGTTCCCGACCTCTCCCTACGAGCGGGCCCCGGGGAGAGAGCGACTGACCCTAGCGACAGCCCGGCGGGAGGTGGTTGGGATCTTCTCCAGGGTTCAAAAGCGACTTTCTGAGCCCCAATTTCCTCAGCTTTGCAATTGGTATAGTTTCTGAAAGGCCATTGCTAAATCTAACCGAGATAATTCATGGATATCCCTTGCACAATGGTTGAGTATTGAGATCTCAATAGACGTTAGCTCAAAACTGCAATAAAAAGCGACCTGAAATCCTCAAGGCGTCTCAAAAGAAAGATCTCCTCCTCCTGCCCCCACCAAAGGCAATGCAGACCGTGTGTCCCCAGCCAGCTGCCCTTTAGAGGGGCTAGGCGGGAAAGCCAACCAGCGGAGGCATCCAAACACTCTCGGGCTCTCCAGAGGAGCAGGAGGGTGCCCCTTAGTGCCCCCGGCGCCCGCCGCAATCTGCCACTGCAGCCTACGCCTGCGGCCGCGGCCGCCGCGGCATTGTCCTCCCGCCGCGTGGGACGGCCCAGCCGCTGGCGACGGCGCGCACCCCGAGGCAGTGGGCTGGGCTGTTGGCAGTAGGGAAGGGAAAACGTGCTGTCTGTGGCTCCTCATCCCCGAGGCCAGGGGTTCCCCGAGCTAGACCGGCAAGGAAGGAGAGAAGGGAAGCATTTTGCTGATAATCCCCTTCTAGTCTCCAAACTACACCTTCTTTGTAAAGGCGTTTTTTCCTCTTCTGATTATAGCTATTGCATTGTACACACAACAAGAAAGTCCATCTTTTTATCGCCATGGCCACCCCCACTCCCATCCCCGCCACAGTACGGTTGAACATCCTGGCATGGCTTTGCAGATTGCCAGCTCTCATTCCCCCTCCCCCGCATTGCTGGGCATCCCGATTTGGACGGTCTCTAAGGTCCCGCGCTGCCAAATCAGGCCTGGCTCTTGTAGGATTTTATTGAAAGGACTGTAAAGAAAGAATGGGTTTCCCTTGACTTTGAAAGTGACCTAAGAACTAGGTCTGTGTTGGAAAAACTTCGTTTTTCTTTCTCTAAAACGTCTTCAGAAAAGCTTAAAAATACAATGAAAAAGGTCAGTTATACTCAGAATTTTCTCTTGATTGTGATAACAGAAATAGGAACGGAAATACCAGATCACAATTTTTAAGCAAAAACCCCAGGATTCCTCCAAGACTGACTGTCTGGAAGGGTAGGGATGTGAGAATCTGAAGTCCACATACATGCTAGGTAGGTACACCTTGATAAATGCAGGACCCATGCCTGCTTCAGTCATCGCAGAGCTGTGGGGCTATGCGCAGACCCTCAACCTCTTTCGGAGTAATATTTTCGGAATCCCTGAAGATAAGGGGGGACAGCAATGGAATCTAGTGAAAGGGAAAGAATAGACAGTGATTTAACCCCCTCCTTCCTCCTCTACAGCCCGATCCACTCTGTTGGCGGCTGCGCCTTGCCTTGGGTGCAGTGGGACGTGTCCCTCCCATGTTTCCCTTAATTAGGAGGAGGCAAACTTCTGTCTTCCCCTCCTGCCGGTTTCGGTTTAGTAATCAGACCACATGAGTCACGCCAAACACGCAGCCCCCTCCCGCTGGAGTGACAACTGGCCAGCATACTCTAGGCTGTTGTCCCTTTAAAACTTGAATCCAAGGGGGTAATGATTTATCAAACTTGTATTATCAAGAAAATGTCAAACCAAGGGCACCTTGCTTTGCACTGACGCAAACCCGGCCTTTCCCAAGGAGATATAGAAAGCGCCTCTCCTGCCTGAGCCAAACCCAGTCTTGTCAATAGCGGGTTTCACCCTCCACCAGTTCAGTCTGTTGCCTGTGTCAGACATGGTGAGTGTTTGCTTTTGTTCTTTCAAGAGGAAAGGGGGCTGAGGGGACAGGGAAAGCAGATTCGTTTTGGCTATTTCTTTTGGAGATGTCTGTGCATTGGGTGGGGGGAAAGGGGGCGACGAGGAGAACAATTCTCGCAGCCCTAGGTATTTGTACTTGTGAGCGTCACCTGAGGTCGCAAAGAGGTTTCCTAGGCTGTAGAGCTGAGAGGTTGGCTGTGGCTCCTAAAGACCCGATCCCGGGCACTGTCCTCGGTGCTGAAAAGCCAGATGCCGGTACAGAGGCGAGTTGCTCTGGGTCCTAGAGGCTACTGAGACAAATGCTGGCTGAAGCCGAGGTACCTAGATTTGTGCAAATCGAGGAGTTCTATTCTGCGTGTTTGTGAAAGGGGGTTAGACGAGAGGAGTGCGGTGGAGGCGAAGATAATAGGATTATTCTTACAGTGTAATAATAATTATTGGTGCTAATGTTTAGGAAGCCGTGAAAGATAACACGAGGGGAGAAAGTGGATAGAAAAACCACCGCTGGCAGTTCTTTTCATTTGAAAGTGAATTGGGAAAAAGCGAATAAAAATTAGTCATGAGTTTTGGTACTCAAGCAAGCTTAGAGTTGTGAAGGATATTAGACTCCTGTGAATAGTTACGCAAAAAAGAAGAAGAGGAAGAAGAAGAAGAAGAAGAAGAAGAAGAAGAAGAAGAAGAAGAAGAAGAAGAAGAAGAAGAAGAAGAAGAAGAAGACCTAAACAAAAGAACAAAAAGCTTTGCATATTCTTTTCCATGTCTGGGAATCTGGAAGTGAATACGAGTTGTGTAAGATAACAAATCTAGTTACTACTCTGTGTCTTAAATTTAGTTTATTATCGTTGTAGGTTTTTTTGTGGTTATTTTGATCGTGATTCTTAACCTTGTCTTTGCTACCTGGCGGGAGGAGGTGGGTTGTGGAGCGCTGGGACTCAACCAATTTGGCCTCAAGCGCTCGCAGGTGCCAGGGCATCAGCTTTGTGGCCACAGCTTGTCTATGGGGGAAAAAGGCAGTGTGCATTGTTGAATGACAAAGGAAATGGGGCGGAAAATTAAAGAATCTTTCTACAGTGGTGATGGGGATGCGGGCACCCACAGCTGTGATGTGGAATCCAAAGAGGGAGGGGAGCTCATGACTCCAGGGCTATTTCCATTCCCCCTTTACCCTTACAAAATTACATTTCTACCTCTTTTCTTAGTTCATCCTCCACTAGGGAGGGAATATTAGCTTCTTTTTGTCATCTGGTTATTGATGAAACGGGCAAATTGAGAAATACTGATTGCAGCCTTTCTTTTAAAAAAAGTTCAGATTCCAATTTGCTTCCCCAGATATTGTGTCTGGACCTGAGTTGCGAACGTCTCCATATCTAGATACAGGTATTTTAAAAGCTGTTGTGACTTTGTTTTGCACGAACTTGACATTGTGTTTGCAGGATTGCAGTGCTCCCAAGGAAATGAATAAACTGCCAGCCAACAGCCCGGAGGCGGCGGCGGCGCAGGGCCACCCGGATGGCCCATGCGCTCCCAGGACGAGCCCGGAGCAGGAGCTTCCCGCGGCTGCCGCCCCGCCGCCGCCACGTGTGCCCAGGTCCGCTTCCACCGGCGCCCAAACTTTCCAGTCAGCGGACGCGCGAGCCTGCGAGGCTGAGCGGCCAGGAGTGGGGTCTTGCAAACTCAGTAGCCCGCGGGCGCAGGCGGCCTCTGCAGCTCTGCGGGACTTGAGAGAGGCGCAAGGCGCGCAGGCCTCGCCCCCTCCCGGGAGCTCCGGGCCCGGCAACGCGCTGCACTGTAAGATCCCTTTTCTGCGAGGCCCGGAGGGGGATGCGAACGTGAGTGTGGGCAAGGGCACCCTGGAGCGGAACAATACCCCTGTTGTGGGCTGGGTGAACATGAGCCAGAGCACCGTGGTGCTGGCCACGGATGGAATCACGTCCGTGCTCCCGGGCAGCGTGGCCACCGTTGCCACCCAGGTAAGCAGGTTGCATTACGGCCCGCACAGTGTCCTGCTCTCCAGCTGCGCGAGAGAGGCCAGCCGGGCCGTGGCGGGTGCACGTATGCTGATGGGGAAACCGGTTGGCAGTGCCAGGTGATGGATGCGGGAGGCGGCTTTGGGGCTTCGGAAGCTCGCACTGCGCTGGGGTCGGCAGTTCAGGGCGCGAGGGCTGCAGTGACCCTGCCAGAGGGGCCACGACCTGCCCCTTCCCAGCCTTGGCGGTAGCGGGAATACAGGTCCAGATCCACGAAAGAGTTGAGGAAGATAGATTCCACCCTTTTATGCAGACAGACTCCCTCTCCTGCCAATGACTGTCTTTTCTTTTCAAAAATAATTTCTTAATTAAACAAAAAGAGGGTTAAAATTCAGAACAAAGCCACGTGGTGGTGGCTGGGGATGGAGGGGTAGGAGGATAATAGTTTAAGTTTTGTAGCCTTTACACTGCCAGTTACCTTTATTACATGAGAACTCATTTGATGCGAGGTGGGTTTACCTGAGGCTACTGAAGCTTTAGTTTTGGGGCCTGTCCTTTGCCTGGGTCCTTCCAAAACCTGGTGTCTACTTTTGCCATAATTTTCTATTTTTTTCCCTAAAGTAACCTCCCTCAATTGTATAAGCTTCAAGCCCCACCAATCTTAATCCCCTCTTGCATTTGATCCTTTACTACTTAATTAGAGGCGTGAAAAACCCACAGAGCAAATCCCAATCCTTGGGTTATGAATAAAGGCAGCTTTTGCTGGTGGCCCACTCTCTCATATAGGCTTTTGTTCTCTTCAATTTCCCTCTCGTCTCTCTCCTTCCTTCTCTGATCTCTTCTTTCTTCTGTCCTTTTTCATCAACTTCAGCTCTTCCCTTCTCACTGCCTGCCTTTCTGCTATTTCCTCTCCTTTCCTGGCCTCAGGGGCTATGCATATATCCAGCAGTGGGGCCTGGACCAAAATTTGTGCCTGTGTGAGGTTTAGGATTTATACAACCCTTCTATCCTTAGTCACTTTAGTGTTTGCACACACACACACACACATACACATTCACACTTATCCACAGGCCCACATAGCAGGAGCTTGTGGTGTCAGAACTAGAAATAAACATAGAATCTCCCACTTGCCTTTCCTTTCGGGGTCCACATCCGGAGTGTTTTTCTATGTATATTATCTGCCTCTGACAGCATGTATCCCACAGTGTGACCCCAGGTGGAGCAGAATATTTGTTTCACTTGTCTTGCTTAACCTCCGCACTGCGGCAGAAGGAGCTGGAACTCCCACCCTTTGCAGCCCTGGAAGGATTGAAGGGTGGGATTAGGAATGGAGGTGGTCTGTGTGTGGGAGGATTAGAGGGAGGATGTTAAAGATGTTTGGTTTCTGGAAGTACTTATTTTCAGCCCTGTCCATCTTTCTGATTGTGCCTTTCTGACACTCACCCTGGCCCTTTCTCTCTCCCTAAGACTTCTCCTGACAGCTGCTGCTGTGTCCTGCACACCCTGTAGAAAAGTATGAGACCTAGCAAGTTACTACAATAGGAGGTGAAGGGTGACTGAGAAGGTGGAAACTGTGTGTTGGCCTGAGTGCCTGGAAAGCTTTGTGCAGTGTCTAGGTGTCCTGAACATTTTCAGAGTTTATTTGGGGTGGTCTCCCCCCATTTTTCCTGCTTACTAGTGAGGCATTCCAGGACCAGGCACTGCCCCAAGAAAGCATCTTCGTGTGAGCTTGAAGAAATGAGCTTCAAAGATTCATAGACTGCTGGAGCTGGCAAGGGCTTCAGGGGACAGTCATTCTAAGCCTCTTTTACAGATGAGACACGGAGGTTCAGAGAGAGCAAGTGGCTTGCCTGGGGTTATCCAGCTGGTTAGTAGCAAAATTTAGACCAGAACTCAAGGTCGTAGATGGCTTGTCTCTTCCCATATCAACCTTTTTTGTTTGTTTGTTTTCCGTCTTGTTTCACCTTCAAATATCCCTCCTGCCCATCTCCCTTGCATTAGTCTTGAAGGATGCCTTCTTAAATTAGTTGACCAGGCAGGTTCTGGTTTGGTCAAGAAAGTAAGGCAGGGGCTCTGGCTGGCTTCGGCATTGCAGCTCTCTTTCTGGTCTTGGCACACACTCTAAAGGAAGAAATGGCTGAGGAGGAGGTGTGGTGAAGGTTTTTTTTTGTGGGAGAGGGTTAATTAGGAACCTGCTTGCTGGGAACTCCAGGCATGATGTTGGGGGAGCCTGCTTGCCAAATAAATTCTTGGTAAGGGGTTGGGGATGGAGGGACCTGCTTGCAATCACCTTACAGGTTCAAGGTTTGGGGAGAGCTGCTTGCTGGTGCGCCCTGACTGTATGATCTGGGAAAGAGGGGTTTTGGGTCTGTTTAAGATGGATCTTCAGATCAGAATTGAGGACCTGCTTGCTGATTGACTCTCAGTGCAGGGTTGAGGGGTGAGGTCCCTGCTTGTAGATGCATCCTTTCTTTAGATTTGGGGTCCTGCTTGCTGATGCATCCTCGGTTGAGAAGTGGGAGCCTGCTTGCTGGGAAGGACCCCTAGCGGGGGGGAGGGTGGAAGGGGCCTGCTTGTGGACCTACTCGGGGCTGTTATCGACAATGTGCTTTTCCGCCCCCAGGAGGACGAGCAAGGGGATGAGAATAAGGCCCGAGGGAACTGGTCCAGCAAACTGGACTTCATCCTGTCCATGGTGGGGTACGCAGTGGGGCTGGGCAATGTCTGGAGGTTTCCCTACCTGGCCTTCCAGAACGGGGGAGGTATGGCTTTTCCGCTCTTTCCGCCTGCGGCGGGGCGGGGCGGGCACCTGAGGGTTGGGTGGGACAGGAGCCCTCAGGCAGGGCCGCCGGGCGGGGAGGCTCAGGACAGCCTCCTTAGGCTCCAGCCCTACACCTCGTAGGCTTGAGTGCATAACCAGAGGGCGGGGGCGACCATAATCGATCGGCATTAGATCCCGGAGTATCTTATCTAGAGAGGGACACAGGGGAGGAGTGAGAACCCACAAACCCCCACTGACCCAGTTTTGGGGCCTGGGTCCTGAGCCACGTAAGCACGGGTGCTAGCGGTCAAGTGTTCAGAGAGCGGCGGCACTCCGGGCATCCAACGAGGTTAGAGCCAGCAGCTGTGCAGTCCTGGAGCCCTGATTCAGGATTATATCCTGTCTTCCTAGGGGACTCCTTAGGAGATCTAAGAGGTGAGGGGGAAGGGGTTGAGGCTGTGCTGTCAAAAACCTCTCAGAAGTGCCTGCCACCCCCGCCTTCTTCTGCTTCTTGAAGCAGAACATATTTTGATTTTAGTAAAATCTTACAGCGAAAACAAGTTTCTTTCATCTGCCCTAAATTGGGGGAAGGTGCTGCTGTTGAATGAAAGCCGTTTCAGAGGTGGGGAGGACACTAGTTAGGCTTGCATCGGCTGCTGGGCCACTATGCTCCCTTGTACCTCTTCTGTACCCACCGAGGAGGGACCTGGCACATTCACGATCCCTCTGGCCCTCCCAGCGTTTGGGTGCCGCGGGGCCGGCCGCTCTCTAGCAATAGGAATTTGAACCTAGAGCCCCGTCCCACATCTTCTCAACCGGACCGAAGGGACAAGCAATGCACTGCTTCACCCCATAGGTCAGGCAGTTTAAGGGTTTTTGTTCTTTTGTTTTTGTCTCTTGGGTCCGCTTCAGGCGGAATTTGTTGCAGCAGAACGGACAGGTGCTGCACCACCGGACGGTTAAAGCGCAAAACATAGGCCACTACTCCCGTCCTCTCCAGTTCCAAATTAGGACACTTTGACAAGTACTTATGAGGACCTCAGAGCATTTGCCATCGGGGGTGCCCTGAAAACAGACCAGGTACCGGCCACACGAATAGAGGCACCCAGATAGGTTCCCGTTTGGTTTTCCGCAGGGCGCCCTCAGGCCAGGATGCTACAACAGGGCTTCCAGTGACTAGAAGGGGAGTGGGTTATCAGGGTAGTGGATGGGGAGGGAGTTCCAGCAAAAGGAGGTTGGCCCGCGCAAGTGCCCGCGCTTTGCCCGCCCGGGATCTGCGAAGAGCGGCGGGGCAGATCTCAGGGTTCCGGAGGAGCCAGGCTCTGTGATGCGAGGCAGCCTGTTCCACACTGCGGCTCGAGGCCCCTCAGCCCTCAGTGCGGGGTGGAGGGCTCGCCGCTCCTTTTCAGGAGCAGAGGAGGACTGCACAATCCCTGTCTTGAGAGGATAAAGCAGGACCCCGGTTTTACTGCCCAGCAGCCGGCGGCTGCCCCTGGGCCTTCCTGGCTTGGAGAGCCCCGGGCAGGAAAGGCCCTGCCATCAAACAGGAAGTGCGGAGGGGCGGGAGCATGAAGAGTAGACTGGAGAAAGATCAGTTTTCCCTCCGCTGAGGCCAGTGTTCTGCGCTCGCGCATCTCCAGTGCCCACCTTGACTCTGGCCCATGCAGCAGCATGTTCTGGTCAAAACCTTTTCAAAAATCATGACCATTCCCCAAGTCCCTCCCAAACAACCTCAAAGAATGCTGAAGGGAAAGAACCCTAGAGAAGTCTCAGTGACTCTATGGAGGCCTGCCAAGTACTATTGCCCTAGACGGGGCATTTTGAGGAATAAAGAGATGCAGCGCAAACAACATTAGGGGCTCACAGGCTGAATAAGACACTTACATAAAAATTATCAAGTGATCGGTGCCTGGAGAAAGGTACTGTGGGAGGACTCAGAAGGGAGACTTCTTGGAGGAGGAAGCATTTGAGTTGACCTTGAAGGATGGAAGGAACTTCTCATATGGGGAAGGGCGTTGAGAAGTGTGTGATGGGGATGGAGATGGGTTTAGGAAGAAGGATGGGTATTCCCCAATGGCTGTCTGGCAGAGCCTGCCCAACCCTGGTTGGCAGAAGGTGTTCAGGTAACTTACTGTAGAGGAGGGCTCCTGGAGTTTAGCTTAGAAGATTTTGGGTCCTGGGAGGGCTGAGGCTCTGATAAGATTTCACCAACCTGAATCCAGTAGTGAGTCAAAGGCATGGACTGGTTGAGCTCTGGGAGGGCTTCATTTTGGGAAACTGAAGTGCTATAATAAAAAAAGAAAATAATAAAAACCCATCAGCACATATCCCTAGCCATCTGCCAGTGGAGAGTTGAAATAAGGAGTGTATTTGCATGGGTACCCTTATACTTTTTGGAGGAAGGCTCTTAAATATCTGTGGGTGACTGTTGCTGAAACAGGACATCAAAGGGCTTCTTCAGGAATGGAGCTAAATTGTCCTTTAGTTCTTTGAGAGGGAGCTCAGCCCCTAGCCCAGAGGGTTAAGGAGGGCAGCAGCCTGCTTTTGCCTCCTAGGGCTCTCACTCCCCACTCTCTTTCCAAGGTGCTTTCCTCATCCCTTACCTGATGATGCTGGCTCTGGCTGGATTACCCATCTTCTTCTTGGAGGTGTCGCTGGGCCAGTTTGCCAGCCAGGGACCAGTGTCTGTGTGGAAGGCCATCCCAGCTCTACAAGGTGAGTCCAGCCTGCCGCTCAGCCTCCTCAGGCCCTTTCTTACTCTGTCCCCTCTGGCACCATGCAGCCCCAGGGAGGGAGACCTGCCTTTGTGGTTAATAGAACTAACTCTTTCCTTCCTTTATTTGATCCTTCTGAATAATGGCCCAAGATCACCTCTGGCATTGTTGAGTTCCCAGCAGAATGCCTTCATATCCCTGGTAGACATACAGTCCACTCTGCTATTAGTGCATCCATTCTGTACAAGAGAGCCTAGACCTAGGTCCCCACCCTATGCCCAACTCTAAGAATTCCATAGCATTTAAGATGGAATGAACCCCTGGAATTTTTGCTTCTGCAGGCTGTGGCATCGCGATGCTGATCATCTCTGTCCTAATAGCCATATACTACAATGTGATTATTTGCTATACACTTTTCTACCTGTTTGCCTCCTTTGTGTCTGTACTACCCTGGGGCTCCTGCAACAACCCTTGGAATACGCCAGAATGCAAAGATAAAACCAAACTTTTATTAGGTAAGTTTGGAAATACCTGCTTTAGGTGTGTGTATTCTAAACTATCCATTTATTCAGCAAAATAATTGAACATATATTATGCATGCTAGGACCTATACTAGGTTCTGGGAACACAGAGATTACATCAAACTATCAAATATACTTAATTCTAACATAAAACTTAAGGAGCTCCTGGCCCAGAGGAAAGCTTAATCAAATTTTTGTTTGCTTATGAATAGCTGAAATCTTTGTTAAAAATGCAGGTTCACAGGCCCACAAGATAGTCTGATTTATAGATTTGGTTGGGTTCAGAAAATTTGCATTTTAACAAGTCGTTGTAGAATTTTATTTTGTTTTATAGTGTTTCTTAGACTAGCAGCATTACCTGGATGGTGGTTAGAAGCCCCGCCCTAGCCTTTCTGAATAGATTTGCATTTTAAGTAGGTTCCCAGGTGACTTATCTGCATGGTACAATTTGAAAAGTGATGGTCTAATTCCTAGAGTCCAGGAGAGCGATCCTGGGGCCAGACTTCACAAGATACTGCTCAGTGCATGAGGTGAATATGAGAGTGGACCCTTAGACCACTCTGATAAAAATGTAGTGTCTAGAAGAGGGCAAGATACTGGGGAGTCAGGGAGTGTTCCTGGAAGATGCTTCAGATGTGAAATAGATTGGGACTTGAGGCCTTGGCAGAAAGTGTCAGCTTCTTGGGTCAAGGGCAAGAGAGTGAATGTGAGGAGAAGTAGGGCAGCTATGTCAGAAAGTCTTTCTGGTCTATACCTCTGTCACTGACTGTATGTATGTCTGGGTCAAGTAACTCTCTCTGGATCTGTTTTCCTTCTCTAAAAAACAGAAATAAAAATGTTCTTCCTCTACCTACCTTGTGGGGATTGCTGTAAGGAGAAAAGAAATGAGGAGTGTGATACAGTTGCAGAAGCATATAACTCTACAAATAAAAGGTGCTAGTAGCAGTCACTTTGGAAGTTCTCGTCATTTTAAAGGGAACCTAGAAACAAGTAGTTTCTTCTTTCCCCAGTAGATCTGTTAATTCTCCTCAGCTAGGTCTGTGCTGAGACCAGCTTCCTGTGATCTCTGTATGATCGGCTCTTAGTGCTGCCCTCCAAAACCAGCTTTTTTCATGATGGAACTAGGACACTATTTAACCCTTCAAGTATATTAAGGGCAAAAATATGAATTCTTCCCTCTCGCAGACCCAGAGAGATGACATTTTTTTCTGCATTTTCTGCCATGAACATGTGTTTATAGTCTCTCTCTCTGTCTGTCTGTCTGTCTCTCTCTCTCTCTCTCTCTCTCTCTCTCTCTCTCTGTGTGTGTGTGTGTGTGTGTGTGTGTGTGTGTTTAAAGCAGGCTGAGCATGTTGACTGGATCAGGCACATGGGTGGAGGCACAAGAGACACAGAAGCCCCTGTCTCTGGCTTCCAGTCTGGCTCACCATCGCCTGGGAGACATGAAAGGCAGAGCAAAGATATGACACAGCTCAGCTCCTACTCATCTGGTACAAACCATTAAAATGATGCAAGCTCTGAGCACAAGGAGACAATGTACATTTTTCACGCTGATTGTTTCCTGCGAGTATATGACCAGGCTGAGCAGATCCTATCTCATTCTTACCCAGTGTTTTAATTTTTAATTTTTTTTTTTTTGGTGAAAAGAAAAACAAGGTGTCAATCCACACTCTTTCTTTGTGCAGCCCCTCCATCTGTCATTCTCTGTGTTATCAGCACATGAGTGTGTTCTGTTCCTGGCGCCAGGCTATCCCTTGCAGGTGTATTGGTCCTTTGGAATTCTGGGGTGACTTAGAAAAGTTGATGGTGGCCTGACTTGCAGAGCCCCACTGCTCTGCTGGACAAATCAGGAGTCTAGACAACGGATATTGCCAGGCTGTTTCCCAAATGGTCATATTGAGCAAGCCTTCCTTAAGAGATGGATAAACTCTTTCCCCAGCATTTCCCACCAATTGCCTTCCAGTCTCACCTTCTCTCTCACAATCCCATAACTACCCACATCCTGTGACTGCTGGGCAAAAGGACTCATCCCAGGAGAGAGGGGCTGAATGGCTAGCTATTGTGACCTTCGTGTGCAGCTTGGAGCTGCCCCATGACACTCTCAGTGCTGCAAGGGACACATTCCATGGGGATACCAGGCAACCATACCCACTCCAGCCCCAGAGGAAAGCCCTGGATCTGTGGGTGGGGAGAGGCAGCGTTTGCCACATCTTTCTGTGCTGCAGGTTGTAAGAGAGGCTGCTGTCTTTAGGGTGACTCAACTCTCCAAGTATCTGTAATGGAGAATGACTAGTCTGTGCCCTGTCAAGTGAGACCAGCGGCTTTACGTGAAAATAGGAGCTAGCTGGGTCACGTAAAATAGGAACAACATAAATATCATTTCTATTTCCGGAATGGCTTCATTTTCATTACAACTTTTAATTAAATGATTCCTTTTCTCCCTGGTCTTTCATGTGCTTTCATTTATTAATAATTGCCCAAGTAAAGAGAATCCCATTCCACAGCTTCCAATTTAGCACGATCATTATCGCTGTTCTTTGTTCGGGGTTGCTGGGCCGCAGAGCTCTCTGATGAGATGGCCCATCATTCCCTCGCGGGTGGACCCGAAGGCTCCGGGCGCTGGGAAGCATGCTCCTGCCGCCCGGTGGTGGGAGGGGATATTGCAGGAGGCTTGGGGCTGCGGAGCGAGCGAGCGGGGAGCCTGGGAACCCTGCTGCATTGCTGCAGGAACGGTGACCTTGTGCTGCTGCGGCGGCAGTGATCTACAGACATCCAGAGACGCTCTCTAGTGAGGCTGCCTGCGTGCTTCACAATTGCAACTTGGGAATCGAGAGATTTGGTGTTTGCCCTCGTGTTAGTGATCTCTCCCGTCTTGGGTGGACGTAATGTTTGGCAGGAGGGCTAGAAATAACTTATGTGCTTATTTACAGAACAGAGATATGGAGTGTTCTTTAATTGTCTTCATTTATGTCACTGCTGGGGGAAACAAAAGCTTTCCTGGTAAATATTTGATAATGATTAGGTGGGAATCCTCCTGAAACTCTGTTATTTGATTAAAGAAGATACTTTGAATAGGAAGATATTTTTAGGCCCTGAAGTGGAGATTCTCAACCAGGGGAGATTTTGCAGGGGACATTTGGCAACGTTCAGAGACGTTTTTAGTTGTTGCAGCTGGGTGGGCTCCTGGCATTTAGTAGGTGGAGGCCAGGGATTCTGCTAAATATCCTGCAATGCACAGGACGGTCCCACAGCCAAGAATTACTAAAGCTGTCCTTGCAGGGTTAACAAGAATTCTAGACAGAAGTATTGTTATAATCAGCATTAATCAGGCTGTGCTTTTGACTCACTTCCTTGAAACCAAAAATTGAGTAACACTACGTACATTTGCATCCCCATTGTTCCTATAGATGAGATTTCTGATGCTAGAATCATAAGGCTTTTGTTTAAGAATTGCTTAAGCAGATCCCGAATTCCAGCAAAACAGCTGATGCCAACCAGTTTAAAGACTCCTACCAGCTTTAAGCAGGGGCTCATGCCTGTAATCCCAGCACCTTGGGAAGCCAAGGTGGATGGATCACTTGAGGCCAGGAGTTGGAGACCATCCTGGGCAACACGGCAAAACCCTGTCTCTACTAAAAATACAAGAATTAGCTGGAAGTGTTGGCACACACCTGTAATCCCAGCTACTTTGGAGGCTGAGACATGAGAATCACTTGAACCCTGGAGGTAGAGGTTGCAGTGAGCAGAGATTGTGCCACTGCACCCTAGCCTGGGTGACACAGTGAGACTGTCTCAAAAAACAAAAAACAAACAAATGAAAAAAGGTTCCCACAGAGGAACTGAATCAGTGTGAGAATGCTTTTCTTCATCTCTCTGTCCCAGGACTTCACCCTGCACTCTTCAACCTACTCCAAAACCCTAGCTCCAAACTCTTTGGGGAGATGGATTTGAGGTTTCCTCCTATCTCCTTGTTCAGTGGCTCTTATGATTAAACCTCTTTCTCTGCTGCAACGCAGGAAACTCTATTTGCTTCCTGCGAGTAAATGACCAGGCTGAGCAGATCCTATCTCATTCTTACCCAGTGGTTTATTTGTTTATTTATTTTGGTGAAAAAAAAAAAAAAACAAGGTGTCAATCCCCACTCTTTCTTTGTGCAGCCCCTCCATCTGTCATTCTCTGTGTTATCAGCACATGAGCGTGTTCTGTTCCTGGGCCCAGGCTGTCCCTTGCAGGGGTATTGGTCCTTTGGAATTCTGGGGTGACTTAAAAAAGGTCCTCTTCTCTTAATTAAACCTCTTTCTCTGCTGCAACGCAGGGTCTTGGTGAAGTATTGACTCACTGTGCCTGTTGGGCAATGGACCTATTGCGGTTACTTTATCTGACCCCAAATGCCATTAGTACAGCTATTGAGAAACCTTGGTCTAAAGAACTACTGAAAGGGAAGGGATTCTTATTATTGTTTCCATTTTTACCCAACATTCTAAGAAACTCTGCGGTGTGTATGGGAAGTGGTAGGCAATTTATGGCAGGCAAGTGGCCTTACGGGAGATGATGCTGAAGACTAGAGATACTCTCTCCAGAAAAAGCTATAACAATGATGATTGAGTTATGGCTAAAATTTATTGAGTGCCAGCTGTGTGCCAGGCATTGTGGGAAGATTTTTAATTTGTGATCTCTCTTCATTTAGTCCTTACTGCAACCCTGAACAACTATGACCAGAAAATGGAGGCTTGGACAAATGGAACTCATTCAAGCTCTCGGGAGTAGTGGAACGCCTGAACTCACATTCTTGCCCTCTATGCTCTTCCACAGAGAACATAAAATGGGAGTCCATGCACCAGATCAAGCCTGCTTCTTAAAATTATTTATTTATTTTAGAGAAAGGGTCTCATTCTGTTGCCCGGGCTGGAGTGCAGTGGTGCAATCACAGCTCACTGCAACCTTGAACTCCTGGGCTTAAGCAATCCTCCTCCCTCAGCCTCCTGAGTAGTTAGGACTATAGATGTGCAGTACTGCACCTGGCTAATTTTTAAAATGTTTGGTACAGATAGGGGTCTTGTTATGTTGCCTAGGCTGGTCTTGAAGTCTTGGGCTCAAGCCATCCTCCTGCCTTGGCTTCCCAAACTGTTGGGATTATAGGTGTGAGCCACCCTGCCCAGCCACTTTTTGTTATTGTTGCTCCTGGTATTTAAAGACAATTTTAACACATTCAATATTTTTAAATGGAGATATTTCATGTAAGTTTATAGATTTTCTGCATCTTTTGCCACAACATCTGGAAAAGCTTGGCACTGATTGGCTGGAGTGCTCTCTGGTTGGCCACAGTCCCCACCTCTCTCTATTATTTTCTAATTTTATGCCTTCCTCATTTGTGTCATCATCCTGGCTTCTGTAGGTGTTTGAATTTATAATCCCTGCTCCCTATTCACATTGGATTGCCTAAGTCATTGATTCCAAAGAGAGAGCTTGTTTACATCCTGTCTTGATGTATGACCTTGGCTAGCCACTGCATCCCTCTGTGCCCCAGTTTTCCTTATCTGTAACATAGAGATAATAACAGTACCTTCTCATAGGGGGTGGTGTGAGGCTTAAATTAGTCAATGCATGTAAAGTACTTAAAACAGTGCCATAAACGTGGTAACTGCCATATAAGTGTAAGTTGTTGTTGTTATTGTTACTATGTGCTCCTTTGCAAAATAACGTCCTTTGGGATTAGTCCTGGTGGATTCTTTATTTAAGGTATTTGTCAGTTTATCTGTATTTTAAAGAGAGGCATTGTAAAATGGTCAGAAAGACTTCAGATTCTTCCTATTTAAAATGACAATAATAATATATACCTCCTGGGTTTTATGAGGATTTCATGAGATAATCATTAAAGTGTTCAACACAGAGCCTGACATACTAAGACTCACAGGGTTAATTTCCTTTCTCCATCCCTGCCTAGATCAGGCCTTCTCAACCTTGGTACCACCGATGTTTTGGACTAAATAATTCTTTTTTTTTTTTTTTTTTTTTTAAGAGACAGGGTCTTGCTTCATCACCCAGGCTGGGAATGCAGTGGCATGATCATGTCTCACTGCAGCCTTGCATTTCTGGGCTCAAGCAATCCTCCTGCCTCAGCCTCCCAAGTATTTAGGACTACAGGTGTGTGCCATCATGCCTGGCTAAGGGACTGAACAATTCTTTGTTGTGGGGGGCTGTCCTGTGCATTGTAGGATATTTAGTATTAGCATCCCTGGCCTCTACTTATTAGACACCAGTAAGCACCAGGTCCCCAAGGTATGACAACTAAAAATGCCTCCAGACTTGCCACATGTTTCCTGGAGAGAAGACTCATCCCCAGTTGAGCACCACACTGTCAGGTCCTGTCACAGGATCCCCGGTAGACGGCGTGGTTGCTGCCTCTGCTTACCCACGTGAGAGTAGAAAGTACACAGCACGTGTATCCTAGAGTACTTACTAAATGTGGTGCCAGGCAGTGGGTCCAAGGTGAACTTCTTAGAAAGCCTTCTGTAGCAGTACCCTTCAGGGGGTCTGCTTATTTTCTAATTCAATTCGTTTCAGCAATTTATTTATTTTCTGCAGAGTCATAAGGATCTGAGTTCGAATCCTGATTCTCTTCCTCATAAGCTGTGTGGCTTCAGTAGAGTTACCTACCTCTTTAAGCCTGCTTCCTTATTTTGAAAATGGAAGATTATAGTACCTCCTGCATAGGCTGTTGTGAGGATTAAATGAGATAATGCATGCAAAATACTTGCCTACCACATAGAGAGTGTTCTGTAAATGCCTTTGTCATCAGTACAAGGTGCAGTTGTGGGGACTGGGGGCTCTGATGGAGAAAACATAATTCTTTGGTTCTTTTCTTAATATATCTGGCTTTGCCCAGTTAATCCTTTCCTGAAGGTACTCTCCAATATTTGCAAATGTTTTTGGCATTTGTTTTTAAACTGCTGCAGAGAGACAAATCTCTGTTTTCTGTACAGATTTAACTGTGTTTCTATTCTGTCCTCTCCTAAACAGATTCCTGTGTTATCAGTGACCATCCCAAAATACAGATCAAGAACTCGACTTTCTGCATGACCGCTTATCCCAACGTGACAATGGTTAATTTCACCAGCCAGGCCAATAAGACATTTGTCAGTGGAAGTGAAGAGTACTTCAAGTAAGATGACTTTCTTTTTCCTTTTTTACCTTCTAAGAGAAACACAGTGAATTAATAAATATTCAATTTGCAGACCAGAGGTGTGGGTAGCCCAAGGGATGAGATCAGAGAGGAAGGTTTTTTCCCTGGTTTGGCTTCCAAGAGCAGATTGTTGTGTCTTGTGAGCCTGGAAAGCAGAGCTGGATGAATGACAGCAGTAGGAGCAGAATCATTGCGGCTATAATTCATGATGCTGATGAAAAGCCCATTTCAAAACCTTGATCCAGTGTGATCTAAGTGGACTGTCAGTTAACCAGATTATTTTTTCTTCCATCTGCACTTGGCTTCAGGGAAGAGAGACAAAAAGAAAAGAAGTCATGTTCAGAGCTTTAGTGTAAATAAGAACAAATTCATTTTTTTTCCTTTTTTTATAGCTTTGCCTTAGTTTTGTATTTTTTAATATCAGTATTGCTAGGCATTGGAGATTGAGGTTCAGGGATACTTGAAGATCCTCAGCTACCATTGGAAGATTTAGTGAAGTTCATAAAATTATTTTTTTCTTTTCTTTCTTTCCTTTTTTTTCTTTTGAGATGGAGTCTCGCTCTGTTGCCCAGGCTGGAGTGCAGTGGCGCGATCTCGGCTCACTGAAACCTCTGCCTCTGGGTTCAAGTTATTCTCCTGCCTCAGCCTCCCGAGGAGCTGGGACTACAGGCGCGTGCCACCATGCTCGGCTAATTTTTTGTACTTTTAGTAGAGACGGGGTTTCACCGTGTTAGCCAGGATGGCCTCGATATCCTGACCTTGTGATCTGCTTGCCACGGCCTCCCAAAGTGCTGGGATTACAGGCGTGAGCCACTGCACCCAGCCATGAAATTATGTCTTAAGGGAGATAAATGTAGACAGAGTTCATCATAGGGTACGTAAAGAGTGTTCTCTAGCTAAACTTTAATTCAGGGGTTGTAAATTCAAATGTACTCGGGCATGGCAGGAATATAAATGAGTAAAGTGAAAATAAATGAGATGATAGGGAGGGGGTGGGGACTGTAGCAAACCAAAGAGGCTGCCTGTCGCATGTAAGGAAAGCCACTGGTGCCCAGCTCCTCTGATCACTGCCTTGTGAAAATGTGGGGCAGTGATGCCAGAGCTTCTATTTTACAATAAAAGATGGAAATAAAGTCTGGATTTTTATGTGATCTCTCCTATTTTAAATGGCAGCAAAATAATTCAAATAGAACATGGGGATCAAATAAAATGCATAAATCAATGAGCCTCCAGTTTGTGGCTTTCACTTAGATGACGACAAATGATTGCTAATACCATGACTCTTCTCCCAGTTGTCATTATTTCCTACTCCTGGTTTTCTTTCCTGTAGACTCAGGGTGTACATAGTTGTTCCCTGCAGAACAGAAGGGAGAGTTACCTAATTGATTAAATAGTCCCCTTTGACCATAACTACCATGGGGGTATTAGGGTGGGTCTTTAATTCTCCCTGAGCACTGAGCAACTGAGTCTGACCTGGTAGTATGATGAAATCTGAAAGACCGCCAAAAGCAGGTTTGCAAATCATTTTCCAGTACACTTAATCCATGCAGTCAGGTGTACTAAAAAGTGATTTGCAAACCTGCTTTTGATGGCCTTTACTAATCCTCTGGGGCCAGTCTTGATTTCTAAGAAGAAATGTCATCAGGAGTTTCTTGGGACTTGTTTGAGGTCCTACAATTGAAGCATGGAGCAGTTGAGATGGCTAAGTCATGGAATTGTTGACTATATGGTTTACCTATTTTGGGCATGGGACATGGGGAAGGTCCTTTTCCTTGCTTGGCAAATATGGTCCTCAGGGTTTTGCCGTGGAACCAAGTTTAGTTCCAGCCTTGGTCTTCCCTAGTCAACTCTGAGCCCAGGTTGTGCCAGGGTTTGGGCCTGAAAGAGGCTCTGTCTGCACAGGGTTGGCCATCACTGTTATGAAAAGCATGTCTGTGTGTTGCCAAACAGCCTCTCAAGCTAGCCAGCTGGACCAGGAGTGGGGCTGCTGCCTACATTTCCTTCAGCAGGTCAGAATTCTCTGGGCCATCATTCCTACAGTCCTACAGAGCCTGGATGCTGGCTTGCCTTTCCTTTAGATCACAGAAAAACGTCAACCTACAAACACAGCAGTTTTACAGAGGATGTATGGCTAGATGGTTGCGGAGTAGAAAGAATTGTCTGAGTCTGTTATCAGGCACTGTCCCTGAAGCTGCCTCCTTTCCTCAGGGGTGGGGCTGCCCTGCTAGCCATTTGGCCAGGCAGGCCACGATGTCTTCATTATCTAAATGAGTTGCCAGCAGCAGCTACAGCTGACCAGTGGCCTCTTCTGTTGGCAGCTGCTCATCTGTCTTAGAATGTTTTGCTTGAGCAAGGTCTAGGCAGCCCTGCTTTTATAATTAAGCCAACCTCCGCCTCAGGACATACCCACACAACTTGAACTACAATCCAGGGCCACATTTTTCGTCATTTAGCATATGCAGTTTCCACTATGTACTAATTTTTAAAATTAAAATCACACAAATACTACCAGAATAAATTCTCATAAAAGAGTAGAGCAATACAGAAAACACACAAAAATCACCCTTGACGGTTCAGAGTTTCTGTTGCACTTCTCCTGGGGATGTGCTAGTGACAATGGAACTGACAGCCTTGTCCTGAAGCCTGCCCAGGGCCATGAGCAGCCTCCCAGCACGTAATCAAGAGCACAGTAAATCCAGCTGGAGTCTTTGCAGATGGCTGTGGGCAAGAGCCCAGACCAGCAAATTCCCCACAGCCTGATGTGATTAGGTTCCTGATGGTGGGGTGGGTGGAGGATGCTGGGGTTTTGTGCAAGCCTCCTGGCTCTACTGGAGGCTTAAAGCCTACTGCCTGTCACCTCCCTCTCTCCTTCTTTCTATCACTCCCCCCATCCCTCCCTCCAACTCTCAGGTACTTTGTGCTGAAGATTTCTGCAGGGATTGAATATCCTGGCGAGATCAGGTGGCCACTAGCTCTCTGCCTCTTCCTGGCTTGGGTCATTGTGTATGCATCATTGGCTAAAGGAATCAAGACTTCAGGAAAAGTAAGCACTTGGATTTATCTAAGAGAAAGCTGTGAGACACCCAGGGGCGGTTGCTTTGGGGAGCAGGCAGAGCACTGGAAAGAGAGTCAGGAGCTGTGGATGCTAATTCTGACTCTGCCCTGGAGCAGCTGAGGGGCTGTGACTTCACTTTCATCTGCAAAATGGGGATAATAACACCTTTCTTGCAGGGCTGTTTTAAGGGTTAAATGAGACACATATATACAGAGCTCTCAAGGGATGGTGGGGGGTACTCTGATTAGGATTTCCTTCCTTTCCTCTCAGGGGCTGCCACTCATTCAGCAGAAGGAACCTCCCTGATATCATTCAGTCACTTTCCCTAAACTCTAGAATTTGTGCTGCTGGCTTTTTGCCTCTTGGTCTGGCTGCCAAGTTAGCTATTGCTTCTGCCAAGAAGCTGGCTGAAGATCAAAACTGTGTAGTAGATTCCCTCTCCTCACTCCCGGCCACCATGTTCATGGCCTTCCTTGCCTTTCTTTCAACTCTAAGCTTGACACTCTTCTACCCCATGTGCCCCTAGCACTAAAGGAAGATGGTCCTGCCCATGGAATTTTGGCTGAGCAATTACTTGGTAAGGGTCAGTTAGTGATCGCATGGCTGGGCCCTTTGGAGATGGTGAAACTCCCACCCAAGCTCAGTTCCAAGCCACAGAAAGAGAGGAGCCCATCGAACCTCAGGCCACAGTGGGCATTGTTGTAGGGGTCACAGTAACATTTCTTCATCTCCTTGCAGCCTTAGAAAAACCTACTGAAGGTTGGGTGCAGTGGCTCAGGCCTGTAATCCCAGCACTTTGGGAGGCTGAGGCGGGTGGATCATTTGAAGCCTGGAGTTCGAGACCACCCTGGCCAACATGGTGAAACCCCGTCTCTATGAAAAATACAAAAATTAGCTGGGCATGGTGGGGGGCACCTGTAGTCCCTGCTACTTGGGAGGCTGAGGCAGGAGAATCACTTGAACCCGGGAGGCGGAGATTGCGGTGAGCTAAGATGGCATCACTGCACTTCAGAGTGACAGGGTGACAGAGTGAGATCCTGTCCCGCCCGACACACACACACACACACACACACACACACACACAAAGAAAAACCTACTGAAGAGTTAACCAGTTATTCTGATCACATGCAATAATATTTAATTACGCCAGGAGGTATTTGCATGTTTTAGGATGAAACAAAAATGTCTTTAAGGCTCAAGGAATGAGGATGTAATGGGGGATTCTGAGACCATAGGTTGTGGAGTTGAGATTTGGTTTGATTATCCAGGCCAAGGATTTCTGCGATTATGTTACAATCAACCAACTTCTGAAAGGTTGGGTCTCATCGGGAGGGTAGTCAGTGCCATCTTTCACCCCCAGGCATGCTTTGCATCCCCCATTAGGCACGCAATCCCAGCATCTATTAGCCACATAGACCGAACTGTCTTCTCCCTGGGGACATGGACATTTTTGATTACAGCTTTTATTAGTGCTTGCTTTTCATGTCATGTAGTTCCACAGGGACTTGAGTGGTGGATTCTGGCAGGTTTGTCAGGGTTACCTGAGGCAGGTGGTATGCCTTAAATCACAGAGTGTGGGGAGAATCAGGTCAGCTAGAGAGAACCAGCCCAGGAGTGAGGAGACCTGAGCCCTTGTCCTTGGGGACTTCTCATGGTGTTTGCTGTGTAGGGATATCTCTACTTGGGTGGTGAAACATGGCTGAGCTTCTGATTTTGCTCTTAGCTTTAATTGCTTTTTTTTTGGCCAATAAATGAAAAGCACATTTTCCTAGCTATTTTAGAAGTCCTCAGTTTCCTCATTTCTAAGGTGAGGGTAATTGGACTGGGTGATGTCTAAGGTCCTCTAATTCTAAGATTATTCTGTTGGAACACTTGCTGGGTGAGCTGGAGGTTTGGGAGCACTTCTACTCTGTGACCTCAGTTTCCCCTTCTGTAAAAAGAGAACTGGGATTCAGTGACCCCTGAGGAACCTGCTGGCTCTGAGTGAGTACCATGAGACTGGATTGATTGTTTTTCTAAGGTTACAGGGAGATGGGAAATGTTAACTTGACCCTTATGACAATACCGAGCATGGCCTGAGGTTTCCTGGACCCCTCACCTTCTGTGGCTTGGAGCTGAGCTTGGGTGGGAGTTTCATCATCTCCAAAGGGCCCAGCCAAGCAATTGCTCAACAAGACTAGCCAAGTATATACTCAATCAAAATCCCATGGGCAAGACTGTCACTTATGGCTAGAAATGGAGACAAGCTGACCTCAACCATGATGTGAGTGGCCAGACAGGTGCCTAGTAGTATAGGCTGGAAGGTGAGACTGCAGGAGGAGAGGTGATAGGTGAGGAGGGTGAGAACAGCACCTTTTAATGATGTGAGGAAGGATGGCCTGTGGCTCCAGAGTCAGACCAATCTTAGTTCAAATCCTGGCTCTATCACTTTCTAGTTGTGTGACTCTGGACAAGCTATTTAACCTTTGAAACCCATTTCCTCATCTGTAAATAGGGGATAATAGTGCATAATACTTAGGATTGCTGTAAGGATGAAGTGAGACATGCATGCTACTACCTGGTGTATGGTCAGTTATTAACATTATCTCCTTTCATGTTCATTATTCTGAATGGCTGCTGTATTGACTGGGTATTGTGCCACTTTGACATCTCCACAGCAGTGGCTTTGTTGGGAGATTGGAAGAGAAAGAGAGCTTTGTTGAACACTGTGTGCCAGGCACTGTGCTGGCTGCTTCACATGCATTAGAAGCACATTGATTCCCATTTTGTAGAGAGAGAGACTGAGGCTTGTCAAGGTAGAGTAAATTGCCTGAAGTCACAGAGCTTTTAAGTGGAAGTAGTGGGATTTGAACCCAGGTCTATCTGGCTTTGAAGCCTAGACTTTTTTATTTTTATTTATATTTATTTTTTATTTTTTTATTGAGATGGAGTCTCGCTTTGTCACCCAGGCTGGAGTGCAGTGGTGCCATCTTGGCTCACTGCAACCTCCACCTCCTGGGTTCAAGTGATTGTCCTGCCTCAGACTCCTGAGTAGCTGGGATTACAGGAGCCCACCACCACGCCCAGCTAATTTTTTTTGTATTTTTAGTAGAGACAGGATTTCACCGTGTTGGCCAGGCTAGTCTTGACCTCTTGATCTCAGGTGATCCCCCTACCTTAGCCTCCCAAGGTGCTAGGATTACAGGTGTGAGTTATCGTGCCCAGCTGGCCTAGACTTTTTCTAATACAAGACATTCTCTCCCAAGAAGGAGTTATTAAGAATAGATAGTAAATGAGGAATTGTGGAGTCATCATTTTCATATAGTGGGGGAAAAAATCCCCCCACAGTAAATCAGAATCTGCATTTCTACCCAGTCTCTGCTGTCTTGCTGTGTGACTTTGGGCAAGTCACAGGATATATTACAGCCTCATTGTCTTCATTTGCAAAATCAAGAGTTAGAATATTCTCTAGGATTCTTTTTATCTTATTAGTCTGTGCTCTTTTGGAATGGCATTGCAGCCAGTTCTTTCCACTGATTTAGAATCTAATTCTTGGTGATAGATTTTATAGGCTTTCTGGAATAGGAAGTTTTGAGCAGATATGTTTTTCATTTAGATCTGCCAACTTATCTCTCTGCTTCATTGAGAAAAGTTTCCAACCAGAGATCAATGATCAATTTTTATTTTAAATGAAGAATACTACCAGAAATAATGAATCACAATTTACTATCCTGCCCTGGGCTGTGCAGACATTAATCATGGAGCATTATTTGGGAGCCAAGGTGGATGCGCAGCTGAAGGTGCTTTATGATGAACTCCTTTGTGATTGAAATCCCAGGAACACTGTCATTTTTATGCAAAAGAGATGTCGTCTTCCTGCAGCCAGATAAGCTCAGTTCCTCTTGTTTAGGGCCTCAGGAGACAGGACTGGCAGGTTGCTTCCTCTGAGACAGGTCTTCCTATTTCACTGTTGGAGGCTGTTTTCCAGCAGCTAGAATTCCAGAGGCACGGGCGACCAGCAGGCAGCCTGAAGGTCAAATGCAGCCCACCTGCCCTCAGGGGCGCCTCTGCCTGAGAGTTGTGGCAACCAAGCAAAGCTAACCTAATTAGCTCGTACAGGCTGTTGGGCCTTTACCACCTGTTCAGGGGTCCCATGGTGAGAAGGATGCCTGGAGGTGTCAGGCCAACAGGCTCAGATGGGCGAGTCAGTGTCACTCCTGCCAAGTGTAATTCATTACTGTTCAAGTTTAACTCCTCTGACAATACAATGTGGAAACAGGTGCATTCTGAATCTCCCCTGACACAGGGGAACTAGCTGTGCAGAAACCTCCAATGCACACCTGTCTCACATTTGAGGCATTCCCAGGATTTATAAACCAAACTGTTGGCCCTCTCAGTTCACCATGATCACCACCTAAAAAATGAATGCATCACCTGGGTGAGGTGAGCCAGTGCCTAGTGTGCAAAATTGAGAGGCGCTCACTCTCAGGTTCCTGAAGTGCAGGGCCGGCACCTGACAGTGAATGCCTCTGTAAATTTTGCACCCTAGATGCCTCCTGTCTCACTTGCCTCCCCCTAGTCCTGGCCCTGCCATACACATTTCTCATCATGTGGCCCATAGAATGGCATTCATGGAAAGAGTGGCTTTGGAGTGGGGAAGCTTTGGGCTTAAGTCTTGTCTCAAGACCTTGAACGAGATATTTAAACCCTTGTGAGATGCTTAACCTGAACCTCAGTTAACTTCTCTGCAAAATGGGACAAATATACCTGGCCACAGAGGGAACTCAGGAGTGATGGTGTCTAAACAGCCTCCAACAGTGAAATGGGAACAGCTGTCTCTTAAACTCATGCCAGCCTTGGAGATTTCCTTCTATAAGCCACCGCTGTCTAGGTCATGTCCTCTCCGTCACCTCTTCCATCCTCATTTCCCACCAGCCCCAGGTGGTCAGAGGATGGAAAGGATACTCCTTAGTTGTCTCCCATCCCATCCCCGTGCTGTTTTGGGGGCAGGAAAGTCAGGCTGGTCAGGGCCTGCCCTTGTAGTATCTCATCTTCCCAGCCCCACCTGACAGCTGTGAGGCCAGCCCTGAGACGTCAGATGCCCTTGGATTTCCTAACATCCACGTGTGGAAGGGCTTCACTTCTCCTTAGACTTCAAGGGGATGGAAGGAGAGAAGCAGGTTTGGAAGAAATAGAGAGGAGCTGGCTGCTGCTCCTCCCTTCCAT
The DNA here is from genome assembly GCF_000001405.40 of Homo sapiens. Taxonomy (NCBI): domain Eukaryota; kingdom Metazoa; phylum Chordata; class Mammalia; order Primates; family Hominidae; genus Homo; species Homo sapiens. Next base: position 20,623,102 of record NC_000011.10, read on the forward strand.
TCCTAGCACTGCAAGTTCTTTGAGACAAGGAGGGAGGAGAGACTGCTGTTCTGTGGTGCAGGAAAAATGTGTCCTGGTCAGCAGTGTCACAGTGGAGAGAAAAGGAGTGCAGTCCACCTCTGGCAGGTCTGAACCTGCAGCCAGGAAGAAAGAGTTCGGCCTTGAGTAATTGAGTTTAGAGACAGAAGTAACTTCCCCATTTCAGTTCATGGCAACTCCACCCTTTCAGTTGCTGAGGCCAAAACACTTGGGAGTCACCTTGACTCTTCTCTTTCTCTCACACTCCCCATGAAGTCTGGTGGCTCCTCCTGAAAATGTATCTGGCATGTGTTTCTCACCAGCTCCAGCGACAACACCCTGGCTGGAGCCATCCCCATTCTTTGTCCTTTGCCTGCTGGCTGCTGTGGCCTCCTTACTGTTAACCCTGCAGTATTCTTGCTACATAGCAACTGGGTGATTCTGTGCAAACGTTAGATCCTGTTACCCCTCTTCCTGAGTCCCTGCCGTAGCCCTGTTGCCCACAGAGTGAGAGCTCTGCCTGGCCCCACCTAGTCTGCCCCTCCCTACTCCCACCTTGCCGATCTCTCCCACCTGTGCCCCCTCTCTTGCCACACTGGCCTCTTTGCTGTTCCTAGGAGCCAGGCACACTCCCTTCTTAGGGCCATGATTCCAACTGTTCCCTCCATCTGAAATGTTCTCCCAGACATCCAGTTGGCTCACCCTGACTTTCTTCCTTGACCAACTTCTCCCTGAAGCCTTCCCAACCATCCTCCCCACACCCCACCCCACTTACCCAGCTCTAATTTTTCATTTTTTCAATCCACATATCACCTTCTAATATGCCACAAATAATACTTATCACGATTATTGTTGGTTGACTCTCTCCCCAGCTAGAATGGAAGCTATTCAGGGCAGAAATCTTTGCTTTATTTACTGATAGGTCCTGAATGCTTAACTGGCTGGCACATATTAGTTGCTCTAAATATATATATAAGTATGTATATTCATTTGAACAGGTGGAATGACCCCAAGGGTTTTATATATATATATTATATATATATATTTTTTTTGAGACAGAGTCTCACTCTGTCACTCAGGCTGGAGTGCAGTGGTGTGATATTGGCTCACTGTAGCCTCTGCCTCCTGAGTTCAAGCAATTCACCTGCTTCAGCCTCCTGAGTAGCTGGGACTACAGGCATGCACCACCATGCCCGGTTAATTTTTGTATTTTTGTGGAGATGGGGTTTCACTATGTTGCCCAGGCTGGTCTCGATCTCCTGACCTCAAGTGATCCGCCTGCCTCAGCCTCCCAAAGTGCTGGATTACAGGTGTGAGCCAACGCTCCCGGCCCCCAAGAGTTATTTCTTCATCTCAGCTCTAAACTTTCCCAATTCATCTCCCCCTGTGAGTCCTTGAATCCGTCCTCATCTCCTGAAATCCCACTCACTACCATGCTGGAGCCCCCTACCAGGTACTCGAGTCTGTGCAGACAGCGTGCGGCAGGTGCCCTGTGTCCCTCTCATGGGGGCAGGTATTCCAGTTGCCCTCAGAGGAAGGACTGCATGTGGAAATGGAGGTGGCCCTGAACCAATAGCCGTCACCCCATGGATCCCGAGAGCCCAGAGTGGGCCTGGATGGGAGCTTAACCTCAGCCTCTCAAGTGTCTTTTAATGCACTTTTAATGTAGCCTACCTGTGAGTCGAGCGCTGTCAGTGTGATTAAGTTGAGGACTGGGGAGTCCTAGGCCAGACTGTGAAATGGTACTTCTGTTTCCAGTGCCCTGGGCCTGTTCCACTTTGTGTGGATTGTAAGTGACACTGTACTCTTCCAATAGCCCCATGAAGAATCTACTATTGTTGCCACTTTGCAGGTGTGGACACTGAGGGTCAGAGACTCAGAGAGGTTAAGTTGCTGCCTCAGTGAGTGCTGGAGTCAGGATTTGGTGACACAGTTCGTAAGTGCTGGAGTCAGAATTTGGACCCAGGCTCGTGGGACTGCAGAGCCTGAGCTCTCACACTGCTCCTTCTGCTTCTGCCAAATCCTGGTCCCAAGCCCTACCTTCACCTTGAGGTTTGATGGACAGGTACGGAAGGAAAGGTCCTCCTACCTACCATGTTCAACTAACCCCCAAGTTCTGCTAATGTTACCTCCCAAATGTTTCTTTCTTTCTTTCTTTTGAGATGGAGTTTTGCTCTTGTCACCCAGTCTGGAGTGCAATGGCGTGATCTCTGCTCACTGCAACCTCCGCCTCCTGGGTTCAAGTGATTTTCCTGCCTAAGCCTCCTGAATAGCTGGGATTATAGGAGCCTGCCACCACACCCGGCTAATTTTTGTATTTTTAGTAGAGATGGGGTTTTGCCATATTGGCCAGGCTGGTCTTGAACTCCTGACCTCAGGTGATCTGCCCGCCTTGACCTCCCAAATTGTTGGGATTACAGGCATAAGCCACCGCGCCCGGCCTCCCAAATGTTTCTTGACGCTGGTCCCTCCCTCTTTTCCAGCATCCAGCAATACCCTTTTGCTGGCATTCAAGTCTTCCCATGACGTGGTCTCCTCCAATGTCTCTAGCCCCCCACCCCCTACTCTTAGCCTCAACTTTATGCTGTGCTGATAGTGAGTGAGTAGAGCTTTGCCTCACACGCCTGCCTTGCCCATGTGCTTCCTTCACCTTCCCACCTTGCCTCTCCTCCTCTAAGCTGCACTTGTCCAGTTCAGTGTCATCTCCATGAACGTCTTAGTAGACGCCCAGGTTGGGCACAATGCCCTTCCCTGAACTTCCATAGTGCCCTCTGTGTAATTCCCTAGCTCATTATTCAGACATTGTCTTTGTGTCTTCTAGGTTAGGAGTCCCTTCATCTTTATGCAGCTGATGCCTGGCATAGTGCCCAGCTCATAGGAGGCCCTCAATAAATATTTGTTGAACTTAATGTCATTTAATGACCTGCTGTTATAAATCAGGCACCATGCTAGGTCCTATCCATGCATTAGCTCATTGAATCCTCACGATTATCTGTAAGAAAGGTGCTATTATCCTTGATTTACAGATACTGAAACTAAGATTCAGAGAGCTTAATAAATGTCTAAGGTCACACAGCTAGTCAGTGCCAGATGTACAGTTTCATTTGAACCTAAATGCGTCTAATTCTAATATCATGTTCTTCTGACCTTATGGGACTGCCTCACTTAGGTATGTGTATAAACAGGGATGGAAAGCTTAAGCTAATAGGATTCATCTTTAATGGTGGAATTTTGGTGCTCTAGCGGGCATGGGCACAGAGCCCCCCTCCCTCCTTCTCTCTGTGGTCCCCTAAGGAGTTGTGTACTCATCAGCTGGGCTGGATGACATCTCCCCCAGCCTTCTGGCTGTAGGCCGACTCACCCCACAGCCTTGGGTCTCTCCTAAGAGGCTTTATTTCTAGCTCTCTCTGACTCACCTTTGGTCCCAGTGCCTTCCCTGCTTCCCCAGCCCTGGCTGCATTTGGGGACAACTACCCTGATGTGCTCTCTGTCATGCGCAGCCCCACTCTTCCCCGAGCAATGCTCCTTCTGCACAGGTGCACTCTGCAGGGCTGCTTCTTCCAGCCCCTCTGCCCATGGCTTTTCTAGGTGGTGTACTTCACGGCCACGTTCCCGTATGTCGTACTCGTGATCCTCCTCATCCGAGGAGTCACCCTGCCTGGAGCTGGAGCTGGGATCTGGTACTTCATCACACCCAAGTGGGAGAAACTCACGGATGCCACGGTGGGCTTCTAATTTTATCTATAACCAGCCCTGGGGGAGTGGCCCTCTGGGAGGCTTGGGCAAAAAGGGTTAGACTTCCTCCTCCAGGGAATCCCAGTGTGTGCTTTTATAAGAGCCTGATGATCTTGGTACATTATGCACTCAGGAAATATTTAATGAGAAGTGGACAACTGAGGGTTTTTAGATTCCTGGAATAGTTGTCCTACATCTGGGGTTATAGTAGAGGCCGAAAATGAAGAATGAAATCCCCTTAATAGCTTTGGGCCAACTCACATCACTTATCTGTTGCTAATTATAGAGTGTCGGAAGGGTAGTTTTGCTGGTGGGAAAATAACAGCACTTAGTGTAAACCACAAGCGATTCTATTTTAAAAATATTTTTACCTGAACCCTTTAAGGGCTCAGACACATCTGAATACTTTTGTGCACCCACACAGGGCCAGCACAAGCTGAACTTTGTCTTTGCATATTCTGTACAGGCATATCTAACTCTAAAATTTCCAATTCAAAAACTACAAATGAGGGGGTGATTGTTGAAGGGGAACTGAATTTTCTCACCTTAAAGGAAAACTCTGCTTTTCCAGGATGTGTTAAGATTGCATAGCTAGGATTGAGTTTGATTGCACAAAACAGAAAGTCTCCACTTAATAGCAGGTAGGACGTGACACTATAAAGTCTGCAGCGGCATAGAGGTTGCTTTACTGAGATTGGGGCTACAGAGTTTCAGAAATTTAATAGCAGTTGTAATCTGCAGAAATGTCAGTTAAAAAGGGTTTTGATTTTGCATCCGTTGTTATATTTTTCTGTTGTAAATTATTATTTTCTGAGAGTGTATTGACCTAAAGGAAGGACTCTCCCTTCCGTTTAGCTTTACAGGAGAGAACATATGAGCATGGTATGTAGTGTAGTTTATTGAGTTCCTCACCTTTGATAGAGGAAGTTAAAATCTCCCAGGTAATTGACTATGCCTTTGGTTTCCAGCACAAGTGATTTATGTTCTCATTGATGTTGATGTCGGGGGTCATCTTGTCCCTGATGTTTCCCCTGGAAACATGATATGGCACTGGGTGTGTGACTCCTCTCCCCTGGCGCCAGTCTCCTTCATGGGTCTTGAATCTCTTTCCCTTTTGCCTCTCAGGTGTGGAAAGATGCTGCCACTCAGATTTTCTTCTCTTTATCTGCTGCATGGGGAGGCCTGATCACTCTCTCTTCTTACAACAAATTCCACAACAACTGCTACAGGTATGTAGAGGTACTACAAGATCTGGGCATAGCTGGTGAGTGGGACAGAAGAATGGACTGAGTTATCAGACACCTGAGGCCACATCCTCACATTTCATCTTAGGGAGAGCTAAAGATTTGCCTCTGGCCTAGGAGAAACCACCTGCTAAGGCCTAGGCACTATCTTCTGAAGGCCTGGACCCTCACTTACACACCTGGCTCTGACACATGGGGGAGGCTCAGTGGCTATTTACAGGATGGAAGCAAGTTTGTCTGCAGGTCACTGTGCAGTTGGCTGTGTTCTGTGACAGTCATTTGTGAGCTACCTAGTCTGTGGATACAATGGACTGTGCCTTCAGATGGTCTTCCCTCTGTGTGGGGCTGTGACCTAATCTCCTCTTCTTATAAAGACCCCAGTCATATCAGTCACATTGGATCAGGGACCACTCTAATGACTTCATTTAACTTAATTACCTCTTTAAAGGCCCTATCTCCAAATACAGTCACGTTATGAGATGCTAGTGATTAGGATGACAAAATATGAATTTGGTAGTGATAGGGGAGTGGTAGGAAGACACAATTCAGTTCAAAATGACCTTGAGTAACAGACTATGGTATTTAAACTTCATTAGTCACAACTGCTCATTAACCATTGACCCAAATCAGTCTGAACACCATTAAAGGGTGAAGCATTGCTATCTTCTTTATTAGAAATGAGGCTGTGGTGTGGCAGAAATAACCCAGGCTGAGAGCTTGAAAATCTAGATTCATATCCTGGCCCACACTATTAATTAGTCCATTACCTTTCCCTGGGCCTCAGTTTCCTCTTCAGTAAACTAAGGGGTCAGACAAGGTGGATCATTTGCTGCACACTTGCTCTGTGCTAGGCGGTGCATAGTACAGGTATCATCTCATTCTCTCCTGGCAACAGCCTATGACAGATAGACTCATTGCTGCCATTTCAAATCAGAGTGGAAAGGAAGTGGATTGCTCAAGGTCATGCCACTAAAAGGCAGGAGAACCAGGATTTCAGTGTAGCCCTGGGTTACAGTGTAGCCCGTCTAGCTGTGACCTCACATTTGAATCTAGGATGACTGAAGGTAGACTGGGAAACCCTGGCTATCTTACCAGCAGCAGGCTCTGCGATGAAGGTAGAGACACTGGGCTCTCTTCCCTCCCCTGCCCCTTTGTCCTTCTCAACCCTGTGTGTCCCAACTCCAGGCTACCCTCACATTTTAGGGTCATTTGACTTTCCCACTGCCTTCTCTTCCCTCACACATAGTTCCTGTCCTGGAGCCGACCAAGGCCCCATCTCCTCAATTTCTGTTCTGATGAACAGATTTACCTCTGCCCCTGGAATAATGTCTTAGTTTGTTCAGATTGTCTAACAAAATGCCATAGACTGAGTAATATTTTTTCTTTATACGTTTTTTGCTTTTATTATTTTTAAATGACACATAGTAATTATGCATATTTATGGAGTACAGTATGATATTTCGGTACATGTATACAATGTGTAATGATCAAATCAGGGTAATTAGCATATCTACTACCTCAAACATTTATCATTTCTTTGTGTTGAAAACACTGACAGTTCATTCTTCTAGCTGTTTGAAAACATAAAATAAATTGTTGTTAATATAGTCATCTCATAGTGCTGTAGGATGATTTTTTTTTTTTTTTTTGAGATGGAGTTTCGCTCTTGTTGCCCAGGCTGGAGTGCAATGGCCAATCTCAGCTCACTGCAACCTCCACCTCCCAGGTTCAAGCAATTCAAGTAGCTGGGATTGCGGGCATGTGCCACCATGCCCCGCTAATTTTTTTTTTTGTGTGTGTATTGGGTAGACACGGGGTTTCACCATGTTGGTGAGGCTGGTCTCGAACTCCTGACCTCAGGTGATCCACCTGCCTTGGCCTCCCAAAGTGCCGGGATTACAGGTATGAGCCACCGTGCCCGGCTGGGATGGTTGTTAATATAGTCATCCTATAGTGCTATAGAATACTAGAGTTTATTTCTCCTACCTAGCTATATTTTTGTATCTTTAACTGACTTTTGGCTATAAACAACAGAAATTTATTGCTCACTGCTCTAGGGGCTGGGAAGTCCAAGTTCAAGGTGCCAGAATATTCAGTGTCTGGAGGGCTGCTCTCTGTTTCAAAGATGGCACCTTGTTGCTGTGTCTTCATATGGTGGAAGAGGCAGACACATTCCCTTCAGCCTATTTTATAAGGGCACTAATCCCATGAGTTGGCTCTGTCTTCATGACTTAATCACTTTTCTAAAGCCTCCACCTCTTAATACTATCAAATTGTGGATTAAGTTTCAGCCAATGAATTTGAGATGGGGGGATTCAGACCACAGCAGATGAGTTGAGACCCATTTATATAGATCGTGGAGTCAGAGCTTTGGCCCACAGGCCCTGAATCAGGGCTATTAGGGGATATCGTCTGAGCCTTTTGGTGCTTTTTAAGTGAGCCCAAGGGAGCCTGTGGTTAGGACATGAACGTACACGTATATGCCTACACATGTGCAGACAAACATGTGGGCACACATTTGTGTGTCCTTCCCCTTGTCCCTTTCCACTCACCAAGCACACCTAATGGAAAACTCTGGTCTCTTCCTTCCAGGGACACTCTAATTGTCACCTGCACCAACAGTGCCACAAGCATCTTTGCCGGCTTCGTCATCTTCTCCGTTATCGGCTTCATGGCCAATGAACGCAAAGTCAACATTGAGAATGTGGCAGACCAAGGTACAGGACAGTTGTTACCCTGCTGTTGCAGGGCAGGTCCCAGGCTCATGTCACAAGCTCCTAATTTAGACTATGCTGGGAAGCTGGCCTTCTGGAACAGGATAGAGGGTGGAGGAGCCCAGGTCCTTCTTTACAGAGGGACCAAGGCAGGCTCAAGTAGGAAGCTCACTGCAGAGTCAGAACTGGCTGGTCTCTAACTGGAGGGATTGCTTTAAAAGCCCTCTTTCCTTCTCCTTGCCTCTCCTTCCTCTTACCTTGCCCCTCTTAATTTAGCTCCAGTCTATAGAAATAAGGGTTATACCTGTTAGGTATGAGTAGAGAATTTATTAGGCAAACCATTGCCTCAGGAGCTGATGTGGGCACAGGCTGCTGTAGGATGACATTCATTGCAGAAGGCCCTGTCGAAACCAAGGCTTAGTGAGAGAACTGACTTCAGAGGAGCATTTTCCTTACAAAGCACTTTTCTGATTGTTAGGTCAAATGTGCTTTCAGGGCCTTCTGCTTAGTTAGCAATGCAGACCTGCAGTTTTTTTCCCCAGTGGGTAGAAATGTTGGATCGTGCTGGGTGGGTGGAGAGGCATGTGGAATAAATGTTTACTCTCTACCCAAATGATCTTTTTATTAATGGCTAACATTTGTATGGTGCTTTCAAGTTGACAAAGAGCTTTCATTTTTATTTCACTTAATCCATATTACTAGGACAGCATTTTGCAGAGAAAGCATTCAAGATTTTAGTTTAACTCTTCATTTTCACCCAGCCTGGTTCCACAAAGGATTTGTATATTTAGTAGGTTTCAGTGATCAAGGGATTTCATTGTGTCTGTTGTTTACCATTATGATCTCATTCTCAATTCAGACATTTATGGGATGCGTAGTGTGTTGGTCATGTGCCTCATGCTGTGGGGCATGACTGTGGCCCTGGACAACCAAGGGGCGTACCTGTGAGAGGCTTGTCTGGGCAGTTATCTTCCTTCAAGGAGCTGACTGCAATTCTCAGATAATGGCTCAGATGTGGTGAGAGAACTAAGCCCTGGAAATGTCACCTTCTTGGATACTAAGATTTCTTCTGGCTCCCCAAGGATAATTCATTACTGCGCCAATTCATGCTGATGGTGCACCAGGGGCCTCAAAGAGTTAAAGAGCCAGCACTTTCCAGGGGTGCAATTATCTCTCCCTGGAGAGAGTGTAAAACCCTGAGGGGTGTTTGGTTCCGCAGCAATGCACTAAATTAGAGGGGCCCCAGGAGATAAGCAATGGCTCTCCCTGGTTGAGAATTCTCAGATACCCTGGGAGGCAGGGAGGGAAAGTGAGAGGGTAAACGGGTTTTGTCCTTAGAGGTACTGGAGTCACTTCCAGCTGTCCTGTAACCTCATTTCCTCCTAGCAGAGTGGTTGGAGCAGATAGGTTCTGTCCCATTTTCTAGAAGATCTTAGGCATTTTGCTTTTTGTGACATTACTGAGTTCTTTTGGAACCAGTGGCCAACCTGCTAGAGACTGTGAATCCTGAGATGTGGGCCAGGTTAGTAAATGATTCTGAACTCTTTTCTGCTCCAGGAAACGGATTTCTGGGGAGATATTGCAAAAACTCAAACAGAATGTTGTTTATCTGGTGTGTAAAATTGCCAACAAATTGCCCATGTTTTCCTCTGAAATTTCTCCTTTCCAATGTTTTTTCACTTCCTTTGATTTGAACAAGGGTAGGGGCACTTCTAACAGGTTCTAACCTGTTGTGTTAATTCTTGTCTCTGGCACAGGGACGGGTGGGCCTCATCTCTCACAGGAGAAGGCCCATGAGATCTTCTCCCAGACCCACTGGGGAAGCTTTCCTGCTCATCTGAACCTGGATGTATTTTTATATGTGCTTTACAGGCTTGTCTTACTTGCCTTGATATAATGGAGGCTCTGCAGAATACAGGACAGAGATTTGGGGTCAGGCCTGCATTCAACCTGAGCCCCACTTCCTCCTTGCTGGGCAACACTGGCATATAGACATTCAGGACATTTTTGCTGACCCAACTTTGGTAACTAAGTTTTGATCTTTAGTCAAATAGAGGTTCTCTTTAATGACCTAACACTATGCGATTTAGTTTACCACTCCCTTCTAAAAGAGGCATTTCTACCAAAATGATCATCTTAAATCTTGGTCTTATCAAAATTTTGAGGGGCTGAGGATGGGATTGGTGAAGAGACCAAGCTGTGTTTTGCTTTTATGATAGGCATAGGGAAGGGGGCATGTTCTCGGGGAACTACTCTAGAAAAGCAGCTTCCAGGAAAGTTAGCCCTTCAGAGCCATCTCGCCACCATATGCATTACCACCTATGGAGCGGTGACTCATGTTCAGAATCTATCCTGAAGCCAAACAAAGATGCTTATCCAATAGCAGAAACACTGAGTTATACCAGAGTAGATAAGCAGAAATTTGCATATTTATTTAGCATTCCCAGGTGTAGGTAACTCTCAGCTAACCGGAGCACTAGAAATACTACTTTGGTTCCCTTGCCCCTTAATAGTTCAGATACCTTACTAATCAAAATAAGCATTCTCAAACAGCACTGATGTCCCACTTCCATGCAGCCATCTGTCTGTCACCTGTATCCCAATCCTTCTGCCCAAAGGCACAGAGGTCCAGGTGGCATATCCTCAGAGAGCTCATTCAATTTGTAATAGTTATCACAGCAGAGTGGCTACCCAAGCTGTGCCATGGGCCTTGATGCATTGCACTGACCAGAGCCCCTTGCTGTGTCTTTAGTGGCACTCTAGGATAAAGGAGGCTCTCATGGTAGGATCTCTGGGGACTCTGCTCAAGTTACTGAAATGAAGAGCCCCTTTGATCCCTTCTCATAAGAAGACTAATAATGGTCTATGTTTTCTGAGTTCATAGTATGTCCAGGCATTGTTCTAAGCCTTTTACTTGTGTTGATGCATTTAATTCTCACGGAAGCTCTATAAAGGTAGGTACTATTACTATTTCCATTGTGTGGATAAAGAAACTAAAGTTTGTCTAGAGAGAACAAGTGACCCCCTAAGTCCTCGGCTAGCAAGAGGTACAGCCAGTTTGTTTTTTGTTTCTTTTTGAGATGGAGTCTTGCTCTGTCACCCAGGCTGGAGTGCAGTGGTGCCATCTTGGCTCACTGCAACTTCTGCCTCCCGGGTTCACACCATTCTCCTGCCTCAGCCTCCTGAGTAGCTGGGACTACAGGCGCCCCCCACTACGCCCGGCTAATTTTTGTATTTTTAGTAGAGACGGGGTTTCACCATATTGGCCAGGCTGGTCTTGAACTCCTCACCTTGTGATCTGCCCACCTTGGCCTCCCAAAGTGTGGGGATTACAGGCGTGAGCCACCGCACCTGGCTGCCAGTTTTTTAATCCATGAGGAAGAGAGCCTGTACTCCAGCCACTGGGCTCTACTGCCTCCCAGTGGGAGAGGAGAGAGGCAGAACTTGGCCTTCATCAGACTGGCCATATACTCTTTTAAACATCTAACGATGTTATTCTCTAGATGACTCCGCTCCCCATCTGCCTTGGGTAAGTGGAGTCTGCTGTAATTTAGCTTGCAAAGAATGCCTTCACCTGGGTGCTTTAGGGAGGCAGCTGAAATGGAAGCAGACTGAATATTTTGAAATCACTTGTTTCCTCTAAAAAAGCTGTAAAGCCCAAAGGGTAGAATCCTGTTAAAGTGAGCAGCTGAGGACCTCTGGTAGTGGCCATTCAAGATCTTCTTGTCGGCTTTACGGGCCTGACTGTCGCCAGAACATTAAACTGACTTCCTTGTTGTTCTGCATTTGAGACCTATTTTGAACTTTAGTTTAATACAGACTTTTCTTTTACGGTTCACATAGGGAGCCTTCAGAGGCTGGCTCTACAGTCTGTTCAATAAATGCGTAAAGCGGGGGTATTTCTGGCATTTGAGGCTTTATATTTTAAATACACAAAGGCCCTAGGCAACATTAGGAACTAACAACCTGATAAATTCCAGTTTAAAAAAGTGCTGTTATGCTTGAGTTATAAACATTCTAGGTGCTGTGATTGCTGATTGTGGACGTGTGCTGGCTGTGGATTATCCCGGCGCCCACATTCACTTGTCTCTGCCCATTATCATTTAGTTTTCTACTTACAGGAAAATTCACAACTGCTGTGTCTTTAGCTACCTTTGATTACAGTAATCTTCCCAGTGAGACCGTGAGGCAGGGAGAATGGCTGGCAGAGCTTTACGATAGCAGAGAAAACTGCCGCTCAGACTTCCCCACCAAGACCACATGAAGTGTTCTAGAGAAAACCTGAATCAGAACCGCTAACTTCCAAGTTCATAGTCCACTCATAATAGAAGATAATATTCTGTGGGTGTTGATGATGTAGGGGGTACTGGGCTCAGTGTTTTACCTGCGTTTTCTCATTTGTTTATTGTAACCACCTTGTGAGGTCCTATTTTTGTCCCCATTTTACAGATGGACAAAATTGAGGCTTACAGAAATTAAATAACTTGTCTAGGGTTGCACAGATGGTAAGTCACGGAATCTGGATTTGGACCAGATCTAACCCTTAGAGACTGAACCCTCTTAACCCTTACATGATGTTTCATGCGCCGCCCCCCCGCAACCCGACTAACTACTAGGACTGATGTAGCCCCATTTATACCAATAGTGCAAGATCCTGAAAGTGTTAGATTCATATTTTATGTGAATGTTTTCTCCTGGAGGACTAAATAGGAGGAAGGGTAGTTAAAGGAAGAAATACTAATGCATGCCAGACTTAATACTTAGGTGATGGGGTGATCTGTGCAGCAAACCACAATGACACACGTTTACCTATGTAACAAACCTGCACATGCACCCCAGAACTTAATAAAATAAATAAAGGAAGAAATGATGTCATTCTGGTCATGTTCCAACTTTTAGAGCGGGGATTCTCAAACCTCAGCACTATTGACATTTGAGACAGGATAATTCTTTGTTGGCAAGAAGCTCTCTTGTGCATTGTAAGAGGCTTACCAGCATCCCTTGCCTCCACCCCACTAGATGCCAGTAGTTATCCTACCCCTACCCCCAGCTCACCCGTGAGAATAAAAAATGTCTGCAGACATTGCCAAATATCCCAAACATGGCAAAATCACTGCTGGTTGAGTACTACTGCTGTAAAGGCTAATTAATTACATTTTCCTTTAATTCATCCAATACAAAGATCCTATGTACATGGTACACAGCCTAGCCGTGGAGTCCAGTAGAGTTGCCTCTGAGTCTCTGCTTAGACACTATTTTTAGGCCTCTCCTGTGAGTTCTCCTAGCTGTTGACCTAATTCCTTTGGTCTTCCCCTTCAAGGAGCCTAAGGTCTAATTGAGGAAATGGATAGAGATGAGTAAAAAATAACCAACAGTGGAAGCAGCATATAAGAAGTAATAAATGAGGATCTCAGCAGAGAGAAGGCCCTCTGGGCTCTGGGAAGAGCAGCCTTGAGTAGGGCCTGCCTGCAATCATCTGTCTTGTTCCTTCCAGGGCCAGGCATTGCATTTGTGGTTTACCCGGAAGCCTTAACCAGGCTGCCTCTCTCTCCGTTCTGGGCCATCATCTTTTTCCTGATGCTCCTCACTCTTGGACTTGACACTATGGTGAGCCCCTTTTCCATCAGTCTCTATCCCATGCTCCTCTTGAAGACTCCCCCTCTCCTGGGTCCTGGGTTCACCCTTCAGGAGAGGGGTAGGCTTACGGGTGTCTGAATGTTTCTCCCGAGAGATCTAGAGATGCTGAAGTGCCTGTGTAGGGCTCAGGATCACCTTGTATTTTGGGTGCTCATGTAATGGTGCAAGAGAGTCATCCTCTCTCCTTCCTTCTCCCTCTGTTCTATGTGGCAACTTTTAGCCTGTGTATCTCCTGCCTTCGTGTCATTTTGCCAAAGCAAATTCTTTAGGGCTGGATAAAGAATAATGTGAAATCAATTTTAGGGAAATTGCTGTGGGGCTGAGACAACCGCAGATCATGCTGACAGGTGCTCAGAGTTTAGTCCTTGGGTGCAAAGAGGGTTTTTCCTCAAGTAGAAGAGCAAATGCAAGGTAAACTGGAGGAGAGGAATTTACATCTCATGAATACAAAGTGAAACTTAAACTGTCCTAATGGGTGAATATGAATGCAAGTCTCTGGGGGTTGGAAGTGCAATTTTTAAAGCTCACATCCTGCTTGGGTTCTCTTGGCTGCCTGTGGGTTGGACCCCAAGGAGGCTTTTTAGACCCATTGAGGGAATGCCATCCTAAAAACCAAACCTAACACAAATACAACTTTCCTGGATGGGACATACAAAGGGCTTGGGGGTACCTCCTGGGTGGTACAATTTGACTCAGATGTTCATTTCCTGACACGGTTCCAGTTTGCCACCATCGAGACCATAGTGACCTCCATCTCAGACGAGTTTCCCAAGTACCTACGCACACACAAGCCAGTGTTTACTCTGGGCTGCTGCATTTGTTTCTTCATCATGGGTTTTCCAATGATCACTCAGGTAAGCTGCCTCCTAGGCACAGGCTTGGGGTGGGGGCAGGAGGGTGGGGGGCCAATAGCTATCTGTCTTTCAACCCTTAGCTCTCAGACCTTATAATCAAAGGCAAATCACTACCATTTCCATGTAGATGGCACCAGTTCATTAGGGATTCTGACTGCAGAGGGAAATATGTCATCTTGGCTACCAGTGATGCTTCTAGTATCTTCATAATTGAGATGTAGCCTTATTGAGCCAACAAGGCAGGTGTGTCCTACTTTAAGAAAATAGGTGCAGTGGCGCATGTCTCTAGTCCCAGCTACTTGGGAGGCTGAGGCAGAAGGATTGCTTGAGGCCAGGAGTTCAAGGTTGCAGTGTGCTCTGATTGCATCTGTGAATAGCCACTATACTCCTGCCTGGGCAACATCGTGGGACCCTGCCTCTAAAAAGTAAATAAAAAATTAGGAAAAAGAAAACAGAATACATAAAAATCTTTATTTACCAATCAGGTACAATTTCTGATGATTAATGTCATGTATGAGTCAACAGCCACTGCAGTTTCTTCCAGTCCCAAGTGTCTTGGTAAATTGTGTTAGCTTACTCAGTATATATATTGCTTTTGTTGTCTCTGTGGCCTTGAGCAAGTTAACTACTCAGGGCTTTAATTTCTTCTTCTGTAAAATAATGGATTGGAATGTGAAGGTCTCTACACCTTATTTACTGTAGGGAGACTTAAAGATTGAGGTAGAGATAATGTGGGGGTGTGTGAGAAATACCCAGAGACACCTAAAGGTCATCGGAGGGTCAATCGAATGCAGATACATAGGTGGAAACGATCAATTGCTTAAAGCAAAAATAAAGCAATCTGGCTGCTTTCACATATACTTCTTCAGACCTTGACCTTTGCCTTTCAAGAATAAGATGTTAAATCGCTTTTTTTGGTGCTTGTTATATTGATTAGCTCGGAGCCTGTTGAGGAACTGCTTTGCTGACTCAGCAAGGCCTCCAGCTTACATGCTGGACCAGGTGTAGGTTACTGCTACTGAGAGGAGGGGAGATGCATGGACTCCTGTTTGCACCTGACTCTTTTTAGGATTGAGAGAACTGGCTGTTAAACGTGGGAAGAGACAGCCTGGCTTCAGGACGCATTTGATATTGGTTGTTTCTCTCTCCTGTTAGGGTGGAATTTACATGTTTCAGCTTGTGGACACCTATGCTGCCTCCTATGCCCTTGTCATCATTGCCATTTTTGAGCTCGTGGGGATCTCTTATGTGTATGGTAAGGAAATCACTGTGCCTGTTGCTGAAGTAGAGCTTGAGTGTCGGTAAGGCATTCATGGCAAGCAGATTTCCCATACTTAATAAGACAATACAGGGCTTAAATTGCAACTATTTAGGAAACCTAAGAGAGCTGCACTTTTGTTTCTAAACTTGCCTCACGACCACTGTGATCCAAATTTAATAGGGAAACAAGAGGTGGCTGAAGGCGAAACTTAAAAATCTTTGTATCAGAAATTCCTAGGACTTGGACACCCCTTTGGGTATGATCTGGCATTTGAACAGTTAATGCTTTTGAACAATGGCCAGATCAGAAAGGAGGAGGCTACTTTGCAGGCGTGAAATTATTTCCTGGTATTCAATACCCATGCAGCTTGAATTGAGGGGTAACTTTGTAGCTGGTCCCTGGGTACTGTAGTGAGAACAGAGACCACTCAGCTCACAGATCCTTAGGAAATTGTATTAGCATCATAGGAGCCTGTGATGCAATATCTCAATCTCAGATTTTTCCAGGAATAGACTTCCAGTTTATCCTTCCTACTGTCACAATAGCAACCGGCATGCCATATCAGTGGGGCCATTATCAACAACAGAAATGGTGAGCTATCAGATGCCATCTTTTCCCTTTGTGTGGAGGTGTTTGTCCTTGGGGTTTCAAGGGCATCTCCTGGTCCCTTGTATGCACTGTCGGTGAGTTCAAGAAAGTCCTATTTGATTCAAGGCCCTACTGACTTCTTTCTGCTTGGAAGCCTGCTCAGAACTGTCCTGAGGCCTCACTAATATATATATAAGGCCACCATAGCAAATATCAGGAAGGCGAACACTTCCAGTTCAGACTATCTAATTGCACTTCAGATCCCAAAAGAGACAGCAACATATTCTAAGCTAAAAGGAAGTGCAAGATATTATTTGGAATGCAGGATATGCTCGAGGGACAAATGTACCCTCTGAAGCCCAAAGGAAGAGGGGTCTAGGCCAGAGGGGTCTGCAGAGCTCTGGTCTTTAAACTGGGGGCCCAGCAAAGCTCACCCTAACCTCCAGGTACCCCTGTTATGAGCATCTTATTTTTAATGTAATTGTTAGCCTCCACCGAAGAGGTGCTTAACAGCTTCTTGCTTTTCTGGAAAACTCATTAAAATAAAGGGGGTGGAGTGGGAATCAAGATGGAAAAAGAAACCTCCTGTGTAAACCTCCTGGTACTCCAGAAACAGGATGATACCTGCAGTCAATTTTGGGCATTAGTAGAAGGGGAATTTGTCTCAGACTAGAGATCACATCCCCACTGCAGGGAGAGTTTAGTTCCTGGCAAGAGAGGTGGGCAGGCATGCCAGCTGTCCTGATGAGATCAGAGACCAAGCTGCCAGCACTTTTGGCTGATAAGACCGCCTAGATCCTGCAGTGATTGAAGACCTGCTGTCGGAGTTAGGGTGAGGCTTCAAAGTGCTTTTTACTTGAGCAGAGAGTGGTAGAAACCCAGTGAAATCCACCACAGCGTATCTTAACTTTGTGCCCAGAAACCAAAGACCTTGCCAGGAGAGGCAAAAAGAAGCCTCCAAGGTCTTTCTTTGGCACCTCAGCACCTCATGGGTCAACATGTAAGCTGAGGTCACTAGACGATCAGTTGGCAAAGTCGGGAAAGCACTTTATTTGCAGCACTGGCCCAAGTGCAAGTAACTATCTCATTTACATCTTCTGTTACCTGTACCCTAACTGCTGATTGCCACAAAGGGCACGTTTGCACAGTTCTTCCCTATAAAACAGGGCTGTTCAGGATGGTTTAAAACATCATTAAAATAGAAACCTTAATATTTCTGTTTTTAGGAATTAAATAGTCTCCCCCGCATCCCCATACAAATCTAGTCATAGGTTTCTTAGTTCTGAAGGAAAAAATAAATCCTGAGTGCTTTAGTCCCTGGGCTATGTTAATTTTCCTTGGGACCACCCAGGGAATCCCCTGGTTTCTAAGTAAGAGTGCTGGTGTTGGGCTTGCCTCCAGAATCAGGTTGACTCTGTGCTGGGCTCAGGTTGAACCTGACTTCTGCAGTGTCGGATGTGGGTGTGCGCCTCTGATTTGGATCTGGATGGAATTCTAAGAAGTGAATCTCAGGAAGAAAAATAAGCTAACATGACTGTTTGAGGTAAAAAAAAAAAAAAGAAGAAAAAAGCCTGCACAAATCTGTAATTTATATCCCAGAAGACAGTGTATTCTTTATTGAGATGATGAGGCCCCAGACCAGTGCAGGGTTCATTTAAAATAGTGGAACATAAACCTGTGAAGGGTTAAAATGAAACTGACTCACTTGATGTGCTACCTTCCTAGCCAGAATTAAAAAAATAAGCCAGTGAATTGAAGACATTTGTGTTTTCTTCTTGTTTCTAATAATCTCTAGATTCTAGAGGATATCATCCAAACATTTGAAATATGGTAGGGACAATTTTCAAGTTTTATTTATTAGATTGAAACAGTTGTTTGACGTTCTCAAGTCAACATGCCTCAATGGCCAATAGCTGGCTTCGAGGTATCCAGGTTTAAAAGTAAAACTCCCTTAGTTTTGTGTAGAAGTGGTCCCTTTAGCAGACTTTTATCTAAGTAGAGTCATTTTGAAAAAATGTTTTGCATTTTTTCTGGAGCCAGTACAGGGGCCTTTTGGCTGGAGAAACAATGTGATTGAACAGCCACTACCAAGGTCTCCTGCTTGCTAACTGCCTGGCTCTTCATTGTGTATTTCCCCAACCTCAACATGGAGTGGTCTTGATCTGTTTTCCATGTCAGTCAGTTACTTGTTTCACATTCCACCTCCCAGATGGCCTCTCTTCACATTCTTGTGAGAAATGTTAGATTCACAGCAGACAATGGCTTTTGCTTGATGGACTATCTGTTTTCAGTTCTTGCCCATCCTGATGGCTGAACTCAGCAAGATTTTTTAAAGTACAAAACCCCCCAAAAACAACAAAACAACAAAAATAAACTGTACCCCTGAAATCTGCAAATTCAAGCTTAATTTATTTCTCTGTGAGCCCCCTCCCTGAGCTCCACTTTCCCTTATGTTTTTATCTGAAATGTCATGGTATACACCACCAATTTCAGGGTGTAGTGTTCCCTAGTTCCATTTTCTGGTACTCAGTAAATTTTAGGAATGAGAGGCTTTAGCTCATTAATAACTCACACAGGTAAATGTGTGTGAGTATGTCATGTGGGCTTTTAAGAATGTGGAGAGGGTGGGATAATGTCCTATAGTCATGGAACTTGCCAACTAGCTCCCAAGGAAGAACACACACACTTAAGACACTGAGGAGAAGGACAGTGCTAACTGTGCATCCCTGGCTGTGAGCCCTTTTGTTGCCCAGAGATAATGGAGGGTCAGAGTAGTCAGAAAATCCTTGGAGGTGGCATCTCAGAGAAAAAATAATATAAAATAAATAAACACTGGGACTTAGGGAGTATTAAGCTGAGGGCCCTTCACAGTAACTACAAAAGAATGACTTGGGGATTTACTTGTCCAAAAGTATACACAAGACTGGAGACGTAATTTGTGGGATATAGTACTAAATGAAAATATAGAGTCACTTGTTAAAAAAAAATATGAAGTTCAATATGGTAGCTGGAGAGCGCTAAACCAGGTGTGGTTCCTCTCTGAGCACAGAGATCTGTGTGCTCAGAGAGGAACCACACCTGGCCACCCAGGAGGGAGAGCAGCCCCCATGAACAATATCCAGACCAAGGGCACAGGTGTGGTTTAGAGAGGCAAAAGCCACAAAGGTGCATGGGGGAAAGTGATTGACTGGTTGAAGCAACTCTTTGACATCTCAGTTCAGGATCTTTTGGTCGTATGCAGTTTGTCATGGACTGATTTCTGAGCCTCATATCTGTTTGAGTCTAAAATAATAGCCATGAGTTCACCACCTTCTTTCCCCCCTGCTGTTTTTCTGCTAATTCAGACGCATTTTTGAGAATCAGCTGCTCAGAGCCCTTTTGGGGCCTGACTACTTGCTCTCTTACCCCTCCAGGCTTGAGGTCATACAGCAGGCAAGTCCCTCTTGCCCATGCTCAAGGCTCCAAGAACAGTTCCTTTATCATGAGTTAGGCCTTGAAGGCAAGATGGATGTGGATTAGGGGAAAGGAGAAAGCAGGCAGAGGAAACCATATAAACAGAGGCCTAAGATGAAAATAGCTGTTGACTCAGTGAAGGACTCAGGTGGGGACTTGGATGTGGGCCAGGGCCTGGGTGCTGGGAGTGAGGCAGAGGCTGGAGGAACTGGAGAGCTTGACTCAGGAATGGCACGGTGCAGGAGGGTTGCGTGACAGGGGAAATGTCTTTCCGGGGTCCAAACTGGCCCTGAAACCCAAGCCTTTTCACTCTTGGTCCCAGGACTGCTCCTCTTCATTAAGTTGTCTCTTGCTGAAAACTGAGCACCCATGATCCACCCCTTCCTACAGCTTGGGGTCCAGCTCTTTATCCCCTCTCGGGGAGCTTGAGCACTTTTACCATGACCCCCTCCTCTTACAGGAGGCTGCTTATGTGTATTCCTTAGGTCTAACCTTGAGCCCTATCATATCGGTGTCCCCAGTCAAGCCACAAGCCACCATCTCTTGGGGATGGTTTCATGAAGGGGAACAACATGGCAACAGGATTGATGCTAATAATAGAAATTTCTAGAATCTCTCTCTCTTTTTTTTTTTTTAGAAAAAGAACTGAGGCCTGCTGTTGGTGCTTTATATATATTTTTGAGGGCCTCAGCTTTGACTTCTATTTATTTTATTCTCTCCCCTCACTTATGCTCAGAAGGCCTAGTGATCAGAGGCCACTCATTTGAAGGTGTGTAATAAAAACTAAAGGAGACTAACAAATCCAAAGATGATTGGGTCAGCTGCTCAAAGCATGCAGTTCTTGCCTGTAGACCCAAGAAAGCAACCTGGAGTGTCCTTGCGTCATGGATTGACCTCTCCGGAAAAGCCTTAAGAGCTCATTTGGCTCAGTCTCCCCAATAAACAACAGCTTGGGCAGGAAGACTGTTTCACCTAAGGTCACACAGTGAGTCAGTAGAAGAACTGGGGATCAACTCTTGGACCTTAACTCCCAGTCCAGTGCTCTTTCCACTGTACCATGTTTGTGACTGACTGCTGTCAGACTTGCCTTAAAGTAGAGCAGGAAGCTCAGCTGCAACCTAAGGCATTTTAGAGTGAGCTGGGAAAAGTTGCCTTGGATGAATCGTCATACTGTTCCCAGCACAGGCTCCTCTACAACAGTCCCGAGGCTTGGCGGCCCTCCATGGTGGCTGCTGTCAGGGGTCTGGAGACTCGCTGTACATGAGGGGTGGCTGACATTCTCAGTCTGAGCTTGGTAGGAAGTAAAAGCAAATGTCAGGAGTGGAGGGCTGTGAAGGGTCTCAGGATCCATTATTTTGATAGTCGTGTCTGGAGTGGAGTTTTTTGAGTTAATTTTAAGATTGAAGTACAATGTACATACATGATATATTTTTCATTTATTTATGTATTTTTTATTAGATACTGACAAGTTATAATTGTATATATTTACGAGGTTCAAAAGGGATGCTATATGTGTTATACAATGTGGAACAATTGAATCAAGCTAATTGACATTTCTATCACCTCATATACTTATCATTTATTCCTCCTGTCTAACTGAAACACTGTATCCTTGACAAACATCTCCCCATTTTCCCCATTCTCCAACCTCTGGTAACTACCATTCTGCTGTCTCCTTCTCTGTGTTCAATTTTTTTTTTAGATTCCACACGTAAGTGAGAACATACAGTGTTTGTCTTTCTGTGCCTGGCTTATTTTACTTCGCATAATGTCCTCCAGGTTCATGTTATCACTCGTGACATCATCTCCACTCTTTCAAAAGGCTGAATGGTACGCCGTTGTGTATGTACACCACACATTTATCCATTCATCAGTTGATGTGCACTTATGTTGATTCCATTGATGCTGCAATAAACATAAGAGTGCAGATATCTTTTGGACATACTGATGTCACATCCTTTGGATATACACCCAGTAGCTGGATTGTTGGATCATATGGTAGTGCTATTTTTAGTTTTCAGAGGAACATCCATAATGTTTTCCATAGTGACTGTACTAATTTACATTCCTACCAACAGTGTACTAGGGTTACTTTTTGCCACAAGAGCATGTATCTTGAGTGTACAACTCAATGAATTTTCACCCCAATGTAACCAGCACCCAAATCAAGATATAGAACATCAGCAGGGCCATTTTTTTCTTTTTCTTTTTCTTTTTTTTTTTGAGACAGAGTTTCGCTCTGGTTGCCCAGGCTGGAGTGCAGTGGTGCGATCTCATCTCACTGCAACCTCTGCCTCCCGGGTTCAAATGATTCTTCTGCCTCGGGCTCCCAAGTAGCTGGGATTACAGGCATGCGTCACCATGCCCGGCTGATTTTTTGTATTTTTGGTAGAGATGGGGTTTCACTAAGTTGGCCAGGCTGATCTCGAACTCCTGGCCTCAAGTGATCCACCTGCCTCGGCCTCCCAAAATGCTGGGATTACAGGATAGAGCCACCATGCCTGGCCCAGCGGGTCCATTTTTTAAGGGTCTGAATTGAACTATTCCATTCTGCAGAAGGAAAACTCCAGTCTCTGCTTTCTAGCCCAGCAAGAGATTATCTTCTCACATCACATCCATCCTTCCCCACTTCCAAGTAGTAGAGGGCACGCATTGAAAATACAGGACCAGGAAGGATAAGTGGGGACTGAGGTGGGGGTGGTGGGGGACACTGATCAGATGAGGGCAGCTAGTACAGGTGGTGTCCAGGGAGATGATGGCAGAAGTGGGAGAGGTGGCCAGTGAAGGCAGGAAGAGGAGCACCCAGAGACTGAATTCACCTGCTCTGGTGGAGCTCAGGGCAAAAGACCCAGAAATCTGAGGAGGCTGGGAAATCCTGAGAACAGGAGGAGCAAGCGACCAAGGTCTAGAAAGAAGGCCTGAAAATGTACAAGGAGTATTCTTGATGGGAGGAGATGTTGGTATGTCCCTCTTGACCTGCAGGTACCCACTTTTCATGAAAATGATGGAGGATGAAGGAATGATGAAGTGTTTTTTTTTTTTTTTTTTTTTGAGATAGAGTCTTGCTGTGTCACCCAGGCTAGAGTGCAGTGGTGCGATCTCGGCTCACTACAAGCTCTGCCTCCTTGTTTCACACTATTCTCCTGCCTCAGCCTCCCGAGTACCTGGGACTCTAGGCGCCCGCCACGATGCCCAGCTTTTCTGTATTTTTAGTAGGGACGGGGTTTCACCGTGTTAGACGGGATGTTCTCGATCTCCTGACCTCGTGATCCACCTGCCTTGGCCTCCCAAAGTGCTGGGATTACAGGCATGAGCCACCACGCCCGGCCAGAATGATGAGTTTTTAAGCTGAGGCCATGTTGAAATCAGAGCTGCTGACTATGAAGGAGCTTGAACTTGGAGACCGTGTAGGTCCATTCAACATCTTAATCCCACAGTCCTGGGAAGGCCACAGTTCTGATGAGGTGGGGAAAGAATGCAAGAAACTGCCCAATTCTAAAATATTTCTCAATGCCTTTTTCTTTCAAGGAGTGGTTTTAAAAACCTTCCTAAACCAAGAGGGTGCAGGGATGGCGGTTGTCTAGGGCCATGAGAGTAACCATCTCCTCTGTTTTTACTTTAGTGAGGTTGATGAGTGACCAAGAAGACAGCAGTCCTTTGAGTTCCAACAAAGTGGGTGATTGACACTTGGAATTTACGTTGGTTTTTGTGTGCTATTATCATCTTGCACGGCACAAAGATAAATGACTCATTGGAAGAGTGGCTTTGGGAGGGTGGGGGATAAAAGCCGGTGTGCAATGATTTTCTCTCTAAATTCCAATGCTTTCAGAATATGCTCTGTTTATTGACCACAGTCTTCACTGGTTTTGCCAGAGTTGTCACTAAGCACCTCAGAAAACAGCTGCACATGTGAGATGTCAGGTTGTAGCAATGCTGAGAGTCTGGGCCAGGCTGGAACTGAACTTTTTAGATGTCACTGCAGGCTGACATTTTTTAATCTCACCACAGAGCATATTTAATATCTATTTAAGTGTTCAATTTGCCTTAATCTTCCTGGCAGCGAGTCATTTGTCTGATGGTTCCCTGCATAATAGAGGTCATGTTGATACAGGGCTGGGGCCAGCCCTAGCCAATGGTGCTTGAGTGAGGGGCTCTAGTGCCTGCCCTGCCACCACCTCACCTTCCTGCTACTGTGCCTTATACCTGTTCTCTGCTTGTCTATTTGCAGGCTTGCAAAGATTCTGTGAAGATATAGAGATGATGATTGGATTCCAGCCTAACATCTTCTGGAAAGTCTGCTGGGCATTTGTAACCCCAACCATTTTAACCGTAAGGATTTTGCATGTTTTCTTGTGCAGACAGCACCTTGCATACGTATGTGGTGTTTTACATTTGAACAGTGCATGCCTGTTTACATTTGAACAGTGTGTGAGCCTGGGAGCTGGTAGGTTGGGTGGTGGTCTTGTCTTTCAAATGAGAAAACTGAAGTTCAGAGAGTTGAAAAGACTTGCCTAAAGGTGCCTAGCAGGTCAGGTGCAGAGCTAGGACTCATGCAAAGGTCTTTGGAGAACATTTCCTATGGCACATTTCCCATTATATCAGTTCCTATATATATATATAAATTTATATATATTTATATATATATCAGTTCCTATATATATAATATCAGTTATATATATTCCTATTATATAGGAATTCCTATTATATAGTTATATAGTTATATATATAACTATATATTCCTATTATATAGTTATATATATAACTATATATTCCTATTATATAGTTATATATATTCCTATTATATAGGAATTCCTATTATATAGTTCCTATTATATATATATCAGTTCCTATATATATTTATATATATATCAGTTCCTATATATATATATAAATGTTCCTATGGAACATTTCCTATGGCACATTTCCCATTATATCAGTCTGCTTTATGTACTAATAATGGCTTACAATCACAGCCACGTTTTCCACGTGCTAATTTGCTGTAGGCTTTGTTCACAGTGCTTCCTATGTATAGCCTCATCTCTCCCTCACAGTAGCTCCTCAAGGTTGGCATTATAATTATCTCCACTTTACAGATGAGGAAACGGAAGCCCAGAGTTGATGTGACTTGCCTTGCCTTGTACATCTAATAATTATCAACAGCTTGGATTTGAACTTAGGCGGTCTGCCTCTAGAATTCATGCTCTTAATCACTGTTCAACACAGCTGCTCTACAACTAATATAGCATTAAGCTTTTATGCTAATTTTCATTGCTTTTGAGAACTACCTTGTCATCTTCAAGTGGGATGATGACATTTTGGGATCATCTGACATTCACCTTCTTAAAGATCAGAGCCTTTCACGTTTCAGAAAATCTGCAGTTCAGGGTCTTACATTCTCATTTTGTCACCTTTGTTATTGTGCTATAAGCTGCCAGCTTTGCCCCACTTCACACTGCAAACACAGCAATTGACAGAGATCCTTCCCCATCCTCCTCTGTGGCTTGTACAGGTGTAATTTTGGGAACGCTGGAGGATGTTGGCTGTAATTCCCACAGAATCCAGTAGGTGGCACTAGAAACCAGATTAAGGCCTTTGTTTTGCTATTACACATGGTCCCAGTTTCCCTAAAGGCAACCAAGACAGGATGAAAGTACAATCGCAGAGGGAATACATTTTTTTCTTTCTTTCTTCTTTCCTTCCCTCCCTCTCTTCCCTTCCTTCATAAAATGAGTTTTAATCAAAACATCTCAATTTCTTTCTGAAAAGCTAGAAATGTAGACAGAAAAATCGTTCAGCATTGATCTCCCTCTGCGTTGACATGAACATCATACTGAAGCTGACATCTGTACCTATATTTTAGAGTCTGCAATTTGTCTGAAAAGTCCCACCAGATTTGGGGCATGAGAGTTGAAAAGGGTAGGCTTTCTATCTCTTGAATTCAGGACTGGAATGTATATGAAGAACTTGAATTTACCTAATCGGTGGGAAGAGAACATCTGCGAACAGACAGACTCACAGGCCTCCGGTGTTCCCATCTCTACTGCACTTGCCCTCTTCCCCGGATCCTAACACTCATGGTTTATGCTTGATTAAAATCAAAGTTAGAACATGTTCTAGATTTCCTCTTGCTTTTCTTCCCACCCCAAAAGATACTGTGCTTCAGAGGATTTTATTATACTCTGGAATAACATTTCACATAGTAATAATCAGCGCTGCTATTTGTTGTGGTCTATATGAGGCAGGCACTTCATAAGCATTGTTTCTAAAGCTTAGGACCACTTTGCCTGCTGGGTGATTCCTCTCTCATTTTACACGTGTGTGCACTGAGGCTTGGAGAGGTCAAGGAACTTGCCCCAGGCCACTAGATTTGGAGGTGACAATGCCAAGAATTGAATCCAGGACTGTCTAAGCTTCAAGCCAATACCTATATATTATCTCTAAAAACCTAGTACTTTCATCTTCAATTAGAGTTTGGCCAGTTTGGATTAAAATAGTTCTAATCATTTTTGTGAGCAGAATGTCAGAGAAGAGGAATTTTACGGACTTCCTGTTTTTTGAGAAAGTTCCTCAACTATGTTGTGCTTTACTTAGTTTCTAATATAAATCTTATGCCAGAAAGTTGTGGAGAGGTCCCAGAAAATATCCTGAACCAGATTCCCCTTCTGTGTTGGCTGGGAAGTAAGGACAATGAGAAGGGGTCAATTCCATCATCATTGTCAACTGATGAGTCTCCCTCCAGCACCTTCTTTGGCTGCCATCACAAAAAGGTCAGGGTGTACCTGACTCAGTGGCTAAATTATTATCTCTCATGGCCAGTCCCAGCCAAGGACAGGGTTTCATCAAAGTTAACTTGGCAGAGGGAAATTTATGGCAAAGGACAAATTTGCCCGGGTAAGTTTGATATGATATTTGTGCAACTGGAAATGAGTGTCGGAGGACCAAGCCCAACACTTATTTTTTGCCATTTGCCCTTCTATAAAATGGATATTTGTGGTGTGCTGGAATAGGCTAAGATTATGGGTTTAAATTACTTTGGAGCCCCTAAAACGAAATTGATCATTTTTATATATGCCTTCATGGATTTATAGAGCTATAAATATTCTCCATGCAATTACTGTATACATAGTCAGATCACGTTACTGAGTTATGCATGCACATAAGCAGATGTATTGCTATTTATATAGTAAATGAAATGGAGCAGCTTACCATAATTACATTAGGCCATACTTACAATACTCTGGTTAATAAAGTTTATAACTCTAGGGACAAATGTTTAAAAAGGGGCCTAGAGTAGACATCTCTTTCCATAGAAGACTTTTTTCCAACAGTTGTCTTTGGGCTCATGTTGCTTTGAATCAATATATTGAATTATTATTGTACTGAAATAATCACTTGCCCCAGCTGCCTGGGCTTTGCGGCAGTAATACAGATGCCTTACATCCATCTAGCACTTCACACTTTTCTAAAACACTTTCATACATTATCTTTCCTGGCAAAATTCCTTCCAATCACTTTTGCGCAGTTATTTTGTTGTTTAAGTTAGGAAGAGAGGGGTGGGGAGAGGAGGAGAGGACTTACATAGGTACATTATTCTAGGCTGATGTTGCTACAGGCAGGGTGAATACAGGGAGCCATACACTTTTCAGGGAAATTTTCCCCCAAAGGCTTGAGTAGAGAAGTTAGAACCTTGGCTCCACTTTTTAAAGATGCCTCCATTTTCAGCACTTAAATTCCTTTCTTTCTCTTCAGCTGCACTGGCCAAGTCTTCAGAGGGGTCTCATGGCTGTTGCTAGCCCAAGTGTGCAGTGATAGGAGTTAATGGGCAGAAAACACATCATGACCTCTCTTAAAATCAAGGGGGGACTCATGAGTAAATACCAAACTATCATTTCCAGAAAACCCCTGTGTGGTATACACAGAGTGAGATATATCCATTTTATGGCAGGGAAGTCTGTGACATAAAGGTCCCCTCAGCTAATTAGTGGTTGGGCCAAGATCAGCCTGCTGGTCTCCGGGGTCACGGCTCACCACTTGGTGATGACGCCTGTTCTTTTTTTTTTTTTTTTTTTTTTTTTTTTTGAGATGGAGTCTCGCTCTGTCGCCCAGGCTGGAGTGCAGTGGCGCGATCTCGGCTCACTGCAAGCTCCGCCTCCCGGGTTCACGCCATTCTCCTGCCTCAGCCTCCTGAGTAGCTCGGACTACAGGCGCCCGCTACCACGCCCGGCTAATTTTTTGTATTTTTAGTAGAGACGGGGTTTCACCGTGTTAGCCAGGATGGTCTCGATCTCCTGACCTCGTGATCCGCCCGCCTCGGCCTCCCAAAGTGCTGGGATTACAGGCGTGAGCCACCGCGCCCGGCCAGACGCCTGTTCTTATTGAGTCATTTAAGGGGAGCTGTGCATCCCTTCTGTTTGTCCCATAGCTTATTATAGGACCAAGCTTCCAGCTCAGTCACGGCCCGGGGACCACTCTGTGTCTCACTCAGCCAGCATTAGAGGAAGCTCCGGGATGTGGGCCATTCCTCATTCCAGAAGAAAGCAAAGTAGATTCAATTTTTTAAAAGTAAAAATACATAAACGGAATGGGTTTCCCCTCCCTCCCCTTCCCTTCCCTCCACCCCCCACCCCTCTTGCCCTCTCCCCTCCCCTCCTCTCCCCCACCCCTCCTATGCCCTTCCCTTTTTCCTGAGACCGAGACGCGCCCTATTGCCCAGGTTGGGGTACGGTGGCATGATCTCGGCTTACTGCAGCCTCTGCCTCCCAGGTTCAAGCAATTCTCCTGCCTCAGCCTCCCAAGTAGCTGGGATTACAGGCGCGTGCCACCATGCCTGGCTAATTTTTATATTTTTAGTTGAGATGGGGTTTGACCATGTTGGCTAGGCTGGTCTCAAACTCCTGACCTCAGGTGATCCACCGCCTCAGCCTCCCTAAGTGCTGGGATTACAGGCATGAGCCACTGCGCCTGGCCTGGGTTTCTTTCTTATAGCAAAAGCTTGATTATTACCCCTTACAGAAAATACGGGCTGGGCACAGTGGCTCACACCTGTAATCCCAGTACTTTAGGAGGCCGAGGTGGGCAGATCACCTGAGGTCAGGAGTTTGAGATCAGCCTGGCCAACATGGTGAAATACTGTCTCTACTAAAAATACAAAAATTAGCTGGGTGTGTGGCATACATCTGTAATCCCAGCTATTCGGGAGGCTGGGGCAGGAGAATCGCTTGAACCTGGGAGGGGGAGGTTGCAGTAGCTGAGATCACGCCATTGTACTCCAGCCTGGGTGACAGAGTGAGACTCTGTCTCAAAAAGAAAAAAAAAAGAAAAAGAAAATACAGAGAACTCCTTAAAAACACCCACTATCACCCCTGCCCACCTCTGCCTATTTGTGACCTTGGTATGTATCCTTTAAACTTGTCTTCTCTGCCTGTCTGTATGTATACACATGCACACATATTGCTCCGCTCCCATGGTTTGGCAAATGCAGAGTCAGCAGCTCAGAATATATCATTTCCATCTCTTTGAAATTTAGTTTCTTCATTTGAAAAATGGATTAATAATACTACTCTTTCGTGGGTATAGAATAATAGAGACGAAAGCATCAAACTCATAACGGGGGTTTAATAGTGTTGAGTGCTTGAATAATTCACGCCACCACCCTAACACGTGTGTCACTTTTCTCTTTCCAGTTTATCCTTTGCTTCAGCTTTTACCAGTGGGAGCCCATGACCTATGGCTCTTACCGCTATCCTAACTGGTCCATGGTGCTCGGATGGCTAATGCTCGCCTGTTCCGTCATCTGGATCCCAATTATGTTTGTGATAAAAATGCATCTGGCCCCTGGAAGATTTATTGAGGTAATTCTGTCTACTTCTTTCCCTCCCAATTCCTCCCAAGGGAAAGCCCATAAAAGCTCTGCATGTTAAAAAACAAAAGATTCGGTAAACTTATTCAAGAGGGAGACTTGGTGATGAAGCGATTACAGTTGCCACCGTTTCTGTTAAACCCATTTTTATTATGTATGATTCCTCTAATGGAGGGGCTCAGCCAGTCTGCAAGCAGAACTGTTATTATGCTGGTCCTCAGTGTGGTGACAGCTCTGGGGAATAAATGATCGGAGGGTCTCCTCTTTCCTGGAGTTTCCTCTTCCTCTCCCCTTATCCACAGTTTAAATCTCAGTGTTTTGTTTTTAACCACACATCAGATTCCCCCTTCCCTGATGCTCCTCTCTGTCTAAGCCTTCTTCTTCCCAAACATCTATTACCATTAAACTTAAAATCACTACCCCCTCCTGTTGTGCCTCTGTTAGGGATGGTTGAGGGTCTCAGCTGATTAAAATGTCACTGTTCCCACAGAATGTAGTGAGAATTTCAGGACGTGGCTGGTATGAGGTGAGACTTGTCTTTCTTTGTCAATTGATCCCTTGCTGGACCCAATTCCCATCTCTAATGTGAAGAATCCCCACTGTCACTCCTGAGTGAATGGGAAGGGGACTGCCTCTTGTGCCACCAGTGAAGTGTGGTCAGGCTTTTGTTATTTATGAGGAGTCACTTGCTCAGGTGTGCTAGGAATCACTCAGCCCTGCCTCGGTCTTGAGGATCCAGGAATCTGGCATTTTGGACTAAATCAGGGCTACTTAGGGTTTGCTCCTGAGACCAGCAGCATCCTTCTCACCTGAGAACTTGTTGGAAATGCATATGATCAGAATCCAGGCAGAAGACTCCTACTGAACCAGAGTCTTGGGGAAATGGGACCCTGGCATCTACAGTTTAACAAGCCCCCTCGTTAGCGAAGCATTGGACTAGACTCAGGTGATAGAAGGCAGAGAAGAACAGTTTGGGCTTTGCTGTTGGTCTGATGGGTTGAAAAAGGAATGAAGAAGGAACAGGCCTCTGGGTTATCCCATTGAGGCTCTGGAGGGGAGACAGAGGATGGGAATCAGGCATGTGGTACGTGCACAACACAAAAGTCCACTGGGTGGGGAGGTAGCTTTTGTCTTCATTGGACTAACGGTAGAGACAGAATTAGCAAAAGGAGGTGTAGGAATCTTTTTACTGCAGCTGTATTCTAGTTTCCAACCTCAGGAAATTCTGTTATTCCCTTGAGGTAAATGAGGTAAGTGACTGGCCCCATGGGCTTCCAGAGATGGTTCACTTCTGCCGCACATAAGCCTCCCCACCAACTGACCCAGAAATCTCTTTCCCTCTGAATAGAACCTGGTTTAGCCTCTGCTACTTTTGTCTTAGGCTAAAATTCTCTAAACTAATTGAGTTGGCTATATAAATTTATTATGGTGGATTTGGGACACAAAGGTTGCAAACTGATGATTAAGGAGAGATTAAACTAACAGCTCTAAGTACCAGCTTCACTTTAAAAGGTAATAAACATATAATTGTTCCCTCTTAGTCAGAAATATGTTTTCTTTCCTTTTTCTAGAAAATGTTTCAGTCAAGTTATGTTTTCCATAAAAATTTCAGCTGAAGGATTAGAGACATTCCTATTATTTTTAGCTTGCCTGCAAGAACCCACACTGCTGAACCAAGTCAGAAGCGTGCATTTTGTCAACAGATAATTAAAATCTTTGCTCACTCTTGGCGATGTATCTTTGGGGTTGGATTTTTTTTTTCCTCCGGTCATTTATATCCTTCTGGGAAATATGCTAAACAAAATGCAATTATTTAGATGTAGCAATCCACTGTTGAGACTACAGAACAAAAGTAATCAAGCACATGTGTTTTGCAGACTGTGTTTGGCAGTGAAGAGAGAAGCTTGTGGATTCTCTTCATTTGGAGGGAAAAAATATATAATTAAAATCTGGGCCCTTTATCCTCTATTAATCTTGTGCAAGGCAAACACAGAGCAATTGCAATATTGCTTGCAGGGTGATGTAAATAATTTCAAGTGAACCAAACTAAGTGTCCTTTTTAATGTCTCTGGCCTAGTTAATTAATGAACGCTTATCTTCCTAACTGCCTCTCTTGGTAGAGGGCCTCTTGGCTCAAGCAAGGACTCTGGTCAAAGTGGTCATAAGCAGTTTGGGGATGAGTGGGTCGTCCCCAGGTGAGGAAGGTGCACTACTTCTGTGACCATGTCTGTCTTTGGCTTCTTTGCAGAGGCTGAAGTTGGTGTGCTCGCCACAGCCGGACTGGGGCCCATTCTTAGCTCAACACCGCGGGGAGCGTTACAAGAACATGATCGACCCCTTGGGAACCTCTTCCTTGGGACTCAAACTGCCAGTGAAGGATTTGGAACTGGGCACTCAGTGCTAGTCCAGTGGTGTGGGATGGTCCAGACTTGATCCTGTTTTTCCTCTCTGCCTCCTCCTAATGTTTTCCATAGCTCTCCTCCCATTTTTCTTCATCTTTCTTCCTACATCTTGGTTCACATCCACGCATGAGAGTGATTATGTAGAAAAGTAGGCATAGTGTCGCATGCTGCAGTAAAGAGCTACATAGACCACCTGAAGCGCTGTTTGCCTGTGCCCATGGTGACTGTTTCTGGTCAGGTTGGTCCCCTGACCACACGTTTTACCCTGCAGAGGAGGATCAGTTAGGTGAGCACTGGTAGGTATGCGTGGTTTTGTCAATAGAGAGGTATCCACTGTGTGATGGCATGGGGGGTGCCAGTAAGGCATGTATAGAGTGGCCGAATTACAAGACTTTATTTGGACTTGAACAGAACTGAGCAATGTGGTGATCTTGTTCAGACACACAAAGTTCAAGACAGGTTTTTTTTTTTTTCAGAGAGTTAGCAGTGGTCAGAAAATGTTTTGGATGTAAGACAAGACCATTCAATTTGGACACCACTGAGGTGGTTAAGTTTATATTTCCAGTCACCACTGGGGATCTGTTTCCTTCGTTTGGATCAGCAATCTCCAGTTACCACTAACTCAGATGCTACAGTCTACACATTGTGACTTTGATTGAACTGTCAGTTTTCTTCCCTCAACTGTCTTTTTTTGTTTTAAATAACCACATTTGTGAGTTCTTTTGGTCATTTCCTCCACCTCTGCCCAAGAAGCCATCATATAAGTTGTGCCTCATTTTGTACGTTCATAGTAGAGCTCCATGCTCATTTCTACATGATATTTAGCACCATGGTTCAATGTCACGATCCTGTGTTTCTTCTCTAAATGTCTTTCTATAAGCTGTAGACACCTTGTCTTTTGACCTCTGGGAAAACAAGACTTACCCTGGTTCTGTCTATATATTATATATATAGGACACATGCTCTTAAAAGACAGATAACTTCTTAATTTTTACTCTTTTTCATTCACAGTAAATGCCAACTGTGGTCATAGAGAAATCAAAGAAATGGAGAGTTTAATAGAAAGCAACCACAATATTCACTGCACTGGTAGTACATTTTAGGACATGGTATTTATAGAACTTTCTGATAAATACAGCTTAGGTAAGTAGCGAGTGAGCCAATTAAGACTATAGCTTTTAAGACTACATTTAGCCAATTCAATTTTAAGAGTTCCCTATTCACAGTACTCATTTTAACGGCACTCTAATGAGAGCTGATCATATGTCTGCAGAAATTGGCAAAGTGTAAACTTTATTATCTTCTTGTATCCTGAACATGCATATATGAAATTTTTAAAATGTGACATGTGTTCATGTAGTGTGTACTTGTAGTGGTGTTTTCTGTCCTTATAAATATCTTTTGAATTCTGTAGAGATGGTGAGTTTAGTATAGTGTAGTCTGGGGATTTTATTTTCCCTTACAGTAATAATATCTAAACCTAAAATTGTTTCCTTTAGGGGAGATCATTTCAATCATTTTCTTCATTTATCTTCATAGTACAGGGTCTCAGGCAAAGTTTTTCAGTTCAAATCTTGTATATTGTTGTGACATTTTCATCCTGTTTAACAGCAATGAAACCCAACAACAGGCTTTAATGTACATTTTTTTTTAAAAGATTTCATTTGTTAAAAAAAGTCTCAACTCATTTTACTGAGCTCTCCCTTTTCTAGGGCAAGTATCATCGCCATTTGCCAACATCAATATGAACTTCCAGTTTTTAAGAGTAGCTTGTGAAAGGTTTTAGAAAAGGAAACAAAGATGGGTTTTGAACTTTAGATTTTCATGTCTTTTGTCTGCAGTGTATATTTGTTCTCCCCTCTCCTTCTCCTCCTTTCCCCCCTTGTCTCCCAAAGCTCAAACTTGCTTGAGTCTATCATAGAGACTAAACCTTGAGCTTCCCCTAAACTTAGCTTTAGGAAGCTGAGCTGTGGCCTCACCTGTCTGCCATGAACACAGATTTCTCTAAGAAAGCCATATTGATGAGAAGCCCCCAATTACTGCAGCAGACGTCGCACAATGGTACCAAAAATGAGCCTCTCCAGCTGATACCTGGTAGAGTGAGAGGAGCCAGGAGGAATAACTTAGGCCTGGAAATTATCTGCAGGCTTTGCAATTTGAAGGTTGAGAAAGAGAGCTTAAATCAATTAGCATTCTCTCATGGGACTGGTATGTTTGTGTCAGGATGAATGGTTTTTGGCTCTCCTGTTGCCTCTTGGCTAAAACTCTGATTGAGCCAATGGTTGCAGTCTGATGCTGGACGCCAACCCAATTTCTGCTAATTATTGCTTTTGTGATTAAAAGAAGGTGGGGGTGGGGGGCTCCCACAGATGCTGCCAGGTTTGTTTTGTACAAACTGAAAGTTAACTTAATTGTGAGAACGGAGACCTCATCACTAGCTGCATGTTTTGGATTTGGGGGCATTTACATTTGTGTTAATTATGATTTGTCCAGGTAAGATGCAGTAGCTGCTCCCTGAGCAGCTGTTTCCCCCCCACCCCACTTCACTATAATTTCCAAGATTTATTT
The DNA here is from genome assembly GCF_000001405.40 of Homo sapiens. Classification (NCBI taxonomy): domain Eukaryota; kingdom Metazoa; phylum Chordata; class Mammalia; order Primates; family Hominidae; genus Homo; species Homo sapiens. The sequence goes on from NC_000011.10 coordinate 20,657,435, forward strand.
CCCTTTGTTTAAAGGGACACGCTTAGGTGAAAGGTTCCAAATTTACCTGGAAATGGTTACCTTGTAAATTTAGCTTGTCTAATGGATTGTTTCCATGATATTAAAATGTACAGTCAATTGGAAGAAAAAAAATGAAAAAAATAAAATGAATAACATTGTTAGAAACTGGCACCTGAAAACTTCCCTTCAAAGTGGGGGAAAAAACCGAGTAGCTGAGGAAAGACTTTCATTGGTTCACTGTGTAGAATGGTGGAGCATTTTCCACTTGTGAGATTATTTCATAACACCAACAAATGCCAGAAACTCATTCAGAAAAAAAGCCATATGTGAAAAACAGTAATCCTGTCATATCCTTAGAGGAGAAAAAATGTATATTTCTTAACAAGTGGTGTTGTGACTTCTTATGCAAATGTCTTGCATATTAGTAACTTTTATTATCTTTAGGACTGTGCTTATCAGGTACAAATGTGTCTAGTTCTGTTTTATTGTTTCTTTTTCCTTTATATTTATGTATTGCATGAGGTCTGTGGTCAATGCAAAATCATGATGACCTCAATGTCTTTGAAATTTGCAATGTGTTTTTAATATGTAAGAAATGTAATCAACTTGTATTTCAGTAAGCAGCACTTTAAAAAGAGTTTAACATGATGACCTTTAAATGGATAGGACTTGGGTTGTTTTTATGGTAATGTTGCATTGGAGTTGAGTTTTCCTTTAATTAAGTTCTTGTTTCCTCATCTATGTGTCTCTCAGTGCTTCCTGTCCACCTTTGCTCTCAGCATGGTTTCCCATGCCTAAAAGTAAGATTTTCTTTTCTCTTTGTTCCCTTGGCTGTAGGTCATTGTCCTCTTCCCAGAGGCTAGCACAATAACTGTTGCTCAATGTAAGATGAGATGGCAAGATCATACTACTGTTGTTGCACCTGGATTTGAGTTGGGACATGCTTCTTTGAGGCAGATGATTCAAGAGAGGACGTGCTGTGTGGCAGGTGTTTTGCAGGACCAAAAGGCCAAGGCCAACAGAGGAGCATTTCCTTCTCTTTCACACTGGGTATCAAGCAGAAAACTTCCAGGCTGGGAGCAAAGGTGTGGGTGATTCTGCCTTGATACTCATTTCCCCACAAAGTGGCCCTAGGATTTGTGAAAGTGAAGCTTCCTATCTTTCCCAGATTTTGCTTTAATTGCCCAGAAAGGCCAAGTAGTTTTGAAATGTGGTCTTTGCTCAGGTCACCTCTGAGCAGCCTGCAGCCAAAGAGAAAGTGTTTTCAGATTAGGTATTCATCACCTCTGAAAAGCAAGCAGTGGTTTGACTTGCCTGCCACGGATTAAATACATCTTCAGGTAACCATTTGCCTTACAGGTGTATTTTACTGTTAGGATGATTCTTAGTAATTGACTAAAAACTGTTTTGTCTCTCATTTGTTTGTGGTTTTTGCACTTTATTATGGACCTGTAAAGGAATAGGTTAATTCTTACATTGTGTACTTGGCTAATGTCCTAAATGCAGGCATCTTTTGTGGGTACTGTTGCCCATGAATAAACATATGTTCCCTAATCAGGTCCTTATATTTTTCCATTAACTATACATGAAGAAAATATATTATGTTACAAATGATGCATCATATATATATATATATATATATATATATCTTATAGATTACATATTATATACTGCACATTATTCATTTAAGAAGTCATTCTTGAGGCCCTACCTCAAATTTTCTATTTATGTATAAAAATGCAATTTATTGTATTATATATTTGCCTATTATGTACTGATATAAATTAGAATTTACCCTAATAATGTATGAGTTCACAAAACCCTAAATAAATGTCAGTGTTTAAAACATGATTATAGTATTGTGTCTCTTACAAAGCCATTACCCATCATCTTTATTTCTTAATAAACAGCCTTATAGGTATCCCCCAGATTGATCAATTTTGTTGTGCAAAACCTGGAACAGCCATGGAAAACTGCCGTCCTGGGAAAACGAGATACTGTGCTGCTGCAGAAACAAATATCAATTATTATATTTTTAACCATCAGAATACACTATTGTTTGCTGAATTATTAATCACCCTCATGGGGGAAGAGAGAGAGATTGGAGTAGGAGAAGAAAGAAAAAGAGAAACAGAATCTGAGTAGATCTGAGATCTGAACAGAAAGACTGGACAAATTAAAACATCGTGTGTGTTTTCATGATCATTTTGTCAGTCTTCAACTATATTTCAATTTAGCAAACATTTTGTGTAGTTCCTGCATTGTGCTAGGCCCCAGGCAAAATGGAATAAAAAGGTCTCAAATCTTAGGGAACTCAAATTATAGTAGAAGGAAAACCTATTTCTAAAAAACAAAGAAACACCATTTCTCTCCTTTTGAGTGGGTGGAGCCCTCATGTTCCTTACTCAGAGATGGGGCCCCAGGGTTCAGTGTCATGTTCTCTGCTGTCTGATCAGGTCAACCCAGAGGCTTGACTCTGTCCTCCTCAAATGAGCACCACATACTCATGCTCTGCCTCCATCTTCAGCTTCAGTGTTGGAAGGCTACAGAGATGATCTAGGCTATCCTCCCTGGGAAAGAAATGCCCTCACAAGCTGATGCTGAAATCCACACGCCAAGTGCACAGGTGTCCAGCCTGCAGTCAAGCTCCAGGCTGGGAAAAGTCTATGATAATAAGAGCTCCATACAATACATTCAGGACTGGCCTTAAAACTGTACTTTGGCAGGTGCACAGCGCCGTGAACACTAAACTCAGTGTAATGTCTTATCTTCCCAGCAACAGTGCTCCTGAAAGGGCAAGAAGTGCATTCTGTGGGATCAGAGCTTGGTGCTGACTCATTATCTTCTATCTCTTTCCTGAGACTCCTTTGATCATTGTGTGTGTGTGTGTGTGTGTGTGTGTGTGTGTGTGTTTAACTTTTTATCTTGAAAAATTTCAGGTATACATAAAGTTGGAGAGAACAGAACAATGAACTCCTATGTCCACATCACACACTTTCAACAATTACCAACTCATGTCCAAGTTTATTTCATGATCCGTCTCCCTACCCTGAAACTCTGTTTCCTTAGAGTAGTTCAAAGCAGATCCCAGGTACCATGGAATTTCAGTTAGAAATGCTCTATTATGTTTTTATAACCCTTCTAAATATGTTTTTCCTTAATTGGGGATAAGGAGAAATAGCAGAAACTTAAGAGTTAATTTTTTGTTTTTAGAAGAAGAGTCACCAGTCTGGTACTCCAGTCTCACTGGTGACTCTTCTCCCAGGATTTGTCATGTGATTTGCTGGATCATGGCGAAGTCTGGGAGTCCAGGGGGGATGCTGGGGTATGTGGGGTCTTGGATGTGGGCTCAGGGGCTTCAGGATAGCCCAGGTATTTTTATTCCATAACTTGATTCCTCTTGCCTCCTCCTTTCAATCAGGAAACAGAGGCAGAGGCATTCTGCAATTATGTGGTATATTCACTTGCATGATTTGCCTCCAGGCTTCCGGCCATCTCCATCATGTGGCACTCACTGCCCGGTGTTCAGGAAAGATGCACAGAGAGAAGTTTGGGTCTTACCTGCTAAGGTTGCATGAATTTGATCTTTCCGGGATTAGGGCTTTGAGATAAAACATATTTAAAAAAAATCACTCTGTCTCACCTACTCAAAAGTGGAAAGCACTGGTAAGCACAGGCCCATGACAATCTCACTGTGAACCTTTTTTTTTTTTTGGCCTTCTTGTGAGTGTTTACTTCTATACACAGCCTTGAGGTGAGGGCAAGAATGACAGAGAACTTACACTAGGCCAGTACTGATATTTTATAAAGTTGGTACAATGTGAGGGAGTATAGGGGAGAAACTGGTAACTGCCTTTGAATTTCTATTCTTCCCTTTTTTAGTAACATCTCTGACTTTAGCCAGGCTTGTTGCCACCCAGTCAAAGCATGACGTTTCCAGGTTCCCTTGCTGCAAAGTACGGTAGATTGACCTGGCTTCACTTCTTTATGCCCCGCCCCCGCCCCCCGTGAACCACACCCTTGCTGTGTCCTCATCGTGGGTGGATTGTACTTCTTGCCCTTGACTTGGGGCTTGGTAATGCATCTATGCTTTGGCTAATAGCTTGTGAACAGACGTGGCAGTGTGCCAGTTTTGAGTCTAGACCTTAAGAGGTCTCACCTATTTCTATATGCTCTTTGGTGTCTCTTTGGGCCATGAGGAACAGATGTGGCTAGCCCTGTTGAAAGATGTGGCTTCCTTTCATCAACCCAAGGAAGATGAAAGGCACATGGGACAGTCACTCAACTGAAACACAGACCTGCAGTGAGAAATGGAATCAGCTCAGCCACTGTAACCCGAAGCAGAACTGCCTGTCTGAGACCAGCATGGAGGAACTGAACCCTAGCCAACCTGCAGATATGTGTTGTATGACATGGAAATTTTGTGGTTGCTATGTAGCAATAGCTAACAGATACGTATGGAGTGGCCCTGTGACTAGGTTCTGCCCAAATATATATGGAAATAATACATGGGACTCCTAGGCACGCTCTTCTTCTCTTCATTCTCTTCCATATTTTGCTGTCTGGAATGTGGCTGTAATGGCTGGAGCATCAGCAGCTATATTGAACCATGAGGACAAGAACTACATTCTAGGGATGGTGGACTCTCCAACTCTAGAATTCTTTTACTGAAGAGAGTATTAAAGACCTAAGTTATTTAAGTTACTATCGTTTGGGAGTTTTCCTGTTATATGAAGCCAGATAGAATCTTTACTGATATAGGAAATAAAATAAACACTCTTGGCCTTTTATCCCACTCCCTCTTCTCCCATCCCTTGTGGAGGAAGGTGCCAGCCATTGGTCCTCGTTTCTCAGTGGGGTCTCCTTAGCTTTCTCTTTTCATCCAGATCAGTGGGAGCAGATGGCTGTGGCAAGGTCCAGCCTGCAGGGAAGGCAGATGACCAGTCTATTTTGGCTTTCACATAGGCTACGCTCTTCCAGCATTGTCTCTACATTAATAAAAGTGATGTTTTAGCCTCCTGCTAGCTGTTATCTTATTTCTCAATTGGTTCAGAACTCAGGCAGGGAATTGGGCTGTTATGAAACTGACTTCACAGGCTTCATCCCAGGAGAAACAGTAAAGTTCATATGGCCTGGGTTTGAGTCTCACTTAGCCACTTACTTGGTCAATGGCTCACTTTCCACATTTGTAAGATAGGTATAATAATGCTACCTACCTAACTGGGTTGTTTTGAAGAATAAATGGGTTAATCCTTGGACAGTACTTACAGCAGTGACCACTCATAGTTACACTTAAGAAATGTAGCCAATACCATTCTGGCCAGGGCGGGGGTGGAGACTGTTTCTAGGGCCTCTTTGAAGATAGTGTGCCAAATTTTTAATGGTCTACTGGAATGGACATGTGATTACTCAACATTTAATAAAGCCTAGATATGAGCACACCTTGGTTCTTGTCATCAGAAACTTGAAACTTTTCCAAGATTATTGATGTTATGGATTAGAATGGTTTCATCCAAAGAATCATGAGATGCCTTTATCTATATGTCTATATACTTTTCTACCTATTTTCCTACAGATCTATACCCAGCTTTGCTCTAAAACATGTTTGAAGATATGAGACGAGGACACTAGTTAATTTAGCAAAATATGGATCCCTCTAATTTGGATATCATTGAAGTGGACTGTGGTAATAAGAGAACGAAGTTTTCATATAGAGTTTATACATCCATATAGAAACAGAGGTTCACACATAAATACATTCATTCAGCCTCTTTTTATAAGTGCATGTGCATTTCAGGAAATGAAAATATCCACCCAAGTCAGGCTTGCACAGTTGCAGAGAGTATTGAGGCTGTTAGGTTTGTGAGGGAAACTTGGGTGCTTTTGCACTTTCCTTGACTCTGGCAGCAAATTGGCACTTGTGTTAGTTTCCTACTGCTGCCACAACAAAGCTCTACAAACTGAAAGATGTAAGACAACAGAAATTTAATCTCTCACAGTTCTGGAGATTAGAAATCTGAAATCAAGGGTTGGCAGGACAAGTCTTCAGGGGATAATCCTTCCTCGCCTCTTCCAGCCTCTGGAAGACATCCCTTGGCTTGTAGCTTGTCTTCATTTTCTCTTTTTTTTTTTTGAGATGGAGTCTCACTCTGTTGCCCAGGCTGGAGTGCAGTGGCAGAATCTTGGCTCACTGTAACCTCCACCTCCCGGGTTCAAGCAATTCTCCTACCTCAGCCTTCCAAGTAGCTGGGACTACAGGCGCATGCTGCCATGGCTGGCTAATTTTTTGTATTTTAGTAGTGATGGGGTTTCACCATGTTGCCCAGGTTGGTTGTGAACTCCTGAGCTCAGGCAATCTGCCCGCCTCAGCCTCCCAAAGTGCTGGCATTACATGCGTGAGCCACAGTGCCTGGACTTCTGTTGCTTTTAACAGAATACCTGAAACTGCATAATTTTTAAAGAAAAAATATCTATTTCTTACAGTTGTGGAGATGGAAAGGTCCCAGGTCGAGGGTCTGCATCTGGTGAGAACCTTCTTGCTAGTGGGGACTCTAGAATAGAGTGGCACAGGATGTCATGGTGAGGGTGCTGAGCATGCTAACATGTTCACTCAGGTCCTTCTTCTTCTTCTTGTAAAGCCACCAGTTCCCCTCCCATGATAATCCATTAATCCATTAACCCATTAACCCATTAATTTCTGCCCTCATGATCTGATCACCTCTTAGAGGCTCTTTCAATACTGCCACACGGGAGTTAAACTTCAACATAATTTTTGCAGGGGACAAATAGTCAAACCATAGCACAGCTACTACAACACTATAATCTCTGCATCCATGGTCACATGGCATTCTCCCTGTGTCTCTGTCTTCCCATGGTATTTTTCTCTTATAAGGATATCAGTCACACCGCATTAGGGCCTATACTAACGACCTCATCTTAAGTTATTACATCTGCAAAAACCCAATTTCCAAATAAGCTCACATTCACAGGTACCAGGGGTTAGGACTTCAACTTATTCTTTAGAGCAGAGGGAAGGTATAGAATCCAATCTGTCACAGTGCTACTTTCTCATTTCCTCCTGTTTTATAAACTTATTGTGTTTATAATAAGTTGTATAAACTTATTATAAAATAAACTTATTATGTTTATAATAAGTTGTATAAACTTATTATGTGTCCACAATGTGAAGGTAGTTGTGAAGATAGTTGAAAGGCTGTTTGGACAAAGAAGAGTGGCTTCGGGAGGGGAATTCATTAGGCAGTAAATACAATAGAGGGTTTCTCATGCTTGGAACTGCTTTTAGCTTGCACGTTTAGTTTGGATACTAAAAAGGAGTCCTTCTTACTCTTCCTCTATGGGGTCTGCTGCCCCACATAGAGTCAGCAGTGGAGCAACTCTGGGGGACAGAGAGACAAGGCCTTCTGACTGTTGCCATGCTGACAGCCAATGAGAAGAGTTCATTCTCCATGCTGCTTCCTGGCAGAACATGCATTGATTCATTCATTCAACAACATTTAATGAGCTCCTAAAATGTGCTAGGCACTGTTCTAGGTGGAAATATACGTTGGTGAACAAGAAAGACAAAATTCCTATTCTTGTGGAGCTTGCATTATATTGTGTGTGTGGGGGGGACAGAACGAATAAGTAAACATATAAATCATATTATTTTAGACAATAACAAGCACTCTAAAAAATAAAGCAGGGTAAGGAGGCAGAGAATGTTGGGAGTAAAGTGAGAAGCTTCTTTAGGCAAGGTCTCCTCAAAGAGCTGACATTGAGACGAGATTTGAGTCAGTGAAAAGTGAACCTTCCAGGTAGAGGGGACAGCAAGTGCAAAGATCATGAGGATGGTATGAACTTGGAATGTTTAAGGAACAAGAAACACTGGAGTGAGTTAGGGGGAGAATGGGGAGAGAGGGACCTGGGAGGAGAAGCAGGGGTGATATAAGATGTTTGGATTTTACTAAAATATGATGGAAAACTCCAGGAGGAGTTTTGAGCAAGGGAGTGTGATATGATACATGTTACAAAACACAGACTATGACTGCTGAAGGTGGAGGTGACTGAATTATACGGGGCAAGAATGGAGGCAGAGAGAAGCATTGAGAGTCTATAGCTGTAGGCTATGGGAGAGATAATGATGGGTTGGAGGAAGGTGGGAGGAGACCTGGTGAGAAGAGAAATTTGACTGGGGATTTTTCTTTAAGGTATACTGACAGGGCTTGATGCCTTGTGTGTGGGGGCTAAGGGCAAGCAAGTCAAGGATGACCCTGGGTTATGTAGCTGGAGCACTTGGTGAAGGCTCATGCCATGTCCGTAGAAGTCAGCAGTGGAAATTTAAGACAAGGGAAAAGTCAAAAGTCCTTAGTTGGCCATATTACAATTTTTTGTCATGATCATTAAAGTATTTTAAAAAACAGCTTGAGATATAATTCACATACCATACAATCCACCCATTTAAAGTATACAATTCAATGGTTTTTACTATATTGTGAATATATGTGAGAGTTTTACATCCATCACCACAATCAAATTTAGAGCCTTTTCATTACCTCAAAAATAGCCCCTACACTTTTGAGCCATTACCCCCTAATCCTACCTCCCTGGCCCCAAGCCCTAGACAACCACTAATCAGATGTTTTGTCTCTATATATTTGCCTCCTGACTTTTCATAGAAATGAAATTGTATAATATATGGTCCCTTGTGACAGGCTTTTTTTCACTTAGTGTGAGGTTTTCAAGGTCAATGTTGTAGTATGTGTCAATGCTTCATGTCTTTTTATTGCTGAATAATATTCCATTATATAGGCATACCACATTTTATTTATCCACTTATTTGTCAATGGACATTTAGGTTGTTCCTACTTTTTGGCTATTTTGAATAATGCTCTAAACATTTATGTACAAGTTAGTATATGGACATATGTTTTCATTTACCTTGTGTGGATATTAGGGATAGAGTTGCTGTACAGCAACTCTATGTTTAACTGTTTAAAGAACACTTTACATTCTAACTAGCAGTATATGAGTTCCAATTTCTCCACATCCTCACCAACATTTATTATCTATTTTATTCTAGCCGTCCTAGTGGATGTGAAGTGATATCTCACTGTAGTTTTGACTTGCATTTCCCAGATGGCTAATGATGTCGAACATCTTCTCATGTCTTTATTGGCCGCTTGTATATATACTTTGGAGTAATATCTATTCAGATCTTTTGCCTATTTGCAAATTGGACCTTTTATTGTCTTGTATTATCTAGTTGTAATAGTTTTTTAGTAGATACAAGTTCCAATCAGATATGTCTTGCAAAGATACTTTTCCATCGGTTGTTTTTTTTACTTCATTGATGGTGTACTTTGAAGTGCAAATGTTTTTAATTTTGATGATGTGGCCATATTATATTCAAGATGTCTAATAGGTAGTTAGAGATGTAGGCCTGGGGTTCAAAATAGAGGCTGGGGATAGAGATGCATATTTGAGAGTCATCCCTGCACAGATATTTAAATCCATGAGGTGGGATGAGCTTAATAGGGAGGGAGTGTGGCGGGAAGGGAAGGGTTGAGGAGTGAGTCCTGGGGCTCTCCAACATTTAGAGGTCAGGAAGAAGAGGCAGAGGGATAATCAAAGACAACTACTGGCTCCTGAAGAACCCATGGAGGTAGGCCATCCTGAAGGGGAGGGTGGACTTGGGATCTGGCATCAGGTAAGATGTTTCAGTGTGGCTTCCACCGAACACAGGTCTCACTGTAACATTCCACCACCAAGTACATACATAGCCATGTGTCCCTTCATTGTCACTAGAGAAACTTGCTGGGCCCATTCTATGAAGGTCACCTTAGCTTAACAGACCTACACACTCAAAATCCCCACTCAAGGGTTGCACTTATAGGAGGAGATTGCAGTACTTAGTTATCTAGAAAAGATTTATGACCTTGTTGAGATTAACTCTTGTTACTGTTAATGGATGTTATGCTGCAAAGCTATGACAGAACATATGTCTTGCTTTATTTTTTAATGGAACAAGCTAAAAGTCCCATCCCACAGGACCAGCTAATTACACAGAGACTTTAAAGATAGAGAGCTCTGAAGATCTTACCCAGACCACCTTTTCCCCTTGCTGGGGTCACTGTACTTTTAAGGATTCTGGGCTTTCTGAAATCAATAAAAGGGCCTTGGAAACAACAGTCCAAAGCAACTCAAGGCTGTTCCTGCTGAGGTGTACTTAAAGACTGCAGAGGAGAGACAGGAAATGGCTCTTATAATACAACATGGTGTATGGTGTCCTTGTCCACAAGGCCCAACAAGACTTGGGAAATCCTATTCTCTTCAAGATGTGTGATTTTAATGTTAGCTTTAAATGCAACACGCTCCGGGTGGAAGGAAAAACACGTGGACTCTGTTAGTGAAAATACAGAGTCAAGGCAGACAGATTTCCTTTGGGTCTTAGCCGAATCTGAGTTGGAGTCAGCTGACATCAGTTTACCTCTTAATCATTCAGCTCAACTTCTGGATTGTGCAGTAGACTTCTTGAGCTGGAATTTACCTGCTTGTTCACTTTCTTTTTCATCTGCCAAAGGACCACAACATAAAGGGCCAAATGGGACAGTGGCTTGCACACAGAAATATCCAGAAAAATAGGGCAGAGACCAGAACAGCATGCTAGTAAAGCCTTCTCTCTTAATAAGCTGCGCTGATTTGGTGAACTTCACTGGGGCTCCTGGGGTCAAAGTTGTGTAGGGGTTAAGGATATAGGAAGTGAAAGTGGGTGCAAGTGAGAAGGGCACGTTCTTATTAGTGAAGAGGATTCTGAAACGTTGGAATTGGTTTCCAGGAAACGAGGGACGGCTGTTCTGAGGTTTCCTTGGACTCCTCTGGGATCCCTGTTGTGAATATCAAAGGAGTACTGCTGGTGAGGGGGAGCGGGGGCTTCAGAGAGAGTGGGAAGACTGAGCAAGCTAAGTGGAGTTCATTTGGTATAAATCAGAGGCTGTCATTTCAGATTTCATGACTCTACATATCCAGTTATAAATAACGTTCCTAGGTGTTAGTAGGACAAATAGGAAGTGGGACAGAAGTCTTAAATTTGGGGGATCTTCATAGGGAAGGTCAGGTCCTGAAAGGGTCGCATAGAGGGGAGAGGACCCATTCTCTTCTTGCCGGCAAGTAGAAAACAAAGCCCAGCCCAGCTTTTCTCTCCAGAGAATGTTGTGGTGGGAGAGGGAAAAGAAGGTGGAGGTCCCGGAGGAATTGCACATGGGGCCAAAATGTGACTATGAAAGAAGAGTGGGCTTTTGATAATACCATTAAGAAAATCACGCAAGAAAGAAAAAAAGATGGTTAGGAATTACCCCTATGTGGCAGCATCTGCCCTGCAGAATGAGAAGGTTTGCAAATAGACTTCCCAAACCCCAACCACAGCTCGCTCCGCCTCGAGGACCCCTTTTCTGCACCCCCACCTCAGCGCCCTCTTCCTGCACCCACAAAGAGAGTACTCAGTCATAGGGGTTCAACAGGAGAGAGGAGACAGAAGGTACAGGCGGTGAGCAGGGACTCAGCCATCATCCCCCTCAGGTCCCTCCCCACCCAGTTGACAGAGCGAATCCCGAGTAATTGTTTTCCGAGGGGGTCCGTGCGCGCTCGGTGGCGCCGCCTCGGTCTGGGTTCCCCCGAGGAAAAATACCCACCCGCGAGGGCTCGGCGGCTTTTCGACTCGGCGGGGATGAACTGTGGCAACTTCGGCAGCCCCCACCGCGGTGCGGAAGTAAAGAGGGCAACATTGGCGACTGCGGCTCGGAGGGGCTGGAGCGCGTGAAGCCGTGGGGGCGCCGTGCGCCTCCCGCTCTCTCGTTTCGGCCGCAGGTCCTGGGACTCCGACTTCGGTGCTCCGGGTGATAGCGGCTGCGGCGCCTGCAGTCCAGATCCTCGCAGTTCTGCGGGCGAAGGAGGCGAACGGAATCGGCCCCCAGTGGGGAGCGCAACAAGCCACAGTAGCCAAACCCCGCGCTCCTGCCCGGGCTCCCAGACGAACGCAGCCGCAGCGGGGGGCCGGGCCCCGAGCCCCACGCCGCCGCCGCCGCGCCAGCGGTGGGGGGCGGGCTGGGGGCGGGGCGGCCGGGGCTGCCTTCCCGGGCGCATATGCGAGCGCAGCACCCGGCGCTGCCGAGCCACCTCCCCCGCCGCCCGCTAGCAAGTTTGGCGGCTCCAAGCCAGGCGCGCCTCAGGATCCAGGCTCATTTGCTTCCACCTAGCTTCGGTGCCCCCTGCTAGGCGGGGACCCTCGAGAGCGATGCCGATGGATTTGATTTTAGTTGTGTGGTTCTGTGTGTGCACTGCCAGGACAGGTAAGCATGACTGTGGCGGTTAGAGGGATCCGGGAAATGGGGGTGCCCACAGACCACGGCGGCGTGGGGAGACCTGGAGCCGAGCTTTGCGCTGGTCTGGGGAACGGCGGTAGCGTGGACCGGTTCCTGGGATCTCTTTGCCCTGCTCGGAGTGACAGGGTGAAAATAGGGACTCACGGGCTTGAAGATGTCCCCGTTGAGTGCCCCTTCTCAGGGGACCCGGCCTCAGGGGCGCAGGAGTGAGGGGCGCGGCCGAGTAGGCGCACCCTCTTGCTGCTAGTAACCGGCTTTCCGTCCCAGGGAGTCGAAACCCGCAGCAGGGCGGGCCCGCGTGCCCCGAGTTCCCGAACTTGTAAGGTGCTGTGGAAACCACTCTCGCCGACCCCCGCCAGGCTGGGAAGGGGTAGCTGCGGGAGTCGCACCCGCAGAGGGAGCGCTTCCGGCTGGCGGGCGCGGCCGGGGCCCGGGAGGGCGCGGTGCGGCGAGGGCAGAGAGCTGCGGGAGAACCCTGGGATCCCGCGATCTCCTCCTGTGCCTTCCTGACTACCCAGGAGAACTCCAGGAGTATTCTCCTCCGCCTGTCTTTGCTCCCAAGGGCTGGGCGAACAATTATCTGAGGGAAATAGAGCAGTGGAGACAATCTGGGGAAATTTTCTCAAGCTCAAACCAGTTTTCTCTTGCCATAATCGCAGGGTTCCGTGTGGGGAGGGGGGAGCAAGGATGACGCTTGATTGTCTGAAGTCCCCACTTCGTTCTGCCTCCGGAGACGCAGTTGTGAGGACTCTCAGCGCATCTTCTTCCTTCTGCTTCCACCGGCTCCCTTGCCCAAAAGTCCCCTGGGGTTCGGAGACTGGCTTGCAGCCGCCTTCTTCAAAGAGCTAGTAGTAGATGCGGGGAGACTGGGGTGAGGTGAGGTGGGGTGAGATGTAGGAAATTGGCAAAAATAGGGCCTGTCAACTGGGGGGAGTGTCGGAGGTTTGCAATCCTACCCAGCCATCCTCCGTACGCGCTGCACCCCAGAATCTGTGTGGTCATTCCCTTTCCCTTTATTCTCCCCCCTTTACCATCCTTATTTCCTTCTTTAGAGGCGTGGCCTTCTCTCTAGGCCAAAGAGCAAGTTCATCTGGAGAGGGCTAAGAAGGGGCGTCTGCACTTGGTTGGCTCAAAAGTTCCCTCCGCTTGCGCCCAGGCGCCCCTCTTTGGCAGTTAGCCCGCTGGAAGATCTAGCGTCTAGGAGCTTTCAGAGGGCCCTTCCCACTTCCCCAGGACTGAGCAGGCAGCGGCTTTCGTCTGGTTAAGAATGTTGAATATGGATTTCTCAAGGGACAAAAGAAACCTCCCATTCCGTTCCTTACCTCTATCCGAGCTTCCCAGGCTGCGGAGACGCCAAGGCTCAGTCTAGCTTAGAATAGTTGCTTCTTGAGTTCAGGCCCATCCGGATGGGTTAGTCTTTTAAAACCAGGACACGCTGAAGGAGTGCGCGCACCCCAGGAAGATCAGGACAGGCAAGACTAGTGCAGAGCGTGGGCTACTGGCTCTGAGCGCGAGAGTCTGGTGCTCGTGGACATCTTACAGAGGAACCGCAGACAGGAAGAAGCTAGGTAGGGAGGGGGCAACCCGTTAGTGAGTTCACATCCCTAAGTGCACATCACTACGGAATATGCCTAAATCCTTTGTTCTCATTACTCCTTTGAAAAGTCGCCAAAGTACCCTTATCACGGAATGGAACGTGTTTCAGGGTTCATTGCTTGTGGAAGGGGTCTTTAAGAACAGGTATTTTCCCTCTTTCCACTTCCAATCCCCTTTAAATCTTGTAAAAATTTCGTTGTAGGGGAAGATTCATTCATGTCTTTACTCATTCAACAAACGATGTCTTGCTGGGTGCCAGGATTTCTTATGCAAAGAGGAAATGACAGTCCTTGACTTCTAGGAACTTAAAGCTCAGCTGGGAATCTAGATAGAAACTGGCAGGCATTTTAATTTTACAGATTGATGGGGGGGGTGGTGGAGAGGTAGGAGTATAAGTTTGTATTAAGGAAATGTGGAGGAGAGACAGTTTGAATTAATTCTAGGGAGGAGTGGTGGTCAGGGATTTGAGAGATGTACCTTCAAGGCTTTCTAGGGAGTTTTCCAGGTGGACAAAGTGGGAAGGCATTCTTGGCAGAGGGAGCAGATTCAGCAAAGGCAGGGAAGCATGGAAGGATCTGACCCACTGGTTGTGGCTGTTGCCTAGGGAGCTTGGGTTCTCAATGTCACTTGGCACTATTTGAACACTAGAGGCCGCATATTTCTTCTACACACATTATCGGAAGAATCAGAGAGACGGGGGAATTACCTCTCAATTTGTACACTTAAAGTATCTTGTAGCTTGAGAGGGTATAAGCGGTAGCTTTCTGGAGGCAGCCCTCTGATTCTGTGCAGAAATCATTTCCACATCATCCATCCACCCTCTTCTTAGGTAACAAAGGCTGGCTTGTGATTATCAGCATCCAAACAGCTGCGTTGAAAGTTTCTTTGTCAAGTGGGACAATTGTTGTCTGGGCTGTTAACAGTCCTAGATGAAATAAACATGTGGTTCACTTAGTGAGCTGCTCAGATATCACCGGCTTTTAATGGAACTGAGTAGATGATATCAGGCACATTTTAATTAAAGCAAGACTGCAGTGCAGACACAGTTGCATATGAAAAGATCTAATGATAGGTGTCATGAGGAGCTGCTTAAATCTGCCTTGTTCAGAGAACTTGTTTTAGAGTGCAAAGTGGAGTCAAGACGGGAGGTGCCATTCTCCAGTTCTTGTTATTTCTGGTTGAGAAATAATTCAGAGATTTTCAGGTACATCACTAATAATGAAAATTTAGAAGGCTACAATAATAGCAGTAATAACACACTATCTCTATGAGTTTTCACCAATGCTTTGGCAGTGTGAATAATTGAAAACTCAATAATTATTCCCACATTGCTTTCCAGTTTGTTTTGGTCACCAGGGCAGAGGGTGAAGGGAGTACCTACACCTGCAAAGCCCCTACTGACCAAGTGAATGTCTTTTGCTGCCACCTGCTGGAAAGGAGAGAATTTTTTTTTTTTTTTTTGAGATGGAGTTTTGCTCTTGTTGCCCAGGCTGGAGTGCAGCGACATGATCTCGGCTCACCACAACCTCTGCCTCCTGGGTTTAAGTGATTCTCCTGCCTCAGCCCCCCCCCCCCCCCCCGAGTAGCTGGGATTACAGGCATGCACCACCACGCCTAGCTAATTTTGTATTTTTAGTAGAGATGGAGTTTCTTCATATTGGTCAGGCTGGTCTCGAACTCCTGACCTCAGGTGATCTGCCCGCCTCGGCTTCCCAAAGTGCTGAGATTACAGGTGTGAGCCACTGCGCCTGGCCAAGAGATTTTCTTTTGGAAGGAACTCTCAGGTGGATCATTAATTATGAATTGAATAATGGAACTGTGAACATGAGCCCCCAGCCTCCAAGGATCATGGAAAATACTGGCCAGCTTGGAACAGGCATAGAGCATATTCTTCAAGAAAATTGCTTTTGGGGTATTAAGGACCTTCGTAGGTGCCCAGGGGCCCAAACCTGATTAAGTGGTTGTGAAATTCTGTGGTTAAATGAGCTCTTGGAGCATTTTTTTAGTCTGCATGGTCCAGAGGAAAACAGCTTCCACCATGGACAATGAGCAGGAGTAAATTTAAAGTCAGCCAGACCCAGGAGGATTTGCTGGAAAGCCTATGTCTGGGACCCCAAAGGTGAACTGAGTGGGCTGTGGGCCCGAGCATTCCCTGGGTGGGGGTGAGGAGCAGCCAATAGCAGCAGTAGCAGCAGGTATCTTTGTTAGGGTGGAGTTTCTGAATCCTAGTCAGGCCTCAAGTGCCTCTGTGACATTGACATGCTGCCTTCCAGGTTTTTAAAATATTTCTTCCCCAGGAGCTTTTCATCTTGCTTAATTGTAATTCCCAATTTTAGCCATTTGTAGAGCCGTTATGTCCAAAGTAGAGAACTTTAATTGAGTTTCCTAGGAAAGGGCAGGAGCTCCATGCTTGGACAAGAAGCAGAAACAATACATTTTTTTTTTTTATGAGACCACACTCACACTACATAAGGTTCAAGACAGCCCATGTCAATGCTGCCTTATTAATAGGTTTTCTGATTCCCTAGGCAGTATGCAAAATGCTATCCTTTATACATCCTGCTATGGGCACGAGGCATTTTCATCCTGGTGGGGACCAATTAAAGGCAGAGAAGAAAACTATCCAGAAGCCTAATTGATTTCTCTTTTTTTGGCTCTGTTTTTATGAGGTGTTTTCATAATAAAAGCAATACACTTATCTTAAAGCCAGAGAAGCTCCTTCACTTTTGAGTTGCGGGCAGGGAGTTGGGGAGCGAATATACATGTCATATATGGATTTTACTAGCAAACCCAGCGTGAGAGGCCCTTCTAAGTCACTTGGGCATGGATAAGGGCTGGGAGGAAAGGGGCCATCTGTACCTTTTTTATGATTCCAGTGGAATTGAGGACCAGGGAGCTGGAGTGGTCTGGAGAACTGGTCTTATTAAAGACAGATGAAACAACCCCCAGCTGGGCACCACCTATGTGCCAGATGGAGCTGTTGAAGTGTGAATATAGTTTCCCCGAGTCCTCATGAGTCTGGTGTAACAGGTACCAGTATCTTTTTACACACGGTAACCCAAAACATGAAATTTCCTACAGCAGAAGATATGAAGCCACCCGTGTTATCGCTGATATGGAGAACTAGAGTTCTGAAGTCTCTGCTTCAGCAATCCCTTCAGGGAGGCAGGTATTAACGTTCCTATTTTATGGATGAGGAAACTGAGGCTTGATAAATGAATGCTTTTCTTAAGGGCACAGGGTTAGTAGAGGGAAGAGACTGGACTGAAACTGGATCTCAGTTTAGTGTTGTTTCCACAATACTTTCTGGATTGAGGGCACTGTGTTCTCATTTGGGGGTGGGGATTCAAGGATACCATTGGGGTGTTCTGCTAGTTCTACAGAGTTTGTTTGGGTGGTTGAAGCCTTGCCCAATTAATTGCAGGGCTCTTAGTCTGGGAGATTTGAGCGTCTTAAGGATGCCATCGTAGAAGGTCTTTAGTCCCTGCATCGGTCAATATTGTCATAATAATTTTGTATAACAAATAACCCCAAACTCAGTGGCTTAAAGCAAACCATTGATTTTGGTTCACATATCTGTAAATTGTGTTTGGGGTTGGCTTATCTAGGCTGCATTTGGCTGGGCTTGGTTTCAAACTCAGGTAGGCTGCCCGCTCCACATGTCTAGGTCTCCTTGGACCAGTGGACCAGCCGGGACATGTTCTTATCATGATGTGGAAGTAGACGAGAACAAACCCCACTGCACAAGCATATTCAAGTCGCTGCCTGAATAATGTTACTAACATCCCAATGGCCAAAACAAGTTACATGGCTTGCCTCAAAATCAAGAGATGGGGAGGTTTACTCCCATTGTAGTGGAAGGAACTGCAAAGCCACTCAGTAAAGGCTGTGGATATGAGAGGGGTAAAGATTTAAGGCCAATGTTCAGTCAACCACTGTCCTTTTGGAAAGTTTCCTGGGCTTGCATGTCATCCGTCATCTCATACTATCCCCAGATATGCATATTGCTCAGAGTTCATTGCACCCAAAGTATTGATCATGCATCAACTCATTAGATAATCAGGTCTTAAGTTGAGAGCCTGCCTGCCATCTGTCCAGGCCTGTGAAAGGCACTTGGGCGACAGGGGTGCTTCCTTCTTCTTGCGTCTGGTGAAGGGCACGTTCCCCAGACCACATTCCAAATTCCTGGCCAGAGAAACACCAACTTGGAGGTCCCCTGAAATTTAATTTCTGCCCTTAAGCATAAACCTTAGAACCCTCCAATTATATCTCAGAATTAGAATAACATCCAAGCTCCTTTTGGGTCACAGGGCTTATATGATCTGGCCCTTCTCTCTCTCCCACTTTGGCCTCTCTTCTTTTTTCTTTTCTTTTCTTTTTTTTTGATACAGAGTTTCACTCTGGCACCCAGGCTGGAGTGCAGTGGTGCTGCAGGATCTGCTTCCTGGGTGCAGGTGATCCTCCTAATTAACTGGGACCATAGGTGTACGCCACCATGCCCGGCTAATTTTTTGATCTTTTTGTAGAGACATGGTCTCCCTATGTTGCCCAGGCTGGCCTCAAACTCCTGAGCTCAAACAGTCCTCCTGCCTCAGCCTCCCAAAGTGTTAGAATTACAGGTGTGAGCCACCGTGCCTGGGTGGCCTCATTTTCTACTTCTCTACCCCTGGCCCATTCAGTTTCTGCCATGCTAGCCTTTTTTCTGTTCTTAGGACACTCCCAGTTTGTTCCTCGTTTGCATGCACCCTTCTCTGCATGTGGAAAGCTTCCTCCCATCTTGCCTTTTCTAGTCATTCAAGTTTCAGCTTGAAAGAAACTTTTCAACCCCCCTTTCTAAAGTAGGACCCCCCCATCCAAGTTGCTTTCTATCCCATTACTCTATTTTCTTCATGGTGTTTATTGCCATCTCAGATTATCTTATTCATTTGTTTATTTTTTGCCCTCCCCCAACCTAACCCACAGGAATGCGAGCTCCATGTGTGTGCTATATAGTAAGCACTCAGTAATACCTGTTGAAAAAATTATGAAATGAATGAATGCAGAGTGAATGGAAGGAAGACATCTTTGGGTCAACTGGAAGGGGAAAACTTAAATCTTCAGTTCAGGGGACAAGGGGAAGTCTGATAGAAACTGAGAAGGCAGTTATAGACATTTTGTCTGCCTTGGCAATAACCGGTTTCAGCTCTAAAGAGGCCTTCCTGACCAACCGTCTGTTGACAGAAGCCTAGCAGGTCCTGTTTCCTAACAGGAAAAGAGTAAGGAAAGAGTAGATTTCCTTCTCCAAGGCTGTAGGACCAGGGGTTAAGGTGGGAGGACAGGTGAGGTGGTGATAGCTTATGATGTCCCGGTGAACATTCACGCAGTGGGTACAAGCCCTCCAAATCTTGTCTCAGTGACTGCATTACCATCAGATGAGAGTTGACAGCTGTTGCTGATTAAAACATTTCCAACAGCACAGTCAAAATTGCACTATTGAGATGGTATGTGTAGATAGACACAGCCTTTATGAATGGCTTAAACATAGCCCCTTAGAGTGATCACTAGCCTTATTAATACATATAGTTGGAAATCACTTTGCAATCATGAATGAATCATTGCTCAGAGCACCCCATGGGTGAGAGGCATCTTTAGGGATTTGTCTTTCTCAAACAAGGGAAGAGGAGGCTCACGGCTGTATTTCTCTGCATTAAGGTTCTCTAAAAAGAGTTATCAGGGTATCTGGCTTTCCATCCAGGAATCCCCTTGGATGGAAATATATATCCATTATTCCAGGGATTCTCCTTCCTGGCCAGTCCCTCTGCCACCCTTCTTCAACAGGGACAGGGTCCTTTTCCACTTTTTTCCTCCTTAACACAGGTGATTGTGACTGATTAATTAGGGAACACTTTGTGGAGGTGTTTACTGGTGGTGGTGGGTCAGATTTTGCTACTGCATCAGTCTCTGAGGCAGGTGGATCAGGGCCACAATCTTGTATCCGCAGTCACCACCTCTATAAAGCTTGGAAACCCAGTTTCTTCATAACTCATCTGACAGCAAAACCTATCCTGAGTTGAACTCATTTCATGGCAAGACTTGATCTAAACTGATATCAACCTATTTATAATCTTTATTTATGCCAATTAGAGAAGTATGTCATACTTTTTGCTTCAGAAATGTTGTACTTGATTATGGGGTTCTGAGTTAGACTTTGCTAAAAATGTTACATAAAATGTAGTATATAGGCCATATTACCTTTCTAACACATGGCACCTTCTGAATTCTGAACTATATTTAACCCCAGGAGTTTTGGATAAGAAATTATCAATCCATAATTGGGGGTGGGGTTGGGGGAAGGAACAAAGAAACTACAGTATTAGCGGGGTAAGGGAGCAAAGATTTGCTTTTCTTTTCCCTCCATAGACAAAGACTCTCCAAGCACTCATCATTGGCTTCCTTGTATTCCCTGCCACTCCCCGACTCTGTAACCTCTGAATGCTAGTAACAGTCTGCATTTTAAGCCCAAACAACTCTTTGTTCCTTTCCAGTGGTGGGCTTTGGGATGGACCCTGACCTTCAGATGGATATCGTCACCGAGCTTGACCTTGTGAACACCACCCTTGGAGTTGCTCAGGTGTCTGGAATGCACAATGCCAGCAAAGCATTTTTATTTCAAGGTAAAGGCACCTCCTTTCTTGCATGGTGGCAGAGGTTGGGGAGGAGGGTCTGTCTGGGGAGTGCTCATTTGTTGTGTGTTTGTCTGGAGATCGCCTTTGCTATTTCTCTTGTGTTGCTGTCTTGAGTGTTTAGATATGCAGGGGGTATTATTCTGAGGGCAGGAGGGAGGCATTAGAGATCATGGTGGTAAAATATTTGGTTTGGCAGTGAAATATTTCCTTGATTTTGGTGAGGATCTAAAGTGGGATGGATTTATAACATACTTGAAAGCCATTGACCATCTATATTATTGTTACAGGACATTTCTCTAGCTGTTATCAATATCTTTGCCTGTACTTACACCTATACCTATATTTACATCTTTCATCTAGTGGATAGGCCATAAGAACAGAGGAAAACTTATGGCTGCATTCTCCTTGAGGTAGAGCTTACTCAGTTCTGCCCACTATAAGCGGGACCACAATTCATTAAATCATTCAGCAAGCATTTATAGAGAAAACATGGTGTGGTTCTTAGAAGCATGGTGTTTCTCACAATTCTGGAGGCTGTGAAGTCCAAGAATAAGGCATCAGCAGATTTGGTACTTAGTGGGGGCTGGCTCTGTCTGCTTCCAAGATGATGCCTTGTTACTGTGTCCTGTGGAATGCTGTGTCCTCAAATGGTGGAAGGGATGGAAAGGCAGAAAAATAACTAGCTAGTTTCCTTTCTAAAGACACTAATCCATTCACAAGGGCAAAGACTTCATAATTTAATCACTGTCTAAAGGCCCCACCTCTTAATGCACTAGGGATTAAGTTTTAATATGAATTTTGGTGGGACACAGATATTCAAATCAGCAAAGTGATAGGTCAACAGATACTTAAAAAATGGATAAAAAGCCTGGTATAGGAAGGGATGGGGTCTCACAGCATTCTGAATAGAGGAAATAGTATATATAAAGGTAAGGCAAAAGCCAACAAAAAGACTTTCGCATGGCGGAAGGGTGGTGAATGTCTAGAGGGGTAGACAGAGACTAGGTTACATGGGACCCTGTTGTCAGAGCTGATATTCTGCTGATATGTGTGGGTTTGGGTGTACTGATGATTTATGGTCAGTGTCCATTTTGATAGGTGGGATGCCATGTACTTTTTGTTACCTGTTTTAAGTATTACTCTTGCCCATAGGCCACTTAACAGCTTTGTGCTTTACTCTCAGAGAAGTGGGGCCTTTGTAGAGGTTTAAACAGGGAAATGAACTGACCAGATACCATAGTAAGGCAGCCTGGATATTCCTCTACGAAAATGTCTGGCAGGGTTCTTTTAACTCAGCCTTTTATGATGATAACAAAAGGATTATTTTAGCATGGCTGAACCAACATAATAGAATGAGATTTACATATTTACAGTGCAGATAACTTAAGACTTGTTAGTGATATGTAGCAAATCTAGAGTTATTATGTAATTATATGTAACAAGACTATGGACATACTAATTTTCACTTACTCCTTACTAATGAATTGGTGAAGTATGTAAGCTGGGCATGGTTAAAAGGGTAGACTGAATTACTTTGTTTTTGCATTGTGCTATATCTGGCCAGTCACTGTTGAGAGTCCATACCTTTCTTGATCTGAGTCTTAATCCATCATAGCAACAACTCATGCTGATACTTTATAAACAAAGTTGCTATGGAAACCTGGCTGGTCTGTAAGCTTCAAGAGGGCAGGAGTCCTGCTGACCTAGATACTCCTAGATCCTCAGGGCCACCTACTGTGCATGAAACACAGTAGGTGATCAATAAACATTTTGAATGGAATTAAAATTTCTTTTGTACTATGTACCTTATAAAAAACTTACTGCTTGCTTTAGTTACTACTATTCATTCCACAAGTGTAGGTCCCCTGGGCTGGAACTCTACTTTCTAATCTGTGCATTCTCTGTTTTGGCAACCATCTCTGTGTTGTCTGCCCGGCTACAACAACTGGGAGGGATTTTCAGCTTCTTTGGTGGGAAGAGTAACTTTTTTATGGAACTTTGACAGAGAAGGCCTTTCGCTTATATCCCCTGTGATTATATTCGGCTCACCTAGAAATTCAGGATAATCTCCCCCATCTCAATATCAGTAACTTAATCACATCTGCAAATCCCTTCTGTCATGTAAGGTAACATAATTATAGATTCTGTCAATTAGCACCTGGACATTTTTGGGGAGCCATTATTTTGTTTGCCACAAAGTCTGCCCTCTAGATCCCAAGGATTCATGTCTGTCCCACATGCAAAATACATTCACCCCATCGCAGTATCTCAAAAAGTCTTAATCCATCATAGCAACAACTCAAAGATTGAAATCTCCCTTAATCTCAGCTGAAAAATTCTACATCTCATTAAGTAATCTAAATCAGATATGGGTGAGACAGTGGGTATAATCCATTTTGGGGGAAAAATTTCTCTTTATTGTGGTCTTATGAAACTGGAAAACAGGTAATCTGCTTCCAAAATACAATGGCGGGACAGGCATAAGATACCAGTTATAGATATTTCTGTTCCAAAGGAAGGAAATGGAAAGAAGAAAGGAGTCACTGGTCCCAGACAATTGTGAAATTCAGCAGTGCAAACTCCGTTGGGTTCAAGTCTTAGAAATAATCCTCTTTGGTTTTGGCTCTGTCTTCTGGCTTGTGGCTCATTCCTCTGAGACATCGTTCATTTTTCATGAAGGATAGCATTTGTTTGCAGTTGAGTAGTTTAATCAGCTTGTTTCCTGCCTGTAAAGTTTTGGTGGTTTGTCAGACATCTTTCATTGTGTCCTCTCTCAGTCTTCTTCAGTCCAAATTGGCAGGGTTTCTGTTGGTATAGTATTCTCAAGAATCTTGAAGGTCTCCTGTCCACTAGACAAGCAGCTTATCCACAGATCTGTCCTAGATAATGCTGTCTCTATTCCTGACTACTACTGAGATGGCTGAAGGGAATCCATGATTCACATACTGATCTCTACAAAGAGGCCTCTAGGTGATTGAATATTTTGATCTTTTGATCCTTCCAAGGCACTCTCAAAAAGTTGTTTAACCACAACGTGGCTCTAGAGCAGGCTTTCCTGATAGTGTGTCTCCTTTTATTGTGTTTTGCAATCTGGATAGGCTGAGAACTCTCTGAATTATCAAGTCCTGACTCCTTTTTGCTTAACAGCTCTTCTCTCAATCCCTTACTTTTCTCTCACATTTTGCCATAAATAGCAAGAAGAAATCAGACTGTAACTTCAACACTTTGCTTGGAAATCTCCTCACCTAAATATCCAAGTTTATTTTACTTTCCACATAACTACAGGACAAAATGCAGATAAGCTTTCTGGCATCATGTAACAAGGATCCTCCATCTTTGGGTATTCATTCAATAATATGTCCCTCATTTCCTTTTATGTCTTTGCTGGGACCACTTTTAACATCTATATTTATTTTTAACTCCCTGTTGAAGGCAACTGGCCTTTTCTACCAAGCTCCTTAAAAATTTTCCAGCCTATTATCCAATGCCGAAGCCTCTTCCACATTTTTAGGTATTTGTTACAGCAGCACCCCACTTCCAGTTACCTAAAGTTTGCATTGGTTTCTTACTGGTGCTATAACAAATTTCTACAAATTTAGTGACTTAAAATAAATTTATTATCTTATACTTCTAGAGGTCATAAGTTCAAAAAAGAGATTTATGGGGCTAAAACCAAGGTGTTAGTAGGGCTGTGTTCTTTCTGGAAGCTCTACTGAATATTCATTCAGTTCATTGCCTGTTGGAGCTTCCAGAAATTGCCACATTCCTTGGCTCATGGCTGCATCAGTCCAAGGTCGACTTCTGTTGTCACATTTCCTTCTCTTTGATTCTGTCATCATATTATCTTCTCTGATATTGACCTTCTGCCTTCCATTTTCCCTTATAAGAAATCTTGTGATTATGTTGGAACCACCCAGGTAATCTAAGTATTCTCATCTCAAGATTCATAATTTAATCACATCTGCAAAATCTTTTTTTGCCATATAAGTTGACATATTAACAGGTTCTGGGGATTAAAATATGAATATCTTTTGGGGCCCATTATTCTATCATAGAATGGCTAAGCATTGTTGGGCATAAATATGAACATAATGATGTTTCCTGAGTACTACAATTAAATCTTCCTTTTTCTAGTGCAGTATGGTCCAATCGAAATGTATTGTGCGCTGCATCTTTAATTGTAACATCTGTAAGAGCCACATTAAAAAAGTAAAAAGAAACAGATAAAAGTAATTATATATTTTATTTAACCCAACATATAAAAAATATTATTTCAACGTATGGTCAACCCAAAAATATATTAATAAGATATTTTACTTTTTTTAAAAAACAAGGCCTTCAAAATTAATTGGTATTTTACACTTAAAACACATTCCGATTTGCATGCTAAATTTTTAATTTGTAGTAATTGATATGTATGTTGATTTCATAAAATTTAAAGTTAAAAACGTAGATTCATCAAATTATTCTGTACAGACAATTATTAGATTAAAAAATTAAACAGGTTTATTGAGGTATAATTATATTATAATAAACTGTGTATTCAAAATATACAACTTGGTAATTTTAATATACAAATATACCTGTGCAGCCATCATCACAATCAAGAAAAATGAACATAGTTATCACCCAAAAAGTTTACCTTTTTTCTTTTATAATTCCTCCCACTTACCTCTCCCAACCTCCACTTCTAGGCAATTATTGATCTGCTTTCTGTGACTATACACTAATTTGCATTTTCTAGAATTTTATATAAATAGAATCATACAGTATGTGCTTTTTTGGTCTGGATTCTTTTACTCATTATGGGTATTTTGAGATTTATACATATTGCAGCATGTAAAGTGCTTTTCTTACAGGCAATATATAGTTGGAGGCTAACTTTTTATTTAAACCAATAAAATAATTTGTGTTTTTTCATCAGCGTATTTAGACTATTTACATTTAATGTGATTATTGACATGATTATATTTAAATCTATCTTCTCGTGATTTGTTTCCTACCTGTTCCATGTATTCTTTGTTCCCTTTCCCCTCTTTATGTCTTCTTTTGGATTAATTGAATATTTTTTACAATTTTGTTTTATCTTTGTTGGCTTATTAGCTATAACTCTTTGTTTTGCTATTTAGTTTATAAACTCCTGACTACATTGTTATTTTTATTTAATGAGTCAATTATCTTTTAAGCAGATTTAGATAATAAAATCAATTATACGTTTAACTCATGTAGTTTCTTTTTTTCCCCAACTTTTGTTTTAGGTTCAGGGGGTACCTGTCCAGATTTGTTATATGGGTAAATTATGTGTTGCTGAGGTTTGGTATACAAACGATCCCATCACCCAGGTAGTGAGCATAATTCCCTATAGGTAGTGTTTCAGCCCACAAACTCCCTCCCACTCTCCCGCTGGAAGTAGTCCTCAGTGTCTATTTTTCCCATCTGTGTCTGTGCTCTTGCCGTTTCTGTTTTCTGTGTTCTTTGTTCTTTTGTGTAACTTTATATTTCCACCCGATATTATTTTCATCCTGCCTGAAGGACTTTCTTTAACATTTAACATTTCTTTCTTCACTAATATTTCTTATAGTGCAGGTCTGCTGGTGATGAATTCTTTTAGATTTTGTACATCTGCAAAAGTCTTTATTTTGCTTTTATTTTTGAAATATATCTTTGCTAAGTATAAAATTCTGTGCCGACAGGTTTTTGTCCCCATTCTTTAAAGATGTCTTTTCACTTATATTGTTTCCAACAAGAAGTCTGTTGTTATTATATTTTTGTCCCTCTGGAGACAAGTATTTTTCCCTGCTTTTAAGACTTTCTCTTTATCACTGATTTTGAGCTATTTTATTATGATGTCCCTGGTGTGGTTTTTGTCATGTTTCTTGCATATGAGATCTACTGAACTTGGGAAAAATTTGGCCATTATGTCTTCAAATATTTTTTCTGTTCGTTCTTTTTTTTTTTTTTCTGTAGTGACTACAATTACATGTATATATTTGACTGCTTAAAGGTGTTCCATAACTAATTGATATTATATTTATTTAAAATATTTACTAAGGCCAGGTATGGGGGCTCACACCTGTAATCCCAATACTTTGGGAGGTTTGAGGCAGGAGGATTGCTTGAGTCCAGGAATTCAAGACCAGCCTGGGCAACATAGTGAGACCCTCATCTCTACAAAAAATAAAACAAAAATTATTTTAAAAAGACTAAAAATTAAATTAAAAAAATTTAAAACATTATTCTTTTTTCTCTCTGTGTATAATTTTTGATCATTTCCATTGTTATGCCTTCAAGGTTACGAAACTTCTGTATTATCTGTCATTACTATCACTTAGTGTATTTTTTACCTCATATATTGTAGCTTTAACTCTGTAAGTTCAGTTTGACTGTGTAAAAAATCTTCCATGTCTCTACCTAACTCTTTGAATATATGAATACAGTTCTAATAACTGTTTTAATGTTGTTAATCGAAAATTCTAATAATTGTATCAGTGCTGGGCCAATTTTGATTGACTGATTTTTCTCCTCATTACTTCTTCCTTGCATGCCTCTTAATTTTTGATTAATGGCCAGTCATTGTGAATTTTACCGTCTTTGGTACTGAGCTTTTGTGTATTTTTATAAATACCTTTGAGTTTTGTTCTAGTAACTGGGACACAATTCAATTCTTTTAGATCCTACTTTAAAGGTTTGTTAGATGGGCCCAGAGAAGTGCTAGTGCTAGTAGTTAGGGTAGAACTAATTATTTACCATCACTGAGGCAAGATCCTTCAGCGTACTCTACCCAGTGACTGATAAGTCATGGGATTTTCCAGTTTGACTGGTGGAAATAGGTACTATTTCTGGCCCTCGTGTATGCTGGATACTGTTGCCTTTTGGGTGGGTCTTTCCTGTCCTTGGGTAATTTTCTAACATGTATGCACAGGTCAGTACTCAGCTGAATACTGATTTTGGGTAGATCTGTGTTTCCGTCTTTGTGCTGCTATCTTCTCTTGTGTATACTGTCCTGTGAAATCTAGGTGCCTTGGTCTCCCCAGACTTCAGCTTTCTCTCCTCAACTCAAGGAGATTGCCTGAGTTCTGCCTTCCTATGCTATGCCTGGAAACTCCCTCAGAGCAGTAAGCTATGGTAATTATAGGGCTCATCTCTTTTGTATCCCGTCTCTGAAGGATCACTGCCCTTCATTGACTGATGGCTAGTGTCTTGAAAACTGTAGTTTCATCAAATATTCACTATAAATCTAAATTAAAATTAATTAAAATTATGCAAAATTGAAAATTCATTTCCTCAGCCACACTAGCCATATTTCATGTGCTCAGTTGCTTTTTGTGGCTAGGGGTTACCATATTAGACAGTACAGATCTGGAGATGCTCAGAAATTTTACTGTTTCACCACAGCTCTGTTAATATAGGCAGACTTCAAAAATCCTGTACTTTAAGGTTAATGTATGATAGCAACTATCAAGCTACTTAAGCTCTCCATCTCAAAGTACTTCCATTTACTCACTGATAAGGTGGGGGTAATAATAGTGCCTACTATATATGGTTGTAGTGAGGGTGAAATAATACATACAAAGTGCTCGAACAGTACTTGGTGGTGAGCTCTCGTTAAACTTGAGTCTATACATTTTAAAGTAATAGGGTATAGCTTTGGCTTTTTTTCCCTCATGTGTATCATCTGCCTTATGCATTATTGATGTCAGATTTTAACCCAGAAGTAGATTAGGATAGTGGAAAAAGCAGAAGACTGGGGAAGGGCAGAAGATTAAAATCAGCATTTTTTGTTTTAATTTATTTCATCCTCACTACTATGATATAAAATAGGTACTATTATTACCCCCTTTTATCAATGAGTAAATGGAAGTATTTTGAGGCAGTATTTAAGGGTGACAGTGGATACGTCTCTTAATGTATTCAAGCCTCAGTTTCCTTGTCTGGAAATGGGACGAATAAAAAGACTGATAAGAATTCAATGACTACATATGGGAAAGCACTTCAAAAGTGCAAAGTGTAAAAAAAAAACAGTTCATTATTCTTTCCTTCATTTATTTTTATTTCTCCTAATATTTCACCATCTGATGTCCAGCTGTGAATTGTGTGTTCAGAGAATGAAAACCTTCATTTCAGTGCTAGCCTGTTAATAATATCGATACATTTAAATAGAAACCTCACTTAACTGGGAACATTTCTACAGTACCAATTGCAAAGCCTGGTAGCATTTATTTTGGGGCTAGCCAGCTTTTGAGTTATCTTTGTTACTGCTGTCTTTGTAGAGCACAAAGAATTGAGTAAGTAAGATTTTTATTTTCTTCTTGCTTGAAATAAATTTTTTTAGGGTGTTAAAAGAAAAACTTTAGACAAATTAAATTTAACAGAATTTAATTGAGCAAAGAATGATTCGTGAATCAGGCAGCCCCCGGAACCAGAATAGGTTCAGAGAGACTGTCACTGCCGGGTGGTTGGAGAGGATTTATGGACAAAAAAGGGAAAGTGATGTACAAAAAATGGAAGGAGGTGTGGTACACAAACAGCTGAATTTGTTGTAGCTTGGCATTTGCCTTGTTCGAACATTTGGCCACTGTGGCTGAAACTCGGTGATCAATATGAGTAGGTTACAGTCTGTTTACACCACCCAGTTAGGTTACAGTTTACTATGTATGGAGAAACTTTCAGGTGGAATTTACAAGGAGGAAGCTTTAGGCTAAACTTAATTTAACAATTCTCCCCTTTCAGTGCCCTCTCCAAGTAGAGAAGCTGACCAAAACTCTAGGCATTGAAGTGACTCTGTCATTATTGTAAATATATTTAGTTGGTCTCAAATATCACTGGGAAATAGTAGAACATGTGTGTATAGGGGCTTCAGTTTTTTTTTTTTTTTAATAGAGGTTAGAGTAGAGGGGTCCCTTTTATGCTGGAATCTCCTGTTTTCAGGAGAGAAAAAAACATCTGGTCTGTTTTGGGATCTCTCTCTCTCTCTTTTTTTTTTTTTCAAATTTTTAGTTTGATTATGTTATATTTAGTATGAGTGACTTCATTTTGGTTTGATCTGATCTGGTCTCTTGGGGACTAGTATATGAGTTTTGTCTAAAAGAAGGCCTCTCGTAATTTTAATAATTCTTTTAGTGAGATTTTTTCTTATTATTTAATTTTTATGAGTACATTATTACATGTGGTATTGAATATTTTGATATAGGCATACAATGTGTAATAATGGTCAGATATTAATGTAGATGAGTGTGACCAAAACTAAGGACTTCAGTGCTATTTTTGTTATTATTTTGAATTTTTGGTCTCAGTATGTCATATGTCATGTGGTGTCTTTATGACTATGTATTTTTGTTTATTGAGTTTTTGTAGTTTCAGTAGAAGACAGACTATTTGACATTTTATGAATGGCTATGTATAAACATTTACAATTTTTGGGAGAATGTAGTATGCCAGGGAGATTGGTATTATGAATATTAGGAAGATAATGTTAAGAATATGGAGTATGTTTTTTGGTTAAGGTCTTTATGAACTAAACTAAATTTTTTTTTTTTTCCGTGACAGTTTTGCTCTGTCACCCAAGTTGTAGTGCAGTGGCACAGTCTCTGCTCACTGCAACCTCCGCCTCCTGGGTTCAAGCGATTCTCCTACCTCAGCCTCCTGAGTAGCTGGGATTACAGGTGCTCACTACCACACCCAGCTAATTTTTTGTATTTTTAGTAGAGACAGGGTTTCACCATGTTGGCCAGGCTGGTCTCGAACTCCTGACCTCAACTGATCTGTCCACTTCGGCCTCCCAAAGTTCTGGGATTACAGGCATGAGCCACCATGCCTGGCCTTCTCTAACTAAAATTAAATAGGTCAAAGAATAAGTTAGACAGACTATTTGTTTTAACTAAGTAGTCTGTTTTATTAATCTCGTATAATTGAATCCCTATAATGCTTAATGTGTAACAAGAAGTATCACTAACCATACAGATTTTTTTTCCTGTTTAATAAGTATGCAATTTAAAGTAAATTATTTATTTTATTTAGTATACTTTTAGTAAGAGAATTTAAAGAAGTCCATTGTGTAACCATAGTTTTCGTAGTAGAATTTGTTATAGAGGCTACTATGAGAGAGAACTTTTTTTTTATTTTTTAAATTAAAAAAGTTTTCTCTTTGCTTTTAAAAATAATTTCAACTTTTATTTTAGATTCAGAGGGTACATGTGCAGATTTGTTACTTGGGTATATTGTGTGATGCTGAGGTTTGGTGTATAATTGATCTGGTTACCCAGGTAGTAAGGATAGTACCCAGTGGTTTTTCAACCCTTACCCATCAATATCTTCCCCCTCTCGTAGTTCCCAGTGTCTGTAGCTGCCATCTTTATGTTCATGTTTATCCAATGTTTAGCTCCCACTTATAAGTGAGAACCTGTAGTATTTGATTTTCTGTTTCTGCATTAATTTGCTTAGGATAATGGCCTCCAGCTGCATCCATGTTGCTGCAAAGAACATGATTTCATTGTTTCTTTTTATGGCTGTGTGATATTCCTTGGTATATACATATATACCACATTTTCTTTATCCAATCCACCATTAATGGCCACCTAGATTGATTGCATGTCTTTGCTATTGTGAATAGTGCTGCAACAAACATACGAGTACATGTGTTTTTTGGTAGAATGATTTATTTACTTTTGGATATATGTATTATATACCCAGTGATGGGATTGTGAGTCAATGGTGGTTCTGTTTCAGTTCTTTGAGAAATCTCCAAACTGCTTTCCAGACTGGCTGCACTCATTCACATTCCCACCAACAGTGTATAAGTGTTTCCTTTTCTCTGCAGCCTCACGAACATCTGGTGTATTTTGACTCTTTTGAACATCCATTGTATTTTGACTCTTTAGTAATAGCCATTCTGACAGGTGTGAGATGGTATCTCTTTGTGGTTTGGATTTGCATCTCTCTAATGATGAGTGATGTGGAGCGTTTTTTCATATGCTTATTGGCCGCTTATATGTCTTCTTTCTTCTTTTGAAAAGTGTTTGTTCATGTCATTTGCTCACTTTTTAATATTGTTATTTGGTTTTTGCTTGTTCAATTGTTTAAGTTCCTTATAGATTCTGGTCTTAGACCTTTGTTGGATGCATAGTTTGCAAATATTTTCTCTCATTGTGTATGCTGCCTGTTTACTCTGTTGATAGTCTTCTTTTACTATGCAGAAGCCCTTTTTTTATTTTTTATTTTTTATTATTATTATACTTTAAGTTTTAGGGTACATGTGCACAATGTGCTGGTTAGTTACATAGGTATACATGTGTCATGCTGGTGTGCTGCACCCATTAACTCATCATTTAGCATTAGGCATATCTCCTAATGCTATCCCTCCCCCCTCCCCCCACCCCACAACAGTCCCCAGAGTGTGATGTTCCCCTTCCTGTGTCCATGTGTTCTCATTGTTCAATTCCCATCTATGAGTGAGAACATGCGGTGTTTGGTTTTTTGTCCTTGCGATAGTTTACTGAGAATGATGATTTCCAATTGCATTCATGTCCCCACAAAGGACATGAACTCATCATTTTTTATGGCTGCATAGTATTCCATGGTGTATATGTGCCACATTTTCTTAATCCAGTCTATCATTGTTGGACATTTGGGTTGGTTCCAAGTCTTTGCTATTGTGAATAGTGCCGCAATAAACATACGTGTGCGTGTGTCTTTATAGCAGCATGATTTATAGTCCTTTGGGTATATACTCAGTAATGGGATGGCTGGGTCAAATGGTATTTCTAGTTCTAGATCCCTGAGGAATCGCCACACTGACTTCCACAATGGTTGAACTAGTTTACAGTCCCACCAACAGTGTAAAAGTGTTCCTATTTCTCCACATCCTCTCCAGCACCTGTTGTTTCCTGACTTTTTAATGATAGCCATTCTAACTGGTGTGAGATGGTATCTCATTGTGGTTTTGATTTGCATTTCTCTGATGGCCAGTGATGATGAGCATTTTTTCATGTGTCTTCTGGCTGCATAAATGTCTTCTTTTGAGAAGTGTCTGTTCATATCCTTTGCCCACTTTTTGATGGGGTTGTTTTTTTCTTGTGAATTTGTTGGAGTTCATTGCAGATTCTGGATATTAGCCCTTTGTCAGATGAGTAGGTTGTGAAAATTTTCTCCCATTCTGTAGGTTGCCTGTTCACTCTGATGGTAGTTTCTTTTGCTGTGCAGAAGCTCTTTAGTTTAATTAGATCCCATTTGTCAACTTTGGCTTTTGTTGCCATTGCTTTTGGTGTTTTAGACATGAAGTCCTTGCCCATGCCTATGTCCTGAATGGTGATGCCTGGGTTTTCTTCTAGGGTTTTTATGGTTTTAGGTCTAATGTTTAAGTCTTTAATCCATCTTGAATTAATTTTTGTATAAGGTGTAAGGAAGGGATCCAGTTTCAGCTTTCTACATATGGCTAGCCAGTTTTCCCAGCACCATTTATTAAATAGGGAATCCTTTCCCCATTGCTTGTTTTTCTCAGGTTTGTCAAAGATCAGATAGTTGTAGATATGTGGCGTTCTTTCTGAGGGCTCTGTTCTGTTCCATTGATCTATATCTCTGTTTTGGTACCAGTACCATGCTGTTTTGGTTACCGTAGCCTTGTAGCATAGTTTGAAGTCAGGTAGCATGATGCCTCCAGCTTTGTTCTTTTGGCTTAGGATTGACTTGGCGATGTGGGCTCTTTTTTGGTTCCATATGAACTTTAAAGTAGTTTTTTCCAATTCTGTGAAGAAAGTCATTGGTAGCTTGATGGGGATGGCATTGAATCTGTAAATTACCTTGGGCAGTATGGCCATTTTCACGATATTGATTCTTCCTACCCATGAGCATGGAATGTTCTTCCATTTGTTTGTGTCCTCTTTTGTTTCATTGAGCAGTGGTTTGTAGTTCTCCTTGAAGAGGTCCTTCACGTCCCTTTTAAGTTGGATTCCTAAGTATTTTATTCTCTTTGAAGCAATTGTGAATGGGAGTTCACTCATGATTTGGTTCTCTGTTTGTCTGTTATTGGTGTATAAGAATGCTTGTGATTTTTGTACATTGATTTTGTATCCTGAGACTTTGCTGAAGTTGCTTATCAGCTTAAGGAGATTTTGGGCTGAGACAATGGCGTTTTCTAGATATGCAATCATGTCATCTGCAAACAGGGAAAATTTGACTTCCTCTTTTCCTAATTGAATACCCTTTATTTCCTTCTCCTGCCTGATTGCCCTGGCCAGAACTTCCAACACTATGTTGAATAGGAGTGGTGAGAGAGGGCATCCCTGTCTTGTACCAGTTTTCAAACAGAATGCTTCCAGTTTTTGCCCATTCAGTATGATATTGGCTGTGGGTTTGTCATAGATAGCTCTTATTATTTTGAGATACGTCCCATCAATACCTAATTTATTGAGCGTTTTTAGCATGAAGGGTTGTTGAATTTTGTTGAAGGCCTTTTTTGCATTTATTGAGATAATCGTGTGGTTTTTGTCTTTGGTTCTGTTTGTATGCTGGATTACATTTATTGATTTGCATATATTGAACCAGCCTTGCATCCCAGGGATGAAGCCAACTTGATCATGGTGGATAAGCTTTTTGATGTGCTGCTGGATTTGGTTTGCCAGTATTTTATTGAGGATTTTTGCATCAATGTCCATCAAGGATATTGGTCTAAAATTCTCTTTTTTGGTTGTGTCTCTGACCGGCTTTGGTATCAGGATGATGCTGGCCTCATAAAACGAGTTAGGGAGGATTCCCTCTTTTTCTATTGATTGGAATAGTTTCAGAAGGAATGGTACCAGTTCCTCCTTGTACCTCTGGTAGAATTCGGCCATGAATCCATCGGGTCCTGGACTCTTTTTGGTTGGTAAGGTATTGATTATTGCCACAATTTCAGATCCTGTTATTGGTCTATTCAGAGATTCAACTTCTTCCTGGTTTAGTCTTGGGAGAGTGTATGTGTCGAGGAATTTATCCATTTCTTCTAGATTTTCTAGTTTATTTGCATAGAGGTGTTTGTAGTATTCTCTGATGGTAGTTTGTATTTCTGTGGGATCGGTGGTGATATCCCCTTTATCATTTTTTATTGTGTCTATTTGATTCTTCTCTCTTTTTTTCTTTATTAGTCTTGCTAGCAGTTTATGAATTTTGTTGATCCTTTCAAAAAACCAGCTCCTGGATTCATTAATTTTTTGAAGGGTTTTTTTTTGTCTCTATTTCCTTCAGTTCTGCTCTGATTTTATTTATTTCTTGCCTTCTGCTAGCTTTTGAATGTGTTTGCTCTTGCTTCTCTAGTTCTTTTAATTGTGATGTTAGGGTGTCAATTTTGGGTCTTTCCTGCTTTCTCTTGTGGGCATTTAGTGCTATAAATTTCCCTCTCCACACTGCTTTGAATGTGTCCCAGAGATTCTGGTATGTTGTGTCTTTGTTCTCGTTGGTTTCAAAGAACATCTTTATTTCTGCCTTCATTTCCTTATGTACCCAGTAGTCATTCAGGAGCAGGTTGTTCAGTTTCCATGTAGTTGAGTGGTTTTGAGTGAGTTTCTTAATCCTGAGTTCTAGTTTGATTACACTGTGGTCTGAGAGACAGTTTGTTATAGTTTCTGTTCTTTTACATTTGCTGAGGAGTGCTTTACTTCCAACTATGTGGTCAATTTTGGAATAAGTGTGATGTGGTGCTGAGAAGAATGTATATTTTGTTGATTTGGGGTGGAAAGTTCTGTAGATGTCTATTAGGTCCGCTTAGTGCAGAGCTGAGTTCAATTCCCGGGTATACTTGTTAACTTTCTGTCTCGTTGATCTGTCTAATGTTGACAGTGGGGTGTTAAAGTCTCCCATTATTAATGCGTGGGAGTCTAAGTCTCTTTGTGGGTCATTCAGGACTTGCTTTATGAATCTGGGTGCTCCTGTATTGGGTGCATATATATTTAGGATAGTTAGCTCTTCTTGTTGAATTGATCCCTTTACCATTATATAATGGCCTTCTTTGTCTCTTTTGATCTTTGTTGGTTTAAAGTCTGTTTTATCAGAGACTAGGATTGCAACCCCTGCCTTTTTTTGTTTTCCATTTGCTTGGTAGATCTTCCTCCATCCTTTTATTTTGAGCCTATGTGTGTCTCTGCACGTGAGATGGGTTTCCTGAATACAGCACACTGATGGGTCTTGACTCTTTATCCAACTTGCCAGTCTGTGTCTTTTAACTGGAGCATTTAGTCCATTTACATTTAAAGCTAATATTGTCGTATGTGAATTTGATCCTGTCATTATGATGTTAGCTGGTTATTTTGCTTGTTAGTTGATGCAGTTTCTTCCTAGTCTCGATGGTCTTTACATTTTGGCATGATTTTGCAGCAGCTGGTACCGGTTGTGCCTTTCCACATTTAGTGCTTCCTTCAGGAGCTCTTTTAGGGCAGGCCTGGGTTGACAAAATCTCTCAGCATTTGCTTGTCTGTAAAGTATTTTATTTCTCCTTCACTTATGAAGCTTAGTTTGGCTGGATATGAAATTCTGGGTTGAAAATTCTTTTCTTTAAGAACGTTGAATATTGGCCCCCACTCTTTTCTGGCTTGTAGAGTTTCTGCCGAGAGATCCGCTGTTAGTCTGATGGGCTTCCCTTTGAGGGTAACCCGACCTTTCTCTCTGGCTGCCCTTAACATTTTTTCCTTCATTTCAACTTTGGTGAATCTGACAATTATGTGTCTTGGAGTTGCTCTTCTCGAGGAGTATCTTTGTGGCGTTCTCTGTATTTCCTGAATCTGAATGTTGGCCTGCCTTGCTAGATTGGGGAAGTTCTCTTGGATAGTATCCTGCAGAGTGTTTTCCAACTTGGTTCCATTCTCCCCGTCACTTTCAGGTACACCAATCAGACGCAGATTTGGTCTTTTCACATAGTCCCATATTTCTTGGAGGCTTTGTTCGTTTCTTTTTATTCTTTTTTCTCTAAACTTCCCTTCTCGCTTCATTTCATTCGTTTCATCTTCCATCACTGATACCCTCTCTTCCAGTTGATTGCATGGGCTCCTGAGGCTCTGCATTCTTCACATAGTTCTCAAGCCTTGGCTTTCAGCTCCATCAGCTCCTTTAAGCACTTCTCTGTATTGGTTATTCTAGTTATACATTCGTCTAAATTTTTTTCAAAGTTTTCAACTTCTTTGCCTTTGGTTTGAATTTCCTCCTGTAGCTCGGAGTAGTTTGATCATCTGAAGCCTAGGTCCTCCTTGTTAATTTTTGTTTTTCTTGTGATTGCTTTTGAGGTACTAGCCATAAATTCTTTGTCAAAGCTGTTGTCCAGAATGGTATTTTCTGGGTTTTCTTCTAGGATTTTTATAGTTTGAGGTCTTATATTTAAATCTTTAATCCATCTTGAGTTAATTTTTGCATATAGTGAGAGACAGGAGTCTATTTTCATTCTTCTGTATATGGCTGGTCAGTTATCCCAGCACCATTTATTGAATAGGGGGTCCTTTCCCCATCACTTATCTTTGTCCATTTAGTAAAGATCAGATGGTTGTAGGCGTGTGGTTTTATTTCTGGATTCTCTATTCTGTTCTATTGGTCTATGTGCTTGTTTTTGTACTAATACCATGCTGTTTACTGTAGGTTACTGTAGCCTTATAGTATAGTTTGGTAATAGAAAATATAGAAGTGGGGTAATGTGATGTTTCTGTGGGGTAATGCTCTTTCTGCTTAAGATTGTTTTGGTTATGTCAGCTCTTTTTTGGATCCACATACATTTTAGTGTAGGTTTTTTTTTAATTCTATGAAAAATGACATTGGTAGTTTTATAGGAGTTGTGTTGAATCCATAGATTGCTTTGGATTATATGGTCATTTTAATGATAGTGATTCTTCTAATCCATGAACATGGAACGTTTCTTCATTTACTTGTGTCATCTATAGTTTCCTTTAGCAGTGTTTTATAGTTCTCCTTGTAGAGAGCTTTCACCTCCATTGTTAGGTGTGTTTCTAGGTATTTTATTTTTTTGTGCATATATTATAAATGGGACTGTGTCCTTGACTTGGCTCTCAGCTTGAACGTTACTGTTATATAAAAATGTTACTGATTTTTATACATTGATTTTCTCTCCTGAAAGTTTACTGAAGTCGTTTATGAGTTCCAGGAACCTTTTGGCATAGTCTTCAGGGTTTTCTAGGTAGAGAATCATATCATCAGTGAAGAGGGATATTTGGACTTTTTCTTTTCCTATTTGGATGCCTTTAATGTCTTCCTGTTGCCTAATTGGTCTGACTAGCACTTCCAGTACTGTGTTGAATAGGAGTGGTGAAAGTAGACATCTTTGCCTGTTCCATTTCTCAAGGGGAATGCTCCCAGCTTTTGCCTGTCCAATACGATGGTGGCTATGGGTTTGCATAGATGACTTTTATTATTTTGAGGTATGTTCCTTTGATGTTTAGTTTCTTGAGGGTTTTTATCATAAAGAGACGTTGGATTTTATCAAAAGCTTTTTCTGTGCCTATTTGGATGATCATATGGTTTCTGTTTTAGTTTTCTTTATGTGGTGAATGACATTTATTGATTTGTGTATGTTGATTACATCCCTACTTGATCATGATGAATTAACTTTTTGATGTGCTACTGGATTCTGTTTGCTCGTATTTTGTTGAAGAATTTTGTGTCTATGTTCATTAGGGTAGGGATGTTGGCTTATAGTTTTAGTTTTTCATTGTGTCTTTGTTTTTTGATAACAGGGTGATGCTGGCTTCGTAGAATGAGTTAGGAAGGAGTCCTCCCTCTTCAATTTTTCACAATAGTTTCAGTGGAATTGGTACCAGCTTTTCTTTGTACATCTGGTAGAATTTGGCTGTGAATCCATCTGGCCTGGGCTTTTTTTTTGGTAGATAGGATTTTTTAAAATTACTTATTCAATCTCAGAAGTTGATATTGGTTTGTTCAGGGGTTCAATTCCTTCTTGGTTCAATCATGAGAAGTTACGTGTTTCCAGGAATTTATCCATTTCTGGATAGATTTTCTGGTTTGTGTGCATAGAGATGTGTATAGTAGTCTCTGAGGATCTTTTGTATTTCTGGGGGATTGGTTGAAATGTCACCTTTGTTGTTTCTGATTGTGCTTTTTTGGATATTCTTTTTTCCTTGTTAATCTAGCTAGTGCTCTATTGATCTTGTTTATACTTTCAAATACCCAACTTTTGGTTTCATTGATTCTTTGGGTGGACTTTTGAGTCTTAATTTCTTTCAGTTCTGCTCTTATTTTAGTTATTTATTTTCTTCTGCTAGCTTTGGGGTTAGTTTTTTCTTTTTCTAGGAGTGAAAAACACTAGGTTTGGGGTCATTTTTGTCTTGTTACTCTGGGTGTGATGTTAGATCATTGATGTGAGATCTTTCTAACTTTTTAAGGTAGGCCTTTAGTGCTATAAGCCTTCTTCTTAACACTGCTTTTGCTGCAGAGGGATATATT
The DNA here is from genome assembly GCF_000001405.40 of Homo sapiens. Classification (NCBI taxonomy): domain Eukaryota; kingdom Metazoa; phylum Chordata; class Mammalia; order Primates; family Hominidae; genus Homo; species Homo sapiens. Next base: position 20,696,499 of record NC_000011.10, read on the forward strand.
TAACATTATTGCCACATTTATTTTAAACTATGCCAAAAGGGACCTAATAAATGATGTCTATCTAGAAGAGGGAAAGCCTTTGGTAATGTTTTTCATTTTTTAACCTATTATAGGTTGTAAGGAGTGGACTTATGTTTTGTTTGTGCCTGATTATGAAGTAATAAAAATACTACTCAATTTTTTTGGTCTACATCTTACCATTTATTTTTTGTCATCTGACACTGTCACAATAACTTTAGAAAAATTACATTTAATGAAGTTTAAGCAAAGAATAATTTGTGAATTGAACAGCCACCCTCCTCAACTCCAAACAACCAGAATAAGTCTAGTACTGTCACGTGGTTGGAGAGGATTTACAGACAGAAAAAAGAAAGTGATATACATAAAACAAAAGTGAGGTATGGAAATAGCTGAATTGTTTATAGCTTGGCATTTGCTTTATTTAAACACTGTTTAAACAGTTGGCTGCCTTTGGTTGGCTAAAACTCAATGATTGGTTTAAGAGTATGTTACAGTCTGTTTACACATCCAGTTAGGTTTCAGTTCACTATGTATAGAAAAACCTCTAGGCCAAACTTACAAGGAGGCAACTTTAGACCAAATTTAGCAACAAATTAGCGATGGTGCCGGGAAAAGAATGAGTGTCTATGGGTAAGGCTGGCACAGATATTTAAGTTGAAAACTATTCTAAACACCAGCATTAGATTTTCAAAAATCATTTTGGAACACCTCTGCTTTGCTTTGAGTGGTACTCAGAGGAGATCTGAGAGTTTGAAACTATACTTCTCCTTGACTGACAGTGTCTTAGTGTTAAGTAGTTGGGAGGATGTGTCATCGGTGGTTCATTTATAAAAGTGAATTAGAATATGCATGAGTGCAAATTCTTTAATATGTTGCTTTTTTTTTTTTTTTTCCTGCCAGGAAAGTGCTACCTTTCAGGAGTTCTGCTTCAAAAGAGTTTCTAAAGGAAGAATAGATAGTATCTTTCAAGTAGCTTGTTTTATGTAACAAGATAGAACAAAGGCTAATGTAGCTGCTTCCAGGGGAAGATTCAGGAATTTAGCACCTGTTTGCCTTCTAGGCTTTGAGCTACATGTTGTGGAAGACCTAGATGAATAAGGTAAAGATCTCAGCCTCAACTACGTTACAGTTCAGAAGGGCAAATATGACCTCTGGCACCCTAATTCAGAATAAAAGAGAACTGGCTTGCCGTCAAGTGTGGATAAAGTCTTAAGAGTGTTCAAGAAAGAAATTTCTTACTGGATGACCTGGGAAATGGTCTTTGGGGGAGGTGGCACCTGAACAGACCTTGGAAGATGTACAGGAGTTAAATATGTGGTTTCTTTTTCATAGGAACACTGCCCATGTGTAACCATTTTCACAAAACCGTGCTTGAGGTTTGAGCTATAGCTGTTAATGCTCAGAAAATCTGAGTAAGATGGAATTACCCAAAGGGTTTGTTAAATGCCGATCTTCCAGATTTCCTGCCACCCACTGTTGCCCAAGTCTGAATTGTTTTTTCTGTTGATTGGATGAGCCTAGTCACTAATTACCTCAGGGAGCATTTACTAGTCAACCTTACTTTGAGTGGAGTGATTTAGTATAACTTTGCATTTAATCAATTAGCCGAGTGATTCAATTCACATACCAGTGTCTCCCAAATAGAAGTGTTTTTGCTCTTGCCAAATAAAAGCTCAAGCTAGCCGTGAGAGTGGAGTGGTTTTTCAAATCTCTCTCTGGGGCAAATTAACACCTGCACTGGCTTATTCTGGAAAATCATTAAATGGCTTTGTGATTATCGTAGAGCAAATAAACTGTGTTTATTCTCCAAATCTGTCCACTTCTACCGTCTGCACTAAAATCTCTTCTCTCAGTCATGCTCCTTCTGCCATCAAATAGTACATTAAGGAAAGCAGAGATGGAGAGAGACAGCAGAGAATGCAAAATCATAAGAATTATTTTAGAAACTATTTAGCTATATGGGCCAATTTCATCTGAACAAATTAACCTTGGGCAAATTGCTTCATCTCTTAAATGTGTTGCCTCTTCAGACATTGAATAATAATGATAATGTCCAAGGTAGAAGATATTTTTAAGGATTAATTTAGATAACTTAAATTCATGGTGTGAGAAAAAGACATTCATATTAAAATTTCTTTCAATAGTTTTTGGGGAACAGGTGGTTTTTGGTTACATGGATAAGTTATTTAGTGGTGCTTTCTGAGATTTTGGTGCACCCATGACCTGGGTAGTGTACACTGTACCTAATGTGTAGCTTTTTAATCCCTCACCCCATTCCTACCCTTCCCCACAAGTCCCCGAAGTCCATTATATTATTCTTTTCCTTTGCATTCTCATAGCATAGCTCCCACTTATAAGTTATACAATATTTGGTTTTCCATTCCTGAGTTACTTCATTTAGAATAACGGTCTCCAAACTGGGCGTGGTGGCTCATGCCTGTAATCCCAGTACTTTGGGAGGCCGAGGTGGGCAGATCACCTGAGGTCAGGAGTTTGAGACCAGCCTGGCCAACATGGTGAAACCCTGTCTCTACTAAAAATACAAAAATTAGCTGGGCATGGTGGCGCACATCTGTAGCCCTAGCTACTCGGGAGGTTGAGGCAGGAGAATTGCTTGAACCCAGGAGGCGGAGGTTGTAGATAGTGGAGATCGTACCACTGTACTCCAGCCTGGGCAACAGAGCAAGACTCTGTCTCAAAAACAAACAAAAAAAACAAAACAAACAAAAAAGAATAACGGTCTCCAACTCCATCCATGTTGCTGTGAATGCCATTATTTCTTTCCTCTTTATGGCTGAGTAGTATTCCAAGGTATATATATGTATACACCACATTTTCTTTTTCTTTTTCTTTTTTTTTGAGATGGAGTCTCGCTCTGTCACTCAGGCTGGAGTGCAGTGGTGCGATCTCCGCTCACTGCAACCTCTACCTCCTGGGTTCAAACGACTCCTCTGCCTTAGCCTCCCCAGCAGCTGGGACTACAGGTGCACGCCACCATGCCCAACTAATTTGTGTATTTTAGTAGAGATGGAGTTTCACCATATTGGCCAGGCTGATCTCAAACTCCTGACCTCATGATCTGCCCACCTTGGCCTCCCAAAGTGCTGGGATTACAGGCGTGAGCCACTGTGCCTGGCCACACATTTTCTTTATCTACTCATTGGTAGATGGGCATTTAGGCTGGCTCCATATTTTTGCAATTGCTGATTGCGCTGCTATAAACATGCATGTGCAAGTTTCTTTTTTATATAATGACTTTTCCTCTGGGTAGATACCCAATAGTGGAATTGCTGGATCAAATGGTAGTTCTACTTTAGTTCTTTAAGGAATCTCCATACTGTTTTCCATAGTGGTTGTACTGGTTTACATTCTTACCAGCAGTGTAAAAGTGTTCCCTTTTTTATCACATCCATGCCAACACCTATAATTTTTTAGTTTTTAAACTATGGCCATTCTTGCAGGAGTAAGGTGGTATCTCATTGTGGTTTTAATTTTCATTTCCCTGATAATTAGGGACGTAGAACTTTTTTTTTATAAAATGATGCTTTCATTATCAGTCAACATAGTCCTTGACAAAGCAAGCTTCATTACAGAACTGTTTTTAGAAAAAACAAAAACAAAAACAAAACAGAGCTTAAAAAACAAAATATATGTTAAATGGATAATATGTATTTCAATAGGCTGGGTGCAGTGTCTCATGTCTGTAATCCCAGCACTTTGGGAAGCCAAGGCAGGTGGATCATGAGGTCAGGAGTTCAAGAACAGCCTGGCCAATATAGTGAAACCCCGTCTCTACTAAAAATACAAAAATTAGCCAGGCATGGTGGCACGTGCCTGTAGTCCTAGCTACTCGGGAGGCTGAGGCAGGAGAATTGCTTGAACCTGGGAAGCAGAGGTTGCAGTGATCCAAGGTAGTGCCACTGCATTCCAGCCTGAGCAACAGAGTGAGACTCCATCTCAAAAAAGACAAAGAAAAAAAAATATATATATTTCAATAAAATTTTTTTTATTATACTTCTAGGATACATGTGCACAACATGCAGGTTTGTTACATGTGTATACATGTGCCATGTTGGTGTGCGGCACCCATTAACTCGTCATTTACATTAGGTATATATCCTAATGCTATCTGTCCCCCCTTCCCCCACCCCACAACAGGCCCCAGTTTCTGATGTTCCCCACCCTGTGTCCAAGTGCTCTCATTGTTCAATTCCCACCTCTGAGTAAGAACATGCGGTGTTTGGTTTTCTGTCCTTGTGATAGTTTGCTGAGAATGATGGTTTCCAGTTTCATCCATGTCCCTACAAAGGACATGAACTTATCCTTTTTTATGGCTGCCTAGTATTCCATGGTGTATATGTGCCACATTTTCTTAACCCAATCTATCACTGATGGACATTTGGGTCAGTTCCAAGTCTTTGCTATTGTGAATAGTGCCACAATAAACATACGTGTGCATGTGTCTTTATAGCAGCATGATTTATAGTCCTTTGGGTATGTACTCAGTAATGGGATGGCTGGGTCAAATGGTATTTCTAGTTCTAGATCCTTGAGGAATCGCCACACTGTCTTCCACAATGGTTGGACTAGTTTACAGCCCCACCAACAGTGTAAAAGTGTTCCTATTTCTCCACATCCTCTGCAGCACCTGTTGTTTCTTGTCTTTTTAATAATTGCCATTCTAACTGGTGTGAGATGGTATCTCATTGTGGTTTTGATTTGCATTTCTCTGATGCTCAGTCATGATGAGCATTTTTTCATGTGTCTTTTGGCTGCATAAATGTCTTCTTTTGAGAAGTGTCTGTTCATATACTTTGCCCACTTTTTGATGGGGTTGTTTGATTTTTTCTTGTAAGTTTGTTTAAGTTCTTTGTAGATTCTGGATATTAGCCCTTTGTCAGTTGGGTAGACTGTAAAATTTTCTCCCATTCTGTAGGTTGCCTGTTCACTCTGATGGTAGTTTCTTTTGCTGTGCAGAAGCTCTTTAGTTTAATTAGATCCCATTTGTCAACTTTGGCTTTTGTTGCCATTGCTTTTGGTGTTTTAGACATGAAGTCCTTGCCCATGCCTATGTCCTGAATGGTGATGCATAGGTTTTCTTCTAGGGTTTTTATGGTTTTAGGTCTAACATTTAAGTCTTTAATCCATCTTGAATTCATTTTTGTATAAGGTGTAAGGAAGGGATCCAGTTTCAGCTTTCTACATATGGCTAGCCAGTTTTCCCAGCACCATTTATTAAATGGGGAATCCTTTCCCCATTGCTTGTTTTTGTCAGGTTTGTCAAAGATCAGATGGTTGTAGATGTGCGGTATTATTTCTGAGGGCTCTGTTCTGTTCCATTGGTCTATATCTCTGTTTTGGTACCAGTACCATGCTGTTTTGGTTACTGTAGCCTTGTAGTATAGTTTGAAGTAAGGTAGCATGATGCCTCCAGTTTTGTTCTTTTGGCTCAGAATTGTCTTGGCAATGCAGGCTCTTTTTTGATTCCATATGAACTTTAAAGTAGTTTTTTTCCAATTCTGTGAAGAAAGTCATTGGTAGCTTGATGGGGATGGCATTGAATCTATAAATTACCTTGGGCAGTATGGCCATTTTCATGATACTGAGTTTCCTATCCATGAGCATGGAATGTTCTTCCATTTGTTTGTGTCCTCTTTTGTTTCATTGAGCAGTGGTTTGTAGTCCTCCTTGAAGAGGTCCTTCACATCCCTTGTAAATTGGATTCCTAGGTATTTTATTCTCTTTGAAGCAATTATGAATAGGAGTTCACTCATGATTTGGCTCTCTGTTTGTCTGTTATTGGTGTATAAGAATGCTTGTGATTTTTGCACATTGATTTTGTATCCTGAGACTTTGCTGAAGTTGCTTATCAGCTTAAGGAGATTTTGGGCTGAGACAATGGGGTTTTCTAAATATACAATCATGTCATCTGCAAACAGGGACAATTTGACTTCCTCTTTTCCTAACTGAATACCCTTTATTTCCTTCTCCTGCGTGATTGCCCTGGCCAGAACTTCCAACACTATGTTGAATAGGAGTGGTGAGAGAGGGCATCCCTCTCTTGTGCCAGTTTTCAAACGGAATGCTTCCAGTTTTTGCCCATTCAGTATGATATTGGTTGTGGGTTTGTCATAAAAAGCTCTTATTATTTTGAGATACGTCCCATCAATACCTAATTTATTGAGAGATTTTAGCATGAAGCGCTGTTGAATTTTGACAAAGGCCTTTTCTGCATCTATTGAGAAATCATGTAGTTTTTGTCTTTGGTTCTCTTTATATGATGGATTACGTTTATTGATTTGTGTATGTTGAAGCAGCCATGCATCCCAGGGATGAAGCCCACTTCATCATGGTGGATAAGCTTTTTGAGGTGCTGCTGGATTTGGTTTGCCAGCATTTTATTGAGGATTTTTGCATTGATGTTCATCAGGCATAGTGGTCTAAAATTCTCTTTTTTTGTTGTGTCTCTGCCAGGCTTTGGATGATGCTGGCCTTATAAAGTGAGTTAGGGAGGATTCCCTCTTTTTTCTATTGATTGAAATAGTTTCAGAAGGAATGGTACCAGCTCTTGCTTGTACCTCTGTTAGAATTCAGCTGTGAATCTGTCTGGTGCTGGACTTTTTTTGGCTGGTAGGCTATTACTTATTGCCTCAATTTCAGAGCCTGTTACTGGTCTATTCAGGGATTGAACTTCCTGGTTTAGTGTTGGGAGGGTGTATGTGTCGAGGAATTTATCCGTTTCTTCTAGATTTTCTAGTTCATTTATGTAGAGGTGTTTATAGTATTCTCTGATGGTAGTTTGTATTTCTGTGGGATCGGTGGTGATATCCCCTTTATCATTTTTTATTGCGTCTATTTGATTCTTCTCTCTTTTCTTCTTTATTAATCTTGCTAGCAGTCTATGAATTTTGTTGATCTTTTCAAAAAACCAGCTCCCGGATTCATTGGTTTTTTTGAAGGTTTTCTTTTGTGTCTCTATCTCCTTCAGTTTTGCTCTGATCTTAGTTATTTCTTGCCTTCTGCTAGCTGTTGAATGTGTTTGCTCTTGCTTCTCTAGTTCTTTTAACTGTGATGTTAGGGTGTCAATTTTAGATCTTTCCTGCTTTCTCTTGTAGGCATTTAGTGCTATAAATTTCTCTCTACACACTGCTTTAAATGTGTCCCAGAGATTCTGGTATGTTGTGTCTTTGTTCTCACTGGTTTCAGAGAACATCTTTATTTCTGCCTTCATTTCCTTATGTACCCGAAAGTCATTCAGGAGCAGGTTGTTCAGTTTCCATGTAGTTGAGTGGTTTTGAGTGAGTTTCTAAATCCTGAGTTCTAGTTTGATTGCACTGTGGTCTGAGAGACAGTGTGTTATAATTTCTATTCTTTTACATTTGCTGAGGATTGCTTTACTTCCAACTATGTGGTCAATTTTGGAATAAGTGTGATGTGGTGCTGAGAAGAATGTATATTCTGTTGATTTGGGGTGGAGAGTTCTGTAGATGTCTATTAGGTCCGCTTGGTGTAGAGCTGAGTTCAATTCCCGGGTATCCTTGTTAACTCTCTGTCTTGCTGATCTGTGTAATGTTGACAGTGGGGTGTTAATGTCTCCCATTATTATTGTGTGAGAGTCTAAGTCTCTTTGTAGGTCTCTAAGGTCTTGCTTTATGAATCTGGGAGCTGCTGTATTGGGTGCATATGTATTTAGGATCATTAGCTCTTCTTGTTGAATTGATCCCTTTACCATTATGTAATGGCCTTCTTTGTCTCTTTTGATCTTTGTTGGTTTAAAGTCTGTTTTATCAGAGACTAGGATTGCAACCCTTGCTTTTTTTTGTTTTCCATTTGCTTGGCAGATCTTCCTCCATCCTTTTATTTTGAGCCTATGTGTGTCTCTGCTGGTGAGATGGGTCTCCTGAACACAGCACACTGATGGGTCTTGACTCTTTATCCAATTTGCCAGTCTGTGTCTTTTAATTGGAGCATTTAGCCCATTTAGATTTAAGGTCAATATTAGTATGTGTGAATTTGATCCTGTCATTATGATGTTAGCTGGTTATTTTGCTTGTTAGTTGATGCAGTTTCTTCCTAGCCTTGATGGTCTTTAGAGTTTGGCATGTTTTTGCAGTGGCTGGTACCAGTTGTTCCTTTCCATGTTCAGTGCTTCCTTCAGGAGCTCTTGTAAGTCAGGCCTGGTGGTGACAAAATCTCTCAGCATTTACTTGTCTGTAAAGGATTTTATTTCTCCTTCACTTACGAAGCTTAGTTTGGCTGGATATGAAATTCTGGGTTGAAAATTCTTTAAGAATGTCAAGATACAAAATCAATATGCAAAAATTCACAGACATTCTTATACACCAATAACAGACAAACAGAGAGCCAAATCATGAGTGAACTCCCATTCACAATTGCTTCAAAGAGAATAAAATACCTAGGAATCCAATTTACAAGGGATGTGAAGGACCGCTTCAAGGAGAACTACAAACCACTGCTCAATGAAATAAAAGAGGATACAAACAAATGGAAGAACATTCCATGCTCACGGGTAGGAAGAATCAATATCGTGAAAATGGCCATACTGCCCAAGGTGATTTACAGATTGAATGACATCCCCATCAAGCTACCAATGGCTTTCTTCACAGAAATGGAAAAAACTACTTTAAAGTTCATATGGAACCAAAAAAGAGCCCACATTGCCAAGTCAATCCTAAGCCAAAAGAACAAAGCTGGATGCATCACGCTACCTGACTTCAAACTATATGCTACAAGGCTACAGTAACCAAAACAGCATGGTACTGGTACCAAAACAGAGATATAGACCAATGGAACAGAACAGAGCCCTCAGAAATAATGCCGCATATCTACAACCATCTGATCTTTGACAAACCTGACAAAAACAAGCGATGGGGAAAGGATTCCCTATTTAATAAATGGTGCTGGGAAAACTGGCTAGCCATATGTAGAAAGCTGAAACTGGATCCCTTCCTTACACCTTATACAAAAATGAATTTAAGATGGATTAAAGACTTAAATGTTAGACCTAAAACCATAAAAACCCTAGAAGAAAACCTAGGCAATACCATTCAGGACATAGGCGTGGGCAAGGACTTCCTGTCTAAAACACCAAAAGCAATGGCAACAAAAGCCAAAATTGACAAATGGGATCTAATTAAACTAAAGAGCTTCTGCACAGCAAAAGAAACTACCATCAGAGTGAACAGGCAACCTACAGAATGGGAGAAAATTTTTGCAACCTACTCATCTGACAAAGGGCTAATATCCAGAATCTACAATGAACGCCAACAAATTTACAAGAAAAAATCAAACAACCCCATCAAAAAGTGGGCAAAGTATATGAACAGACACTTCTCATAAGAAGACATTTATGCAGCCAAAAGACACGTGAAAAAATGCTCATCATGACTGGCCATCAGAGAAATGCAAATGAAAACCACAATGAGATACCGTCTCACACCAGTTAGAATGGCGATTATTAAAAAGTCAAGAAACAACAGGTGCTGCAGAGGATGTGGAGAAATAGGAACACTTTTACACTGTTGGTGGGGCTGTAAACTAGTTCAACCATTGTGGAAGACAGTGTGGCGATTCCTCAAGGATCTAGAACTAGAAATACCGTTTGACCCAGCCATCCCATTACTGGGTTATATACCCAAAGGACTATAAATCATGCTGCTATAAAGACACATGCACACATATGTTTATTGTGGCACTATTCACAATAGCAAAGAGTTGGAACCAACCCTAATGTTCAAGAATGATAGACTGGATATAAGAAAATGTGGCATATATACACCATGGAATACTATGCAGCCATAAAAAATGATGAGTTCATGTCCTTTGTAGGGACATGGATGAAGCTGGAAACCATCATTCTCAGCAAACTATCACAAGGACAAAAAACCAAACACCGCATGTTTTTACTCAGAGGTGGGGATTGAACAATGAGAACACATGGACACAGGAAGGGGAACATCACACACTGGGGACTGTTGTGGGGTTGGGGGGGAGGGGGGAGGGATAGCATTAGGAGATATACCTAATGCTAAATGATGAGTTAGTGGGTGCAGCACACCAACATGGCACATGTATACATATGTAACAAACCTGCACGTTGTGCACATGTACCCTAAAACTTATAATAATAACAAAATAAAAAAAAAAGGAATGTTGAATATTGGCCCCCACTTTTTTCTGACTTGTAGAGTTTCTGCTGAGAGATCCTCTCTTAGTCTGATGGGCTTCCCTTTGTGGGTAACCCAACCTTTCTCTCTGGCTGTCCTTAATATTTTTTCCTTCATTTCACCTTTGGTGAATCTGACAATTATGTGTCTTGGAGTTGCTCTTCTCAAGGAGTATCTTTGTGGCGTTCTCTGTATTTCCTGAATTTGAATGTTGGCCTGCCTTGTTAGGTTGGGGAAGTTCTCCTGAAGAGTATTTTCCAACTTGGTTCCACTCTCCCCATCATTTTTAGGTACACCAATCAGATGTAGACTTGGTCTTTTCACATAGTCCCATATTTCTTGGAGGCTTTGTTCATTTTACTCTTTTTTCTCTAAACTTCTCTTCTCGCTTCATTTCATTCATTTGGTCTTCAATCACTGATACCCTTTGTTCCACTTGGTCGAATTGGCTACTGAAGCTTGTGCGTTTGTCACGTAGTTCTCCTGCCATGGTGTTCAGCTCTATCAGGTCATTTAAGGTCTTCTTGGTGCTGTTTATTTTAGTTAGCCATTCATCTAATCTTTTTTCAAGGTTTTTAGCCTCTTTGTGATGGGTTTGAACTTCCTCCTTTAGCTCAGAGAAGTTTGTTATTACCAATCGTCTGAAGTCTTCTTCCCTCAACTCGTCAAAATCATTATCTGCTCAGCTTTGTTCCATTGCTGGCAAGGAGCTGCATTCCTTTGGAGGAGAAGAGGCGCTCTGATTTTGAGAATTTTCAGCTTTCCTTCTCTGGTTTCTCTCCATCTTTGTGGTTTTATCTACCTTTGGTCTTTGATGATGGTGATGTACAGATTGGGTTTTGGTGTGGATGTCCTTTCTGTTTGTTAGTTTTCCTTCTAACAGTCAGGACCCTCAGCTGCAGGTCTGTTGGAGTTTGCTGGAGGTCCATTCCAGACCCTGTTTGCCTGGGTTTCACCAGTAGAGGCTGCAGAATAGCAAGTATTGCAGAACGGCAGATGTTGCTGTCTGATCCTTCCTCTGGAAGCTTTGTCTCAGAGGGGCACCTGGCTGTAAGAGGTGTCAGTCGGTTAGGCTACTCAGGGATCTGGGACCCACTTGAGGAGGCAGTCTGTCCATTCTCAGATCTCAAACTCCATGCTGGGAGAACAACTACTTTCTTCAAAGCTGTCAGACAGGGACGTTTAAGTCTGCAGAACTTTCTGCTGCCTTTTCTTCAGCTATGCCCTGCCCCCAGAGCTGGAGTATACAGGGGCAGGCAGGCCTGCCTGAGCTGCAGTGGGCTCCACCCAGTTGGAGCTTCCCGGCTGCTTTGTTTACCTACTTAAGCCTCAGCAATGGTGAGCGCCCCTCTCCCAGCCTCGCTGCTGCTTTGCAGTTTGATCTCAGACTGCTGTGCTAGTGGTGAGTGAGGCTGTGTGGGCGTGGGACTCTCTGAACCAGGCACAGGATATAATCTCCTAATGTGCTTCTTGCTAAGACTGTTGGAAAGCACAGTATTAGGGTGGGAGTGTCCCGATTTTCCAGGTACCATCTGTCATGGCTTCCCTTGGCTAGGAAAGGGAATTCCCCGATCCCTTGCACTTCCCGGGTGAGGCGATGCCCCGCCCTGCTTCGGCTCACACTCCTTGGGTTGCACCCACTGTCTGACAAGCCCCAGTGAGATGAACTGGGTACCGCAGTTGGAAATGCAGAAATCACCCGTCTTCTGGGTCACTCATGCTGGGAACTGTGGACTGGAGCTCTTCCTGTTCAGCCATCTTGGAACCTCCCTGAACATTTTTTTTTTAATGTTTTTTGGCCATTTGTATATCTTCTTTTGAGAATTGTCTATTCATGTCCTTTGCTTACTTTTTGATGGTATTATTTGCTTTTTTTCTTGCTGATTTGCTTGAGTTCCTTGTAGAGTCTGGATATTAGTTCTTTGTCAGATGCATAATTTGTGAATATTTTCTCCCACTCTTTTGGTTGTCTGTTTACTCTGCTGGTTATTTCTTTTGCTGTGCAGAAGTTTTTTAGTTTAATTAGGTCCCATCCATTTATTTTTTGTTGCATTTGCTTTCAGATTCTTGGTCATGAAGTCCATGTCTAAGCGAATGTCTGGAACAGTGGTCCGCAAACTTTTTGGCACCAGGGACCAGTTGCATGGAAGACAATATTTCCATGGACTGTGGTGGGGGCAGGCGATGGTTTCAGGATGAAGCTGTTTCACCTCAGATCATCAGGCATTAGATTCTTAAAAGGAGCACACAACCTAGATTCCTTGCATGCACAGTTCACAATAGGGGTCATGCTCCTATGAGAATCTAATGCTGCTGCTGATCTGATAGGTGGCAGAACTCAGGTGGTAATGCTTGCTTCTTTACTGCTCACCTGCTGCTGTGTGGCCCGGTTCCTGACAAGGGGTTGGGGACCCCTTGTCTCGAAGAGTTTTTCTGATGTTATCTTCTAGAATTTTTATGGTTTCCGGTCTTAGATTTAAGTCTGACCCATCTTGAGTTGATTTTTGTCTAAGGAGAGAGACGAGGATCCAGTTTCATTATTCGACCTGGGGCTTGCCAATTATCCCAGCACCATTTGTTTAATAGGGTATTCTTTCCCTACTTTGTATTTTTGTTTGCTTTGTTGAAGATTAGTTGGCTGTAAGTATTTGGCTTTAATTTCTGGGTTCTCTATTCTGTTCCATTGGTCTATGTGACTATTTTTATACCAGTACCATGCTGTTTTGTTAACTATAGCCTTGTAGTACAATTTGAAGTTGAGTAATGTGATGCCTTCAAATTTGTTCTTTTTGTTTAGTCTTGCTTTGGCTGCATGGAGTATTTCTTGGTTCCATAGGAATTTTAGGATTCTTTTTTCTAGTTCTGTGAAGAATTTTGATGGTATTTTGATGGGAATTGCATTGCATCTGTAGATTGCTTTTGGCACTAAGGTCATTTTCACAATATTGATTCTACCCATCCGTAAGTGTGGGATGTATTTCCACTTGTTTGTGTCATCAATAATTTCTTTCAATAGTGTTTTGTAGTTTTCCTCATATAGATTTTTCACGTCCTTGGTTAGGTATATTATTAATATTTTATTATTATTCTTATTTTTTGCAGCTGATGTAAAAGGGATTGAGTTCTTGATTTGATTCTCAGCTTTGTCATTGTTGGTGTATGTCAGTGCTACTGATTTGTGTACATTGATTTTGTATCCTGAATCTTTACTGAATTCATTTGTCAGATTTAGGAGCTTTTTGGATGAGTATTTAGGGTTCCCTAGATATACGATCATATCTTCAGTGAACAGCAACAGTTTGTCTTCCACTTTACAGATTTGGATGCCGTTTATTTCTTTCTCTTGTCTGATTGCTCTGGCTAGGACTTCCAGTACTATGTTGCATAGAAGTGGTGAAAGTGAATATCCTTGTCTTGTTCCAGATCTCAGGGGAAATGCTTTCAACTTTTCTCCCATTCAGTATAATGTAGGTGGTGGGTTTGTCATAGAAGGCTTTTATTACCTTGAGGTATGTCCCTTCTATGCCAGTTTCGCTGAGGTTTTTAATCATAAAGTGATGCTAGATTTTGTCAAATGCTTTTTCTGCATGTATTCAGATGATCATATATTTGTTTCTAATTGTCTGTGTGATGTAGCACATTTGTTGACTTGCGTATGTTAAACCATCCCTCCATCCCTGGTATGAAACCCACTAGAACATGGTGTGATATCTTTTTGATATGCTGTTGGATTCAGTTAGCTAGTATTTTGTTGAGGATTTTTGCATCTGTGTTCATCAGGGATATTGGTCTGTAGTTTTCTTTTTTGTTATGTCCTTTCCTGGTTTTGGTATTAGGGTGACACTGGTTTCACAGAATGATTTAGGGAGAATGCCATCCTTTGGAATAGTTTTAGTAAGATTAATATTAATTCTTCTTTGAATGTTTGATAGAGTTTAGCTGTGAATGCGTCTGGTCCTGGAGTGTTTTTTGTTGGCAGTTTTTTTTTAATTACTGTTTCAATCTTGCTACTTGTTATTGGTCTCTTCAGTTTCTATTTCTTCCTGATTTAATCTAGGAGGGTTGGATTTTATCCATCTCCTCTAGATTTTCTAGTTTGTGTGAGCAAAGGTGTTCACAGTAGCCTTGAATGATCTTTTGAATTTCTATGGTGTCAGTTGTAATATCTCCTGTTTCATTTCTAATTGAGCTTATTTGGATCTTCTCTCTTCTTTTCTTGGTTAACCTTACTAATGGTTTCTTTATTGTGTTTATCTTTTCAAAGAATCAGCTTTTTGTTTTATTTATTTTTTTTGTATTTTTTTGTTTCAATTTGTTTTAGTTCTACTCTGATCTTTGTTATTTATTTTCTTTTTCTGAGTTTAGGTTTGGTTTGTTCTTGTTTCTCTAGTTCCCTGGGGTGTGACCTTAGATATTCTATTTGTGCTCCTGCAGACTTTTTGATGTAGGCATTTAATGCTATGAACTTTCCTCCTAGAACCACTTTTGCTGTATCCCAGAGGTTTTGAAAAGTTGTGTCCCTATTATGAGCTTTTTCCACCCCTTTACCTTTAGTTAGTGTGAGTCCTTAGGTGTTAGATGAGTCTCTCAAACAGTGGATACTTGGTTGGTAGATTTTTATTCATTCTGTCATTCTGTATTTTTTAAGTCAAGCATTTAGGCCATTCAATTCAATGTTAGTTTTGAGATGTGAGGTACTGTTCTATTCATCATGTTGTTGCCTAAGTACCTTGTATTTTTTTCTCATTGTGTTATTGTTTTATAGGTCCTGTGAGATTTATGTTTCACGGAGGTTCTATTTTGGTGTATTTTGAGGTTTTATTTCAAGATTTAGAACTCCTTTTAGCATTTCTTGTAGTGCTGGCTTGGTACTGGCAAATTCTCTAAGCAATTTTTTTTTTGTCTGAAAAAGACTTTATCTCTTCTTCATTTATGAAGCTTAGTTTTGCTGGAAAATTCTTGGCTGATAATTATTTTTTTTCAGGAGACTAAAGATAGGACCCCAACCCCTTTTGGCTTGAAAAGTTTCTGCTAAGAAATCAGCTGTTAATCTGATAGGTTTTCCTTTATAGGTTACTTGATGCTTTTGTCTCACAGCTCTTAAAATTCTTTACTTCATCTTGACTTTAGATAACCTGATGACTGTGTGCGTAGGTGAAGATCATTTTGCAATGAATTTCCCAAGTGTTCTTTGAGCTTCTTGTCTAAATTTCTAGATCTTTAGTAAGATGCCTAGATCTAGATGTCTAGATCTTTAGTTCTTTGAGCTTCTTGTCTAGCTGTCTAGATCTTTAGTAAGGCCAGTGAGGTTTTCCTCAATTATTCCCTCAAATATGTGTTCCAAACTTTTAGATTTTTCTTTCTCCTCAGGAGCACCAATTATTCTTAGATTTGGTCATATAACATATTCCCATATATTTTGGAGGCTTTGTTAATTTTTTAAAAATTATTTTTTCTTTGTTTTTATCTGATTGGGTTAATTCAAAAGCCTTGTCTTTGAGCTCTGAAGATCTTTCTTCTACTTGTTCTAGTCTATTGTTGAAACTTTCCCTTGTGTTTTGTATTTCTTTAAGTGTGTCTTTCATTTCCAGAAATTATAATTTTTTTTATGGTATCTATTTCTCTGGATAATTTTTCATCCATAGCCTGCATTGTTTTTTAAAATTTCTTTAACTTGGTTTTCACCTTTCTCTGGCATCTCCTTGAGTAGCTTAATAATCAACCTTCTGAACTTTGAGTAGCTTAATAATCAACCTTCTGAATTTATCTGACAATTCAGATTTCTTCTTGGTTTGGATCCATTGCTGGGGAGCTAGTGTGATCTTTTGGGGGTGTTATAGAACCTGTTTTGTCATGTTATCAGAATTACTTTTTTGGTTCCTTCTCTTTTGGGTAGAGTAATCCAGTAGAGAGGTCTGCAACTAAAGGCCTGCTGTTCAGATTCTCTTGTCCCATGGGGTGATCCCTTGATGTGGTGCTCTCCCACTTTCACTACGGATGGGGCTTACTGAGAGCTAGACTACAGTGATTGTTATTGCTCTTCGGGTTTTAGCCATCCAGTGGGGCTACCAGGCTCTAGGCTGGTGCTGGAGAATGTTTGCAACAAGTCCTGTGATATGATCCATCTTCAGGTCTCCCAGCTGTGGATACCAGCACCTGCTCTGGTGGAGGTGGCAGGGGAGTAAAATAGACTCTATGGGAGTCCTTGGTTGTAAATATGTTTAGTGTGCTTACTTTCTCGAATGCTAGTTAACAGTGAAGCTGTCACATGGACAGACAGGACCTCTGGTTAGCTAGGATGTTGCAGGCAGTGGAATTACCTGTTGTTTTCTCTTTCCTGGGAGCAGGATTATTCCATCATGAGTTGCTTTAATGGCCTGAGTTGGTTGGCCTCCAGCCAGGAGGTGGCGCTTTCAAGAGAGCATCAGCTGTGGTAGTAGGGGGATATAAGCTTGCCCTAAGTTGACCAGGGTAAGTATTCTGGTTTCTCAGGTGATTGATGGGCAGGTCTACAAAGCTCCGGAGTGTCTGTCTTTTGTGTTCAGCTACCAGGGTTGGTAGAGAAATACCATCAGGTGGGGGAAGATTTAGGCAGGTCTGGGCTCAGACTCTTCTTGGGTGGGGCTTGCTGCAGCCACTGTGAGGGCTGGTAGAGGGGCGGTGGTTCTCAGGCCAATGGGGTTATGTTTCAGAGGGGATTATGGCTGCCTCTTCTGTGTCATATAGTTCACCAGGGAAGTGGGGGATAGCTGGTAGTGAAAGGTCTCACCCAACACCCACGCAGTTGGTGAGGCTGGTCTTGCTCCTGCAGTGCCCCCTGTTCAGATCTTGCCCAGGTCATAAAGTTCCCACTGAGAAAGAAAACATGGCTTTCAGGCCTTGCCCCCTCCCTGTCTGCCCACATTGTGGTCAGCAGCTCCTGTGCTCATATCTGCAGCAGTTCCTGGCCACCCCCCAGATTTTACTCAAGAAAATTTGTGTCCAGTTGAAATTATTACAGATTTCATTTGGAAGCTTGGTTCACCTTGTGACCCCTCCCCAGTTCTACTCATTGCCTTCTTTAAGGATGCCTATAATTATAATAAGGGATGGCTTCCCTGGATTTCAGCTGGAGATTGGGAGTGCCTAGAAGGCTCTTCCTGCTGCTGCTTCTATTTTTTATTTTGTGCAGCTCCCTAAATTTGTTTCAGCTCTAGGTAAGTTTAAATCTTTCTCCTGAGATCTGGATATTCAGATTCCTCAGTTTGCATGTATGTTTGGAGGCCGGTTTTTCCCCTCTCACCCTTCGGGAACTCAGTTTTTTGTCTGTCTCCCAGAGTTTGCTTCGTGTGCCACTTCTTTCAAAGGATCAATGCATTCTTTTGTTTTTTTCTGGTATGTTTCTGTGGTGGTTCTTCAAGCAAAAGTTCATGGTGTGAGTCTCCACACACTGTTCTGTCATTCGAAGTGGGAGCTACCTCCCCTGTCTCCTATCTGCTATCTCCCCGATTTTTTTTTTTTTTTTTTTTTTTTTTGAGTTGGAGTTTTGCTCTTGTCACCCAGGCTGGAGTTCAGTGGTGCCTTCTCAGCTCACTGCAACCTCTACCTCCCAGGCTCAAGCAGTTCTCCTGCCTCAGCCTCCTGAGTAGCTGGAACTACAGGATCACGCCACCACGCCCGGCATTTTTTTTTTTGTAGTTTTAGTAGAGACAGAGTTTCACCATGTTAGACAGGCTGGTCTCAAACTCCTGACCTCAGGTGACCTGCCCGCCTCAGCCTCCCTAAGTGCTGGGATTACAGGCGTGAACCATCATGCCTGGCCCTGATGTGTTTTTTTATTTTTAATTTTTTTTTGAGGCAGGGTCTCACTCTCTAACCCAGGCTGCAGTGCAGTGGCATGTTGCCAGCTCACTGCAGCCTCGACCTCCCAGGCTCAGGTGATCCTTCCACCTCAGTCTCCTGAGTGGCTAGGACCCACAGGCATGTGCCACCACACCTGGCTAATGAGAAAAAGAAAATTAAATATTAATTAATGTTATTATTAAGAGTATTTATTAGAAAATATACTTTTAAAATTAAATACCTAGCAATTTCCTACCATGTGCTAGGCACTTTTTAAAGCATGAGGGATATAACAGTGAAGAAATCAAAGACAAAAGGCAAATAAGTAAGTGTAGAGTACGTTCACCTTATATAAGTTAAGAAAATTCGTGCATTTAAATCAGGAAAATATTTCTGCTTTGTTTTCTCTCAAGAAGCATATATTTGAAATTATAGGACGGGAGCGGTGGCTCACGCCTGTAATCCCAGTACTTCGGGAGGCCAAGGCGGGCGGATCACGAGGTCAGGAGATCGAGACCATCCTGGCTAACATGGTGAAACCCCGTCTCTACTAAAAATAAAAAAAAAATTAGCTGGGCGTGGTGGCGGGCGCCTGTAGTCCCAGCTACTCGGGACCCTGAGGCAGGAGAATGGCGTGAACCCAGGAGGTGGAGCTTGCAGTGAGTTGACATCGCGCCATTGCATGCCAGCCTGGGGACAGAGTGAGAAAAAAAAAATTATATATTGCGCTTAATTCCTAGTGAGGATGGATGACTGCCATTTGAGCTGGGTTTTTGTTTTTTTTTTTTTTTAAAGAATGATTTCAAATACCTAAAATTTATAATTTAATCCTTCTGTCAGCCTTCCTATACAGGTACTATTTTTATATTTTTTATCCAGATGAGGAAATTGAGACCCAGGAGGTTCCGGTAACTCATTTGTGATCACACATTAGCTGTTATGGCAGACATAGGATTTGAACTCAGGAGACTATGCCTGTGGAGCCTGTGGCTTAGACTCACTCCACCTTATGCATGTTTCCCCTACTTCACGAAAGTGGAAAGGAATAAATAAGTGCAACCTGACAGAAATACAGCTTCTCTTAAGAGACACCAGAGGACATCTGCCAATGTGTCTTTTGACAGGTATTTTAAATTAACCAGGACAGATGGTTGTCTTGTCAGTTGGTGAATTCCATTTAATGGAATTTTGATGATCCTTTCACTCAGAGGAGGCTGCTGAATACCTAGAGTTGAGTATCTGGTAGTCTTTTTGTCTGCTTAAAGAGAATCTGCAAGAACATCTGAATTAACCATGGGGCCACAATTTAATAGGCAGCTATTTCAATGTAGCCTTTGTGGATATTTGACATGGGCTTTCTTGAGAAAGCATTGTAGGAGAATTAGATCTGTATTGACTACACTGTCTTTCATGAATGTTCTGATTCTAATTAGGATTTATCTTTACATATTGGGGCTAAATTATTTTCTGTGGGAACACATCTCTAAAATTAAAATGTAAGTGAAAAAAAGATTCGATATGCAAATATTTTACTTAAATACAACTTTCTGTGAATGCAGCCAATGTATGAAATAAAGCACATGTAGTGATAAGCTAGGCTGGCTCCAGTCTCATGCTTACAGTCTGTTAAAAAAATCGGGCACAGAAACTGCCTGGCAGCATGGGCTAGCAGAGCAGGCATGGGGCCACGTGCCTGGGGACCCAAGCTCTAGCCTTCACTATTGACCCCTGGGTATATCACTTAACTTTTCCTGGCCTTAGCTCTCAGTCAAATGGCTATATAGCTTGACAAGGAACTATTTTACAAAACAAAATAAAAATACACACAAGCACAAAGGATGCTATTAGCAACAACCCTGTAGCTGTCTCTCAGAATCAACACATCTTCACATTTTTTCATATTTGCCTCGATCTTTAACAAAAAATAATTGCAAAATAAATGGAAGTTCCCCTCCTGGTTCCTTTCCTTTATCAACCTTGCCAGATGTCACTATTAATGTGATTGAAAGCATTCGATCCATGTCCATGTACGTGTGTATGTATGTGTGCATGCTTACATATTACCACGTTTGTATGTGTCCATATACAAGATAGATAGTAGAGAGGGCTTATGTCTAGTGGCAAAATGTGAAGCCTTTGGGGACAGACTGCCTACATTCAAATCCTAGCTATGACTCTTACTAGCTGTGTAATCTTGGGCAATTTCCTTAACTTCTTCACTTCATTTTTACCATTTGTAAATAGAGTGTCTATTTCATAGTATTGTTCTGTGGATTAAGCAAATTAGTTAATATAATGTATTAGAACAGCATTGGGTATGTAGCAAACACTCAGTGAGTGTTAACTGTTGCCTTATGCGGTTTACAAAATTATCTAAATGGCATAATACAAATGGATTCCTCTGAAACTTATCATTTCACTCTCCATTTTTCTTTTGAACACATTTAGATCTAGTTCATTAGTTTGAACTACTGCATAATACCACAATGTATTCATTCATTTGCTATTGATGAAAACTTGGCTTGGTTCAGATTTTTGACAAACAATACTGCAATATACATCTTCATGCATACCTCCTTGTTCATGGCTTTTAAATTCTTATGGCACATACCTTACCACAGAATTCTTTAGGAAATCCTTAATTATCCAACAACTCATTAGTCCAATCCTATGCCTGGTCATCCCAATGATGGAGATAATACTACATTGTGAGGCAGCAAATAATATTTTTGGACTGCTCTGTTATAAGTAATTTGAAGGAAGACTAAATTTGGTTTAATGCAATGGTCTTACGTTTGTCCCACCTAAATCACTTCAGTCATGCTGGCCACATTTTGGTTGCCTGAATACTCCAAGATTTTCCCTGACTCATGCCACCATTTCTGCTTGCCTTTTGCCTGGAAGACCTCTTTGTCTTTACACAGTTCCTTTACACAAGGAACTTTACAACAAAAGTTTCTGTTCCTTATAAATAGAGGTTCTATTTACAAATGGGAAAAATGAAGTGAGGAAGTTAAACACCTTGCCCAAGATTAAACAGCAAGTCAGAGTCTTGACTGGGGTTTGAACTTAGGCAGCTTGTTTGTTTTTCTGTATCTGGCTCTTACTCATCGTCTCTTTTTAACTTAAATGTTACTTTCTTAAGGACTGTCTTACCTTTGAGGGTTCCCCATTTTGTTATCAATCACTACTTCCTGTTTAGTCATTCAGAGTTCTTTTCATAAATTGAAATTACATATTTTTTTGGTCTCCTTTAATTTTTGTCCCCCAGTAAATAATAAATAACTCCATAAACTCTACTTGTTTTGTCTTCCATCATAAATCAGTACCCAGCACAATGTGTGACACTCAATGCAAGTGCATATGTTGGTGTTAGTGTAGCCCCTGTCACAATATTAACTTGTAGTAAACTTATTGTGGACCAAAACCCCAAAGAGGTTTGTTTGTTTTTCACTTGTTCCTGCTAATCTCTGACTTCTCCCTTCTTGAGCTCATGCAGTTAGTTTTTTGGACTCACATTTATGTCCTTATGTTCATTACCATTAAATTTCATTACTATCTATAAAAGGAGAGGGTTGAATTAAATAACCAAGGTCACTTTCTGCTTCTAAAAATGAAATTGGTTATTCCAGAGCAGCATTATCCAATAGAACTTTCTGTGATGATGGAAAAGATCTATAGCTACACTACCCAATCCTATAGTCACAAGCCACACGTGGCTATTGAGTAGTTAAAATGTGACTAGTGCAACTGAGAAGCTGGATTTTAAATTTAAATTTAAGTAGCCACATGTGGCCAGTGGCTGCTTTATTGGGTAGTGCCATTCTAGAAAAACAGTATCAGAATTTTAAAAGATGAAATGGCATGCATAGCATATGGGGAGAAACCAACAAGCAGATAGGATGGCCTGTTTAGGGTCAGGGTTTATTTATTCATTTTTTTTTTTTTTTATTTAATAGATTAAAATATTTTTTCTTTCACTGAGCATCAGCTATGTGCTAGGCACAGTACTGGGTACTGGGATATAGCTTTGAAGAAGGCAGTCATTACCCTTGCTCTCAAGGGTCTTCCTCTTTTAGGTGTCAAACCTAAAACATTTCTTCAAGGTAAGCTATGAGCTCCTGGCAAAATGTATTGCTAGTCTTCAGACTGGATTTCTGTGCATAGTGTTTTTCATATCTGTAATCTTCGTTAGTCTGGATTCTAGAACTTAAGGCTCTAGAACTCAGCCCCAGTACGATGAGGAGAACGAGGGGCCAAATGTTGATGAGGCAGAAGGAATATCGGCTTGGATCTTTCAAAGAGGAGGGAATTTATGGTTGTATCATTCCATATAGGCTGGATTGCACTGTAGCTAGTACCAAGGGCTGATTTCTTTACGTGTTCATTATGGGACATCTGGGACTCCTGGAGCAAGCTGACAGGGCAGCCTTTATGTAGAACTTTGCTGGTGTTCTGACAGAAGGAAAAGAGAGCATGATGAAGCAGGAGCTGGCCTCGAAAGCATCTTCTAGAAGTGTATCCCTTTTGCTTAAAGCAAGTTCCATGGCTAAGCAAGGAAGTGGCCTCCCCTAGGAAAAGACAACAAACATTTGTGAATGATAATAAAGTTTATTGTAGTCTTTTCTTCTCATCACAAATATTTGGTTCAATCTCTTTTTGATTGAGAAAATACACTCTCTTCTGGCCTTTCTCTAGGGAGGACAAACAAATGTCCCATCTAATCATGGCAATAGGATCATAGCCCAGGATCCTGTGATGTGTCTTTCTCTAGGTATTTATTTGATTCTCTTGCTTCAGGTATTCATGAAGGAAAAAAGCAAATTATCTGCTTCTCATATTAAATATTCATTGTCAGAACAAGGCCAGAATATTTAAATATACTATTAAAAACACACACACACACACACACACACACACACACATAGTTTTGGAAAAAGGAAGAATGGAGGATACACAATAGTTACTTCTAGAAAAAATTTGTGATTTAATGGAACAGACATTACAAGGATCCTTACCTTAAAAGTTGAGCATGTTCTTTAGCTCCCTGGAAACAGATCTCTAGTTCATTGTTTTCCATGGCTTATGGTTTCACTTTCTTGGGGTCCTTCTTTTTCCATTATAGTCTTGAAAAACTCTGTCAGTCCACTCTTTACCCATAGAGGTTGGAAGCATGAGGATTATTTTATTTCCTAAACAATCATTGACTCTTTTAGTCTAAGATAGTGTGACTGTTTGGCTATGAAATAAGAGTGAAACTTGGTGATTTTTATCATCTATTTAATTCCAATCAGCCATGGTATGTACCAGGAACCATACTCACAATTAATTTTGAGTACCACAAACCTATCAGGATTTAATGGAAAAACCAGACTGTTAGTCACTTTTCTTTATCTCGTCCAACTGAAAAGATTCACTGGTACTACCTTAATTTGTTCAGATGCTTTAACAATGGGTGGGACATCTATTTCCTTGACTTAATCCTTGCCTCAAGGCTGAGTTTTTTTGTTTTGTTTTCAAGGCTGAGATTTAATTGGCCTGCCCAAAGCCTTTTTCAGGTTTATCTTTTATTGCTGGAGATGAGAAAACGTTGTTGCTTTTGATACTACAAGCTCTGGAATTTCTGGACTCTATTTCCTTTCATTTTCATTTATAAGGTGGCCAGTTCATTCCTGTTTTTTTTTTTTTTCTTTTGAGATGGAGTCTTGCTCTGTCACCCAGGCTGGAGTGAGTGCAGTGGTGCGATCTCAGCTCACTGCAACCTCTGCCTGCAGGGTTCAAGCGATTCTCCTGCCTCAGCCTCCCGAGTAGCTGGGACTACAGGCGTGCGCCACCATACACGTTTAATTTTTTGTATTTTTAGTAGAGACAGGGTTTCACCATGCTGGCCAGGCTGGTCTTGAACTCCTGACCTTGTGATCTGCCTGCCTCAGCCTCCCAAAGTGCTGGGATTACAGACATGAGCCACTGTGCCCAGCCTCTTTTCTGTTCTTATCTTGTATTAGTTTGCAAGGGCTGCTCTAGCAAAGTACTGTTGACTAGGTGGCTTAGAAAACAGAATTTTTTCTTTCCATTTTTGGATGCTAGGAGTCCAAAATCAAGGTATTGGTGGAGTTGGTTCCTTCTGAGGGCTGTGAGGGAAGGGTCTGTTATGGGGCTCTCTCCCTGGCTTGTAGATGGCTGTCTTCTCTCTATGTCTCTTCAAATCATTTTCCCTCTAAGTGGATCTCTATGTTCAAATTTCTTCTTTTTATAAGGATACCAGTCATACTGGGTTAGAGCTCACCCTACCAACCTCATTTTAGCTTCATTACCTCTGTAAGGCCCTATCTCTAAACAAAGTAACATTCTGAGGAATTGGAGATTAGGACTTCAACATATGAATTTTTGGGGGGACACAGTTCAGTGCATAACACATCTTTTTCTCCTGGTCTTTGTCTGATGCAGCCAATAGTAACCAAGACACACTACTTTCTGTTTTCCAAGCTCATCAGGTACATTTTCCTCTTCCAATTTATTTAGGATGACAGCTTTAGCAAATGTTTCATCCTTGTGAAGTATGAATCAAAATCAGTCTAGCTTCCAACAATACAGTCTCCTTTCTGCCCACTGCATGGCTCCAGAAACCAATGAGATATAGATATATATTTTGTGTATATATATATATATAGTGTATATATATATTTTGTTTATATATATATTTTGTTTATATATATATATATTTATTTGTTTGTTGTTGTGTTGTTATGGTAGTACCTCACACTTCCTGTACGAATTTTGTATCAACAGGAAGACTGGATGTTGTTGCAACAACCCTCAAATCTCAGTGACATACAATATCAAGAGTTTATTTCTTGCTTGTAATACATGTTCATCATGAATTGCCTACCTTTCTCCTTCACATTTTTCACCCCCTGGGATTCATGCAACTGCTATAAGGAGGCTTGCTGTTGCTGTGGCAAATTGTGGGAAAATAAGAAAGGTGAAGCATCTACTGGCATTTAAAGCTACTGCTCAGAAATGATATGTGTCAATTCTGCTCAAATTTCATTGGCCAAAGTAAGTCTTATCGCCAAGCCTTAAGTTAAAGGAGATGGAAAGTACAATTCTCCTCTAGGGAGGGGCAGCAAATATTTGTGAGCACTGTTGGTCACAGTCTAGCATAATATAATATTTTAATGTTTTTAGAAAAGTTCGGGGAGATAGTAGACAGAGTTTAATGACTTGACACTAGGTGAGTGGGAAGACTAGGGCAAAGGGTAAAGAGAAGGACTTTGGCTTTGGCACAGAGATCTAACTGTAGTTAACACCAGAAGAATCTATCCTTTATCAGATGCTTAACAGGTTAACATGTGAGGGTTTGAAGAGTTCTTGGCAGAGGGGGAGGGCGGATAGTTGGTGCAGGCTTTGTATTCCAGGACTTCAAGTTGCAGCTCTGCCACTTAGTAGCTGTGTAAATTTTGTCATGTTACTTGACCTTTCTGAGTCTCTCTTTTTTTTTTTTTTTTTTTGAGACAAAGTCTTGCTCCATCACCCAGGCTGGAATGCAGTGGTGTGGATCTCAACTCACTGCACCTGCATCTCCCAGGTTCAAGTGATCCTCCCGCCTCAGCCTCCCAAGTAGCTGGGATTACAGGTGTGTGCCACAACACCCAGCTAATTTTTGTATTTTTAGTAGAGACGTGATTTTGCTGTGTTGGCCAGGCTGGTCTTGAACTCCTGACCTCAAGTGATCTACTTGCCTCAGCCTTCCAAAGTGCTGGGATTACAGGCATGAGCCACCATGCCCGGCCCTGAGTCTCCATTCCTCACCTCTCAAAGGGAACAGCAGTGTCATCCACCTCACAGTAATATTTTGAGTAATATCTCTTTACACAGTAGTTGTATGGAATTGGGCAACTTGGTTATGTATACTTCAGTTTCCTCATCTGTCACATTGAGATAATACTAGTACACATTTTGTAGGGTTATTACAGGATTTAGTGATTTAAAACATTTACGCCAATGCTTGTGATAAATCCTCAATAAATGGTAATTATTCTCATTGTAGTTAGCTGAGGTGATACATGTAAAGCTTTTAGCACAGTGGCAGGCTCACAGTGAGAACACAATAAATATGAGACAATCATTTTCTACACTAACCCTTATTAAGAAGTGCAAGCCGAAGAAGCCAGAGTCAGAGAAATAAAGCAGAGAAGGAGGGAGAACAAATACAAGAGAGTTCATTACCAAGCAAGCCATAGTTGCCTGGCAAGTTGATTACTCAGTCTCTGTATCAGTCTATTCTCACACTGCTATAAAGATACTACCTGAGACTGGGTAATTTATAAAGAAAGGAGGTTTATTTGACTCACAGTTTTGCTTGGCTGGGGTGGCCTCAGGAAAGTTACAATTATGGTGGAAGGTGAAGGGGAAGCAAGGCACATCTTACATAACAGCAGGAGAGAGAGAGAATGAGGAAACGCCACACTTTAAAACTATCAGCTCTCATAAGAACTCACTCATTATCATGAGAACAGCATGAGAGAAACTGCCCCCATGATCCAGTCGCCTCCCCTGACATGTGGGGATTACCATTCAAGATGAGATTTGGGTGGGAATACAGAACCAAACCATATCATTCTGCCCCTGGCCCCTCCCAAATCTCATGTCCTTTTCACATTTCAAAATCAATCATGCCTTCCTAACTGTTCTGTAAAGTCTTAACTCAGTCCAGCATTAACTCAAAAATCTAAGTCCAAAGTATCATCTGAGATAAGGCAAGTCCCTTCTCCCTATGAGCCTGTAAAATAAAAAACAAATTAGTTACTCCCAACATACAGTAGGGGTGCAGGCATTGGGTAAATGTTCCCATTCCAAATGGGAGACATTGGCCAAAACACAGGGGCCACAGGCCTCCTCCAAGTCCAGAATCCTAAAGGGCCCTCAGTAAATCTTAAAGCTCCAGAGTAATCTCCTTTGACTTCATGACTCACATTCAGGGCATGCTGATACAACAGGTGGGTTCCCAGGGCCTTGGGCAGCTGCACCCGTGAAGCTCTGGAGGGTACAGCCCCCAGAGCTGCTTTCATAGGTTGGTGTTGAGTGCCTGTGGCTTTTCCAAGCACACAGTGGTAACCTGTTGCTGGATCTATCATTCTGGCATCTAGAGAATGGTGGCCCTCTTCCATAGCTCCATTAGGCAGTGCCCCAGTGGGGACTCTGTGGGGGGGGGCTCCAACCCCACATTTTCCTTCCACACTGGCCTAGCAGAGGTTTTCCGTGAGGGCTCTGCCCCTGCAGTAGAATTCTACCTGTACATCCAGGTGTTTCCATATATCCTCTGAAATCTAGGTGGAGGTTCCCAAACCTCAGCTCTTGACTTCTGCACACCCACATGCCCAACACCACATGGAAACTGCCAGGGCTTGGGGCTTGCACCCTCTGAGGCCACAGCTCAAGCTGTACCTTGGTCCCTTTTAGCCACTGCTGGAGCTGGAGCAGCTGGAAGGCAGGGTGCCATGTCCTGAGGCTGCACCGAGAAGCTGGAAGGCAGTGTGCCATGTCCTGAGGCTGCACAGAGCAGCTGGGCCCTGGGCCTGGCCTATGAAGCCATTTTTCCCTCCTAGGCCTTGGGCCTGTGATGGAAGGGGTTGCCTTGAAGATCTCTGCAATGCTGTGGAGACATGTTTCCCATTATCTTGGCAGTTAACATTCAGCTCCTTGTTACTTATGCAAATTTCTGCAGCCAGCTTGAACTTCTCCCCAGAAAATGGGTTTTTCTTTTCTACCACATGGTCAGGCTGCAAATTTTCCAAACTTATATAGTCTGCTTCCCTTTTAAGCCTAAGTTCCAATTTCAGACCATCTCTTCGTGAGCATATATAACTGAATGCTTTCAGAATAAGACAGGTCACCTCTTAAATGCTTCGCTGGTTAGAAATTTCTTCCACCAGGTACCCTAAATCATCTCACTCAAGCTGAAAGTCCCATAGATTCCTAGGGCAGGGGAAAATGCCACCAGTCTCTTTGCTAAAGCATAGCATGAGTGACCTTTATTCCAGTTCACAGCAAGTTCTTCATCTCCATCCGAGACCACCTCGGCCTGGACTTCATTGTCCATATCATTATCAGCATTTGGTCAAAACCATTCAACGAGTCTCTAGGACATTCCAAACTTTCCCACATCTTCTTTTTTTCTTCTGAGCCCTCTAAACTGTTCTAACATCTTCCCATTACCCAGTTCCAAAGTCCCTTCCACATTTTCAGTTTATCTTTATAGCAGTACCCCACTCTGCCGGTACCAATTATATGTATTAGTCCATTCTTACACTGTTACAAAGATACTACCTGACACTGGGTAATTTATAAAGAAAGGTTTAATTGACTCACAGTTCTGAATGACTGGGGAAGTTTCAGGAAACTTACAATCATGGTAGAAGGCAAAGGGGAAGCAAGGCACGTCTTACATGTTGGCAGGAGAGAAAGAGAATGAGGAAGTGCCACACTTTAAAACCATCAGCTCTCATAAGAACTCACTAAACTGCCCACATAATCCAATCACCTCCCTCAACATGTGGGGATTATAATTTGAGATGAGATTTGGGTGGGGACACAGAGCCAAATTATATCTGTCTCCAGGATGTTTTTAAAGACACCATATGTAGTCACAGCATCTCCAAACAGTTCATGCAGTAAGGGAGGAAGGGAGAAAAATTCATCTGTTGACTCCCAACTACTATTGTTCCAAATTTCCTACATGAAACATCCACTTCCCCAGACTTCCAGGTTGCATGTGCCTGGATGCCATATGAGTTCTGAGATATTTCCTGTGTCAGTGGCATCAGGGAAGCCCCAGAGATGGCATGAAAGTAGGTGAGGAACCATCAGAGCAGGCATGTGAGCAACAGGAGTATCTGAGTACAGTCTCCAAGGCAGGCTGTAAGTCTGTGGTGATGTGGCGGCAGCAATCTGCTGGATCACCGTGGGAATTGTGTAAGCTAATGAGAGGGTGCTCTCTGGCTTGAAAGCAAAGAAAATGCATGAATCTGGGGTTTTATATAAACATACTTACCTTTTAAGCCCCATTTTCTCACTTTATATGTGAGGAAATAGGTGCTAATTTGGAAAAAGTTTTATTTAGAGTTATACAGCTTGTTAATTGCAGAATAAAAATTAGAATCCAGGTCGTACTAGGAATTAGTTTTGATGTTTTCTGATCTCTAGGTTGCTAGTTTTTGTTTATTTTTCCAACATTTATTTTAGATTCAGGGGGTCCATGTGCAGGTTTGTTACCTAGGTATATTGTGTGATGCTGAGGTTTGAAGTATGAATGATCCCATCATCCAAGTAGTGAGCATAGTACCCAAAAGTTAGTTTTTCAACTCTTTCTTCCTCCTTCCCCACTCTAGTAGTCCTCAGTGTCTATTGTTGCCATCTTTATGTCCATGTTTCCCAATGTTTAGCTCCCAGTTGTGAGAACATGGAGTATTTTGTTTTCTGTTCCTTTGTTAATACATGTAGGATAGTGGCCTCCAGCTGCATCCATGTTGCTGCAAAGGACATGATTTCGGTCTTTTTTATGACTGCATAATATTCCATGGCACATATATACCACACTTTCCTTATCTAATTTACCACTGATGGGCACCTAGGTTTAGTCCATGTCTTTGCCATTGGGAATAGCACTGTGATGAACATGCAAGCACATATGTCTTTTGGTAGAATGATTTTTTTTGGGATATATACCCAGCAATGGGATTGTTGCATCAAATGGTAGTTTTTTTATTAAAAATATTTTATTGAGACATAATCATAAAGAAATGTGTACAAATTATAAGTTTACAACTTGCTGGGTTTATGCAAAGTGAATACAACTGTATAGTCAGTCTCTGGACTAAGAAATACAATATACCAGCACCCTAGTCACTAGCACCGGAAAAGATAACCATAATCTGACTTCTATCATCGATTAGTTTTGCATAGTATTGAACTTTACACAAGTTGAACCCCACAGTAGAAAAATCTTTGTTCCTGCTTTAAAAAAAAAACACTCAATATTATGTTAATACAATCACCAATATTTTTTTCTTTTATTTTTTAAATTATACTTTAAGTTCTAGGGTACATGTGCACAATGTGCAGGTTTGTTACATAGGTATACATGTGCCATGTTGGTTTGCTGCACCCATCAACTCATCATTTACATTAGGTATTTCTCCTAATGCTGTCCCTCCCCCATCCCCCCACCCCATGACAGGCCTCCATGTGTGATGTTCCCTGCCCTGTGTCCAAGTGTTCTCATTGTTCAGTTCCCACCTATGAGTGAGAACATGCAGTGTTTGGTTTTCTGTCCTTGTGATAGTTTGCTTAGAATGATGGTTTCCAGCTTCATCCATGTCCCTGCAAAGGACATGAACTCATCTTTTTTTATGGCTGCATAGTATTCCATGGTGTATATGTGCCACATTTGCTTAATCCAGTCTATCATTGATGGACATTTGGGTTGGTTCCAAGTTTTTGCTATTGTGAATAGTGCCGCAATAAACCTCTGTGTGCATGTGTCTTTATAGTAGCATGATTTATAATCCTTTGGGTATATACCCAGTAATGGGATGGCTGGGTCAAATGGTACTTCTAGTTCTAGATCCTAGAGGAATCTCCACACTGTCTTCCACAATGGTTGAACTAGTTTACAGTCTCACCAACAGTGTAAAAGTGTTCCTATTTCTCCACATCCTCTCCAGCACCTGTTGTTTCCTAACTTTTTAATGATCGCCATTTTAACTGGTGTGAGATGGTATCTCATTGTGGTTTTGATTTGCATTTCTGTGATTGCCAGTGATGATGAGCATTTTTTCATTTATCTGTTGGCTGCATAAATGTCTTCTTTTGAGAAGTGTCTGTTCATATACTTTGCCCACTTTTTGATGGGGTTGTTTGATTTTTTCTTGTAAATTTGTTGGCGTTCATTGTAGATTCTGGATATTAGCCCTTTGTCAGATGGGTAGATTGTAAAATTTTCTCCCATTCTGTAGGTTGCCTGTTCACTCTGATGGTAGTTTCTTTTGCTGTGCAGAAACTCTGTAGTTTAATTAGATCCCATTTGTCAATTTTGGCTTTTGTTGCCATTGCTTTTGGTATTTTAGTCATGAAGCCCTTGCCCATGCCTATGTCCTGAATGGTATTGCCTAGGTTTTCTTCTAGGGTTTTTATGGTTTTAGGTCTAACATTTAAGTCTTTAATCCATCTTGAATTAATTTTTGTATAAGGTGTAAGGAAGGGATCCAGTTTCAGCTTTCTACATATGGCTAGCCAGTTTTCCCGGAACCTCAAATGGTAGTTTTGTTTTAAATTCTTTGAGAAATCTCCTAACTGCTTTCCACAGTGATTGCACTAATTTACATTCCCACCAACAGTGTATAAGTGTTCCATTTTTCTCCACAGCCTAACTAGCATTTGTTGTTTTTTGGCTGTTTAATAATAGTTATTCTAACTGGTATGAGATGCTATTTTATTGTGGTTTTGATTTGCATTTCTTTAATGATTAGTCATGCTGAGCATTTTTTCATATGTTTGTTGGCCGTTTCTATGTATCTTTTCGAGGAGTGTTTGTTCACGTCTTTTATGTGTTTTTTAATGGGGTTATTTGTTTTTTGCCTGTTCAGTTGTTTAAGTTCCTAATAGATTCTGGATCTTAGACCTTTGTTGGATGCATAGGTTGTGAATATTGTCTCCTGTTCTGTAAATTGTCTGTTTACTCTGTTGATAGTTTCTTTTGCTGTGCAGAAGCTCTTTAGTTTAATTAGCTTCTACTTGTCAATTTTTGTTTTTGTTGTAATTGCATTTTAGGACTTAGTCATAAATTCTTACTTTTCAAGGTCAATGTCGAGAATGGTGTTTCCTAGGCTTTCTTCCATGATTCATATAGTTTGATGTCTTACATTTAAATCTTTAATCAATATTGAGTTAATTTTTGTAAATAGTGAAAGGTAGGTGTCTGATTTCATTCTGCATGTGGCTAGTCAGCTATCTCATCATCATTTATTGAATAGGAAATCCTTTCTTCATTGCTTATTTTTTTTTTTCAACTTTGTTAATAATTAGATGGCTGTAGATTTGTGGCTTTATTTCTGGGTTCTCTATTCTGTTCTCTTGGTCTATGTGTCTGTTTTTGTACCAGTATCATGCTGTTTTGGTTACTGTAGTCTCATAGTTTGAAGTGAGGTAATGTGATGTTTCTGGCTTTGTTCTTTTTGCTTAGGATTGCTTTGACTATGGGGCTCTATTTTTGGTTCCATGTGAATTTCATCATAGTTTTTCCTAATTCTGTGAAAAATGACATTGGTTATTTGATATGAATAGTGTTGAATCTGTAGATTGCTCTGGGCAGTATGGCCATGTTAATGATGTTGATTCTTGCAATCCAAAAGAATGGAATACTTTTTCAAATCTTTGTGTCATCTATGATTTCCTTTAACTGTTTTGCAGTCCTCCTTGTAGAAATCTTTCACCTCCTTGGCTAGCTGTATTGCTAGGTATTTTATTTTTTTTATGGCTATTATAAGTGGGATTACATTCTTGAATTGGCTCTCAGCTTGAACATTATTGGTATATAAAAATGCTACTGATTTTTTTTTAACATTGATTTTGTGTCATGAAAGCTTGCTGAAACAGTTTATTAGCTCTTATATCCTTTTGGCAGTGTTTTTAGGGTTTCCTAGATATAGAATTGTATTGTCAGTGAAGAGATAGTTTAACTTCTTTTTTGACCTATTTAGATGCCTCTTATTTTTTTCTCTTGTCTGATTGCTCTAGCTAGCACTTCCAATACTATGTTGAACAGGAGTGGTGAGAGTGAGCTTTATTATCTTGTGACAGTTCTCAAGGGGAATGCTTCTAGTTTTTGCCCATTCAGTATGATGTTGGTTATGGATTTGTCATAGATGGCTTTTATTATTTTGAGTTATGTCCCTTTGATACCTAGTTTCTTGAGGGTTTTTATCATAAAGGGATGTTGGATTTTATGGAAAGCTTTTTCTGTATATATTGAGATCATATGATTTTAAAAATTCTGTTTGTGTGGTGAATTACATTTATTAATTTGAATATGTTGATAGATTGCTAGTTTAATTCTATCTCATCTTCATCCATCCATCCTTTCATCTATCCATCCATTCATCCACTCACCTATCTCCATGGTTAAAGACCTCCCTTATATCTAGTGCTGGGCAGGTATTTCCACACAGTAATGGAGTACTAGGAGAGAATAACTGTGAGTCACTTCTTTTGCCTGACTTTATGCTCTCTTCTGCTGTGGCGGTTGGGAAGGCAAGCTGTCTGTGGAGCTGAGCCAATGGGGAGGAAATTGGATGCACTCAGGATGTCTGATAGATGGAATGACTGTGTTAGTCTGGGCCAAGGGAAAGGGAAAGCAGCTGTTCCATCTCTGGCTTGAGCTCCAGTGGATTGGCTGTAGCTTCGAAATGTAGAGAGAAGATGAATTTCCAAGGAGGACACTTGGCTTCGCTTAATCATATAGGACCTTAGACACAGCTTCCCCGTTGAAACAAATAATCAAAGAGGACTAATGGCTCACTAACTGCAAGGTACCATGTAGGAACTGTGAATTACAGGCAGATCCAAGTTTGATTCCTGTCCTTTAAGATATGAAAGTATAGTTGGAAAATAAGCAAATATGTAAAAGATTATTAATATTATACTGTTAAATTAGCAGCTAACAGTATTGTGCTTGTCTAAGAGACACCTGTTGTATCTTAGAGATCTTAACAGTCCATGGAGAAGCATCAGTGAGCCTGTAAACTGCCTGAAATTGCATGTAAATTTTGTGTGTGTATGCATTTTACTGGGGAAAGGGTCTATTTTTGCATCATATTCCCAAAGATGTGTGCAGTCTGTCACAAATTTAAGTCCATTGTATTTCATTCTCATAGCAGTCTTCTTTTTCACATGAGAAAGCCAATACCCAGAGAGGTTAAATGGCAGAATCGGTACTTGAACCTAGACCTCTTTGATACCACACCTTGGGCTTGGCTCATCTTGCTATGGTGCACTCCTACCATAGTAGAGGAAACAGAGGCAAGCAGTGGTTGGTCCATTCCCCCAGCTTTGATTTGTACCCACGAATGGTGTGTGACTGTGACCGCTGCTTTGAACAGAAGTCTGTGCTTCAGGGTGAAAGCCAGCAAGGTTTGGGATCATTTAACCTTGAGAGCAGCAGACTGAGGATGGCATGCTTCCTAGTGGATACCTGAATGTGTAAGACAAAGATGATGGCAGGCAGTTTTCCCTGACTTCACAGAGGCTGGATGAGGAGTATAGTTTATACCCAAGGAAGAACTTCCTAACTTCAAAGTGGCTACTGAGGGAGGGATTACATTTTCAAAGCAGCCAGATCTGGATATGTCTTGAATAATTTTGACTGAGATTAGGGGAAGGATACATAGATCTCTGAAGATTTTCTTTGGTCATTGTTCTTTTCTGTGATTCTAAATGCACTTTATTTTCCTGGTGTCCAGAAGCCAGTGGAGAGTTAATCGGTATGTATGAGTCAGGATTCTATGATAATTTCAGCTGCAGCTCCAAAAGGGGCATTTGACACCTACACTACTTAACATTGCTGTTCACCTTGAGAAACACAGTTCTGCAGACACCTGAGGAGGTCTGCACTTATATGGGGCACCCAGGGCTTCAGATACTCTGTGAATGTCTTGACACCTTGACAAGCTGCAAGGCTTTAGTGGGCTTAAAGCACTTTGGAAATTACCTGCTGAGGTTCTGTTGCACAAATTAAGACCACATAGGAAATTATTATGTTGGGTTTACTTGGCTGATGCCTGTGGCTGAATGAAAGAAGGGGAGAGAGTAGGAACCTTTGCTTCTAGCAATAAAGAACTGGAGCTAGGTTAGGTAGCTTAGGTTAGAGGGGGCGTCACTGTGAGTGTGTGCATTAAAGGTGGAATTGTGTGTGTGAGTGCATGCCTATGGCTCTGTAAGTGTAAATGTGCAGATGCTCAATACCCATGTGTCTGCATGGGCATGAGTGTGGGGATGTGCCTGAGTATGAGGCTGTTGGGATTATGTGTGCATAGTAATTAAGACGTGGGTTTGAATTCCAGACTTACAATTCACAAGCCGGGTAGGTTAGGTAACTTACCTCTCTGCACATCAGTTTTCTTATCTGTCAAGTCAGAATAATAATAACCACCTCACAGGGTTACTATAAGGATGAAAATAAAAACCATGTATAAAAAATGCTAAGCATATGTCCGGGATTAGCAAGTATTGAGTAAATGGCAGCTGTTGCCATTTGTAGTGGGAGCAGGTGTGCGCAGATACATGTGGTAAGGATGTGCATATGTGTGGGTAAACACGTTGGCTTTGTCCTCAGCTGTCTTAGAAGACTCTCTGAGTAAAAGACTTCCCTTCATGCAAAATCACTGGTGTGCTCTCTAAACCAACTTTTCTAGAGAAGCATTTCACAATGAGGCTCCTCTAATGGAGTCCTCTGGGACCCATCCTTTCTAGGACTTGCCTAGCTTTCTGCTGGGCTTGTTCAGGGTTTTGGAGTCTTTTTTTTCTCACTAGTCATCATTTTCCGAGTCCTTTCCCTCGGTGGAAGGAGGAGGTATTCTGGAGGAATGGGTGATCTGATTTACACTGGGCCCACTTGCTACCACCTGAGACCTAGATAGAACTTTGCCCTTTCTTCCTGCCCATTCCCTCTTTGTTCTTATGCTTCATGAATCTGAATAAATGGGAGAGAATATTTGAGTTCCTCCTGTGTTAAGCTCCATCTTTAATCCTCACTTCAGCTTTTCATGGCCTCAGTTGCCTCTTTTACTGCATGGATTTTTGTCCTTTTGTTCTGCACTAATAGTTTGGGGTCCTACTGTTGTTTTTCTGATAAGGTAACTACCAGCAGAGTCTAGCTGGGGAGGAAATACAGATATATGTGTAAAGATAATGAGCATTAATGGTGTGCCTGAATGACTCCCAGGTGGTGAGTGCTGTTGGAGGTCTGAGGATTTGGAGATCATTTGGGGCTGGCAGGATCCTGGAGGATTTGCAGCAAGAGGGGAAAAGTGAGTATGGCTGGGAAAGGCTGAGAAGTGGGGGAAGGCATATGAGGCAGCAGGGGATATGCTGTCAAGGGACAGTGTAGATGCCAGTTTGACATGAGTAATGAGTTCATGTGGCAAGACAGAGAGAAAATCCTGGAAAGTTAGGTTAGAGCTTAGCTGTACAAAGTTTTAAGTACCCGGTTTTGGAGCTTATTGTCGGCGGGGAGGCATGGGCTTTTGTATCATTTAGACCTGAGTTCATTCATTAATTCTTTTGTAAGTCATTTATTGAAATGCCAGGTACCATTCCAGGTTCTGGTGATACAGTGGGGAACACAAAGGCTAGTCTCTACATTTACAGAACTTACATTCTAGTGGATTCAAACCCTCGCTTTGTTATTTTCCAGCTGGGTAAACTTAAACAGGTTATTTAACCTTTCTAAGTCTCAATTTGTTCGATTGTAAAATAGGGATAGTTGGACCTAAATGAAATAATGTAAATCAAAGGGCCTGGTATATGGCTGCTATCCAAGTGTGTTAGCTCCCCGCTTCCTCTTCCTCCCTGCCATCCCTCTTCCTCTATCTTCCTTCCATAGGTTTTGAGAGTCTTTGTTCTCTCCTACATCTGTTGCTCTGACAGAAGAGCACTGTATCTTCTAACATTCAGCTACAATTTAGCGGTCTCCTTAGGTACTTGGCCTAATGTATTTGCTTCCTAGAAGTGACATCTAATTGATGTAGGTCAAGATGGTTCATCAGTAGTAGAAATTAACCTGTAAGTGCTTGGGAAGTTCTCCAGGACAACTGCAAATTCAGAGCATAGTCTGAGCTCAAGCTGGACCATGCCTAAAGAGAACCTAGATTAGGAGCTTAGGCTGGGAGAAGCAGGAACAGATGAGGATAGGAAGTAGAATCAGCAGAGGAGAGGATGGGGACAAGAAGAAATAAAAAAGTCCCCAGGTGTAGTGGGAAATTCTAATGGTAAGAGTGGTCCATATGTAGAAGTTTATTTTTTCCTTATGTATTTGTTGAGTACCTACCACTGTGCAGTCATTGAGGCTACAGCAATGACCAAGAGAATAAATTCCCTTATGAAGGTTGCATAAAATCAGAAGAGAGAGAAAACAAACACATGAACAAATAAATTACAAGATAATGTTGAATAGAGACAAAGGCCATTCGTTCATTTATTCAATCAACAAAATTTTGAGTGTCTACTCTTTACTAGTTATTGTTTTAGGTGATGGGACTATAACAAGAAAAGGGACAGTCTTTGCCCTCATGGACTTTGCATTCTAGCGTAGACAGTCAATTAACCAGTAGACAAATAAATATATAATAAGACTCTGTTAGTGACAAGTGCTATGAAGTAAAATAAAGGAAAGCAACAGAGTACAGGTGATAGGGATGTTTTTAGATGAAATGCTTAGAAAAGTCCTCAAGAAGGAGTTAATATTAGGGCAGAGACCTACCTGAGGTGATGGAAGAAGCCATTTCCTACTCCAGGAGAAGGACATCCTGGGTAGATGAAACAGCAAGTATGAAGGCTCCAAGCTTGGTGAGTTTGAGGAAAATGTAGAAGATCATGGTGACTAAAGTAGAGAAGGTGAGAATTGGGAGTAGCAGGAGTTAATGTCAGAGAGGTAAGCAGGAGACAGATCATATTGGGCCTTAGAGGTTATGGAGAGAAATTTAGATTTTGTTTTCCATGGGTGGGAAGCAGTTGGAGGATTTTGAGCAGGACAATGATCTATGATTAGTATTTTTGAAATATGACTGGCTGCTTTTGTGTATAAGGTGAAGAATGTAACTAGAGAGACCAGATAGGAGGAGAGGTGCAGGAATCCAGGTGAGATGATGGCTCCGATGAGGATCATCATGAAGGATATGGTGAGAAGTATTCAGATTTGGGATATATATATTTTATAGGTAGAGACAACAGGATGGATTGGATGTGATGGATTGGATATGGAGTATGAGGGATCCTGAGGAATCAAGACTGCAT
Source organism: Homo sapiens (assembly GCF_000001405.40). NCBI lineage: Eukaryota > Metazoa > Chordata > Mammalia > Primates > Hominidae > Homo > Homo sapiens. The sequence goes on from NC_000011.10 coordinate 20,734,595, forward strand.
TTGTGGTATTACCATTGGAAAGACTAGGGGAGGTGCTGATATCATTCAGTCATCTAAGGTCATGTTAGATTTGAGAAATCCATTAGATGTCCACAGGGAGATGTCAGGAAGGCATTAGGTCAAACAAGTCCAGGGTTCAGAGGAGAGATTGGGCTGGAGGTGTATTTCTGGAGTTCATCAGCACAAGTGTGATATTTGAGGCCAAGGTGGTGATAAGATTATTTAGGGCAGCATCTCTTAAAGTGTGGTTCTTGGAGCAACAACAGCAGCAGTGGCCCCTGGGGATTTGTTAGAAATCCAATTTCTCAGGCTTCTCCCTAGAATTACTGAATTAGAAACTTTGGGGGTGGGGTCTAGATAAGTTTTAATAATTCCTCCAACCAATTCTGGTGGTAACTGAAATTAAGTACTGGGGAGTGAGATAGAGAGGAGGCCTAGACTGATCCCGGGATCTCTAGCAATTAGTATTAGGAAGAGAAGAAGGAGCCAGCAAAGGTTACTAAGAAGAACCAATTTGGAACTTCAAAGAAAAACTCAGAAAGTGTTTTGCAATGGATGCTAAGAGTTTAAGGTGGTGAGCAGTCGGGTCAAATGCTGCTGAGGGTTGACGGAGATGAGGACTAAAAATTGTCCAATGGCTTGGGAAAGATGAGGATTTTATTAGTCCATTCTCATGCTACTATAAAGAACTACCCAAGACTGGGTAATTTATAAAGGAAAGAGGTTTAATTGACTCACGTTTTTGCATGGCTGGGAGGCCTCAGGAAACTTACAATCATGACAGAAGGAGAAGCAAACATGTTCTTCTTCACATGATGACAGGAAGGAGAAGTGCCAAGCAGAGGGGAAAAAGCCCCTTATAAAACCATTATGTCTTGTGAGAACTTACTCACTATCATGAGAACAGCAGCATGGGGGTAACTGCCCGCATGATTAAATTACCTCCAACCAGGTCCCTCCTACAATATGTGGGGATTATGGAAACTACAATTCAAGATGAGATTTGGGTGGGGACAGAGCCAAACCATATCAAGGATCTTTTTGCAGCCTTGACTGGAACAGTTTCAATGGAGTGGCCAGCATGAAACCTTGTTTGAAGTAAGGTTAAAAGAGAAAGGATGGTAAAGAAACAGAGACAAGTATAGCCAGCTGTTTATGGGGTTAGATAAAAAGGTACAGTGACAAAGAGCAGTAGCTGAATGCTGACTTTGGGTTTAGGGAGTTTTTGTTTTGGAAGGGGAGTTTTTTCTTAAGGTCAGAGATATTATAACATATTTGAAAGTGGGCAGGGGTCCTGTAGTAGAGTCTGTAAAGTATGATGCAGTAGAGGGGTTGCTAATTGCAGGAAGGAAATCCTTGAATAGGAGAGAGGGGCCGGGATGCCATATGTGAGTGAGGGGACTCATTTTAGGAGCAGGGTAAGCTGATCCTTGGCATCAGGAGGAAAGGGAGAGGATAATGAATATGGATTTATGAGGTTAGTATACTTGAAGATGCAAAGATGAGCTAGTTCTGCCTCTATTCTTAGTGAAATAAGAAGTGAGGTCATCCACTGAGGGCAAGTGGGGGGTGAAGGTTTGAGTGAGAGAAGAATGTGTGAAAAGAGGAAAATAAATGAGGCCATGTGATTGGCTAGAGCATGCCTTCTCACATGCTCTCCAAACACTCACGGTGGGCAGGTGAGAGGGCAGGGCAGGAGAAAGACAGTTAGAGCTTCTCCTATATGGGCTACTCCTCTTGCCCCAGCAGCCACAGGAAGCCCCTGGCCGAGCAGAGCAACCTGTCAGTGCACAAGTGAGGCAAGCATAGATGCCTACGCTGCCCTCACTGGGGTAAAAAGTTAGGCATTTAGCCCAGCGTCAAAGCTGGCCCCTGTCATCATGGTTTAGGATAATCTTTAAGTTCAAGAATCATCTTGGAGTTTCTCATTCAGAGAAGATGGTGGTCTGCTTGGTCTGTGGAATTTCTCAGGCCTGCTCTTTATTGTCCATTGTCTAAAATACAGCATTACTTTATTTACTTCATCAAACATTCTGTACTTATTTTTTAAATCATGAAGTTCTTTATTTTCACCATAACAAGGGATATATTTCTAAAATGTTTAAAGGAAAAGTTGATAATTTCTGGACCCCTACCCTCCTCCCCTCCCCCTCCCTTCCTCTCTCCTTTCATTTTTTTGAGACAGAGTCTTGCTCTGTCACCCAGACTGGAGTGCAGTGGTGTGATCTCAGCTCACTACAACCTCTTCCTCCCTGGTTCAAGCAATTCTCCTGCCTCAGCCTCCCGAGTAGCTGGGATTACAGGCATGTGCCACCATGCCTGGCTAATTTTTGTGTTTTTTATAGATACGGGGTTTCACCATGTTGTCCAGGCTGGTCTCAAACTCCTGACCTCATGATCTGCCTGCCTCGGCCTCCCAAAGTGCTGGGATTACAGATGTGAGCCACCGTGCTTGCCCCCCTTTCCTCTTTTCTATACCTCTCCTCTCCAGTCCTGTGTAGCCTTCTTCCCTACGTTATTTATTTATTTTTTACTTACCTGCTCTTATTTTTATTATTTCTCCTCATTCTAGAGCTCACATAGGCTCTGGAGTCTGATAGCCTGGTGTGAATCCTGCCCCCCAGTTTGTTATTGTTATTCTCCTTTAAAAATAACCAGAGCTCCCTGGGTAGAACTGATTACAAAATTTGGAACAGGGGTACATCAAGGTGGCTCTGGGGTATCTGTTTTCAGATATATCTGAGTTAGAGCAAAAAAGGGCCAAGAGGTAAACTGAAAGGGCTCCCATTGGTCAATGTGGAACAATTTAATTATAAAAAAGCAACAATTATTATAATTGATAAAAATAACTTGCTACAAAAAAATCCATGAATACATGATAATGCTCAAAAAGAATGTGACCCTGAGTCAGTTTTTTTAATGTGTTGTGCCTCAGTTTACATGTGTAAAACAGGTAGATAATAGTAGTGTGTACCTCATAGTACTGTGGTAAGGATTAAGGAATACAGTGCCTGCAGAGAGATTAGCAAGTGATTGAAACATCATGCTTAAGTGTCAGCCATAGTTAGCATTATTATTATTATACATCTCCTACTACTAGCATTATTATTAGTTGTATTATTCCATAATGGTAATATTATTGGTTACAGTCTCTACTATTAACATTATTATTATTTCCAAAGAATATTCTACAAGATACTATGATAAATATTCCAAGTACAAAAATTTAAAGTGGAGAAAAAATCAAATTTACTGAGAACTACTATTACCTAGGCACTGTGCAATGCTCAGAGTTGGAACGATCAGGAATTATAGTTTATGTTTATACGTGGATTTGTTTAATGTTATTCTTCCATACTAGATATAAGGGCCCTGAGTTTAGCTTCCTTTAAGTTGTGATGTTCACTGCTATATCCCAGTTATTGGTATAGTATTCGTTAAGTAAACGAAGTAGTGAAAAACACCCAGAATCATCTATCATCTATGACACAGTGTGAGAAAATGTAGCATAGAAGATTGTAAGATCACAGCCAATATTTCTGCTGAGAGCTAGAGGGTGTGTGCGTGTGCACAGCTGTGCACGTGTGTTTTCCAGGTAAGCATCCCAGAAGAGGATACTCCAAGCCCTGGTGGGTGGGGGGATTTTCATCAGGTTGAGAGGCTGGCAGGAGGCATTCTGAGCAGAGATGCAGTGCTTTACAGAGAGCCTGGCACACAGGAGTGCACAGTGCTGAGGGACTGAGTGGATGAATGGAACAGGCATTGAGGTGCTGTCAGGTCACTGGGTTTGCTGGCTTGCTGGGGCACAGGGAGTGCAGATGATGGGGAATCACTGATGGTTTTAAGCAGGAGCACTTCAGCTTAGATGCAGGGTCCTGGGAGAGACTGGTTTGAGCTACTGTGGATCAAAATCTGGGTCACTTTGCTGTTTGTGTTCACGTTAGAAAATTTGATGTTTTCAAAAAGACTTTTTCTTTCTTTTCTTCATTCTTTTCTGATGGAATTGAATAATAGCCCAGGTTCTGGACTTGGACCTGGATTCAAGTCCCAGCTTAGGCAGGACTAGCTTCTTGACCTTGGATCATGTCCCCACATGTAAAGTGTAGGAGGAAATATCTATTTCCCAGGGTATTGTGAATCACCAATGAGGTAATGCCTGGGGAAGAACTTTTCCTGCTAGAGGACGAGAAGCCAGATTTGAAAGATGGGACCTATTTCTTTATTCCTCAGAGATGGCAGTGTACTTGGTCTTTAACCCCAGGAAGTGGAGTCAGACTTTGCTTAATGTATTTCTTAAAGGTGTGTTTCCTGTTGGAGGAGCAAGCAAGTCATTGAGGTGTTAGAACTGGGAGCAGAGATACAAGTAGGGCTCTTTTAGCACCTTAGAGCTGAGTTGTCCTATATAATTGCCGCAAGCTACATGTGGCTATTTAAATTTAAATTGATTAAAATAAAAGTTAAAAATTCAGGTCCTTATTTGCACTAGCTACATTTCAAGTGCTCAGTAATCATGCTGTATTGGCTACTGTGTTGGACAGCACAGCTGTCCTTGTAGAAAGCTCTGTTGGACGCACTGCCTGACAAAGAGCAGGGAACACGGCAACGTTGATCAGCAGAGCTCTGCTAAAATCGTGGTGGTTTGGCAGCACCTTCCAGGGCCCGTTGACATTGTCCAGTGAGGCCTGCAGAGGACAGAGCCCTTGAGTGAAAGTGAAATGATGAACCGTCAATGTTACTATGTTCTTTGTGCTGTATTTGCAGATGGGCAGGATGCACACCACGTTGTCAGGTTGCATCTTGGGAGCCAAATGCTCAACATTAAATGAATACTGTCTCTTGCTTTCCTGCTGTGCTTTGTTGCTCTTTAAATGTTCCCAGCAGACAATAATCCAGCCGCTGTCTGCCTGTATTTACATTTTCTGTCACGATAGAGAGAGTGGGAGCTGTGGCATGGTAAAAGCACTTCACCATTTCTGTCTTTCCCTTGACAGTGTCTTCTGAGAATCCTCAGAAAGTGAAAGGGATGGAGGTCCTTGCTCAAGTGACCTGCAATGGGATTTGGGTGGGATTCAGCTGGATAAATTGCCAGTCATGTTAATGGACATGTTCCCGCACTGCCATTCCCTGGGCAGAGAGACAAAGTGACCTCTTCTCACTTTCTGCAGGGTTCACAAGAGGATGTGCTTAATATACTGTAGGGGGTAGCATGAGAAAGGAAGTAGTGAAATGGCCTAGAAAACTCAAGTGGTCTGGAAGCACGGTTTTTAAAGGAGTCACTCAGAGACATGCAACAAAACAAAGAGACAATAACCAAGATACTTTACCCTCAAGCGCCATCGTTATACCAGGAGGAAGATTCAGAGAGGGAACTATTTATTCACTCAACAAATATTTATTGAGTCACTGCCATTTGCCACATACTATTCTTGTGCCTAAGTTATAGCAGTAACAAATAATCTCTGTTCTGGTGGAATTTACATTTCAGTGAGGGAAGAATAGCCAACACTTATTGAGTGCAGACCACATGCTGGGCACTTTTCTAGCCCACTCAATGCTTATAACAACCCCCTGAGATGTACACTATTACTGTCCTCATTTTTCAAAGGGTCACTTGCTTGGAATTGGCAGAACTGGTCCTGGCTACCTGGCTTCCTAGTCCACACTCTTGATCGTACCCTGCACTTTACTGTCACTCCTCAAACTAGGAAAGGAGAAGGTCTTCCTGGATGAAGACAGACTGAGCAGTCCCTGCCATCTCTGGGAGCAGGAACCCCATGTTTAGGACAGGGGACTTTGTAATTGGCCTTGCATTTCCCCGGTCCCAGGCTCTTGCTCCTCTCCTTTGGGGCATTTTCCAAACCTGAAGAATCCTGAAGCTTTCTCAGCCTTGTAATACCATTGAGGGCACTGCAACTTCCATGGTTGCCCCTGGCCCTGGAGTCCCTTAGATCTAGGAATCCTTCCCTCCTTGATCCTCAATGGAGAGTCCCCTTAACAGATTGCTGCTGATGCTGGTGTCCCAAGTTGCAGCATTTGATTTCTTTAGCCTTAAATAACTTTTCTTAATGTTGTCATGATGATGACAGGAATATCAGTGATGTCAGAAATATTCTTTTTCTAGTACCTCCTTGGTTGCAACAAAGAAATTCAAATCTACTTTTTCTAATATTTTATTTTCATTTTCTTTTCATTTTATCTTAATTTTATTTTTTGTAGAGACAGTATCTTGCTATGTTGCCTAGGCTGGATTCAAACTCCTGGGCCCAAGTGATCCTCCTGCCTCAGCCTCCTGAGTAGCTGGTACTACAGCTGGGCACCACCATGCCCAGCTCTAATGTTTTATTTTCTGTTCCTTCTGATGTTCCCTTTCTGCTTTCTGCAGATTTAACTTTTTTAAAAGGGCTTCAACCTGCTTTTTCAGTTCCTTCTCTGAACTGACATGTTTTCTGGTTCTGAGTTTTCTCCTCTCCTTTACTTCTTTCTGGCCCCTCCCCCACCCCATCCCCCGTTTTAACTTTAAGAACAAAACCAATTTTTAAGCTGCTTCTAATCCTCCCTGGGTTTCTGATGTTCTCATTCTAAAGTTCAAATAGTAGCTTTCTGTGCACATGTGAATTCCTGGAGCCTTCTCGCCCCTCATAGTGTTTTTCCCTCTGCCTTGATGCATGTCTGATTCTTAATCCACGTCCCAAATACAGACCATTTAGCTTTCCCTCCTAGACCCCGGGCTTATGCTATTGCCATTTGTCTTTTCTCCTATCTCAACTTAAGAAAGTGTCATACTGTGTCACCTGGCAGAAGGGCTTCTATTCATCTCTAACTGCTCACAGATGATGACATTTTTCCATTGTGATTAAACTGACCTCCAGGTCTCTGAAGCCTACAAGCATAATCAGGACTTATTTAATATTCCTGATTAGGATAAAAAGGGCAGAGACATTTTAGAATCTTCCCTGTCAAGCCACCAAGAACATCATGGTGTTTCTTTTCATCTCTGTGAATAATCCTAAGAACTTTTCAGAGATTAGAGCTTCCTTCCTTAAAGAGGGATTGCTAGTGGTACTGGGTACTTCAAAGAAAATGTAGATGAGTCACCCAAACCCATCAAGGTTAATTCTACGATGGAACACTCCAAGTCTTTATAAACTTCTCTCAATTTTCAGAATTCTGGGACCGTGTTTCCACAGAGATTAGATGGAGTATTTGTCAGGGGAACTGATGAATACGTAATTCTGTGCTCAGTTAGCCACCCCTTCCTGCAAAGTCCTAAGGGAAATATATGATGGAGTCATGCTTCTTAAACTTTAATGTGTATATGAACCTTTCGGGGATCTTGATAACACATGGATTCTGATTCAGGAGATTAGGCATTCTGCATTTCTAACAAGTTCCCAGAAGACACTGATGCTGCAGGTCTATGGACCATACTTTGAGCAACAAAGGGTTAGAGGACAAGAAACCAGCGAAGGAGCATTGTTATTACTAGCTGGGGCTTTTCTCCATGCTCTGGTGCATTCCTCTATTGAGGAGGACTTTGCAGTAAGAAGGGCTTCTTTTTCCAAGAGGAGACTGTTGTTTACACCTAGGCATCAGCCAGGCTCTTGCTTGGCTCTGTTGGGAATGAAGTGCTGTGGCGGACACATCCTCCCAAGCTGGGGAAAGTGCTGTGCTATGTCTTACTGTAATGGTTATAGGTAAGGAGGAGAGTTCAAAGAGGTAGTAGGGGGAAACCAAGAGGAAAATGACTGAAATCTTTCCAAGCAAGAGCAGAAATTATAATGCCTTTCCTCGAGACTCAGGGATCTTGGCTCCCATGGGTCTACTCATTACCTCCCCTTATAGCACACTGAAAACTCCATCTGTAGTAGTCTGTTCTCACACTGCTAATAAACACATATCTGAGACTGGGTAATTTATAAAGAAAAGATGTTTAATAGACTCACAGTTCCATGTGGCTAGGAGGCCTCACAATCATGGCAGAAGGTGAATGAGAAGCAAAGTCATGTCTTACATGACAGCAGGCAAGAGAGCGTGTGCAGGAGAACTCCTCTTTGTAAAACCATCAGATCTCATGAGACTTATTCACTATCACAAGAACAGCATGGGAAAGACCCACCCCCGTGATTCAATGACCTCCTACTGGGTCCCTCCCATGACATGTGGGAATTATGGGAGCTACAATTCAAGATGAGATTTGAGTGAGGACACAGCCAAACCATATCACCGCCTTCTGCCCCTTGATATCCCTAACCCATAGCAGTGCTTTTTGGAGGTGGAAGAGCTGTGGCAGGTAGGGGAGGGAAGAGCTCTTCCTTTATATTCTATTCTTTCACCTAGAATGTTTCTGTGTGCACATTTTCAATAGATATATACATCAGGTAATCTACACTGAGCTAATGTAGCTTCTAACCAATCTGTATTCAAAGACTCTAGAAAGCTCAAAGGGCTTGTAGAAACTATTAAATCCAGTGACTCTGGGTGGGCACGGGAGCTCACACCTGTAATCCCAGCACTTTGGGAGGCCTAGGCAGGTGTATCACTTAAGGTCAGGAGTTCGAGATCAGCCTGGCCAACATGGTGATCTCGCCATCTCCACTAAAAATACAAAGATTAGCCAGGTGTGATGGCGCACACCTGTAATCCTAGCTACTTGGGAGACTGAGGTGGGACAATCCTTGAACCCGGGGGGTGGTGGCTGCAGTGAGCCAAGATCGTGCCACTGTACTCTAGCCTGTGTGATAGAGTGAGACTCTGTCTTAAAAAAAAAAATCCAGTGACTCTGAAACTTTTCTGACTAAAACCTATTTGTGCAGGGAACAAGACTCATCGCTTATCTGCCAAACCCAACCCTACTTTCTAGACATGAGTTGTTGTAACAATGAGATTACTGTTTACTTTTCCTGGTCTTTTCTTTATTTTCTTTTGTAATTAGTTGTATATCTTCTTTAGCCATCACCTAAAGCTAGGAATGAATCAAATTTGAGCCTTGAGTCTTCTCTAGGTATCCTGCTTCAGTCCTTGCCTGCTTTCCTCTTACCCCACAGACCCTTATTTCCCTGTAACCTTTGCTGGCTTGTCCTCAGCTTCTGTATCTTCAAATATTGCTCTGAGCTCTGTCTCATCTTCTCCACCTCTTCAGGTGCTCTCTGGTCACATGGCTCCAAATATCATCTGTACACTGATGACACTTAGATTTATATTTCTAACTCACACCACTTCCCTGAAAGGCAGAGTTAAATATCTAACTGGCAAGCTAGCATCTCAAACATGGTATGCCAAAACTATCCACTCTCCTCACCACTCTGGACATCTTCTTGCCCCAATCCTAAGCCTTTTCTATCTCACTAAACAGCTCCATCATCTACTCAGTTACTCAGGCCCAAGATTTAGGGGCCATTCTTGAACACTGTTATGTTTATGTTCCTCATCTAGTCTATTGATTAGTACCATCTCCTCTACCTCCAAAAATATATCTTCAATTAGATCACATCTCACTGTGTCCATAGCCACAATCTTATTCCAAGCTACTATCATTTCTTGCTTAGAAAATCACAATAGCCTCCTAACTGGTATCCTGTCCTCCACTTACGCTCCACTCTAGTCCATCCTACAGGCAACACTCTTATGCTGAAAACTGTCCAGTGACTTACCACTATGATTAAAATGAAGTGCAAACTAAAGACTTTTAAAGTTGTAAAGTTTTACCTTATCTGACTCCTTTCTATCTCATCCATATTATTATACTATTTATCATCCTTGCTTGTCATAATCAGACCAGTCTTCTCACTGTCTGAACATGCTATATCAGTCAGCTATTGCTGTATAACACACTACTCTAAAACTCAGGAGCATACATTGGTAAGCATTTATTCTCTCTTTTATAGGACTGCAAGTTGACGGAATCAGCTAATCTAGGCTGAGCTTGACTGGGAGTTCAGCTTTAAGTTGTTGGGCTTGGCTCTTTATAGTAGTTTAAGCTCAAATCTGCTCCATAGGTGGTCCTTCTGGAGCCCAGAATGATGGGGCAGCACATACTCAGGGCAGACTCTTTTCTTTGCAAGGCGGTAGCCCAGGAGGGCAAGCCTATTGCACAGCATGTTTTAAGCCTTTGCATATATCACATCTATTTATGCTCCATTGGCCAAAGTAAATTCATACGGTCAAACTCAACATCAGGGGCCATGGTAATATGTTCTGTCCACAGTGGGAGTAGGGAGGGAATATATTTGCTGAATGACAGTCCAGACCATGATACTCCAAGCTTGTTCCTGCCTCAGAAGCTCTTTTCCTTACTGTTCCCTCTGCCTGGAATACAGTTGCCCAGATCTTCACAAGTCTGCCACTCATTATTTAGTTTATGACTTATGTGTTACCTCCTTAGAGACATCTTTGAGGACCTTTGCCTTGGCTGAAGAAGCCTTCTCTCTACCACATTACCCTATTTTATCTTTTCCATCACCCTTTTTTTGAAACCAGGTATCACTTCATTTACTTGTTTTGTTCATGTGTTTATTGTCTGTAGTCTTCTGCTAGAATGTACAATTTTGAACGACAGGATGTTATCTTGTTCACAGAAGTGTTCCAGTGCCTGGAACAGAACTTGTCACATAATAGGTGATCAGTAAATATTTGTTTTTTGTCCAGCCATCTAATTTTTATATGCCTTAAAGCCCAACTATTGAAAATTATAAGTCTCACACATTGATCCAAGTATGTATCACCACACATGGTAGAATTAACCAAATGACCCATTACAATCTAAATGGATAATTATGGAGCTTATTAACATCAATTTATAAGCAATCATAACAGCAATCGAAAGCCATGATCAACTGAAGATAGCACTGACATTAGTGTGTTCTTCCTCAAAATTGCGGGCTTTACCACCATCTGCACATGTTCATACACAGTAGGAACTTTGAATGTTGCTAAGTAGTTGAGTCCTGAATAAACTAAAAGCACATTAATTTTAGTTGACTGTTAACAAATTACAGTAACCTACTTAGTAGGTTACTAGTAAGTAATCTTTGGCTGTATACAAAATAGCACCTTGAAATGGGATGCCATTTACTCATGCAATTAATAAAAGGAGCTTTGTTTTTCCATCCAGTTTAGACCCATCAAGACAACCCTTATGGTCTACCACTGGGTGTGGGCCACATTTGAAGGGTGATTGATCTGGTGCAATGCCATAATCTTCTAGATGAGGACATTGAGGCTCAAAGCAGGGAAATGACTTGTCCAAGAACACATAGGAAGTAATGGCTGAACTATGAAATATTTTATTCTTGTCCTCTGACTCTGAGCTTAGTGTTCTTTCTGCTTCTCTGTGCTGGACCTCCATGTAAAGTGAAAATATCTTTGCAAGGAAAAAGAATTTCTTACCTGTCTAAAGTCTGTTAACTCTAATTATTTAACTAATAAGAAGATAGGTGAGCAAGGAGAGAAATTATCCTATTTAAAAGGGGGGAAACTGAGACACTGAGGAGCCAAACAGTGACAGAGCCCCACTAGAATCCATGTCTTTTGGGTGAGGGAAGACTTCTGTAGTCACCTGGACTGTGGTTGCAGATACTCCCTATCTTTTGACAGTGTCTGTTGGCAGAGGGAGAAGCACAGGGTCTGCTGGACCTTTGACCTTACTTCTTACTATAGTTCATAGAATGAAGTTCTTTGGAATCATTACACAAAAATCTCCAAGTTTTTCAAGAACTCTAAGGTGACATGGATGAGTGGAAAGATGTGATTTGGAGTCAGACAGATTTGGGTTCAAATCCTTCTCCCCACTTACTAGGTCAGTAATCTTAGGCAAGTAACTTAACCACTCCAACCTCAGACTTCTAATCTGTAAGATGGAGATATTAATATTGTCCTCCCTTCACATATGTAGAAAAGCATCGAAGTATGTGGCATACAGAGCCACTTAATAGATAGTGGTTATGATTATTTAAAAGTGGAATTGTGACAGATTTCACACACACACACACACACACACACACACACACACACACACGTGGAATTGAACATTGCCCTTTTCTCATCCTATTGTTTTTGCCAAGTGTGATTTTCAGATAAAGGACATTGAAGGTGAAATCTTATTTACAAGATATGTTCTAGATCATTTTTAGACTGTTTTCTCAGTACACTCACCAGTTTTTACATTGTTTATTTCTCTGTAGTGGTTTTGGTAAGTGGAAATCCAGGATGTGTACGATACACAGCTTCCCAGGTAGTTTGTTCCTGGTTCTACACCATTATATCCTGAAGGCTGGAAACAACCTTGAAAAGACTTTTGTGCCATTCCCATGGCTGAAGTTAACAACTTGTGCACACTATTCCAGGCTGATAAAACCCTTTCATTTTCTTTGCCCTCGAAAGGAGAAGTCCCTGGTGGTGACTGCAGTTAGCTGATTATTGGTCTGCTCCCCTTTGGCTCACAGATATGTCTTGTTCACAATTACATGCCTGACTTCCTTTTTATAGAACACCTGGCACATATAATAATTTTTGAGTATTGCCTCAGAGTGATGGGTTGTGCTGACCAGGAAGGCAATTGAATTATTTAAATAGTGAGAAAATGTTAAGTAGTCTGTGTGGGCAATGTATCTGTGTATAAAGATATATCAATGTATGGTTTTGCATGTTTGGGAATATTTTGTACGATACATTTTATTAGTGGAAACAGAATGTGCTGAATCTTTTGAAATATGCATCTAAACATGATTTCTTCAGCAAGAGGAACATGTCTTGGTCAGCAAGATAACTAGGTCATCTAGGCATGATGAAAAGGAAGAGCTATTCAGTTTGGCACCCTTTCATTCAAAAGAGAGAAGGAACTGAGATGGAATTCAGATGTCTTAGTCCATTTTCTGTTGATTATAACAGAATTTCTGAAACTGAGTAAATTATAAAGAAAAGTAATTTATTTCTTCAGTTATGGAGGCTAAGTCCAAGGTTGAAGACTGCATCTATACATCCATAAATGGATTAATCTATTCATGAAAGCAGAACCCTTATCACCTAGTCACTTCCTAAAGGCCCCACCTCTCAATATGTCAATCTTGGAAATTAAATTTCAACATGCGTTTTGGAGGTGACAAATGTTCACATCATAGCAGAAGGCATTTATTGCAGAGGGCAGCACTTGAGGTCATGGGATTATATGGGGATACAAGTGATCTGAGTATCAGAGGAAAAACCTGAGTTTGTAAGTTTTAGGCCTTCTTGAGCATGGCAGCTGTGTATGGTTTCCCTTGCTTGAGCTATAGTTGGGAACTGCATGTCCTCAAGCTATGTGTCTTCATTTGTTCTGTCTGTTGGCATCACTGAATGAAGGAAAAGCTGGCTGGGGAGGTGGGGAAATTTGTATTCTTAGTGGCTTTCTGATGGGTTGGATTGCAAAGCTCCAATTACTTTCTTTACCCTTGCCATAGCTAAAGAGGGGTGAGCTTCTACTAAGAGTTAGCCCTCCAACATGTCAGTTCAGATGCAAAACCTTCATTCTATAGCCAAAATTTTTGTCCTCTTGCTCCATCTGCAGTGGAATTAGGAAACCCAGTATTCCCTTAATGACTTAGTGTTGCACCTAGGATAGACCACCTAAGAATCATTAGGTGGTCTTTGTGATATGGTTTCTGTCTACATGTCCAGCAGTGTCTTACCACTCACCTCCCTGCTTCCTGTACTCCAGCCACATTGAGGTCCTTTTGATTCCTTGAATACCTCATATTCCCTCATGCCTCTTGGGTACATTTTAGATATTTTGTCTGCAAGTAACTGCCAACACTCAATTAGCTTAAGTATCTATAAAATTTATTTATTTCAGTAGCTTTTGGGATACAAAGTAGTTTTTGGTTACGTGGATTAATTGTACAGTGGTAAAGTCAGAGATTTTAGTGTACCCATCATCTGAGTAGTGTACATTGTACCCAGTATGTAGTTTTTTTAATTCCTTATTCCCCTTCCCACCCTTCTGCCTTCTCAGTCTCCAAAATTTATTATAAATTTTGTATGCCTTTGCATACCCATAGCTTATCTCTCACTTATAAGTAAGAACTCATGGTATTTTGATTTTCCATTCCTGAGTTACTTCACTTAGAACATTGGCCTCCGGCTCCATTCAAGTTGCTGTAAAAGACATTATTTTGTTCTTTTTATGGCTAAATAGTATTCCATAGTATATGCGTGTATATATATAATTTTCTTTATCCACTCATCAGTTGATGGGCACTTAGGTTGGTTCCATGTCTTTGCAATTGCGTATTGGAGCATATTCTATCATCCATCCATCCATCCATCCATCCATCCACCCAGCCACCCATCCATCCATCCATCCATCCATCCATCCATCCATCCATCCATCCATATTTTGACATATATTTACTGAGGGGCTGTTATACCCTAGGAATTGTTTTAAGCAATAGGGTTAGAATGGAGAACAAAGCAGACAAAACCTCTACTCTCATGGGATTTATAATCCAGTGATAGAAACAGACGTTAAATGATTATAAGTAATGCAGCTATTCTAGGGCTGTTTGATCTTGGTTGAGTGATAATTCTTTGTACAGTTAGCTTTTAGGGCAGGGATGGAAGAAAGCAGGGGATGTCACACAGTATAGTGAACAGCTGGGACTATGGCGGGCGAGAAATTACTAGCACGTTTTGTAAAAGAGCAAAAAAGTTCAATGTTTTCATATTTTTTCTCTTTTAAAAATTAAGGTATAGGTTGTGTACTGTGTCTCACGTCTGTAATCCCAGCACTTTGGGAGGTCAAGGTCGGTGGATGCTTGAGCCCAGGAGTTCAAGACAAGCCTGGGTAACACAATGAGACCTCATCTCTACAAAACATTAAAAAAAATTATCCAGGCATAGTGGTATGTGCTTGTGGACCAAGCTACTTGGGAGGCTGAGGTAGGAGGAATGCTTGAGCCTAGGAGGTTGAGGCTGCAGTAAGCTGTGTTCATGCCACCACGCTTCAGCTTGGGTGACAGAGAAAGACCCTTTCTCAAAAATAACTAAATAAAATAACATAAAATTAAGGTGTAATTAGCATACAATAAAATGAGTAGATATTAACTGTTATTGATGAGTTTTTATAATTTTATACACCCATAAAACCATCACCCTCTAAATAAAAATATTTTTATTATCCCTTCCTGACACTTCATCTACCCCCCACTATTTAGCTTTGCCTGTCCTTGAACTTTAGATGAATAGAATACTACTATTCACTATACTTTTTGTATTTGCTTTCATTTTTCTCAACATAAAATTTTTAGATGTAGCCATGTTGCATATATCAGTGGCTTATTTTTATTGTCAGCTAGTTTTCCATTGTATGAAAATATTATTTATTTTGGGTAAATATTTAGGAGTGGAATTGCTGGGACAGAGAGTAGATGTAACTTTATAAGAAACCGCCAACGAGTTCTCCAAAGTGGTTATTTATTTTACAATCCTATCATTAATGTATAGGAGTTGCAGTTGCTATATTCTCCAACATTCAGTATTGTCAGTCCCTTTGATTTTAGCCATTCAAACGTATATTTAGTATTATCTCTTTGTGGTTTAAATTTGTATTTCCCCGATGACTAATGATGTTTAGCATCTTTTCACGTGTGTTTTGTTTTTATTCCTATGTCTCAGTGCAGGGTCCATTAAAGTCTTTTCTTCATTATTATTATTTAAAAAATGGACTTGTAGGAGTTCTTTATTCTGGCTGCAAGTTCTTTTTCAGATAGATGCATTGCAGGTACTTTTCTTACAGTCTCTGGCTTATCTATTCATATTCTTGCTGGTATTTCTCATGAACAGAAATGTTAAATTTTGATGAAGCCCAGTATATATATTTTTTCTTTTGTGGCTTTTTGTGTCTTTTCTAAGACATCATTTCCTACTTTAAAGCCATGAAGAAATTTTATCTTGTAGAAATTTATGGCTTTTATGTTTAGTATATAATGTACCTCGGAATTATTATTATTATTATTATTATTATTTTATCATTTTGAGACAGGGTTCTCATTCTGTCACGTCACTCAGGCTGGCTGCAATGGCAAGATCATGGCTCACTGTACCCTTGAATTCTTGGGCTCAGGTGATCCTCCCGTCTCAACCTCCCCAGTAGCTAGGAATACAGGTGCACACCACCACACCTGGCTAATTTTTTGTATTTTTTGTAGAGATGGGGTTTCACAATGTTGCTCAGGCTGGTCTTTAACTCCTGATCTCAAGGAATCCACCTAATTTAGCCTCCCAAAGTGTTGGGATTACAGGCGTGAGACACCATGCCCAGCCTGGAATTAATTTTTGTGTGTGATATAAAATAATGGTTGGGGTTCAGCTTTTAAAACACAGCTCCCCAGATGTTCTGGCACTATGTGTTGAAAAGACTTTTCCTATTTCATTGACTTTGTCAAAAATTATTTGTCTATGTGTGTGTGTGTGTGTTTGTGTGTGTGTGTGTATATATGAATCTATTTCTATTCCGCTGATCTATAGCTTATCCTTATGCTAATACCACACTTTGCTATTACTGCAGTTTTATGGTAAATACTGAAATCAGGCAGTAGAAGAATTCCAACTTTTTTTTTTTTATGACTGCTTTTCTCTTCTAGGTTCTTTTCATTTTAATTTACATTTTAAAATAAGTTGTCAATTTCTTTAAAAAATTTTGCTGGTATTTTGATTTGGATTGCATTAAATCTATGCATCAATTTTGGATAATGCACATCTTAAAAATATTTTTAATACTAATACAATATTGAGTTTTCCATGACTCAATCCATCAACATTGTCTATCATTCCATCAATTTAGGTTTCTTTAATATCTCTCAGCATTGTTTTGTAGTTTTTAGTGTAGAGATGTTGCACATTTTCTGTTGGATTTATTCTTTTTCTTTTGGAGTTGGGGTCTCACTCTGTTGCCCAGGCCGGAGTGTGATGGCATGACCATGGCTTACTGGAGCCTTGAACTCCTGGGCTCAAGTGATGCTCCCACTCCAGCCTTCTTAGTAGCTGGGACTACAGACACATGCCACCATGCCTGGCTAAGTTAAAAAAAAAAAAAAAAAACTCTTTTTAGAGATGAAGTCTTGCTGTGTTGCTCAGGCTGGTTTTGAGCTCCTGGCCTCAAGCAATCCTCCTGCCTCAGCCTTCTGAGTCATTGGGATTACAGACGTTAATCACCATGGCCAGCTTTTTGTTGGATTTATTTTTTAATATTAGATTTTTAATGCTAATTTAAATGGTATTACACTTAACTTTCATTTTTATTGTTTATTACTATTTCATAGAATTGCAATTAACTTTTATATATTGGCCATTCATCTTGAAATTCTGCTGAATCCACTGATTTTGGTAGTTTTTTTCTTTTTTAATGTGGCAGATTCTATAAGGTTTTCTTCATTTACAGTGTTGTCATCTGTAAACAATAGCAGTCTTACTTTTCTCATCTTTTATCTTTTATTTCTTTTCTTGCCTTATTGCACTGATCAGTACTTACAGTACAGTGGTAAATAGAAATGATGCTGAATATTTTTATTCCAATTTTAGTTGAAAGCATTCAATATTTCATCAAGTCTGATGTTACCTGTAGATTTTTTTGTAGATGCCCTGTATCAGAATGAGTTGTCATGTATTCCTACTTTGCTGAGAGATTTAAAAAATAAAATCCTTGGCCAGGTGTGGTGGCTCACACCTATAATCCCAGCAGTTTGGGAGGCCGAGGCAGGCGGATCACCTGAGGTTGGGAGTTCGAGACCAGCCTGACCAACATGGAGAAACCCCATCTCTACTAAAAATACAAAATTAGCTGGGCGTGGTGGTGCATGCCTGTAATCCCAGCTACTTGGGAGGCTGAGGCAGGAGAATCACTTGAACCCAGGAGGTGGAGGTTGCGGTGAGCCAGGATCGCACCATTGCACTCCAGCCTCAGCAACAAGAGTGAAACTCCATCTCTAAATAAATAAATAAATACATAAAATCCTTAAGAATGGTGCATTTTGTCAAGTGTCTTTTTTGCATCTGTTGAGAAAACCTGGCACCAACTCTAGTTCAAGTCAGCTTTGGAAGTAGTCATTTCAACAGTAGGAGCTGTAAGAGGGCAAAAATTTATAAACATGGTTTGTAAAGATGGCAAAGAAAAACTGACTTTTCTTTGAGAATTTTCTCTGTAAAATAAAGTTATAACTGGTGAGACCACAACATTACTTTTCACTCAAATTATTGTCCTTGAAGCAGAAAATTTTGTATATGGCCCACGTATCAGAAATTACCATAATTTTAAGATCTTATCATTAACTATGTCTGGGTGAAGTAGAAGAAAAAGGAAAAAATGGGTGCTGTGCTTGAAATAGAAGCTATAACATTAACAGATGACACACACACACACTTTTCCTTATTTGATTCAATTTTTCCTTCCGGAAGAATGGTCTTAATACAGTACAGTATAAAGCAAACAGGAGAAAGAAAAAATTAAGCCCTAATTTGGTTATAACAGGAAGAGGGCCTCAATGTGCTTTAAACAATTTCTAATCCTGAGCCCAGATGAATCTCATCCAAAGAAACAGAACAAATTTAGTTTTGGTCATCCAACTTCTATGCTATAATCTTAGAAAAATCAAGGAGAGTGAGGGATGTGCTAATGGCTTCTATGCTATCTGTCCTTATTATTTTTAATGGAGAAATTTTGTATTCCAAAAAGCATAGGATAGCAGAGCCTAGTGATCTTAATATCTCTTCTTGGTAAAATTCTGAATTAAAGAAATTAAACAGATGGTAACATTAGAAATGATTCACTCTGCTGGAGCTAGTTCAAGAATACACTCATATGTCATATTTTTTTTCCTCATGGCTTTTTGAACCCTGGAAGGTGGAATCAGTTCAGTTTGGTCTTTGTGCCCCTACATTAATCACATTTGAGTCTAGCTCTAACTACATATTTTCTTGTAATTTGTATTTTTAGGTGCCGGTCTCCTTCATTAGGCCACCACCTCTTTAAAAACCAGGGCCAAGTCTAAAAGATCAATAGCCAATTCAAAATGGCTTAAGTAAAAGGGAGAAATTAATTAGCTCTTGTTATTAAAGTTAGTGTTGGATGTAACCTGCATCCTCCTGGAATAAGGTGCTCCAATGATGTCATCATGGCTTAATCTCACTTTCTCTCCATCTCTTTGCTCCACTCTGTCTTGGGCTGGCTATATTTAGGCAGGCTGTCCCCATAGGAGCAAAGTGGTCCCTAGGATCCCAGGCTTATATCATATTTTCTCAGGAATTCCAGTTGGAAGATGCTACTCAAGTTGTTTGCTTTGTTTTGTTTTGTTTTGTTTTCATCAATAAGCAGAACAAAACTTCTGGAACTGTGTCTCATTGGTTTGTCATGGGGCATATACACATCCTTAAGCCAAATATGTGGTCAAGAGGATGGACGGTGTTGATGGACCAGACCTGAACCCCATGCCTACCCATAGAGTTGCAGGGTGGAGTGAACACCTGCATCATATGGGCTGAAAGTGGGTGAGTGGTGGATCTCCAGAGGAAAATCACTGTGTAGCTACCAAAAAAGAGGGAGTACATGACAAGCAGGAAAAATAAATTCAAGTACCTCCAGGTTCTGGACTAAGTTATCTATTGCTATCTCACAGACAAGTTGACTTTGATTTCAGTAGGGCCTTTAACAGTGTCTCAGAAATAAGACAGTTAAATGTGAGCGTGTTGATAATATAGTTAGGCAGATTTATAGTTTACTGAACAAACATATCCTAAGAATGTTGATTCATGAATTGATGTTGACCTGAAGGATGAACCCTAGGGCCATGCTATGTGGTTTGTATATATAATTTCTGGGCTGACATTTCTCATCAGCAACTTGCACGAACACGTCACAGTTGTATTTGTCAAATGTTTAGGTCACCTGCTCCTAGAATTTTGGGTTTCACAGTCTTGGAAAATTGTAGAAAAAATTATTTAGGAAATTATGCAGGGTCTCCAACTTTTTATTTTTGCCAAGGAAGGATGTACATATATTAACTGTGATCTATTCATTTCACTAACATTTTACTAAGATATGACATTTTAATATTTAAAAAAGTATATGATGTCATAAGAAAAGACAGTTCCAAGAAAGGAAATTTGGCTGCCTTATACTGACATTAAAATAAAATAATGTAATGGATATAACACAAACAATCGTAACATAAGAATTCAATTTTCAAAATTACAGTGAATCTCATTTCTGTAATTTTCTCTCTGAAGATTTGTCATTTGGAGATCATAGACTGGAGCCTTAATGTTAGCCTGTGGATTTGATTGTCTTTTAGACTTAGTGAAAAGTTCAGGTCCATATAGCTCTGCTGACAAAAATAGAAGAACCACACTCTTAATGCTGTTTTATTCAATTCAAATATTTCGCATTATACAGAGAGTGGTTGAGAAACAACTTCCCCAACCCCAAGCCACATACATGTACATATCTGGCCTGACTCATCATCAGCCGTTTCTGCTCCCTCCTTTTCCCTGCAGGGGAGGGAAGAAGCTGTGGTACCCGGCAGTAAGATGTGCGGGAAGTATGATAGGGGGCGCTGTTACTTAGAGGGCTGCTCTCACCTGAGTGCTCAGGTAAAAACCCAGCTCATTTTGACTGAAGCAGGCAGAAAACTAGCTGAGAGAATGCTGCCAATCACCAGCATCCTGGATCCAGTTGTAGTCGCCTATTTGGGAGCTGCTGCTGGAAGTAATGAAGAGCTGAGAGAAATTGCTCCTTCACTGAATGTTAGAACCAAGCCTCTCATTTCATTATCTCCATGGACTGTAACCAGAAACCAAAACTGAAAGGATGGAATTTCATAGGGGTTAATATAAAGTTCTTCCAAGGGGTCTAACACCTCAGCTGTACAACAACAAGCCAAACTTGAGAGCATTTCATGTAAAAAAGACCTGTGTGGGTTTTTGTTTTTTTTTGTTTTTGTTTTTGTTTTTTTTTTTTTGAGACAGAATCTGGCTGTTACCCAAGCTGGAGTACAGTGGCACGATCTCAGCTCACTGCAACCTCTGTCTCCTGGGTTCAAGCGATTCTCCTGCCTCAGCCTCCCGAGTAACTGAGATTACAGGCATGAGCCACCAGGCCTGGCTAATTTTTCTATTTTTAGTAGAGATGGGGTTTCACCATGTTGGCCAGGCTGGTATTGAACTCCTGACCTCAGGTGATCCACCCACCTTGGCATCCCAAAGTGCTGGGATTATAGGCATGAGCCACCACGCCCAGCCAGACCTGCGGTTTTTTTTTTTTTTTTTTTTTTTTTTTTTTTTTTTTTTTTTTTATGAGACGGAGTCTCGCTCTGTCTCCCAGGCTGGAGTGCAGTGGCGTGATCTCGGCTCACTGCAAGCTCTGCCTGCCGGGTTCATGCCATTTTCCTGCCTCAGCCTCCCGAGTAGCTGGGACTACAGGTGCCCGCCACCACACCCGGCTAATTTTTTGTATTTTTAGTGGAGACGGGGTTTCACCGTGGTCTCGATCTCCTGACCTCGTGATCCGCCTGCCTCGGCCCCCCAAAGTGCTGGGATTACAGGCGTGAGCCACCGCGCCTGGCCAGACCTGCATTGTTTAATCGAGTCAAGTTCAATATGATCCAGAGGAGTCTATGTCATCTATCTTAGGCCACCTGAATAGGGACATAATGTCCAGATCATGGGAGATGATAGTTGCACTAGAGCAGAGTTACTGATATTTTAGGTCAGATAATTCCTTTTTTATTTATTTATTTTTTTGAGATGGAGTCTCACTCTTTCGCCCAGGCTGGAGTGCAGTGGTGCTATCTAGGCTCACTGAAAGCTCCGCCTCCTGGGTTCACGCCATTCTCCTGCCTCAGCCTCCTGAGTAGCTGGGACTTATAGGCACCTGAGATGGCGCCGGGCTAATTTTTTGTAATTTTTTTTTTTTTTTTTTTTTTTTTTAGTAGAGACAGGGTTTCACCATGCTAGCCAGGATGGTCTGGATCTCCTGACCTCGTGATCCGCCCACCTTGGCCTCCGAAAGTGCTGGGATTACAGGCGTGAGCCACCACACCAGGCCAGAAAATTCTTTTTTGATGGGGTCTATCTTATGCTTTGTGCATTAACAGCATCCCGGGCCTCCACCCACTCACTGCCGGTAGGTTCCCCCAGATGTGGCAACCAAAATATTTCCAGATACTGCCACATATCCCTGAGAGAGGGGGGAAATGCCTCTAGTTAAGAACCATTGCACTAGACTCCATAGTGGAGCTCGTATTCAGTTCTGGGCAATGCATTTTACGAGGAAAATTCACAAACTGGTAAAGTCCAGAGGAATTGCATGGACCAGGGTGAGATGTATGAACACCATATCACTAGTATATTGGAGGAACTAAGACTGTTCAGACTGGAAGAGAACAGACTCTGGTGGTGGTGATAGAGATAGATGTTGGGGAAGGATATCCCAGCTTTACCTCCATCCTTCCTTCTCTTTCTTCTTTCTCTCCCAACTTTTTTTCTCTGTAACTCCTTTCTTTCTTCCCCTTTCTCTTTTCTCTGGCTTCATTTTCCTTTACACTTAGTTTTTTTTTTTTAAATATAATTTTAAAATTGTGATACCATATATATATGTACCATTCAGTGACATTAATTACATTCACAATGTTGTGCAATAATCACCACTATTTCCAAAATTTTTTATCACCCCAATCAGAATTCACTCAGTTTTATCTTCCTACCCCATCACTGGGTATAGAGAGACTTCTCCTGGCTGCCTTACTATAATCCCCCACCTTGGGTAAATTCCACCATCCATGCTCAGTAGGAATGGTGAGACTCAGCTGCTTACAGCCTTTCAAATTTCTATTAGCCAGCTTTAGCTGGACTCTTATTATCTTCCTTTGGTGCTTATATATCCCAAATGCTTTCTGACCCTATATACATACCAGAGCATCTGTTTCAAACCTTTCCATTTTTCTTATTTGGCTCACTCTTTTACTGCCCATAACCTTGCCTTTATCTCAGTAAAAATTTAGGTTATGTGAAATGAGTTTCCTTAACTCTTTTTTCCTCTGGAATTCCACCGTCATCACCTCTCTTCTCATCCTTTAGGCTCAGCCTCTGAGAGCCATGTGATTGTCTTCCTTTCTAAACCGATTTTACCTAAGCCCATGGAATCTCCTGCCTCCAAAACCTGATTTGAGAGCCATGTTCTCCTTTTTTTGCAATTTTGGTATGTTCCTTCTATTTCCTCTTAACATGCTGTCTTAGTCAGCTTAGGCTGCCATAACAAATCATAGAACTTGATGGCTTAAACAACAGAAATTTAACAGTTTTAGAGGCTGAGAAGTCCAAGATTAGGGTTTCAGCATGGTCAGGTTCTGGTGAGAACCTTCCCCCTGGTTTGCAGATAGCCTCCTCCTTGCTCTATCTTCACATGGCAGAGAGAGAGGGGCCAAGCTCCCTGGTCTCTTCTTGTAAGGGCACTTATTCCATCACGACGGCTTTGTCTAACCTAATTACCTTCCAAAGGCCTTGTCTCCAAATACCATCATATTGAGGGCTTCAACATACGAATTTTGGGGTGATGGAATTCTGTCCCTGCCTCCTAAAATTCAAAACATCCCTTCACCCTGATATCCCCTTATACTGTCACTAATCTCCCTCTTCTCCAGGTCATACTCTAAGCTGTGGCAGGCATTGTCCTCCCACGAGACCCATCATGGTGTCGCCTGATTCAGAATGTGTCCTGTGGCCTAATAAATCCAAACTCCTTAGCATGACATTTGAGAACTTCCATGAATCTGGCTCCAAACCACTTTTCTCATCTTCCACTACATCACGCTCCTGATTCTAAGTTCTTCCTATCCTACTGACCCTTAGTGTATGCTAAGCTAAGGAGAGGCATTTTGAGTTAGAACCAACTGACAATAGAGAGAGGTTGTATCAGGGGTAGTGAGTGCCTGTCCCTGAAAATGTTCAAACCAAAGCCAGGAAAACAATCCCTCAGAGTTATTGTAGAGAGAATTCCCAAAGTAGTGGGAAGATGGTTAGAGGTCCTCTCAGGCCAGATTTCTTAGTGTTGGTACTTGACATTTGAGGCTAGATAATTCTTTGTTGTGGGGAGCTATCCTGTGCATTGTAGATGTTTAGCAGTATTCTTGACTGCTACTCACTAGATTACAGTAGTGCCCCTAAGTGGTGGGAATGATAAATGTCTCAAGACATTGCCAGATGTCCCCTGGGGGCAAAACTCAGTTGAGGATGACTGTTTTAGAGTCTCTTCTATTAATAAGAATCTGTAACATTTTGTTCTTCTATTTTCTAGGTAATAAGTACTTAAAAAATTGGTGGAAGTACCTAAGGTTGGGAGAATGAAGGGAAAGATGAGAAGGAACTGATGTTCGTTGAGCCTACCATATACCACGAAAATCTGTGAGATAGAGAATTTTATCCCATCTTACAGATGAGGAACTTGAGGCTCAGAAAAATTATGCAGCTGTTAAGCAGTGTAGCTAAGTCCCAAATGTGGACCTGCCTGACAAACTCTGTCTTCCTCTACTTTCCTCTTGCTTTTATCTAAATGTATCTCCATTGCTTTTAACTCAACTCTTACATTAACCTGCCTCCCTTTATGAACTACACATTTAAAATTTGGGAGTATTTTGGTATTTGCTTCTTGTAATTAACTTTTCCATAGAGCCTTGGCTCAACACTCTCCTATAGGGCTGACCTGGAGTCTCAGACATTGAAAGGATCCATGGTCCACGTGGAAGAAGAAGATCACATTGAAATGCTGTACACTTCTACTTAATGCTGCTAATGGTTTGTTGTGAGACTCAGTGTCACCAGGATTCACAAACCCGTGAATACCAATGGAACTACAGTATTGCTAATAACCATAAAACATCTATTCTTGCATCATTCTGTCCAAGCATAACCTCTCGTGTTTTGTGCGTCATCTCAGGAATCTAAGTCTTTCTGGGGTTCCTTCTAGGGCATCTCACCACTCAGTCCGACAGCTTCATCCACCACTGGGCAGGTTGTTCTCTCTTCTCAACTCTGGCCAGTTCAAGAAGCTGCTGGAGGAGGTTTGTCATTGCCAGGGCTGATAGAATCCTCTCTAAATCACCACCTCTGTCCAGGGTGCTGCGCCTGATTGGCCTCCAGAGATGCAGGTCTTTAGAGATACTGTTGGAGACAGAGGTGTCCTCCCCACTTTGACCAGAATCCAGCCCTCTGGGGGAGCAGAGTGTTCCTGGGTCCAGAAGGACTCTTACTCCAATTACACCACACTTTGTTTCCTGGACTCTATCCCTGCTTTGCCCAGAATCCACAGAATCTCTTAAGGAACTATCCTGTCTCCTGTGTGTTCTTATACCTCTAAACATAGTGGCTCCAACCCTGCCCAAAGGCCTGGGGAGGAGAGAGAGATACTTCATTCTCTCCCTACAGGCTACTATCATAATGAAAAAAGAGAAACACTCCCTTTCCTCTCCCCAGATGCCAAACAAAGGTCTCAGAACATATAGCGGCTATATGGTGTGGGTTGGGAGGTAGGTTGCTTACAGCTATAGCACTGGGCCTCAACTTAGCTGGCCACCATGCCCTCTTAGGCAAATGAAAAGAGGAGATTGACACTAGATTGGAGAAATGCCAACATTTTTGCACCATCAGTGAAAGATTTCAGCTGGAGTGTATGTAGCCGTAATGTTGTTCTCAAGTGTGTTTAACTCATCCTTTTGGTTGACTTAACTAGTGTGGCTGGTCCAATTCTCTGCTACTCAGTCTGTGTCCAGGATGCCACTGATCAGCCAGCTTTAGAGTTGTGAAAGGAGAGCCCAAGAGACATTTGGGTACACACTGGTACTGGCACAAATGCAGATTACTAATAGTTTTATGTTCCAGACCATGAGCCCCTAGACTTTTTCTGGGAAAAGTGAATCTAATGACTGTTGTAGTTTCTCTGTCCTCAAGGGCATGGATGGAAGAAGGCACATGGAGTGTGTCCAGCCAGTGGAGGACAGAGAGGGAATGATTAATTAGGGCTTACGGTGATGGATGTCAGCTCCTAGATCTATCAGGCAAGACCTTGAGATTTCCATCTGGGATTCTTTGAAATAAAAATAAGATTTCTTAGGATTTCAAGCAAGATTGGTATAGGCATACATTCAGCTAGTTTGGAAATCTTTTTATCTTTCTACTTTATTTTTACCACTAAATCTGAAGTATGGTGCCTAATCCCATTTGACTGTGTCTGTTAAAGATTTAAATGCCACTGCCAGATTCCCAGGTCTCACTTGGCCCCTTTGGAAAATCGGGTCTGGTGGAAGGAAAACTCGGCCCAACATCTCTAAATGCGCAGCTTCTCAGAGTGCCAAAAGCCGCTATTGTGTGCTGTCCCGCGGGTATAAAAATTAGCTCTTTTTCATGAGTGTTCAAGCTGCTGCCTTATTTATCTGCCAAAGATTCAGACTCATCTTGCTGTCCAAACTGCAGGCATGTCTGGCATGAGAGTGTGTTTGAGGTTGTGAGGTGGTGGAGGAGGAAGAATTTTATTTTGCATCTGCACATAACCACTGTTGGGTTGCCTGTTGTCATGAAGTGTCAATGGTAAGGTGCAGTTTAACATAACATGACATTAGGTTAGACAATGTGACTAAACTCACCCCCTCAGGAACTATAGCCTCAATACAGTAGCCAGTCACTTGGGCTTAAGACTTGTTCTAGTGGATACAAGCAGTCACAGTTCAAGGCTACCTGGCGTCTTGGAGCACCTGCACTACCTGGGTGAAGAGAAAAAAAATGTGGAGTTGCAGTCTTCAGAAATAGTTACCAGTGTGCATCTGCACAGTAAACTTATGAAAATACAACATACGCTTCAAGCTTTTTGCATTCTGCTTTTCTTGAGAATACCAGGGTTCATTTTCTTGAGGAATGTCAGAAATATTTTGTAGTCTCAGCTTAATCTTAGATTTGTTTGTAAAGCTCCACAAACAAACCCACAACTTGGGAAGTTTGGCAAATGCTCAGTCCAGGAGATCTAAATCTTGACTCAGTTCTTCAAGTTTTAGCGAAGGAATGACTTTAAAATGTCTTCTTGCTTTTACATATTTTGAAACAAACTCTGGGAGAAAATGTATTTGGAAGGGATCTTGGAAGCTAGCTGGTTTTGCATGTGTGATAAAACAAGATGCTTATAGGTTTGCTTTAAAAAAATAAAACCTCGAAACTTGAAGTCTGATATCCCTGGGGCCATTTGATAAATGTTGATGGTTTTGCAGAGCCACACATTATTTCCTTTTCCTTTTCACATTTATTTCTTTGAAAGACATACGAGAGTCTGAACTTTGAAGGGACCTGGTAGCCTTTGCTAAGAAAAGGAAACTTCTCGGGAGAGAACCTTGTGAGTGCCTTAAATATCTTTCCAGGTGGGCACCATCACATGAGTGATTTTTCCGATGTAAAGTTGCCCACTTTGTGGATTAGTCTGTGGTCTGACCATGTCTCTTAGAGTCAATTGTTTGATGTGTTGTTTCAAGCCAGGTTCATATGGAGCAGAGTGCCCTTTGGTTTTTTATTTGTTCCCTAATTGTTTAGAAATGTGCTCATTAAAAGACAAAGTAAACACGGTTCAGGTGTTGTGCTGAAGGCAGGGATTGTGGGGTATTGCGAGGGAGACAGGAGAGATGAGAGAACACACGTGGTCCTTCTTTTAGATAAAAGCCTGTCCCAGAAACAAAGGCTGTTGGAATACAAAAGCTCTTTGTACACTGAGCACGTCTGCGGTTACGGATGAACCCTCTCCAATGGCTGCTATCAAACTTGTCATATTTTATTCATGAGTTGTGGTGTGCCTGGATGAAATAAGAAAAGCAAAGCTTCAAATCATAATTAGGGCATAAAAAAGATAAAATAGTTATTATTTTGACATTTTTGAAGAATTTTTAAATCTCCCCGATAATTCATTTGAAAAAGTTGCATGGAACGACTGGGTGTGTGGCATGTATTTATGCTGGTTGGAGTCTCAGTCACACCCATACCCACAGTGACAGACTCCATGCGTATGGTGAATAAGAGCGTAATTAAGGAGAGGGCTACAGCCATCGTTACACATAAATAGAAACGTTGACAGGCATCTTTGCATTTCTCACGCTCACATTATTATTCTGTGGTTGATCAAAATATTGCTTTCCTGTTTTTTACATTTTTGTCTTTTTTAGAGAACATGGGGTCTGGATCATTTGGTATGCCTGGTATGGGGGGACTTGAGGGAATAGTGGCAGGAAAAACTTAAAAGTATACCTGCACCTACAGATGTTGTGGGACAGCAGCACGGGGTTGAAGAAAGACACTCGTCCTGTTGGTTTACATCATGAATTTTTAAAAGTAAGCCGAAACACTTTAAAAAAAGATACGCCAACCTTACTGGAAAGACAAAAAAGCCCAACTGTTGTTCCATGGCTTTCTCTGTGGATGCAGGGCTTAGTGACTCCTCATTTATTGACTAACTTACCCGGAGACACCTATCACCCACACCATCCATATGCTCATGGCCTCTCTCCTCCCTGGGGATTCGGCGTGAGGTATTTATTTACTCAGGGTTTATCTTTGTCCTGCTGGGGTCTATCCACCCATTCTCACTGCTGGGTTGTAAGCTATTTGAGAAGCGTGGTAAGAGCAAGCCCTCCCACTGTAGCCACCGCATGTACCCAGCCTGCATGGGGTTGTCCTACCCTGGCACTCAGGCATGGAGGAAAGTGAGAGCGACATTTTCAAAACTGGTCATGTGCATGATCACATGTGTTAATATTTGTTGTGTGGATTCTGGGATAGAAATATTCTCATTAGTCACCACTTTATGAAGGAGACACCAAGATTCAGAGGGATTAAATGACCACCCAGATATTAGTGTTGGAGTATTAAATATCACCCAGATACTAAGTGGCAGGACTGATGGTGCATCCCAGATCTTCTGATCCCCAATTCTACTTCAACACTGGACCACGTTCTGTGACCTTTTTCATATCATGACACATAAGGAAAATGGCTGTATTTGTACATTACACGGAAGGAAAGAGAAGGGACTGTTTTTATGCCAAAAGTGCTCTGCCGAGCCACAGCGAGGGCTGAGGGACTCATACTACAGTGACACCTGTAACTCAGGCCCTGGCAGGCCAGCTGAGAAGCACCAGGGTGAGGCTGGCGAGCCTAGAGGGGCTGGGAAGAACCTGGAAGGGCAGGAATGGAGGGGGTTTGTGTGGGGCCTGGGTGAGTGTGTGTAGTATTAGCATAAGTTAGAGATGTGCTGGGGAGGGTCTTCAATCCCAGGTGCATAGGGGGCCAGCCAGGTAACAGCTGAGTGATGTGCACTGGCAAGGTAATGCAGCCAACTGGCAACATTGTGCCATGAGCTGCATTTCTTCAACTCTGCATTCACTGCACTGTTGCCTGTGGGAATATGGGCTCTGCGTTGCCAGGTCATCTAATTTTTTAATGGAGATTTGAATTTTTATATGAAATGTTTCAATTTTTATGCTGTATTTCACTGATTCCAAGGCACACACACTTATTCACATAACAGCTATCCAGAACTTTTTTATTTTGCAAACTGAAATGCTATATCCATTAAATAATAACTATATTTTAGGGTAGGATTGGATTTTGCCTTATAGGCAATTGGTATAATTATGTAATAAATTACATATGTGTTACAATTATGGTGTCTCTTATAATCAACAGCTTTTTGTTTATTTCTTAGGGTATGTCAAATGATGGTGTATTTTATAATCTATGGCACTGTGGACTTGGTGAAATATGGTGGGTTGGGTGAGTAACACTGGGAGCTACACCAACATGCTGAGGCTGCATCTGGCCTGAGGCTGGTCAGTATGCTACTTTTGACCTGGAGCCAGGATAGTCACCAAGATACCAAGACCTGAGGCTGGGACACCAGTTCTCAGCTGTGACTGCCCATCATGTTTATTTGAAACAAATAAATAAATATTGACACCTGGCCTACACCCCAGACCTTTTTTTTTTTTTTTGAGTCTCTCAGGGTGCAGACTGAAAATCACATTTAAAAAATGTTACCCAGGTGATTCTGATGCACAGTGAGTGCTGAGAACTGCTCAGCTGGAGGGAGTTGGGAGGAGGAAAAGGTGAGATGTTGAGTCTGTGTTCACAAAAGGCTGAGGGGGAAGGAAACTACACGTGAGAGTCAGGTATTTGTTGATCTTGTTGACCAAAATCTCCAATCAAGGAATGAGAACTGGGGGCTGCTGTTTAAATTGGAATGAGGGCTGGGAAGGATGACTCATGCCTGTAATCCCAGCACTTTGGGAAGCCAAGGCAGGAGGATCACTTGAGGTCAGGGGTTCAACACCAGACTAAGCAACATAGCAAGATGTCTCTACAAAATTTAAAAAATTAGCCAGGCAGGATGACAGATGACCATAGTCCCAGCTACTTCGGAGGCTGAGGTAGGAGGATTGCTTAATCCCAGGAGTTCAAGGCTGCAGTGAGCTATGAACATGCTATTGCACTCTAGCCTGGGTGACAGAGCAAGACCCTGTCTTTGTTAAAAAAAAAAAATAAAATGAGGCAGATACAGGAGAAATTCTAATGCTACTGTATACTGTAGGCATTGTACTTGCATGGTAGGTTTAGGGACAACGTACAGATAGCTTCAGAAAGGCTTAATTTTCTAGGTTCATACAGGTTCAGAAGGGATTACCAAGGATTACCAATGGATTACCAGTCATCCATCCATCCATTTCTCCAATGTCCTTCAGTACCTGCTCTTTGTGCTATGTGTGGCACCAGACACCACAGCACAGTGGTGAGCTTCCATGCAGCCTCACACTAGGATAAGCCCAAAGAAGGAAAAGCTGTGGTATGGTAATTAACATAGACCAGGAGGCCTGCTTTAGCTGGGGGCTGGGGTCTAGGGAAATGACGTTTCAGCTGAAGCCTGAGTGATGAATGGCAGGTAACCAGGTATGGAGTGGGCGAAAGTGTGTTTCAGGCAAAATAATGGCCTGACCGGAGACCCTAAGGCAGGAAGGAGCTTGTGTATTAGTTGGTGGAATCTAAAGAAGGGCCAAGAAGGAGGCCAAGAAGGAGGGAAGAGGTGAGGTGGGAGTTGGGCCTGGTGAGGTCTATAGGAGTACATTGTGTAGAGTTTTGTTGGTCATATTAAGGGGATTCAATTTTTATTAAATTTGCATTTTTAATTGCAGATAAAAAAACACACAACATAAAATTGACCACTGTTACCATTTCCAAGTGTGCATTCCAGCAGTGTTAAGTATATTCATGGTGTATAACAGCTCTCCAGAACTTTTTTATTTTGCAAAACTGAAATGCTATATCCATTAAATAATAACTCCATATTTTAGGAGGATTGGATTTTGTCTTAGAGGCAATTGGGGTCATTGAAGGGTTTTGAACAAGGCAGTGGCATACGTAATCAGTTGTGACACAAGTATGTACCAGGAGCTGTAAGCACAGGTAAGCTGCACCTAAGCTATTCAAGGGAGTGAGGAAGGTGTAGGTAGACATCTCCATACTTCAGGATTGATGTCGAGAATGACCCTTCCCTGGGCCCCCTGTCAAAGCCCAAACACTGGGCTGGATGGCAGTAATAGTGCAGCACTTTATAGCAGTGAGAGGAGCAACTATTTTCATGTGAAGTCATGTCATTTCTACTCTAAACTGCAGGCAGGGTGAAAGCAGGGAGTGCAACCAGATAGTGCCTCAAAGAGGAAGGTCCTCATCTGACTGGGCATGAGCTGCTTGTTTTATTGGAAAGGAAAGACACAAGGTGGTTGGCATTCAGGGCGTGGCAAGGTTTTCCCCACCAACTGGCTTTTAGCCACATATTTTATGTATAATTTTGCCACAGCATCCTTTTTTGGTATTTCATTTAAACAGAAGATCTCACCATGATTAAAGAACTATCTAAACCCTCTAGTGTGTAATGGGGACAGGGCAAGGTTGAGAGAGCAACTTCCTGGGGTCCTGCTTTGAATCTCTCTTTTGTCAACATGTACTTTGGCATCCCTTCTCTCTCAATCTTTGACTGGATGGAGAAAAATCATTTCTTATTTTGAGCACTTACCTTTAAAGGAGGCTTTAAATCCTATTTCCTATTGACATATTTTTTTTTTTTTTTTGTTTCAGACAGAGCCTCATTCTGTTGCCCAGGCTGAAGTGCAGTGGCACAATCTTGGCTTACTGCTGCCTCTGCCTCTTGGGTTCAAGTGATTCTCCTGCCTCAGCCTCCCAAGTAGCTGGGATTACAGGCGTGCACCACCACGCCCAGTTAATTTTTTGTATTTTTAGTAAAGATGGGGTTTCACTGTGTTGGCCAGGCTGGTCTTGAACTCCTGGCCTCAAGTGATCTGCCTGCCTTGGCCTCCCAGACTGCTGGGATTACAGGTGTGAGCCACTGGGCACGGCTGCTGTTGACATATTGATCAATCACGATAGTCTGTTATGCTGCTGTGTGCCAGCCACTGTCCTGGTGTGTCTGTTGTTGGTTCCTTCAGGTGGGTTCTTGGTCTTGCTGACTTCAAGAATGAAGCTGCGGACCTTCGCGGTGAGTGTAACAGCTCTTAAAGGTGACATGGACCCAAAGAGTGAGCAGCAGCAAGATTTATTGTGAAGAGCGAAAGAACAAAGCTTCCACAGCATGGAAGGGGAGCTGAGTGGGTTGCTGCTGCTGGCTGGGGTGGCCAGCTTTTATTTCCTTATTTGTCCCCACCCACGTCCTGCTGATTAGTTCATTTTACAGATTGCTCATTGGTTCATTTTACAGAGTGCTGATGGTTGTGTTTACAATCCTTTAGCTAGACACGGAGCACTGATTGGGACGTTTTTACAGAGTGCTGATTGGTGCATTTACAATACTTTAGCTAGACATAGAGCGCTGATTGGTGCATTTTTACAGAGTGCTGATTGGTGCATTTACAATCCTTTAGCTAGACAGAAAAGTTCTCCAAGTCCCCACTCGACCCAGGAAGTCTAGCTGGCTTCACCTCTCACTGGGTCTTGATTATGTAAGAGTATGACAGACACCCTGTCCTTGAGGGGCTATTGGCCTAGGTACAGTGAAGAGGGAACCAGCAATATATCATATTCATTCATTCATTCATTCATTCATTCATGCACTCAACAAATATTTATTGCACATCATGTGACAGGCACTGTTCTGAGTGTTAAGGATGCAGCAGAGAAAAGACAGTCCCTGTCTACATGAAGCCTATATTCTAGCAAAGATGGCCAATGGCCAATCACAGTAAACAAGTATACTAATAAATGAGTAACTTTAGATTGTAATATATACTATGAAGGAAATATAAGAGCTATACTGGAGAGAGAAAGAGAGAGAGAGAGACTTAGGGGGAGAGTTGACTTTACATTGGGGAAGGCTTCCCCGCAGAGGTGACGTTTGAGCTGAAGCCTAAATGAAGGAGCCAGCCATGCAAAGATAATATTATTATTAATAATCACTCACATTATTAATGACGAACACTTCATATGCTAGGTACTATTCTAAATTCTTTATATTCATGAGCTCATTTAATCCTTATAACAATTGTGCAAAGGAGATAGGTATTATGAGCCACAGAAAGGAAAATAGAGGTTAAATCACTTGGCCAAGGTTATGTATAGGTCCAGTAAGCTGAGAGTTGAATCCAGGCTGTTGTGCTCCGAAGCCCTTGTTCTTGAAACAGCCAGCCAAAAGGCCCCTTGGATCAAACAAGTTTAAAGGGCACAAGGATGGCCCATGTGGGTGAAGCTACCAAAGGAGGCCAGAGAGCATAGCCAGGGCCTTTCAGGCCATGGCAAGGAGTTAGGGTTTTATTCAAATCATAATGGGCAGTGTGGAGAGCTGGATAATGCTGCCCTCCTTCCCAGTGATGGCCACATTCTAATCTCCATAACCTGTGACTATATTACTTCAAATGGTAAAAGGGACTTTGCAGATGTGATTAAGTTAAGGGTCTTGAGGTGAGAAGATTATCCTGGATTCCAGGTGGGGCCTGTGTAATCACAAGGGTTCTCATAAGAGAAAGACATGAGGATCGGATAGAAAAGTGATGTGAAGATGGAAGCAGAGAGAGATCATAAGATTCTATGCTGCTTGTGTTGGAGATGGAGGAAGAAGACACGACCCAAGGGAAGCTGAAAAAGGCAAGGAAACAGTCTCCCCTAGAGCTTCCAGAGGGAGTATGGCCGTGCCCCCATCTTGGTTTTTGTCCTGTGAAACCTGTTTCAGACATCTGACCTCCAGAACTGTAATATAATAAAATTGTGTTGCCTTAAGCCTCTAGGGTTGCAGTAATTTGTCACAACAGCCATAAGAAACTAATAAAGCAACTCTTTGAGGACTTTAAGTAAGGGATTGAGGTAATGTGATTTAAGTTTGAAAAGGATCTTCCTGATTTTCTGATTGCTACATGGGATAGAGAGAGAAAACGACAAAGACTAAGAGGAAAGGGGAAATGAGGAGAGGGGACAGGAGGGGAGGCGAGGAGAGACAAGTGGAGGCAAACTGACAGTGAGGGGCTGATGCAATATTCTAGTCAAGAAGATTGGGGGTCACAGTGGAAATGGAGCTCAGGGCTTGCTGATGGATGAATGTTCTTTGAGGCACTCTGACAAGTAAGACAGAAGGCAGAGGAGTGCACAATAAAGGAGCCTCTAGACAGCCCCGGAGGTAGGAGGACAACAGGAAGAATGCAGTGTCAAAAGGGCAGAATGTTTCAAAAGGAGGCAGAGCACGACTGTTTGGGAAGTTACCAAGGGTTCACTTAGTGGTCAGGCCACCGTCTGGCCATTAACTTTGGCACAATGTAGAGAATAAGATTTGTAAGAGTGGGTGGTATTGGTCAGTGCAGCTAAAAATACTGGCCAGATATTTCTCTCCAGACTGAGTCCATCTTAATCACCACAGTACAGAGCCTGGCACAGAGAACATACTCCACAAATACATCTTTGAATGGGTGAGTGATTGAATTTTGGATTCGAGGAGGAAAATCACCCTCAGCTGGGGTGCTAGAACTTCATGGAGTTAGAGGAATTGGGTTGGGCCTTGAGAGATGCGCAGGGCTTGGATAGGCACGGAGATGGCTGGAACT
Source organism: Homo sapiens (assembly GCF_000001405.40). Taxonomy (NCBI): domain Eukaryota; kingdom Metazoa; phylum Chordata; class Mammalia; order Primates; family Hominidae; genus Homo; species Homo sapiens. The sequence continues at coordinate 20,769,727 of NC_000011.10, forward strand.
CTGGGAGGGAGAAGGGTTGAGATGTTGTCCCCACGGAGCCCCCCACTTGTGCCTGGCTGTGCTTCAGACCCTTCCCATGTCTTGCGCTCTGAGATCTGACAAGTACTCTAATTGGGGTTGCACAAGGATGAACTTACAACTACTCTTGGTATGGGTGGTTCAGGGAGCTGAAAAGAATATCTGTTGTCTAAGTTAGATGATACCCAAGTAGAAAAGACTGCGTGGGAGCCTACCAGCATCCTTTGAAATGAATTATCACAAAGTCTTTATTTAATACACTGAAGGAATAATTTATCGAAACAGATTCAATGTTCTTACCCTAGGACACGCAAGAACCAAATTATTTGCAACAATGATCAAAGACCAATTTTCCCCCAAATTGACATTTTCATTTCTTTTAAAAAAGCTTCAGTAAATGAGGATTATCATTTTAGCCCTCAGTTATGGCTCTCATTTGGAAGGGTTTGAGGTGGGAAATTGGTTGAGAAAGATCCTGCAGCCAGATAGCAACAGGCCGTGAGCTCAAGGAGCAAGTGGCATTTCCAGTGATTCATTTTAAGGGGGGACATTAATGTTTAATACAGTCAGAATAACATCTCTAAAGAGGAGGTCCATTTTTAAAGAAAAACAGCAAGTCTGCCAAAGGAAAAAAATCCACCACATCCATAGCCCCTTTTCTGGACAGATGCACACATTTCTTGGAGCTTCTGTTCAAAGCCTGGAGTTTCAGGTGACCTGTTTCCTGTCCGGAAAGCCTCACTGTCCTTCCTGAGCACAAGGTTGAAGGCTGATAATTGCATAGTTTCCCCAGGAACCTGAATGCACAAACACCCTGTGGCCAACACAGATAGATAAATAGTGAGGGAGACCTCCTCAGCAGTGACTCTGGAACTAATTAGCTAACAAGGCATGTAATTAGATTAATGCATGTGATCTAAGAGCTGATGATGTGCTTTTTAGGACAGTGGAAATAAAGGAGCTGAAAAGAAAGCATTATATTGAGGAGCTCTGAATTATTATTCCTGTCAGAAATACCAGCTGGGAGGGTGGGGTGGTGGTGAGCATGAGGGTAGCTATTCATCACTTAGTTCCTGCTGGTTCATCAGGGACTGACATTGCTTCATGACTCCTGGCTGCTGTGGAAAATAATTTTTCCCCTCCTTCTGATAGCAAGGTGAGAGGCTCCTGTATTATTTATTTGGCACACATTGTAGCCAGATCTGCACTGGACAGAGGGGTCTTTCCAGAAACAACCTGCACAGTTGTTTCTGGAAAGACCCCTCTAGCTTCCCCCCGGCTCTCTCCTTGGGCTCAACTGGAGAGAAGAAATTACATATTTGAAGCTTACTAAGCCCCCTCCATCTCCCCAAGTGCAGGCTTCTGCAATGCAGAGGGTCCCCCTCCCCAAGTACTGAGTCATGTCCCTCACCACTGACCTCTGGGACCCCAATAAAGCCAACTTTACTTCTCACTCTCCACTCCTTTCCTACTTCTCATTAATTCCTTTGCCTCCATCTGAGGTAATGCTGCCCTGTTGGTCCCTGAGTGTCAAATCTGTGCAGTTTCTGGGGTGAAATATTGCTGAGGCCACCAAAGTCATTTCTCACTGAGCCTCTGACAGTTTGCTAATTAATAAGATTTTGGTCATTGCATCCTATGCTGAAGTTGGACCAATTTCCCAGGGGTGGGAAGTCAGACATTAATCCACTAAACCAACTAAATTACTTGTGTGTGAGAGAAGACAATTTCTTCAGGAGTATTTTCCTGTGGTTTGACATATCGCTTTGCAGGCTATGGACTTTTAAAAGCACTTTCTAGTCTGATGACGGGGAAGCCTAGATTCCTGATAGAAAAGTCATATGATTAAGATACCCCAAGATACCTCTAAGTTCTAAAGATACTCTTAGAGCTGTTTGCGTATCATAGAGAGGGGATGCCAGCTCTATTTTGAAGCTGGGGAAAAATCTATCTGGTGCTGTTTTCTGTCAGGCTTAATACAAGCTTATTCAGAAGAGTGTGTCTTTCTGCTTCTGTGTGCCACAACTGTCTTTTTGCCCGCGGAGCCACAGGAGCTTACCTTTGAAACATTAGCTGTTCACCCTAGTAATTGCTCCATCCTCTAATTTAATGAAAACCCATTAAACCGAAACAATAATTAAAATGAGACATCATCTCTGTAGGAGGTTTGCATATTAAAATCACTGTGCCTTTCAATGCAGGCAGATTTTTATTCTTGAAAAACAGCATTTGAAGTAACATGTAAAAATGATTTATAATGAATAATCATAAATTACAGAGCTTGGCAGTTGAACATGATGCCCTACTGTTTACTATTGAATCTGAGTAGATGTGGCAAGGTCAGGGCCAATACAGCATTTAAAAATGTCTCTTTCATGCCTGAGAATTAGGACCGTGCACAAAAGGGAATGAATTATAATTAGATCAGCCCACCAAACTTTTAAAGCAGGCTAGAGATGACACCCTTAATATACAGAGTAGTTTAGACTCTGGGAGGAGGAGTGTTGCTACGTAGGGGAGGCATAGCATTGGAGTAGAGAAGTAATGATGCTCTCGTGTTGGGGACTAGGGAAGCCAAACAGAAATATACACAATAAGCTACAAAGTTGGAGTCAGAGACACATCTCTGCTACTTGCTAGAGGTGAGATCTTGGATAAGTCACTTATTTTCTATAAACCACAGATTCTTCATCTTTAAAGTGAGGCTATTAATGCCCATTTAATTGGTTTTATGAATTTGAAATACTATCATGTATATGAATATGCTTAGAAAATGTTAAAGTCCTGACTTTAATGTCTAGATATGGGCATTTTTTTAAAGCATCTCAGAAATGTCATAAGGTGCCTATTACCTAAATATTAGGCACTTTTCATTCATTCATTCATTCATTCATTCATTCCTGAACCCTGGAAGGTGAGTGTTACAGATGAGGCAACTCAAGGATGAAGGAAGGAAAACAGCTACCTAAGGTCTTACAGCAGGTACTTGGCAGAGCTGGGATTCAAACACTGGTTTGTCTGAGCCAATAGATGGTGCTGAGGGACAGTGGTGCCTTATGATTGGCTTTAGACAGATCTGGGTTTGAATTCCAGCTAGACTAGTTAGTAGAACACGTTTTAACTTTTTGTATCTCATCTGTAAAATGGAGATAGCAATGCTGACACCACTAGGCTGCTATGAGGATTAAATTAGCATATATAAAGTCCTTAGCTTGACATCTAGCAAAAATAAAAAATTCAGAACTGTTTGGAAATTGGCTGGCTGGACTTAGATTGGAGTGGCTGGAAGTCCCATAGTCTCTGCCCAATTTTCAATTTTTGTTTTAACAGAAAAGAGTTAGAACTGACCACTAACCATGCCTCCAACCCTGGCTGGCAACCCCTGCTCACCTGCTCAATGCTCTCCTGCTGGGCCACCATAACCAACCATCAGTGTGACCTTTACTTCAGCCCCAGCTGCAGCACCAGGGTTCTTTTGGCATGGTGGCTGCTGCCATAGCTTGGTACCCCACCCATCCTACAGGACCCAGGGCCTGTCCTGGCTGTATACCAAATAAGCTAACAGATGTCATGTGCTGCTTATGTGGAAGACAGTTTTGAGAGTTTAACATGTACTTATTGATTTAATCTTTATACTATCCCCATGGGTAGATGTGGTTTTATTCTCATTTGTAAAAATGAGGAAGCTGAGGCACAGAGAGATTAAATTATCCAAGGTTATATACTTGATAAGATGTGAAATTGGATTTTTTTTTTCTTTTTTTTTTTTAAGATGGAGTCTGGCTCTCTGTCACCCAGGCTGGAGTGCAGTGGCGCCACCTTGGCTTATTACAACTTCCTCCTCCCAGGTTCAAGTGATTCTCCTGCCTTAGCCTCCCAAGTTGCTGGGATTACAGGTACATGCCACCAGGCCTGACTAATTTTTGTATTTTTAGTAGAGATGGGGTTTTGCAATGTTGGCCAGGCTGGTCTTGAACTCCTGACCTTAAGTGATCTGCCTGCCTCAGCCTCCCAAAGTGCTGGGATTACATGCGTGAGCCACCACGCCCGGCTTGAAACTGGAATCTTAACCAAACAGTGAGGCTTCAGAGCCTGAGCTCTTAACCACTACCCTACATTGCCTCTTACCTGGAAGATTAAGTCCCTGATGAGGGACTCACTCTCTGGTCCTGCTCCAGGTGATTTCAGACCTATGATGACATGACCTAAACATGACCTTTTTTTCCCCTCTCTCTTTCTTCTCTTCTCTCTCTCCTTTCCTTCCCTCCGTTCCTTTTTTCCTCCCTCCCCTCCCCTCCTGTCCCCTCCCCTCCCCTCCTGTCCCCTTCCCTCCCCTCCTGTCCCCTTCCCTCCCTTCCTCCCTCCCTTCCTTTCTCCCTCCCTCCCTCCGTCCCTCCCTTCTTTCCTCCATCCCTCCCTCTCCCCTCCCCTCCCATCCCCTCCCCTCCCATCCAGTCCACTTACTTTCCCTCCCTCCTTCCCTTCCTTCCTTCCTTTCCTCCCCCTCTCCCATCTTCTCTTCTCTCCTTCCTTTCTTTCCCTTCCTTCCTTTTTTCCTCCCTCCCTTCCTCTCCTTTCTTTTTTTCTTTCCTTCTCTCCTCTCTCTCCTTTCTTTCTCTCTCTTCTTTCCTCCTTCTCTTTCTTTTCTTTTCCTTTCTTTCTTCTTAGAGATAGGGTCTTTCTCACTATGTTCCTCAGGATAGACTAGAATTCCTGGGCTCATGTTATCCTCCGTCTCAGCTTCCTGAGTAGCTGAGATTACAGGCATATGCTACCATGCCTGGCTCTACTTTTCTTATATCTCTGAACTGAAAAGCTGAGCAGGATCCATTCACTTTTGTTTGTGTCTTTATTACTAGACTTTTAGATCTTCATGAATAGAAGGTGTGTCTTAGTTTTTTGTCCACAGTGCTGGTTCAGGGAATGCTCAGTAAGGGTTTTTAAAGTTAAGAATGAATGAACAAATGAATAAATGAGCGGATGGGTGGTTAGCAGAGGGCAGGGCAAGGACTGCCCTCATGTCTTTATAAGAACATCGAGAGCATCTCTTGCTGGAACTGATGTTCTTGCTTGCACCCAGCAACCTTTGGTGCTTAGAGTTTTGTACACTATGTGATGAGTACACCTTGGGGTTCTCAGATTCTTGACAATCAGTGTGTATTAAAATGGCACCTGAGGAGGGTTGCTGGTCAGTTATTGCCAAAAAAAAAGAAAAAAAAACCCTGTTGTCCTCACTGATTTAAGGATACACAATTGTGGGACTGAAAGCAAGGTGATTGGTGCTTATTTTCTTCTTTTGTAGGATGTCCTTCTTGTTTCTCCCATTTCTATGATGAGCTCATATATTTTAGCATAAACATTGTAGTTTTTTTTCTTACAATAACTCTCAGAGAAGATTTGGAAAATTCAGACATGTGGAAAGAGGAAAAATTTCACCCATGTTAGCTCCCAATTGCTGACAAAATTGAAGGCCATGCCTATCTATCTGCTATGCATCACAAAATAAATTTTATGTTACCATAGACTTGGTATGATGCTGTATGTACTATTGTATACCTGTTTCAGAGTATTGGCTGGACATTTCCTATGTTATTTCAATGCCTTTCATATCATTATATTACAATATATAATTTTCCATGGGGTGTATATATCCTAATTTACTTAGCCATTCTCTACCATTGGATAGCTTCTTGACTATATAATGCACTCTTAATCGTATTATAAAAATCTTTTCACCACTCTTTTTGCTTTTTGTTCTCCTGTCTTGTGATTCAGATGGAGCTGGCATTCATACTTTAACTCTCTCTTTATTCCTGTGTTTCTCACTGAGATGCGGTGGGAGGTATGGGGATGAGGGGGATGGGGATAAGGGGACTTGATTGCTGGTGGGTGGCAGTGTGGAGAGGCAGCCTAAAGAGGAGTGGCTACACATGTTTAATTTCTTAGCAACAGGGAATGCATTGATTTTCCTACTAGTATTGTCAAATGTTTTTAAGAAGAGCTCATCTGCCTTATAGTACCTAATTAGCAAAATTATGGGGGTACCAGAATCTCTTTTGATCGAATGGCACAGTAATTACAAAAAATTGGTTAATACCATGTGTCACAGGATGCCTTAGGTTTAGTCCCCTAATGGAGGAGTTAGGGACATTGAACTGGCTTTATTATTCCTTAGGCAGCTCATTACTTGAATGTACTTTTTCTCAACAGGTTTGGGTTATATTTGTGTGTATTTGGTAAACCTTTTTTTCTTATATTGTGTTCCAGACTTTGGAGCCAAGATGTAGTTTATTAATGTGACAAAGATTTGAGGCTTAACCAGGTACCAGGCACTGTGCTTGGTGTAGTGTACATGTTGGTAGGCAATTCTTCATGGAACTTACAGTCCAGTGGGGAATAAATATAGCACTTGGCTGGGGGCCGTGGCTCATGCTTGTAATCCCGGCACTTTGGGAGGCCAAGGTGGGTGGATCACCTGAGCCCAGGAGTTCAAGACCAGCCTGAGCAACATGGCGAAACCCCATCTTCTACCAAAAATACAAAAATTAGCCAGGTGTGGTGATGGGCGCCTGTAGTCCCAGCTACTTGGGAGGCTGAGGCAGGAGAATCGCTTGAACCCGGGAGGTGGAGGTTGCAGTGAGCCAAGATCACACCACGATCCAGCCTGGGCAACAGCCTGGGTGACAGAGTGAGATACTGTCTCAAAAAAATAAATAAAAATAAAATAAAATTTTATATATATATATCACTTAATAAAATGATTACACATGTAAATGATTCTATACATAATCTCTGACAATTGTGATAAGTACAATGAAGATAAATAAAGACAGGAACCTGAGTTGGCCTGGGGTGGTCAGAGAAAACTGGTCTGAGGAGTAGCAATTAAACTGTTATCAGAAAAGGAGGGAGAGAAGACAGGTTGCTGCAGATGGGAGTGTACCAAAATGGGTAGGAACGTGGCCCTGGGAAGAAGGGATATTAGTTAGGCTTGTGGTGCTAGAATGCGGGAGTGTGGGCTGTGGGGGAGAGGAAAGGGAGGAGGATGAAAAATAAGCAGAAGCATCAGTTGAATGCCATGGAATATCACAGTCGACTCTGCTGGGGCAAGAGTCAGCTTTGTCTCCACTCGTCATGTGACCTTGGGCAAGTCATGAAACCTCTCTGTGCCTCAGTTCCTTCACCTGTAAAATGGAGATGTGTTGGTATTTACCTCATAAGGGTTGTACAAATAGATTGTTCATTCATTTATTCAATAAATATTTCCTGAGTGAACACAAAAGTGCCAGGCACTGGGTGTATCATGGTGATTTACCCTTGATTTATATCAAGCACTGAGATCACACATTTTGGTGAATAGCAGGTGTAACACAGTTAAGAGTGTAGCTCATGGAACCAGCTTTCCAGGTTGAAATCTCAGCACCAAGCCTTCCTAGCCCAGTGTCCTTTAGAACATTATTTAAATTCTGTAAGCTTTAGTTTGGTCATCTGTAAAGTAGGAATAATAATAATAATGTCTTCTAAAGTTATTGTAAGTGCGATGACATGTGCAGGGCATTAGCCCTGCCCTTGGCACAGTAATAAGATATACAGGTTTGATTTCTCTCATTCCGGCTTCTGGAACAAATGGAGGTTTAATGGAATATTATTGTGAACTTGTTAGTGGAGATGAAAGTCCCTTACACGTTAACTGGGAGTCTTCTAGTGACTTCTGTTTTTTTGAAAGCTGCTTGGATCAATAACATCTGACATCCTTAAAGAAGGGTCACAAGACCAAATAGTGGGACATGTGCCTCCCATCCTCCAAAACCAGAAATTGCCTCACTGATGGTTGGCAGTTCTGAATTGACAAATTTCCTCTACATTCAGAAATGAAAAGCCAACTGTCATTTCAAATTAAGAAATGTTGCTTTACCTTTTGGGGCCATTCTTACCATGAGCTTATGTGGCACTCAGGCTAGAAGGTTGTGGCCTGTCTATATCAGGAGTTTGCTATATTTTGAGGTTCACAGTGTAATTACTGAAATGTTGCCTGCATTCTCTACCAGTCAAGGCTGAGGCGGGCTGCCTTGGTGCATTTTTTGTTTATATGTTTCTGGCTGCTGCTGCTTTTCCCACCTTGATTTGCTGATTCTTCGCTGTGAACTGGTGGGGATTCTGCCTCTTGGTCTGCTTTGTGCTAATGTGGTACCCCTTGGCCAATCAGGGGCCTGAGAATTTGCTCCAATATTAGGTTAAGTAGATGCTTTCTCTGCTGAACTTGTAGTAAGAGATACACTTGCAGAAAAAGAAAAATGCCAGGGTAATGTATAACACGTGAGTTCACAGCCATACGATGCTGCTGCAGTGAGTGCCCTCTTCTCCCTCTCTCCTGCCTAGTAAGTGCTTATTCATGTTTTTAGAGTCAGGTTCAATTATATCCTCCATGATGTTATCCCCAATCTCTATGGGCCTCCTCTGTTTTTTTGTGCACTGCCCTATTCTGCAACTATTGTCATAAGGAAACTGTCTTGCTTACGTGTCTATCCTCTAGGGCAGAAACTGTGTTTTTACTTTTATTTCCCCAGTGCCAACCACAGTGCCTGGCATAGGGGAAGCAAGGTATATGCTTGTTGACAATGAAATTCACCACCATCCTCACTCTATACATCAGGGAAGAGGGAAATGAAGTTGCTTCTATTTGAGGCAGAGAAGAGTGTGTGTTTACCTCATTTAATTTCTTTCCTTCTCCAATCTCCTCCCTTCACCCAGCACTTTTTTTTTTTTTTTTTTTTTTTTGCTGATGTTTAATCATCATATTAGCATTTTTAGTCTTTCTTTAAAAATGACTAGGTAGAGCCGTCTTATCCTGGGAAAGAAAAAGCACTTCACTCTTGCTGCTGAGTTAGCACTTCTTAACTAGAACATGCAAAACCTGAGCATTTGGAACGCCATTTTCCCCCGTTTTAAAAATGTGAAATATTCACTTTAAGTGGTTGTTGTGTGCGAAACTACCTTTATGCAATGGTAGCCTCCAAGTACACCCCCAGGGTTACAAAATGGAAAGCCTCACGGACAGACTAAATTCAAATACTTGAATCATGTTTAAAATATCTAGGAGGAAACAGGGGAAAGAGATGGAGTAGGTTAACACATGTAGGATTGAGTGTGAGCAGTGGGAAGCACCAGCCCACCCAGTTCCTGTGTTATTCATTGCTCATATATTCTGTTTTTTTTCTCTCTCTCTCTGCTGCATCAGCTTCTTTGATGATGGTGTGATTATGAGGACTGGAGCTGAGGTTAACGAAAAGGGAGGGGGCTCAGCAAATGGGAGGTTTCCAGAGCCCACATGCTTCCTCTATTGGAAATACTCAGAAGCAAGTAATCCTGGCTACAACTGTAATTCACCAGTTAATTTGGTGAGCAGTGATGGGTTTTATTAGCATTTCTCAAGGATAGTATATGTGGGGCCAGAATGGAAATGAAATGGATGTCAATGATGGGTGTTGGTTTAGGGATGACATGACTGTCATTCTGAAGGTGGCATGATACGCACATTATGACTTGGTCCTCCCATCCCATTGTACTTGTAAGTAACACTCTTATTCAATCCTTTTTATCTGTGTTCAACACACTTATGTTCCACGTATTCAATCTATGTTTAGCATGTTTCACAGGTTTCTAACTTGCTCTCTATATTTAGCACTTCTTATGGGCTTTATCTGTCCCATTTGTTTTTCCTGTTATCTCTAGCAGAATTGAATATTCTTAAGTAATACAGCAAATACATACTGTAGTGGTTGAATATGGAAGTACAATATTCACTATAGGTTCCCATTAATTGGGTTTCATTGGTTGCTCTTTTAACTCCAGGAAAAAAGCAGGCTGCTGCAAAGTAGGTGACATATCACTATTTTTAAGAGTTGACAACTTTATGTTTTATGTTAATTTGGAAAATCAGCAGAGGAGAAAAATTGTAGAATCTAGGTTTCTTAATAGATGGAATTTGCTCTCAGTGCTCTCTTTTGCTATGCAGCTATGAGCAGGATCAAGTGATTAACTGAAATGAAATGTCAAGACTAGGAAAGAACTTGGAGATCATGGAATTTAGTGGTCTTAATTTTCAGATGTAGAGTGTGAGGTTCAGAGAGGTAAGGTACTTTATCCAAAGTCACACAGCTAGTCATCTGCAAAACTCAAAGTGATCTCAGTCCTTTGAAACCTGTCCAGTGTTTCTGCCTGCATATTGTAAGAAATAGAATTACTTTGTTGGTGTTTTTTTAACATCTGGATCATGGTCAAAATTTACTTGAAAGGGCTTCTCTGAGAGTGAGAATGCACATAAAGCCTCAGTGTATCAAAACAGGTGTTTCTTACATTTCACTCTAGTGAGTGCTAATGGGGTCTCTTTACTTCAGTGTGCCAATCATTTTTAAAAAGAAATAAGAAAAGTCAACATAAGAAATGTTTCATTTTCTTGGAGGATTGAGTGAGCAGAAGTTTGGTAGGACTAGATCAGACTGTTAAGTGGGGGTGTCCTGCAAAGAAGTGGGGTTTATTTAGCACCAAACATCATTACAATAAATTTTCATGGCCATGAGCATTTGAGAAGGACCCATTTATCTCCTGGTTTTCCAAAAGATATATTACTTTCTGACTATAATATATATGGTTACTTGAAGTAACAATATAAATGAGAAAAATAAATGGAAAATACATTAATTAATTCAGTAAACCTTTATTGGATGCCTGTTTTGTGCCAGGCACTAAGAATTGTGGATAAAACAATGGATAAATAAGTATGCCTGCCCTCATGGAACTTACAGTCTAGTGGGAAAAGAAAGGAAATAATATGAGGTAACAAGCTTGAAACAAGACTGTGATAAATAATATCAGCAAATAATAAATGGATTACAATACATATATTATGACAAGTCAAATGAAGAAAATACCCAGACTGGAGCATTAGAGAGACATTAATGCAGAGTCTGCCTTGGAGAGGCCAGAAGATTGCATTTACAGTGAAAGCTGAAGGAGAAGGAGTCAGGGACGTGAAAAGGAGAGAGAAGAGCACTGTGGGCAGAGGGACAAGCATGAAGATCTGAGGTGGGAGTGGGCCTGGTGTGCTCCTCTAGTAACCAAGGAGAAGAGTGTGAATGGGGTGGGAAAGGCAGGCAAGAATCAGTTTGTGTGCAACTTTGCAGGCATGCTGAAGGGACTGGATTTTATCCTATGAGCAATGGGAAGCCATTGGAGGATTTTAAGCAGGAGGCTGAAATGACTCGGACTTAGGGTTTAAAAAGAGCACGTTAACTACAGTGTGAAGAATGGTGAAAAGAAGGCAGTATGGAAGCAGGAAGGAGATCATTGGAAGTGCCCTAGGGAGCAATGATAGTGGCTTGGGCAAGAGTTTTAAGAGTGAAGTTGGGAAGAAGTGGACAGATTCCAGACATGGGAGCCCACTTAACTTGTTTTTAGACTGGATATGGAGAGTGGAGAAAAGGGAAAAATCAAGGGCAATTTCTAGTTTTTTGACTTGAGGAACAGGGTGTGACCGTTTACTAAGACTGGGACCTTTGTGAGAAAATTGAGAGTGGCGGGAAGAGAACAGGCTTCACTGTAGGCACATTACAATTTGAAATGCTTGAAGGTGAACGTTTGAATTTACTGCATAAGGGAGAGGTTAGGGCTGCAGATATAAAGTTGGAGGCCATTGGCCATGGGGTTGGATGATATCACTCAGGGAGAACTGAGTGAGAGATGACGATACCCATAGCTGATAGGATATTCATATCCATTTCCTCCAGCAGGCATTGCTGATCGCTTATGGCTGTCTTTTCTTTGGGCCCAAGCTTTACAATCCTGAAATTCAGGCATCTGCTACCAATCAGTTGATTTCTAATTGATGAGTAAAGAAGAAAAAAGTAAAAAGTAAACATATAACTTAATTTTAAGACTTGAATTTTTTTTGGCATTACTTGTAGGTAAATTTATTAAGATGATCTTTGCTTAGAAGTAATGATAATAGGGTGCAGTGGCTCACACTTGTAATCCCAGCACTTTGGAAGGCCAAGGTGGGTGGATCCCCTGAGCTCAGGAGTTCAAGACCAGCCTGGGCAACATGGGGAAACCCTGTCTCTACCAAAAATACAAAAAAAAAAAAAAAAAAAAAGGCGGGCATGGTGGCACACACCTGTGGTCCCAACTACTTGGGAGGCTGAAGTGGGAGATCGCTTGAGCCCGGGAGGTGGAGGTTGCAGTGAGCCGAGATCATGCCACTGCACTTCAACCTGGTGACAGAGTGAGACCCTCATCTCAAAAAAAAAAAAATAATAATGATAATAAAAATAATATTAACAAACATTTTCTAATACTCTTTAGTTTACAGAGTGATTTGCTCACACATTTAATAGGTTTTAAATGTCATCTGGAATATCTTTGGCTGGGATTTTGTAGAAGGCATAGAAGCATTTTTCAAGATGCTATCTCTTTTCTCAACACTTGATAAAAGCTGACAGCATGCCACTTAAGAATTAAGTAGCGAAGGCCTTGCTACTATTGTGCAGGTAGGTTTTATACTGGTAGACTGGTCTGCCTGGGTTGGGTGTCTCCATGGTGGAGGACAAACATTGCTTTCTGCGATTCATACCCTAGATACTTGCAGATGGGAAAGACTGTGCTGTTCTTTTCTGTGTTATAAAATTGAAGCAGCAATTCAAAAAATTATAGAAGGCTAAGGTGGGAAGGTTCTAAGAGATCACCTAGTCTACCCCCTCATTTTGCAGATGAGGGGACTGAGGCCCGAGGTCAAGAATTGAAGGATATCTTATTCAGAAGCCATTCTTTAGGATGAGATTCTTCAAGGTCCGTATACCAGTCTGTGATATTGCTTGGGCAGTGCAGCATTTGAAGTTCTATGTTTTTCAAGGGCTTCCCATGTAGTCCTGGAGAAATAACCATGTAGTTATCTTGCAGTCAGAGGAGATGGTCAGGATGTGAGAGGAGGTCACCAAACACACTTCTAATGTTCATTTATCATCCTCTGAATAATCTTCTCTAACTTTGCTCCCTTAGTGCCCCTTTCTGATGCCAGAAAAATGTAGTGTAAAATAATGAGATAACACCCAGTTTATCATGACAAGGGTGAGTCTGGGTATGAAGTGATGGATGTCTCTTGTTATGCTGATATTGGAGAAAGAAACATTCTTGTCTAGGAGCAGGATTAGCTGGAATCACACACCTCTAGGCCTGCTGAATCGGCCTCAACTTCAATAAATATTTCATGAGGAAAGTCATCCATTGCATGCTTATGGAGAAATTCCAGGCACGGGTGTGGAGCATGAGCATGCCTTGTATTTATTCGTTAAGCAAAGGCAGAGTTGTCTGGCATTATTAGTGCTAGTAAATATCTGCTAGGTACAAAGCAAGGACAGGTTTCCTATATCCATTGTGGGGAGAAGGAAGCTGTGTCCATGGAAAAAGTGAAATTGGAGGATGCTGAGTGGCATTTGGGTCTTATTATCCCAAGATTCTCTGAATTTAGGACCACATTTATCCGACTACCTCTCACCTTATTTACAGCAACCTAATCTGTTTGCAGCAAACTGAATTGCTCAGCGTCCCGTCAAAATTCCTGCCAGAAAATCACTGTCTGGCCAATTGGGAACTTGTCAAAGTGACAAGTGGGCATGGTGACAGAGACAGCATTTCCGGGATTTGCATTGAATGAATGCAGCTGTAGGGAGTGGGGAATGGTGCCTGAAAATGAAAACTATTGACAGAAGAGGAAAATGAAACTTGCAATCTGGATTCTTTGGACATGACATTTTTAACCATGGATCTTTTTTCCTCTTCCTTCTCATCTCCCCTCTCCTCTTTCTCCTATATTTCTTCTCTACTCCTTCTCCTTCCTCTTCTCCTCTCCTGTTTCCTCCTGCTTTTCTTCTTGATTCCTAGACATAGAAAGAGAGATCCATGCAGCTCCTCATGTGAGTGAGAAATTAATTCAGCTGTTCCGGAACAAGAGTGAATTCACCATTTTGGCCACTGTACAGCAGAAGCCATCCACTTCAGGAGTGATACTGTCCATTCGAGAACTGGAGCACAGGTAAGAAAGCTCTTTCTGCTTTTGAAAATCTCCTTAGAGTTAATGGGTTATACAAAATGTCTTGGGATTTAGAGTTTGTAGCCCCATGAAAACTTTCATCTAACTGAGGCCTCATTTCTGTTGAACACATTCATGAATTTACTTTGCATTAAGAATTTACTTTGGTCAAAGTGGCTTTCTTGTTTGCTCTCCAAGGACCAATCATGAGTATCTTTCTCGTCTGTCTTCTGGTAGACTTTGAATAAAATCACATTCTGTCATATTTAGTCATCAAGCAAGTTAGTTAGTTATGTTTAACAACCTTCAATAAACATTTACAGTGTGTTTATGTGGGGATTATACTTGACACTGGGAATATTAAGGTGAATAGTGTATGATCTTCATCGCAAAGATCACATAAGCTAGTAGGGAAGATAGACAAATAAATATAATAAAGTATTGAAGATGCAATGCCAGAAGGTTGTAATCAGGAAATAAAGGTAAGAGCAGTCATTCTGCTAAGTGTTGTGGTAGCCAAGAAATGCTTTGGAAAAGAAGATAGTTGTATAAGGAAAAAAATGTGAGTATTCTACATGCTGAATGCGAAGGAGTAAGGGATGGAAGAATAACATTTCAGAAAGAGGTTGCTATGATTTTAAGAAGCAACACATGGGTAGGTAAGTCGTTGGAACATAAAAGTGTGTATGGGGAAGGGATGAGAGTTTGGGGTGGGCGATGGGGCTGGTATTATAGAGGTAGGTAGAAGCCAGATCATCGCAAAGCTTCAATGCCATGTTAAAAACTTGTACTGAAGTCCCCTAGGCAATGGGTTTTAAGTTTAAGAAAGATCACTCAATCATTGAATTCAAATTAATAATCATTAGGTAACCTAAACAATTTTATTTTTTAATACTGGGTTCCTCTGTATTAGTCCACTGAAAATATTTATGAAGCACCTACTCTGTTCTAGGTGCCATGCGAGGTTTTGTGGAGAAATCAAAGGAACAAAATCTTCTAAGCATGTATGGTGGAGTTTGGCAATGCAGGAAACAAGGCATAACCACACAAAAAGCTGAAGAATAAAAAAGAGTCAATAATAAAGAAATAGTAGATTGGTGTTACAATGAAGTATGGAGCTAATTTCAAAATTACATAAATGTGTTAAGTTCACTGAATTAAATGCATTAGGTTAGTGGTTGAGGAAGACCATACAGAGAGAGTGCTCTTGAAGCACAGGCAGAATTCCAGCAGGTAAGGGAAGAAGGGTGTTACATCAAACAGAAGGAACAGTGTGCACAGTCACAGAGGTGAAGAAATATAGAGAAATGCAATTTTGGGAGTGGGAGCAGCAAACAGACCAATTTGGCTGGAACAGAGGCTCTTTCTATGCAGACTTTTGGTAGTTGTAAGGATCAACAGTTTTGTCTTTAATGGTTGTTTGTTCTCAGCCTCAAAGCGTGGTGATGGACCCTGATCATTTTGTGGGGGTGTTGTCATTACAATCTGGCTGTTCTGGGTCAGCCCAGAGAAAGCAAGGTGATGTACATGTCTGTGAGAGATATGGGTTCGTTCAAAGGTGTTCTGTATGCTGGAGAAAGGTATAGGTTCTCATTTTCCAAGGATTGAGTGTCAAGGCAAGTCTCAGCTTCACAACCCTACCTTGCCCTATTGGCCTTGTGGGGTTGGGTGTGAATGCTTCTTTGGTATGAGGGTTATACAAATGCCCAAAGTAGGAGGTAGATCTTGAGATACTTCTCAATGAATGCAGAGGAGAGCTTCCCACAGCAGGTGAGAAGCATGTGAAACAGTTGCTATTATATTAGAAAGAGCACAGGTTTCAGAGTCAGTCTGATGGAGGCTGGAGTTCCAGTTCTAGCTTTGTGACACCAGCTCTTCAATGTCTTGGAACTTCAATTTCCTTGTCTGTAAAATGTGTGTAATAATCTATTTTCCCGGGCTGCTCTAAGGAAGAAAAAGGATTGTGCATGGTGAGTGGCCATCCCTTGACACATATACATTTATTCTCCTTGTCTAAGTGTGTTTTGAAACTGTATTTGCAGGGTTTCTCTTTTGGATTTTTTTTTCAATAGGAAAGGTTTTAAAAAAACTTTTTTGTTGCCATGTGAGGCTGTCTTTTATATCCCTAGTAGGTTTCTAATAGAGCCCAAGGATGATTGATAGGAGAGTCATTTGATCATTTTTCATTGTAATAGAAAAACTTCAGAATTTTTTTTTTTTTTTTTTGAGAAAGGGAGAAGAGGCTGGGCACTGTGGCTCATGCCTGTAATCCCGGCACTTTGGGAGGCCAAGAAGGGCGGATCACCTGAGGTCAGGAGTTCAAGACCAGCTGACCGACATGGTGAAACCCCGTCTCCACTTAAAATACAAAAATTAGCTGGGTGTGGTAGTGCATGCCTGTAATCCCAGCTACTCGGGAGGCTGAGGCAGGAGAATCGCTTGAACTCAGGAGGCTGAGGTTGCAGTGAGCCAAGATTGCACCATCGCACACCAGCCTGGGCAACAAGAGCAAAACCCCATCTCAAAAAAAAAAAGAAAAAAAAAGGCGGGGGGAGAAGAAAACCGTGTACAGGGGTTGAATGCCTTTAGCCAAAGAAGGTGAGGCATAGAGGTCTCTTACCACTAGGGAATATATCTGAGTCACACAGCACCAAAGTATATTAGCAGTAGAAATTATCTGAGTCACAAGACACCAAAGTGTGTTGGCAGTGGAGGGTATCCAAGTTACATGCCACCAAAATATGTTACTGGGGGCAAATCCATATGGGTCTACAGCAAGACCCATATGGATTTTCTTCTTGTGTCCTCAGAAGAAAAATTTATCTGAGGGGCATAAGGCAGAAGGAGAGACCGAGGCAAGTTTTAAAGCAGGAGTGAAAGTTTATTAAAAAGCTTTAGAGGCCAGGCGCGGTGGTTTACACCTGTAATCCCAGCACTTTGGGAGGCCAAGGTGGGCATATCACAAGGTCAGGAGATCGAGACCATCCTGGCTAACACGGTGAAACCCCGTCTCTACTAAAAATACAAAAAATTAGCCGGGCATGGTGGCGGGCGCCTGTAGTCCCAGCTACTTGGGAGGCTGAGGCAGGAGAATGGTATGAACCCGGGAGGTGGAGCTTGCCGTGAGCCGAGATGGCGCCACTGCACTCCAGCCTAGGCGAAAGAGCGAGACTCCGTCTCAAAAAAAAAAAAAAAAAAAAAAAAGGAAGGAAGGAAAGTACACTTGCAAGAGAGCCAAGCAGGCACCATGAAAGACAAGTACGAAAAATCTCAAACCTCAGATCCTGACTGCTAAACAAAATAAATATGAAGAAGTAGATACTAGATCCCCTCTCCCTCTGGACTTTATGATGCCCTGTTCCATGTGTGTGTAGTCTGACAAGGCAAGGTATGAAAGACTGTGGATTTGTAATGTAATGGCTGGGGGTAATAGAGAAAACCTGGTTTCTACTCTAGTAGAGAAGATCTACTTAAGGAGACTGGAATGTAAGAAAATAGAGAAGAATATATAATGGCATATATTTAGAAATTAGTCTATTCATTATAACTCTCCTCCCCTCGCCAAATGTTCCCATCTGCAATAAGTGAGAATCTTTCATAATTTTCAGGTTACTTTTATTATTTACCAGGATAAAAGTATCTAGAGGAGCAAATTATCCTGTAGAAATTTGGCATGGACATTTGACCACGTATATAAGTTGACCAAGGATTTGGGGCTTTTCTTTATTCAATAGCAGAAGATCCAGGTATGTGGTAGATAGATTGTTGGCTTAAAAATCAGACACCCAGGTTCTTTTTGTGATTCTCCCTTATGTGATTCTGATTGTATTACTAGTGATGAAGATAAGTTAAATAAGTATTTGAAACAATTGGGATGTGATGGGCATTATTAGATTCCTAGATAATTTTTTATTTTTATAATTCAGTAGCTTTTAGTATAATCACAGAATTGTGCATTCATCACCACAATCAATTTTAGAAATGCTCATTACCCTCAAAAGAAATCCCATACCTTTTAGCTGTCACCCACAATTTCCCCATAAGCTCCCAAGCCTTAGGCAACCACTAATCTACTTTCTGTCTCTGTAGATTTGCCTATTTTGGTTATTTCATATAAGTGAAATCATACACTGTGTATCCCTTTTTGACTGGCTTCTCTAACTTAGAATAATGCTTTCGAGGTTCATTCATATTGTAGCTTATGTCAGTAGTTCACTTCTTTTTATTGCAGAATAATGTTACATTGTTTGGATATAATACATTATAGATATCCATTTATCAGTTGGTGGACATTTGAATTGTTTCCACTCTTGGCTATTATGAATAATGCTGCTATGAACATTTATGTACAAGCTATTGTGTGGACATGTTTTTATTTCCTTGGGTATATGACTAGGACTGGAATTGCTGGATCAGATGGAAACTCTGTTTAACTGTTTGAGGAACTGCCAGACTTGTCCAAAGTGACTACACTGTTTTACATTCCCCGAAGCAGCGTTTGAGGGTTTCGATTTTTCCACATCCTTGTCAACACTAGTTATTATCTTTCTTTTTGATGATAGACATTCTAATGTGTATGGAGTGATACCTTACTGTGGTTTTGAGTTGCATTTGCTTGATGGCTAAATGATGTTGAGTATCTTTTCATAAGCTTATTGACGATTTGTGTATCTTTGGAGAAATGTATATTCAGATAATTTGCCCACATTTAATTGGATTCTTTGTCTTTCTATCATTGATTTGTAATAATCATGTATGTTTTAGAGGCAGTCACTTATGATTTACAGTTTTTTCCCCCATTCTGTGGGCGATCTTTTCATTTTCTTGGTGGTGTCCTTTAAGCACAAAGGTTTTAAAATTTGATGATGTCCAATTTTTTTTTATTTTTTATTTTTTGTGATTCTGATGTCATATTTTTGCCTAATTCAAAGTAATGAAGAGTTACTCCTATGTTTTCTTCTAAAAGTTTTATAGGTTTAGCTCTTACATTTATCTCTTAGATATATTTTGAGTTACTTTCTTCTAAAAGTTTTATAGGCTTAGCTCTCACATTTATCTCTTAGATGTATTTTGAGTTAGTTTTTATATATCATGTGAGGTAGGGGTCCAACTTTATTCTTTTGCATATGAATATCCAATTGTTTCTTCACCACTTGTTGAAGACTGCTTTTCTTCCAGTGAATTGTATTGGCACCCTGTTGAAGATCAATTGACCATAAATATGAGGGCTTATTTCTGGTCTCTTACTGCTATGGAATCTTTGGGGTGTTGCTTTTCTGACCAGAAACCTGTGGCTGGTGGTGCCTTTGCCCGAGTTTTGCTAGGGCCCACTGGGCTCGTTCTACCCACTCGGCCTGGCAGGCTGCACTCAGCTCATGGTACTGGCCTAGGTGTCATGCCTCCAAGGGAGATGGGAGTCAGGCATGGAGCAGCAAGGGGTGTGTGAGTGAGCAAGGGGTCTGGCCCCTGCACATTCAGATACACCGGCTGCTGCCACGGGGTGGGCAGCTCCAGGTACCGGCAGGGTTACCAACTCTCTGTGAGGTTGTGGCTGGACCAGGTACACCTCAAGCAGCTTCCACCAGCACCGGGGAACACGGTGGCACCTGGAAGCTTGGAGACACCAGGAACTGCAAGGCCCCAAAGAGGGAGTCACAGCCCTGGCTCGGGGAGCCCAGGTCTGTGCTCCCCAAAGGGCTGCAGCTCTTCTCTTCTCTCCTCTTTGCCCCCAATGTGGCAAGCAAGGAGAATGTTTCAGTCCTGTTTGTGTTACATCTTTTTTAGCCTCATTCAGTGAGTCCCAAGTTCTTGTCCTGCAACCAGGAAGAATGAGGTACACAGACAAGTGGAGAGTGAGCAAGATGAAGAGAAGCTTTATTGAGCAATAGAACAGTTCAGTCTTCCACAGGAGTAGCTCCTTTCCTCAGCCAGGGTGTCCCAACAGGTGTTCAGCTCCTAATAGAGAGGAGACCCTGGAGTAGGAAGCTCCTCTCTGCAGGCAGGTCCTGCTGTTGTCTCTGCAGCTCTCAGCAGAGAGGAGGCCCTAGAGTGGGTGGCTTCTCTCTGCAGCGGGTTATCCTGATGTCTGCTTAAGTTTCAGCAGAGAGGAGGCCCTGGATTGGGTAGCTCCTCTCTGCAGCTGGTCCTTCTGATGTCTGCTCAGCTCTGGCTGAGCCTGGGGCTTATATGGGCCTCAGAGGGGAGGAAGTGCATGCCAGTTGGCCCATGGGCAGCCATGGATAGGCCTCGAAAAGGCACTACAAGTTCCCATTCCTGTCTGTGGCACTGGCAGCCATCAGGCCCTCCCTGGCCTGAAGGCGAAGCCTCACTGGGGAGCCAGCCACTTCCACCCAGGAACTGTCTACCTCCTGCTGACATTCATGGTGCCCAGACTGCAGGTGCCAAGGGATACCTGCAGGCAAATGCTGAGCTGACTTCAGCCTCACCTCAGCTTCCCTCCTATGCTCATTGGTGCCCAAAATCCAGAGAGGGCTAAGGTGGCAGAGGGCTGGTGTGTCAGCACTGCCCTGAGTATGTGCACACCCAGCCAGGCTGTGACAGTGCCGGAACTCGGCCCCGACTTTGCTCAAAGATTGGTGCAGGTGCTTATTTCAGACAGAAGCCAGGCAGTAGGAGCAGGCATTTCTGAGCCTACAAGTGCAGTGGGGTCCTTCCCAGGTCTCCAAGAGTGCAGGGATGCGTGGGCCCACAGCTGCAGCTGTGAAGGGAAGGGTTGGGGCTCTTGCCTGCTTGGTGAAACAGGAGGCCTGGGTCTGCAGCCACAGTTTGGGCAGCTGCAGCTGAGCCCAGCGAGGTAGGACTCCTACCTGCTCTGTGGAGTGGGAGGTCTAGATCTGCAGCCATGACTTGGGCCCTGCTCCTGCCTGCTCTACGGGGCAGGAGGCCTGGGTCTGTAGCTGCAAGTGGGCGGCTGCAGCTATGCCTGGGGAACTTCTACCCCAACTTGGAAGGGGCGGGGCTTCTGCTTTTTCAAGGCTCCCAGTGGCTCCACAAAGCCTGCAGGCCTGGCCACGCCTCCCTGCTGCACCTGGTGTGATGGTAGCGGCTGCTCCAGACAGCCTGCCGCTACTATCATTACTTCTATTTCATTGATCTATATGTTTATCCATATGGAAGTGCTGTTTGATTATTGCAGTTTTGTAGTAAGTTTGGAAATTGATGAATCTTCCAAGTTTGTTCTTCTTTTCAAGATTGTTTTGGTTATTCTATTTCCCTTGGATTTTCATATGAATTTTAGGACCAGCTTGTCAGTTTCCGCAAATAAGTCAGTTGAGATTTTGATAGAGATTGTATTGAATCTGTAGGTCGTCAGTCTGAGGAAGCATTGCCATCAAAACAATGTCAAATAATTTGATTCCTGAACATGGGGTGTCTTTCTACTTTCTCAGGTCGTCTTTCATTTCTTTCAATTTTTTTTGTTTGTTTTCAAAATCTAAGATTTTCGTGGCTTTTGTTAATTTATTCCTAGGTGTATTTTTTTATGCTATCATACATGGAATAATTTTCTTAATTTCAATTTTTGGTTGCTCATTGCTACTGTATAGAAAGGAAATTAATTTTTGCCTATTACTTTGCATCCTGCAACCTTGGTAAGCTTATTGATTAGTTCTAATAGTTTCTAGTGAATTCCTTAGAATTTTTCCATATAAGATTATGTCATCTCCAAATGGAGATTGTTTTATGTCTTCCTGTCCTACCTGCTGCCTGTTAGTTCATTTTTATACCAAATTGCCCTGGCCAGAACTTCCAGTACAATGTTGAATAGAAATGGTGAGCAGATATCTTTGTATTGTTTCTGATTTTAAAGGGAAAGCTTTCAGTTTTCACCTTGAAGTATGTCAGCTGTGTGGATTTTCACAGGTACTCTTCACCAGTCTGGAGGTTTTTTTTTTTTTTTTTCTATTTGTAGGTGTTCTTTATCATATTGGAGAAGTCTCTTTCTATTCCTAGTTTGGTTAGTGTTTCTGTTATGAAGGGTGTTGAATTTCTTCACATGCTATTTCTATATCTACTGAGATGATAACATAGTTTTAATCTTTTATTCTGTTGATGTAGTGTATTATACTAACTGATTTTCAGAAAGCTATACCAAACTTGCATTCCTGGGATAAATTCCACTTGGCTATGTTCCATAATCCTTTTTCTATTTTATGGATTCGATTTGATAGTATATTGTTGAGGACTTTTGTATCTATATCCATAAGTGAGGTATTGGTCTGCAGCTTGCTTTCTTTCCATGTTTTAATATGATTTTGATATCTTTCTTTTGAGTTTTAGCTGATTTTTAAGCTATATTGAATAGCTTTTTTAAGCTAACATTTGCTGATTGCATACCACGTGCCAAACATTAATTTTTTTTAGATGATCCCCTTTGACTTGTTAGGTATATAATTGTGTAAGCTGAAAATATTGAAAATTTTTCCTTTCTTCAATTTCAATATTTATATTAGCGATTTCTTTTTCTTGTTTTATGATATGGTCTGGAATCTCCATAATAGTGGTAAATAATATATGAACAAATCAAAGGTGTTCATTAAAGTCAGGAAGAGGGCAACAGATAATCCTTTTTTCTTTCCAACTTTAATAAGGTCCTCTGTTTAATAAACTGTCTAGTAGTACTTTCTAATATCTATCACTGTTTCTATCTGTCTTTATCTATCTAGTCATCATGTAAAGGAAATCTAATTTTATTCCTATTTTACTGAAAGATTAAAAAAGAATAGCTGTTATATTTTATTAAATATCTTTTCAGTGTGCATTTTGAGATACTTTTGTGTCTGCCCCCTTTTATCTATTAACATAAGTAATTACATTAATAGAATCTATAATGTTGAGCTATTTCTGAAATCCTTGAATAAACTTACATTAACTAATGCTTTAGTTAGGATCTTTGTATCATTAAATAATGATAGCAATAGCAATATTAATAAAAGCAGTAGTAGTAACTACATTAGTTTAAGCACTGAAGAATTATAGGCATTGTTTTAAATACTTTAAACTTATTAAACATTTAAATGTTTTAATACATTAATAAGTGAGATGCCATAGATTTTTCTGTGTATTTGAGTTAATTCAAGGCTTTTTGAATTTTTTATGTGCTAGACTATTTAAAAAATATACATTGTATCTTTTCTACAAGTGTTTCTGATAGAATGAGCCTGAAAATAGATGCAAATGTAATTAGATGTAAATAATTACATGTAAACATAATTAGAAAAGGACAGAAAATATTTTGTATAGAAAATATTTGGGCTGAAAAGTACAAAAAATATTTAGGCTGATAATTTGGTCTTGGGGAAGCTGGAAAATATTTTATTATTGAAATGTTCATTTTCCACTTCTTTTGTGGTATGGTTTCTATCTAATTACTTTTGAGCTCTTCTTGGGATCAATTTATGTTTTTAAGAATCCTATATTTCATTGATATTGGGATTTTTTTGGCAAGTAGTTGGACGTTATAGTCTCTTTTACTTAATAAAATTTTTATATTTGTGATTTTTATCTCATTTTATTTCTAATGTGTGATATGTGTGTTTTCTTCTTTTCTTGGCCAGGCTCATCATGGGATCATGTAATTTATTGATCTTTTAAATGAAACAGTTCTTAGTTTTATTGATCAAGTGGACTGTTTTTCATTTCAAATTCATTGATTCCTACTTCTTACCTTATGTTGGATTATCTTGTTGGTATTTTTACTAGCTTCTTCCATGTTTAGTTCATTTGTCTTCAGTATTTTCTGTTTACTGGTAAAACCACTGATGGTTTTATGTTTCCTTGTGAATATTGCTTTGAATACAGCCCACTGATATTGCTATATAGTGTTTTTATTTTCTGTACTTTTCTATAGCTCTTAATTTCATTTTGGCTTCCTCTTTAACCCTGGTTAAAGCAGTGTTTAAATATTCCAAAGTGATTAAATTAAAAATGCTTAATGGGTGATTTCTGGTTTTATTGTTAATTGAGGGCATAAAATATGTGCGTCAGATTTTTAGATTTTTGAGTTGCAGAATTTTTTTTCCTGGTGATCTTTCACATGCTCAATATTTTTGATACATTTAAAAATAATGGATTGCTTTTGAAAATGTATAGATAAATACAGACATATGACTTTATATGTAGCAACTTTGAGTTGTGTTATTTAACTTCTATGTGTATTGATTAACTGATTGATTGCTCAATCCATGACAGTCTGAGAGAAGTAGGTTAATGGCTCCTATTGTAATTATGTAAGCATCGTAGGTATTGTAATTATCATTTTTTCATAGTCTCCTTGGATAGGTTTAAGGGTCAGGCTGAAAATGTCATGTATAATCTGTATCCCATTTCATTGAACAGTACTGGGAAATTCAGCCTAGCATTGTGCCAAGGATGAGAGAACATGGATATTGGAAACATTAGGCAGTCTCTGTCTTGATTGGTTGAGGTGTTACCTATTGAGTCTGAACCCAAATACGTGGAAATAGCATAGGTAACAGACTGCCTCAAATAGGGGTTTCTCCAGGTAATAATCTCAAGCACATAGTATGCACTCAATAAACACATTTTAAATGAAAAAAGGATTTGTCTTCTTCATCTCCAGTTAGAGCTGCTCAGAATTTTCATGACTAGTTTCAAAGGTTCACATGGAATACATTGTACCAGACAAAGGTATTGCCCTGGGTGTGCTACACATGGGAGGCTGTGCAGGATAGTGAAGGGGGCAAAGGTTTTGGCATCTGGAGGCTGAATTGATAATACCTGGTGATTTTTCTGAGGATTAGTATTTGTAAAATACCTAGCATAGTGCTTGGCATACAAAAGAAACTCAATAAAAAAGCCATAATGATGATGATGCTGATGATACTGATAATGACGATGTTATCTAGATGGAAATTTGATGCTGAGGGGAGACAGGGTGCTGAGGAGTGGCCAGATGAGAAAATAGTCATCCCACACACCACCCCCAGTTCGGTGATTAAAGGAAAATAATGACTATCACCCAAACCTGGTAATGTTCGATTTTCAGTTAAAAGTCATCTTTGCTGATGAAGCACAATGAGGGAACAGCATTCTGGATCTGATCACCTTCCCTAATCATCATGAGCACCACAGGAAGTAATCATGCCCCTGCCTTTTCCAAAGCTGTCAACCAGAGAAACTTCATTTACTGTTTTGGAAATCACTGTTTCCAATCTCTGCTAGGCTTCGGGCTACTCTCAGGCACAGCCATTATTGAATTAGAAGACTTCATTCAGTGGCTGAGTTCCCTTCTGGCCAAAGGCAGACATCTCTCTCACCTGGTGGGAACCCAGTAGCCAGAGTTAGAACTCTTGGGAGTTTGTGTTTCTTTAAACGAGGAGTGAACTTCTTGGCAAAGCAGTATCTGGAAACTCCCTAGGTAACTGAGCCAATTGAGTTCCCATGGATATCTTAAGTGGGCAGATAAAACGAAACAGAAAACTGAAATATAAAGACTATTAAAAATGTACCTGGAGGTAGTAATTGAAATAGGCTCTTTTATGTAATGGAATGGGTACTCTGTTATTAATTCCAATGTATATTTCTAATGTGATAAAATTATTTTTTACAGTAGCAATAGAGTGCATTAGCAGAGCAACAAAGATGAGTCTGTCTTGCTGAACTATCTTAATGACATTGCAGATTTAATGTTTATTTTTTCGGATTCAAATGTGTTAATATAGAGCTTTGTTAAAATGGAAAGCTTAATTAATGCAGATTAAATCTAATTGAACACTCTGCCAGTATATGTAACTCTATAAGATATAATGGTAAATCTTCTGTTTTTTAATTTTATTTCTAAATGATAGATAAAATTAAGTTGAAGCACAATTAGATGGGAAGTTGAAAGCTAGGGTTCTAAGAAAAAGCTTCCCATGGAATCCTTTTCTGAGGAGATGAAGAAGACATTTTTGGCTTCCTAAGAAGGCATCTCCTTTTTTTTTTAAACAAAATTTTTGTTTTTCAAAAGATACTCTTCAGTTTTCTGAGCTCTCATGGTGGAAATAACTTTCTACTGTGATGCCAAGTAGACTTGGGTTCATTTCCTGGATCTATCAATTGCTAGATGTTTGAGCGTTTGCAGTTATCTTTAATTTACCTCAGACTCAGGGTTCTTCTAGGTAAAGTGAAGGTATCCATTGATTACCACATCATAGAGTTATTGGAAGGATTAAACAAGAGCAGTTCCTCATACATCTCGTATATCAAGGCTCTCAGTAAATGTCATTTTTCTTCCTGTCCTCATGGCTGCTTTAGATATTTCCTACTTCTTCCTAAAATTCTTCATAAGGGAAGAAGGTAGATGTTGGGACCGTCCCACCATTTGAAATAGTAATTAGCTTTTCACATCAAGATGTTGTTATAGATAATCTAAAACAATGAATTGCCCAAATGGAATGCATTCTGTAATTCCTAAAAAAGCATGTTTACCTTCTTAATTACAGATGACTTAAGCTCATATTTAAATTATTTTGAACTTTTATAAAATTGATTGAAGAATATCAGAATGTAGGGTAGGAGGAAAGGGGAGAAAATTCCAGAAGTATGTTACATGGTTTGTTGAAGCCATGTAACTTTCTCCTTGGGTAATTCTTTCCTCAATGAGATACAACATTGGCTTATATTATTATAAAGTAGATATTTTCAATTATTAAATTACTTTCATTTGGGAATGAAGGGAGCAAATTGGAGACTTGCCCTAAAAAATCTATCCTGCTTTTGAAGTATGCAAGCAAGTCTCCACACTTCAAACAAATATTGGGTGTCTATGATTAGAGAGTCTTTAGAGTTAGGACTATGATCCGAGTAGACCGTAAGCTGTCTTGTCAGCATCATTCTGGAGATAACAATGCAAAACTATCAAATACTGTGTGGTCATAGATGCTGGGCTACAATTGTGAGACATACAAGAGTGGAGACAGTCAAAGAAACACTGCCAAGTATTGTTAGTGCCCTGATAGGAGGAATACAGGGAGCAAGGCACCCTACCTCGACCAAAAGGAGTCAGAAATTCTTTCCACCAAGAGTTATGCTTAATATGTTAAATAGAAGGATAAGCAGATATCAGCCAAGATGAATGGAAGAGGGTTCTGAATGCAGCATGAGCAAAGAGGTGAGAGATGAGGGATGACAGTGCATTAAAAGAACTGAAGAAAAATTTATTATTGGAGAGTGGAGAAAGCATAGGTAAGGAAGAGGCAAGGTGTGTCAAGAAATAAACCTGGGGAGGCAGGCAAGAGGCCAGATTGTGAATAGGTTTGTAAGCAATGCGTAATGGTTTAGCCTTTAGGCCCAGGGCATTGGGAGCCATGGAAAGGATATAAGCACAGGCTTGGTGGCATGATTAGGGTGGTACTTTAGAAAGACCACACTGGCTGCTTAGTGGAGAATGGCATGGAGGGGGCAAAATTGGAGACATAAAGACAGGAGGTTGCTGGCCGGGCGCGGTGGCTCGCGCCTGTAATCCCAGCACTTTGGGAGGCTGAGGCGGGTAGATCACGAAGTCAGGAGATCGAGACCATCCTGGCTAACACGGTGAAATCCAGTCTCTACTAAAAATACAAAAAAAATTAGGTGGGCGTGGTGGCGGGCGCCTGTAGTCCCAGCTACTTCGGAGGCTGAGGCAGGAGAATGGCGTGAACCTGGGAGGTGGAGCTTGCAGTGAGCCGAGATCGCGGCACTGCACTCCAGCCTGGGCGACAGAGCGAGACTCCATCTCAAAAAAAAAAAAAAAAAAAAAAGACAGGAGGTTGCTGCAGTATTCTAGAATCGAGATCCTAGATAAGAGGACAGAATCCTGCACTATTTCAGATAATGGTGGTGCCAATTGAGGGAAGTTAATTCTGGAGTAGACTGGATGTAGTTCTATATTAGGGGATAGAGAAGGAGGAGTCAAGGGTGATGCCCAGGGTTCTGGCTTGTGCTACTGGAAGTTAGTGTGCCCTGGGCAGATAGAGTGGGGTGGTGAATAGCTTTTTTCTTTAATCATTGTGCTGTGTGTGTCATATGGCCAATTCTTTGCATTTACTTTGTCCAAGTTTTCAGTTGAATAAATTACCACAAATACAGAAAAGTAGAAAGGAGTAATAATAGATGGGATGTATTTTCCAGTAAATGGTTAAAAGCTGAAAATGTGGGCCATCTAGAGATGCTGCCAAATGCTAGGAGACAAGACATCTGGATTCTGAGATTCCATCATTTTTATCTTTATGCCTAGCACAGTGTAGACATAGCTTCAAGGAAACGTTTAAAGGATGTATACTTGAGGATGGACAGTTAGGCTATGGTGTGCATTGGGAAGTAGCAATTTTCAGGCAGAAATGAAAATGAGTGGAAGGATCTGATGTCCAGAAAATGAGGATGTTTTCTGCAACACACTAATTAAGTAAAATTTAAATCTTCGTCAGAAGAAATGAAGCTGTTCAGATGACTTTTGACCTTAATTGAAGCCAAGAAGTATCATAGCAATAGAATATAATACTTTGGGCAAATTGCTCTTGCTTGTATATGTGCATGTTAGATTTTGGATTGCCTAGTGTTTGAGAAATGAAAAAACAGCTAATGTAGCCATTAACCTTTACTTTTTTAGTATAAATTCACAATTTCATTAATATTTTTGCATAAAATCATTTAAGCTCAATGGAATTCTCCTAGAGAATTTAAAAAAACTCTTCTTTGACATCCTTTGGAATTAGTTGTGAAACACTTGCATTTCTGGGTAACATGCATTCGTTCATTTGGTTCTGTGGTGAGAAATGTGGACAGAATGTTGTTGCTGATGAAAGATAGATTTAACTCCTGACTTGCTGATTTCTGGGTGAAAGGCACCTCAGGCTGTCAGAACATTGGTGAGGGTGGTGCAATGACAGTGATTCTGGGCCAGGAGTCAGAAGACCTGGACTCAAGGCTCTGCTTTGTCAATGAATATCCATGAGACCAGACAGGTCCTCCCTGGACCTCAGTTTACTTCTCTGTCAAATTATAGTTCATTAATTATTCATCAGATACTAATCTGCTTTGGACACTTATCTGTGGGCTAGGAACATTGGTGGATTCTTTAGCAGCGAAGGTGTGTAAGGGGCCTGTCCTCAGGGAGCTTTTATTCTAGTGGGGTGAGTCAGATGATAAATACGGACAAAATTAAACCTAATGATAAACGTCATGGAAGAAAATAAAACAGAGGGATGAGGGATAGGTCAGTAGAGAAGAGAAGCTGGAGAGGGCTTTATGAAGATAGGACGTTTGTCCTCAATCTAAAAAAGAGGCAGCTATGAAAAAATCAGAAAGATGAGTGTCCCAGATAGCTGAGACAGTAAGTACAAAGACTCTGTGAAGGATCCAGTTTGGTATGTTTAGGAGACAGACCAAGAGCTAGTGCATTTAAAACTTTGTTAGTTGAGGGTGATGAAAGGGAGTGGTTTTAGATGAGGAGATGCTGACAGCAATAGCTTCCTTGATGATTTCACAGTGTGAGAGACCGTGTATCATGACAAAGTGTGATATTTATACAAGGCCATATTATTTCAGGACAACAGTTACTTACTAAGTGCAGGCTATGTGCAAAGGAAGTCTACCCATCCATCCATAGTGTTCCTTGGAAATCCAAATTTCATAATTTATAAAACTATAACAATTACATTTTTTAGAGCAAATGCACACACTTTTTTTCTAAAGGACATTTTAGTTCTCCTTTCCCCCTTCTTATTGATTGACTTGATTATAAATAATAATAATACTTTGGTAGGAGTGAATTGGTAGTTCACCATTTGAAGCATTATCAGTTCATCTGGAGACAGCCAGAAGTATGTATGTGTGTATGTATGTATGTATGTATGTATTATTACTATTATTTTTAGATTCAGGGAGTACATGCACAGAGTTGTTACACTGTTATACTGCATGATGCTGAGGGATATGGAGATATGAATGACTTTGGGATACAGATGGTCCCATCACCCATGTGGTGAGCATACTATCCAATAGGTAGTTTTTTTAGCCCATATCCCCCTCTCTCCTTCCTCCTTCTAGTAGTCCCCAGTGTCTGTTTTGCTCACCTTTATGTCTATGTGTATTCAATGTTTTGTTCCCACTTATAAGTAAGAACATGCAATATTTGGTTTTCTGTTCTTGTGTTAATTCACTTAGGATCATGGCCCCCAGCTGTATTCATGGTGCTGCCAAGGACATGATTTTGTTCTTTTCAATGGCTGCGTAGTATCCCATGGTGTATACGTACTAGATTTTCTTTATCCAATCCACCATTGATGGGCACCTAGGTTGATTCCATGTCTTTGCTATTGTGAATGGCACTGTGATGAACATACTAGTGTATGTGTCCTTTCGATAGAATGAATTCTTTTCCTTTGAATGCTAGTGGGATTGCTGGTTCAAATGGTAGTTCTAAGTTCTTTGAGAAATCTCCAAAATGCTTTCCAAAGTGATTAAACTAATTTACATTCCCACTGACAGCATATAGACATGTCCTTTTCTCCACAGTCTCACCAGCATCTGTTATTTTTGACATTTAAAAAATAATAGGCATTCTGAAGGGTATGAGATGGTATTTCATTGTGGTTTTGATTTTTCACTTCTCTGATTATTAGTGATGTTGACTTTTAATATATATTTGTTGGCTGCTTGTATGTCTTCTTTTGGGATTGTCTATTCCTGTCTTTTGTCCATTTTTAAATTGGATTATTTGTTTTTTGCTTGTTGATGTATTTAAGTTCCTTGTAGATTCTGGATATTAGACCTCTGTTAGATGCAGAGTTTGTGAATATTTTCTCCTGTTTTGTAGGCTGTCTTGCCAATAATAGCCTCTCCTGAGAGGTGGAGAGCCTCATCTCTAAGATGGGTGCAGCACAAAAGTGGGGGAAGTAGGTGGTGTGTGGGAATGAGAAACGATGAGGATGTGCCCGTGGCTGGAAAATGCAGCCTGCAGGGCAGGAACTGCAAAGAGATGGGGCTGATGATATTGAGAGTGATAGGCATCCTGTCTGGATTTGTTAATAAGCAGTGACTAAATGTTGAAACTGCAGGCCATAGTTGGCTTGTAGAAGGGCTTTCCTTGGTTGTGATGGCTTCCACAGTATCCTTCCACAATTAAAAAAAACAAACAAACCATGAGTTAGTTTCCAACATTTGAAAATTGAAGTGATTTGGTCTAAAAAATCCAGCTTTCCACCTTCTCATCAAAAATAGG
This sequence comes from Homo sapiens, assembly GCF_000001405.40. Lineage (NCBI taxonomy): Eukaryota > Metazoa > Chordata > Mammalia > Primates > Hominidae > Homo > Homo sapiens. The sequence continues at coordinate 20,801,049 of NC_000011.10, forward strand.
TATGTATTTTTCAGATTGCCACAGTCCCTAGTTCTCTCAGTTGTCTTCCCATCACCATAAGGTCATGTGTCAATTGCTGCTGTGTGGTTTCCTTTTTAATGAATGTAAAGTTAGGAGAAAAGTGAAATTCTTAAACTCATTTCTTTATTCAAAGAAGAAAAATAAAGGGACTTAAAAGGTAGCTTGTTTTTTAAAAAATACGTTAGACTTCTAGCCTACTTCTGTCATGTAAGATGCTGCCTGGCCCCTGTAGCCACTGAAGATTTTGACTCCCTCTCAAGGTTATACAGATACAAAATGGCAGAGCCAGAATGCAAAGCCCCATCTGAAGATTTTGCCCTTTCAGACCTTTTGCCCATTTTTAAATCAAATTATTAGATTTTTTCCCCATAGAGTTGTTTGAGCTCCTTACATATTCTGGTTATTCATCCTTTGTCAGATGGGTAGTTTGCAAATATTTTCTCCCTTTATGTGGGTTGTCTCTTCACTTTGTTGATTGTTTCCCTTTTCCGTAAAGAGGTTTTTTAACTTTATGTAATCCCATTTATCCGTTTTTACTTTGGTTGCCTATGCTTGTAGGGTAGTACTCAAGAAATATTTGCTCAGTCTAATGTCCCTAGAGAGTTTCCCCAATGTTTTCTTTTAGTAGTTTAATAGTTTGAGGTTTTAGGCTTAAGTCTTTAATGCATTTTGATTTGATTATTGTATATGGCAAGAGATAGGGGTCTAGTTTCATTCTTCTGCATCTGCTGGTCCAGTTTTCCCAGCATCGTTTATTGAAGAGACTGTCCTTTCTTTCCCAAATGCATGTTCCTGGCACCTTCATAGAAAATGAGTTTCCTGTAGATGTATGAATTTGTTCTTGTGTTCTCTATTCTGTTCCATTGGTCTATGTGTCTGTTTTTATGCCAGTGCCATGCCATTTGGGTTACTATAGCTCTGTAGTATAATTTGAAGTCAGGTAATGTGATTCCTCCAGTTTTCTTTTTGCTCAGGATAGCTTTGGCTATTCTGGGTCTTTTGTAATTCCATATAAAGTTTAGGATTTTTTTTTCTATTTCTGTGAAGAGGGTCATTGGTATTTTTTATAGGAGTTACTACATTGAATTTGTAGATTGCTTTGGGTAGTGTGGACATTTTAACAATATTAATTCTTCCAATCCATGAATGTGGAATGTTTTTCCATTTGTGTGTGTTTGTCCTCTTCACATTCTTTTATCAATGTTTTCAAGTTTTCTGTATAGAGATCTTTCACTTTTTTGGTTAATTCCTAAGTATTTTCTTTTTGTATCTGATGTAAATGAAATTACTTTCTTGATTTCTTTTTCAGATCGTTCATTGTTGGTGTACAGAAATGCTGTTTTTTTTTTTGTATCCTACAAGTTTACTGAATTTGTTTATCAGTTCTAATCTTTTTGTGGATCCTTTAGGTTTTTCCAAATATAAGATTATATCATCTGTAAACAAGGATAATTTGACTTAATCCTTTCCAAATTGTATATCGTTTGTTTCTTTCTCTTGTCTAATTGCTGTAGCTAGGACTTACAGTACTATGTTGAATAACAGTGGTGAAGGTGAACATCCTTCTCATGTTCCAGATACTGGAGCAAAAGCTTTCAGTTTTTTCCCATTCAGTACTATGATAGCTATGGGTCTTTCATACATGGCTTTTATTGTGTTGAGATAAATGTTCCTTCTATCCCTAGTTATTTGAGGGTTTTTATCATGAAGGGATGTTGAATTTGATCAAATTATTTTCAGCATCAAGTGAAGTGATTGTATAATTTTTTCCTTCATTCTGTTGATATGATGTATCACATTGGTTGATTTATGTATGCTGAACCATCTGTGCATACTTGGGATAAATTTCATTTGGTCATGATGAATGATCTTTTTAATGTATTGCTGAATTTAGTTTGCTAGTATTTTGTTGAGGATTTTTTGCAACAATGTTCATCAGTGATATTGGCCTGTAATTTTCTTTATTTTTTTACATGTCTTTGGTTTTGGTATTAGGGTAATGCTGCCCTGATATAATGAGTTTGGAAAAATTCCCTCCTCTATTTTTCAGGATAGTTTGAGTAGGATTGGTATTAGTTTTTTTTAAAATGTTTGGCAAAATTCAGCAGTGAAGCCATTGGATCCTGGACTTTTCTCTGCTGGGAGATTTTTCATTACATCTTGTATCTCATTACATATCATTGGTCTGTTCATATTTTGGGTTTCTTCATGGTTCAATCTTGGGAGGTTGTATCTGTCTAGGAATTTATCCATTTCTTCTAGGTGTTCAAATTTATTGGCATATAGCAGCCTCTAATGATCCTTTGAATTTCTGTAGTATCAGTTGTAATGTCTCCTATTTCGTCTCTGATTTTATTTGTTATCTCTTTTTTCTCAATTAATCTGGCTAAAGATTTGTCAGTTTTGTTTATCCTTTCAAAAACGAACTTCTTCTTTCATTGATCTTTTGTATTGTTTCTTCGTTTCAATTTCATTGGTTTCTGCTCTGACCTTTATTATTTCTTTACATCTACTAACTTTGAGTTTGGTTTGGTCTTGCTTTTCTAGTTCTTTAAGATGCATCATTAAGTTGTTTATTTGAAATTTTTCTATTTTTTTCTTTTGATGTTGGTTTTGATGGTTAATACCGAGTGTCAACTTGATTGGATTGAAAGATTCAAAGTATTGATCCTGGGTGTGTCTATGAGGGTGTTGCCAAAGGAGATTAACATTAGAGTCAGTGGGGTGGCAAAGGCAGACCCACCCTTAATCTGGGTGGGCACAGTCTAATCAGCTGCCAGCATGGCTAGAATATGAGCAGGCAGAAAAATGTGAAAAGAGAGACTGGCCTAGCCTCCCAGCCTACATCTTTCTCTTGTGCTGGATGCTTCCTGCCCTCGAACATCGGACTCCCAGTTTCTTCAGCTTTGGAACTCGGACTGACTCTCCTTGCTCCTTAGCCTGCAGACAGCCTATTGTGATACCTGATGATTGTGTGAGTTAATATTTAATAAACATATATATATATATTCCATTAGTTCTGCCCCTCTAGAGAACCCTTACTAATACATTGGTGCTTATAGCTATAAACTTCCTTTTTGCTACTGCTTTTGCTGTATCATGTAGGTTTTGGTATGCTGTGTGTCCATTATCATTTGTTTCAAAAATTTTTTTCAATTTTATTCTTAATTGTTTATCCATTTTTGAGATGGAGTCTTGCTCTGTCACCCAGGCTGGAGTGCAGTGGTGCGATTTCAGCTCACTGCAACCTCTGCCTCCTGAGTTCAAGCAAGTCTCCTGCCTTGGCCTCTCAAGTAGCTGAGACTACAGGCACGTGCCACCACATCTGGCTAATTTTTGTATTTTTAATAGAGATGGGGTTTCGCCATGTTGGCCAGGCTGGTCTTGAACTCCTGACATCAAGTGATGCACCTGCCTCAGCCTCCCAAAGTGCTGGGAATACAGGCAATTTTATTCTTAATCTGTTGATCCATTGGTCATTTAGGAGCCTATTGTTTAATTTCCATGTGTTTGTATAGTTTCCATAATTCCTCTTGTTACTGATTTCTAATTTTTTTCCATCTTGGGAAGAGAAGATACTTCATGTTATTTCAGCTTTTTTGAATGTTTTAAGACTTGTTTTGTTGTCTGTTATATAGTCTACCCTTAAGAATTATCCATGTGCTGAGGAGAAGCATATGTATTCTGCAGCCTTTGGATGAAATGTTCTGTAAAAATCTATTAGGTCTATTTGGTCTATAGAGCAGACTAAGTCCAATGTTTTCTTTGTTGATTTCTATCTGAATGATCTGTCTGAAAGTACGGTGTTCAAGTCTTCAATTATTATTTTATTGAGATCTCTCTTTGTTTTTAGGTCTAATAATATTTGCTTTACACATCTGGGTGTTCCAGTGTTGGGTGCATGTATATTTACAATTGTTATATTCTCTTGCTTAATCTTTATCATTATATAATAAACTTCTTTGTCTTTTTTATAGTTTTTGCCTTAAAATGTATTTTATCTGATATAACTATAGCTGCTCCTGTTCTTTTCTGGTTTCCATTGGCATGGAATATCTTTTTCCATTCCTTTATTTTCAGTCTATGTGTGTCTTTATAGGTGAAGTGTGTTTCTTGTAGGCAACAGATTGTTGGGTCTTGGTTTTTGTTTGCTTCTGTTTTTGTTTTTACAACTCAGCCAGACACTTCATGTCTTTTGAATAAAGAGTTTAGTCCATTCACATTCAATGTTAATGATAAATAAGCATCATTAACTGTGTTCCTGCCATTTGTTATTTATTTTCTAGTTGTTTTGTGCTATTCTCTTTCATCTTTCTTTTTTTCCTGTCTTCCTTTTAGTGAAGGTGGTTTTCTCTGGTGGTATGTTTTAATTTCTTGCTTTTAATTTTTTGTGTGTATCTGCTGTGTTTTTAGATTTGCAAATAATGTCTTATAACCCATTATTTTATTTTAATTATTATTATTTTTTGAGATGGAGTCTCGCTCTATTACCCAGGCTGGGGTGCAGTGGTGAGATCTTGGCTCGCTGCAGGCTCCGCCTCCCAGGTTCATGCCTCCCGAGCAGCTGGGACTACAGGTGCCCACCACCATGCCCAGCTAATTTTTTGTATTTTTAGTAGAGATGGCATTTCACCGTGTTAGCCAGGATGGTCTTGATCTCCTGACCTCGTGATCCACCTGCCTTGGCCTCCCAAAGTGCTGGGATTACAGGCGTGAGCCACCGTGCCTGGCCAACGCATTATTTTAAGCTGATCACAACTTAACACCGAGTACATAAACAAACAAGCAAATGAAAAGTAATAAAAACTGCACTTTAACTTCATCCTCTCACTTTTTATCTTGCTTTGTTTTATTTATATCTTATTGTACTGTTTCTGTTTTGAAAAGTTGTTATAGTTATTAGTTTTGCTTGGTTCATGTTTTTGTTTTTCTACTTAAATTATAAGTAGTTTACTGACCACAATTCCAATATTATAATATCCTGTGTTTTTTTGTGTACTTACTAATACCAGAGAGTTTTGTACCTTCAGTGATTACTTACTGCTTATTAATGTCCTTTTTTTTTTTTTTTATCAGATTGAAGAACTCCCTTTAGCATTTCTTATAGGACAGTTCTGGTGCTTATGAAGTCCCTCAGTGTTTATCTGGGAAAGCCATTATTTCTCCTTCATGTGTGAAGCATTTGTGTGTGTGTGTGTGTGTGTGTGTGTGTGTGTTTGTGTTTGTGTTTGCCAGATATACTATTCCAGAATAAAAGATTTTTTCCTTCAACACTTTAAATATGTCATACTTCTGTCTCGTGGCCAGTAAGGTTTCCACTGAAAAGTCTGCTGCCAGATGTATTGGAGCTCCATTGTATGTTTGTTTCTTTTCTCTTGTTGCCTTTAGGATCCTTTCTTTATCCTTGACCTTTGGGGGTTTGATTACTAAATGCCTTGAGGTTGTCTTCTTTCAGTTAAATTTGCTTGGTGTTCTGTAACCTTCTTGTACTTAAATATTGACAACTTCCTCTAGATTTGGGAAGCTCCTTGTTATTATCCCTTTGAGTAAACTTTCTCCCCCTACCTTTCTCTTTACCTCCCCTTTAAGGCCAATAACTCATAGATTTGCCCTTTCGAAGCTATTTTCTAGATCTTGTAGGTGTGCTTCATAGTGTTTTATTTATTTATTTATTTATTTGTCTCCTCTGGCTCTGTCTTTTCAAATACCCTGTCTTCAAGTTCACTAATTGTTTCTTCTCCTTGATCAATTCTGCTATTAAAATACTTTGATGCATTCTTCAGTATGTTAATTAAATTTTTCAACTCCAGAATTTCTGTTTGATTCTTATTTCAATCTTTGTTAAATTAATCTGATAGGATTCTGAATTCCTTCTCTGCGTTATCTTCAATTTCTTTGACTTTCCTTAAAACAACTATTTCGAATTCTGTCTGCAAGGTCACATATCTCTATCACTCTGGGTTTGATCCTTGGTGCATTATTTAGTTTTTTTTTTTTTTGTTGGGGTCATGTTTTCATGGATGGTCCTGATGCTTGTGATTATTCCTCAGTTCCTGGGCATTGAAGGTATTTATTGTAGTCTTCACAGTCTGGGCTTGATTGTACCTATGCTTTTGTGAAGGCTTTCCAGGTATTTGAAGGGACTTGGGTGTTGTGATCTATGTTTTTGTTCACTGTAGCTGAATCTGCATTAGGAGGCACCCTAAACACAGTAATGCTTTAGTTCTTGCAGACTCATAGAGGTACCACCTTGGTGGTTTTGGATGAGATCTGGAGAATTCTCTGGATTGCCAGGCTGAGACTCTTGTTCTCTTCCCTTATTTTCTCCCCCAAAAAACAGAGTCTCTCTCTCTCTGTTCTGAGGCTGTGGGTGGGGAGACACAGCACCCTGTGGTCACCACCACTGGGACTATGTTGAGTCAGAATGAAGCCAGCACAACACTGGGTCTTGCCCAAGGCCTACTATAACCGCTACCTGTCTGCTGCCTATGTTTGCTGAAGGCCCTAGGGCTCTGCATTCAGCAGGTGGTGCAGCCAGCCAGGTTTGTGTTCTTCCCTTCTGTGCAGCAAGTTCCCCTGGGCCCTGGGTGGGTCCAGAGATTCCATCTGGGAGCCAGGGCCTGGAGTCAGAAACCTTAGAAATCTACCTAGTGCATTATCTACCTGTGACTGAGCTGGCACCCATAATGTAAGACAAAGAATCGTCCCAGTTTTCCTTCCCCTTTTCCCAGGTGGAGGAATCTTTTCCTCTGTCCACCACCACCACAGGCCCATGGAAGTAGTGCCAGGCTACCACTGATGTTCCCTTAAGGCCCAAAGTCTCTTCAGTCAGCTTGTGGTAAATGCTGCTTGGCCTGGGACTCATCCTTCAGGGCAATGGGCTTCTCTCTGGCCCAGCTTAGTTCCAGAAATGCCATCTAAGAGCCACAGCCTGGAATTGGGGACCCCAATAGCCTGCTTGGTGCTCTATCCCACTGTGGCCAAGCTGGTACCTAAGCTGTAAGACAAAATCCTTTTTACTCTTTCCTCTGCTTTTCTCAAGTAGTAGGAGTCTCTCCTCATAGCTGTGAATGTGCTGGGTCATGCCTGAAGCCAGCATGTCTCAGAGTCTCATCCAAGGCTCATCCAGGGTCCGTGGGCTCTTTAGTCAGCAGGTGATGAATACTGCCTGGATTCGGTCCTTTATTTCAAGTCAGCAGGTTCCCCTCTGGCCCAAGGTATATCTAGAAATGTCATCTGCGAGCTAGGGCCTGGAATGGGGGCCTCAGGACTCTGCCTGGTGTCCTATCCTACTGTGACTGAGCTGGTATCCAAGTTGCAAGACAAAGTCCTCTTCACTCTTCCATTTCCTCTCCTGAAGCAGAAGGAAGCAGTCTTTCTTGGAGCTGTGAGCTGCACTGCCTGGGGTTGGGGGAGGGCTGGTGCAAGCACTCCCTTGGCCACACTAGCTGGTGTCTAACTAGGTCACATGGCCCCCAGGTTAGCTGGCTCTGAGTGCAGCACAGTATTAGGACTTGCCTACGAGTTGCAGTCCTTGTGGCTTAGACTGCCTTTCAGGTTTATTTAGGAACCCAGAGACTTTAACCCATGGTGGTGAGGCTTGCTGAAACTCAGATTCTGACCATTGGGATTGGGGATTCCCTTCTAGCTAGAGCTTGACTAAATGCTCTCACTGTGGGCATTGGCTGAATTCTGCCCGTTGGCAGCGCTGAGTTCCAATGCAAAGTCCCACAATCATTGTACTCCCTCTCTCCTTAGTGCACAGATTCTTTTTGCTATGTGGCTGCTGCTGGGGGCTGAGGGAGGGATGGGGTCAGCAATTCAAGACTGTCTTTCCTACCTTCTTCAGTGCCTCTTTCAGTGATATGAAGTTAAAACCAGGTACTGTGATTGGTCACCTGATTTTGGGTTTTTATAAAGATGCTTTTTTGTGTGTGTGTAGATAGCTATTAAATTTGGTGTTACTGCAGGGAAGATAATTGTTGTAGGCTTCTATTCGGTCATCTTGCTTCACCTCCTCCTGAAGAATTTGAAATAGGATTGGAAGGGCACTTGGAGATTTTTACCAGTGAATAGGGGTTTGGGTGTTGGTGAAGTGTTTTTGTTTAAGTAGTTTTATTATTGATATTCTAACTGAATCAACAAATATTTTTAAAATCCTTTTTAAAAAAGTATGGTTGGCACATAATTGTACATATTTACGGGGTACAATGTGATGTTTCGATATATGTATACATTATGTAATTATCAAACCAGGGTGATTAGCATATCAATCATCTTAAACATTTATAATTTCTTTGTGATGAGAACATTCAAAAACCTCTTCTAGCTATTTTGAAATATACAATACATTATTGTTAAGTTTAGTTATCCAACTATAAAATAGAACACCGGAACTTGTTCTTCGTATCTAGTTGTAGCTTTGTAAAAGTTGACCAATCTCTTTCCCTCTCTCCTTGCTTCTCCTTTTCCCATAATCTGGTAACCACTCTTCTACTCTCTACTTCTCTGTGAACAGCTTTTTAGATTCTACATGTAAGTGAGATCATGCTGTATTTGTCTCTGTCTACCAGGCTTATTTCACTTAATGTCTTTCAGGTTCCTCTAAGTTGCCACAAATGACAGAATTTTATTCTTTTTTTATGGTTGAATACTATTCCATTGTGTGTATATACCACATATTTTAAACACATTTATTCATTGATGGACATTTATACTGATTCCATATCTTGGCTATTGTGAATAATGCTATATGGGAGTGCAGATATCTCTTTGACATACTGATTTCATTTCCTTTGTATATGTACTCAGTAGCGGGATTGCCGGATCATATGGTAGTTATATTTTTAGTTTTTTGAGGAACCTCCATACTGTTTTCCATGATGGCTGTACTAATTTGCATTCCCACCAGTAGTGTGTGAGGATTCCTTTTTCTCCACATCCTTGCCAGCACTTGCTATCTTTTAATTTTTTGAGAGTATCCATTGTATCTCATTGTAGTTTTAATTTGTATTTCCCTGATGATTAGTGATGTCAAGCTCTTTTTTTTTTCATATATCTGTTAGCCATTTGTATGCAAATTTGAGAAATGTCTACTCAGGTCTTTTGCCTATTTGTTAACTGGGCTTTAAAACATTTTTCATTTATTTTATTTATTTTTATTTTTCCATAAGTTATTGGGGTACAGGTGGTATTTGGTTACATGAGTAAGTTCTTTAGTGGTGATTTGTGAGATTTTGGTGCACCCATTACCTGAGCAGTATACACTGCACCATATTTGCTGTCTTTTATCCCTCACCCCCTCTCACTCGTCTCCCCAAGTCCGCAAAGTCCATTGTATTATTCTTATGCCTTTGCATCCTCATAGCTTAGCTCCCACATATCAGTGAGAACGTATGATGTTTGGTTTTCCATTCTGAGTTACTTTACTTAGAATAATAGTCTCCAATCTCATCCAGATCACTGCAAATGCTGTTAATTCATTCCTTTTTATGGCTGAGTAATATTCCATAATATATATACCATAGTTTCTTTATCCATTTGTTGATTGATGGGCATTTGGGTTGGTTCCATGATTTTGCAATTGCTAATTGTGCTGCTATAAACATGCATGTGCAAGTTTCTTTTTTGTATAATGACCTCTTTTCCTCTGGGTAGATACCCAGTAGTGGGATTGCTGGATCAAATGGTAGTTCTACTTTTAGTTCTTTAAGGAATCTCCACACTCTTTTCTATAGCAGCATTACTAGTTTCCATTCCCACCAGCACTGTAGAAGTAACTGGGTTTTTTTTTTAAATGAGTTTTTGTAGTTTCTTATATATTTTTTATATTAACCCCTTATCAGATGTATAGTTTGCAAATATATTCTTTCATTTTATAGGCTCTTTGCTCTGTTGATTGTTTCCTTTGATGTGCAGAAGGCTTTAGTTTGATACAATCCTATTTGTCTGTTTGCTTTTATTGATTATGCTTTTGAGCTTTTATCCAAAAAATCCTTGCCTTGACCACTGTCATGGAGATTTCTCACGTGTTTTCTTTTAGTAGTTTCATAGTTTGGGTCTTCTGTCTTTGGCCCATTTTGAGTTAGTTATTGTATACGTTAAGAAATAACGGTCTAATTTTATTATTTTGCATTTGGGTATCCAGTTTTTCCAGCATCATTTATTGAAGAGACTGTCCTGTCTCCATTGTGTTTACTCAACACCTTTGTTTCAAATCCTTTTCCATTGTTGCATGTCTGTTTTTATGCCAGTATCATGTTGTTTTGGTTATCATATCTTTGTAGTATGTTTTGAAGTGAGGTAGTGTGATGCCTCTAGCTTTCTTTTTGCTCAAGATTGTTTTGGCTATTTGAGATTTTTTGAGGTTCCATATTAATTTTAGGATTTTTTTTTCTATGTCTGTGAAGAATGTCCTTAGTATTTTGATAGGGATTGCATGGAATCTGTAGATTACTTTAAGTAGTATGGACATTTAAACAATATTAAGTCTTCCAATTAATGAAATTTGTCCTTCCATTTTTTTGTGTCCTTTTCAATTTCTGTCATCAATGTTTTATAGTTTTCATTGTAGAGTTCTTTTACCCCCTTGGTTAACTTTTCTTCTGGGTAATATTTTTGGTAGTTATTGTAAATTGGATTGCTTTCTTGATTTCTTTTTCAAATAATCAATTATTGGCATATGGAAGTGTTACTAATTTTGCCTGTTGATTTTATAGCCTGAGACCTTATCAAATTTATTAGTTCTTATAGTTTTTGTGGTGATGTCTCTGAGGTTTTATATAATATATATAAAATTATGTTGTCTGCAAACAAGGACAATTTAATTTTCTCTGTTTTAGCTTGGATGCTCTTTATTTCTTTATTTTGCCTTATTATTTAGGCTAGGACTTCCAGTAATATGTTCAACAAAAGTGGTGATAGATTGTCCAGATTATCTTGTTCCAGATTGTAGAGAGAAAGCTTTCTGCTTTTCCTCATTGTGTATGATATTAGCTGTGAATTTGTTATATATGACCTTTATTATGTTGAGGTATATACCTTCTATACCTAATTTGTTGAGAATTTTCAACATAAAGGAGTGTTAAATGTTATAAAACACGTTTTCTGCATCTATTGAGATGATCATATTTTTTTTTCCTCCATTCTGCTCATGTGCTGCATTATGCTTATTGTGTTTCACATGGTGAACCATCCTTGCATCCCTGGGATGAATCCTACTTGATAATGGTGAAGGATCTTTTTTGATGTACTGTTGCACTCTCTTTGACAGTATTTTGTTGAGAATTTTTGTGTCTATATTCATCAGGGATATGGGTCTGTAGTTTATGTTATTGTTTTTGCTTTTGTTATTTTGTATATGTGTATCCTTTTCTGGCTTTGTCAGTGTAATGCTGGCCTCATAGAATGAGTTTGGAAGAATTCCCTCTAATTCAGTTTTTTAAAAAATATTTTGACATGAATTGGTATTAATTCTTCTTTATACAGTAAAGCAACATGCTAAGATGGTTATTTTTAGAGAGAGCTCTTAGGTAGTTGTGCAAATAATTAATTTAGCATGCTGGCATTTATGTTGTTAATTAAAGGAGGAGGTCAGTTCAGAAATCATGGTTTGGATTAGGTACTCTTCAAATTGTACCTAAAAGAAATAGCAGAGGGGCCGGGCGCGGTGGCTCACGCCTGTAATCCCAGCACTTTGGGAGGCCGAGGCGGGCGGATCACGAGGTCAGGAGATCGAGACCATCCTGGCTAACACGGTGAAACCCCGTCTGTACTAAAAATACAAAAAATTAGCCGGGCGAGGTGGCGGGCGCCTGTAGTCCCAGCTACTCGGGAGGCTGAGGCAGGAGAATGGCGTGAACCCCAGGGGGCGGAGCCTGCAGTGAGCCGGGATTGAGCCACTGCACTCCAGCCTGGGCGACAGCGAGACTCCGTCTCAAAAAAAAAAAAAAAAAAAAAAAAAAAAAAAAAAAAAAAAAGAAATAGCAGAGGAAAGAGATGGAACTAGCTGAAAGCTAAATTGATTCCATGTATCACACCTTCAAAACAGAGCTTATTTTTGAAGCTTCATTATATTGTTTTCTGCAGGTTACTCCAAGGACATTTCATTTTTCTTATGACCATGGGTGACCATATTTTCTAAAGTCAGAGTCTGGGGAACATATACTCTGATAAATAATTTTAGGCTGACGTTAGAGATAATTCTTAATCCAGAAGATTGGGTTTAGTCTCTGAAATCATGGAATCCTTGGGATGTGTTGTTCACTAACTGGAAAATAGGACAATACATTATCCTAGAATAACTTTCCTTGAAAGTCTGTATAGTCATTGTAGGTTTAGCAGAATTGGCCCTGTAGAAATAGTTAGTAGATATACATGATGAGTTTGAAGAGGACGTGATAAAAAAAAACCATTGCTGGCTCATTTGTCTCTTTTAGTTCTGCTCCGATTTGATTCTGGGTACTCAGCTCTCAGCTTTGGGAATATGGAATAATTTATCTCTTTCTGAGTATTATATATTCAGTGTCTTGAGTTTATCTTGATTCAAACCAACAAGAGGTGGGAATGCTCCTTAGCTATTTCCAGCATTCAAAACATGATTATGTATTTGTTAAAAAGAGAAAATGAATTCATTTTGTGCCTTTTTACTCCAGCATTGTTCACAGATGAATCTTGAGCTAAAAACTGGAGCTGTTGGTCTGTGTACCCTTAAGTGGTATCAGCTTTCAGGGTGAATTTGCACTTCTCTTGAGACATAATGAAAAGGGAAGTGAATTTGATTGATCCTTAGTATCTATTAATAATTTTACCTTCATTCTCTAATTTTGTCTTTATCACAACCAAGATATGTAGGTATTTTTTAAAATTTCAACTTTTATTAATTTAATTTATTTATTTTGTTATTTATAAATAAATTTATTTATTTATTTATTTATTTTTTTGTAGAGATGGAGTCTTGCTCTGCCACCCAGGCTGGAGTGCAGTGGTGCGATCTCGGCTCACTGCAAGCTCCACCTCCCGGGTTCATGCCATTCTCCTGCCTCAGCCTCCCGAGTAGTTGGGACTACAGGCGCACACCGCCACGCCCGGCTAATTTTTGCATTTTTAGTAGAGATGGGGTTTCACCGTGTTAGCCAGGATGGTCTCGATCTCCTGACCTCGTGATCCGCCCGCCTCGGCCTCCCAAAGTGCTGGGATTACAGGCGTGAGCCACCACACCCAGCCTAAAATTTCAACATTTATTTTAGGTTCATGGTCTATATGTGCAGGTGTGCTACATTGGCATATTGTGTGATGCTGAGGTTTGGAGTACAACTGATCCTGTCACCCAGGTGCTGAGCACAGTACCTACTAGGAAGTTTTTCAGCCCTTGCCTCCACCCTCCCACCGCTCTAAATAGTCCCCACTATCTATTGTTCTCATCTTTGTGTCCATATGTACCCAATGTTCGGCTCCCACTTATAAGTGAGAACATGCAGTGTTTGGTTTTCTATTCTTGTGTTAATTCACTTAGGATAACGTCCTTCAGCTACGTCCATGTTGCTATAAAGGACGTAATTTCATTCTTTTTTTTATGTCTGCGTAGTATTCCGTGGCGTTTATGTACCACATTTTCTTTATCCAGTCCACTGTTGGTGGGCACCTAGATTGATTCTATGTCTTTGCTGTTGTGACTAGTGCTGTAATAAACTTGTGAGCTCATGTGTCTTTTTGTTAGAAAGATTTGTTTTTGTTTGGATATATACCCAGTAAAGGGATTGCTGAGTCAAATGGTAGTTCTGTTTTAGGTTTTTTGAGAAATCGCCAAACTGCTTTACACAGTGACTGAACTGATTTACATTCTTTACGTTCTCACCAGTAGTGTGTAAATGTTCTCTTTTCTCTACAACCTTGCCAGCATCTATTATTTTTTTGACTTTTTAATAGTGGCCATTCTGATTAGTGTGAGATGGGCCCATTGTGGTTTTGGTTTGCATTTCTCTCTCTGCTTTTTGTTTGTTTGTTTTTTTGTTTGAGACAAAGTCTCTCTCTGTCGCCCAGGCTGGAGTGCAGTGGTGTAATCTCCACTCACTGCAACCTCCACCTCCCGGGTTCAAGTGATTCTCCTGCCTCAGCCTCCCAAGTAGCTGGGATTACAGGTGCCTGCCACCACACCTGGCTAATTTTTGTATTTTTAGTAGAGACAGGGTTTTGTAGTTTTAGTAGAGACAGATTTGATGTTGGTCAGGCTGGCCTCAAACTCCTGACCTCAGGTGATCCACCCGCCTCAGCCTCCCAAAGTGCTGGGATTACAAGCATAAGCCACCGTGCCTGCCTGTGGTTTGCATTTCTCTAATGATTAGTGATGTGGAGCATTTTTGCTTATGTTTTTTGGCCACTCGCATGTCTTCTTTTAAGAAGTTTCTGTACGTGTCCTTTGCCCATTTCTTAAATGGGGTTGTTTTTGGCTTGTTGATTTAAGTCCCTTGTAGATTGTAGTTATTAGACCATTGTTAGATACATAGTTTGCAAATATTTTCTCCCATTCTGTAGGTTGTCTTTTACGCTGTTAATAGTTTATCTTGCTGTGCAGATGCTCTTTAGTTTAGTTAGGTCCCACTTGTTAATTTTTGTTTTTGTTACAATTGCATTTGGGGTCTTAGCCATAAATTCTTTGCCAAAGTCGATGTCCAGAATGGTATTTCCTAGATTTTCTTCTAGGAATTTTATAATTTGAGGTCCTACTTTTAAGTCCTTAATCCATCTTAAGTTAATTTTTATATATGGTAAAATGTAGGGGTCCTGTGTCATTCTTCAGCATATGCCTAGTCATTTTTCCTGGCAACATTTATTGAATGGGGAGCCCTTTCCCCATTGCTTATTTTTGTCAACTTTACCAAAGATCAGATGATTGTAGGTGTGTGGTTTCATTTTCAGGGTCTCCATTCTGTTCCATTAGTTTATGTGTCTGTTTTTGTACCAGTACCTTGTTGTTTTTATTACTATAGTCTTATAGCATAGTTTGAAATCAGGTAATGTGATGCCTTCAGCTTTGTTCTTTTTGCTTAGTATTGTTTTGGCTATTTGGGCCTTTTTGGTTCCATATGAATTTTAGTAATTTTTTTCAATTCTGTTAAAAATGACATTGGTCGTTTGTTAGGAATAGCGTTGAATCTGTAGATTGCTTTGGGCAATGTGGCCATTTAAACAATGTTGATTCTTCAATCCATGAGCATGGAATGTTTTTCCGTTTGTTTGTGTCATCTATGATTTCTTTTAACAGTGTTTTATAGTTGTCCATGTAGAGATCTTTCGTTTTGGTTAGACTTATTCCTAGGTATTTTATATTTTTGTGGCTATTGTAAATGAGATTTAGTTCTTGATTTGGCTCTCAGTTTGAACATTATTGGTATATAGAAATGCTGCTGATTTTTGTACATTGATTTTGTATCCTGAAAGTTTACTGAAGTCATTTATCAGTTATAGGAGTCTTTTAGTGGAGTCTTTAGGGATTTCTAGGTATGGAATCGTGTTGTCAACAAAGAATTTAAATCCTTCTTTTCATATTTGGATGCTTTTTATTTATTTCTGTTGCTAGATTGCTCTGGCTAGAACTTCCAGTCTTATGTTGAATAGGAGTGGTAAGCATGGGCATCCTTGTCTTATTCCAGTTCTTAAAGGGAATACCTCCAGTGTTTACCTGTTCAGAATGTTGTTGGCTGTTGGTTTGTCATAGATGGCTCTTATTACTTTGATGTATATTTTTTTCCATGTCTAGCTTGTTAAAGGTTTTCATTATGAAGAGATATTGGAGTTTACCAAAAGCCTTTGCTACGTCTATTGAGATGATCATATGATTTTTGTTTTTAGTTTTGTTTATGTGTTAAATCACATTTGTTGATTTGCATGCATTGAAACAACTGCATCTCAGGATTAAAGCTCACTTGATCATGAAGAATCAAGTTCTTGATGTGCTTCTGGTTTCAGTTTACTAGTTTTTTGTTGAGAATTTTTACATCTATGTTCATCAGTGATATTGGCCTGTAGTTTTCATTTTTTGTTGTGTCTTTGCCAGATGTTGGTATCAGGGTGATGTTGACTTCTTAGAATGAGTTAGGGAGGAGTCCTTCCTACTCTAGTTTTTGGAATAGTTTCAGTAGAATTGGTACCAACTCTTCTTTGTATGTTTGGTAGAATTTGGCAGTAAGTCTGTCTGGTCTAGGGC
Organism: Homo sapiens; assembly: GCF_000001405.40. Taxonomy (NCBI): domain Eukaryota; kingdom Metazoa; phylum Chordata; class Mammalia; order Primates; family Hominidae; genus Homo; species Homo sapiens. The sequence goes on from NC_000011.10 coordinate 20,817,274, forward strand.
TTTTTTTTGCTTGGTAATTTTTTTACTGACTAAATTTCAGATCTTGATGTTGGTCTGTTCAGGATTTCAATTTCTTCCTAATTCAATCCTGGGAAGTTGTGTGTATCCAGGAATTTATCCATTTCCTCTAGATTTTCGAGTTCGTGTGCATAAAGGTGTTCATAATAGTCTCTGAGGATCTTTTGTATTTCTTTGATATCAGTTGTTATGTCACCCTTGTGATTTCTGTTTGTGCTTATTTGGATCTTCTCTTTTTTTTCCTTGTTAGTGTAGCTAGCAGTCTATCAATCTTCTTTATCCTTTCAAAAATCCAATCTTTGGTTTTGTTGATCCTTTGTATGGATTCCTGGATCTCAATTTCCTTTAGTTCTCTCCTGATTTTAGTTACTTATTTTCTTCTGCTTGCTTTGGGGTTAGTTTGTTGTCGCTTTTCTATTCCTCTAGCTGTTATGTTAATTGTTGATTTGAGGTCTTTCTAACTTCTTGGTGTAGACATTTCCTCTTTATACTGCTTTTGCTTCCTCCCAGATATTTTGATATGTTGTGTCTCTGTTTTAAAGATTTTTTTTTTGATTTCTGCCTTGTTTTAATTGTTTATTCAAAAGTCATTCAGGAACTAGTTGTTTAATTTCCATGTAGTTGTATGATTTTAAGAAATCTTCTTGGTATTGATTTCTATTTTTATTTCACTGTGGTCCGAGAGTATCATTGGTATGACTTGCTTTATGGAAAAGCATGTGGTTGATCTTAGAGAATGTCTCACGTGCAGATGAGAAAAATGTATATTCTGTGTTTGATGGATGGAGTATTCTATAGATGTCTATTAGTTTCAATCAGTCAAGTGTTGAATTTATGTCTAGTATTTCTTTGTTAGTTTTCTTTTTCAGTGATCTAATACTATCAGTGGAGTGAAGTCCCCAACTATTATGTGTGACTTTCTAAGTCTTTTTGTAGCTCTAAAAGCACTTGTTTTGTGAATCTGGGTGCTCCATTTTTGGGTGCATATCTATTTATTATAAGTAAGTCTTCCTGTTGAATTGAACTTTTCAGCATACGTAACGTCTTTCTTTGTCCTTTTTTAATGTGGTTGGTTTGAAGTCTGTTTCATCCCATATAAGAGAAGCAACCCCTGCTTTTTTTTTTTTTTTTTTTTTTTGTCTTCGGAATCAGGAAACTGCTATTCAGAGAAATTGAGTAGTTTGTCCAAAGTCATACAGATAGAAAATGGCAGAGCCACAATGCAAAACAAAATTTGAAGATTTTGAAATCAGATTGGGAAGACATTTAATATTTGAACTGGTGAGTTATCTTTAAATATCATTTCTCATCTCTTACCTTTAGTATTACTTCATGGTAGTAATTACAGTTTTGCTGAGTTGGATATGTTGAGATTGATGTAATTCTAGCCTGACTTAGGGCACTTATCATTGTCTAGCTTGGGGAGCTTCCCAAATGGGTCCCAAGGGCCACTGGGCATGTAAGCCGCCCTTAGAAAAGAAGAGTTATAAGATTAAATACATTTGGGAAGCATGACTCTCTTTCTTGGAAAATCACAATAAATATTAGCATATTGAGAGCTCTTCAAATCATGTCATAAAGTATTAGTCCCTGTGCTAGGTACTTCAAATGTGTGGTGGCATTTAATCTGTACAAAACAGTAAGGTATTATTACCCTCGCATCACAGATGAGGAAACTGAAGCACAGATTGTTGGCTGCTTTGCCAAGAGTCACCCAGCTAGTAAAGTGATGGATCTCAGAGTCAAACCCAGGTATCTGGCTCCTCAGCACATTTTCTTAAACAGTATATTTTACTGGCTCTTTAAACTTACTTACCCAGCATTTCCCAAACTTACTTTTATCATGCAGTGCTTTGGTGGTATTTTTAATGCCATTTATTTGACCTAGCGTGCTAACAAACACTGGAAAATGCTGCATGTACAGCATTGATTCGAGGCCATGATGGACTTTCAGTCTAGATAAAAGCGGCAGAGTCTTGGACCCCTGAACATAGTGGAACAGGTGAGGTTGTCAGAGAACAGTCAGTGAGAGGAAAGGCTTGGTGGCGTTTAACCCAATTACAGTGTTGCATTCATGATTGGTACCTGTACTTTGTCTTTCTGAGGTCAGTAATAAAACATCTCCTGAAAAAGGCCGTTGTTTACATGCTGCAAAGATGTCCAGTGCCCACTTGGGCCTGTGGTCCACTGAGGGCAATGTGTGGGAGCTCTCTACTTGTCAAGATTCAGAGGCAGAAAGGGGGCTGGACAACTGCAATGTCTGTTTCTAAATTGTTACATGAGACTTTTAAAATTGTCTAAAAGTTTCAGATGAGGGTAAGATAAATAACCTCTGAGCTGTCCAGTAAATGAAAAATATAACATTCAGCCTTTATCGATAAGTTCCCCTTCTTTAAGCCAGTGTAGACCCCAGAAATGGGTGGGTTATATCTGGTTGAAATTCAGGCACCTTAAAACTTGAAGAAAGCCATGAGAATTTGTCAATATCTTTACCCACTTTTTTGCAAAGGATTTGAAATATGGTAAGTACAGCAACTCCAGGGGTTAAAAATAGTTTCATTTTTCATCTTTCAGAGGACTCTGGGGACATAAAGCACTATTAACTGTAGTTGTATGGTGCCTAAGGGACAAAGAGATGATCCGCTTGATTCCTTGAGCTCCTTTCAGGCAGACTTCAGGAGGATCTTTAGTAAGTCTTACTGGAGAGTGAGATAAGGTTCTCAATCTAGACTGTAGTGACAATGGAACTTGGACCCTATATCAGTTTTGAAGGCTGGTTTTATGGCCCCAAATTTCTGGTTACAGGAATGTTAAGCAGCATTTTTCAGTGACAACTCTTAATGCTTTGTTGTTTCTGGGAGACTAGAATAGTTGCTTATTCTTGTGCTTGGAGAACAGTGATGTTTTGAAAGCCTGACATAAGGTAACCACAGGTATATACAGAATGTATGAGGCTAATCCTTCCCTGACAAATATTAGTGGAAGGCAGACAGTCCTGTATGCTCTGGAGGCCTGTGGCCGGTTTACACCCATTCTGCTCTTTTCTTCTCTAAAATGTTATTAAATACCTATTATAAACTAGGTGCTGTGCTAGGAGCTGGGGAGATTGAGATGTACCCTTGTGAGAGGCAGGTCACTCAACAGTTACAGCACACCATAATATGTGTTACAAAAGAAATGAGTAATATCATGTCACTCCTTTGGTTAGCACTCTTAAATTTCTTCTCCACTAATTCATAATAAAATCCAAAGTCCTTACCAAGGCTGTGTTTCTGTGAGATCTGGCTCTTTCCTGCCCTTCTGACTTCATCTCCTGCCCCTACTACATTGTCACTGAGCTCAGCCACAGTGGCCTCCCTGTTGTTCACAGGCATGTCCAGCTTCCTCTTACCCTGCCCCAAGCCCTTTGTACCTATTTCTCTTGTCAAAGAATAGAATACCCTTTTCCTCATAGGACTCATTGATTACTTATTCAGACCTCCTTTCACAGATTTACACCTTATTAGAGAGCCTTCCTTGATAGCTGTCTCTAGCGTAGCCCCTTCTCTGCCCCTGCCATGCTATATCCCCATTACCCTGATTTATGTTTTATAAACTTGTCACCTAACAATATATATTTATTTTGTTTCTTTCTCTTTTCTGTTAGATAAACAACTCAAGTGCAGAAACTTTATTTGGCTTGTTCACTGCTATATCCCAAGCACTTTGAACAATGCATGGCACCTTGTAGATGCCCCATCAATATTTGCCCTATTGAGAAGCAGGAAGAGAAGGAAGCCATTAACCCTTCCAGGGAAAGTCAAGGGAGGCTTTATAGAGGAGATGGCATTTAAACTGGGACTTGAAGCATGAGTCAGAGTTTACCAGGTGGAGAAGTTGTGGGTTGCAGAGGTAGGTGGAGGGAGGGAACGATTATGGTCATGATATCAAAGACAAAGGCACGATGCATTACTCCTTTCCCTCCTCCACCCTTCTCCTTCCTCTACCTGTCTCTAGAATACAAATTACTATCCAGCTTAATTTCTGGGAGAGTTTACCACTGAGCAGCTTGCTCTCAGGCTCCTACACTACAGTAAGATGTGTCAAGTGCCTGATTGAGCTTAAGTATGATTATGATGAGGTTGAGGAAGGTGTGGATGTATTCATTCTTCTGCAGTGACATTATCAGCTCATAACCAGCTCCTTATATGAAGTACACAGGGATTTCACATGCTGGCAGAGGGATTGTAAAACATCTTGAATTGATTGTAGGGTAATAATGTCCATCTCCAAAAGGACTTGTTATGATTATAATATGTCCAACTGTTTTCATATGTTTAAAACTCAGGATGAAGTTAGATCTCCACTTGGGGCTTTTTCTCACTCTGACACATTGGAATTTTAATAGAGCCTCAGCAGCTAGATCTTTAAAGTGAGATAATGTTCAAACACTTTAATTAAATTTTTGAAAAGGGCAGCAATAACTTACATACCAACAGGCTCAGCCTGGGTTCTGTAGTGATTCACATATTGCTTAATCTGAGTACCAGGGCTTCTCTCTTGTTCATTTGTATGTTACTGGGGAGCACTTGCTTAGCAAATGAAGAAGAGCCATCAGAAAGCTCTTATTTAATACCCTCAAAGAGATTAGCTGAGGGCCTCTCTCTAGTTCCCACTGGGTAGGCAGTAGTACTACGTCCAGTTCTTTTCCATTTTTCTCTTTTCTTCTGAAAGGCTTCTACCAAGGATATTAAAGTGCTTAATCAGGCCACTGTGTTTAGTTAAGTTCATACTGGGTCCCTGAGTGTCCCCAAGTCAGTCTAGGAGTGGACAGGAGCAGATGATAACTAGCAGTGAAGAGTAGACTGAGGGTCAGGGGGCATATACGAGAATGACTCATAGGCAAAATAGTAGGTTGGAAACCAGGCAGACAGACTCCAGGAGACACGCAGAAGTTGAAGAGGTAAGCTCAAGGGAATGGCTTGGTAAACTGGCATAATCAGGACTCAGAGAGCACTTGGGTAATAGACATTAAGTCCTCACAGAAAGAAATCAAATAGATGGTATAGCAGATGGAAGCCATTAGCAATCAGATGATCAAATTTTCTACCTTCATTTCCTGGCAGGGCTTGATATAGCATAAATGCCTAGTATATTTTGGTTGAATGAATGCGACAAACTTTTTTTTTCTTCGGAGACAGGAAGCCTTTTGTAGAGCAAGAGTCATTCTTGGGGCAGGTATGCCCAGGGCCTGCAGGTGTGGGTGGGTGAAACACCTCAGAGATGTTTTAATAGATTCATCTGTTTAAAATGAAAATTGTGGAGCTTGATTTTTGGCAGATTTTGACAGTTCACCAGTGTCAGGGGTAGCAAGGTAGTTCTTACAGTCCTTCATGTGGATGATGTAGGTGAGTCTTGAAGAGTGGGTATGATTTGCCAGGTGTCCAGGAGTAGAAAAACATTCCAGTCACCAGGAACAGTGGTTACCAGTGCAGGATGGGGAGGTAAAGGTTGGAGAGAACGCTGGAAGATTGGAGGTGGTAAGATCATTGGAAGTCTTATGTGCTCAGCTTTGCTTAAAGACCTTGGTCTTGTAGTAAGATAGACTGAATGAATGAATGATGCAGTGGGGAGTAAAGAGGTCTAAAGTAAGTGTAGTTTGCAGTGGGGAGCATGAGCTCTGGTGGTACACCTAAGAGCTTGGCTTGGAAAGCTGAAGAGAACAGTTCTGCCAGTGACAAGGGTCATAAATGAACCATGAAGGAAAACAGTACAGTAAACAGCAGAAAATACAAGGTCTGTATATTAGTCTGTTTTCCAGCTGCTGATAAAGGCATACCTGAGACTGGGCAATTTACAAAAGAAAGAAGTTTAATTGGACTTACAGTTCCACATGGCTGGGGAAGCCTCTCATTATGGTGGAAGGCAAGGAGGATCGAGCTGCATCTTACATGAATGGTAGCAGGCAGAGAGAATGAGGAAGATGCAAAAGCAGAAACTCCTGATAAAACCATCAGATCTCGTGAGACTTATATCTACCACCACTAGAACAGTATGGGCGAAACTGTCGCCATGATTCAATGATCTCCCACTGGGTCTCTCCCACAACATGTGGGAAATATGGGAGTACAATTCAAGGTGAGATTTGGGTGGGGACACAGGGTCAAACCATATCAGTCTGGAAGGGGCAGCAGCAGTAGGACTGCAGGGAGGGTCACATGGAAACATTGAGTCTTTTTCCACACATGCAGCCAAATCCCCTTGGACTTCAGAAGGCACAGAAGACATGGCTGAATATTTTAATTGCTTGGAGAGCTTTTAAATATAAAATTCGGAAATTGTTATAAAATCTCCTGAATCTGAGTGCTTGGGAATTTGGTCTGGGAATGTCAGTTTTAAATAAGTTTCCAGGTGATTCTAATGCAAATACTCTGCCAAGTATGTGGGAATCACAGGAGGGTAGCTATACTGTATGCCCTCTCTCAAAAAGGCCATAGAGAGGAAACAGCCACCCAACCAGTGGTGGAAGGCGAGCCAAGGCTCATGGAAATCCTTCAGAAATGCCCCTGCACCTGCCCCGAAGAAAGCCTCACACAATCTAAATTGGTTAGGATACAGGAGTGACTACTGAAGCAAATACTCAAACAACAATGATTTAAACAAGATGGAAGGGTAATACTCTTTCATGCAGCAGTTTGAATGTGGGTAGTTAATATGGTCTGGCTGTGCATCCTCACCCAAATCTCATCTTGAGCTGTAATCCAAATTGTAATCCCATGTGTTGGGAGAGGGACCTGGTGGGAGGTGATTAGATCATGGAGGTGATTCCCCCCATGCTGTTCTCATGATAGTGAATGTGTTCTATGAGATCTGCTGGCTTTATAAGGGGCTTTCCCCCACTTCGCTCTGTGCTTCTTATTCCTGCTGCCATGTGAAGAAGGACGTATTTGCTTCTCCTTCTGCCATGAATGCAAGTTTCCTGGGGACTTCCCAGCCAAGCTGAACTGTGAATTAATTAAACCTCTTCCCTTTATAAATTACACAGTCTCAAGTATGTCTTCATTAGCAGTGTGAGAACAGACTACTACAGTAAATTGGTGCCAGGAGTGGGTTGCTGCCATAAGGATACCTGAAAATGTGGAAGCAACTTTGAAACTGAGTAACAGGCAGGGGTTGGAACAGTTTGGAGGGCTCAGAAGAAGATAGGAAAATGTGGTAAAGTTTGGAACTTCCTAGACACTTGGAGGGCCCAGAAGACAGGAAGATGTGGGAAAGTTTAGAACTTCCTAGAGAATTGTTGAATGGCTTTGCCCAAAATGCTGATAGTAATATGGACAATGAAGTCGAGGCTGGGATGGTCTCAAACAGAGATGAGGAACTTGTTGGGAAATGGAGCAAATATGACTCTTGTTATGCTTTAGCAAATAGACTGTTGGTATTTTGCCTCTGCCCTAGAGATCTGTGAAACTTTGAATTTGAAAGAGATAATTTAGGATATCTGGCAGAAGAAATTTCTAAGCAGCAAAGAATTCAAGAGGAAGCAGAACATAAAAGTTTGGAAAGTTTGTAGACTGACAATGCGATAGAAAAAATCCATTTTGGGGAGAAATTCAAACCAGCTGCAGACATTTGCATAAGTAACAAGCAGCCGAATGTTAATCACTAAGACAATATGGAAAATGTCTCCAGGGCATGTCAGAGACCTTAGCAGCAGCCACTCCCATCACAGGTCCAGAGGCCTAGGAAAGAAAAATGGTTCCCTGAGCCAGGCCATTGCTTCAGAGGGTGCAAGCCCCAAGTCTTGGCAGACTTTATGTGGTGTTGGGCCTGTAGGTCCACAGAGGTCAAAAATTGATGTTTGGGAACCTCTGCCTAGATTTCAGAGGCTGTATGGCAATGCCTGCTTATCCAAGCACAGTTTGCTGTACGGACAAAACTCTCATAGAGAACCTCTGCTAGGGCAGTACAGAAAGGAAATGTAGAGTCAGAGCCTCCACACACAATCCCCACTGGGTCACTGCCTAGTAGAGATGTGAGAAGAGGGCAACTGTCCTCCAGACCCCAGAATGGTAGATCTACCGACATCTTGTGCCATGAACCTGGAAAAGTTGCAGATACTCAATGCCTGCCCATTAAAGCAGCTGGGAAGGGAACTGTACCCTGAAAAGCCACAGGGGCAGAGTTGCCCAAGGCCATGGGAGTCCACCTCTTGCATCTGTGTGACCTGGATGTGAGACATGGAGTCAAAGGAGATTATTTTGGAGCTTTAAGATTTGATTATTGCCTCATTGGATTTCGAACTTGCATGGGCCTGCAGCCTCTTTGTTTTTGCTAATTTCTCCCTTTGGAATGGGTGTATTAAGCCAATACCTGTACCTCCATTGTATCTAGGAAGTAACTAACTTGCTTTTCATTGTACAGGCTCATAGGTGGAAGGAACTTACATTATCTCAGATAAGAATATGGACTTGGACTTTTGGGCAAATGCTGAAATAAGTTAAGACTTTGGGGAACTGTTGGGAAGGCATATTTGTGTTTTGAAATGTGAGAAACACATTTCAAACCTGGGAGGGGCCAGGGGTGGAATGATATGGTCCGGCTCTATGTCCCCACCCAAATCTCATCTTGAATTGTAATTCCCATGTGTTTGGAGAGGGACCTTGTGGGAGGTGATTAGATAATGGAGGTGGTCCCCCATGCTGTTCTTGTGATAGTGAGTGAGTTCTCACAAGATCTGATAGTTTTATAAGGGGCTTTCCCCACTTTGCTCTGCACTTCTTCTTCCTACCACCATGTGAAGAAGGATGTGTTTGCTGCTTTTTCCATCATGATCATAAGTTTCCTGAGGCCTCCCCAGCCATGCTGAACTGTGTTTCAAACCTCTTTCTTTTATAAATTACCCAGTCTCGGGTACGTCTTTATTAGCAGCATGAGAATGGACTAATATAGTAGTCCAGAGTTTATGTGACAACTTTACAGGACCGAGAAACTAGGTTCTTCTATATTATGGCCCTCTGCCTGTAGTCCTTGATGATTCAGTCCCATTACCTCACTATGCCAGCATGAAGGAGAACAAGAAGAAGTCAAGAGCATTCTCCTTACATGCATTACTTTCACTCATGTCCCACTGGTGAGAGCTTAATCTCATGACCACGCCTAGCTGTAAGGAAGATGGTGAATGTGACCTTTATTCTAGATGGCCGTGTGCTTCACTAAGATTCAATTACTAAAGGAAAGGGGAGAGTGCACACCAGGGGACAGCTGGCATTCTCTGCCTCCAACATTCTTCAGATTTTCACTCACAGGGTCCTGAACTCCTCTCTGGACACTCCTCTCTGGTTAATTATTTTTTATTGCACAATTCTGGATTAGGAACCGGCTGGGGGATTGACACCCCTTCAGGAAAATCACCCAAAGGCTGACCTATAGAAGCTGGCCTTCCCTGAAGTTATTGCCATAAAAACCCCTCCAAGCAAGAATCAGCCTTAGTGGAACTAATCTCGGTATTTGCCTGATACATCTTAAATTTGCTTGTTCAGGTGAACAAGACCTTTGCATGGAGGAGTGAGACAGACTGGACGTCAGTAGAGAGATTATATTTAGCTGAGTTGAAGGGAAGGGAACTAACATTTGCTGAAGGTATACTTTTGTGTGTTAATTGTTTTCGATATGCGATAACACATTCACCCAGAAGACCTGAGTGTCAGATCTGGCTCTATTGCTCACTGGCAGTTAGTTTAACTATAATACCTTTGAGAGGTTTATGCTGGAATTGCCAAGACACAGCCCTGGTTTTGCAATAGGAGTGCGGAAAGAACCATGGCTTGGTTTATCTGAGTCGAAATATTTTCATGTGTTAAGATGGGGATTCTAATAGTGCCTGCCAAGACACGAACATTAATGTCTAATTTCCAATTCCATGGACCCCCTTATACTATGATTGGAAGAGCCTGAGTGACCAGTGTCAAAGTAAACTTATGTTTTTATTCTTGTGCCAAAGCTCTGTAGATACTGTCAGTGCTCATTATTGTGTTATCAAATGAAGCAGGAGAAAGTAAGTCTTTCTTTCTGTATGGCTTGGAGGGATTTTCAAGGCTTATAATTAGGAACTATTTCTCATTGACGGTTTTAGCTAGGGATGTACCATATTTATATGTTGCTCACATAAAAGACCAATTCAGGTGTTTCTGGCTAGGTATCTGTCCTGGGAAGCTCTTCTTCTAGTGGAAAGTTAGAGGCCTAGACTCTGTCCACTTCGTCATTCTTCCATCTTCAACATGTGGTATTCCAGGTGTTTCTGAGGGTTGTCTTTATTCCAGCAACCAGAAAGAGGATTGCATGTAGGAGGTTTAGGGTCAGCCTTGGAAGCAGTACACATGTATCAATTACTTCTGCTGACATTTCATTGTCCGGAACTCAAGCATATGGCCACACCTAGTATTATTAGCAAGAAAGGCTGGGAAATGAGTCCTAGCTCTGTGCCAAGAAGAAAAGTAAATTGGTTATGATTTTCTTCCACCCTAAGTTAATGTGTACTATCTTATTTTTAAAAACACAATATTCTCTGTGGGGGAGTGATGAGGTTGTGCAAAACTGTTTAAGTGACTTCCTTCTGTTGTGATGGGCACCATAGATTAAAAATATCTTAGTCCCAAAGGGAGACTGCTAACCGCTGTTGACTCTATGCTACCTACTCCCAACAGCCTCAGCATCTCTTTATTGGTGCTAGAAACTTCATTTCCTTTACAACATCCTAGACATAGTGTCATGGAGCAGAAAGGGCATCTTTAGTATTATATAAACTTGGGTTTCTATCTTGGATCTACCACTTACTGGTTGTATTTTCTTGGATGACTTTATATCTTTGAACTTCAGCTTCTTCATCTGTAAACTAGGTATAATCATATCTGCCCAATGGGCATACTTTAAGGATTTAAGACAATGTCTGGCACATAGGCACTCAATAATTGTCAAATGTTATTATTATTTAGATCCCACGCTTTCTGTCCTAAGTTTAAAGGGCATGATTTAAATGAGATATTCTGAATATCTTGTTAATCTTGCATGTTCTACTCTTGGAATATCTATTAAAATTAGCCATATTTGAAATGTAGTCTCCACATATAACTTGCAAACACTAGAAACCCAGAAGAGAGTTAATAATTGAAAAAACTCTCAAGTTTGTCATTACCTTAATGATTGGTATGAGGAGCCATTTTCCTAGCACTTTTCTAAAATTTAACCTAGGGAGCTTGTTCATGCTCAATTCTTGTTTGGGATCGCTGCAGGTAAGGGATTTGTGGAACTGTCTTGGGGTTCCTCTTACCCAGTAATTCATGATCTACTATATTCTGACTTCTGCCTGCCTTCTGGCCTTCCCACTCTGAGATGTCCACCCAGTCTCACGTAGGACAGGAGAACTCAATATTTTTAATGCTGTTTTATGCTCATCATTTGTTTTTTCTTTTCAGTCAGTTTTAGTGTCTCACTTTCTATCTGTTCTTAAGTTTTCATTTTTCTGCAACTGTGACAGGTAGAAGGTGGATTTCACAATTCTAACCTGGGTGAATGGATGGCTTCTGTTAATTTATTATAAGAATAACTCAATCCGTGAGGAAGATGAGAACCATGAGCCAAGATTTTATTGGGAAAAAACTATGATTCAAAAGAGAAAGTCCAGAGGATCCAGTCTTTCCTTTTTTGCAAGTCCAAAAGATAAAATACATTTTTCCATTGGGATGTCGATCACTGGTTTGGCTTCCTTGGCTAGGCCTCTTAGGAGAGAAGACAGTGATTTATTTTTTTAACTTTTTCTTTTACATTAATTTTAGGAAGTTGCAAAAATGATACAGCAAGTCTTGTATATCTCTCACCCAGTTTCCTCTAATATTAACATCTTACGTAACCATGATAAAATTATGAAAATCAGGAAATTGACCTTGCTGCAGGACTATTTTTTTTTTTTTTTTTTTTTGAGACGGAGTCTTGTTCTGTTGCCCACGCTAGAGTGCAGTGGTGCAATCGCGGCTCACTGCAACCTCCACCTCTCAGGTTCAAGCAATTCTCCTGCTTCAGCCTCCTGAGTAGCTGAGATTACAGGCACCCGCCACCACACCTGGCTAATTTTTGTATTTTTTAGTAGAGAAGAGGTTTCACTATCTTGGCCAGGCTGGTCTCCAATGCCTGACCTCATGATCCACCTGCCTCGGCCTCTCAAAGTGTTGGGATTACAGGTGTGAGCCACTGCACCTGGCCTGCTGCAGGACTATTAATCAAATTCCACATCTTGTTTGAATTTTGCCAGGTTTTTTTTTAATGAATATAGGATTTTTTCTGTTTCAGGATCTTGTCCAGCCCACATTTCATTTAGTTGCTATTTCTTCTTAATCTCAAAAATGTTACAATTTGTCAGACTTTCCTATCTTCATGACTTTGACACTTTTGAAGAGTATGGCCAGTTATTTTGTAGAATGGCCCTTAGTTTGAGTTTCTGACATTTCCTCATGATTAAGTTATTATTATTTTTTTTTGGCAAGGATACCATAGAAATGATGTTGCTTTTTCTCTGTGCATCACGTGAAAGGATTCCTTATATTGATATATCTTATTACTGATGATATTATCCTTGATTGCTTGGTTAAGGTGGAGCCTGCCAGGATTCTTCACTGTGAAGTTCTTATTTTTCATTTTGTAATTAAAGAAATTAGTAGTAAAGGATTTTGGCTGGGCGCAGTGGCTCATGCCTGTAATCCCCCCACCTTGGGAGGCTGAGGCAGGTGGACCACGAGGTCAAGAGATCGACACCATCCTGGCAAACATGGTGAAACCCTGTCTCTACTAAAAATACAAAAATTAGCTGGGTATGGTGGTGCGTGCCTGTAATCTCAGCTACTTGGGAGGCTGAGGCAGGAGAATTGCTTGAACTTGGGAGATGGAGGTTGTAGTGAGCCAAGACCCAGACTGGTGACAGAGTGAGACACCATCTCAAAAAAAAAAAAAAGTTTTTTTCCAGCCCTCAACTGAGAAACTGCTTTTGAATCACTGAAGTGAGAAGGTGTGTTCCTGTGGGTCTGTTTATGGAAGAAGGAGAAAGAATGGAGAGCAACACCTCAGTAATACCTGGTCTTCTTTTTGCTCTCTCTTCTGCCCTCTGCCTCCTGGGTTCAAGCAACTCTCCTGCCTCAGCCTCCCAAGTAGCTGGGATTACAGGTGTGTGCCAACACTCCTGGCTAATTTTTTGTATTTTTAGTAGAGACAGGGTTTCACCATGTTGGCCAGGCTGGTATTGAAGTCATGACCTGAGATGATCTGCCTGCCTCAGACTCCCAAAGTGCTGGGATTACAGGCATGTCACCACACCTGACTCCTGAAATAGCTTTTGTAGACTCTTGGTGTAATAAAAAGAGGGGAACTCTTTTCTTAAGAATGCATTTCCAAGGTAGACAGGGATATATTTTATGTGATTTGTAAAATTCCTTATGTGGAAAACAATTATTCTATCACAAATCCATCACTAATCTGTTCCTGTGAGAACTTTTCCAGTCTCAGGATAGCGAGAACTCACTACTATGTGAAAGGCACCCATTCATTTATGAGAGATACACCCATATGATCCAAACACTTCCCACTAGGCCCCACCCCCCAACACCACCACACTGGAGATCAAATTTCAACATGAGTTTTGGTGGGGACAAACCATATCCAATCATAGCAATCACCTTTTTAGGGAACTTGACTTTTGAAGCTTTCTTAGTGTTTGAGAGTCATTGTTTGGCAAACTCTCTCAGAGAAAGTTTGCGTCACTGTTTCAAACTCCACTGAACATGTGAGTAAGTTTCTGATATCTTCTTGCATTCTTATGTCCAAGATCAGAGAAGAATACCTTCTAATATCTAGGAAATTTCATCTCCAGTTCAACCTGCACATCTTAACAATCGTACTCATCTTGTAAGACCTTGCTGCTCATGGTGTGGCCTGCAAACCAGCAGCAAGACCATCACCTGGGGCTTACTAGAAATGCCATATCTCAGACCCCAGCAGACCTTCTGAATCAGAGCCTGCATTTTGACAAGTTGACTCATGTGCACCTTCACGTTCGAGGAACACTTTTAAAGTGTTTACAATGGCTCTGCCTTCTTGATACCTGAATGAATTGAGCTTATCAAAAATTTGATAAAGGCAGCTTCATGATGATGGTGGCCAGGAAGCTCTTTCAGCTCTTAGTGGACATTGTGGAGATGAAGAACATAACAGGAATTATGGTAGCACAGGATAAGTTGATTAATTTTGAAGCCCACTAGTTGTTTTGGAAGGTGGGGGGGACCCTGGATATATTAGCTTTCTAGGGTTTTATTGACAGTGAGAGAAAGCCCTATGACACAGAGCCATCTCATCTACTTTTTTGAACTGCTGCAGATTGGGCTTAGGTGTTTCAAGTTTGCCCAAAATAAATGATTCTAAAATCAATTTACCTAACGGCCAGTTTACTTAATGGTAATTTCCCCTAATAGTACTATTAACATAAAAATTCATGTTTGTGAAATTTATAAGAATTCACATGTGATAGGAAGGTAAATTGGTTTTTGTCAAATTTGGTTTCAGATAGAGCTGCTTTAGGCAAATGTTCACTTACATATATTAGCTCTAGGCAAATAGATTTTATAGATGAATTCACCTGATCCAGGTGTCCTCTCCTGAGGAGGGAACAGGGAATTCAGCGTAGGGGGTGGGAATGTTTAGTCATTATTTCCACTAGCAGTGATACTGGGTGTGGAGGAGGCTCCTGTAATAGCAAGTGGGCTGGGTGGGAGCTTGCTACACTGGTCTTACTAATGGCCCCCTGAGATATTTACTACATAGCCCTCACCTGTTTCAGTGTCTCACTATGAATGACCGTTACCACTTAGGCCCATCTGGGCTGCATCTTCTAAGCTCATTCCTAAGCACTGTTCTTCTTAGTGACCGTACACTTTTATGAGACTCTTCACAATGCTCATGTTTAGCCTGGGCTTTTCATGCTGGGTTGCTTTATCCCAGTGTGACTTAAACTGAACCAGGCTTTGTCACAGAACCATGTTCTGTTCTCTCGCGGTACTTATCCGTTTTCAATTTTACATTTATTAGTGTGATTATTTTGTTAACATCTGTCTCCCACTGGATTGTAAGCTCTGTGAACACATGGATCATATCTGTTTTTGTTCATCATTGTGTCTTTAGAACCTAGCAAAGCACCTAGCAAATTGTAGAGACTTAATATTTTTGAAATAAATGAATGAATACCTTAATGAACCTCTGGCTTTTATTAGCAGTAATAAATTACATATGGCACATCTCACAGATGATGGTGATACATCAAACTGCCTTGACATAGAAGCTGAGAATCACTGTAGAAAATAAAAGTTTCTTATCAAGGAGGCAATTCAGGAAAATTAACATTTAAATAATGATGACAATAATAATAGCTGACATTTATTGAGTTCTTATAGCATGCTAGTTATGATAAGTACTTTACCATAAAATTTATCTTACTATATTTATTGAGAGCTCAAGTCTTCCTAACAGAAGCAGCCACTAGAACACGTTTCCTACAACCCCCACTCTCATCCTCCAGTACTGTGGAGCCGTCAGCACCAGGAACAAAGGAGGGTTCCATGTTGGTTCTGTTAAGGGTAGTTCATTTCCAGCTCATGGTGGCTGGCCTCATATCCCACTGAACGCTCTGCTAATGATGTCAGCCTTCCCAGTGACTCTTATGGGTAGTGGAAATTTCAGTTATGGGACAGAGTGGTCTGTGTTGATTCTTATAGTTCTTTCTTCCAAGAGGGCCTGGCTTAGGCATCATTGTCCTAGTTTTGTGTCTTTGGTCATCATTTAACTTCTCTCTGACTTGCTTTCTTCACTAATTAAATGAAGATGATAATAGTACCTCCTTCTAGAGGGTTGTTCCAAGAATTTACTTCAATATTGTATATAAAGTAATAACTAAAGTGGTATGTGGTAAGACTTGATAAATGTTAGCCATTATTATTATTATTATTATTTAAATGGTGCTTTTACTGAATTATCTCCTTGATGAGTAACTTGTTTTCTATAAGAGTGACTGTGAACTGCAATGTCACAACCCTTTGTTGTATCACAATCAGCACTAAGGCATGCCACCTGTAATTTGTTACTGTTACTACAAACCAGATATTACTATATTTATTCATTTATTCCAAAAATATTTATTAAGTCACTACAAGTATGCTAAGTGTTATGCTAGGCTCTGAAGATAACATGGTGAGAAAAACAGATATAGTCCATGTGTTCCTAAAGCTTATCCAGTGGGAGACAGATGTTAACAAAATAATGAGAAAAATATTTAAGTACAGAGATAGCTGTGAAGGAAAGGAGCATATTCTTATTTAAAAAAACCCTATGTGGTGGTGGGGAGTGCAAGTCAATGGACTTCCTGGGGAGGTGACATTTAAAGTGAGAGCTGAATGAGTAGAAGTTAGCTAGGGAAATAATGGGATAAGAGCCTTCCAGGTAGTTGGAGCAAGTGCATTGTAGTGGGAGGGATCGTGGTATGTTTGAAGACTTGAAAGAACGTTGGTGTGTAGAGGGCAAGATAGAGAGTGAGAAAGCTGACACTGGAAAGATAGGCAGGGGCTAAAGCATGTAGTTTCCTGAAGCGCATGCCTAAGACTTCTAGGCTTGAGCTCAATAGTAATAAGAAGACACTGATGGATTTTAAGCTTGGAAGTGGGGGTGCTTGGAAGAAGTCGATAATATGATTGGATTCTTGTTTTAAAAAGGTAACTTTGTCTGTAGAATAGATTGGAATGGGCCGGCGTGGATTCGGTGAGACCTGATAGGAATCTATATAGTTGCTAGTAGTAGATGTTGGTGGATAAGATAAGGATGATAGCTGTGAAGGAGATTTGGAATGGATAAATGTGGTAGATACTTTGGAACAGAAGCGATAGAACTTGCTGATGGTGTGCACATCAGGTGCTGGGGAGAGAAAGGTGTCAAAGACAATGCTTAGGTTTTTAGCTTCTGTTCTGATATAGGATATAATGGATGAGGCCCAGGTTTTGGGGAAAGAATTAGGAGTTATGTGTTGCGAGTATTGAGTTTGGGGTATTCCGGGAGAGATGTTGAGTAGGTAGTTGGTTATGCAAGTAAGCAGTTCAGAAGACAGGTCTAGACTGGAGATATAAATTTGTGATTTATTTATGTAAAAAAGCACCCTCCTGGCTAACATGGTGAAACCCCATCTCTACTAAACATACAAAAAAATTAGCTGGGTGTGGTGGCGGGCACCTGTAGTCCCAGCTACTAGGGAGGCTGAGGCAGGAGAATGGTGTGAACCCAGGAGGCAGAGTTTGCAGTGAGCTGAGATCACGCCACTGAACTCCAGCCTGGGCAACAGAGAGACTCCGTCTCAAAAAAAAAAACAAAAAACAAACAAAAAAAACCCACCCTAACTTATTAGAGTGGAGTCAGGGTCCATAGAGCCACTGATATGATGCACTTTCTGAGAAGTGGAGAAAGGACTGGAGTTAGAGGTAAGAAAACAAATTTTGCATAACTGGTGACACCCGTGGGAGTGTTTGAACATTACCTGCCTATCAGTCCTAACATAAAATGGTTTGAGAACTGCTAGGCTGTAGGAAAAGGGCCATATGTCAGTGGTTGGTTCTATGAATCTAGCCCCAACTTACCTTTCTGTTGCTTCACAACTCCTCTGATCTGTTTGTGTACATCGTCAGTGCTGTTCATACCTCTTCTTTCTTTGTTGCCTGAGCATGCCAGACACATTTCTTCCTCCATGTTTTTACATTTTCCCCACTCCTGAAGCACTTCTCTTACCCATCTCACTCCAGTTTAGGTCATTCTTCTACATCTAGCTTCTTTTTGAAACGTTCTCACATCACCGTTCAAGATTGGATCTCCTCTCCTCGTTTTAAAGGTCAAGGATGTATTGTTGTCTATCTTTCCGTAAGTTTTTATTTTATCGAGTGACATGTAAATTCTTTGACAAGAGGCATACTTTGTATTAAGTAAGTGCTTGTTGCTTACTTATCTTTACACTTAGTGCCTTCTTTGCATATATGATTTTCAATCTTGCTTTCACAGTATGTAAGCCTGGCTTAGCCTTGAGAAAATGGGCCTTTACCTAGTTGTAATTTGAATTTGTGTTGTAGATAAGTGAGTGATTTTAATTTTGAGTGGGAGAATATGTATCAAATTGAAAACAGTAAAAATAAAGAAAATGCTCTGTGTATAAGAAAGTTTTCTTATTACATTAATTGAAAAAAGTATGGAACAGTGAGAATACTCTGCTACCATTTGTGTTAAAGAGGTGGGACAAAATAGTATGTTTATACTTGCTTTCATAGCATAAGAAACCTTTGGAAAAAACGTTCTTTTCTTCCTAAAAAATGATGCTTGCACAATGGGACATTCGTATTCAAAAGAATTAACTGGACAAAGACCCTATGCCTTTTACATAAATTAACTCAAAATAGATTATGTACTTTACTGTAAAATGCAAAACTGTAAAAATCCTAAAAGAAAACATAGGAGAAAATCTACATAACTTTCGGTTCAGTGATGAGCTTTTAGGTACAACATGAATAGTATGATCCATGGAAGAAAAAGTTGTTAAGTTAGATTTTTATTAAACCTTAAGCCTTCTGCTCTACCAGAAAGATTATTAAGAGATTAAAAAAACAAGTTATAGATTGGGAGAAATATTTGAAAAACACACATTTGAGGAAGGATTTATATCCAACATATATAAGAACAATTGAAACTCAACAATAAGTAAACTCAACAATAAGTAAACAAACCAATTTTTAAAAATAGGCAAAATATCTGAATAGACATCTTACTAAAGAAGATATGTGAATAGGAAATAAGCATATTACAATGCTCAATATCATTTATCATTAGGGAAATGCTAATTAAAACAATGATATACCATTACACACCAATTAGAATGGGTAAAATCCAAAAAAAAAAAAAAACCCCAACAATACCAATTGCTGGTGGGAATGAATAGCAACAGGAATCCTTGTTTATTGCTGGTCTGAGTGTAATGTAGTGCGGCCCCTTTGGAAGACAGTTTGGCAGTTTCTTACAAAGCTAAACATAGTCTTATCACAAAATCAAGGAATTGCACTTCTAGGTATTTACTCAGTTGATTTGAAAATGTATTTTCACAAAAAATCCTGCAAACAGGAAGCAACCAAGTCCTTCAATAAGTAAATGGATAAACTGTGGTACATGTATATGATGAAGTATTACTCAGCTATAAAAAAAAACAACGCATGATTAAGCCATGCAAAGACACAGGTGAAACTTTTTTTTTTATGGCTGATCCTATTTGGATGAATCTTTAATGCATGTTACTAAGTGAAAGAACCCAATCTGAAAAGGCTGAATACTGTATCATTCCATTTATATGACACTCTGGAAAAAGCCAAAAAAAAGATTAAAAAAAGATAACAAACAGATTAATGATTTCCAGGGCTTTGGGAGTTAGGGGAGAGCTAAATAGGTGAAAAACAGAGGAATTTTTTAGGCAGTGGAACTATTGGGTGTAATTCTGTAATGGTGGACACATGACACTATGCATATGTCAAAAGCCACAGAACCTTACAGCACAGAGAGTAAACCTCAATGTGTACATATTTAAAAAAATCATTTAGGAAGTTAAGAGATCCCAGGATGGAATTCAGAATGTAACAGAATATCTAACTGTATTATAAATGTGTGAAATAACCTCAACAACGGGGATTGGGGAAATAGGAGCTGACTTCCGGAACTTTGGAAATTAATGGCGTATGTAGGACTAAAGGCGGAAGGAACTGTATATAGACACTTCACTTGAGTTGATAAAGTTGTTTACCTGAGGGTATTGGTTAATGATATTAAAACCACTATACGTGTATACAGAAAGTGAATAATTAATTAAGTAAATTGATGGTAGATCATGGGAGATTACAGATAAGCATGAGACAGAGACTAGAATTATCTATGTGATAACAGATTAGAGTTTAAGACATCAGTATGAATTCATGTTTAGCTTACTTTAGATACAAATAGATACATATAGAAATATTTATAGAAATATTTATAGATATGTGTATATATACTGATTGTTATACACACACATATATTTCTTTGTTCTGTTGGCTGAGAGAGCTCAGAAGCAGCAATACCTTGTAGCCATGAGCACACATAGTGGCCAAATCTTGATTTCGCATACCATTCTCCAGTAGAAGGAACAAGCCTTCCTTGGAGAGATGGTTGATTTTAGGATTGGGTCAGGAAATATATAAGATGAGCCTTGAGCATCTTGTAGTACTAGAAAGTAAGGAAATGCTCAAAACAAAATAAAACAAAACAAGAAACATGATGGGAGTAAATCAAAGAAACTAGCTGAAAAACGTCCAACAGCTAAAGCTGGAACAATTTGAGCAAAAAAATAAACAGTGTTGGATTGTAACCCAAAGTAAAAAATGATAACCCATGAGTCTACACTGATATAATAAGTGTTTGAATAAATAAATAAATGAGAATAGATAAATCTCCCATGCAGTAAAATTCTAAGTAATTTATGTAAAATGAATCTTTTCATTTCAATATTCCATCCTCAAGGAGGTGGAATATAACTCCCCACTCCTTAAGTGTGAGCTCCACAGGGTGTCTTCCTTCCAAAGAGGACAGTATAAAACTGGTAGGGGGAAGAGTATTTTTATAACAGAGAAAACTGACCAACACTTAGCCAGGGAGATGAACCCTGATAGTAACATCAATAGTGATGTCATGTAGTAGAATGCATTCTTAGATACGATACTGTGAGAATTGCACATTACTTCTATGGCATTCCTCCCCAAAAGTGACAACCCTAGTATAATTATGAGAAAAATTAGACAAATCCCAATTGTCAGATATTTTACCAAATATCTGGCCAGTACTCCTCAAAACCGTCAAGGTCATAAAAAAACAAGGCAAGTCTGAACTGGCACAGCTATAAGGAGCCTGAGGAGGCATGACAAACAAATGTATCGTAGCATCCTAGATAAGAGTGTGGAACCTAAAAAGGGTATTAGGTGAAAACTAAGAAAATCTAAATAAAATATAGACTTGGTTAATAATCTATTAATATTGGTTCTTAATAGGGCAGACTGGGTGTGGGCTATGTGGAAACTCTATTTTTGTAATTTTCTGCAAATATAAAACTATTGTAAAAGAGTTTATCATAAAAAACTTTGTACAAATACATGGGACGCCAACACTAGTTGCCTATGAGGGTTGTTGGATACTGAGAAGACTGGGTACAGGATGGGAGGGAAATTTTTCACTGAGTACCTTTATAGATATATCAGTTTATTTCTCAACAATAGAAATAAAAAAATTTAGAAAACTGAAGATTATATTTCTTGTTTGGGAACAATAATATTTCTTCTTTAAGCATTTTAGATAAAATTTAGAAACAAGTATAGAAAGTGCTACATATGTTTTGGTCATTAGTACAATTACCATTACCACTACAACTACAACCACCACTATATATTTAGTGCCTATTTCCTAAATCTTGCTATTCATAAACATCTTAATTTTGAGTTCCTGGAGATCCAAAGTTATACCTTAGTCTTAAGATGCAGTTGTGCAATTCCAAGCTTAGTGCCTTCGGCTTGGTTGCTTAATAAATGTTTTTATTTGACTTTATTTGCAGGCCTTGACAATCAAAACCAAATGATTCCTCTCCCCTTGTCCTGCTAAATTAGCTTATTTTTTTTTTAAAGTGTATTCTGCCACTAATTTTATTTTTCTATCTTAACTTGCCTGAAGTTTCATGTATTTTTCCTGGTTCTCTAGGGAATTTAGAAGCCAGCCTTTACTTTGTTAAATACAGCATGGCTAATACCATGTGGATTTTTAAAGAGTGTAATAGAACAGTTTTGAATGGGCATAAAGAGCCTGAATTTTACATTTCATTTAACAGTGAGTGTTTTATTTTCAATAACAAAGGCAGTTTGTAATTGCTGTCACGATTAATCTCTTGCTATATGTTTGCTAAGAGGATTGAGTACAGAACTAATATGTAACTTTACAACTACAAGTAAAAATCACCAGGTCTAGTCTAAACAAGAGAAAGGGAGAGACAGAAAAGCACTTCTTTCTAAGAAAAGGCAGAATGCGTATGCTTTCAGCAGCATCACACCTTTGTAAGGCAGTTAATTTTCATGTATATAGAAAGATGAAGGGAAATCATAATCAGTGTTGGATACTAGGCAGTTTGTAAGGCAATTTACAAACGTATGTCATTTTATTCTCAAAAGAAATCTGTGAAGTAGATGTTTATTTTCAACTAGATGAAGAAAAGAAGGCTTAGGGAAATGCTGTGTCCTGCCCACATTCACACATGGATTGAATGGCAGAGGGGAGGGATTGATCACAAGATATCTGGGTTCTGAAGCCTCTTTACATCTGGCATATTTTTTTCTGGTATATATTCTGTTTCCATATTGCTCTGAATAAAGGAAACAGAAGTTGAGAGTACCAGAAGTTTGTCTGGGAAAATCAGGACTTTAGTTTAGTCAAATAGCTCTGTAGCCTTAAAGGGCACATGGACCTGGAACCCAAAGATATCTGATTTGTGAAAGAACCACCAACGGGGCCACTTCCATTTGTGTAAACAAGAGGCTTGAGGCCAAAATGTTTGGGTTTGATACAAGAAAAATAATAGATTAATGAGAAAGGTATCAAAGTAGTCCTAAGGTATTTATTTCTTTAAGTAGCTTCTGAAAACCATGTATTTTAAAACATATAATGGTTTATTTATATTAAATTACATTTTTGGTAGAATTCCATTTTTATAAGTTAAAAGAAAATGTATAGTTATATATCTGTGGTGCTATTTATAAGCAGAAAATCAACATTTTGAGATTTGGTTATCTGGCCAATGACCCAGGCATTTAGTAGAAACATACTTAAGTTATAGTTTTTATTTTTAAAGGTATAATAAAAATCTGTATACCTGAAGTTAGAGTGTTCCAGTTTCTATTGATGTATAAAAAAAACTACCCCAAAACTTTTGCTCACAGTTTCTGTGGATCAGGAATTTGGACAGAGCCCAGAAAAGATGGCTTATCTCTATTCTACCACTTTTGTGGCTTCAGTGAGAAGAGTGGACAGCTGGGCAGGCCAGCTGGAGGTGTTTTCACTCATAAAGCTGGTGTTTATAATGGCTGTTGGCTGGGATCCCAGTTGGGGTTGTCAACTAAAGCACCTACATGCCACCTCCCCAGTACGGTCTGGACTTCCTCACAGCAAGGTGGCCTCAGGGTAGTTGGACTTCTTACAAGGTGACTTAGGGATTAAAGCACAAGTGTTCTGGTAAACAAGACAGAAACTGCATTTTTACATTTATGGAATTCACCAAGCATTACTTTTGCCCTTAAAGTACTTACAAGTTCATCCAGGTTCAAGGGGAGGAGACACAGTTCCCACCTTTCAAGGTAAGGAATGTGAAATTCGCATTGTAGAAGAGTATGCCAGATGGGAGATATTGTGTCTCAAAATACAGTTTTCCCAACAGAATATTAAGCCATGTAATTCAGGTTATCTGTGATACACAGGACAGGAGATGACAGTGTTCATGCCTGCTGCCATTTCTTTTTACTTATAGACTAGCAATAACTTGTGCCCATTGTTACTTTTCAGCACTTCTTCTTTTTGCCTTTCTTCGGTTTCATGTTTCTGTACCTCTCTTTACTGACTCAAGGTAGACTAGTAATCTCTAAATTTCACTGGTTATTATCAGTAAAAGTTTATTTTTGTTTACTTCCCAGTTCAATGTTAATCTGCGTGAGGAAAGGTATCTCTGCTCCATGAAGTCATTTATAGACCCAGACTTTTTCCACCATATGGTGCCACCACCCAATAAGGCCTCAGAATTCTCCACTGGACGTCTGCTACTTGTGTGGATAAGGCACATCCTCTCTTAACTGTTTTGGCCTGGACATAATACACAGCACCTCTGCTCATGTTTTTTTTTTTTTTTTTTGGTGACAGCTACTCATGTGGTCCCTCCTAGATTCAAGGGAACTGGGGAATATATTTTAGTATGTGCCCAGTGCCCAGGGAGAAGGCGGGGTATAGATATTGGCTACATCTGCTACACTTACCTCTCCTTCCTCTCTCCTCCAGGCTGATAAGGAGTCAGGAGCCTGAATGCTGACATAATATCAGGAATAGAATGAAACGAATTGACCAATCAGATGCAAATTAGCATAAGAATTCTAGGAATTTAGACCTGAGCTGGACTTTAAAAATTATTTAGTTCAATAGTTTAAAACTATTTTTGGAGGTGGATCTCTTTTAGCCAGAGGAAATCTTACAGGAAACTCCAATTTATGTAATAGATGGCAGTGAAGTTGCTCTGGTTAAAAAAGGTTATAGGCCTCATCTTTTCCCTCTGCCATACACTCTAAGAGCCTTTTGAGGAATCCTAGGGCTTTGCGGATCAGATATAATTAGTTTATTTAAGACACATTAAAAAACTGAGACACAGAGGGGCAGGGACATGATGTGCCAAAAATTACATGGTTTGTCTGGCAGGTTTAAGATTGCAACTCAAGCTTCAGTAGTCCCACTACTATTTACTTAAAAGCTGTGGTACTGCCTCTTTTTCAGGACACATAGCCATTGAGACCCCTGGTCTAAGGTGGGGCACGGTATACCTGCCTTGTGTTGTTGGCTTAATCTCTTTATTAGCCAAACAGTGGACTTAGGACCAGGAAAGAGACAGGAGCTTCAGCATGGGCTGGGTGCGGTGGCTCATGCCTCTAATCCCAGCAGTTTGGGAGGCCGAGGTGGGCGGATCACTTGAGGTCAGGAGTTCGAGACCAGCCTGGCCAAAATGGTGAAACCCTGTCTCTACTAAAAATACAAAAATTAACCAGGCATGGTGGTGGGGTGCCTGTAATCCCAGCTACTCAGGAGGCTGAGCCAGAAGAATGGCTTGAACATGGGAGGTGGAGGTTGCAGTGAGCCAAGATGGTGCCACTACAGCCTGGGCAACAGAGTGAGACTCCGTTTAAAAAAAAAAAAAAAGAGCTTCAGCATGAACAACTGTAGCATTTCTTTCCAGAGTGATGAGATTAGCATAAAGAATGAGGGCTGGCACCTGGGTCTGCAGTAGTCTGACTTGGCAGCATACCTAGACTGAGGGCATCATGAGAACCATGAATGGAGGCTGCCTGAGTTCACTTGAACTGTTTTGTCCTCTGACTCTGATGTGATCATGCCACTGTACCTAGTGAGCCTGGAACTAGACTGCTTTTGTTTAAATCCTGAATCTGTTCTTATCTACCCATACAAAGTTGGGCAAGTTATTTAATCTTTCTGTACTTTGGTTTCATCTTTTATAAAATAGGGATGATAATAGTTGGTAATTTTTAAGGTTGTTACGAGGATTACATGAGTAAATATTTGCAGACTAGTGCCTGGCCCATAGTCACTACTATAGAAATATTTGTTAAAACAAGTAAAATATCTTACAGGTTTGTGGTAGGAATTATTTTGATATGAAATATACAGACCTAAAGGCAGTTCTCCTAGTAATGATTAGTACTCACTAAGTATTAGCTATTATTACATAAATAATGTTAGCTATATTGTTTTTGTTATCATAGTTATTATTATTGCCCATAAAAATAGAGTTACCCTTTATTGAGGTCTTACAAAATTGTAGGCACTATGCTGGGAAACTTATTTTTTTCATCATCTTTAGGATTTTCCAGGATTTGTGGAAATGATCTACCCAGGTACTCTCTCTCTATATGTGGTGGCTTATTCCTTTTATAGAAAGTAGCTGGACACCTGCCTGGGTTTCTCTCTATCTGGAGAGTCCTGCTAGGGGTACACGCTGGGAAAGGGTATCTTCTTGTTTCCCAAATCCATTTTGCTTTGACCTCCCCACCCAGACTCCTAGGAAGCAATGGTTTGTTCAGGGCCACAGAAAAATCATTGTTGGAATGTAAGCAGGTACTGCACTAACTCTGGAGCTCTTTGGGTGTGATATATTTCTCTGAATAGCTAGTATATATCCTTGTAGAATAACTGGAAAAGAGACCTTTTCTAAGAAATGTTTTACCTTTACTTGTGATTTAGTGCTGGATGCTATCTAAAATTAACTTTTACTGTTTTCACTCTTGTACACAGAAGCCACCTAATTCATCCAGCAATAATCACTTTAACATTTTGAATATATCTAGCCCTTCTGTTCTATATATAAAATATAATATATTTTATATATTATATAAATATAAAATTTTATATAAATATATGAATATAAAATTTTATTATAAATATATAAATATAAAATTATATTATATATTTTAATATTATGTATGTAATCTCAAAATAGGATACTTTGGTATCAATTTTGGGGAAAATGATAAAAATTTTAATAAAAATAACTTGATTGATCTTTATCTACCTATATTTTTAGAATTATTGTTCCTGAATTTATTTCCAGATCTACTAAGGAATTCAGATAGTCTCATGAAAATCGACTTCAGTTCATGATAATACTGATTGTACCTGATACCCAAGGGTGGACCTTTGAGGAATTATGCATGTTGATTCTGGGTAGGGTCTACCTTGCACTTAAGCAAAGGCCTGGGCTTACAGAATTCAGCTAAGTAAATACAGGTTGGAAAAGATTTGCCTTCATAACATTTTGTGTTCAAGGTCTTGGGGTGTTAGTTGATGGGAAAGTCAGTGTAGGCGTAGTTGTGCACAGCTCAGAGCAAAGCAGGTGATAGTGTCACTGTACTTTGCATTAGACCACATCTGTACAAGTGCCTTTATTCCTGGATGCTGTATTTAAGTGGAAAATTGATTCATTTGACCATGCCTAGCGCATGGTGACCAACATGGGGAAGGCTGCAAAGAGGAAGAAGGCAGAATCCTTGTCCAGGAGGGGCTCATAGTTTAGATGGAGATGGGAGTATAAAGGAAGGAGCCAGGGAAGCTTGGCTTGAAACAGAAGAGGGAATATCACTGCTGTTTTCCGATATTTGCAGGATGAGCAGACTTTTCTGGGAGCGAAGGCAGTTTGTTGGAACAACACACTTGGCTGAGGTCCAAGGCTAAGGGCTTGCAAAATCTTTTGCTTACAAAATCTGGCTTATAATTTTATCATTTATACAGCTGCCCTCCCCAGAGACTCTTGAAAAGACCCCAATACACCTGAGTCCTGAAGAATGAGGACTGGTGAGGGGTAGATTGCTCACTAGATCAGCCTACTGTCACTTCCAGTGTCCTCCTTCTACCTGGCAGCGCCACGTGGCTCCTATTCACTTGCTCGTAGCGTCAGACTTCTGCTCCCTTCATCAAGACCAGCTGGCCAGGAAGTAAGGCAACACCTGGCATACTACTATAGTGCTTCTTAAACACAGATGTAAACATAGAACATGAATCATCTGGGAGTTTTGTTGGAATACAGATTCTGCTGCAGTAGACCTTGGGGTTATCCCAATAATCTGAATTTCCACAGGTGATGCTGCTATTGGTGTTCTACAGACCACCCTGAGTCACAAGGTTCTACTAGAAAACATGAGTCTTCCCTCCAGGCTACAGCCAAATCCCATCAGGCCAAATGACTTTCTGCTCAGAGTTGCCTCACATCTTTATTTGTAGAGCATTACTGCCTGGAAATATTGCCTTATTTTCCTCCTAGCCCTCATGAAAGAATTTTATCCAGATGTCACTTAGCCATCCAGTGTTTTTATTATTGCTAAGGCTGCTTCAGCAGTTATCTGACATGTGTTTTCAAAAATATATCATCTTGATTTTCATCCAAGTTGCATGAGATGCAGCACTTTTTGAATATGTGCAGGATGTGGCCAGAAACTTTAGTCTAAGATAAAAGTATCATTTGCCTGACATTAGGACAGACTTCTTTTCTCCTAGCTATATATTTGTGATTACCCCAATGTAATCACTGACTCCAGTGCTTTATAAAGTGATCTTTAAGAGATCTGTTTATAATACATTGAACACTTGCTCAATGAGGCCACAACCCCAAGAATAATGATGAAATCTGGTTAAATGTATTTGCCTCCCTCTTTAATGATTCCAGCAGGTGACTTCTGTGAGTATTTCTAATTGTCATTGATTGAAGCCCTTTCAAGGTCATGTCCCTTCCCCAAGTAATTGCTTATTGGTCAAAGTAAAGTAATTGAGAGATTTCTCATGATGTGTGAATCCTGGTAGGATCTCAAATATAAGCTCGTGGTGCATTTCTATACAGGTGCTAAATGGTCTTGGGCAAGATACTTAATATCTTTGATCATCTATAAAATAGGGATAATGAAATCTACCTTAAAGAAATTAAAAAGATGATGTCTATGAAAGCACTTGCCATATTCCTGGCACATGACAATCATTCATTAAATGACTTTTCTTGCCTCCTCATTTGTTCCTTTTAGGCCATTTTTCACCCTTTTTTTGGGGGGGCCGTGGGGAGGGACATATTTTACTTCCTTCTTCACTAGTTCACAAAGCACCTTCAGACATGGGATATATATTTTAAACCCCTTTTTAGTTTTTCATTATGTGTTCAGTAAAGACATATTGAATGAATTAATGAATGGCCAATAGTCTGTAACATCTTCTTGACCTCTAAGTTCTCCGATTGTTTGATTCTTCAGTGTTCTAACAACTTAGAAGAAACTGGAGAATTCCCTTAAAATAAATGTCTTCTTTGTTAAAGCATTTCCTTTTGTGCAGTCTTATAAAGTATGTATTACATAAATTATTACTAATAAGTATGAACCTGGGCCTAGAAGCTGGCTGCTATGGTATAAATAACCTCTTTTAGTTTATGACCTTGGGCATGATTCTTTGTACTGGTGCAAATGAGGTGGGTCAGAGGCTGGTCTTGACTCTCTGCTTGCCCTTCACTGTTTACTTTGGAAAGATCTGTGAAAGATGAGCAAGAAATATGTATTTGTTCTTTGGCATGACTTTTGGGATTCAGGCACAATAGACGCTGAGTTTCCTGATATATTCATTTCATTCCTCATAGAAGATGCATTTTGTCTTTTAGATTAAATACCCTTTGGCTTGTGGGGTTAGCCAGCTCAGTGGATTAGAATAGAAGCAGCAGGCCCTTCCAAATCTAGGGGTTAAGCCTAGTTACCTGTCTAGGCTAATCGCTCTGGAGTTGACCATATGAATGAGTTGTTGGAGTTAGTGCCTGGTGAGGCTATCCTCACCACTTTGTCATCATGCCTCTGGGATGGGCAACAAACTGGCAGAAAGTGCATACACTGTCAAATTTAGATCTAAGTTTAAGTCTGGTTTGGGTATGTTTAATCCTTAATCTCAGTTTTTAAGTTTTTTAAAAAAGATAATACCAGTCTCAGGTTTTTTGAGTGATAAATTAGTATATGTGAAATACCTAGTGCAAGCCCTGGCAGTGAGATCAGGCCCAACGTTGATGACAATGACACATTTCAGAAGAGAGGCATAGGAAACAAAATAGTTTTGGCACCTGTGAAAGTACTAGCCCTGTTGTGTGCCTGAGGAGTGTCCCAAAGTTGCTTGTAGCATTTTATGACTGAAGTGCAGACCACAGTGGTAAGGCTAAGAATTTCTTATGGGTTTGAAAAACAGGATCATAATCCTGGAAAAGAAAAAACTTAATTGCATATTTCATTCTCTGATAATTTGAAATACTAATTCCTATGTGACTAGCTTCAACCTTTTCTCCCCTACTCATTATCTAGGAATTGTTATTCAATTATATCTTTTTGTCTACAGAGAAGAAAAAAGACTAATCTTTTCATTCTGACAATGTATTTCAATCCCTGATGTCCAACATGACTTCCATTTCCCTTTAATTCTTGAAAAGGTAAAGATAATAGTTCTGAAAATAACCATCAATAGATCCATTCCACATGAATGGCCTGTTTTAGACATTCATGGAATGAGGGTTCTGATTTGTACTTTGAAGTATTTAAGAAACACTGCACTGAGTTTTGCTAATTAGCTGTGGCTTGTTACCTCATGGTGGACCAATTGATCTCTGTTTCAGAGGCTCAAGATGTTGCCACGAGGGTTCTCAGACAATAGATTCATTGGGTGTCCTACAGTGAATTGACTTGAGGTCTTGGCTCTTTGTGCCATGTTTAGCTAATTTTAGATTGTGAGAGACCTGGTAGTAAGGGGTTGAGGGATTGATGATGGCTGTGATATCCAGAACTAAAATAAAACAAATGTTTGTTCCTTTACATACAGCTATTTTGAACTGGAGAGCAGTGGCCTGAGGGATGAGATTCGGTATCACTACATACACAATGGGAAGCCAAGGACAGAGGCACTTCCTTACCGCATGGCAGATGGACAATGGCACAAGGTTGCACTGTCAGTTAGCGCCTCTCATCTCCTGCTCCATGTCGACTGTAACAGGTATTTCTTTGTCTTTGAGTGTTGCTGATTCTGCCCTTGAAATCAAGCAATGGAAAAGGGGAAAAAATATCAAATTCCTTCAAGACTTGCCAGGAAACAAACACCAAGGGACCCTAATTGTAATTTAACCTACCAAATGGGACCTTAGGCATGCTGAAATGACCAACTGTAATATGATAAGAAAACAGTTCATTAAGATGAAACTGTATCCCGTGATTAGGAGCAAATGTACAAAAGGTTGATTGCAGATTGGGAAATAGTAAGTGCACCTCAGTGTGCTCCAGGCACTGGCTGGAATTCCATGGAGCTGTGATCACAGTTAACGGTGATGTATTGTTGTTGAGTTCGTTCCACTGGGAAGCGAATAAGCTTGTCTACCCTGGAATGAATCTGAGAAGCCTGTGCCACTGAAGCAGCTAATTCTATTTCACTTCATCAAGCTCACCTTTGCTTAAATATCTTTTCCAAATGGAGGCTTCTTAAAGAGGCTGTTCTCTGAGCCTTTTGGAATTGATGCCAGGTATTTTCTCCAGAGGAATGAGCCTTCCAGCTTGTCAGGGGATGGTGGGACCAGGGGGTTTCACAGGAGGTTTTGGGTTGGGGTGGGATGGAAATGTTGTCTCCCTTGTCTGTCACTGGAGCCAGGTTTAATGAAAATTGAAGAATGAGGGAGTCCATTGGTTTCTATTGGATCATTTATGGCTGGACAGCTGGATAATGGTGTTCAAGGGGAAAGTTTTTATCTCTCCATAACCCACTGAAGATCCTTATGGATAGTGACCCGAGTCCAATTACAGAGTTTTTTTTTGCATTCTGAGCAGTGCCCATGCATTGTTGATTCTCATTAATGATGCCATCAAAGTTAAAATGACTTTTCAGCCACACAAGGCTTGCTCCCTTGAACCCAGGATAAAGAACAGGCATATTGGGGATAGCCTCCCTTCCAAAAACCATCAAGAGGAGAGATATTCCAAGGTCAGTCAGCTTCAGACCGCATTTCTCATGAGGAGATGCTTGAATATGCCTGCCACTCTAGCTCTGCAGTCTCTTTTAGAAGAGTTGGAAGGGCAGGGAACTGTTGTCAGGCTCAAGGGAAGGTTTGCCATCTTGAGGTGAGTCTTGGTCCATTTTGATATGACCTATTTAAGGTGCTTTTTAGACTTCTGAAGAATTGTGGTTTCCACCAGATATAATAAATATGTCTGGACAGAGTTTCCATAGAAACCACTAGCTCCTTTGTACACTGCAGACTGGGGCTGGGCAGCCTGGATAAAGCCAATGCTTAGCTGCTATATCCATTTTCACTTTCAAGAGCTCATTGCCCCCTTCAATTCTCTAGAATTAAAGTGGCCTGTCCGGCAACACTCCTATGACCCACTGTGACCTACCACCCACATGCTGTCTAAATGGGATTGCAGAGGAAGAGCCCTGCTTGTCCTTCTAAGCCACAGGACAGAAAGAGGCCACAAAACCCTAGTTTCGTAATTTCCAACTTAAGAGTCCTGGAGATACTGCTGTTTTCTTGCTATGCAGTTTTTTGTTTCTTCCTTCTAAGAGTTTTACTCTGTTTCCTGACATTCTTCTCTCTGGAGCAGTTCTTAGGTGGTGCTTGGCCTTCAGTGCTCAGTCTACATTTGTGGTGGTTGTTGTTATTTACTCTGCATATCAATGGCAGCTCTTTGACCCTGCCTTCAAACTTTCATACTCTGTATGTCCTTCATGGAAACCATGACCTCTCTACCAGGAGAGTGAGAAGAGGATAGGAGATCTGTAGTTCACAGTATTCTTTAGAGTCATTGCCATTTATAAAGAATTGACTGAGGGTATTCCAAATATTCCTTCTGTTTTCTTAATATTTTTCATACTTTGGCTTGTGGCATAACATGTCCTTTATGTAAGATCTTGGAGGGAAAACTTATGAAGTTGCTGCTAGTTAATGATTCGTAGACTCTAAACACAAATACATTTTTCAGGTAGGTCAGGAGAAAAAATGGACCCAAAGACTGGTCATAAGAAAAGTAAATTTTGATTTTCATGTAGGAAAAGGCTAGAAACATGGTTCCAAAATCTGACTATACCTAAGAATTACCTGGGGAACATATTAAAAAAATGGATAACCAGGCTTTGCCTCTGACCTACTGGATTAGATTCCCCGAGGGCGGAACCTGAGAAGCAATATTTTTAACAAGCCCTCCATATAGGTTCCATGCGGGCAGTCTACCCTTGGTGAATGGACTGGCATTTCCAAACCACTGGTTTAGAAAGAGGGGAAGGAATTTGGTGGAGAGGCTGGGCTACAACAAATAAATGAAGTCGTGGAAGACCAGTTACCTGAAGGAGGGTAAGAAGGAGAAAAGGATTAAGGAGAGGGTAGTGTCTAATGCACGAAACAAACTTTACCTTCTTCACAAGTTTCTTCCCAGCCAGAACTTGCCAACTTTACAGTAGCAGAAGCTCTGTCCCATATATCAAGATGCTGGTTCTATCACTTTTAGTCTCAGCCACCCTCACAGAGAGTGAATTTCAGCTATCCATTACTACTTTGTGATTCTTATTTTTTGATCCCTGTTACTCTTAGAGTTTTTCTCAACCTCTCACCCAGTAGTGTTCTGCTGATTAGAGTATGAAAGGAGATGATGTTAGATAACATTTGATGTTGATTGTGCTAGGCACAGTGCTGAGTACTTTACATAGATTAACTTATTCCATACTCATTCTATTAGTTTTTCCTCTTTTTAAGATGAGGAAACTGAGGTTATATATTTGTCTGTAACCCTGCTACTAATAAATGGCAGCACCAGGATTTGGACCCAAGTTTGACCTATGAGTGTCTGCATCTAGCTACTACTAAGCTATTTAGCCCAATAGTGGGGACCATTGACACTTTATTTGGTACATGAGGGAAGGCCAAGATTCAATGTGAGCAGTTTGTTCCTTTCTAATATTTCCCTGCCACATGTCTTATATTGCTAATCCTGGGAGCTGCTTGGAAAGATGTGAAATCTAATTGATGGAACCCTTTACTTTGGTGCTGGAGAAGGGATATACATTTATTGAGCCTCTACTATAGGCCAGGTAATGTTCTAGTAATAGTATTCCTTAGGATAACCATATGGGGACAGTTTTACTAGATGCATTTTGCATATTTGGAAATAGAAAAGCTCAAGATAAATAACTAGGTGTCAATCACATAATATAATAAGCATATAACCCAAACTTTGAGTCTGAAACTATCTCCAAAACCTTAGTCTAACCCACCCTCCAGGTCACCTCCATAGTGTGCTAATGACATGTACTGCCAAAGACAAGGTCACAACCACACCAGGGAGTCTTCCCAAGGGAGAGATACTACAGAAGGTTCAGGGACCATGAGAACTCTAAAATCGAGAAGAAATTTCCCAGATAATTCCATTGCTCTGAGGAATATTAATGTGGCAGGATTTCGCACATTATTTTTTTAGGTCAGAATTGAGGAACAGCTTTTTCAGACCTAATTGTACAAATTGTCACAAGAAAAGCAAACGCTATTTTAGTTGGTAGTTCAACACTTTCTGCTTGCTACGGAGACACTTTTCTCCTTGTTTCAGCTGTTTAGCTGGGCTTAGTTAGAAGTTCCTGATGTGTGGATAGCAGATTACCTCAAGCTAGAAACATAGAAGGAACCATTCAGTTGGGTGGGGAGACTGATTATCTCCATTGCCTTGGGTTTTTCTCCGGCTACCTTTTATATTAAGAGTTGGCAACAAAGCCTGGAATGGAACCTGAAGAAACCTTCCTTAGATTCACCCTCTCCCTTCTCAGCTCACTTTACAGCCTGTCTCTATTACTCAAAGGACAGAATCCACCAACATCTGGGATTCAGTGCATAAGCAACCTTTCCCTTTCACAACAAAATGAATTTTATTTCCTTCTCTTTATTTGTAACTTTTAATTTTCATTCAGCCCATCAAATTTATTTATTGGGTACACTATCTCTGCCAGGCTGTGTAGGATACAAGGAAATAAGAGTCCTTGCCACCAGGAAGTTCTTGGCTTATTCATTTAGTCATTTTAACTTCGTTCTGAAACCACCAGAGCCCCTCACAGTGATTGGGCCTAGTCCCTGGGTATCAGAGGAAGCCTGGATGCAGACAGGAGCCCTGTAAGCAGGCTGATTTGATAACTCGCAATGGCAGCTGAACAGTGGAAAGAACTGGAAACAGTGAACTCCCAGCATCTTGGTCCTGAAGTGACAGTGGAGCTGAGCTCCTCAGCAGCTAAGAGATGGATGGCTTTTAATTCACCCAGCCTTTGGCCAGCACTTTTTGTAATATGCCGGCATCCCTACCCTGTGTTAACCTCCTTATGCCTCATTGCTGGAAAAATTCAGCTCTTAAGTGCAGTCTATCACATTTCAACTTAGCTCTTATTTTTTCAGACTTGTTCAAATGTGTATGGCACATACACACACATCTGCAGCCCGATTGTCACCTTGACAGAGAGTTAACAAGTGATTAGTCTAGACTAGACTAAACATACTTATCTTTTACTTTTAACACATGCTATTTATTATCCATAGAGCACATCCAATTTTTGCATACAACTGATCTTGAAAAGCATGCAGAATCCAAAACTAAACTTGCTACAAATCAATGAATGAGTCAGTAATTTAAGGTTTCTATCTAAAATTTCAGAGTAATTTCAGGATGTGAGCATCTGTTTATATGTGTAGACTTTTCATAATGAAATCTGTTGATATGGCATCTTCCTTCTAGAGAGCGCCACAACTACTTACCAACATATTATTTAACCTTGTATTTTTTGAGGTGGTTAAATCACAAGTATAATGCATGACATTGGTTTTATACAAGCATATCTGCTGTAGTATGCGGAGGGAAATTAAGAGATGACTATCAAAGGTCTCAGCTTTCAAGAGAGCCAGGCTGAGACTCTCAATCTCCTGGTTCTCCAACTGATATGTTCTTTGCTTCATAAACAGAAATACAAGAGCACAACTCATTATCAAAATTAATTAAAATAAAATTGGAAGCTAGCATATGCCTCATGTCAAACTAACAAAGCAGCTTCAGGTTGTCTAGGAAGAGATGGGAAGCAAGCTAGGAAGATAGGACATATTCATGTGTAAATTTAAGTAACAGCACAAGGTAAGAGATGTGGTAAGGCAGTCAGTATATGATGTATTGCTAGATTCCTGGTAGAGGCAATCAGGTCTGGGAGATCACAGTAGGGGAAGCTCCTGGGGGACTTGGAGTAACCTCTCAATTTCTTACCAGCCTAGGTGAAAATGCATGACAATCTCTACAGCTTTATAGTTTCACCATTATGTGATCTGAATCTGATTCTGTACCAGTCACATGAGTCAGGCTTAGAACAAGGTTTATCTCACAGGCATAACAGTGCCAATTCTAGTGTGGTGAGAGAAAACCATGTATGGGTAAGTAGTATCGAGTTGGTAGTGAGGGAAGGTCTGTAGGGAGAGACAGAGAAGGAAGTGTGGGAAAGGAGAGGAAAAGGAAAGATTTGTCTTCCATGTTTCATATTTGAAGCATTTGCGCTCCGTGGTTTAATCTAGATGGAAACATATTTTGGACCCTAGTCTTGGTTTTGCCATTTATAAAATGTGATTTTTATGTAACGATGCAGGAGTGTGAAAGCAAGAAATCTATGTCTAATTTTCTCATTCATTCATTCATTCACTCATTCATATGCCAGAAACTGCGCTTGCATCTGTAAAATGGCAGTAATATGAATTCTTCTACCATAGGGTTGTGGTAGGAATTTAGCTAGAGGGTATAGGCCAAATCCTCTGAAAATGTTAAGCTTCTGTATGAACATATAACATCATTAAGCACAACAGATGTATACCATCATATAGAGAAGGTTTTAATATATTGTACTGAAAATGGGTAACATTTAGTCAAATTTTTACCTCTGTAAAAATAGTGGCTTATATCCCATGGATTCAGGACATAATGTGTAATGTAGATTCACTGAACAATGTGAGATTTCTGAGGTTATTCTACTTTCCAGATCCTAAGCAAGGTTTGCCAGTAGTTTGTCTTTGAGTTCTCTGGTCTGTAGTGCAGCACAGTATTGCATGCTTTTTACACCAATAGAATCACTTTAAAAATTTGTAACTGAGGCAGAGTGGGGAAGGAAACACCTCCTCCTGTGTAAGATTTTTTGTTGATCCTGGCAGGGCTTTGAGAAAGTGACATGCCCACTTTCCCTTTTTATTCCTGTGAGGAGTGGTTCAGAAACTTACTCCCCACCACTCATGAGGCAAAATTATCATGGCTTTTATGAAAGGATGTAAAGTTTTGACTTTACAAATGAGGGAACTCATTTGCTCTAATTTTCTGGATGTCCTAAAGCCCACATGGATGAGCAAAATATGTACTATTTGCCTCTCTACTTTGAAAGTCTGGCTTTTTAGCTCAAAAATTCTCTTGACTGAAAACTTGAACTGAAAGAAATTGGTATTACCCTGGGCAAGTCCAAGTCCTTTACTGTCTCTGGGCTTTAGCTTCCTAAGTATAAAA
Source organism: Homo sapiens (assembly GCF_000001405.40). Taxonomy (NCBI): domain Eukaryota; kingdom Metazoa; phylum Chordata; class Mammalia; order Primates; family Hominidae; genus Homo; species Homo sapiens. The sequence goes on from NC_000011.10 coordinate 20,854,296, forward strand.
TGTGGGGCTAGGACTAGATGACTTTTAAGTCTTCTTCCACCTCTACCCTTCTGGGTGTACCTCCTGATTCTATCTCATCACAAGTCTTATTTCAGGGCTTGCATTCCCCTCCCCCTTTAGCACCATGGAGAGCAACTTAGCTTGTCCTTTTCAAAGTGCCACTTCTGTAGTGGACCTACAGGGGTTTGCAGTCATCTGAATTTATATGTGAGTTGGCAGTGCAACATGCTGCTGATGAGCAAAGACCAAAGCCCACTTCTCCTGGATGCTCACTCTCTCTTTTTCTTTTTTAAATCACTTGCTGGAGTAGATACTGAATATGTACTTTTGGATGCTAATGGATGCTGGCCTTTTCTTCTCTCCACCTTGTGCTCTTTCTTCCTGAGTTCTCTGCCTCAGACATGTGACAGTGGACAGCCTGTGTGGGATGCAGGCTTTTCTGGCCATGGAGGCCTTGGTAGCTCGGTGACCTACAAGACAGAGGGCAGTGCACAGTAGCAAGCAGATGATGGATAGTTGTGCTGTGAAAGACATACATCCTCTGAATGCTGAAGTAAAAGAAGCCTTGGATGCTGCTAAGTCACAGAGATTTAAATAACAGGAAATAGAGTTAATGTTAAAGATATAGATGGCCAATATAATACTTTCAAAATGAGATTTTCAGGCAAAATAGAGAGTGTCTGCTTAATTGCTAAGGCAGCCTGACCATTACAGTGTTGGATATCTCATTCTGACTTAGCCCCCACATTTCTACTCATGCTATGTACCCTGTGGCGTATTCATATCAACCTCGCTAGGTGGATTCCAAGTTAACCTTGTCCTATGTTCTATTAACATCAGTAGCAGACCTATTTCTAATTTTTAAGAACCTTCAACTTTTTCTTTTTTTTTTTTTTCTGGTGGGTTTAAATATGCCTTTCGTTAACGATTGCCTCAATGGCAAAGAGAGATAGAAGGTGAAAGGATTAATTGAAATGGAAGATGAGAGAGTGATCTGCATTTTTCTCCATCCACTTGCACTCCTGGGCTTTCAAGTTTGCAAATAGAAAGAACTGGGAAAAAATACAATAGACTCTTTCCTTTATCTGATGGTTTGTTGGCTACCTGAGGCGAGGAGTGGATTAAAAAGAAAGCATTTTGTTGCATACATGAGGCCTGAGATGTGTTAGAATAGAGAGGAAAATAAGACTTCATTTCCAACTCATAGTGATTTCATCTACCTGCCTTCAGTCACATCTCATGTTGTCATTGTATTACATGGACATGGGTCTATATAGATGAATGGAGGGGGAAAATAGGCTGCAAGAGAAAAATATATTTTCTGATAGGAAAAATATTGATGCTTGCATCTTAATTGTTGTAATTTTACTCTATTTTTGATGGATATGCATGGTTATTTTTTAAAGAGAAAAGCAAGGAAAGAAAGTAAACCAGAACAATACACCTGGTGAAACTCTGTTTGAAAAAAACATATACACATTCATATATTAGTTTTCTCTGTTCCTTTTATGCTTCACTTGTTGGAAAAGATCATTGGGGATAAAAAATGCATGAGCCATGAGGACTTTTTAATTGAAAAAACAAAAACAAAAACAAAACAAAGAATTCCAAACAGTGCATTAGTTTTCCAGATAGATCAGGGATGCTGATGTCGTTGAAAAGAACGGATTTTCTATACTACTGTAACAAGATTCATCTATCTCCTTGGAAACTTTAATTAAACTAATGTTATAAATAATAGCAGCCAGAGCTGTTGGACACAAGAAAACAGATTTATAGCTGCATCTGCTCAGCTATTCCTCTTTTAGGTGGTATATTGGGGTTAGGATGTGAGGATGAAGAGGCTTGCACGGAAAATGTTTCTGTGCACTCTTTTTCCTGCACAAACCCCAAATCTAGGTGACTTTTCTCTCCAGATTATCCTTTTTAGTTTGTTGTGAGTGTTTCTGCCAGCAAGGGTTGTAGAGTTGCAGAGCCAGCCAGCTAATGTGCCTGGACCCACACCTGAGGGTTTTCATTGGCAATTAGAGTGGAAATAATTTCTCTTCTCTTTAAAGGGCTTGTGTAATGGTGTCTCTAACTCTCCCTCAGGAATGCCATGTCGCATCCCTACTCATTAGAGTCTATTAGTCTGAGGGTGTCACTTTTCTGACAGCAAATTTCACACATTTGAACTAACAAGCTTCAAGTTGTGGCCATCAGCTGGCTTCTTTGGGACACCTAGAATGCCTGTATTACCCAGAATGGAATTTTATTATCATTGGAGGTAAACAGCCCTAGGCTGTGATTAGTCCTGGTATATCCTCAGCAAAGCAGTTGACTGACTAATCCTTCCATGTACTTTTGCTAATATCTGCTTTCCAGGTCTGATGCTGTTTTTGGCTGAAGTACAAGCAAGAAAGAGGCTGGGGAAATGCTGATTCAAATTTCTTGTATTCTTTGACATTTTAGCCTCAGAAGCATAACACCACGCTAAGGAAAATGTAGAATTTTTGCTTAATCATTAGTGAGTTGAGGTTAGTGTCTTATGTTTCTCTAGAGATGATTGATACATTCACTTGATCTTTATAGCTCTGTGAGATGGATGTGATTGCATCTTATAGATGGGAGGTTTTGAGATGCTAAGTGTAAGGTACATGGATGTGCTTTGGTCAAGAATAGGCTGAGGCAGACATCTGGGCCAGAGTGACTCAGTGAGTTTGGAGTACAGGTGCATAACTCCACTTGTTATATAATCACAGCCATAACATGGGAAGGCTCATCGCTATTATTGTTTGTAAAAGGTATAACTGCCCTGCTGATGCTGTGCATACAGCATGCATCCAGAGGGAGAGAGGGAAGCTGTTGGCCGTATAAGGGAGAGCCAGCCTTGCAGGCCAGGGAATGCAGCTGTAAGCATGGGAGCGGCAGGAGCTGCAGAACCAGAGCAGGCAGCCGAGATAAAGGCAAACAGTGTGAGAGAGCTGCTGATGAGAGAGTCGCTGAATAAAACCGTATTTCACCTGCCTATAGCCCCCCGAGTGTTCTTTCAGCCATTCACCACCCATCCACTCACTCCCCTCGAACCTCAGCATGGGCTGCAACCTAATATCTGGCATGACATTTGGCATAGCTGGCAGGAGAAGGTGAGTGGTTCTTCAGCCCCGAGGCTCCCAGCTCGGCTATGTGACCTCAGCATGGGCTGTGGTACCCAGTGGCAGTGGTGCTGCTTTGATGATCCCCAGTGGAAATGTGAGAGGCAGTGGGCAGGTCTCCTGTGAGTGTGGAGAAAGCACTGAAGCAGCTGGAAGGACACAGCACCAAGAAGGAACGCATCTTCACCGGCAGAGTTGGATGGGTGTTTCTGACTGCACTGTGGGAAGTACATGCTCAGTCTCTGCAGGACGCTGCCCAGGTTTAGAAGTGACAGTGCTCCTTATGCCTGGGATTGAGATGATGCAGGTGAGAGAGTCTTTCTGGCAGCCAGCAGGCAATTCAGCAGACACAAGCCCTACGGGTAGTTAGCCAGGGGTGTCCATTTAAACGTGATGTGCATGTGACCACAGATAGTTTCAGTTAGGGCCTATAGCGGTGCATGGAGCACTGAATACACCAGTAGGCTTTGGGTCGCAACTATGGAAGGGAGCCAAGCTCCAGTATTCCTTGATAAAGATGCAGTTAGTAACTGCATATGCTGCCCTTCAGGCTCGTAAGAACGTAACAGGACGGGCTACAGTTGTCATGTGCACAGCTTACCCAATAGCAGGATGGGTGCATTCATGGGTAACAACCCCACAGGCTGGGACAGCACAGACATCCACTTTAGCAAAGTGGGACACCTACTTAGAGCAGTGAAGTACTCTACAAGTCCCTTAGCAGCAGAGTTACAAGAGATATTGAAGCCTGTAGTCCTAATGCAAGATAAGGCCATGGAGCCTGAGGTACCCCTAGACCCTGAGCCATCACCGTTTAAGGAAGTGCACCCCCCTATTTCTGATGAGGCATAGTATACAGATAGGTCTAGCCAGAGCACTGCTGCTACCTGGACTGCTGTTGCAGTCCAGCCTAGTACTGACACTATAAAGTTTGATACCAAGTGTTGGCAAAGTAGCTAATGAGCTGAACTCAGGGCAATATGGATGATGATCACCAAGGAAGTAATACCTATGGTAATCTGCACCGATAGCTGAGCAATTTATCAAGGTTTAACCTTTTGGTAAATCACCTAAGAGTTACAGAATTAGCTAGTTAGTCACCAACCCATGTAGGACCAGGCCATATGGCTGGATCTGTGACAGGAAGGATGACCTTCTCCAACCAGGTATGAGGACAATGATGATCTGTTGTTGCCTGCTCCAACACCCCTGAAGGCAGAGGGAACAGAAAACCTAATCTTATCCATAAACTCTCCAAGCCGCTGTTTGCAGATGGTTGGCTATCATAGCCCCCTGGGGGTGGGGAGGGACTGCAGTATAACTTACATGGTACTCCTTGGGTATTTAATGTGTGGCCTCCACAATTAACCGTTTGTAGGGGAATGGCCAAGGAAGGGATCCTCCTCCAGGGCACATGTGTACTGTCTGTGTGGCCTATTAGAAGCTCCCCTGTGACTTTGGCACAGGTACAGGATCCAAAAGAACCATGGGGAACTGATAAGGTGTACCATTGCCCAGGGCAGAAGGCCTTGGCGGCTGCATTATTACCCAGAGATGAAAAATTAGCCTGCATTTTGCCTGAGGAACGTGATTTACCCCTGTTAGTACCTGTGCCTGCTTCGTCATTTCGGCTGTAGGTTGACATGCTCCAAAGCATTGTGGACTAGGCCCACACCTACACTGAAGTGACCAAAGTCTCAAACTGTTGGATCTGCACCACCCTTCCAACAGCAGCTGCAGACAGCTTGCCCTGGCATGCACCTCCAGCTTCCGTGAAGAACTGGACATAGCTAGAGACTTGGGGTTCCACGGACATTGGTTAGGCCAAAATCCACCTTGTTATAAATTCCAAGTATAGCTGATCAGTTGGTCTTTAGATGCTAGAAGGCTTATGTGTGTTGTTTTTAGATTCAAAGACTCCCTCTTTCCTGGAATTTGAAGTATTGATAGGTTCATGACTTCAACACTACAGAGATACGGCCCATTGTCCTTGTAAGATTTGTATGCCTTGTGTGGGTCTCGATGCTGATGTGTAATGGCCAGGGACATAATCTTACATCACGACTGACTGCAAATGAGCCATTCAGCCATTTCTTCAAATGTGGAGTAGACGTTACACTAGTCTCCAGTGTTACGTATGTGGTTTTACACTGCTCCAATATAAATTTTGATATTCGCTACCTCAAGGTGACAAATTCTCTGTATTCTTTAAGGGGACTTTGCAATTGAAGGTCTCATTATAAACTACTGGTGGTGAAATCAAGGGTTGGGCAGTAGGAGACCCCCATTTAGGAGGGCATTTGTCGTTATTGCTTCTTTTATTGGCACCTAATTAGATATGTACTAGAGCCTGCAGGAACTAATAAGAGAGCACAGGAGGTAGGCGAACATATTGAATTCTGAGTAATTTTCATGGATGGCAATTTTTCATGGACATTAGGTTGATACATAATGACTTAACACTGCAAACCTGGTCATCCTATTCCCTACCCACTCCAACACACAATTACGCTTGTTTAATAGCCTCTGATAAGCTTTAGGATAAAGGTCACAATCCTTAATATAGCTTACAAAAATTGTGTATAGTCTAGTCCACGTTTCCTTCTGTAGTTTCTCCTTGCATTGGTTTCTGCCTTTTTCTGATTTTGAGTTCTTTAGAGGTATCATATTCACTTAAGCCACAGAACCTCTCTTCACAATGCTGTTTCTAGGATGTCAAGTTCACTCTTATACATCCTTAATTTTCAGGCTAAAAGAAAGGGGCCTCTTGTGTTTTACACTTTTACCATAAAATAGTGTTTGCTTTTCAACACAGTAATTTTTGATCATTTGATTGATGTCTGCCTTTCCTATGGGCTGTAAGCACCCTATGAGCTCACCATTGTTTCACAAATGCCAATCATAGAGCTGCCACCTAATAGGTAATCAGCAAATATTTGCAAATACCTGAATGAATGAATAAATGGCAAAGCTTCTCTAGGGGTCTGGATTCCTAGCTTGTGGCCACTGATCCTCACATTCTCGATGGCTTCATTAGTGAATTGTTATTTCTTTGCCTCAGTCTCCTCATCTGTGTAGGCATCATTTCTACTCAGTCCACCTGTACAGGGGGTATCATGAGGTTCAAATGAGGGCCTGCATGTGGATGTGTGCTGTAACTTTCAGTGTGCTTTATGAATATCAGGCACAAGGAAAGGTGAAGACGAAGTAATCCTAGCAGTTTTTGCTTTGAACTTTTGAGTATTGTTCTCTTTCTCAGGGAGGCAGTTAATTTATATAAGGCTTTTGGTGATTTCCTGGTCTGATTAACAGCACAAGGTGAACCGTGCCTTGCTCTCAAGTTGAATTTACATGTGGCCTGTGTCAGCGGGAGCTCTGGCAGGCATGAAGGAGTGGAGGAGAAGGTGATTTACAGATAGAGTACAAACATAAACTGATCACAGGTGGGGTGAAGGGATGTGTGCCCCTGCTGGAGAACAAACAGAGTTGGGTACTTGTGTTTTGCCTGCACAGGACATATCTCCATCTTTAAATTCTGTGGATCTGTTTCATAAAATTTGAAGCTCACAGTAAGGGCCTCATTCAAGCCCATTAGACTAACCTCTTTGGGCAGGGTTTCATGACTCCCAGGCTATATTGGTGTAGCCTTAGTGTGAAGATCAATGGATGTGTTTTTCTTTAATTTTTAAAAATTATGTAAGGTGCAAAGTATTTAAAGATATACAATACCCATTGCCCTGCCCTTAATCGTATTGCACAGAAGTGGTCATTATTAGCAGTTTTATTTCTGTTCTTCAGATATTTTCTTTGCATACACAAACACATTTTTTTTCTCCATAATGATATAGCATTGTACATATTATTCTTCAACTTGCGTTTTCATTTAACGGAATATCAGCCTGATTCACTATTGATCTGCAGCGGGAACATATTCAGGAGGAATGAGGCTGCTTTGTTTCTTGCAGGGTAGCCTGGGACTGCTTTGTCCCTTGGTAGTGTGTGGAGCAGTACTCACCTGCAAGCCTCTAGCCTCCTGCTTTGGGCTACAATACATCTCTCTTTCCTGTCACACAGCAGTGACTATAGAAACAGGGCAGGGAGCCAAGAGCCCCTGCCCTTGAATCAGCATGTCCTGTCTCAGCTGCATAGCTAGGTGAGACCACGGCAATTATCCTGCACTGAGATGGGAGTAACAAGATTGAACTGGGTTTGTGATGAGGGTCAGGTGCTCTGAGCAGGGTCATAATGCTAAATCTTATTTTGTGTGGCTGAAATGGAGCTAGTGCTGGCCAGGGTTAGACATCAGGTGAGCACAATGAGAGACAGTGTAGTTTAGTGGTTCCGAGCATGAGCTTTTGGAGTTGGGCAGAACTGAATTTCAAGTCTGGCTCTGCCACTAGATGTGCTACCCTTGCCAAGTTACTTAGCTTTTCTAAGTCTCAATCATAAGATGGGGACAGAGTACCTCCCTCAAGTGATTGTGAGAATTAAATGTGACAGTGCATTTAGATCAAATAGGACACTCCTGGTTGCTAATAACAGTGGCTGAAACTATAAGGATATATAATGTTTACTTTAGAAGTTTAGATAAAGCCGTGCCTGGGATGAGTCAGTAGCTCAGAAGTGACATGCAGGAGGGACACCCTATGTGTCCTTTGATTCTGCCTTCCTTGGCATTGTTTCTAGATGCTTTTCTCTGGAAAATTAGCACTGTGTCTGGTAAGTAAGTGTTTAATATGTGCCATCATGATGATTCGGATGCTAAATCTGACTATGATTCTTTCTCATCTGAGAAAAGCAGAAGTGAACTGAAGGACAAAATACAGAAGCTAATACCAGTATCTGGTTATTCAAGAGTCATTTTTTTTTAAGCAATTTTAGTTCTGTTTTGGCATAGCAAAATTGAACAGGAAGTACGGAGAGTTTCCATATACCCCGTCACTACACACGCACAAGCTTCCCTTTCTGTCAACATCAAAGCACAAGAGTGGTACTTTGTTACAACTGATGAATCTACTATGACACATTATTACCACCCAAAGTCCATAATTTACATTAGGGTTCATTCTTGGTATTGTACATTTGTGGGTTTTAACAAAGGTATCGTGTCATCTATACAGCATCATAGTAACGTACAGAATAGTTTCACTGCCCTAAAAATCTTTTGAGCTGCTGCTTTTTTTTTTTTTTTTTTTTTTTATTGATCATTCTTGGGTGTTTCTCGCAGAGGATTTGGCAGGGTCATAGGACAATAGTGGAGGGAAGGTCAGCAGATAAACAAGTGAACAAAGGTCTCTGGCTTTCCTAGGCAGAGGACCCTGGCCTTCCGCAGTGTTTGTGTCCCTGCGTACTTGAGATTAGGGAGTGGCGATGACTCTCAACGAGCATGCTGCCTTCAAGCATCTGTTCAACAAAGCACATCTTGCACCGCCCTTAATCCATTTAACCCTGGGTGGACACAGCACATGTTTCAGAGAGCACAGGGTTGGGGGTAAGGTCATAGATCAACAGCATCCCAAGGCAGAAGAATTTTTCTTAGTACAGAACAAAATGAAGTCTCCCATGTCTACTTCTTTCTACACAGACACAGCAACAATCTGATTTCTCTTTTGCCCACCTTTCCCCCTTTTCTATTTCACAAAAACCGCCATCGTCATCATGGCCCGTTCTCAGTGAGCTGTTGGGTACACCTCCTAGATGGGGTGGTGGCCGGGCAGAGGGGCTCCTCACTTCCCAGAAGGGGTGGCCGGGCAGAGGCGCCCCTCACCTCCCGGACGGGGCCGCAGCCGGGCAGAGGCGCCCCCCACCTCCCTCCCGGATGGGGCGGCTGGCTGGGCGGGGGCTGACCCCCCACCTCCCTCCCGGACGGGGCAGCTGGCCAGGCAGGGGCTGTTCTCCACCTCCCTCCCGGACGGGGCGGCTGGCCGGGCGGGGGCTGCCCCCCACCTCCCTCCTGGACGGGGTGGCTGCCAGGCGGAGACGCTCCTCACTTCCCAGAAGGGGTGGCTGCTGGGCGGAGGGGCTCCTCACTTCTCAGACGGGGCGGCCGGGCAGAGACGCTCCTCACCTCCCAGACGGGGTCGCGGCCGGGCAGAGGTGCTCCTCACATCCCAGACGATGGGCAGCCGGGCAGAGACGCTCCTCACTTCTCAGACGGGATGGCGGCCGGGAAGAGGCGGTCCTCACCTCCCAGACTGGGCAGCCGGGCAGAGGTGCTCCTCACTTCCCAGACGATGGGCAGCCAGGCAGAGACGCTCCTCACTTCCCAGACGGGGTGGTGACCGGGCAGAGGCTGTAATCTCCGCACTCTGGGAGGCCAAGGCAGGCGGCTGGGAGGTGGAGGCCATAGCTAGCCGAGATCACGCCACTGCACTCCAGCCTGGGCAACATTGAGCACTGAGTGAACGAGACTCCGTCTGCAATCCCGGCACCTCAGGAGGCGGAAGCTGGCGGATCACTCGCGGTTAGGAGCTGGAGACCAGCCCGGCCAACACAGTGAAACCCCGTCTCCACCAAAAAAATACGAAAACCAGTCAGGCGTGGCGGCGCGCGCCTGCAATCGCAGGCACTCGGCAGGCTGAGGCAGGAGAATCAGGCAGGGAGGCTGCAGTGAGCCGAGATGGCAGCAGCACAGCCCAGCCTCGGCTGGGCATCAGAGGGAGACCGTGGAAAGAGAGGGAGAGGGAGACTGTGGGGAGAGGGAGAGGGAGAGAATTTTTTTATTTCGAGAGTCATTTTTTAACAATTAAAAAAATTTTTTAAATAGAAAATTGTATGTATTTATTGTGTAGAGCAGGCTGTTTGAAATATATATACATTGTGGAATGGTTAGAACTAGCTAATTAACAGATGCATTCTCTCACATAGTAATAAATTTTGTGGTAAGAACACAACATCTCTTCTCTTTGCATTTTTCGAAGACTGCAAGATACTTCATTAATTCTAGTCACCATGCCATACTATAGATCTTGTGAACTTACTCCTACAGTCTAACTGTAATTATATATCCTTTGACCGACATCTCCTTATCATTTTGATACATGGCTGTTCCTGCCATCAGGGCATCTTCAAAAGACCCAGGGCCTTGATCAAAGAGGGGAAAGAGTATGAGTGGGTCTGAGAGGCCAGAGTGCCTCCTGCCTCCATAGGCCATCGTCCCAATTGGCAGGGGTCAATCTTGTTGGCCTTCACTTTCGGAAACCTGGCCTCTACCTGTCTGCCTGTTGCTGCTGCCTTCTCAAAGGCCCTTTCAACACAGGTCTTCCTTATACATAAAGGGCCATGGCAGGCCCAGCTAAGCCAGAGCCTGATTGCAGCTTTTACCCAAGCCTGACTTCACACTTACTTTTATCTCCTGATCCTGTCAGCTCTTGCCTTTTTAGTTCACCAATCCCTAGATTTTGATACTGACTCAGTTTGGCAACTTGCTTGGATTCCTTCCCTGTTTACTGACTTCAGAGCTTCCTGGCTGCTCCTGCCAGTCCTCCTGTACAACATCCTCATTGGCAGGACAGCCCTTCCTGACCTCAGGGGAGATTCTGACCTTTGCTTTACTAGTCTCCTTGACCTTGACTTTTTGATACACACTGATATTTTTATTTTCCTGCCCTCCTTTAACTGCAAGTTGGATCCATGACAGTTTTGGGGGGTTGCTCTGGACCTCTCTGGAGTTAGAGCTATGCAGCAGTGGAAATCTCTATCTGCAGTTGAGCTTAAGGCTTCACTTGTAGGAGCTCTGAAATCTAGATTTCAGTTTCTAGAGATGAAGACGAATACAACTTTTGCAGGATCCACGAAGCTGTTAAATGCACAAATTATATGACTGAGGCTTGCTGTAAAGCTCATTCCTGCTAAACACCACATGAAAAAGGTGACCCAGTATTTGTAAGATGAAAAATCACTAGGATTAACCAAAATGTCACCTCCTTCAAAAGAGGGTGTGCTCAGGTATCACCTGCAATAATCCCTCAAGTGGGAGGCCGGGTGGGATGCTGGAAAAGCCTTGGAGTCTGAGCTGAGTATCTTCTATTGGCTTCTCGGGAAACATTCTCTCCCCTCCCTTCACTCTACTGTGTCTGAGCAGGCTGACCTGCATGGGCTGCATCTGTGGGCTTCTTTGCCATCTGGATTTTTTTTGAATTTTATTAGGAAGAACAGGCAGGGGAAGGGAGGAGGAGAAGGTATCTATTCCCCTGTCTTCTTCACTGTGGGGTCACCTTGGGCTGGCTGTGACCTTTGACTGAAAGCCACAGGCCCTATTAGGTGGTTCTTTTTGGCTTCCTTGCTCTTTAATGCCAGAAAGGGAAGAGCTTTTCCCATCTTCTTTTTACACACTGTGAGGTGCCACCATCCCTCACAGTTTATGTACTCCTTGCCTGTACTTCTGTAAACAATGCCGTTTAATCTATTATTCTCTTTGCAAATGACCAAAGTACAGTATACTGAGTTTCCCACAGGACCCTGACTGTTACACATCCTAAGTCAGAAACCCTGGCTCACTCTCTGGCTTCACCACTTCCTAGCTGTGTGCTCTTGGGTGTATTTCTCAACTCCCTTGAATCTTGGGTTTCTTTTCAGTAAAATGGGGATGGCAGTCATTCTTGCTTCTGTCTATACCACCCTCCTGCCCCCTGCCTTCAAGGAAGAAGACAAAGAGTGTACAAATGTTATGTAAACTGTAATGTACTGTGCACAAAGGAGGAGTTACCATCTCTGTGATGCGCAAGGAGCTTGAAGTGGGAATTGGGGAAAGCAGAAGGCTTTGAGGCTAGAGCATTCAGGTCCCCAGATGGGACTCTGCATCCTCACCTGCTCCTCAGCACAGCCAATGAGAAGCACATCTGGCAGGAGAACAGGACCTAACAAAATACCCTCCAAAGCTGAGGCCACAGGACCGCCTGTTCTATTCACCTTAGCCCACAGGTCCAACTCATCTGGAAAACAGATGAGAGCTCCTCTAATTACAGACAAATTATGTAGGGATGACATTAGACTCTGGTAAGATGGACTCTCTGGTAAGGCCTTTGGAAAATAAAGTTATGTGGTCCAAAAGGAGGAAGCTGTCAAAATGGTGCTGAGAAACAGATGAAAAGGCCAATTTCTGGCCTTTTGTTTTTCAACATTCACAGAATACAGTATTGGCAAGAGTAAATCCTGTTATTTGTGTCTGGATAATCTGACACTTGTTGCTAAAAGGAAATGGCCATGGCATTTATATTGGAAATTTCCTTGGAAGGCCTTGTGCATGAGCTTCTGGAGGGAGGTGGCACCCCCTCTAGCAGATGACTCTTTATCACGTCAATCACCTCATCTTCTTTTATTGTCTTTGAAGGACTATTCATTGTGTAAAATTATCTTGATCAGTTACCTGTTTACAATTTTATGATGTCTCTCATTCTTTCCTACCTGTAACCCTTGCCTCCAATAAGGAAATCAGCTCCTCGAACTTATTTTAATGCTGAGTTCCAAGCACTTGGCTAAATGCCTGGCACAGAGTGGACATTCAACAATATTTGTTGAATGAATAAATGAGAGAAGGATTACTATGCATAGCTGGCTATGTTGGGCACAAGACAGAATTCTGGGTCTTTAAGGAGCTCACATCTAACGTCTAATATCTTTCCACAACTTTGGGGCAATGGACATAAACCCACAACTCCAAGACATTAAATACTCAGGGCCCCAAAAGAAGCAAAGGCACAGATCAACTGTTATAGGATTAGAAAATGGGAGACTTGACTTCCAGTGGAAATGAGGGGAAAGTAGAATGAACAGAGGTTTAAGAGAAAGGCTGTGTTTATATTCAGATCCCTAATTTCTCAATGGTTTCCTTTTGCTTCAGTTATTTGGGCCACAGTTTTCTCATTAAAAAAAAGATGATGATTGACTCTACGTCATGGGTTTAACTGAAGTAATGCATGGAAAGCAGCTGGGCACATAGTAAGCAGTCAGCAAATGTTAATTATTATTATTGTTAGCAGCAGTAGTAGGATAAGGAGGAGGAGAAAGAGGAGGAAACGTTTATGAACGAAAATTCAGTGAATCCTGGCCAGTGGATGAGAAGACTTGCGTTCCAGCTTTTGTCTTGCTATTCAACTCTGTGGTGATGTTTGAAAGAACTTCCGTTTTCTGGGCATCATTTGCAAAATGAGGAGTTTGAACTTGCTGATCTCTGGGTATCCTCAAATTATTATTAGTTTGCATAGAGTTGGGCTTGAAGGATGCATAGTATTTGTGTTTAAGAGCATACGGTGTGCATATGGAGGAATAACTTTCCTTCTTATTTTTATTTGTTTCTGCCTATGCCAAAAGGTTATTTAATTAAGAGAAAATAATCACATGTCTCTTGAGATCCTTCTACTCCAGTACCTGCACACTTTGGATACAGAGGAGCAACCAATCAAATATTCGTTGGTTGCTTGGCTGACTTATTTGGTTGGATATTAGAAAGAGTCTCAAAATTCCATTTTTAAAATTTCTAAATTGTGAATGAGACATTTATTTATTTTACCCTCACTCATATATACTTAGGTAAACACAGAGAAATAGAGGGAGGGTGGAAGAGAAGAAAGAGGATGTCGAAAAGGACCGAATAATATTTATCAGTTGTTTACAGTGTGTCAGGGGTTTACATATAGCATCTCATTTGACCTTCAGAACAATCCTGTGTGATGTGAGAGCAGATGTTTTTAAGGCATCTTCATTTCCATTTTGACTTTGAGACAGTAGGATCAGGGAGGTTTAACCTGTTTAAGGTCCTAGAAGCAGGAGGCATGTTAGAGGTGGGATTGAAACCCAGACCTCCATGACTCCCAAGCCATCATATTCTCACGTGCTAAGTGAAATAAGCCAGTCACAAAAGGACAAATATTATAAGATTTCATCTATATGAAATATCTAGAATAGGAGCATTCATAGAGACAGAAAGTAAATTAGAGGTTTTCAAGTGCTGGGGGGAGGGTGAATGGAAAGTTATTGCTTAATGGTTATAGGGTTTCTGTTTGGGATGATAAAAAGTTAAGGAAATAGATAGTGGTGATAATTGCATAACATTGTGAATGTAATTAATGTTACTGAATTGTACAATTAAAAATGGTGAAATGGTAATTTTTTGTTATAAACATCACAATTTAAAAAATTAATGTTATATATCAAAAACATTGAAATATATAGCTTAAATGGGTGAATTGTACATGAATTATATGAATGAGTAAATGAAATAATTATATTTCAATAAAGCTATTAAAAATCGCAATGCAAGGAAATAAAAGAAAACCCAAATATACATATTGAGTAGGTCCATTATAAATCTGGGAAAATCAATCTGTAAAATAAACTCTGAGATATATCCTCATAAAAGTATTAAATTTTATATAAAAGAGAAGAAATTTCATGATCTTAAGGCAAAAAGACCTCACAAAGGAAAAAAATTCAGGTTGCCATCAGACATTTTGACAGCAATGTACAAAACAAGGCAAAAGTAGCATTTTCAAGAAAACTCGAGGAAAGATTGAGTGGGAAGCAGTTCCCTGTTTGACAGCTGAGTTAAGTGTTGGTGTATTATATAGCCAGTGAAGTGCTAGGAAGGTGTCTGGAACCAAGGGTCCAGCGGTTGGAAGCAAAAGAGTATATGAAACTTTTGGGAATTGCAAATAATTAGCAATTCAGTTTCTGTAAAGTGAAGTGGAGAGGCTCATAAGGCCTTAGATTTCATCAAGTAGTTCATTTATTCATTTGTTTACTTAACTGATGTTTCTTGAGTGTGTTAGTATTAAGTGCCTAGTAATGCCCAGTCAGTTATATGTTACTGAGAGAGAGAGAGCATTGTTTATGATATCTATATAAAGGGAGGAGGAGAGGTTAAAGAGACTAGGGGAATGTGCATAGAAATTTTCATTTATGCATGGAAATGTATGGCATTTACTTGAGTAATTCTTCAGCTATTCCAAACATCCTCTTTCAAATGAAAATTTGCATTTCAACCTTTTCATCAACCTAGTATTCAAAGTGCTGATGGACAATTAATCTATGTAAGAGGCAGAGACAACTGAGCCAGTTCATCCATTTGATCAACATTGTACAGTTGTAGGGAGATGGCTGTGTACAGGAACTGATCAGATGGATACAATTTGAGTGCATAAGTGCAAAAATAGGTGAAATGAGAACTATTCTTGAGCATATATTTTGTGACATGAGCTGCTTTAGGTACTGGGGATACCAAGGCAAATAAGAGCTGGTTTCTGCTTTTCAGTTGCCCTAAATCTATAAAATGCTGATTACATCACAGGGTGTAAGTAAGGTAAGTACCAGGTATGGTGAGAAGAACAGAATTGTTATCTTTATGTGTACTGCTGAGTGGTCATGCCAAGACTTATCATAGTGCTTCATCTGAGTTTAGAATTGCTTGCCTTATAGCGTATCTTCCTGCATACTTTTGTGTTAGTTAGGATGCTCTAGTTGTAAGTAACAGAAATCAACTTGAATACCTTGAGCAAAGAAGGTGAGGTTACTAAAAGGTTACCAGATTATCTCATGGAATGGACATAAGGAAAAGGATGTAGCTGGATCAATGGAAAGATGTGGAAAATCAGTAAACATTCAGGTGACTCAGTATCACTTCACTTATGCCTGTTTATGTTTGTATTGGTGACATTTTCAAAGCAGTTACTGTTCATGGCCTCATTGAGCCTCAACATAAATAGGTAAGTAGGGCAGGCATCATTTTCTTTATGTAAGAGGTAAGGAAATAATCCAGGAAAAGGAAATGATTTGTCTAAGGCTACATCCCAAGTTCAGTGGTTAAGTCCAGAATTTAGAATAGCAGTCTCTAACTCTTGGGTTTATTCTTTACCCATTAGTTTTCTTCAAAACTTTGTCTCACTACTATGCAGTTTTTTTCCTTCTTCGAATTCTCTCACCTTTTTAATTTTTATTTTATCATTCATTTGGTCTTGGAAATTAAAGGAGTCGCCTGTGTGTCCTTAATAATAGGCTTATTTGAGACATCTCTGGCAACTAATTTATATTCTGTAACCTGAACATGAAGGGGCCACCAAGAAAGGAGATAATTAAAGAGAGGATGGGAGATCTCAGTCATCTCAGTGATTTTCTTATTATCATCCATGAAGTACCTTACCAGACATGGGCCATTATAGTTTAAATGATGAGTTGGAGTTTGAAAAGGATTTGGAACTTCATCAGACACTTTCCGAGCTTGTAGCCCATTGTTTTCCAAACTTCAATTTTTCTTCCACAATGAACAATAACTTTTTGATTAAACAGCTGGCAGTTACTATTGAATGCCTCACATTTAATAACAAAAGTCTTCCTTCAGAACAGGAAATTTTATCTAAATTGCTTTGCTCTTCTTCCATGATTGTGAACTTCTAAAGTCTGACAGGACTGATAGCTGGAAAAAATAAAAATTTCTTTCAAGAAGATGATGATTGCTTTTTAAAAGAAAGAGCCCCAAACTAAATGAATAATTCGGTGTGCTTGCTACAAAGCAGAAGTCAAGGCACACAAGTTATCCTCTCTGTAAACATTATTAAAAAACAATCAAGTTTGTATTGGCACATTTATATTGGGAAGATTGTAGACAGCAGCTGAGAGAAAGAGTAAAAAAAGCACCGCTTGGTAGTTAGGGACCTTCTTCACTTTTTGTTTTTGTTCTTAATAGAAGTAGCTACCATTATTCAGCTAATACTGTGCTATGCCCTTAATATATTAATTAATTAGTACTCCAACCTGAATCCCTTCCTGCCCTCCTGCTAGTACTTCCCTTTGACTGAAACCAAGTGGAACCAAAAGGAGAGGAACTTTTGATACAGGTCAGTCTCCTGTGGCCCAAAGCCAGGCAAAGAGGGGTGGAGAGTGTATCTGGCTGGGACACATGGAGAATATTCAGCTCGCCTTAATTTTATAATAAATAAAGTCATTTGTTTTGCTGTTCATCTGCCCTATAATGCAGTCTCTAAGAGGACAGGGATATAATATTATTTTCAAAATAAATTTACTGGTGTCTGCCTATATATTATCTATCTATGTATCTATCTATCTAATCTATCTAATCTGTCTATTCATCCATCATCCAAACAACTATTATTAATGGTCATAGTCAGGAGAACTCTTTCATTTCTTTATAATGCTTTGCAAAATGGTGGGACACTGCAGGAATTTTTCTTTTATTTGTACTACTTTCTCATTTTTTTTTTATTCATGTAGAAAAACCTCTAGAAACTGTCCTGCAGAGGAAAATCCCCTCCCTATGCCTCTTACTTTGCCTCGGAGATGCTTTAAGAAGAGGCCCTGCTGGGCGTGGTGGCTCACACCTGTAATCCCAGCACTTTGGGAGGCCGAGGCGGGCAGATCACGAGGTCAGGAGATCAAAACCATCCTGGCTAACATGGTGAAACCCCGTCTCTACTAAAAATACAAAAAGTTATCCGGGCGTGGTGGCAGGTGCCTGTAGTCCCAGCTACTCAGGAGGCTGAGGTGGGAGAATGGCATGAACCTGGGAGGCGGAGCTTGCAGTGAGCCAAGATCGTGCCACTGCATTCCAGCCTGGGCGACAGAGAAAGACTCCGTCTCAAAAAAAAAAAAAAAAAAAAAAAAGAAGAGGCCCAACTACTTCCATCATAGGCTTGCTTGGAGCTATATCCTGTGGCTGGGGCAGGAGCTCCCAGCCAAGCCTGACTCTGCTGCTCAAGGGCAGATAATACCAAATGAGTCCTCTATCAGAGATTTTTTTTTTTTTTTTTTTGGAGACATGGTCTCACTCTGTTGCCTAGGCTGGAGTGCAGTGGCACAATCTGGGCTCACTGTAGCCTCAGCCTCCCTGGGCTCAGGTGATTCTCCCGCTCCCACCTCAGCCTCCTGGGTTACTGGGACCACAGGTACCTGCCACCGTGCCTAGCTAATTTTTATATTTCTTGTAGAGATGATGTTTTGCCATGTTGCTCAGGCTGGTCTAGAATTCCTGGGCTCAAGTGATCTGCCCACCTTGGCTTCCCAAAGTGCTGGGCTTACAGGTATGAGCCACATGGGGCCAGGCTGGCACCTATAAGTCTGATTTCGTGAGGGGCTTATGAATTTGTATTTTTGAAAAGCTTATGAGGCTATCCTACTGCCTAGTAAAGTTTGGGAATTGCCAAGAGACCTTTGGTGGTTTCCAAAGTCCTGAAAGAGTCAGAAAGTCAAAGAATACTAATCCCTGCTTGAATGTGGAGATGCCAGTGTTTGAGGTGTGTGTGTGTGTGTGTGTGTGTGTGTGTGTGTGTGTGTGTAGTCTATGCTGTACAAAGACTTCATGGAGAGGGAGCAAAATAATTCCTGTGTTCCTTACCATAACTGCTAGTCCCTGATATATTTTGTATGGGTTGTTTGGGAATGGTCAATCATCAGGCCTTTAGAGAGACATTCATTTGCTCTGGGAAGCTTTAAACTAGTACATGAGGATGTCACACATGCTCACTGAATGACAGATGGCTTTTGGATTCTTACATATTAATATAACAAGTAGCAGATAGTGGTTGGATCAGAAGACCTTCAATGTCCTTTCCAACCCTGAGAGTCCTGGTTACCAATGTCTGTTTTATGTGAGCAGCAGGCTTTTGATTTATTATCACTGGAAACTAACACCTAAATCTTCATCTAGGTGAATAATAATATGGGTTTGCACTAAATTATCACCCATTTGTGAGCATCAGCAAGTGTTTTGGAGGCAGCCAGCCTGGGGTATAATTGAACACTAGGAGCAGCACATTTTGCTCTGAACCTCTGGAAAAGATGGGACCGACGACTGTGGCCTTGATGTAACCTCAATGGCGCCATCTAGGGAGTGATTTCACAGGTTAATGCTCCCCTCTCTTCCTATAAGATTGTGGCTTTTAAGCACCTCTTTTATAGAAATTGTGAAGCTAACACTAGATACTATGTTCTAACCAGTTGAGCCAAGTGGCTTCAATGAGGTTTTTGGTATTTTGTCTGAAAATATTTCAAACTAAAATGTCTTTTAGATTATTCTGTGAAGATAAAGGCATTGATCTCACCTAAAAACATTAATAATGTTCTGTTTGTGAAAAGCATTTTAGACTTTACAAAGTACTTTTACAGAGCAGATGATCTGTTTTGTGCTTACACGGAAAATCCTGTGTGGTAGATGTTGTTATTAAAGGTTTACGGATGAAGAAACAAAGGACTCAGAGAGGTTTAGTAACTTGTCCCAAGTCACAAAACATAAAAGTAAAGGTAAGACACAAATGGGAATTTTCTGGCTCTAGTCTGATGATCTTTCCCTGGCTGATGCTGTTTGTGTAACCCACTGGTTGAATATTTGACTTTTTTTTTTTTTTTTTGAGACAGGGTCTCACTCTGTTGCCCAGGCAGTCCATCGGTGCAGTCACAGCTCACCGCAGCCTCGACCCCCCAGGCTCAAGGGATCTTCCTGTTTCAGCCTCCCCAGTAGCTTGGGCTACAGGCACACACCACCATGCCCAGCTAACTTTTTTATTTTTTGTAGAGATGTGGGTCTTCCTATGTTACCCAGGCTGGTCTTGAACTCCTGGGTTCGAGCAATCCTCCCTCCTTGGCCTCCCAAAGTGCTGGGATTGCAGGCATGAGCCATTGAACCCGGTCTGAGTTTAGACTTTTTTTTTGAGACAGAGTTTCCCTCTTGTTGCCCAGGCTGGAGTGCAATGGCACGATCACGGCTCACTGCAACCTCCGCCTCCTGGGTTTAAGCGATTCTCCTGCCTCAGACTCCCGAGTAGCTGGGATTATAGGCACATGCCAACACACCCGGCTAATTTTTGTATTTTTAGTAGAGTCGAGGTTTCATCATATTGATCAGGCTGGTCTTGAACTCCTGACCTCAGGTGATCCACCCACCTCAGCCTCCCAAAGTGGTGGGATTACAGGTATGAGCCACCTCGCCCGGCCTAGACTTTTTAATAGCAGAATTAATTGAGGGTTTTTAGCCAGTGTGGCATGGCAGAAGTTTACACCTGGATTTGAATTTAGAATTCACCATTTACTGAATAGTATTTAGTCGAGTCACTTCATCTCTGTGAACATCTGTCAATTGAGTATAGCAATGCTTGTCTTTTAGGGTTATTGAAAGGATTATAAAGTCTGTAAACTTTTGGCCTATAGGAGGTGCTAACTCAAAGGCAGCTCTTATAAATTTTGAGACAGTGCCTCTCCATCTCTCTGAGTTTGAGGCTAATTGTCCTTCATCATCTGCTGAAACACCCTTCAGAGACTGGAAGTTCACTGCCTTCCAGGAGTGCCCCTTCCCTCTGTATACTATAGTTCTGACTGCTAGAAAATTTTCTCTATCTTGAGCTCAAAGTGCCTCCTTATAGCTTCCACCTGTTGGTATCAATTTTCCCTCTTGGTGCTGCACAGAGCAAGTTCAATTCCTCTTCTACACGATGGTCTTCCAAATACTTGAAGACCTTATTATGGCCTCCCTAATCTTTACTTCTTCAGACAGAACATCTCTGTTCCTTCAACTGTTCATCACTTGATTTGTCTCACAATGCCCTCACAATCTTTTCTGATTCCTTCTGAAGTATGTCTGTTTATTATCTGAGAAGTTCCTAGAACTAAATGCGATTATCTCTGGACAGATTGACTCAGAATAAAATGAGATAATTACTTTCGTCTCATGGTACACTTTAAGATCACAACATCCTTTTTGACAGCTGATCTTAGCTCGCTGTTGACCAAAAAGGTGTTTATTTTATTTTATTTTAATTTTTTTAATATGTATTTCTGTTTACCCTTAGATCTCACATTCTGTTTTTAAGCAGCATATTTACCCTAACTTTGGACCCTTTTCATTTTTCCGTGTGAAATTTCATCTGATTTGGCCCTAATTCCTGCCTATTAATATCTCTTTTAATCCTGATAGTGTTGTGCTAAATCTGTCATGATTGAAACCATCACACCAGCTTCAAATTTTCCAGCATGTTTAAGAAGCCTATATTCTAGCCAGGTATAGTAGCATGCACCTATAGTCCCAGCTACTTGGGAGGCTGAGGTGGGAGAATTGCTTGAACCCAAGAGTTTGAGACCCTGTCTCTTTGCATGCCTATATCAAAACATCTCATGTATCCCGTGGATATATACACCTACTAAGTACTCACAAAAATTTTAAAAAATTAAAAATAAACAATGAAGCATACTTTCTATTATTTTGTCAAATCACAGATACAAATACTAGTGAGGACAGTCTTATATGATCTGGTTATTTGACCCTGGTACATAATCACAATCATCTCAGAATGATATCTGGATCGTGAATTTTAAGCAGAGAGAAGGGTTGGTAAGAAGTAGTGAAAGAGTGATATTAAGGACATAAAATATGGTTAAGAAGAAAAAGCACCCTTATTATCATTAGAGATCCAGATGAGGAGAGAAAAAGAAAACAGTGAAATTCAGTTGCTGGGCAAGAAAAAGCATGAACGTGACAAGGGTTTCCTAAGGGGATGAAGCAGGTCACACGCAGGCTTGATCTCTGAGAAGACCTCTCTCCTCTCTGTGAAGGGTGTTGACACCCTGCTCTCAAACCCCCTCCCACAGTGTTTGCTGATCTCATTTGAACACTTCTGACTTCTCATTTATCACAGCAAAGGCATCTCCTTGCAGACTTCAACTGTGTGCCTTCTCTTTTTTGTTTGCGTTTGTATTTACAGACAGTTGTTAAGGAACCTGCTGAGCCTTGTTATAGCCCTTCTTCCCATGCTCTATGTGGATTTAGCTTGGAATTCAATCCTTACCTGTTGGGGGCATACTGTATTCATCCCCATAGTCTCTCTTCCCATTACAGTCTGTGTTTTCTGATATAATGCCTGAGGTGCATTTTTCAATTTTGTCATTTTCTGAGTGTCATCTGGATTTGTTAAACAGATTGGCAGGAGGAGACTACAGAGTTCCTCTTTGGGCCATTCCTTTCATGTCCTGGTTTCAGCCCTGTGTGCTGTGTGTTCCATGTGAGCAGTTAATTAACAACATCCAGGCAGCCTGATATGGAATTCAACAGATAGTTCATCGCCGGGCACGGTGGCTCATGCCTGTAATCCCAGCACTTTGGGAGGCCGAGGCGGTGGATCTCGAGGTCAGGAGATTGAGACCATCCTGGCTAACACGGTGAAACCCGGTCTCTACTAAAAATACAAAAAAATTAGCTGGGCGCAGTGGCGGGTGCCTGTAGTCCCAGCTACTTGGGAGGCTGAGGCAGGAGAATGGCGTGAACCTGGAAGGCAGAGCTTGCAGAGCTGAGATCGCGCCACTGCACTACAGCCTGGGGGACAGAGGGAGACTCCATCTCAAAAACAAAACAAAACAAAACAAACAAACAAAAAACCCAGATAGCTCATCAGTGTACACAATTGGCAAAACCCCCTGTCACAGTCAGTAAACTTTGAGGACCTGCTCTGAAGAGTATAACAACCTATGGACTGAATGCTGAATATTTGTTGGTGTCAGAAATAATGCTGATGACATCATGACTTTTGCTTTTCTAGTGGGGCTCAAGAAAGTTACAATTCTCACATTTTTCTTATGAGGCTAAGAGGGGAAAGGGTCTGTTATGTCCCCTTAGCATAAGGCCAAAAGAGGGGCTTAGCTTCATGTGCAAGGTCACCCATTACCATATTGGGCAGGGAAAAATGGATGGGAATGAACTTATGTTCTGTATAGGAAAATTTCTCCAAGGAGCACCTTGATATTCACTAATGCCAGCTAAAAGGCAGTAAAGATGAGGCTCTGTATAACTAAGGAAGGTCATTCCAACTTTTCTCTTCAGCAAGAGCATGAGAGCTTCTCTTCAATTCTTGGCAAAGCCCAAGATAAATCTCTTCATTTACTGTCTCATTTGGGCTTCATATTGTCTTATTGAACAGTGGCATAATACATGTCAATTCACATGATTTACACTGGAAATTCATTCTTTTATATAATTAGGAAAGGTACTGTGGAGTCTCTTCAAAAACCTTCCTTTATCCAGGTAAATAAAAATCCAGTATTTCTTCATAAGTAGTGTTGTTGAACCACCACACTGCTTTGTGTTTAGCTCTGAGGGTTTTATCTATTAATGAGAAAATCAAGTTCTTCACAGAATATAGACTAGTCTTTTAAGCAGACAATACACTTGTTAGGGAGAGTGTTTTAAACCAAAGTCACAAATTAAGAGAGGTTACACCTTGGGAAGAAAATTCCTAATGTGAGCCCTTGATTCAATGATTGACTTTGACAAGGAGTGTGGCAGTTACTCTTTGCCTTGTCCTCTCAAGCAGGTTTTACATTTGACTAGATGTTTAATTTTACATGGTATTATATTAGAAATGAGACACTTACACTTTAAAATATTGATCGATACTAGTGGCATGCAAAATTCCTATAATTCTCCCCGTACAGCTTAATAGGTAGCACCTTGTAAAGGCTCAAGTGAATACAAAGCCTGAGACTCATGTCTAATGGGAAGTGGGTGTTCTTCAGCCCAAAGAAAGGGTAAATTTTTGATGGTTGGAGAGTAAATGCGTTGTTTGCATCTGATAGCCTATAGGAATGTGATACATTTAGACTGATTACAACATAATCAGATTAAGCAGTAAATCATGTGCTTTTCAAAAAACATGCCATTTGGGCCGGGCGCGGTGGCTCACACCTGTAATCCCAGCACTTTGGGAGGCTGAGGCGGGTGGATCATGAGGTCAGGAGATCGAGACCATCCTGGCTAACACGGTGAAAACCCATCTCTACTAAAAATACAAAAAATTAGCTGGGCATGGTGGCGGGTGCCTGTGGTCCCAGCTACTCGGGAGGCTGAGGCAGGAAATGGTGTGAACCCGTGAGGTGGAGCTTGCAGTGAGCCGAGATCGCGGCACTGCACTTCAGCCTGGGGGACAGAGAGAGACCCCGTCTCAAAAAAAAAAAAAAAAAAAAGATGCCATTTGATCTAATTAATTTTCAAGTTGTCGACTGCTTTTCCTGCTCTTTCTGAAATACATCTCTCTGATTTCTCTGTTAGTGAGTTGTCTGCCTGATAGATTCAAATTTTCTATCTCTATCTCTTTTCCGGGTGAGAGACAGTGAGAGGAGTTTATCTTGTTCTTTCTTTGGTGCTTCTTGTATAAATCTCAAAAGGTATTGATGGTGGAGGAGAACACTTGAAAAGGGTTATTACATTTCACTCATCTTTATTGACTTCATGGATCTCATGATTATCAGCATAATGTAAAGTGTCACATTTGACTATTTTTCTCAGTCAGGATTATTAATTTTTGCAAATTGCTCATCATAAAGCTTTGCCATAGTAGGACTTTTATAGCTATCTGACTGTAGTTCTCCTGTTCTGAATACAGTCAGGGAACTTTCATTCATTTATTCATTCAGTATCTGAATTTGGCTAGGTTCTCTTCCAGATAGTAGAAATGCTGACTTGAAAAAGACAGACGAGGCTCCTTATCTTAAGGTGCTTACAGTGTGCTGGGTAAAACAAGCTAAGTGATGGAGACTGACCAGGTGGTTAGGAGTTACTTTATATAGGGTGCTTAGGGAGGGTGTCTAGTGCAGGAGATATCTAAGCAGGTACAGGAATGCTGTGGTCAGTGTTCCATTTCCTCCAGACCCGGAAGATAATTGGTGGTAGCAGCAGTCAGGAAGTACACACACAACTTCAGGATGGATATGATGGGCCCAAGGGTACTAGGAAAGCTATTTCCTCCTTCCTTAGCCAGGTGATCTAGGAAGGCAGGCCCAGCCACTACCAGAGTCTTGAAGACCCCTGTGGGTCATGGAAGCTACCGTGTCACATGCTGAAGAGCTGAGGAATGCGTCTGAATGGATCGTCCAAATGGGGAGGTTCTGAGAGACCAGGAAATAACCAACATATAGGGTGGTTAGAATGTATAAAAATAATATATAAAGAAAGAATGTATAATGTAAGGGTAGTCCTGGATGAGAACTTAAAAATAGGGCCTCTGCTTACTGCTGTTTTCATTTTCCCAGAAACATTCTTCATAAATTGGCTAAATCCAATTAAATGTCCCAAATTGACTAGGGAAAATGCTTACTACCGGACTGGGTGAAAGTGTTAAGAGTAGTGTGCTGCCGTATTTTACTCAGAAAAGCTAACTGATGGCCAGGTGTGTGTGTGGGTGTCAGGTGGGGCGGGGGTTTGGTGATAGTGTGTTTAAGCACACAATCTTATAAAATGTTTCTTCCATCTCTTCCTGTTGCCTGAGCCTATTTCCAATCTTATGTGAGTTTATGATTAACTTTCCACAAAAATAAAACTTTTATAAATGTCAAAGAATTACATTTTTGGAAGAATGTAAAAGAAATAAGATATTTACTTAGAATTTTGAGTAATTTACATAGAAAAGTTTACGATTTATGGCCAAAAAGAGTTAAAGAAAGCTGAAAAAAATGATACTTTAAAACAACAATAATAAAAATACTGAAGTTTTAGGATTCATAGAAAGTATACTTTATCGAAAAATTCTGTTTTAATGCAAAGTTTAGTATCTAAATAGATCATCAGTTTTCTCCATAATATCAGATTAAACAGCAACAGAAATGAATTTTTTTTTCTGTTACATATTAGCTTGTTCTAGCTTTAAAGTTTATAAAGGGAAAAAAGAAACCTAAGACTTAAATTTTGATAATTGTCGAAATGTATGGCAAAAATAGACAATGAGTTCTTGCATTGTAACATTGAAATATCAAACCCTTAAATTCCCTGTCACAGTGATGTCATTTCTTTTAACTGTAAATTCAAAGCATAAGTAAGCATCTAAGATATTGAGACTTCCCATCTCAGTGGGTCCATTTGGTGAGAGCTACAGCAAGTAGGCTGGACTGGGTCACATGACCTGTGCAGCTCCACATTCTTAGGTACCCATGAGACTTACACAATGTCAGCACAGACTAAGTGCCAAGGGCATGTAATGTATTTTGTTTAATCCTCATGACAATCCATACAGTTAACAGTAATATCCTTATGTTTTAAATGAGGAAATTGAAATACAGAGAAATTAAATTACTTGATTAAAGTCATGCATTTAGTAGACTGCGGAACTGCGATACGAACCCAAACATGTTTAATCCCAAATTTATGTTGTTTTTGCTACACCACACTATCTAAGATACTTCTTGGCTTTGTGGGCGTGAAAAAGGCAACAGTAACCTTTCTGTTTTTCAGTGCGGTATATTTTTTAGGGTAAATTATACTAGTCACAACTTCAGAATATCCTCTCCATCTCAGTGGCTTAAAATAGCTGAATTTTATTTCTCATTTAAATAGAGTCCAGTTGGGTGTGTCTAGCTGACAAGTGGCCTTTGATGTCATCCTTTAGGGATTCAAGATTCTCGGTCTTGTAGCTCTGTCCACCCCTTAGCCCTCAGAGTTTTCTCCAGGCAGCTGAAAGGGAGAAAGAGAAAAGAGATAAAGGGAAAGAGACAGCATGGAAGATACCTGAGGGAGTTTTTAAATTATTTTTCGGTGGGGTGGAGGGGCAGGCTTAGAAGTGGGGCACAACCTTTCCACTTCCATTCCATAGCCACACTCAACTTCAAGGGAGGCTGGGAAGTGTAGTAGAGCTGTGAATCTGGGAGGAAAACAAAGTGGGTTCCAGGAGAGCTGACCAGTCTTGCCTTCAAGCTTTGATACATGAACTTGTTTCCCCTTTTCCTTCTGATAAGTAAGCCTAGTTAGGAATTTTACTTTATTTGAATGAGTTAGGTTTTCACGTTGCTCTATTAGGAAATAAAGAACCTGTCTGTGACAGCAGGACATCCCAGGATATATTAATCATGTCCTCTTTTGTTCAGTGTTGATTTAAAAGTTCTACCAAATTATTTACTGTTTTTGTTTTCCTGTATTTTAACTCTTTGATAAATAGTAGCTTGGATGGGGCTTTTGTGGCTGAAACTGCCCTTCATTGCTTGTCTAGAGAGGCAGTAGGGCAAGGTGGTCAATAGTACAGACTATAGGATCTGATTTCAAATCCCAGCGGTGTCACTCACAAGCTGCTTAACCAAGGACGAGTTATTTGACCTTGCTAAGCCAAGAACACCCACCTGAGGGTGTTGTTATGAGGATTTAGTAAATTAACATATAGAAGCCCTCAATACACAATGTCGGCACACATTAAGTGTTGTATAAGTGCTGGCTGTTATGTCTGCTCTTTCAGCTCCACTTTATTCTTCATTCAAAACTCAGTGTAGTGTCTCCTTTGGAAAGTTTTCTCTGACTATGGCAGGCAGAATTCTGTTTTGTTTTTTTTTTCCCTTTCTGCTTCCAGGAAACATTGAATTTAATGCATTGAATTATAAGGTGTGTCCATGCATGTGTCTGTCTCAGGCATTAGATCTAAAGACAAGAAATTGGCCATTCTAAATTTGCCTGTATGTATCCCCATAGCCAGCACAGCACAGCACAGTGTCATACACATTGCAGGCAATCAGCTATTTGCTGATGTGAAGGAAACCTCGTTAACCAGAGTACCCTATATATCAGAAAGCTCAGTTTCCTTACCACACTGGAGAGCAAGGAGTTCACTATATTAGCTGTGACTTTCATTTTAGTTGACTTGGGTGACGCCAGATTTAAGTGACAGATCACTGTGCCCTACCTGCCTTTTTACATGATCCAGTCCACCCAAACTGTCCCTCAGGGACCAGCAGCCTTTGTGCTAAGATTCTGATTTTACTTTGGCTGGCATGTATAGCTCCCCTTCTATAGGGGTACGTGTAGGAATGTGATAATTCAATTTCTTAGTTTGTGTTATCAGCATTAGTCTGTGCCGTGCACATTTCTTGTTTCATTCATTCACTTTTTTCTTGCCTCACCATTCCCACCAGGCCTGTGATAGGAAAATTCTGTGCGTATCCTTAGCTAATCGATAACATTGTTTTGCATGTGTGAATTTTTAGTTTACATACATTATGGACCTTGTTGGTTTTTTCTCTATTTTTTAAACTGTTAATGTTAATATAACTTTAAGCTCACAGAAAACTTATAGGAGTGATACAAGGAACAATCATATTTGCCCAGATTCTGCATTATTTGGAAGGAAGAGAAAGCGTGTATTCATAGATGTGTATACTTATATATACAAACAGTATTGTTATTTTGAACCCTTTGAGAGTTAAGTTGTAAACATCATGACCCTCTACCCCTAAATACTTCAGTGCCTATTTCCTAAGAACAAGACTTTCACTTAAGTATATACTGCCCAGTTAGCAAAATCAGGAAATTGAGTATCAATAAAATACTATTACATAATTTACAGATCTTATTCAAATTTTCCCAATTTTCCCAATAATGTCCTTTATGGGATTATTTCCCCCTGCCCTAGCATCTAATCCAGGATCCCATCTTGCGTATAGCTTTTATGTCTTTTTAAAGTCTCTCTTTTAATCTCCAACTGTTGTTCAGCCTTTCTTTATTTTTCATGACATTGACATTTTAAAGACCACAAGCAGTTATTTTGTGGACTGTCTTTCAATTGAGGTTTATCTGATGTTTCTTCATGATTAGATTTCCTCCTCCCTCCTCAGCAAGTTTTCTTTTTAAAAAAAATACTGTTTTTAAACTCTCTTCATGTTGATACATCTGTATCCAGTTTGTTGATTCCACCTGCTGCACAGAATTCCCTAATGCAGACTGCCTCTTGGAACAGATTTGGCAGGGCTGCCAGGAAGGCAGCATCCGGCAGAGCTTCCTTGGCATCAGGATGGTGTCTTTGTGGGGGCTGTATGACATGGGAAATGAGAACACCACTTTGACACATGTGCCCTGGGTCACCCTGCTTTAGCTGGTGATAGTGGGCCTCAGATGTTTGCTTCTTCAACTATTTCTAAGGCACACGGAGCTATTATGCTTTGCAAGATAAGGTAGGATAGGAAGTTAATCTCTTTGATTGTTTTTTCCTTCATTAATTCATGCATTTAATAAATATTGATTAAGGGCCTACTCTGCTCATTGGAGCTTATCTTCTAGCCTATTGAATACATAAAATAAACTTTTGAATCGAAAGCTCGTCTAACTGTGACAGAGGCAAAGTTGTTAAAATTGAGCTTAAGGTAAATGGTTCAACATTTTCAATTTATTAGTAAAATAGCCTTATAGAAATCATGCTTCTGCCTCGTCACCCAAATACAGTGATTTCCATTTCTCCCTGGCCTCTTTTGGTATTTACCAACATTGAACATCATTTGTGCCTCATTATCTCTATAGGGCATAAATAATTTTGCATTCCCTTTTTTCCAGTGAAAAATATTTTGTATATACTTTCCCTTGTTTCATAACTTGCATATTCATCACACTTAATGACTGTAGTAAATTCTTTCAAGCTGATCTATAACTTATGCATATCTCTTAAGTTGTAAATTTGCCTTGTGTCTAGTTTTTCCACTAATGTTAGGAGAAAAAATTTTAAAGGAAGTGTGTATCATGCTCCTGTGTTAAGGCAGTTTTGACAAATAGTTTCGTCTAAAATCGTTCATTCTAAGATACAAAAAAGGTTAGATTCCTGTAAAGAAAACACATTCTGTCTTCTTTTTAGGAAAACTTATTTTTTCCTGATTATGTTTTGAGTGTCCACTTATAATGGAAGGATAATTAGTAGAGAAAGACCTGATGTGCTTGGAGCTTTGCCAGCTGAAAACCTTGCATGTATTAGGAAACAGCAGGTTTCCAGTGGGGAATAGTAGAGTAATGGACTGTGCAGCTAAGATATAAGACTGCAGCGCGACAGCTCCCAACTGCAGCAGGCTCACCATCACTCACTTTCCTTGACACAAGTGGACAGTCTTTCAGTTCTTCTGCACTTTCCTTGTGAGAACCACCGGAGGAATACATCGCCCTCTGGCAGGAGGCAGTCAGCTCCATCACAGCAGGGAGGAGTGATGAGCTGTCCGTACCTCTGGACACACCTAGGAATGATTCCGCAGCCGTTGCTCAGTCCTCAGCGAGGACTCAGGAAAGCAAGAAATGGACATAGTTCTCGTTTACAGATCACTGTGTTTCATCCCACCCAGAATCTTCTGAGCATCCAATGCTGAGAGGTACTTGCCCGGGGTGAGGTTGGAAGCTCGTGATCAGTGGGTGGTTGCAGGGACTATTTCTAAAGAGGGCACGAATAAAAAGATTTGGGACCAACTAACCGGACCTTGGTAGGATGGAATAACTGAGACATTAATTGTTCGGTAGGCTCTGCTAGAAACTTCAAAGATCCTAGGTAGGGCTCTGACATCTTCTGTATTAGTTATGTGCCTGTATGGATCAGATGAGGATTTTCTTCATATATAGAATTTTTATCTTACTTTTCCTCCATGAGAGTGGGACCTTGTGTGTCTGGTTTCTTGCTCTATTTTCTGTTGCTTAGTGTGGAGCTTAGAGCATAAAAAGTGTTCAATAAATATTTGTTGGTTGGACGATGACTTAAGCTGTGTAGTTCTGTAGACTAAAAACATGATCATCTAGGCAGCTGCAATCTACTTGTTTAAAGGGTTCTCTCAGGTTACTGCAGAAATGAGTAGGACCTAAAGAAACCGAAGTCGGAGAATAGCAGGGTGCAAAGGAAAGTACAGTGGCTTTAGAGCCAGGCAGATAAGAGTTCTTATCCCAACTCTACTACTCACTGCTGTCTTCACTTGGTTAACTCATTTATGATTCCTAAATCTGAGCTTTCGCACCTATAACATGCGTATCAAACCACTTTCCCCACAGAGTTTGTGGGCAGTTCATTGCTCAGAGTGGACACTCAAAAATGTCACCTTCTTCCTCCCTCCCCTGCCAAAAGGGAGACAAAAGCAGGAGGGGCCCAGATGATGTGTCCAAGTGTTAGATCTCTACATTCATGTTATCTGTCATGTAAAGTGTGCCACATATTGGCTTCTCTTCATACAGCAGCTAATGGCATGCATACTTCAAACAGCATATGCACCTTTTGGTTCTGCTTTGAGCCTCTCTATTAGTAACTGTGTTCTTTGCCTTTACAGGATTTATGAGCGTGTGATAGACCCTCCAGATACCAACCTTCCCCCAGGAATCAATTTATGGCTTGGCCAGCGCAACCAAAAGCATGGCTTATTCAAAGTAAGCACTAACGTTCTTTTTATTGAAGTATATATATAGGCGATGCTCAGTTTTCTGTGTTATTTATTGGAGCCGTGTTTATAATTACATTAGTGGGAAGGGCATGGCATAATAGCTACTAATGTTTATTGAACACTTACTTTGTGACACATGCTTTTTTATGTGCTTGACATGAATAAACTGGTTTACTTGTCACAGTAATTTGTGAAGTAGGTGCTTTGAAACCAGGCAGAGAGTTAAGTGACTTGCCCAAGGTTATCCAGTTCACTCTGCTGCCAGGGATGGATGATCCAGAAGGCAAATGATCCTCAAAATGTTGACCTCCCAATTCTGAAGGATTTACGATAATCTTCAAACTGGTTTCCCTTCTCAGATTATATGTTAATTCAGTTTAGAGTAGATGTCTAGATATGAAAAATACATCTCTGCTTCCTTGAGCTTTGGTTTAATTGCATTACTGGGAACAGAAAACCAAATACTGCATATTCTCACTTATAAGTGGGAGCTAAACACTGAATACACATGGACACAAAGATGGGAGCAGTAGACACTGTGGACTACTAGAGGTGGGAGGGAGAGAGGGAGCCATGGGCTGAAAAACTATTTGGTACCATGCTCACTACCTGAGTGACTGGACCATCCATAGCCTAAACCTCAACATCATGCAGTATACCCATGTAACAAACCTGCGTGTGTACCCCCTACATCCAAAATTTTTTTTAAAAAAACTGCATTATTATACTTCACAGAAACATAAGGATACAGTGATAAAATAAATTTAAAAACTTAAAAATACCATGAAATTTTAAGACAGTCTTGTTCTTTGAAAGAATGACACACTTTTGCTTCTGGCAATATGGCAGACTAGATATTCTAAAAATCCTTCTGCTTCAAAATGACTATAATGCTCGATAAAATACCACAAAAATATTTTAAAATTCAGCATTGTACTTATACGAAAGGAATTCCTTGGGGACCAAATATATGGAGGGGAGAGAAAGCCAGAGGGGTATCAGTACCAGAACTTAGAGCCTTAGGTTCCTTCTTTTTTATTTTTAAAAAATTAAGGTGTAATTCCGCATGTTCTCACTCACAGGTGGGAGTTGAACAATGAGAACACATGGACACAGGGTGGGGAACATCATACACTGGGGCTGGGAGAGAGATAGCATTAGGAGAAATAACTAATGTAAATGACGGGTTGATGGGTGCAGCAAACCAACATGGCACATGTATACCAAGGTAACAAACCTGCACGTTGTGCACATGTACCCTAGAACTTAAAGTATAATAAAATAATACCAAAAAAAAGTAAGATGTAATTTACATACAGGAAAATTCATTCCATTTAATGTACAGTGTCACAAGTTTTGGAAAATCTACACTGTATTATAATCATCATTGTAATTGAGATAAAGAACCATTTCTTTATCTCCAAAAATTTCCATCCCCCTTTGTATTAAACCCTTCTCCTCACCCGAAGCCTTTAGCAACCACTGGTCTGTTTTCTGACCCTGTAGTTTTGTCTTTACCAGAATGTTATATAAATGGAATCATTTATGTGTGTGTGTGTATTTACATAAGTTTCTATGTTGAGATTCACCAAGTTGTTGTGTGTATCAGTGGTTCATTGTTTTCTATTGCTGAGTAGTATTCCAGTTCTGTTGTATGAATGTATCATATTTTGTTTGTCCATTCTTCAGTTGATGGACATCTGGGTTATTTCCAGTTTGGAACAATTATGAATAGAACCACTATAAACATTTGCATACAGGTTTTTGTGTGAACAGCGGTTTTGATTTCACTTAGGTAAGTGTGTAGGTGTGGGCTTACTGGGTTGTATATTAAGTGTATGTTTAAATTCACAGGCAACTGCTAAACCATTTTTCAAAGCAGCTGTGCCAGTTTTTGCATTCCCACCAGCAATCTATGAAAATTTCAGTTAGAGCTTTAAATTTCAACCGTCTGTGTGGGATGGGAGAAATTACTTAGATCCCATGCGTGACTGAGTGTTGGAATGGAAATTTTTAAGGTAAAGCCAGTCCACTATCTAGCAGAAGGAGGCAATCCAGAAACTATCCTGTCTGCATCTCATCTCCAGATGAGAAAAAATAATACTTCCCAGAGAACTAGTAAACCACAGCACTTGAAGGGTTGCAGACTTGACACCCAGATTTACTTTACCCATGAAGCTCAATAAAGTATATTAAAGTGGCCCTGGATTAGGTACCTTGGGAGTCCTGATGAAGAAAATACAAATTATCTTTGGAGAAAGTCACTTTTGATGTAGACCTCAAAGGATGCCCACAGATTAAGTCCATAAAATAGGAGCTCTAAAGCCATCACGAATGACAGTGGAAAGAAACAAAAAAATGCTCAGTTAGTCCTCACAGGGCTACAGAAAATGAAATTAGCAGGTAAAGAATTTTTTTTTAATTTTTTAAAAAACTTCTGTTTAAAATGTTTGAAGAATCAAAATAATAAAGAATGTATGATGACTAGAGATAATAAATAGGCCCAGAGATAGTTGAACTAAAAAGCACTTCCAAAAATGAAAGATACAGTTGTTGAAGTTAAAAAAGAAACAAAAACCAAAAACCTCAGTGAACCTGCTAAACAGATTAGACACAGGTAGGAAGAGCATTTGTGAAATGGAAAATATTGTTAAAATAATTAAACTAATAGTAGTGCTTCAGAGATAAAGAGAAGAAAATAGGAAGGAGGTTAAAATATAGAACAGATACATGTATATAAAAAAAGTTTACGTATCTGTTTAATATGTGTGAATATGTATGCATATCTATATAAAATGGCTGTTCTGATGCCTCTATGTTTTCTAAGTGGCTTCTTAGATAGCTGAGATAGATAGCTTCTTAGATATGTATATTATTATAATATACATATATTTAAAAATTAAGGAAGATAATAAAGAATATATTATGTCTATATATGCATATATATTTGAAAATTCCAGATAGTAAACAGAGATAAAGGTTATGGGCACTATTATAAGTATAACGGGTAAGAATTTTCTAAACTTAATAAAAGACATTAATTCTCATTACTGAAAGAACAATGAAATAAAAGTATATGTTGTTGATTTCACATAGAAATCATAGAAAACATAGAGGCATCAGAACAGCCATTTTATTTAGCTCAAAAACCAATTTTTTTCTGCTTTGACCTGGCTAAGCTGATACTTGTTAGGCTGTCTCCCATGTCTGTGGTTAATTGGCATGCTAGCAGGTGGCAGGATGATCTGAGAGCCTCTTCACCTCTCTGGGGGTTGGCTGGCTGTTGACTCTTGTTCCTCAGTTGTCCTCACATGGTCTCTCATCTCCAATGGCCTAGCTCAGCTTATTTACATGTCATCCCTGGGATTCCAAGTATCGGAAGAGTGCAATCCCTAAAGTACTAATATTTTCAAGGCTTTGTTTGCTTGATCACATTTGCTAATGTTTTATTGCCCAAAGCAAGTCATATGGCCAACTCCAGAGTCAAAATGTAAATAAATAGACTTCATCTCTTGAAGGGCTGCTCCATGATATCACATTGCAAGGATATGGATGCAAGGAGGGAAGAATTTTTTTTGGCCACATCAGCAACCTATTATACAAATCAAGATAAATAGACAGCCACACTTAGATATACTGGCAGAATAGCAGAACTCCAAAGACACAGAGAAGATCTTAAAAATAGCCAGTGACAAAACACAAATTTTTCACAAAAGGATAACAAACTGAACAGCTGGTTTTTAAACAGTAAAAGCAGAAGTCAAAAGACAGTAGAAAAAGTGTTTTCCAAGTTTTGAGAGAAAATAACTTTCAAATGTAGTAGTATATACCAAGCTTAATTGTCATTTGAGAATGAGTGTGACATAAAGACATTAGTAGAGAAATGAAACTCTCAGTTTATAACCAATAGATCTTCATTTAAAAAACTTCCTGGAAGGAAGACATACAGTGCAAGAAGAATTGGAGAGCAAATGCATGTTGACAGTATGCACAAATCTCAGTGATTATTATTCTGAATGATTGCCATTATCCTTGTTTGATTAAAATATAATAATGCTTAATTTTAGAAAAATAATATTAAAAATATTGACAATGGAATCCTTCACCATCAACCAAAATATCCGGGTTCTGTCATCAAAATTGACTAGAAGGCTGGCGTGACTCATGGAGAGAAGGAGGAACAGTGCGGTGCGACGGCCCATCTGAGAGCCACACGGGAAAGGGGAGCCCCCTCCCTGCAGCCAAGGGAGGCAGATTTCCAGTAACTCCAGCCGGAGACTCAGGGACAGAATTCGGATTTCCCTGGGCCTGAGCCCCTAGCGGGAGAGGTGGCCACAGTCTGTGTGGACCAGCAGACTTAGCCTCTTGTCTTGGTAATTCTGAAGAATCCGGGCAGTCTAGACGAGTAGGTTTCCCCCCAGCAAAGCACACCCGCTCCACCAATGGCCAAAATGCCTCATTAAACAGGTCCTGCTCCCTGTGCCACCCAACTGAGTGAGACCCTCCAACAGGGGTTGTCAAGCACCCTATACAGGAGCAATCCTACTGGCATCAGTTTGGTGTCGTTCGAGGTCAGAGGTCCCAGAAGGAGCAGGAATCCAACTCTGCTGTTCTCCAGCCTCCTTAAGTGACATCTCCAGGCATGGGAGTGAAGCAGGTGAACAGGGCCTGAAGTGAATCCCCAGCAAACTGCAGCAGCCCTACAGAAGAGAGACCTGACTATTGAAATAAAGACAAGCAGAAAGTAACAGCAACAGCATCATCAATGACAACAAAAGGCCCCCACAAAAACCCCATCCAAAGGTCAGCAGCCTCAAAGACTGAAACTAGACAAACTCACGAAGATGAGAAAGAATCAATGAAAAAATTCTGAAAACCCAAAAGGCCAGAGTGCCTCTTCTCCAAATGATTTCAATGTCTCTCCATCAAGGGCACAGAACTGGATGGAGGATCAGATGGACAAATTGACAGAAGCAGGCTTCAGAAGGTGGGTAATAACAAACTCCTCTGAGTTAAAGGAGCATGTTCTAACCCAATGCAAGGAAGCTAAGAACCTTGATAAGAGGTTAAAGGAATTGCTAACCAGAATAACCAGCTTAGAGAGGAATATGAACAACGTGATGGAACTGAAAAACATGGCAGAAGAACTTTGTGAAGCATACACAAGTATCAATAGCTGAATTGACCAAGCAGAAAAAAGGACATTAGAGTTTGAAGACCACCTTACTGAAAAAAGATGCAGAAAAGAATAAAGAAAAGAGAATGAAAAGGAATGAACAAAGCCTCCAAGAAATATGGGACTTCATAAAAAGACCGAACCTACCATTGACTGGAGTACCAGAAGGAGACAGGGAGAATGGAAACGAGCTGGAAAACACACTTCAGGATATTATCCAGGAGAACCTCCCCATCCTAGCAAGACAGGCCAACATGCAAATTCAGGAAATACAAAGAACACCATTAAGATACTCTACGAGAAGATCAACCCCAAGACACATGATCATCAGCTTCACGAAGGTTGAAATGAAGGAAAAAAACTGTTAAGGGCAGCCAGAGAGAAAGACCAAGTCACCTACAAAGGGAAGCCCATCAGACTAACAGTGGACCTCTTAGCAGAAACTCTGTAAGCCAGAAGAGATTGGGGGCCAATATTCAACATTCTTAAAGAAAAGAATTTTCAACCCAGAATTTCATATCCAGCCAAAGTAAACTTCATAAGAGAATGAGAAATAAAATTCTTTCCAGACAAGCAAATGCTGAGGGATTTTGTTACCACCAGGCCTGCCCTGCAAGAGCTGCTGAAAGAAACAATAAATATGGAAAGGAAAAACTGGTACCAGCCACTGCAAAAACACACCAAAATATAAAGACCAATGACACTACAAAGAAACTGCATCAACTAGTGTGCAAAATAACCAAATAACATCATGATGACAGGATCAAATTCACACATAACAATACTAACCTTAAATGTAAATGGGCTAAGTGCCCCAATTAAAAGACACAGACTGGCAAATTGGATAAGGAGTCAAGACCAATCGGTATGCTGTATTCAGGAGATCCATCTTACATGCAAAGACACACACAGGCTCAAAATAAAGGGATGGAGGAAAATTTACCAAGCAAATGGAAGGCAAAAAAAGGCAGGGGTTGGAATCCTAGTCTCTGACAAAACAGACTTTAAACCGACAAAGATAAAAAAAGACAAAGAAGGGCATTACATAATGGTAAAGGGATCAATTCAACAAGAAGAGATAACTATCCTAAATACATATATGCACCCAATACAGGAGCACCCAGATTCATAAAGCAAGTTCTTAGAGACCTACAAAGAGACTTAGACTCCCACATAATAATAGTGAGAGACTTTAACACCCCACTGTCAATATTAGACAGATCAACGAGACAGAAAATTAACAAGGATATTCAGGACTTGAACTCCGCTTTGCATCAAGTGGACCTAGTAGATGTCTACAGAACTCTCCACCCCAAATCAACAGAATATACATTCTTCTCAGTGCCACATGACTCTTATTCTAAAATCAACCACATAATTGGACATAAAACACTCCTCAGCAAATGCAAAAGAACTGAAATCATAACAAACCGTCTCTCAGATCACGGTGCGATCAAATTAGAACTCAGGATTAAGAAACTCGCTCAAAACCGCACAATTTCATGAAATCTGAACAATGTGCTCCTGAATTACTCCTGAGTAAATAATGAAATTAAGGCAGAAATCAAGAAGTTCTTTGAAACCAATGAGAACAAAGAGACAATGTACCAGAACTGATTATCAGAGAAATGCAAACCAAAACCACAATGAGATACCATCTCATACCAGTCGGAATGGTGATTATTAAAAAGGCAAGAAACAATAGATCCTATGTGAGGCTGTGGAGAAATAGGAATCCTTTTACACTGTTGGTGGGAATGCAAATTAGTTCAACCATTGTGGACGATAGTATGGTGATTCCTTAAGGATCTATGACCGGAAACACCATTTGACCCAG
This sequence comes from Homo sapiens, assembly GCF_000001405.40. Taxonomy (NCBI): domain Eukaryota; kingdom Metazoa; phylum Chordata; class Mammalia; order Primates; family Hominidae; genus Homo; species Homo sapiens. The sequence goes on from NC_000011.10 coordinate 20,892,568, forward strand.
CAGTTCCATTACTGAGTGTATACACAAAGGAATATAAATCATTCTACTGTGAAGACACATGCGGCCGGGCGCAGTGGCTCAGGCCAGACACGGTGGCTCACACCTGTAATCCCAGCACTTTGGGAGGCCGAGGTGGGTGGATCATGAGGTCAGGAGTTCAAGACCAGCCTGACCAACATGGTGAAACCCTGTCTCTACTAAAAATACAAAACTTAGCCGGGTGTGGCGGCACGCGCCAGTAATCTCAGCTACTTGGGAGGCTGAGACAGGAGAATCGCTTGAACCCATGAGGTGGAGGTTGCAGTGAGCTGAGATTGTGCCATTGTACTCCAGCCTGGGTGACAGAGAGAGACTGTGTCTCAAAAAAAAAAAAAAAAAAACAGACACATGTACATGTATGTTTATTGCAGCACTATTCACAATAGCAAAGACGTGGAACTAACCCAAATGCTCATCAATGTTAGACTAAAGAAAATGTGGTACATAAACACCATGGCATACTACACAGCCATGAAAAGGAATGAGATCATGTCCTTTGCAGAGACATGGGTGAAGCTGGAAGCCATCATCCTCAGCAAACCAACACAGGAACAGAAAACCAAACACTGCATGTTCTTACTCATAAGTGGGAGTTTAACATTAAGAACACATGGATACAGAGAGGGGAACAACATACCCCAGGGCCTGTTGGGGGGTGAGGGGTGAGGGGAGGGAATTTAGAGGATGGATCAATGGGTGCAGCGAACCACCATGACACATGTCCTATGTCACAAACCTGCACACTCTGCACATGTATCCCGTGTTTTTTTTTTTAATAAATAAAAAAATAATTAAAATTAAAATTAAAAAAATATTGACAGCAATAAAATGTTAGTAAAGGTGATCTGATTTAAAGTGTTCTAAGGCCTGATTTCAAGTGTTCTAAGTGGTCAGAAAAAGAATGGAGAAACTGATTAACTTTAGACTTTAAGTCTACATGTTAGAATTAAAACAATATCAAAATAATAGAAATCATGTTTAACTCCCAAACTCTGACATTTAAGTATAAGAGAAAAGGGGATTTTTTTTAAGCCTCATCAACCCAAAATAAGGTAAGAAGAGAAATATTTAATATAAGATACCATATATAATTCCATTTCACAATTGTTATTATCAATTTAAGTGATTTACACTTAGAATGAAAAATAAGAGTATTATATTGAATTCATAAAACCCAAAGCCTGTTGTATATTGCTTACAGTGAAACAATAAAAAATAAGGACTCATAAATGTTGATAGTGAGGTAGTTAAAAAAAAAAAAAAAAGAAAAATAGGCCAAACTAAACATGAGAAGGCTGGAGAAACTGCTGATTTCAAACTGCAAGGCCAAAAAGGTCACCACATAATAATAAGCTATTTTAAAGATGTATGTACTGAATAACATAATCTCAAACTGTATGTTGTAGCCTGGCAGAATAGCAGGCATGGATGGCCTACTCACTACAGTGTGCTGGGTCAACTGAATATCCCCATGGGGAAAGCACTAATCCTGACCCTGTTTCACACAACTGATAATGCAAAATCAATTCCAAGTGGGCTATAGATCAAAAAGTTAAACTGACAAAGCTTATAAAAGATAATGTAGGAGAATACTTTATGACCTCGATGTAGGAAAAATACTTTTTAAATAAGATGTAAGAAATAATAACTATAAAGGAAAAGACTGATCCATTGGAATATATTAAAATTTGGAACTTTTCTCATCAAAATAGATGACTAAGAGAGTAAAAAGGCATGTCAAGGAATAGGAGGAGCTATTCAAAGTAGTTGTGTCCCACAAAGGCCTTTTATCCAAGCTGTATAAAGGACCCCTTTACATCAATAATGAAAAGTCTATCCAATAAAAACATTTGAGAAAAATGCTACCAGGCACTTCACAAAAGGGAATGTCCAAAAGGCCAGTAAACAAAGGGGATGGTATCAATATGATTAGTCATCAGGGAAAGTAAAGCCATACTGAGATGCTACTGAATATCCATCAGAATGGGTCAAATTAAAAACACAGACCATACCATGTATTTGCAAGGATGTGGAACAACTGGAGCCTTCATTCACTGCTGGTGGGAATGAAATTGATTTAAGTACTAAGGAAAGCTGTTTGTTAGTATGGTTAATAAAATGGACATATATATGTCCTATGACCAAGAAAGAATACTCTAGGTACCTAATGTCTAATAGAGATATGCATTTGTATACACTAAAAGGCATGCACAGAATTTTTAAGATTTGCATAAATTTGTGGGGTACATGTAAATGTTGTTATATGTATATAACGTATAGTGATCAAGTCAACGTATTTAGGGTGTCCATTGCCTGAGTATAATACATTTTTGTTAAGTATAGTCAACCTACTCTGCTATCAAACATTGAAATTATTCCCTCTGGCCGGGCGCGGTGGCTCACGCCTGTAATCCCAGCACTTTGGGAGGCCGAGGCGGGCGGATCACGAGGTCAGGAGATCGAGACCATCCCGGCTAAAACGGTGAAACCCCGTCTCTACTAAAAATACAAAAAAATTAGCCGGGCGTAGTGGCGGGCGCCTGTAGTCCCAGCTACTTGGGAGGCTGAGGCAGGAGAATGGCGTGAACCCGGGAGGCGGAGCTTGCAGTGAGCCGAGATCCCGCCACTGCACTCCAGCCTGGGCGACAGAGCGAGACTCCGTCTCAAAAAAAAAAAAAAAAAAAAAAAAAAAAAAAAAAAAAAAAAAAGAAATTATTCCTTCTGTCCTACTGTGTATATGTACCCTTTAACCAGCTTCTCTTCATCCTTGCTCCATGTACCCCATTCACCCTTCCCAGTCTCTGTTATCTGTCTTTCCGCTCTCTATCTTTCCACTCTCTAGCTGTGTATTCAAATTTTTTAGCTCCCACATATAAGTGAGAACATGTGATATTTGCCTTTTTTTTTTTTTTTTTTTGAGACGGAGTCTCGCTCTGTTGCCCAGGCTGGAGTGCAGTGGCGCGATCTTGGCTCACTGCAACCTCCGCCCCTCCAGGTTTAAGCATTTCTCTGCCTCAGCCTCTGGAGGAGCTGGGATTACAGGTGTGTGCCACCATGCCCGGCTAATTTTTTTGTATTTTTAGTAGAGACGGGGTTTCACTGTCTTGGCCAGGCTGGTCTTGAACTCCTGACCTCGTGATCCACCCACCTCGGCCTCCCAAAGTGCTGGGATTACAGGCCTGAGCCACTGCGCCTGGCCAGATACTTGCCTTTTTTATGCCTGGCTTATTTCACTTAAGATAATGACCTCCAGTTCCATCCGTGTTGCTGCAAATGACATGAGTTCATTTTCTTTTTTTGGCTGAATAGTATTTCATTGTGTATATAGGCCACATTTTCTTTTTTTTAAATTCTATGATTTGGTGTTTATTTTTTATATTTTTAAAAAAATTTCACTAGTTTTTGGGGCACAGGTGGTTTTTTGTTACATAGATAAATTCTTTAGTGGTGATTTGTGAGATTTTTGGTGCACTCATCACCCGAGTGGTGTACACAGTACCCAACATGTAGTCTTTTATCCCTCACCCTCTCTCACCCTTTCACCTAAGTCCCCAGGATCCCTTCTGTCATTCTTATACCTTTGTGCCCTCATAGCTTAGCTCCCACTTATAAGTGAGAACATACAATATTTGGTTTTCCATTCCTGAGTTGCTTCACTTAGAATAATGGTCTCCAGTTTCATTCAGGTTGCTGTGAATGCCATTATTTCATTTCCTTTTATGGCTGAGTAGTATTTATATATACATGCCACAATTTCTTTATCCATTCATTGGTTGATGGACATTTAGGCTGGTTCCGTGTCTTTGCAATTGAGAATTGTGCTGCTATAACCGTGTGTATGTCTTTTTCATATAATGACTTCTTTTCTTCTTGGTAGATACCCAGTAGTGGGATTGCTGGATCAAATGGTATTTCCACTTTTGGTTCTTTAAAGAATCTCCATACTGTTTTCCATAGGGGTTAATAGTTTACATTCACACCAGCAGTGTAAAAGTGTTCCCTTTTTAGTCAAATTGTCCCTGTTTGCAGACGACATGATTGTATATCTAGAAAACCCCATCATCTCAGCCCAGAATCTCCTTAAGCTGATAAACAACTTCAGCAAAGTCTCAGGATACAAAATCAGTGTGCAGAAATCACAAGCATTCTTATACACCAATAACAGACAAACAGAGAGCCAAATCATGAGTGAACTCCCATTCACAATTGCTTCAAAGAGAATAAAATACCTAGGAATCCAACTTACAAGGGATGTGAAGGACCTCTTCAAGGAGAACTACAAACCACTGCTCAATGAAATAAAAGAGGATACAAACAAATGGAAGAACATTCCATGCTCATGGGTAGGAAGAATCAATATCATGAAAATGGCCATATTGCCCAAGGTAATTTATAGATTCAGTGCCATCCCCATCAAGCTACCAATGCCTTTCTTCACAGAATTGGAAAAAACTACTTTAAAGTTCCTATGGAACTAAAAAAGAGCCCGCATTGCCAAGTCAATCCTAAGCCAAAAGACCAAAGCTGGAGGCATCATGCTACCTGACTTCAAACTATACTACAAAGCTACAGTAACCAAAACAGCATGGTACTGTTACCAAAACAGAGATATAGACTAATGGAACAGAACAGAGCCCTCAGAAATAATGCCACATATCTACAACTATCTGATTTTTGACAAACCTGACAAAAATAAGAAATGGGGAAAGGATTCCCTATTTAATAAATGGTGCTGGGAAAACTGGCTAGCCATATGTAGAAAGCTGAAACTGGATCCCTTCCTTACACCTTATACAAAAATTAATTCAAGATGGATTAAATATTTAAATGTTAGACCTAAAACCATAAAAACCCTAGAAGAAAACCTAGGCAATACCATTCAGGAAGGACATAGGCATGGGCAAGGACTTCATGTCTAAAACACCAAAAGCAATGGCAACAAAAGCCAAAATTGACAAATGGGATCTAATTAAACTAAAGAGCTTCTGCACAGCAAAAGAAACTACCATCAGAGTGAACAGGAAACCTACAGAATGGGAGAAAATTTTTGCAATCTACTCATCTGACAAAGGGCTAATATCCAGAATCTACAATGAACTCAAACAAATTTACAAGAAAAAAACAAACAACCCCATCAACAAGTGGGCAAAGTATATGGATAGACACTTCTTAAAAGAAGACATTTATGCAGCCAAAAGACACATGAAAAAATGCTCATCATCCCTGGCCATCAGAGAAATGCAAATCAAAACCACAATGAGATACCATCTCACACCAGTTAGTATGGCGATCATTAAAAAGTCAGGAAACAACACAGGTGCTGGAGAGGATGTGTAGAAATGGGAACACTTTTACACTGTTGGTGGGACCGTAAACTAGTTCAGCCATTGTGAAAGTCAGTGTGGTGATTCCTCAGGGATCTAGAACTAGAAATACCATTTGACCCAGCCATCCCATTACTGGGTATATACCCAAAGGATTATAAATCATGCTATTATAAAGGCACATGCACACATATGTTTATCGCAGCACTATTCACAATAGCAAAGACTTGGAACCACCCCAAATGTCCAACAATGATAGACTGGATTAAGAAAACGTGGCACATATACACCGTGGAATACCATGCAGCCATAAAAAAGGATGAGTTCATGTCCTTTGTAGGGACATGGATGAAGCTGGAAACCATCATTCTCAGTAAACTATTGCGAGGACAAAAAACCAAACACTGCATGTTCTCACTCATAAGGGGGAATTGAACAATGACAACACATGGACACAGGAAGGGGAATATCACACACCAGGGCCTGTCATGGGGTGGGGGGAAGGGGGAGGGATAGCATTAGGAGATATACCTAATGTTAAATGATGAGTTACTGGGTACAGCACACCAACATGGCACATATATATATATGTAACAAACCTGCACATTGTGCACATGTACCCTAAAACTTAAAGTATAATAAAAAAAAAAGTGTTCTCTTTTCACCACATCCACGTCAACATCTATTTTTTTTTTTTTTAAATTATGACCATTCTTGCAGGACTAAGATGCTATTTCACTGTGGTTTTAATTTGCATTTCCCTGATAATTAGTGATGTGAGTATTTTTTCATATGTTTGTTTACCATTTGTATATATCACATTTTCTTTATTCATTCATTCATTGATGAACACTTAGGGTGATTCCATATTTTTGCTTTCACAAGTAAATAATATTTGCTTTCACAAATCTATAAATAAAACTAGGGAAGTCTCCTAGTTTTATTTACAGATCTAGGTGGCACTTGCACAGTGTTTATGTCAAGTTAATTCATCAATATGTACTTTTATGATTTGTGTAACTATCTGTATATATGTTATTCTTTAATAAAAATGTTTACTAAACATATATGCATAGTAGGTAATTAGAGGGAAAATGGATACATTTGCCATCATACTGAGTGATATTTAACATACTTCTCGCAATAACTTATAGATCAAGCTAGCAGAAAAGTTAGTAAGCGTATGGATTTAAACATACTTAACAAGTTTAATGGCTATATATATATACACACACACATACACACTCTACCAACAATGAACACATCTAGCACATGGAATCTTTGTGAAAATTAACTACATAAAAGTCCATAAAAAGGAAATCTCCACAAATTACAAAAAATGATACATAGACCATATTCTCTGATGACAGTGCAGTTACGTTAGAAATAAATAGTGAAAAGATAACTAACCTCCCACCTTTGTATGTTTGGCAATATAAACAGTATCATTTAAAGTAACTAATCAGTCTGGGGGAAAATAATAGTATAAGTTAATAACTAACTCAGAAAGATAATAAATATCACAATTTGTGAGATGCAGCTAAAGCAATTCTTAGCAGTATTTATCTTTAAATGCTTGTATTGGAAAAGGTAGATATTTAATGAGTTAAACATCCAAATAGGGAAGTTAGAAAAAGAACAACAGAATGTATACAAAGAAAGTAAAAGGAATGAAATAGTAAGCATGAAATCGTAAGAACAGAAATTCATAAAATAATGAGTAGGGTATAATAGGCAAGATCAAGAAAGCCAAAATTTGATCATTTGAAAATACACTGGGAAGTTTGAGCAAGAAGAAAATGAGAGAAGGCATAAATATATTAGAAATAAAAAAAGCATATAACAATAAATGCTGCAAAAATTAAAACAGTAGTAACCATTTGTTAACAACTTTATGCCAATAAAATGGAAAATTAGAGAAAAATGGACAGTTTTCTAAAGCTACATGAATCGCCAAAATGGACTTCAAATAACTATGGTAGTCTTAGCTTCATTAAAGTGATGAGTTTATGATTGAAAGTCTATTGTACCAGTTAGCTTTTGATATACAGCAAATCAAAACAAAGCTTAATGGCTTAAAACAACAGCCTTTATTTACCTCACAATTTTGTGCATTAGCAATTTGAGCTGGGCTTACTTTGCTGGATTTTATTCTCCATGGGTTCATTTGTGCATCTTTGATCAGCTGCTGGGGTTTCTGGGGCCTAGTTGTACTAGGCCTTGAATGGCCTTAGCTGGTATGGCTCATCTCTGCTTCATGTGGCCTCTCGATTTCCAGAAGTCTAGCCCAAACTAGTTTACATGATCATGGAATAAAGTTTCAAGAGTCAGAGCAGAAATGTGCATGGCCTTTTGAGGCCTAGGCTTGAAACTTGCACTAGATTACTTTGCTTCATTATATTGGCCAAAGCAAGTTACAAGCCCAGCTTAGATTCAAGTGTACTGGAAATAGATTTGACCTTTTGATGGGATATGCTACAAATTCACATTGCACAAGGTATGGACACAGTGAGGAGCAAAGGACTGGGATCATTCTGGCAGTCTACCATGTCCCTCCACCAAATAACCACGAGGCTCACACAGTTTTACAGGGGAGTTGTAGCACACATCCAAGGAAATAATTCCAATCTTAAATAAACTCTTCCAGAGAGGAGAATAAATGAGAATACCACTCATCTAATTTTATGAGCATAGGTCACCTTGATTTGCAGAGTAGACAAGGACCGTATGAGAAGGGAATTGCTTAAGCCAATTTACTTTTGAACAGATTAGATTAAAAAATTTAAACAAAATATTATTAGCAACCTGTTTATTAGCAGAGTGTATGTATGCGTGTGTGTCTGGGTGTGTGAGAGAGAACAAGTTGATTATTTCAATAGTGAAAATTTGTTTTTATCTTCAGAAAATTTCTTAATGAAATTGACTACATTAAAGGAGAAAAAAATCCAATGGTCTTCTCAAGAGGCAGAAAAGGCACTAGAAGAAATTCAATACTGACTCATTAAAAATTCTTAGCAAACTAGAAATAGAAGGAAACTTCATTAAATTGATAAAAGTACATGAAGTAAACATACATCAAATATCATACTTACGGTTTAAATATTAAGAGAATTCCTGTTAAAATCAGGAACCACACAAGAATGACTATTATCAGTGTTTCTATTCAACATTGTACTGGAGGTTCTTACCAGCAAAATAAGTAAAAATCTTAAGGATTATAATTTAAAAAGTAGTTATTAACTTATATATTGCCTATATATAAAAAATGATCACCAAATTATTAGAATTAGCAAGAGAGTTCAGAAAGAGTACTAGATGTAAAGCCAAAGATAAGATCAATTGCATTGCTGAGCAAAAGCAGCACAGTGGCAGCTGCAACAGCAATAACAAAAACTGCAATTAAATATTTTATTTATAATATCAAAAGGTGAATCAAATAGGAACAAATCAAATAAAATATATACATGACACCTATAAAGAAAATTATGAAATTTTATGAAAAACCACTGAAGACCTAACTGGGGAGAAGTACGCTATGTTCTTGGAGAAGAAGGCTTAAAATAATAAAAACGTCTGCTTCTTCCACATTGCTCTCTAGGGTCAATGAACTTGTAATCAGTTCCCAAGAGGATTTTTTTTTTTTTCCTGATGGACTCTGACAAGCTGATGCTAAAATTTTTAGGGAAGACCAGAGGCCAAGAATAACTAAGACATTTTCTGAGGGAGAAAAAGGAAGGGACTTAGCCATCCAGATGTGAAGGCTTATTGTAAAGTTATAGCAATCAGCAGAGTGTGATATCACTGCATTAATCAGCACATGAACCAAGAGATCAGAATGGAGAGGCCAGAAATGACCCTTTCGTCATGTGTGGAAACTTGGAAACTTGACACATAACTGATGTGGCATTCCTGACCAATGAGGAAAGGATGGATTCATCAATACATGGTTAGGAAAATCAGTTATTTAAAAACATTATATATATATTATAGACACAGACATTGAGTGATGTAATTGATTTTTGTGTACAGTATAAGGAAAAGCTTCAAATATATACCTGGACCCCATACATAAAAATCACTTACAAGTACAATTGAATTAAATACCTAACTGAAAGCTCAATGTTGAAAGGTTTAGAAGACAACATAAGAACATATCTTCACGATCTCAGTCAGGATAGAGAAGTTCTTAGACAAGATAAAAAAATGCACAAGTCCTTAAAGAAAATACTGATGGGTTTACTGCATAAAATTCTAAAAAGTGTGACAATACATCAAGGAAGATCTTGACAACAATTAGCAAAAAAAAAGTATTCATTGAAGAAATGCTGCAAATCAATAAGAAACCTTTTTTTTTTAACTCAATAGGAAGTCAGACAAAAGATATAGAAGGATGGTTTTCCAAAGTAGAAAACATAAATAACCAGTGAACATATTGAAAGTAATTCAAGTTCACTAGTTATCTTGGAAATGCAAATTAAAACCATTATGAAAAACCATTTCTTCACCCATTAGCCTGGCAAAAGTGAAAAACCATCTGACAATGCTATGTGTAGGGGAAGTCATTGAGCAATGGATTCTTACCCATTGTGTTGGAAACTTGAATTGGTGGAACCAATAGAGAGGGAAATTTGGGGATCCTTGTAATGTGCATACATTTGGACATAGGAGCCCAACTCTTTGGTATAAACGTTGAAGAAACTCTTGGTCATATACCCAGGTATATATGTATAAGCATCATCACAGGACTTTTTTTTTTGTTTTGGTAATTTCAAAAACTTGGAAAAAACCTAATTGTCCATCAATAGGAGAATGTTTAAATACGTTGTAGTAGAGACATAGAAACATAAAAATCAGTGAAATTGAACAAAAATTGATGAATTGCTAAAGTAATTTTAAATGAAAAAGCTAGCAGAAGGATAAAATTACAGTATTAAATCATGTATATATTTCAAAATGCAAGATAATTCCATATACAGCTTATTGATACATCCATATATATACAAAGAAAAATGCATAGAAGTGATAAACACTAAATTTAGAATAGTTTACTTCTGAGAGGAGGAAATGGGAGTTTTATTAGGGTTGTGAACCCAGAAGACTTCAACTATATTGAGGATATTTTATTTCTCAAGTGTTTGCTATATGTTGTTTTGTACATCATAAATATTCAAAATGTTTAAAATGGCATACTTTTTCAGGGTGATAATCCACATATATATGTGAATATATGTATATATGTGTGTGTGTATATATGTATATGTATATAATTTTGCCATGTTTCCAAGAATGAACAGAAATTCATCCAAGTGTCTCAGTTTAAAACTGAACTCACATTCAATGCAATGGTGTGTCTTGTTCTGTAGCTAGTTACTTCCTGGTGAAGCTCTCCTTTTCTTGTGGGTCCTGGATCTGTAATGAAGGGCAATGACTGGTTCTCAGTCCTGAAAAGACATTAAAATCATATTAGAAGACTTTAAAAATCAAATTATTGTGTACACTTAGACCTCCTCATTGAGAATCTGAACAGTAGGGTCTAAGAACTGACACATTTTTTTCACAACCTTCTTATTGGTTTTGATTTATTCAGTTTGAAGGCTCAAATTTGAGTGCACTGACATACAGGAAATATGTGTTGATGGCCTAGATTATGGTTTTGCCTTATCTCTATAAGGAGCCCACAAATCTAACATATGGTCAGTAATTAGCTTCTAATTAGTGACTTTTTAGATTAGTTGTTCTCTAACTTTAGATTGCATACAAATATCCTGGAAGGCTTGTTAAAACACAAGTAGCTGGATGTCAACAAAATGTTAGAGTAGAAAACCTGAAGCTGCTGTTTCTCGACAGAAACACTGAAAAACAAGCAGAAATTGTCAGAACCAACTTTGTTGGAACTTAGGAAAATAGTCAGAGGTTTATAGCAACCGAGTGAATGCTGAATCAAGAAAAAGGCAACCTTAAAACAGTAGGAAAGCTGTGAGGCATGTTTACTTGCCTTTTGTACCATACCATTTATAACCCAGTGGCAGTCCTGAAAGATTTCAGCCCATGTTCCTAGTGTAGGACAACAGTCTCTGGTTGTGGAGTGAGCAGAGCAGACCTTATTCACAAATTATTTTGCATATCTATTCTAACTATCTGGGACTATGTGAAGAACTGATAAAAGGTACTTGTAACTCAGAACGAGTTAGTGGGTGCAGCGCACCAGCATGGCACATGCATACATATGTAACTAACCTGCACAATGTGCACATGTACCCTAAAACTTAAAGTATAATAAATAAATAAAAAAAAAAAGAAAAAAGTGGCAGGCATTGATTTATTGCATATTTCAAAATAGCTACAAGAGAAGATTTGGAATGTTCCCAACACGAATAAATAACTAATGTTTGAAGTGACAGTTATCCCAATTATCCTGATATGATCATTATATATTGTATGCACGTACCAAATATCAAATGTACCCAATACATAGGTACAATTATTATGTGTTAATTTAAGAAAACATTTCAAATCTAACAAACACCATGTGTCTGCCTGGGGCCAAAGAGTATGGTTGAGACATATAGTAGATCATGTAAAGCAAAGAGAAAATGCTGGAAAAAGGGTTTCTTTGGACAATTAGAACATTCAAAATCACCTGTGTGTTCAAGGAATTTAGAAAGCCATATGCATGCCTAGGGCAAGAGGTAAGGTCAGAAAAGACTTGAGAACACCCAAAGCTTTCATCTTTGGCTGATCCCTAGGATCAGTGTAAGCCTGGCTAAGTGTTGAAGGAGGGTCCCAGCACGGAGAAAATCTGCAAAGGTTGGAGGAGTCTCTCTCTCTTTCTTGTTTTTGGTTGCTGACATTCAAGGAAATCCCTGTCAAAATTTTTTTTTAAGTTTTTTTTTCTTTCTTTCTTTTTTCTTCTTTTGAGACAGGGTCTCATTCTGTTGCCCAAGCTGGAGGACAATGATATGATCATGGCTCACTGCAGCCTTGACCTCCTGGGCTCGTGTAATCATCCCATTTTAGCTTCCTAAGAAGCTAGGACTACAGGCACATGTGACCATGCCTGGCTAATTTTTAATTTTTTTTTTTTTTTTTCACAGAGACAAAGTCTCACTGTGTTGCCCAGGCAGGTCTCAAACTCCTGGCCTCCAGCAATCCTCTTTCCACAGCCTATCAGAGTGTTGGGATTACAGGTGTGAGCCACCTTGCCTGGCCCAAAATACTTTATAACATAAGATTAGGAACAGAGATTTCAGTTACTACACATGACTAGAAATACAGTCTCTGCAAAAATAGTTTGGTAAGCCACTAAAGAAATGGACTACTGTAGTATTCAACAATAAAAAACAAAGAAAAACAAAACTCAGCAAACCCCAGTAAAGGGGCAGATCTGTTCTCCAGTGTTAATACATTATAACATCCAAATGTTCAGTGTTCAAATAAAGTCACAGGCAAACAAAGAAAGAGGAAAGTATTGTCATTCAAAGGAACAAAATAAATGAATAGAAACTATTCCTGAGGAAGCACAGATGTTGAACTTACTGTACAGACTTTAAAATAACTGTCTCTAATGTGCTTAAAGAGCTAGATGAAAACATGGATAAAGAAATAAGTCACGAAAATGATGTATAAAAAAATGAGAATATCAATGAAGAGATATAAATTATAAAAAGGAACCAAACAGATACTCTGCAGCTGAGAAGTACAACTGGAATAAAACACTTACTAGAGGGATGCAAGAGAAGATTTGAGCAGGCTGAAGAATGAGTAATGGAACTTAAAGATAAGATCATTGAAATTAACAAGGCTGTGGAGCAAAAAGAAAAATGAATAAAGAAAAATGAACAAGGCCTGAGGGATCTATCTGTAGGACATTATCAAATAGACTAATGTATGCACCGGGGGTGTCTCAGATGGAGAAGATAGAAAGTACTGGAAAGAAAATTTGGAACAATAATGGTTAAAACTTTTAACATTTGATGAAATATATGAATCTATGTATCCAAGAAGTTTAGCAAACTGTAAGTAAGATAAACTCAAAGGTATCCACACTGAGACACGTTATGATAAAACCATCAAAAGATAAACGCAAAGAGAATCTTGAGAGCAGAAAGCAAGACATGACTGTCAAATACAAGGACTTCTTCATGAGATTAGCAGTAAATTTATCATCAGAAACCATGGAGACCAGAAGGCAATGGGTTGTCATATTTAAAGTAGGGTCATTACTACTGACCTTACAGAAATTAAAAGGATTAAAATAGAAGACTATGAATAATTATATGAAAACAAATTAGATAACCTAGATGAAATGGACAAATTCCTAGAAACACATAACCAACCAGGACTGGATCATGAAGAAGACCGGATCATGAAGAATTAGAAAATCTGAAGAGACTTATAATAAGTAAAGTGTTTGAACTGGTAACAAAAATCTCTCAATCAAGTAAAGTCTGGGACCAGATGGCTTCACTGGTGAATTGCAACAAACATTCAAACAAGAATGAACATCAATCCTTCTTAAACTCTTCCAAAAAATTGAAGTGGAGAAACATTTCCTAACTCATTCTATGAGGTCAGAATTACTATAATACCAAAGCAGATAAGGACATCATAAGCAAAGAAAATTACAGACCAGTATCTCTTATGAATGTAGAGGCAACATTTCTCAACAAAATACAAATGAACTGAATCCAACAGTGTATTAAAAGGATTATGCACTATGCCCAAGTGGGATTTATCCCAGGAGAATGGTTTAACATAAGAAAAGTCAAGCAATATTATATGCCACATTAATAGAATAAAGGAAAAAAAGCCCTACAGGATCATCTCAATTGACACAGAAAACGCATCTGACAAAATCCAATATCTTGTCATGATAAAAACACTAAGAAAATGAGCAACATGTGGAAACTTTCTTAACGTAATAAAGGGCATTAATGAAAAACTCAGAGCTAGCATTATACTCAATAGTGAAAGACTCAAAGTTTTCCTCTTAAAATCAGGAACAAGGCAAAGATATCACCACTGCTATTTAACACTGTACTGGAATTTCTAGCCAGTGCAAATGGGCAAGAAAAATAAGTAAATGCATTCAAATTGGAAAAGAAGTAAAACTATCTCTACTCACAGATGCCATGATTCTATGTATAGAAGTTAGACCCCCTACTTCACACCACATATAAAAATGATCTCAAAATCAACTAACATTCTAAATATAATAGCTACAACCACTAAATCTTAGAATAAAAAGTAGAGGTAAATATCTATGGGCTTGCATTTTACAATGGATTCTGTGACTCCATCTCAAAAAAAAAAAAAAAAAATTTCTTCATCAAAAGAGATTATTAAGGATGTGAAAACAAAACCAAAAAAAGGAAGAAAGTATTTTTAAATTATGTATCTTATAAAAATTTAATGTCCAGAGTATACAAAGTACTCCTATAACTGAACAAAATGACAACCCAACTGAAAAATGGGCAAATGATCTGAATACACATTTCTCCAAAGAAGATATACAAATGGCCAATAAGCACATGAAAAGATACTCAACATCTTTAGTCATTAGGAAAATTCAAATTAAACCTCCAATAATATATCACTTCATACCCCACCAGTTATAATTTTTAAATAAAATTCCCATCCTATTAGAAAATAAGGGGAAAATAAGTGTTGGTGAGGTTGTGGAAAATTTGGAACTCTTGTATATTGCTGGTGGAAATATAAAATCATGTAGCTTGATGAAAATACCAAAAGCAATTGGAACAGAATCCAAAATTGACAAATGGGATGTAATTAAACTAAAGAGCTTCTGCACAGCAAAAGAAACTATCATCAGAGTGAACAGGCATCCAACAGAGTGGGAGAAAATTTTTGCAGTCTACTTACTGACAAAAGTCTAATATCCAGAATTTACAAGGAACTTAAACATATTTATGAGAAAAACTTCATCACAAAGTGGGCAAAAGAGATGAACAGACACTTCTCAAAGGAAGACATTTACACGGCCAAAAAACGTATGAAAAAGAGTTAAACATCACTGATCATCAGAGAAATGCAAATCAAAATGATAATGAGATACCATCTTACGCCAGTCAGAATGGCGATTATTAAAAAGGCAAGAAACAATAGATCCTGGTGAGGCTGTGGAGAAATACGAACATTTTTATGCTATTGGTGGGAATGTAAATTAGTTCAACCATTGTGGAAGACAGTATGGCAATTCTTCAAAGATATAAAACCAGAAATACCATTTGACCCAGGAATCCCATTGCTGGGTATATAGCCAAAGGAATATAAGTCAATCTGCTGAAAAGACACATGCACACGTATGTTTATTACAGCACTATTCACAATAGCAAAGACATGGAACTAACCCAAATTCTCAACAATGATAGACTATTTGATAAAGAAAATGTGGTACATATACACCAGGGAGTACTACACAGCCATAAAAAGGGACATGATCATGTTCTTTGCAGGGACATGGATGAAGCTGGAAGCCATCATCTTCAGCAAACTAACACAGAAGGAGAAAACCAAACACCACATGTTCTCACTCATAAGTGGGAGTTGAACAATGAGAACACATGGGCACAGAGAGGGGAACATCACACACTGGGGCCTGTTGCGGGATGGGGGAAAGGGGAGGGAATTTAGAGGACAGGTCAATAATACATCAAGCCCCCATGGCACACGTATACCTATGTAACAAACCTGCACATTCTGCACATGTATCCTGGAACTTAAAGTAAAATTTAAAAATAAAATTTAAAGTAAAAATAAAATTTTGATTAAAAAAGTTAAAAAATAAAATCACGCAGCTGCTGTGGAAAACAGTTTGTTGGTTCCTCAAAAATTTAAACACAGAATTACATGTAATCCAGCAATTCCTCTCCTAGGTTTATAGGTAAAAGAATTGAAAACAGGGACTCAAACAGACACTTGTATGTCAGTGTTCACTGCAGCCTTATTCAAAATACACAAAAGATGGAATGAAGCCAAATGTCTACCCATGTATGAATGGATAAAGAAAACTTGGTATATGTATCCAGTGGGATATTATTCATCCATAAGAAAGGAATGAAGTTCTGATACGTACTACAGTGTGGATAAGCCCTAAAAACTATGCTATGTGAAGGAACCATGCACAAAAGGACAACTATTCTTTAATTCCACTTATATGAAATATCAAAAATAGGCAAATTTATTGAGACAGAAAGTAAATTAATGGTTAACAGGGGATGGTGGCGGGAGTCATGGGAGTTATTGCTTAATGGTTACAGAGTTTTTGTTGAGGCAATAGAAAAGTTTGATTAATAGTGGTGATGGTTGCATAACACTGTGAATGTATTTAATGCCACTGAATTGTGCACTTAAAATGTTTATAATGGAAAATTTTAAAAAAACAAAACAAAACAGGTAGCTTGGTCCTATTTCCAAAGTCTGATTCAGTGGACCTAGGTTGGGACCCAAATCTTTTCATTTCTAACAAGCTGCCAGGTGATGGTGATGCTGCTGGTTCTGAGACATGCTTTAGACAGAAACATAACAAGAACTCCAGGGCCGGGAAGAAGAATCTTGGTTTCAAGGGATGGAGATCTGAGTTTGAATCCTGAACATACCTCTTTATTATAGCTGTTGAACTTGTGTTGCTTTGCTTTTTGAAGCCAATGAAGTTACTCTCTTGCTTAAATTCTTTTAGTGACTCTCTATTGCATGTCAAACCAGCGTAAGATCTGGTCCTTGCTGTCCTCTGCAACCTTCTCTCATGCCATTTTCTCTTCTGCCCACCATGCCTCAGCCACACTACTCTTTTTACAGTTCCTTGAACATAACAGGGCCTTTTCACCTGCTTGTGCCCAGGACAGTTTTCATTCGGTTGTTTGAAATGTTGTCTTCTTTATTTTTCTAAATTAATTATAATTTGTATTTTAAGTGCTAGGGTACATGTGCAGGATATTTTCCTGGAGCACCCTCTCTTTGCAGGTCCGTCACCATTACTGCATATATCGGTTAGCTATTGCTGCACAACAAACCCCCAAAACTCAGGGGCTTATGTCAGTAAGCTCACAGGTCTGCTCAAAAATTGTGTTGATAAGGATCGGTCTTGGTTGATCCCCTCTAGATTTACTCATATGCCTGTAGCTGGCTGGTGGAGTTGGCCAAAGGCTGACTTAACTGGGATAGTCTCAGTGCCATGGTGATTAACTCCTGGCTGGGGCAATGTTGACGACTGGACCATGTGTCTTTCATTATCTAACAGGCCAGCCTGGGCTTGTTCCCGTGGTGCTCGGCAATGTTTCAAGGTAGAGTAGATGTTCACAAGACCCTTGAGGCCTAGGCTGGGAACTGGCACACCATCACTTCCACAGTGCTTTACTGATCAAAGCAAGTCACAAGACTAGCCCCAGACTTAAGGGATGGGGAAACAGACTCCCCCTCTTGAAGTGAGGGTGTACAAAGTCACTGTTCAAAATGTGTGAGTACAAATGGGGAATCAATTTGCAATCATTCTATCACATACTTTCCAACTGAAACATCTCCATTTCCGGCCCCGCACTCACCACAGTTTGAGAGTGTAGGCAGGGCTGGCTTCATGGGCCATCAACCTGAGCAGTCCCAGGGGGGCCGTGCTTAGAAAGGTCCTGTGATTAGATTACTGCCCTGCTGTTGCCCTCTTCAATTGTTTAGTAAATTTTGAACAAGGGACTCTGCAAATTATGTAGCAGGTTCTAAGTATAGTTTATGTGGGTGTTTATTTGTTCATCATTGGTCTTTCTAGATTGTAGGCTTCACCAGGGTCAGAACTAGCTCTCATTCAGCAAGTGCTTAGAAGTACCAGGTACATAACTGGCAGACAATATACTGTTAATGAATGAATGTACCAGTTATGAATTTATCTTCTTATTTGTAAAGTTCCAGAGATGTCTTTCCTGAAGGAAATGCAGATTATATAAGAATATGTATTAAAAGCAACTTGCACATAGTACATTTGTAACACATGTCTCCATCCCTTTTTAGTATTTAAGCACATAAAAATGCATTTCTTGGCATTTAATGCTCCCTGTATGTTTAACTGTATACTGTAGAAATGAAGGCACTCTTCCTGTCTTTTAGGAATTTCTGTTTTAGTTATGAGGATATGATTAAGAGAGAGAGAACAGTTCTTCCTATTATCTATTCCAGCTTGATGAGTGTATGATTCTCTGTAGATATAAAGAACTTTGTGCTTGAGCTCAAATACCTGGTACAGACAGATAACACAAAGAACATTCAGAGACTTGGACAATCATTTTGCTGCAGAGGTGGGTTATGGGAATGTAGAGGACAGAACCAACAGTTATTGAATACTTCCTATGTTACAGACTTTGGCCCTGCATATAGTATCTCAGTTAATTACATTTCACCTTCAGAGAAATCCTACTAAGTTAGTGATTTTTATCCCCATTGTGTAGGTCAGGCAATTGGACTCAGATTAAGTAAGTTGCCAACCTTATATAGCCCAGAAGTGATGGAAATGGGATTTAGACCCAGGTCTTTATGATTTCAAAGTCTTTGCTCCTTCATTCAACAAATATTTATTAAGGGCTTACCCTGTGTTTCCACAGTTACCACTGTGTTGATTAAGGAGACATGATATTTACATGTGGTACACCAAGTACCATCAGGAGACAGAATTTGTCTTTTTCTGGGTTTCCAGCTTCAAAGAATAGGTGATCCCAGTGGAAACATCAAAAGGTGATGGCAATTTCACCCAGTCCATCTTCCTAGAGAGCAAGGCGGTTCTTCTTGCTTCCTAATAGGAGTGGCCTCATGGAATGGCTCATTACAAAGATACTTTCCATGGGGCAGCTTTCAAAACTCATCTTCTCCTTAGAATCCTGGATGCCAGGCAGTGCTTCTGGCCATCCTTTTATGAGAAGAAATGGCTGGGGTAGGGGAAATATGTCAGTGTCTCATTACAGAAATTACCTCTTGATCAATTCAACACTACAAAAATCTCCCTGAAAAAGAGGCAGCCACTTCTCAGGTGAGAGTCAGCATAGCTCCAGGCTTTTAATATTTATCTTGTACATGCTGCCTCATGGATTCAACAACCACATCTGCTGAATTGCTCCAGAACTAAAAATGCTTGTGATGTGCTTTCAGGTTAAAATAACATTATTCTCTATTTTAAATATTATTATGTTGCCTTTATAGGCAAAGTAAAAGCAAAAGCTCCTCACTTGTCAAACCTAATTTCTGGACCCTGGTGGATCCTTGTGGATAGTGCAAAAAAAAGTGCTGCTGATTAAATAGCAGAGGATGGAATCACTTGCTTGGTGCCTGGTACATAAGCCTCTAGCATTAGGTAATTCCTGTCTGAGACACAGAACACAAGCTGGGAATTTTTTCACTTCAAAACAGCATCCATTTGAGAAAAGCTGGCCAGTAGTGATAGGCTTATCTGAATCTTCTGATTGTCATAGATTTTCATTATCAGGATGGTTGATTACCCACTCAATTTCCCTTTGATGCATTCTGAGCTGATTATGCTGTTACAATTTCAGAGGGTGAAAAATAAAAAAATGAGCCGAGGTGAACCAAAATAAGTTATAAGGATGCTTCAGGGGTTGAGTGTTCTGACAGTTTCTAAATAGTTGAGGCCTCAGGGAGACTTCATTCCAAAGCCTTTCACAGAGGCCAAGGCTCTCCTGTCTTTGTTTCTCTGTCTCTGTGTCTGTCTGGTGAACTTGGGTCTGAAACCTTTCCCTTACCTGGACATCACTGTCTCCTCTAACAGCTGAGGTGTCACTGGGAAGTGAAATTGATTACAACTTTTTAAAAATTCCACAGCTGTCGTTTTTACCTCAGCTGCTTCCCATAATTCCACAGATGGTAAACATATGTTTATAGGCACATTGAAAAAGAAGCTATATTGGATGCCTCCCATCTTTAATTCTTATTTTTCCTTTCATGCAGAAAGTCAAAGTCACAGAACTGGGGAATCTTACACATTTGAAGATTAATATTTCTGTGCATTAAGACTTTGGAAACAGCAGGACAGCTAATGATATGCTAATGAGCTGACAGTTTTTATTGATCATAATGAAAGTCGACAAGTGTCTTTCTTGGCGGTTTTGCATGCTGGAATATTTTATTAACGTCTTCAGGGCAGAAGTACATGATTGGTTGCATTTTGAAAACCCTCCCTGTGAGTTTACAGGTCCTACTTTTTGTTAGCCTGTTTCCAAAGCTTGAGTCCCTGCCAGTTTATAAACAGAACACATCTTCATCCATATATTTACATGCCCAGCAGGAAACTCTCCCACCCCTTTTTCCTCTCTCTTTCAAAGCAATTTGTTTCAGTATTTTAGCATACAAAAAAATAGAACCATTTTCTTCAATGTAAACAGAGATCTGCAGGGAAATAAGAGCGTTAAAAAAGAATTAGCATTTGTTTGGTGGTGAAGCTGCTTTTGTTTGTATCAGAAAGCTCTGCATGTTTAGAAGAGCTTGCTTAATCTTAGTTATTCCATACACAAGAGGGACCTAATTGGATAATTTTCTAATTTTTTAATTGCATCTTTCTATATTTCTTAATGCAAAATGAGAAACGTTCTAGGAATAATAGAAATAATGGGCATTAGTTCCCTAAACATTAAAAATCCATAATATACAATGTACCTGGTGCAAATTTATTTTTCAGTGCATGGTGAGCTGACAGCAGGAGGTACAGGGTGGCAACAGGTGGATTAAACAAAAGGAAAAAAAATCCATTTTTCTGCCGTCCATCCGTACTAAATAGTAAGCTTATTAATTTTGGGCTCTGCACCTTAGGGATTTATTTAAGGCCTCAGATCAGCTGAGGTTCATCATTACACTAACAATAAGAAAATGGATTGTTTAGCAAATTAATAGTGTAAATAAGATTACGGGGGGCGGGGGGATGGGGGGAAGAATATTAGGCTACCTAAAAAGACTTCTGTTTTCTAGCACTGAAAAACTGTCTTAGCAAATTATTATTATCTAATACAAATAGTTTTGCATGTTTGATTGGTATCTATCTATTAAGGCAATCAAGATAAAATCTCATTTTGATAACAAGACCTCTTTGTAGCAACATGTTGTTGGTTCATGTTAAGGGGATCCCTTAAATTATATATTTTTACCTACAGCATATTGTAGTGACCCAGCACTGGTTTTGGAGTGTTAATCGAAAAGTGTCTGGATCTGTCTCTAGCTAATGATAAACAAGTCTCAATCAATTTAGAAAAGTTTATTTTGCCAAGGTTAAGGATGCACCCATGACACAACTTCAGGAGGTCCTGAGGACATGTGCCCAAGGTGGTCCTCATGTATACCTTGCTTTATACATCTTAGGGAGACATAATACCTCCATCAGTACATGTAAGATTTACATTGGTTTGATCTGGAAGGGTAGGACAACCAGAAGGGTGGCAGCTTCCAGGTCATAGGTAGATTTAAAATTTTTCTGATCGGCTATTGGTTGAAAGCGTTATCAGTAGTAAAGAATGTCTGGGTTCTGATAAGGGGTTGTGGAGAAGAAGCTTTTATCATGCAGATGAAGCCTCTAAATAGCAGGCTTCAGGGAGAATATATTGTAAATGTGTATCATTAGACTTAAGGTCTGTGTTGATGTAAATGCTGGAGAGGTTTAATGAAGCATGTTCAACTCCTTTTCCATCATGGTCTGAACTAGATTTCCGGGTTAACTCTGGAATGCCCTTGGCGGAGAGAAGGGGGTTCATTCAGATGGTTGGGGGCTTAGAACTTTATTTTTGGTTTTCAAGAGTTAGTAGCCCTGTAGTATATAGCCTAGGATTAAGGTATCCTTTAGAAAAGCTACTTAGAGTATCAAAGCCTTAAATTTCTCATAGGTCATATGACCAGGTAATCTGGTCCTAGATAAGTAGTTCTTATGGAAAGTATCAAAATGACCTCAGACAGTTTTCAAAATAGTCATGACTGTTCTTTCAACCTCTTCCAAAATTCTGATATATACCCTAAATTAAAAACTATTGCCCCACATGATCTTCACAGATCCTAACTGTGCTCAAAATTATGTGGTTCAGTATTGTATAATTCATAGTTTTCAATAATTTGATGCTTTAGAATATTTATTGTGTTTACTATGTGAAATCTACTACAATAGGAACTTCAGGGGATACTAAGATGAAAATCTATTATCTTTGGTGTTTATAATACAGTCTAGTAATTCTGTTGGGTTTTATTCAGTTCCAAATCAGTAAGATTTTACTCTATTTATATATGAGTTGGATGCAATAATTTTAACCATTGTGAACTTTTAATGAGTAAATGCTCTTGCTCCAAAAGAAGCAAATGGTTGACAATAAAGCAGAATTTTTCAAAGTGAGGTCCTTTTACCATTCATCAGAATCATCTGGAAGAGGTTTTGTTTAAAAAATGAATATTCCTGGGCCCACTCCAATCCTACTGAAACAGGATCCTTTGGGTTGACACAAGAATCTGAATGTTAAGCAGATACTCAAGGTGATTCTCAGGAACTTGAAGTTTGAGAAACACTGCCAAAATGAATAATATGAAATAAAGCATATGTCTGAAAAAAGGAGATCAAATGAGGTCAGCTAATACAGGCCCAGATAGAGTTGCATTTTTCAGTTAAATGTAGATACATTTAGAGTTAAATGAGGAGAAATAATAAAAATTTTGTCTTTTTATCCCTTATCTCCTTTGGGAGAAGTTGTAGTGCTGAAAGGCACATTTTCATCTGTGGAAATCCTCATAGATGATATATATATATATATATTTTTTTTTTTTTTTTTTGAGAGGAATAAGGCTGATTGAGCTCCTTTGTAGTTTTATGCATTATAAAATCCCTTTTGTAGTTTTATGAAGGAAACTACATGCTTAGCAAATGCTTCTTTTATCAGCAAATGTCCTGGCAGTAAATTGTCCATATAGCAATTTAATGCCAGACCTTCTGATTCTTATTCTGGGGAAGGTGCTGGGATATACATAAATGTGTGTAGTCACATGCATACACACACATGCACTCAGACATCTTTAGATTATAAGTGGTATCTGTAGGGTATCACCACTTTTCTTTTAATCCAGCATTGACTTACAACCATTCAAATAAATTAACATTCCCATCTTGATTCATTTGGTAAGAACACATTTTCATGCCAGTATGTGGGCTCACCTCTATGACCTTTCCTTATAAAAAATACCAAGTGCTTTGGGTTTTTGTGTTAATGAGCATTGGGAAGCTGTCAGCTTTTATTTCTGTTTTTTGTTCAAGTCAACATCATTGACCTTCACCTAATGATCTATGTAACATACACACGCAGGTACCACAGATTAAAAGTGGAAAGACAGGGAAGTAAGGAGAGATGCCCATAGAGGAAAGGTGTGAGAGCAGGTGATTTGTAAATCATAATGTCACTAAAATGAGTAAGATCACTTGAAAAGGAAAAGGAAAACTGCTGTGTGCTGTATTTTCTTGCTTTAGGATTAGCGGGATGGGGTATTATTTTAAAATGAGTTTTCAGTTTGGTTTTGGAAAGGTATTTAACACCATGACACATGTGCTCCAGGATTCTGGGTACCCTTTTCCATGGATGATAAAAATAAAAATAATCTAGGGTCTTCTGATGAACAGGTATGGATCCTATCCTTTTCTGTACATATACTTCCACCAATTCTGCATCGCCTGGGGTAACCAGCTGTCCTGGTTTGC
Source organism: Homo sapiens (assembly GCF_000001405.40). NCBI lineage: Eukaryota > Metazoa > Chordata > Mammalia > Primates > Hominidae > Homo > Homo sapiens. Next base: position 20,916,652 of record NC_000011.10, read on the forward strand.
CTAGGAGCCTCTGTTTTAGCGCTGAATTTTTCCATGTTCCAGGAAATCCATAAGATGGAAATCTATAGTTTTGTCTGTTTACATTCTTTTATTATTATTATTATTATTTGAAAAGTAATGAAAGCATAGATGTCTAAAATGTGACAATTTCAGTTTGGAGGCCTGTTTCATTGACCTAGAACATGAGTGCTGGGTGGATCTTTAGGTTTTTCATCTAGCACTTCTTTTCCAGATGAAGCAACTGGGGCTCATAGAAGGTGGCTAACTTATTGCCTAAGTCTGTGCAGTTAGCTGGAGACAGATCCAGAACTTGAAACCAGGTTCCCTGACTTCTAATCCATGCTTGTCTCAAATTGCCACATGTGCTTGAAGGTGTGATAGCCTCTCAAAGAGTTAATTTGCTTTGAAAGACTGAGTAATCTCATCCCAGAGAGAAGTTAATTCATTTAGATTGTGCTCCATTAATTGCTCCCTGGTATTCCTCTGCAAGAGATTATGAATTAATATTGAGGAGCAGTGGCAGAAACTTCTTCCCCATGGGGAGGCTGTCTTCTCTCATAATCGCAAACACTGCATCATCCTTGAAGAGGAAGAGGTTAATAAACATATAATTCTGTGGAAGAGGTGCTGTGATCCTGTTATTTCTATTAATATTTCCAATTAATATTTTTTTCTTGAAATAATAAGCCAAAAACTGCATTTGCTGATTGCCTTCTGCTGTTTAGAAGATAAGCACATATATGTTAAATGTTACTCCCTCTGAAAGACTTGCAGCACTCTCTTAAGTCTATATTTTATTTATAGAATAAGCTCAGTATTCTGAACCAGCTTCTACATCTTCCATCTGTTCTGTAATATCTCTGCCATCAAATCAGAAAAAACCCTAACAACAGAATCTTGAAATTCAACTTGAAAAATTCAAAAGTCAAGTCAATATTTTCATTGAGAGATGACAGCCCTGATGACTTTCTTAAATTTGAGCTATTCTTCCAGACTGAATTACAGAATTAAAAGACCACCTTTTACTCTTAAGACTCATCAACAAAGACTCATGTTACTCAATTAGTTGAAGAGCAAGGATTGTTATGGAATTTTCCCAATGTCTAATTTTATTTCCTTCGCTAAATGAATCAGTAGAAAAATTTTAGCGTAATATGTTTCTATTATATTTCTTCCCACTTTAAAAAAATCCTGTAAATCAGCAATATTTAATATTCCAGGATGATTAGGGCATTAAGGAGAATTTTTATTGAATCAGTGCTTTTTACTGATGTGTCTTTGGTGTTATAATCTATAATTGGCATTAACTAGTGGTAACTAATTGGAGCTTTCTCCACATAAATGTACAATTTGAGATTCCTAAAGTAGGATGCTTTAGAGTAGTTCAGTATATACTAAGGCCAGCTCACCCTTTGAATGAATCAATTTTGTTGAAAAATAATCTGACCTGCCAAGAGTATGTGATTGCATAGGGGACATTTGAGCTGGTGACTGTAATCTTGATTGCCACCTGTCTCTTCTATTATCAAGGGGATCATCCAAGATGGGAAGATCATCTTTATGCCGAATGGATATATAACACAGTGTCCAAATCTAAATCACAGTAAGTAGCAACTTAAAGCATTGTGATATATTATATAACTTGTTGATTGTATCAGAGAAACACATCTGGAAAGATAGACCCAAATTGTTTACAGTGTTGACTTCTGAGGTGCTGGAGATAGTGAAAGAGAACTTATTATCTACATTATATAATTCTGTGTCTTTAAAAAAATATGTATCATTTATTGTATTAATCCGTTTTCTCACTGCTGATAAAGACATACCCTAGACTGGGTAATTTATAAAGGAAAGAGGTTTAATTGACTCACAGTTCCACATGGATGGGGAGGCCTCGCAATCATAGTGGAAGGCAAAACAGGAGCAAAGTCACATCTTACATGGTGGCAGCCAAAGAGAATGAGAGCCAAGTGAAAGGTGAAACCCCTTATAAAACCATCAGATCTTGTGAGACTTATTCACTACCATAAGAATAGTATGGGAGTAACTGCCTTCATGATTCAATTATTTCCAACTGGGTCCCTCCCACATGTGGGAATTATGGGAGCTACAATTCAAGATGAGATTTGAGTGGGGATGCAGCCAACCCATATCATTTATTGAACTAAAATTTGAAAAGAAGAGGGTTACATTAGCAGATTCTATAGGTGGATATAGAAAGATATGTTTAATATATATTTTTAAAAACTATTCCTTAAGATTCTTGACCTGGATGAGAGTTTACTTTTTCTTCTTCTATGATACTTCACATTTTTTAAGTTACCTCCCTATAAAAATGAGAGTTTAATTTTAACTTTAAAATGTCATGTTGCCTTTCTTTTTAGTTAACAATGCCTTTTTCCTGTTCCTTTCTTTTTGCTTATTAAAGTAGGAAAAGATCCAGACCTGAAATCCTCTGTGATTTCACTCAAATTTCAAAGCAATGTCAACCAAAAAAACCCCAAAAACTCTTCTACATAGTCACGTATCTACTGTTTTAAAATTTTATTTCTTATATTAGCACAATATAAATATATATGTTTTATATTTTCTTTATTGAGCTTGCCCAACCTGCAGTGATTTCTTAAGCCTGGTGCAAGGAATAATGGATTTACAAGAGCTTTTGGCCAAGATGACTGCAAAAGTAGGTATCTAAATTTCATTTGTGATGTTTCATTTCTTTTTCTGTCCTATCTGGAATTTGGAGTGATATGTTATAATGGAAACATTTTTAGCCTCGGCATCTGCTATATGTTACTACAAAAATGTTTTATTCTTACTCAAAATAGGACTACCAATAGTAAACATAACCATTCCTGTCTTTGATGCTATTAAGCTGTATCATAATGTTTACTTGAAAAATGCTTGGAAGCAAGAGGCAATATGTATCACTGTAGATTCCATGGGAGTGGAAAAGGAATTTTCCTATTGGCTATTAAAGTAGTAACACTGTAAGATGATCTATGGTCAGAGCCACTGCTCTTATAAGCTAATGCATTTTGGATGTAAGAATAATTGCCAGTAATCGGAAGGGGCAAAATAGCTATTGTTAGGAACAGATTACTGTCAAAAGAAGGCATTATATTACATTTTTAATGTATAATTTATTTCAAGGCTGGTCCTGAGTTAAATAGCAAAGGAGGCAAAGTTTGCCTTTCAACACCTTCGGTTTTATAATTCCGCACCTTTTCCTCCTCTCCATTCCATCATCCACTTAACAAGCATCTTTTGAGGACCTGCCGTTTGCTGGGCACTGTGTTAGGCACAAAGAGGCAATAGTGAAAAAGACACGCTTTCTACCCTAGATATGTTCATACTGAGTGGCGGAGCCAAATGTGTAAACAACTAAGGGCTTTAATATATATTCATAAAGTGTATATTCATAATGAAAAGCCCTGAGCCTTGTTGAAAAAGACACTGAAAATATAGAAAATATGGCTAATGCTGTTGTTATGATACCAATCAGTTGTGGACATGAGTTCCAGCCTAGGGCGAAGAAAGAATTAGGTTGGGCCTAAGAGACATTATACTCTGCAAAAGAAGAATTTTAATAACAATGAAAATGATACATTAATCCTATTGTACCTGCAGCTAAGACTGCTCCCTACCATCAGCCATGGCATGTGCAAAAAAATTGGTGGGTAGATAAGTGTTTGCAAGATAAGGCTATAGTTTGGACCCATGGATTGTGCTGCTGAAGACAATGTTTCTATTTCAAACTGGGTTTTTGGCTAAGGCAAACCCCTTTTTGTCTGGAAAGGAGAGATGGAAAACTTTTGTAAGAAAACAATTGAGACTGAGGCCCAGATCTGAAGCATTAGCTTTTCGCTTCAGAGTATAGTGGGAATGTGAAACGCAGGTGATTATTTACCTTCCCAGCTTGTGTTATAGAGAGGCTTTTATTTCATATTGTCTGGAGCAGCTTGATCTCAATACTGTTAATTATATTTTAGCATGCTACCAAAGTTTTGGAACAAGAAACATGCCACTCTGTCTCAGGTGATTGTGGTTCTTCATTCTCCAGCTTCGAGGGCGTCGTTTGCTTTCTCATTCTTTCCCATTGCAGAGAATGTCATTTTTCTCTTTTTAGCCACACATCATCTAGGAGCCACAGAGAGCTCTATTCTCAAAACGTTATTGTGTAAAATGGGCCTTTGTGAGGTAGGTATTTAATTGTGGGCAGTTGCAAACAGCAAATTTTTTAATCCATCTTCTAAACCTCCCTTTGGCACTTTGGCAGATTTTTAGGTCTGTTCCTTCCAAACAGTATATAGAATTACAATTTGAAAACTGAGTACTTCCATCTTTGCTGTGTAATTTGAAATCTATGATCATCTAGAATAAGCATTGGCAAACTTTTTCTGTAAAGGACCAGCTAGTAAATTTTGGGCCTTGCAAGCCAAGAGGCAAAATCAAGGATATTATGTGTAGACTTAGTTCATTTAAGTATAATAATTTAAATTATAACTATTGAAAACTATAAGAACCATTCTTAGCTTATAGGACATACAAAAGTAAGTAGAGGGCCAGATTTGGTCCACTGGCCTTAGTTTGTCAACCATTGATCTAAAAGAAATGGAAAAGTCAGTAATACAAGCATTTACTATGTATTAGTTAAAATGCTTAAGCTTTTATATCCCCTGTCACTTTAATCTTTACCACAATCCTTTGAGCTTGCTTTAATTCATTAGTCTGCTTTACAGATGAGATGACTGAGGTCCAGGAAGGTCTGATAACTTTTCCTAAGAGAGTAGATGGCAGAGCTGGGACCTAAACTCAGGTAGTTAGATCCTGAAAGTTGAATCATGGCTGAGAAAGTTCATGGTTTGACAAGAAAGGGTTAAGAAGAGAGATAAAAGCTATAAATAGGGAGTAATATTACTCTTTCTAACCCTCACCATCCACTGGCAGGAGGATGGAGATATTACCAAGAAAGAGCAAATAAAAAAGAAAGGAAAAGAGAAATGAATGTTTGATCATTTTATTGAGCTGAACTAAAGTTTTCAGATCATACCTGTTTGGAATGAAATGTGTGAACATAGAACTTGTAGTAACTTTTCAAAGAAGAAGGTTATGGCAAGAGCAAGGTCTCTTTTTTATTGTGTGTGTTTTTTTTTTTTTTTTAAGAACAGTGTCTCTTAATGCACGCTTTTGGCTATGAGCTGCTTGTTTTCCTTGGAAATAGTGAAAATTATTTGACATTATTTACTTAAGTATTTTCAAACCAGATTGCTCAGAATCAGACTGCTACACCTAGGAAAGGCCAGGTGAAGTCTCAGGAAAGGATTCTTTAAGGATTTTCAAGGAAGATTTTTTTTTCCTTCTAGCTGGTGCCAAGGTCTGAACATGAAAGTTTTCTTTCTGTGCCTTGAGCAAGCCTCCTTCTTTTTGTTCACTCTAACACTGAGGGTATCTCATGTTAGGCCAAATCTTTATATAGGGGTTTGCTTTAAGGTACCCATCTTGGGAAGATACTTTTCCCCAACTCTGTCCCCCTATACCCTGTGCAACCATCAGGGTGGAAGCTCAGGGGCTCTACATTGCATCAAAAATCTTCAGGATGTTGTTGTCTTTGGTGCTCACTTATTTCCTGGGATCCCTGCAGTCACTTTGTTTTGGCCTCTGTGACTTTGTTTCTTCCTTTTGTATTAGCTCTGTGACAATTTTCAAAAGTTTTTATTTATATATTGAATACAGCAGTTTAGTTGGTTCAGTTGGTGAAGTCCTTCAGGGTATGTAGTCTGCCGTCTTGGTGGAGGCGAAAATGTAACTCACTTTTTTGGCAGGTGGAAGGAGATGGAGTCTGGAAATGTCAGGCAAACTTGAAGTTGAATATGGTTCGCAGATGCAAAAAGAATTCTATGGCACTAAATTTATCTGGGCCCAGTCTTTATTTTTAATTAAATAGGCCGATTGTGGCAGAATTCAGTTAATAGGGCTGGAGGTAATTTTTGGAGTTTTGATTTGAGTTGTCCAGCAGTTCCGATTAAGATGGGTAGACAGTCATATAGGTCATAGTGGAGATAGAGAATGGGCTTTAAAGTCAGGCTGATATGATTCTGAGTCACTATTTTATAATTTCCTTGGATATTTATAGCTTTGAGTAAGTTATTCGACTTGTTTCAGCATCTGTTTCCCCATATGTAAAATGGTGACAATTATTCCTGCTCTTGTAAAGATTCCGTGAGCCCAGGCAAATGAGGTTTGTTGCACGGCACACAAATGTCATTCAATAGGTGGTGGCTGCTGCTGTTTATACTCTTAAACCTAGAAAATATAGACAACCATGGTGGGATGATGGTTCCTTAGAGAAAATGGTCCTTAAGAAAATGCACATCTTCCCCAGTGACTTGAAATCACAAAGTCTGGTAGAGCCTGTGCATTGCTGTCAAGACCCTAGTCTAGGAGTCCTGGAAAACAGCAGGAAGTCCTTCCTCTTGGGTCGAGGTGGAAACCCTGGAGCCCTTCCAGAGAAGAAGCTCCGTGTATAAGCTAGAGAGGAATTGGTAGTCAAAGTCAGAACCAAACAGATGTAGATACCAGATCAGCCCAGGGGTCTGTGTAGGAGAGCTCATTGATCCTTTTCTCCTTTTAGGGTTAGGCATGCTGGCAAGTGACTGTGCCCTTGCTTGATCATGGGAGCAGCCTGCACTCACATTCAGGTGACAGAGGTCAGGGTAGATAAGAGCTCTCTTGAGGAATTCTGGCATTTTGGCAAAACTATACTTTTTTTAAGGCAGAGAAGAGATGGGGCTGCTACCTCAAGTAATAAACCTTTTTTGTCCTCCTACATTTCCCTTAGTGATCTACAAGCATCAGCCACTCCCCTGGCTTACTCTCAAGGTTCTCTCAGGTGGTTTTGACATTGTGGGAACTACCTACCTGCTGGGAACATTGTGATAGGGTCAGACTCTGTCCTGCTATCAGATCCCAACTGCACTGTAATCCCATTCTGACTTCAATCTCAGAAAGAAGAGATACTGAAGACTGGGACTTTCTTGATTACTTCTGTTTAAATATTTGACAAATCTATGTATGCAAATCAAGCGACACTTGGAGTGGCATTTAAGCTTGTGACATCTTTAATTTTGAGACTTTCATTGTTTTGAGGAATTCAATAATGATTTTTTGATTAAGCTTAAATGTTTAACAATAGAAGCTTCTTTTTTCCTTTCATATAGCAAATGCCAAGTAAATGGTATTTCAAAGAAAAGAAGCAATCCACCACACAACTAATGTACTTAGATCTGTTCATTGACCTCTGATGATAAAAAAGGCCTCTGCTGTCTATCTTTCATTATGTAGAGTTCAGAATAAATGATTTGGTCCATGGTTGCTTAGATAAATGCATAAACAAGAGGTAGACAGAATAGAGATGTAGATGTGATACCGTATCTATTTCGAATCTGCAGACAATCTTAGAGAAAGTGTCAGGTAGTATAGAAATAGCTTTTGAAAATGAATGTGTATAAATTCAGCATGCTAATACCAGTGACAGAAAATGCAATTCATTTTTTGATTCACAGTTGTTTGTCTCCTTTATTGCCGTTTTAGGATTTAGCAGGAGTAAAAGGGAAGGCAAGAGGTTACATGAAGTTCTTTGAAAAATTAGCTTTTTGCCTTAACATCCCTTTGCCTTTGTGTCTATTTGGTGTGCTCTTATTATTACAGACAATAGGACTTCTCAATGTTGTCAGAAAAGGCTACAAATATTAAAAATAAAAACCACATTCAGAAGGGAAACAAAATCAGCCTTGAGAATAGCATTCATTATATTAAAACTGACATTTTCTTTGGAATTGAGTTTTGTAGGTGAGCACAGCTCAGCTTTGTGGGACAGTGCTAGAAATTGCCACTATTTCCCTTAGGCAAGCTCCTGGATTTTAAGAAAGCTCAGATAGATATAGAGTTGCCTTTTGGGCCATTTAGTCCTTAAGAAGTTCCCTTCTTGGAGTGATATAGACACCAGAATTGTTCCAGATTTTCAGAGTAAGGCACGTATGGGTCCTCTCACAAAGGTACACAATTCTGAGACCCTTTTAGGAGGAATGCAGATCTGGTTCAACTCTGTTGTTCAATCCAAGGTCATATATCTGTTACTGCCTTGTGTAGGAACTACTGGGGCTATGGAAATGAAGTAAAGATAAGTGATAAGTTGTTACTTTCTTTCTATTGAGGTTCCACATCTGTGGATTCAACCAACCATGGACCAACAATACTCAGAAAAAAATTCCAAAAAGTTACAGAGAGTAAAACTTGAATTTTCCATGTACCGAGTACTGCATTGAATCCATGTGAATGAATTGATGTTTAGACATTGTATTACTTATTATAAGTTATCTAGAGATGACTTAAAGTGTATAGGAGGATGTGCATACGTTATATGCAAACTATACTATTTTATATAAAGGACTTGAAGATTTTCAGATTTTGGTATCTGCAAGTGGCCAAACCATATGCCATCATCCCTCAGTGTCCAAGAGTATCACCAAACTCAGCAGTGTATTTTATCCGTTTCCTAAAGCATTGCCAAATAACTTAATTATCATAGATTCTATAAACTCTATGATTAGGCTGGAGTTTTGTTGTATTAATTTATTTATTTATTGAGATGGAGTATCGCTCTGTTGCCCAGGCTGGAGTGCACTGGCATGATCTTGGCCTGCTGCAACCTCTGCCTCCCAGGTTCAAGAGATTCTCATGTCTCAGCCTCCAGAGTAGCTGGTGGTACCCGCTACCACACCCGGCTTTTTTTTTTTTTTTTTTTGTATTTGTAGTGGAGACAGGGTTTCGCCATGTTGGCTGGGTTGGTCTCAAACTCCTGACCTTGGGTCATCTGCTCGTCTTGGCCTCCCAAAGTGCTGGGATTATAGGTGTGAGTCACTGCACTTGACCTAGGCTGGAGTTTTAAATGAAACATGGATTTTTAGAAGATCATGCATATTAGAAGGAGTGATAGGAAGCTAATATTTCAGGCAGCGTCAACTCTTAGTTCTTTAGGGGCTGCTCATGGTGCATGGTGGTTGGTCTAAGATCCTATTTTTTGTTTTTTCTACCCTTTGCTACCACCCACAAAAGGCAGACAAGGGGTAAATTTTCTTGAGAAATTCCAAAAGCTTGGAGGAAGAGGATGAAATAAATGACAAAAACAAAGGTTAGAATTACATGTGGATTCCATTTCCAGAGAGTAGTTCTGGTATGAGTAAGTCAGAGGAAGGTGTATGAAATGGAACCATAGTTAATGTAGAAAGATGGTGGAAGTCATTCCCTAGGTTTATCTATTATGTCTAAAATAGTGGCTCAAAATAATCTTAGTTAGATCAAAGGTTGAATTGATCTCCTGTATGGGGAAAGTACTTAAGACATGAAAGGATAAACATGATTGAGAAGGAAAAGAGAAACTCAGATAATTTTCTAGGAAACGATACTTGTTTTTCAATCATGGTGGTCTCTATGTAAGGGAAAGGAAAGGAAGAGTAATATCACTACTAGGTTGAGTTACTCTTTCGTGTGGATGTGACAGTAGACAGATCATATCAAAGTGCTGTATTTAGGGTTTTTTTGCACCATATTTTTGAAGGTAAACTGGAGTAGGCTGTATGAAAAGTGATCAGAAGAGAGGCTTGGAATCATATCATGAGGAGCTGTTAAGGGAACCTGGTGGTGCCAAGTGTGGTCAAGACGACAGGATAACCTCAAATGCTTGAAGATTAGGTTTGCTCAGGATGGATTACAATGAAAACCTAGGTATGGCAGGAAAAAAAGAAAGATTTCACAGCCAAAACCATGAAAAATGTTTCAAACAAGAGAGCTAACTGAGAAAAGTGGCTTTCCTTGGAAGATAATACATGTTCCTCCACTGGAGATGTACAAAGGCTAGATAATCACTTGAGGTTTCTTGTGAGGATATTCAAGCTTTATAATCCCTTTCCAGCAGGAGAGTCTAAGACTCTGTGATTATTGGCAATGACTGGGTGGCCTAGAAAAATAAAAAAGGTTATTTTACAAAATTCTGATCTTACCTGGGGTTTTGGTTACTTTTCCTGTCCTTCTTCTAAGCACAAAAGTGAATTCCTGGGGCATTCTGTTTGGGGGATCCGCTTACGACTTTTCTTTTTTTCTGACCCCAGCTCTCCAGAATTTTTCATCAGACAGAAGGCAGTGACTTCCTAGTTTGTAAACCACGACATTCTAGTTAGTGTGTGAAGAACATAGAGAGGATAGTGGGAGATAAATGTAAGTGCCTCGGAGTTCCTGATTAGATCGCCTGTAAACATCATAATGAGTCCTTGAGAACACATTCATTATGAGTGTTTTTGTGTGGGCTTGAATGGAAAGCACACACATTTATGAACACCCATGAGGTTCCTGAGTTACAGTTTAATGTCTCATTTGGTATTCATTAGACCATGACAGCCAATATTTCTTCAATTTAGAGTGATTCCACCTTGTGTAAAAAAAATAAAAAAAACAAAAAACAGATAATGCTAAGAATCAGTGAACTGCTCTGAGCATTTTTTTCTCTTCTCAGAAGGATTTTTTTTCTTGTTGCTATTAGCTTTGTTAGGATGATGCAATTGAATTACAGAAATTACATTCAGTAACTCTTGTTTGCAGCTAAATTATGCAGAGACAAGACTTAGTCAATTGGAAAACTGTCATTGTGAGAAGACTTGTCAAGTGAGTGGACTGCTCTATCGAGATCAAGACTCTTGGGTAGATGGTGACCATTGCAGGAACTGCACTTGCAAAGTAAGCCTCTTTGTAAATAAATACAGTAAAAACAGTTTTAAGGGGAGAGGTTTGATAATTAGAGTGTAACCTGGTTCTTTAATAAATAATATTAACTCTGAGAATTGTTAGGTTTTTACCTAGCACCCACTAGCCATACGAGCAATTGTGAAGCAATGCTGGAAGAGTGTCATGTCTTATATGAATACTTGGAAATTAAAATCTGCTTTCCCTTGCCAACACACCCTAATTTGATTTAATAGGCAATGTTTGGAGTTTGAAGGTTGGGATATAGTGGAAAGAAGGGACTCCTTTGATTTTCAAACAACCTAATGGTTATCCTTATTCACAACCAGAATAACTTTAAAAGGGGAGTTTAATTATTTTCTACATGTTTTTATTGTCTTTTGCAAAGTGTATCCATCACCTGTTTCAAATAATTGCAAGGCATTTCCTCCCTGACTCACTGTCAGTGTGAGGATATCCATTATTTGTATATCCCTTCATCTGTTTCAGTGAATTACAACATCCCCCTCCAAAAATTAGTATGGAAACCCTGTCCAGTTGAAATTACTTGATAAATATCTGAAGAATGCCATTGTTTGTCTAGGAAAATACAAAACAGATTGTTAGAGCCTCAGAAATGATTGACAGAGTCTGCAAATGTGTTATTTATGTTCTTATAAAAATAGACTTTTTGTTTTCTGCATAATCTAGTTAGCACACATGGGCAGGTAGGATGAAACCAGTGATGTATTTCAGAAAAGTAATTGAGGTGGTACAGGTCATTCGGGCCGGAGAAAACACTTCATCTGTGGTCCTGGAGTGGACTGGGAATTCGAATACTGCTTCTGTTTCCCTGATGAGGTTTCTGGGATGAGATTTCAATGATCTCCACAACAGGAGCTATCAAAGGATACTTCTGAGATTATGTTCCATGTCCTTCCTTCCTCAGAGTGGTGCCGTGGAATGCCGAAGGATGTCCTGTCCCCCTCTCAATTGCTCCCCAGACTCCCTCCCAGTGCACATTGCTGGCCAGTGCTGTAAGGTCTGCCGACGTAAGTACTGACTGAGGGTCAGACTGGCTGTCTGTGTTTTGAGATTTATTTATTTATTTTCCCTGTTTTTCTGGACTCAACTGATTGACATTGATGAAATGAAACATTGGCAGTTGATGTAACATTAAATATATGGTAAGAAGAGCCACAATATTTTAATCACTTGCAATGTGGCAGACACTTAACATGGGCTATTTTTTTTTTTAAATCCTCACATCACCTGTAATTACTATTCTTCTTTCATTCTATGTGGAAGGAACGTGTGTTCACAGGGATTAAGTCACTTGTCCAACAAGTGGGTGAGGCTGATCTGTGAATTTACAACTCCAAAGCTCCATAGGCTTTAGTCCCCTCATTCTAAATGATCAAGTTAAAGGCCAAATTCTGTATTTTGGCTTTCTGAGGTTTTGGCTAGATTCTCCTCTTATTAAGAGGCCTTTGTTAGGAACTTCCGGATGAAATTCAGTTAAAATACTGAAGCTGTCGTTTAGAACATGTGGTATGTTCCATATACTGTGCTGGATGCTTTAAATCTACTAGCTTAGTGAATTCTCACAGCAACTCTTTAGGGAGGTATTATTATTATCCCTATTTTACAGGAAGCTGAGGCTTAGGGATATTAGCTTACGAAAATCATGAGGCTGGTGAGTGGCAGAGGTGAGACAGAAAACTAGTTCTGTTGACTACAAAGCCCATAGCCTTTTTATCAGTCCATATGGTCCTCTACAGAAAAGGAGAGTTCTGGTCAGAAATGTGTGCTATGGATAATTTTCAAGGTCATTTATTTACCAAAAGAAACACACCAATGTCAGTAGCCTTCAAAGCACAGTGGTCTATCATTCTGCCAGGAACAGCATGTCACCTATTATGACACTGAAAGTGGGAATAGCAGTGAAAGTGGGTTGCAGCAGCCCAAATAATTGTTGAACTTTTCAAAAAGGAACTTTGTAATCTTCCTTTTTTTTTTTTTTATGGTTGGCACACTGCACCCATTGCTCTGGGGGATGTACTTGGAGTTGCTCTAAAGAGAAGAACTTTCTTATTTCTGTTTCAAGAACTTTTGGAAGTCATGTCTGGCAATATAGGCAGCTCAAGTGTCTGGATATTGAATTATAGTTTGATCCCATGATGGAGAGAGTTGTTAGTAGGTACAGATTATTTGTTTTTATTCTTGACATTCTTCAGCAGAAGAAGTTGAAAAACTATTAGGGGCCAAGCACAGTGGCTCACGCTTCTAATCCCAGCACTTTGGGAGGCCGAGGCCGTCGGATCACCTGAGGTCAGGAGTTTGAGACCAGCCTGGCCAACATGGCGAAATCCCGTCTCTACTAAAAATACAAAAATTAGCTGGGTGTGGTGGTGGGCACCTGTAATTCCAGCTATTCTGGAGGCTGAGGCAGGAGAATTGCTTGAACCCGGGAGGCAGAGGTTGCAGTGAGCTGAGATCGCGCCACTGCACTCCAGCCTGGGCAACAGAGTGAGTCTGTCTCAAAAAAAAAAAAGAAAAAAAAAAAAAGGCTATTAGGGATGTATTAAAAAATGTGAGATGTTTTAGTCTATTATTTAGAGTTCCTGCATAGATCTCTGAATGCCATCTCTTGAAAGTTGTTGTTTGGACATGGAAGTAATGAGTCCTTCGGCAGGTTTGTGTCTTAACTTTTTGACGTTTTTTTAAAATTATAAAAGCACTGTGCTTTTGGCTTAACATTTTGAAAACACAGAGAATCATAAAGATCAAGATGGAAAGTTCACCCATAATAGCTCCACTTAGAAACACTCTTGAAATTTTAGTGGATGTGTCCTTTTTTTAAGAAAAATTACATTTTGTGTGCAGTTGAGGTTGTATTGTGTGGGCAATTTTTTATTCTAGTCTGTTAACTTGCCATTGTCACTTAAATATATTATTATGTTTTAAAAACTTCTGCATAAATGTCATTTTCATGAGCTTCATTGTTTCCCATTGTTTGGCTGTTGCATAACTTTTTTTTAACCAGTCCCAAGTCATTGATATCTAGATTGTTTCCCACTTTTCACTATTATAAAGCACGCTTAAATAACATGTTTTGTATAGAAAACACATTTTTGTATATTTTTGTATTTTATATTTCCTGAAAATAGAATTCTTCAGGCCAGAATTACTGGGCCAAAGATGAACATTTTCAAGGCCCTGGATACATACAGTTAAATTGCCCTCTCACTAGACGTGTGTGGGACGGTCATTTTTCTTTGTGCTAATTTGTTTGATAGTTTTAGGTTTTTAAAATTATTTCAGAAAATAACTCAATTTTATTAAAATGTTGATACACACACTAACTAAAACATCAGTTTTTTTTTTTTTTTTCCCTTTGCATGGAATTCATAGCAATTTAGTTAGGTAGCACTAATTTTCTCACAGCTCTGATTGGTAGTTTGATGTGTTCAGAGTTTAATAAAGTGGGAATACAAATAAATTATTAAAACACTATTCTAGACAAACTTAAAAAGAAATGATACAAGGCACCTCTGGTAATTAAAAGGTTGAGAACTTCTGGGCTGGAGGGCTTTCATTTCTCACTAGTTTTTAATAGAAATATGCATTAGGTGATTACTGAGTACTGATGCCTGGAATAATGATGAGGGATCCTTCCCTGCTTTAGAGGAGCTCACTTTCAAGGTAGAGACGTGGTTTACAGTGTCTGGAACTGTAAGTGCACTAACATTAGGCATGTGTTGGAGTACAGAAGAATGGCCTGGGAGGGAGGGGGAGAATACCGGGGGAAGGCCTGGGATGCTTCCCGGAGGACATGGAGCCAAGTTAAATATTTTGAACCTTCTAGAAGTTGACTTTTGTGGGTTAAGCAGTGGGGTGGAGAAGAAGAGAATGAGGATTGCTAGAGCAGAGTTCTAACACTAATCAGTGGAATTTCTAGATGTTTCCAATGTCTTCACATCAGAAACATGGTAGAGTATATTTACTTTGGTTGTCCCTTTTAAATATAAGTATGTGAGGTAATGCATATGTTAGTTAGTTCTTAGCCATACCACAGTGCCTACGTATTTCAAAATATCATGCTGTAGACCGTAAATATGCATACCTTTTGTCAGTTAAAAAATAATAATAAAATATAAAAAAAGACAAAGAAAAAATTGTATCTTGTATGAATAACTTATAGTCAAATCTTGTTTTTTAATCCAGTCTGACAGTCTGGATTGTATTGTTTGGATTGGATCATTTAATCCATTCACATTTAATGTTGTGAGGGATATAAGTGAAACTACTGTTTCCTGAATACCATGTTTTTCCTTGGTTTGGTTCCTTATTTTGATTTTTTTTCATTTTTTTTGTGGAGCTGCCTGAAGTAAATTTCTTATATGTGAATTTAAAGAAAAATTCCCAAGCTTCTCTCTGACTTTAGGTGGGGTAGTATTCTAGGGACACCAGGTAAAGGTAGGGCTATGACAAAGGCAAAATGAGCCAATATGTAAAAGCAGATTGTGTTGTCTGCTCACTCACTGAGTGTTCACGGACTTCTCTTGGCCTTGGGAACTGCAGCACTTACAGATGAGGGCGTCTGTTTGGAAATAGGGAAGAAATTTATCTAAGCATCCATGGCGGTACCGAAAATAGTGAGGGAGTTTCATTCCTCAAACACTTGTTGGGTGTCTGCACTATTCAAGGCATATTTAATATACCTATTTGCACATTAAAATCCTTTGGTGAACTTCTTAAACTTGGAGGTTTCCAGGGCTCCACCTAGACCTACATAATCACAATCTCCAGGCATCAACATCCTGAAATCTGTATTATTTTGGTAGACAGATTTGAGATCTACCAGAGATAGGAAGGAGGGAGGAAGATGGAGAAAAAAATATTTCTTCTATGCAAAACAGTATGTGTGAAGGAATAAGAGTGAAAGAGGGAAAGGGGAATAGTGTGTTTGATGATAACACAGGATTTATGTAGGTGAGAGGTTGAAATAGAGCTGCAAACGTGAGTTGCGGATGGATGATGAAGATTGTATCCCAATGAAGCCATTCAGTAATCCCTACCGAGGTCCTTCTGCCAAACACTTTGTCAGTTCTGGGGGCAACAGTGGACACGTATGGATCATTTACTCTGACAGGCACTGTGTTTAACCATTTTATATGTATTCATTTAATTCTTCCAACAACTTTAAGTGGTAGGGTCCGCTATTATCCCCATTTTACACATGAGGAGGTGAAACAGAGAGGAGAAGTAACTTGTCCAAGGTCTCCCAGTTTTGGGGGAGCCAAAATAAAGCCCTGGCAGTCTGGCTTCAGAACCCAGTGGGATGCTCTTGACCTGTTGGCTCTAACCATTGTTCTCCAGAGAGATCTCTGTTACAATAAAGAATATTATTTCACATGAACACTATGGAAGACACAGAAGTCACACAGAGAAGGGAGTGATTAACTCCATCTGAAATGTACATATGTATGTGTGTGTTAGGAAAACGTCATAGGTAACAGCTGAGCGGGGTATTGACAAATGAAGAGGAGTTTTCCAAGTGTACAAAGTAGGTAAGAACATAACTGCCAGAGGGAATTGCATACACAAAATCATGGAAATAAACCAGTGTTGGTTTTGGTACTGCAATCAAGGTTTTAATGCAGAGTTGTGGCATAATCAAAGATGTGCTTTTAGAAAGGCTACTGCATCAAGAGAGCTGGAGGTGGTGGGGGATATGGGACTTGGGCATATTCCAGGTGGAGGTGTTGAGGCTGGCAGGCAGGCACAGCCTGGGAAGATGCAAAGGAAGGGAAGGATGTGGGTGACAGCCAAAGGAGCTGGCACATTAGAGATACTCCACAGGTATTGTTTTGCATGAGACAAATGGATCAGGGACAGAGCGTCTGTAAGGGAGAAATTGCCAGGTTTTGAACAAGAGCCTGTGGGAGACTCACGGTGTGATTAACAGAAATAAGACAGGTGGAGAAAGCAGTATGGGGAGCAATACATTCCGTTTGACATGTTTGAGTTAGAGATGCCTGAGGTACAACTAGTTTGATGTGGGTGTCTTGCTCATAGAGGTGGTATCTGAAGCCAAGGCTGTGAATTAGCTCACTGAGGGAGGAAGGATCTTTGGGTGTTCAGTCTCTCTGATCTGCCACTCTCCTTTAAAGTGTAAAACAGTGTGCTGATTTTGACATTCTAGGCCGCTGAGTACCAAGGGATGGCTGGAGTGTGTGCAGGGTACAAATACCTAAATAAAGATAGGGAAACCTTGTATCCACATCTGACAGGGATGTCAAGCTGTACTTGTCAATTGTTTATTCAGTGTGCACCCAAATGGCAAAATTGTCCAATCATTGCACCAGAAAAATCAAGGTCAAAATTGAAGGGCCAGGTGTCTGTCGGTGCAAAAAGATACAGCTGCATAACTCTTTATATCCTCAGTACATTTTGTTTCTGACATAATGGAGAAGTGTGTGTTGGTGCTAGGTTTCAATTTTGTGTTTGGGCACTGTGAAATATTCTAGTTTGCATGTCACCAGTGTGATATGAAGAGCTTTAGGTATCCATTTACATTTCTAATCACCCTGAAAGATGTTCGAATGGAGTCCCAAATGCCCCAGCCAAACGCACCAGAGCCTGACTCACCTTATGCTTGAATTTCCTCAGACATAAAAAATAAGCCTTTTGGCTATAGATCAAGAGGTTGGATAATAAGGGCTGATATTAGGCATAGGAATGCAGTGGCAGGGAAGGAGGGCTGTTGTCAGAGAAGTGAGGATGAGTATGAGAAAGCAGGAGAAATTCTTGTGACCTCCAGTGGTGATCCTGAAAGTCATCCTAAGATAATTTCATAGATACATACATTCTGCACTAGTGCCAAATTGCAGATGGTTGAGGCGTGCAGTAATATGTTGATCTCATTCACCAGCACCAAAGCACCCTGCTATGTGAGTACATAAAGTTCAGTGGACATTTAATTTTTATAAGAGACTGGTGGATTCGAGGGGTGGATGTGTCTCCATGTGTGGTGTGAATGTAAACAATGAGGCATTTTTATCTCCAGATTAGGAGTTTTGGGATGAGCCTGTCAAAGGGGAAGAGAGGATTTGGACAAGTGCCTTAAGGCAGGTGATCAAATGTGTTAATACCATTGTGGGAGTGGCAAGGGGCAAAGGAAGAAAAAATGTCTATTTCTTCGCTTCACAGCTTGGGCCAAGAAGCAGATGGCAGATTTGACAACAGTGCACTTAGCAGAACTGTCACTTTGGAACAAGCTGCCTTGCCAAGTTGGCAGCAGGCACATTTGGGAGTGTGGGAATTTATTAGACAGGAATTCCAGACCTTGGAGGTGTGGTCTCTCCATGCAAGTACACTGGGAAATCTAGCTCTCATTAGGACCAACGAGTCATGGTCAACTGATTTATCTACAAAATTGAGGCATAAAAGATGATCAGGGATAGATTTTTGTTTACTGAAGGGAGGAAAGGACCTATCCAGACAATTATATTAATTCTCCATTTTTTTGGTCTCTACTTCTAATGTTTGAAGTTGTATTGAATGCCAGAAATAACTCTTATCTGTGGATCAAGAAATTTGACTGTTTTTTGCCACCTACTAGAGGCTCATTAATTGGAAAATTATTATTACTCTCAATAAATCCTAAGGCATGGGGCTTTGGGCTGGAGATAAAATTATAGACATTTTCCCTACCCTCATGGGGGTTGCAATTAGCAGCAGGGACATGGTGGGGTGTACAATTAAATGGGAAATTAGGATGTCATGTGATATATATTCTGTTGGGATTAGGTTCAAAGTACAATAGAATAAAAAAGTGAGGACGATTAACCAGTGTTAAAGGGTAAGAACAAGTTCTGAGGGAAGTCAGCCCTAAGCGGAAGCTCATGGGTGTATAGGGTGGGAGGCTGCCAGTGGAAGGTGGATGGGGTGCTCTGCACGTGTTTCTGAGAAAGAGAACGGTATATGTAAGGCCCGGAAGTGAGAGATAAAGCATGGCTAGAACATATGTGGAGGTGTGGATGTTTTGTAGGGTGAATGAAATCACGGGAAATGGTGGGCTGTGAACCTTGGGAGATAAGAAGCCTCATGAATGGCCTTGTTTGCTGAACTAAGGATTTTGGACTTTATTCTGAGAGCTTTAGGGACCCTGATTTCAAGCAGGGCCTCATGTTTGCACTTAAAAAATATGTGTCTGACTGTTTTATGGGGAAGGACTGGTGAAGATTGAGACTAGAACATGAGAGAGCTAGGAAGTTGTGGTGGTACTGAAGAAGAGGGATGACGACAGCCTGAACAAAGACAGTGTCTGGGGGCAGAGGGTGAGGAATGGAGAGGAGGAGGTTGACTTGAGAAACTTAAGAAGGGGACATTGATAGGATTTGGACACTGATTGGACATGGAGTTGTGTAAGAGGGAGAGGTTAGAAGGTTGCCAGGCACTAGGGTGTGGGAGCTGGGATGGATACCCATGCCATTGCCATTCACTGAGAGGAGAATACAGGAGTGGAACATATTTGGGTGGGGAGTGAGGTTGCTGCAGGTCAGGTTCTGAGGGGAAACAGACTTTGACATAGAGATTTACATGTACTTTATTAGGAAGTGCTCTCAGGATCAATTCTGGGATAGGAATGAGGTGGTGAAGGAAGAAGAATTGGGCAGAAGGAGAAGTTAAGCTGCAGTGGTTACAGCAAATGCCGAACTCATTCCTACAGGGAGCTTTGGAGCTGGAATGGCCCTTCGGAGTTGTCCTCAGTTGGAGAAAGGGGGCCAGGACTGTGTACCATGTTCACCCATCAAGAGAACTTCACCTTGGGCAAGGTGGCTCTCTACAGCCCTATACAAGTCTTAGATCTCCATTCAGGGGAGAGCCGTTAGTTGCCAACTGTCACAGCAGTTGTAAGAATGTATCCTTTGCTCATGGAAGTGGATCTCCATGTACCACAGCATCCACTACAGGGTATGACGTTAACTTAGGCATGTCCCTGGACTTTCTTCTTCCTGTGGCTAAAATGGACTAGATGACTACTGTTTGTTTTATTGGAAGGGAGGAATGAAAGCCCCATTTCTCACCTGGTCATCCTCTTTGCCTTTCAGATCTTGCCCCTCAACATCGAAGGGGGTCTAGGTTCTTTATCTGCAAACACAGCACTTGCCTCACTTAGTAATTATACATTCACTGATGTTATTATGTAATTACTGTCTATTTCCCTGATTGTAAGCTCCATGAGAAGAAAGCTTTGGTTCTTGCAACACTATATTACCAGTTAGCATGTTGCCTGCCCTTTAGTAACACTAGAATATTATTTGAATGAAGAATAACTGAGCATCCCGTGAGAATCAGAGGGTTTTATAACTAGTAAACCACCAGATTTAATCAGCCCATTTTTAGCAGATACAGATATAGAGGCTCTGAAAGGTGAGGTGGTTCTATAAGACCAACACCGAATTAGTGGGTGAGATCTCTTAGAGTGCGTATTATTGCTTCTGTTCCTCCTAGAGCTGGGGCTAGAAGGGTCCTCATCAGGGCAGGAGAGGGAGTGACCAGATACTTGCTTCTTTTTTTCCTGTTGAAGTGGATGGAGAATTTGGTGGTGTTATATTAGGATCATATCAAATTGACATATGCTGTACTTGCTTAAAAGTGAGTCAGCCAGTTAAGTCAAGAAATGAGTTTCAGTGCAATCTAAATTGAGTGGTAGGAGCTCCGTTTATGTTTCTCTTTGAAATTTTCTACAAGTTCACCCCCGCTGCCCTTCCTGGCAGCCTTTTGAACTCACCTTTCCAAAGGCATTCTCTCTAGTGCATTGATCTAGCACTTTACAGGCTTTCCTTGTATTTCTCACTTGTCTCACATGTGTATTTCTCACGCCCACTCCCATGATCACAAGGAAGAAGAAATGGTGTCCTTCTCCATTGTGGCTGAGGTTCTGAGGAATGGAATATATGTGAGTCCCCTTTCACCCAGTTCATTTTAGCTGGAGTGTCTGAATCAAAGCTACTGCTAACTGTACTCCACAGCGATTGCCACCAGTTCTTTCTTGTTTTAGCTTCTTACTACATCAGTTCATTCTCTAGTTCCTTTGGCAACTGTAACATTGAAATAATTGTATATCCTGGCTGTAAAGGCCAGGCAAACACAATCATGATGAGGTCTGCCTGGGAGATTTAAGGGTTATCCTCCACACAATTCCTTTCACTTTAGACAAAGAGATTTGTATTGCTCAGAAGCAGAGAATCTAGGTTTCTGTGGAATCTATTGGAGTTAGAAGGTACCTCTGAGGTCATTTTGTGGCACAGCAGGACTGTCTGACCCATTTTTATGTTTTATTACAGCAAAATGTATCTATGGAGGAAAAGTTCTTGCAGAAGGCCAGCGGATTTTAACCAAGAGCTGTCGGGAATGCCGAGTAAGTGTTAATTTTATGGTCCCTATCACTTCTGGAAAATGAATAGATAGATGTGTGGGCTTTAGATGAGGTTCTTGAGTGGGGCATATTGGCCTGGATAGGGCCCCGAGGGGTGGAACTCTCTGCGGTGGGTTGGATTACATGATGGCGAGGATCCAGCCAGGCCATTTATGTGGTTAGCTTGTGGTCAGCTGTGGATCAGGTAGCCTTGGAAGAAGCTATTAAGGCAAGGATGTGAGAGGAGAAAGAACTAACAGCTGTTATTAGTTAGGGAGGCTGGTGGGTGGCCCTGCGAAAGGGTTTTGAGTTGGTATTAGGGGAATCAGTCTGTAATGCTAGTTATGATAATACTAACTCTACTCCCAGAGGGCTGATATACTGTTAAAAATGCCTCTTCCTCCTGCCTGCCCCTCCCATGCATTACTTGAAATAAGATGTATAAGATCATAGATCTCATTCAATAATCATTCGACAAAAATGCATTAAGCAAATGCTGTATGACAGCATTATAGTAGGTTCTGGATATACAACAGTGAACAAAACAAAGTCACTGTCTTTATAGAACTTGCAGTCTAGTGAGGGAGAGAGACAGTAAGAATTAAACAAACGTATAATATAATGCCAAATTCTATAAAAGTATGAAGTAGGCTGAAGGAATAGAGAGGTCTGAGTTGGGGATGGGTGGACTGAGAAGATCTCTCTGAGATGTAATTTTGTTCCAAAATTACATTTTGGGTAAGGTGTGGGAGCCAGCCATGCAGGTATTTGGGTGAGTGATTACTTAACCAATAATTGCTTCCTAGGTAGATGAGGGAGAAGGCACGTTCCAAACAGAAGGAATTGCACTTATAAATGCCTAAAGCAATAAAGGGAGCAGGTTTTACTTAGGGACCTGCAAATAATTTGACTTGGGTGAAGTTCTAGAGCTCATGTGGGAGAGTGATGAGAGATGAACCTGGACAGTTAGACAGAACAGGTGACAATGGACCTAGTTTGGACTTGATCTTAATGGAGATGAGAATTCATTGAAGCTCTCTCTTCTCTCTCTGTCTCTCTCTCTCTCTCTCTCTCTCTCTCTCTCTGTGTGTGTGTGTGTGTGTGTGTGCATGCACGTGTGTATGTCACGAGCAGCTGTGCATTTCCAAAGGTCACTGTGATTGCAATGGGAGGAGTGATTGGAGGAGCACCAGATTAATTTGAATAATTGTAAGAAATGACCTAAGGTTATGATTGAAGGCAGTGATAGTGAAGATGTACAGGAAAAGAGATTCAAGAGCTATTTAAAAAATGGAATTGAAAGGACTCGAGTGATTGGGTTTGGGGAAGGCTAATATGATGGAGAGGAGAAACCCAGATGATGTCCAGGTTCCTGGTAGAGTTGCAGGGAATACCAGTTTCTGTTTTCCCAAGTAGCCAAAACCTCCCCTGGCTAACGTAGGTAAAAATGACAATGTTATTGAAATGATATTGGGGGACTCACAGAATCCTCAGAAGGCCAGACCAGGCTTGATACTAGATAGAGACCAAAGAGTCCCAGAAGTTAGGAAGCAGAAACCATAGCAATGACCTAGTAGCGGGGATCCCGGCAAGCACATTGCTGCTGTGATGAGTGACTTTCAATCATTTCTACTGTCCTGGAGTCACTTATACAAGATTTAAAGTTTGGAGAAAGGACATATGATTAGCAAAGTTTGGATCATATGTCCAAGCTCTGATTGTTCAGGATGGGGAAGAATTCGACCCCTTTATCCTCTGTGTAAGGAGCCAGTTACCTGGAATTATCACCCCATTAAGACAGCATGCAATGGAGAAAAAATTCCCCAAGAGAACACTGTGGTACTCATGGGAAGGGAGACTGGATCAGAAGAAGCCAAAATGTGATAAATGCTCTCTTCATTAGGTGATGACGAGATACTGGTGCAGGAAGAGGAACATTCAGGAGGAGGAACATGTTTTGTGGGTGAGGAGGGAGTGAAGAGCAAATGGGGCCAGGTTTAGGCATGTTGAGTTTGATTGTACTTTGGCTATCTACACAAACTCTCTAAAACTTAGTATTTTAGGATTATTTCTGTATTTTATGATTATTTCTCATGGTTGCATGGGTTGAATGGGCTCAGCTTAATGATTCTCACTTGGGTTCGCACATGCAATTGCAATCTGGTGGCTGCTGCAGCTAGAATCCTATGAAGGCTTGACATGGCTGGCTATCAAAGATGGCTTCTTTACTTTTCTGTCTAGCACCTCAACAAAGATGAATAGAAAGAGACTTCTCTCTGTGTCTCTGTCTGGTGTGCTCGCTCTCTCTCTCCCTCCCTTCCTCCCTCCCTCCGTCCCTCTCTCTCTCTCTCTGTATGTGTGTGAGTGTGCCTTGTTCTCTGCAACCCCTAGACATGGCTACCTTGGGCTTCTTTTTTTTTTTAGACCGGGTCTCGCTCTGTCTCCCAGGCTGGAGTGCAGTAGCACAATCTCGGCTCACTGCAACCTCTGCCTCCCAGGTTCAAGCAATTCTTCTGCCTTAGCCTCCTGAGTAGCTGGAATTAAGAGCTGCGCCACCACACCCAGCTAATTTTTGTATTTTTAGTAGAGACGGGTTGTTGGCCAGGCTGGTCTTGAACTCCTAATCTCATGATCCACCTGCCTCGGCCTCCCAAAGTGGTGGGATTACAGGTGTGAGCCACTGCACCTGGCCCCTTGGGCTTCTTTGTACCATGGTGGTCTCAGGGATTTCTCACATGCTGGCCAGCTTCTCCCAGAATAAGCTTTCCAAAGACCAAGGTGAAAGCGCCAGTATTTCTTATAAACTGGTCTCCGAAACGGGAACATCATTCTGCATTCTAAAGGCTATAGAGGCCCAGGCCAGATTTATTGTAGAGGCAGACAATACAAGGGCATGAATACCAGGAGGCATGATTCATTAGGTAGACAGGCATCTTTGGAGACCAGCTGTCATAATAAGACTTTGTGATATAATTTTCTACTTAAAAATACCCACCTCCAGCCAGGCGTGGTGGCTTATGCCTGTAATCCCAGCACTTTTGAGAGGCTGAGGTGGGCAGATCATCTGAGGTCAGGAGTTCAAGACCAGTCTGGACAACATGGTGAAACTCTGTCTCTCCCAAAAATACAAAAATTAGCTGGGCATGATGGTGCATGCCTGTAATCCCAGCTACTCGGG
Organism: Homo sapiens; assembly: GCF_000001405.40. Classification (NCBI taxonomy): domain Eukaryota; kingdom Metazoa; phylum Chordata; class Mammalia; order Primates; family Hominidae; genus Homo; species Homo sapiens. The sequence goes on from NC_000011.10 coordinate 20,941,035, forward strand.
AGGCAGAGGCAGGAGAATTGCTTGAACCCGGGAGGCGGAGGTTGCAGTGAGCTGAGATTGTGCCACTGCACTACAGCCTGGGCGACAGAGTGAGACGCCATCTCAAAAAAAAGTAAAACAAAACAAAACAAAACCCACCTCCAACATATCATAATGGGAAGTTACTAAACTAATAGGTTAGTGGATTTCCATGGCTGGAAAACATTAGGAATCAGAGAATTCCTTTAATTGGGTGAAAATCTACCCCCCTGTAACTTCTGTCCAGTGGCTTTACTTCTTCCCTCTGGAGGATAAGAGGGTGAGTCTAATTACTCTTACAATATAGCATTGTGGTTGAAAGGTCAAAATCTGCAGTCAGGTGGATCTGGGTTTAAATCCTGAAATTTTACCTAGCTGTTAGTGAAGTTCAGAGTTCCTTGCGTTCTTTTCCCCCATTGGGTTCCAGTAAGAGCTGGGTTGGAGAACATAACTTGAGATTATTACTTCCTCCTACATGATATTTTTTTTTCTCCTCACCATTCCCACTGCAACATAACGGAAGACAATTATAGGCATAATCACCAGCCCTGGAGGAATGTGGAACATTTTGCCTAGTGCCTTGTGCCGAACTGTCAAACCTATTCCTTTTCTGCCTAACATTAGCTGGGACACACTAGTCAGAATAGCAACACTTCTTACCTATCTGATCCTGATTTCTAGAAAATAGAACGCGAGGCCTAGGTATTTGTGTTGATGCTTTATTTATTTATTCTTTGGTGGTCATGGGCGTGGATAGAGGAAGGGGAAGGGTATAGTCCTAGGAATGCAAGAGTGAGGCACAGACAGAAGGAAGTATGGAAGGAAAGGCAGGAGAGCAAGTACAAGATGGTGCATCACAGAAAAGTCAGAACCCCACAACAAAGCACAGCTGGCTTTGTGAGGCATCTCCTGAGAAGGTGACAGAAATCACTGTGTCTCAGAAAAGACCATCCTCGCAAGTGCTCTTACTTACATTGTTTCATTTTCTTTTCAACACACCTCTTGGAAAAAAGACAGGAATGTGTTTTAAAGATTGAAAAGAATGAGGCATTTAGAGACTTTGCAGAAGCACTCAAGGAGATACTAATACAAGAAGAGCTTGAATTTTGTTCTTTATGGAGAGCTGGGAAGGAAAGACATTCCCTATATTCTGTCTCTCATTGGCCAGACTGTACCCTAAAGGTTAGCTTCCTTGAACCTCCCTATTTTGATTCCCATTCTTGCCCTCTTGGCTGCTGCTGGGAATGCCAGAGATTCCATGAGTCCAGGTGGTCTGGTGGGCATGCAGGTGTGGTGGTCTCTCTGCATCAGTGGGTACTGGGTGTAGGGGCTCTCCACTCTGTGGCAGGGGCAAGGATGGTGTGACAACAAGGGCTTTAATGATCTCTTGACTGACAAGGAGGCTCCCAGGGTTGGGAGTAGGGGAGTAGGGGAGTAGGGGAGCAGGTGGGGTGGTCAATAACCTATAGCTGGCACATTATCACACAAGGATGTTGTGTAGATTAAATGAGATAAAACACATGGAGAACTTAGTAGAGTGCTTACCACAAAGACCATCCTCAATAAATGTGAGCTATTTTTGTTATTCCATATGACCATACATGTCCTTCTTGAATTTAAGACAGATACCATTCTCTCTGAACATTGTTTTACTTCTAGGAAGGGAAAACAGTTGGATTCTAAAATTGTTGCTTTTGTCTTTGACTTCAGGGAAAGCTGGGATGATTAAAGGCAATTTTGCTCACTGTGGTGATGGTCCCAGAATCAGCCATAACACTTAAAATTAGCAAATCCTTTTCCATTTTGAATGGAAGCTGTGGGTGACTCTAGCAAGGGTCACTATTATGATTCAATGTCTATTATCAAAGAGGAGCCAGGCAGACACCATTTGAGACCTTTAGAAGATATGGGCATGGATTTGAATGCCAGCTTATTTAAATATCACTTACTACTATTACTGGCACATTGCAGTTGCTCTACACACTTGGGTTCATCTTTTACTGTTTTTTTTTTTTTTAATAATTTAGAAAGAAGTTGGGGCAGACAGATTATTCTCTTGCACAGGTAGTGTGTGTGTGCATGTGTGAGTGCATGTGAATAATTTTATTCTGTGCAAAAAAGTTATTTTTCCATTTATTGTCTTTCTATAGTTATTTACTAATTACTTTGTATACAAGAAAGAGTTATTGACAATAATTTTTAATATTTCTTGAGCACTTATTATCTTCCAGGCACAATTTAAAGCATCTAAAACATATTTATCTCGGCCGGGCATGCGGGTCAGCACTTTGGGAGGCTGAGGTGGGTGGATCACGAGGTCAGGAGATTGAGACCATCTTGGCCAACATGGTAAAACCCTGTCTCTACTAAAATACAAAAAATTAGCCGGGCATGGTGGCACATGCCTGTAATCCCAGCTACTTGGGAGGCTGAGGCAGGGGAATCGCTTGAACCCAGGAGGCGGAGGTGGCAGTGAGCTGAGATTGCGCCACTGCACTCCAGCCTAGTGACAGTACAAGACCCCATTTCAAAAAAAAAACCCAACAAAACAAAAAACCATATTTATCTCACTGAAACCTCATAATAATTCTGTGCAGAAGGTAATACCCAGATGTGAAAATCGAGGCACAGAAGAACAAGGCCACATAGGTAGTGAGTGAGCCAGCTGGGATCAGAACCTGTGTGGTTTGGCCCCACAGTCTCCTCTCTTAGCCTGTCTACTGCCACTCCTGTTATTGTTAGACTGACTTGGAAATAATTCTCAATTCTGAATTTTAGAGGGGTAGATTGAGAAGGATTGTTTGATCATTTTTCAGTCTATCTGAGAATATCAGATTGGTCAGGCTATGGCCCATTGATTCCCTTGATAAAGGTAGCATTTATAAAAGGCCATGGAAGAGCTTTGGGACATAGTTAATGGATATTGTCAGCAGAGAGTGAGGGTAATGGGTATAGGATCAAAGGGCCTCTTATTTCTCCCAGGCAGCTTTTCTCAAGATGTAAGCACTAATGCCCTATGGAATCTGTTGTATGCAATAAATTAAACTTCCTCTTAGGCATCTAAAATGGTATTATGAAGTATTATCCTTGGGAGGACTAAGGAAATAATTGCTAAAATAATTTTTGATATTCTGTCATTCAGTTGACAAAAGGATGCCTGGAGATCCACCCATTTTCATTTTCCTGGGATCATTTTAAAGCTTCAGCAACACCAATTAGTCAAAAAACAAACTCTTGTTTCAAATATTTTCACCAAGTGTTTCCAGGAATTAACATAATTTTTAAAAAAAAATCAACATGAATAAACTCTCCTAGCAGTCTTATTAATTTTGCCCAATTATTGCTTTTCTGCAGAATTTCTTTATCCTAGCAACAATTTTTTACTTGAAGTTGTAAGTTTTATATGTTGTTAGAAATTCAGGTTAGTGCACAATGGTTAGTACAGAACTTGAAAGTGTATGTATTTGACCAATGACATGGAGAAAGCCACTCTAAATGAGAAAGAAAAAAGGAATTGTATTTTTCCACCAGCGCAGAACTCCAGGGGTCATAAAATAACATACTATAATCAGAAAGACTTAAAATGTTAATTATCAGGTACTTCTTACTAGAGATAGGTTTGAAAATAAAGCTATAAAAGGTTTGTGCCTAATTATGTAGCTGGATTAAATGGATTTGGTGGCACTTATGCAATGGTAATCACAGTTCATATTATTTTTCAAATTCATGCAAAAAGGTTTGTCTCCATTTAAATATTTGGGATTATGATCTTACTCATTAAATATGTTAAAGGTTGATTAGAACTGGTGACTGATTTAATCAGCGAAGCAAACCCTTTTTATAAAAATAGAAGATTTGTGAATGATTATTTTTAAAAAATCTTCTGTAGCATTTTTAATATTTTGTTTTTACAAAAATATATACTTATACAATTTGGAATATAGAGGGGAAAATGTAAGGAAGAAAATGGGAATCACTCCCGAATCTCACCACCTAGAGATAATCTTTTAACAGTTTGATTTTTGACAGCAAGAGTGAAATTTATTTTAATTGTCTTAGTTTGGGTTCTCCCAGAAGCGAACCCTGAGCTAAGGATTTCAGTACAAGTGATTTATTAAGGTAGTGCCCCCAGGAGAAACCAGTGAGGGTGTGGGGGATGCCAGATGGAGAAGGGGAAGAAACTGAGAAGAGGTACAATTTTAGATGAAAGGTCAAACATACCGTAATCCCACCATGGGCTCTGGAGCATACATTTTACCCTAGAGATTGTCTCTCTTCGAGGTAAAGAATATCCCATACCATTCATTCACTGGCTTTGGGTCATACGCATGGGAGTTGTAGAACTTGCATGTAACTTCCGGCTCTCTGCATGGGCAAAATGGCTCCATTGCCCAAGGGCAGTGCTCTGAGAGTGACAGAGGTGAGCCAGTTGCAGCAAAGCATTGATAAACCTAGAGGTGCGCACATAGAGCTGACAAAAGGATTCAACAGTGTCAGCCACTCTTATTTATGCCAGGAGGCAGCAGATCATGAATAAATATATTAATATTGAAGGATAGACTTAGAGGCAATAATGGTAAGTAATTCAGCATTGTGATTTCCTCTACATTTAGCTGCTGATAGTAAGGTTACTAACTTCCATTGATTGGTAATAACTGGTTTGATTCCCTGTTGTAGAAAGTAAGGCACATCAGGTAGGGACACTTGCCTTAGGACTGGAGCTAATTTTTGAGGTTAGATACCACCCATCATGGTCTGGATTGAGGATTAAAAATGAAGTGCAGTTGCAAAGTGGGGCAGAGTGAGTAGCAGGATCGATTCTCAGGTCTTAGGGACAATTGTAAGATAGTCAGGAGAAAGTTAAGAGTTACCTTGGGAAAGATTGGGAATAAAGATAAAAGGAGAAGAAAAGACAAGACTAAGAATGCCAGAGGCTGGCCTGTCTGGACTGGAAATTCTGAGAAAGGAGAGGAAGCCATGGTGCAAATAATCCAAAAGATGAGCAGTTGGAAATTTATATTTGACATATACAATTATGTTACTGTTCCAATTTAAGAATGGGTATTCCTGATATAGTGGGAGTTCTTGCCAAACCAGAGAAATGTGGAACCACTGGGATGACGGTCTCATGAAGACGGAAAACTCAGTCTCTCCTGCACCCTTCTTGACTATACACCTTCATCCTATTCTTCCACCTGTGTTGGGAACTACCTTTTGGCCTTAAATGAGATGCCTCTTCTTGAGCTTGCTTCCTGGTTGACTTAAGCATCCCCTTAAAAATGGGAGAGAAAAAGTAAATGTTTTAGATAAAATAAGGAACTCTCAGCATTTTTAAAAAAATAGTAATTAATGGAATAATTTTTACAAATTGGCATCATACTAAATACAGATGCTAGTAATGTCAACCAAAAAGACCTTGGATGAAGTAAGGTCATAAAGATTCACCTTCTGAATATTACACACGTTATTGTAAGTGATTTTATATCTAGGGAAAATCTAATGCTCAGCTAACTGATCCTCTTTCAGTTCATTCCTGCCTACATGCCTTGGCTCTTTTCAGCTCTTTGCCAGGAAAGTCCCTTCTTCCTTTATTCCACTAATCAAGTTCCCTCAAAGCTGGTGTCTTCATAATTTCTCCCCACCTGAGCAGAGTTAATTATTATTCTATGACACATTATAATACTTTTATTAGAGCCCATTTTTAGGCTTATGCTGTGCTGTATGTTTTGTGGTTTCTAGTTTATGAGGCTTTATTCCTCCCTCCATCCAAACTGAGAATTCATTAAGAGCAAGGAAGATTTGCTGTCTATCACTGGGTTCACAAAGCCTGTTATCCAGGGGCATGCCAGAGCTCACATAAGCTCAATTATACATAACTTCTGAACATTGCTTTCAGTGATACCATGTTAGTAGCTCAAAATCAGCCATCACTGGAGTATTTACATCATAGAAATTAGGAAATGTTATAAATTAGGCCCCACCGGACCAAGAGTCGATTGTTAGACTTTTATCAGTGCATTGCTGTTAGAATCCTTCTGCTCCATAGAAGATACTTCAAAACTGTTGAATTTGAGGCTTTTAGGATATAGAAAGGGAAATTTACCTTATATTCCAGGGGTCTCATTAATTTAATTTGTGGCATTATCGTTTTTAGTGGAATCCCTGGGAGTATTAATTATTGTATGTTGTTATCACTGCAGGCTATTAACAAAGAACATTATAAGTTTGTTCCATTGACTAAAAATGTGAACATCTTTTTCTTTCCCTAATATTTGGCTTCCAGGGTGGAGTTTTAGTAAAAATTACAGAAATGTGTCCTCCTTTGAACTGCTCAGAAAAGGATCACATTCTTCCTGAGAATCAGTGCTGCCGTGTCTGTAGAGGTAAGTGGGCTTGGTGGTGGGCCATGCGTGGGGTGAGGCTGGGGCTGGTCTTCTGGGGCATGAGATTTTAATGAATAGTATGATAATAACATGGGTCCAAAACTCTGTGCGCTGCTCCTTAAAAAGTTGCATATCCTATTTACCTCTCTCAGTCATAGTCTCCTCAATTATAAAATGAGGATAATAATAGTATCTACTTTGTAAGACTGCTGTGAAGATTAAATGGGATAATGCATAAGCACCTACCATCATGCCTAGCATGTGACAAATGTTCAATAAATGATAGTTCCTATAATAATGCTAATGTTAGTTCTTATAATAATAACCATTATCATCATTATTACATTTTTCTCATGAGTGAGATTGGGAAGCATTCTTTTCAGCTCCGTCTTGTTGGGCCAGTTCCCATACTCTGGTAGAGAATGATGTATGGTGAATCCTTACTCATAGGTTAGATTGTTATGCAACATTTTTACTCCCTGCAAGGAAAAATGCATCAGATAAATAACACTTGGTTGCTAATTAATTATTGGGCAGAAATGGTTTTGCTTCATCTTCCTGGAATTGCCTTCATCCCAAAATTTATTCTTTATTTAAATTTTTATTTATTATTATTATTAGTTTAGAGTTAGAGTCTCGCTCTGTCACTCAGGCTGGAGAGCAGTGGTACGATCATAGCTCACTGTAACCTTGAACTCCTGGGCCCAAGCAATCCTCCTGCCTAAGCCTCCCAAGTAGCTGGGACTTCACAGGCATACACCATCACACCCAACTAATTTTTATTTATTTATTTTTTTTTTAGAGACTGGGTCTTGCTATGTTGCCCAGGTTGTCCTTGAACTCTTGGCCTCAAGCAATTCTCCTGTCTTGGCCTCCCAAGGTGTTGGGAGTACAGGCATGAGCCACCATGCCCAGCCTATTTTTATTTTTCAATTGTTATATAATAGTTGTGCATATTTTGGGTGTACATGTGATCTTTTGATACATGTATACAATGTGTAATCAAATCAGGGTAATTGAGATATCCATCACCTCAAAATTGATCTTTGTGTTGGGAACATTACAATTCTTCTATCTATTTTGAAAAAGACAATAGTTTATTGTTAAGTATAATTACCTTACTGTACTATCCAATAAATTCCTTTTATCTAACTGTATTTTTGTACCCATTAACCAAATTCTCTTCATATTCCCTCCCCCTTTCCCTTCACGGCCTCTTAAATTGATTCCTATGTCTTAAAACCCAGCTCAAGTATCACTTCCTCTCTGCAGCTTCTCACCCAAGCAGAATTAGATGAATTAGGAGATCCTAGGATTTGTTCAAAATCTTAAAAAAAAAAAAAAAAAAAAAACAGTTAAACTCATAGGTATTATTTTAAAACTATATCTACCATAAATACTTCAGATTCTCAAATACCCAGTAAGTGATATCCTTTTAATCTGAGCTTTGAAGCTTCCAGAGTTAAGGAGGTCCCTGCAGCATAGCAATTTAGCTCAGGTAACCTCATATTTTGCTTTTTTTTTCCTATCTTTTCTGTAGCAGAGGGGTGGCAAAAATTCTTTATAAAGGGTTACAAAATAAATATTTTTGACTTTGCCGACAAGAGGTTTCTGTTACAACTAACAGAAGAAAGTTAGCAAGAAAGCAACATAGATCATAGGTATATAAATGGGTGTGACCATGTTCCAATGAAACTTTATTTACAAAAACAGGTGGCAGCCTGTAACTGTTGACCCCTCCCTTAGCACCTTCTGGTGTATGAAAATGTTGTATGTTTCACCATTGCATGTTTTCAGCTTAGGCTTTCTGTGTTTGGTCATGAGAGCTCTGGGCTTTGGTAAAATTCTTAGGAAAATTTAGTGTGTTGATAGCCAGAAATGGCCCCTAGAATTAGTGATAGGCTAACTATGACATCAGAATATCTTCCTTGATTTATCTGCTTTCATGGCTATATTATCTGCAGCTGGTATGTTTTGGAAATACCTAAAGATTGAGTGGAATTTTCAGAGTGATGCATTTATTGGTTAGATAGAATGGTTAGGTAGGTCTTATAATTTAATGCAAAATTCATCACTTGCTATTTGTTGGGGTGCCAAGTGAGACTCAGTTTATGTAAATCCTTTCTGATTTATGGTTTCATTAGAGCAGAATCATTAATTAGGCCACAGAAATTCAGGAGGGATTTCATTGCCCTGACCCAATTTACAATAGAACAGGTGCCACTGCTTCTGTTAGCACTTGTCTGGAATGTGTCCATTACCAATGAAGATGCTGAGAGATGTGACATCTCATTGACAAGAAGCAGACATACAAGGTTCCCGTTGCTAGCAAGCAGTGGCATTTACCAAACCTGACTCAACTTTGAGGGAAGAGTGGGAGGCAGGAGGAAGACTTCATAGATTTGATCTTAGGCAGGGCCCGTCTATGAAATCAAGGGCTTTCTTTTTCATACCAGTTCCTTCTCAGCCAGGAAACAGCCAGCTCTTTTACTTGGAAGCTAATAGTTTTCTTTGGAGGTATGTGTGTGTGAGAAAGTTATTTTATGCTCTTTGACTGCTCTACATTTGGACAGGAACTAGAGCATGTCTTCAGAAAAGAGGTGGTGGGAGGGTGTTTTCCCGGGAGGTAGGTGAATTAACCATTTGGATTTCTTCTATATTACTCCCATCTCAGAGTCAGACTCTGAAGTAAAGGAGGCAGCATTGTTCACTGAGGCCCTTTTCAGAAACATCTACTATCATAACCTTCTTCCTTCTTGCTGACCCACAGCAGAGAGAATCCCAGAACATCCAGCCCACTTGTCCACATGCTAGGGCCTGCTCTTCCCATCAGGCAATCAGGAAATGAAAGGCATATTTAGTGAGATGTCTCTTTTTCATGAAACCCTGCAATTTAAATGACAATTAACAAAGAGCAATACAGATGAGTTCAAAAGTCTGTCATCTTGAACTAAGCCCCCCATGAATTTTGCTCCACATCTCTTAATTCCGTCTTTAAAAGTAACATAATCATCTCTCACAATTTTGTGAGAAATACTTTTCTTCTTATTTTTGCCTTTTCCTCTGCATTTCTGAGTGGACTCACAGGAGAAGGGGGTTGGACAATTACTATTCTGACAAGACCTGAAAAGCCCAGTGGACTTCTAAAGCAAATTATTTGGTTCTTCTTGCCTCCTCCCCTTCTCCCCTTCTCTGAAACAGAAAGTAATGAAAAGTCGAGAAACACTCAATTTCTATGTAAAGTAATTTGTATCCTGCATATGGAAAGGCAGCAGCATCGTTTGCTTTGTGGACTGATTGTCCACAGACTGGTTGGCAGCAAGGAAGCAGAGAGGTGGGACTGAGATGAGCTGAAGTGTGTATTTTAGGAAATGAGCACTGTGGTATGCTATAGCTGTACTGCTTCTGCCACCCTGATGTTGTTGATTACAAAAACCAAAGTGGCTGTGGCCTTTCAACACCTGCACCGAAGGCCTTTCAATTAGCATATTTATCATCTCTCTCTTACTGTGACCATCCGGTCATTAGTCTGAGAGAAATTACCCTATGACGGTATCATTCCTCAGAAGTCTAAGTCAAAACCTTTCTCATGCCTGCCTGGAGAATTTGAAGTTTTCCAAGGTTTATTTTCTTTAGGACTCTGATGAGTCACCTTACCTGGGGAGGCCTAGACTGGGAATTTGAGAAAACTTCCAGAGAGTGGATTTTGCTCACTGTCATTGTCATGTTAATGAATGAATGACATTATTTTCAGCACTAGCTGATAGGCTTTATATATTTTACATATGAAATAAGGTTAAAACCCATTTTTCTGAGTTATAACTTATTTCCTCAAGTTATAGCTTGCTAGCTTGATTATGAAGTTAATTTTTTTTTAACTTAGTCTTACCAAATTTTCTCATATGGTTACTGTCCCCCACCCCACAATTATTGACTAATCAAGATGGAAGATACAGGCTACATCTTTACATTTGATTTTTTTTCTTTGTTTGAATTAAACCTAAGACTTTAAAGTTAGTAAGAACAGGTTCTGACTGACTTATGGTGTTCACTGTATCAACAAACTGGTCTCCAAGCTAGGGGCTCAGATACCTTGCCTCTTCAAATTTTGTGTCATGTCAAATGCTGTAACTAATTCCCTTGTCTTTTAGGGAAAAATGAATATAACCAAGTAAACAGGGGGTTTAATCCACAGGGCTGTTGGAGCAGCTGGGACACCCATAGGAGAAGAACTATAGAATTGGTAGGGAAGAAACACGCAAAGGGAATCAAGGTGATGGATACTGGCGGGGAGAGGCCACTTTGTAGTTTGTGGGACTCATGGTCTCAGTCACACAACAGCACCACCCAGAACATCCTTAATCACCACTGCAGCTTTTCTCTGATACCTCAGGACAGTTTGTGCTGGCAACATGAAATTCATTTACCCTCCTCTTTACCTTGAGGTAATGGATGTAGCAGGAGCCTGACCACTTGAAGTGTGAGGCCATTAGGTGGAGAAGGGGAGTGTGCACTGGAATAACATCTGGGCTCCTGCCTGGGAAGAAGTAATAAAAGCATCAATATAGACCCAGCAGAAAAAGACTGCTCGTGAATTTCTGGTGCTCTCAGTTAAAGGATGAAAAAAAAAAAATGTCAACAATATTGACCATGTATTCTCAGGACCACTCCAGGAAAACAGACCCATCATTTGACCCATCCCGGAATTCTTGACATACTCCTCAGGGTTTTATTCCCCTGGTAATCAGCTCTAATTGTATCTTTAATGTTGCCAATGACGTTGGAGGATTTTGCTGCATGTTTATGACTTCTAGTGTTGGGAAAAAGTTCTTTCCGACATCTGTTCCAAATGCGTTTATCTGTAATTTTAATTCAGGCTCACTTGCCTTGTCATCTGGCCTGGACGGAAATTAGTTGAGATTATTTGTACTGTTAAAGATTTTATGTCCTTCAATTAAACCCTCCCTAAGAGTCTTGGCATCAAATGATTTTCCTCCCACCCAGTCTTCCTCATTGTTTTGGGTGAATTTATAATTGAAATGGTTTTAGAGAAAGGATTTCAGGGAATTTGAGAAGAAAAGAGACCTGAGAAAAAGGCACTTAATGAGAGTGTAAACTAGTGCCTAAATAGAGGAACTGGCAGTTCACAGATGGACCAGTTCCTCTGCATATTGATAGATGAGATCTGATCAAAATGCCATCAACTGTGGGCTAAAGTGGACTGGAAAGACAGGGCTATATGCTCAACTGTTGGGGCTGGGAACAGAGGATAGTCTTAGTGAGTAAATGAATTCATGGTCCTAAACGTGCTACAGTGGATCAAGGTCTATGAAGCTTCCAAAAGGAGGCACATTTTCCCAGAGAGAAAACCTGACACTAAGGCTAGGCTGCCTCAGACCTTAAGGGAAGACCCTTAAATGTTGACTACTGTGGAAGAAACCAATTGCTTTCTAAGCTAGAACCTGTGAGAGTCGGGAGTTCAGTCTCTATTAGGCCTGTCCTGATGGCCCTACCTTCTGTCCACAAAAGCTTAAGGATTATTCTCACTTTCAAGAGCCCAGGCTTCTCCTGTGTTATGTGTATTGATTGTGGAGTACATAAAGGCATCCAGTTCTCATAAAAGACCCTTTGGCCATATCCTTCTTAACCAGTCCATGGGTGGACCTGACTGTACATCTGAGGCACATGGAATATGCTGCCCTCACTATACCATTGCTCCTTACGTGAATTTCAAGGTTGGGTAAGCAGTAGTGAATATGAGAGGTATTGACGTTCTAAGATTTTAGAATAGAGGACTCTGGAGTGCACTTTGAGATTGTCCAGGTATATAATTTCAAAGGTAACCTGCCTGACCTGCTGGGGTATACTTTAGGGGCAGGAGATTGAGGAACTATTAGTGACCCATGTATTCCTTGCTGTGGAAGAAGTTACGGGAGTGAATCATAACGATGTATGTCTATCATTGGCTGCAAAAGCAAGAGATTAAGCAGAATCAGTGATGATTCCTTGATAACTATAAACAACATAAAGTGGGATTTGGAGAGTGGCAGTGTGGGGGGGCCTCAGTGTAATAGGCAGAGCTTATTATATGCAGATTAGGCTAATGAATTTAATGAAAGTAAATCATTTTACTAGTGTTACTGGTCATTCATGGCAACAGAGCTCGATACAGGACCACCACTGCATCCAAATTTTAGGCTGCTTCCAACCAGAGGAGAAAGTGTGACCCCAACATTTACATTTTCTTTCATTAATTTCTTTGTACATATCACGGGCCCATGCTGCTGTAAGCATTTGGAACTCTTATTCTTTGTCCAGCCAACCTCATTCATCCTTCAAATCTCTTCTTTAAAACATTGTGTTAGGTTTCTTCTCTGCATACATTCCTAGAGCACCTTGCCCCTCTCCATCATGATATCCCCTTGTAACCCAATGCTCAAAGACAGTCACCCCTGCTAGAATGTAGGATGAATGCGGACATGTTTATGGTATTTTTTGCTGTATTCCTATTGTCTGGTATAATGCCTGCACATGTGCTAGGTGCTTAAAATTTGCTGTTCTTAGGAGGACAGTGGAAGAGGACAGTGATTAAGAATTCCAGCCTCAGTCGGACTATGGCTCTGTGTACCTTCCACAAGTTCACTGCCTTCCTCTAACTTCAGTTGCCACATCTGTAAAATGGGGATAATAATTCAGCTTCATATAATTGTTATAAACTCTTATAACAATTTTATGGGATAATGTATGTAATTTTATGGGATAATGTATGTAAAACACTTAGCCAAGTGCCTAGCACATAGTATGTGTTCAATAAATGTTAATTATTGCTGTTATTACATCTGTAGCAGATTATTTGGGGTTCTCCAAACTTACTCCTTGTTCTTTCTTCTTCCTCTTTGGTTGTCATTCCATTTCTCCCACTAGGATCTGTGTCCTGCTCCTATCAAGTTTCTACCTATTACAGTTTTTTGTTATCTTGAAATGATTTATCCTTCTCTGAAACACTATGACATTTTTTCCTGCTCACATCTGACTTAACAAAGATTGCCTTGATTGAGGCCATAGGTGGTTTATTGCCCCTTAGGGATTATAATTTCCCTGCGGGCAGAGAATATCTTAAACATTTTTGAAGTGTCTCCAGATAATTATGTGGTGCTGCAGCCCACAGAGTAGAGGCCCCATAAATATTGAGTGAATGACTATTCACTCACTTGTGCAGAAAGGTAAGTGGGCATGGAATGAATATTGCTTGAATAAAGGCCTCCATTAATTTAAAAAACACATTTTTGAGAAGAATGGTTAGGCATAATCAAAGTGGATTTGACCTGAAGGTGAGTTTGTCTCACCGGCCCTTCACTGTCCTTGAAATACAATTTACTCAACTCCGGGCATCATGATTTGACATGGTACATGCTTAATAGAAACATATGCATTGGAAAATCAACACTGTTTGAAGGGCTTTGTTCCAGGCTGTCAGATGCATGTGGAAAGAAAAGGACAGTTAAAGTCTACTGGAAAGAAAGAGAAAAGAAACACAGACAAGGAATACGTGTGATAAAGGATGCACATGTGCCGTTGAGTCAAGCTTCCTAATGAAGGAAAATGTGACCATTTAATCTAATTATTGATCAATTCAGACATGGGAAGTGAAGTCCAGGCTCCTCCTCTGGAAGAGAGACACGTGATGCCTAAAAGTACCCCTTTGGTAGGAAAAAACATCAAGCACTGCTAGTTTTAATGATTATTGTAAGCCTCTCAAGCCCTTATAGAAGTGTTGTCAACTGTCAGAGGTTTCAGATTTCCAGCCAGTTAGACTCTTGCTCTGATTTTTGACTGAGGCAATCACCAGTTAACAGGTCATAAGTAGTGAGGCTGGATGTAACTCATCTAGGCCTATGCATCTACTCTCTAATGTCCCAAGGAGTGGCTACCTCTTTCACTTTTCATAACCAGGTTTTGCTATCTGAGAGGATATATGACATAGTGAGAAGCACATGGGCTTTGGAGTTAGCCAGACATTATTTAGAACCCTGGCATTTCCACTAACTACCTAGAGATTTGTGAATTTGTACTTTTTATCTTGAAGTTGAGGATAACAGCATTAAGTTATTTTGAACTTTAGTCATGATTGTTGAAAATATCATCATCATTATTAGTGGCCACCATTGACTGACCTCTTTAACAGGTATAAGGAACTGTTTCAAGTGCCTTACATGGATTAGCCCATTTAAGTTTCTCAACAACATATTAAAAGGTATATATTATTATTCCCATTTAAAACACCTAGCATGCCAGGCATATTATAAGTGCATGAAACTTATCATTATTATTTAATAACAATATTATTATCTTTCAGAATAAATTCTCCAAATATTGTTGGTTTAAAATTTTATTTCAAAAATAATTCTAGAATGTTATCACTGAAAGGAATTAACTTGACTTTATCTAGTGGAGTGATTTCCATATTTTTAAGCCAGGAACTGTAATTAACATGATCAGTATGGGCCAGGCACGATGGCTCATGCTTATAATCCCAGCACTTTGGGAGGCTGAGGTGGCTGGATCATGAGGTCAGGAGTTAGAGACCAGCCTGGCCAACATAGTGAAACCCCATCTCTACTAAAAATACAAAAATTAGCCCGGCATGGTGGTACACGCCTGTAGTCCCAGCTACTCTGGAGGCTGAGGCAGGAGAATCGCTTGAACCCGGGAGGTGGGGTTTGCAGTGAGCTGAGATCACGCCACTGCACTCCAGCTTGGGTGACAGAGTGAGACTTCGTCTCAAAACAAAACAAAACAACCATGGTCAATATGTCAAAAATATAAAAGATTATTCTATTTGAATCAGAGGCAGAGGACTTGAACCCTGTATAACAACTCATCTGTGCCTAGGGCCCTGAGGAACACAGTTTAAAAATTACTAATTTCAGGCTGGGTGCGGTGGCTCACGCCTCTAATCCCAGCACTTTGGGAGGCCGAGGCGGGTAGATCACGAGGTCAGGAGATTGAGACTGTCCTGGCTATCACGGTGAAACCCCGTCTCTACTAAAAATACAAAAAATTAGCCGGGCATGGTGGCGGGCGCCCGTAGTCCCGGCTACTTGGGAAGCTGAGGCAGGAGAATGGCATGAACCCGGGAGGCAGAGCTTGCAGTGAGCTGAGATCACGCCACTGCACTCCAGCCTGGGCAACAGAGCGAGACTCCATCTCAAAAAAAAAAAAAAAAAATTACTAATCTCATCCGTTCGCCATATGCATACCTAGAAAAGCAAAGTGATTTATACTGTTTGTTAGCTGCAGATCCTAAATTATAAATTCGATCTCCTGACTTCTAGATCCATTGTTTTCTGTGAGAACACAGTATGTGATATAGCATAATTATTGTTTACTAAAAGTACTGATTTAAAGATGATAAAGCATCTTTATATACTTTATCATATTTGAACTTCTCAAATTTTATGGTAGATGTTACCTATTCCTTCTAGTTCATCTAAAATGCTGCCTAATATAGAAACAACTTTCTGGAACATTTGGTGGAGATGGCAGTAAGGGGGAGAAAAAAAACAACTGGAGACCAGAATATAGAAAGAGGGTGATTCCATTGAAATAAGCAAGTACAGTGGAGTTGACGTTTGCCCTGAGTGCAATTTCGAGTCTCTGGTGGTTTAAAATATGGCTTCTAGTGGACACTGTGTAAGCAGACAGGAGACATCCTGGGGCTAGTATGAGAAACATAAATCAAGAACCTTAAAGGGTGAATCCCTCCATGGGTGAACTAGGAAAAATCCACTCTGCCCAAAGAGACTTGCCTGTCAGTCTTGACTCTAGATGGAGGTCTAGAGGAGAAAATCTTGCATTCCTAAAAGCTTAGGGCTAGACTTTATTCCACCTGTGTGGCTCAACCTTCAAGCACTAAGACAAAAATGTAGTTGAAAGTCATCTTGGGTTGATAGTTCCCTCAGACCCCTGACAGAAGGAAACACAAATCCTCTCTGAAGAAATGCAGTTTAAAAACCAAAACCTCAAATCTCACACATTAAATTCCAAAAAATACGAGCTTACAGATAAAAGAATAACTCAAAACACAAGAGAATAAGCTATCATGCATGCTATTCAGCATAAACAACAAATGGCAAAATTAGATGTGCAAAGCCTGAAGATATTAGAATTATCAATATAAAATATTTATATGTAACATGTTTAAAGACATTTTTTAAAAAGGAAATTTAAAAAAATGAAAGAATAAGAGACTATCAAATTTGACTAAGCAGACTGAAAAAGAATCAAATAGGATTCTAAAAATAAAAATACAGTAAGTGAAATTAAAAATGATGTGGGTGACTGAAAGAGAATATAACACACCTCAAGACAGAATTAATAAACTGAAAGATACATCTCAAAATGATGCAGAATTCACCATAAAGGAAAAGAAACAGAAGATATGAAAGCAAGTCTAAATAACACAGATGAGAGCTTGAGAAGAAAGAACATTTATCTAATTGGAATTCCACAAAGACAAAATAGAGAAAAACGTGGAAAGGGAATGTTTGAAGAGAGAATATCTAAGAATTTTCCAAAATGATGAAAGATTTCATCATCTTTCAGATTCAAGAATCTCCCCAAATCCTAAATAAAAATACATTTATACCTACATATCTTAGATTAAAACTGAAAAATACAAAACAAACAAACCCCAACAAGGCTGGGTGTGGTGGCTCATGCCTGTAATCTCAGGACTTTGGGAGGCC
The DNA here is from genome assembly GCF_000001405.40 of Homo sapiens. NCBI lineage: Eukaryota > Metazoa > Chordata > Mammalia > Primates > Hominidae > Homo > Homo sapiens. The sequence goes on from NC_000011.10 coordinate 20,958,184, forward strand.
GAGGTGGGGAAATCGCTTGAGCCTAGGAGTTTGAGACAAGCCTGGGCAACATAGTGAGACTTCATCTCTCCAAAAAAAAAATTAGCTGGGCCTGGTGGCACGCACCTCTAGTCCCAGCTACTCAGTTGCCGAGGTGGGAGGATCACTTTAGCCCATGAGGCCGAGGCTGCAAAGAGCAACGATTGTGCCACCGCACTCCAACCTGGGCAACAGAGTGAGACTCTGTCTCAAAATAACAACAAAACCCAAGCTAACACACAAATAAAAAAGATCTTAAAAGCATCCACAGAGAAAGGGGTTGCCACATGTAAAGGAATGACTATTAGATTAATAAGTGACTCAGCAGCAATAATAGAAGCCAGAAAACATGGAATGACATTTTTAAAATGTTGAGATAAAATAACCGTATACCCAGTAAAACTATTTTTTAAGTATGAAGATAGTCTAAAGACACATTTAGACAAATTGAAATTGAGCACAGTCACTATCAAAAGATACTGAAGGAACTTCTAAAGGCTATATTAGGAAGAAAAATTTCTTGGAAGAAGTAGCAGGGAACAAGAAAGACTGTTAAGCTAAGAAAATGTTGAACATGTGGCTAGAGAATATGCCCCAGGAAGCATGTTTAAGAAGGTTTTTTAGCAGCTTTGTTTCTCAGTGAAAACCCGCAAATAGCTCAAATGTCCATCCATGGTATAGGCATACCCTGGAGATATTGTGGGTTCGGTTCCAGACTATGGCCATTAAGCGAATATTGCAATAAATGAGTCACACAAATTATTTTTGTTTCCCAATGTGTTTAAAAGTACAGTCCGATGGCATTTTACTCACTGGAATGTCTTTCAAAATTGGTGCTGATCCTCCTGCTTTGTCAGCTAAGTTTATATAATATTCTAAATCCTTTGTTGAATGAATGAACCCATAGCTAAAGGCATTCACATGGATGAATAGAGAAAAGCACACCATAGTATACTAAAAATAAAATGGATGTTGGCGTGGATGTGGTGAACAGGGAGCACTTCTTCACTGCTGGTGGGAATGTAAACTAGCACGACCACCATGGAAAACAGTGTGGAGATTCCTGAAAGAACTAAAAGTAGAACTAAAAGTAGAATTTGATCCAGCATTCCCACTACTGGGTATCTACCTAGAGGAAAAGAACTCATTATACGAAAAAGACACTTGCACGTGCATGTTGATAGCAGCACAATTCACAATTGCAAAGACATGGAACCAACCCAAATGCCCATCAATCAGAGTGGATAAAGAAACTGTGATATAGATGATGGAATACTACTCAGCAATAAAAAGGAATGAATTAGTGGCATTCACAGCAAGCTGGGTGAGATTGGAGACTATTACTCTCAGTGAAGTAACCCAGGAATAGAAAACCAACCCTCATATGTTCACATTCATAAGTGGGAGTTAGGCTATGAGGATGCAAAGGCATAAGAATGACATCATAGACTTTAGGAATTTAGGGGGAAAGGTGCCTGGGGTTGAAAGATAAAAGACTACAAATTGGATGCAGAGTATACTACTTGGGTGATATGTGCACCAAAATCTCACAAATCACCGCTAAAGAACTTATGTAACAAGACACCACCTGTTCCCCAAAACCTATGGATATGAAATATTTTTTAAAAAAGCATACCATAGAAGATATATACAGTAAGATTTCCCTCATATGGAGTTTAAAATGGGCAAAGCTAAATGGTATATTGTTTAGGCATAAACACAAATATGAAGTAAAGCTATAAAAAGCTGCAAGGGAGTGATTAGCTCAAAATTGAGGATAGTTATCTCTAGTGGCTGGGAGGGAGATTCATTGGGGAGGTACAATTAAGGAGTTTTGATAATCTGGTTGTATTCATTTTATTTTATATATTCATATATATTAATTTTATTACTCTTTGTATTATAAATTTTACAAGAAAACAAAATTATAAAAAGAGTAGTCATGTAAGAATGTAGTGAGAAGAGGATGCAGGATCAGCATGGATAAAAGCATTCAGGTAGGAACAGCCTCAGCAAATTTGAGTATGGGTGGGGGAAAGCCTCTTACGCCTTGGACAGCCCAAAGTTTCCTATATCTATTCTGCCACTTTCCTATCCAGTTTATCCGTGCATACTGCCAAAGTGTATTTTCCTGCATAGTGACATATAATAAAAAATGTTACATACTTTATTTTGGGGAGTTACTTTATTTCCTCCTTTTCTGATGTACGTTTTTATTTGTTTTTTCTAGGTCATAACTTTTGTGCAGAAGGACCTAAATGTGGTGAAAACTCAGAGTGCAAAAACTGGAATACAAAAGCTACTTGTGAGTGCAAGAGTGGTTACATCTCTGTCCAGGGAGACTCTGCCTACTGTGAAGGTAAGTAAGCTATTTAATGAAGTCACTTGTGAGAGGTTGACTGAGAAGTGTATGCCTGGTAGATGTGGTTAAAGAGTGAAAACTATCACTTGGCTGTGGTCCTATGCAATCCTATAAGAAATCATATCAATTGCTGAGGGTTCTCTGTTCTCCTGGTTTATCCATGCTGCTCAGTAGCATGAGAAAGCAAGACCTTTGAAGGTCGTTATGAAGCACGGCAAAGAAGCAAAGGCAACAGGGACATATCAAATCCCATGTTCTGCTGCTGTGCACATAACAATCACTAGATCAACCATAGACACATCATATTCTGTTTTCTTATTTGATGAGATTGCCATCTTCATATTTAATTAAATGTACAGGGTGGTTTCTGTTTTCAAATGATACTTTGACATTAACTCATACTAGGCTGCTGTCTCCTTGACCTGACAAGATCAGGTTTTTATTCTTTTTAGTGGGTTTCTTCGTGACTGGTTCATGCATTGCCAATTCCCAATCTCTACTAAAAGTCACAGTAATGGAGGGACTCATAACTTTGGCACATGGGCTGATGCCATTACAGTGGGATGGTGGCCTCAAGCATCAATGACCCACATTTCTGCTCTAGAGAAAGCAACTCCTCCGTCTTAAGAGAGCACCGTTTTTTCAGGCTTAGTACTGCAACCTGCTAGTGGTGAGCATTGCATATATCTATTACCTTAACATGCCAGAGGAGTGGGAGTTAGTTCGACCTGGTCTGTATGTATAGTACCATAATATCTGAGCCCATCCATTTCCAACGTGCTCATGGCTCCCTTCCATCAGTTTGCAAAAGCTTTAATAAGCAAAGTGATGGCTGGGCTATTTTTCTGTTTGTTCTGATTCCAATTATTCCTGCTGTCTTCATTAATAATACCTTGCACCATGATGATTTGGGTAGTTGTCTTCAATGAATGCTGCAAATTCCTGGTCACTTTCCTCTAAGTGGTCTGGCTCTCAGATAGGTCAGGTATTCTAAAGGTAAAGACAGTATTAACTGATGATAGTAATGGTAAATTCTTTCTATTCTCTATCTCATAGTTGACCCTCGAACAACACGGGTTTAAACTTTGCATGCTGACTTATACATGGATTTTTTTTCAACAAGACACAAGTCAAAAATACAGAATTCATGGGATGCAAAACCTGCCTATATGGGAGAGCCATCTTTTCCTATAGAGTGGATTCTGCAGAGCCTACTTTGGGATTTGAGTGTGTGTAGATTTGGGTATACACAGGGGCCTAGAACCAATTCCCTGCATATACCCAGGAATGACTATATATTGTTAATCCCTGCTTAACTTTTTGGCTTTGACTAAAGACCTCTAGTTATCAAGAGGATATATCTTATTACTACTAGAGACCAGTACCTTGTAGGAACCCTCTGTTTTTTTCATTTCTTCTGGAAGACTTTCTTTGTTACTACCATAATTTTTATTAACAATATATTCTAATAATATATAATAATTTTGTCTTCTTATTTTTCACTGTTTTTTTGGCTTGTTTTATGGATTTGAAGTTTTAAGGAGACATGTCACTTGGGAGAATGAAACTGTCCCTTTGCTTATGAACCTTTTCATCTGCCCTTTAATACATCTTAGTTATTTGTTAATTTGGGGTGATGGGAGTATCAATTTCAATACTTCATATTAATATTTATGTTTAGATCTTCCCTTATGCTATTTTCTATCAGAAAATTTAAGTAATTTTAAGAATTAAAAATGTGAGTATTCCCACTATTTACCATGGAAAAATCCTGTAAGCCACATAATGGTCTAAAATATTTACCTTCTTACCTTTTCCTATATGCAGGGATAGACGTCGAACAATTATAAAAATGATAGAAGAAACCTCAAAAACAATGTGAATCCTGATTACGCCACTGGCAGACCTTTTAGTTGTTTGTTGAAATCAGCATAGCCACCATTCCTGACCCCACTTCTCTATTGAGACCCAGCAGAATATGAGACAAAACTGCTGGTGCTAATGCTGTTTGGGATTCTTTGATTCATTTCTCATTGATGTCATTTTTTATTACAAAAGACTGGCTCCATGAGGAGCCATCTGCAGTATCAACCTGATCTTTCTCTATGAGGCCTTATTTTATAATGCTGAGTGGATTTTAGGTCTGAATCACTGTTTTCTTGGGCATGCTCCTGTTTAGCTCAGTGTATGAGCCTGGCCTTAGGCCAGTATGCATTGTGGTGCTATTGCGGTTGGGTAATGGCAATGTGACTGGGCTTCAGTCATTTCCTTGTTGTATGGAGACTTTCCATAAGCTCCAGGGGATGTGTTCTTGGAGAGAAGGATAGCACCTAAGGAGAAATGGCTAAACATTGGACCCCTCCTAGCATGTAGGAACATAGCTCATGGGTTAAAGCAGGGGTCAAATACTGGGCATCCGGCTGGGAGGCACAGAGAACCCAGTAGAGTGAATGCCAACATTTAGAGCAGATGCCTTTCTCGCATTCCTTCTGCCATCTTCAGCATTTGAACTTTGATCTTTGGGCCTATGTTTCCGTGATTGCATGATGACTTCCATAGCTCTAAGAATGGTACCCTCACAGCAGCATCCTAAGCAAGGAAGAGAGGAAGGGGCAGGGCTTAAAAACCTTGTCTGTGTGAGGTTCTGTCATTTTATGCTCAAAGAAAGTCCTTCGTAGAAAGTCATTCCCCAACTCTACCCCTATTACCACCATAACCACATGCAGAAGACTTCCCCTGTGTTATTTTTCAGACCCAGGTTACACCACTTCTATCCTCACCACACACACACTTCTAGACCGATGTTTGAGAAAGGAGAATGAGATGGCCATCACTGCTTTGGGCTAATTGTGTTTATTCCCTGGAGCTGGAGGAGAGGTTTGTCTTCCTGAAACCAAAAGAGCTTTGCTGGTTACAACAAAATAGGGTTTTAACCCTATTCAATAAAATAGGGTTTTAGCAACCATTCTTTTATGATTACATTTAGATGAATTAAATGAGATAAATGGTCATGCAGGCCATTTCCCCAGCTCTCTCCTAAGAATTGCCCTTTGAAGTGATCGGGTAGACAAGCTTACAGATGGCCAAATGCCCTCCTAGGAACAGAGACTCTCTGAGGCTTCATTCGTTGTCTCTCCACAGCCTAGAAAGAAGTAAATACTTATGAGCTGCTTGAAGCAAGTTATTTTTACTCTGAGTAAATGGGATGAAAATGACTCATACGATAAAAACCACAGTGAACAAGACTGGCTTGCAAATTAAAACAAAATATTACACACATTGTCCAGGCCATCTTGAAAAGCCTGTTCAGGCTCTCAGTGGAAAAGGAAGCACCAAAGGCTTTCAATTTTCTTAACTTCCTAAGGTAGAAGCAGAGAGGTGGCATATTGGCTCCTGCTCTGTAGAGATTGTCGTAGAAACTGCCGTAGAGAAGATAGCTGAACTCCTGGCCAATCAATAGAAGATAATAAGACCTTTTGTCAGCTATGATACAATTCACAGGAGGCTGTTTCATTTTGCCTTTTCTGACTCCAGGAGGAGCATTCTCCATTTTGAAAACTGCTCTAGTTGGATTTTAATGTTTTAGGAATCTTGTCGGCTGAGGCTTTTTCCTTTTTTAATGACATTTTCAACAGGTTGGTCTTAAGTAGTTTCTGATGCATTAGGAGTAGTGTCTGAGGAAAGTATAGCAATAGGGGCCCTACTCATGATCTTAGTTCTTGAATTTGGAGTCTACCTAGATAGAGTCTCATAAACTTTTTCTTTCTGTGATAAAAAGTTACTTAGAAGCATAAAGAACAATGTAATATCATACACATCATGCCATCTGTCAGGTGTGGAAAGCACTACAATTAACATTAAATGATAATACCTTTTACTTGCAGAGTGTTTTAAATTTTTCAAACTCCTTTTATATATGTTACACTTTTTGAACGTTACAATGAATCTTTGAGAAAGTTGCGGCATTGGCCACATTAACTCCATTTTATGAGTACAGACAAGAGGATTCAGAGAAATGAAGTAAAAAGATGATCCTCAACTCATTTCTACTCTAGAGCTTTCTGCCTGACTTAAATGCTCCCTCTTCTTCCACTACCCACACTGTTCCAATACTGTGCTAGTGTTCAAAATGTTGGTTGCCCTCCCGATTTTGCCGACATCAGTTTTGGCTAATGAAATGTGAGTGGACGTGACATGTAGTTTCAGAGTAGAACCTCAAGGAGCTTTTGCAGAATTCCACATCGTTCTCTTTTCTCTCTGAAACAAAAACTGGCAATGTTCCAGGTCAGGGCTTCTCCTTTAGCTGACATCCCAGAATGAAGATGACATGGAACCGTGTGACAACTGACAGGTGATGGGTATGTGGCATGAGTGAGAAATAATCTTGTATGCCACTGACATTGGTAGGATTTGGGGGTGGGGAGTTATGCTACCTTGTGCGTAATAGCGTAAGCCTACGATATGTCTCCCTGAATTAATGGATCCAACTCTTGTGGGTTCAGAAGGATACCAAAATTCAGAGCTAACAACTGAAAGCAGTTTTTAATAGAGCAAGCATTGAGAGTTACCAAGGTACAAATTGTTGAGTCATCAGGAGTTTGCTCTGGCACTGCTGCCAAGCAACAGATTTTTTACAGACCACAAGTTATAAAGCAATGTTTTGTCATGCCAAATTCAACATGGTAAATGGATTTCCCAATTAAGATGATAATGAAACAGTGCATGTCAGAAATTTAGCAAATTGTCTGGTATTCACTAAATATTGAATAGATCACAGTTATTATTACCATTATTATTTACTTAAATCATTAATGTTTATGAGGATCTTTCTTGGAATTTGCAGGAGTGTGTGCTCATTGAGACCAATACTTTGAGAAAGAGAAAGAGACCAAATTGGCAGGTAGCAGGGGAGAATACATTTAGATGGAAGGACTAGGGTTCATCAATTCTTCCAGGTGCATATTGTTAGCAGTGGGGCACTAAGCCTAATAATGTATAGGTGAACTCATTCCTTCCTTGGAAAAACACAAGTGGAATTGTATTCAAGGAAATATTTTGGAAAAAAATGACCTGAATTGGTATGAATTTAGTAATTTCATGTAACAAAACTGACATGTCTGAAACAGAGCAGCTGATTAGCAAGGTGATTTATAACTTCTTTCATATGACTAGAGGTGGTGGTGAAGGGTCTGACCCTTAGAATGGTAAGAGGCTGGGAAAGTGGTAGAGAGATCAGAGTTCAAACAGAACGCAGCCCACAGAATACCTAAGTGGGTAGATACTTACTAGACATGGAGACTAATGTAAATGCACTTCTATAGAAACAAGATCCTGCAAATTCTTAATTAAGAGATTGTGTAGAGGAAATGGGCTAGTTTACTTAATTACACTTCTAATTATCCAATATTTAGGTAACTTCTTTTACATTTAAATATTTTGCATTTTATAAAATGTGTGAACATCATGATCTACATAGCCCAGTTTCTTCTCAAGTGTGGGCTTCAGTCTCCTAAAGCTCTACTTTAGACAGCAAAGCATTGCTTTAGTTCGTTCATGCCGCTGTAACAGAACACCTGAGGCTGGGTAATTTACAAAGAATGGAAATTTATTTTCTCATGGTGCTGGAGGCTAAGAAGTCCAAAATGAAGGTGCCAGCATCTGGTGAGGGCCCTTTTGATTCATCATCACAGGTGAAAGGCAGAAGAGCAAGAAGTGGGCAAGAGGGGGCAGAACTGGCCTTTTTATATGAGGGCAGAGCCATCATGTCCTAATCACCTCTTAAAAGTTCCACTTCTTAATATTGTTACAATGGTGACTAAATTTCAACATGAATTTTGGAGGGGACAAACATTCAAACCATAGTAGAGATCAAAAGCCTCTTCTGATTGGTCATTGTCAGCAAAACCTTAATTCTTAGTTCCTGCTCCCATTTATTTCCAGATATTCAGAATGCTTGAGATAAGAATACCTTGGGGTATCTTTCTTTTCTGTTTTCTCATTAGCCTGCCTCACTAATGGAGAGATCTTCCAGTACCCAGGTATCTGTCAATCCCCACCTCCCCTTTCCAAGGCACAGAGATTCCTAGCCTTTGCTTTGTTCTGGATAACTAACATGTCATCTTCCTCCCAGCAGGAGATGCAGCTGAGCCTTGTTCCTGGGCCTGGCTTTTCTCTGCCTCTGCTTTGTTATTTCCTAGGCTACTTAGCCAAAGTGCATCTATTCCTGCTCTCCTACCCACTTGAAATCTTCTTAACCATCACCTCCCCACCCCCTGCCGCCCCCTGCCCCGACACACACACGATTTTCTTCTTGAAAGTATAACACAAAGAAAAATAAAGTTCAAATTCAAATCCTGGTTATTTCACCTAGGGTTAAAAGAAGGGGTAAATTCCTAAGCTCTGCCCTTAGGAATGAACCCCAGTCAAACTAACCGGGGCAATGGTCAGGATGGAACTTCAAATAGCACTGTTTTGTTTTTGTTTTGTTTTATTTTATTTATTTTTTACCACGCTTCATGCTTCAAAAATTTATTTGCAAGATATATGCAGAAATTTTAGTTATTTCTTTGTGACAGAAGTGGTGTAGGCATTGATTAGGTTTTCAGGCCAGTTCATAGAAGCCCAGGGCATAGGTATTTACTAGACACAGAGACTCGTGTGAATGAACTTCTGTGGAAACAAGACCCTGCAAATTCTTAGTTAAGAGATTGTATAGGAGAAATGGGCTAGTTTGCTTAATTATGCTTCTAATTATTCCAATACTTAGGTAACTTTTTTTTTTTACATTTTTTACATTTAAATATTTTGCATTTTATAAAATGTGTGAACATCATGATCTATGTAGCACCACGATCTTCATGTAGCTGAAGTATTGTACTACAAAGATATCCTGAGTTCCAGGGTGTTGAAAACAGAGAATCAGGTACTTTTCTCCCAATTTCGGGTAAGGGTACATCCACTTAGTTGCTCAGGTCATAAGACATAGACATCATCCTTGATTCCACTCTTTTCTTTATCCCCAACATCTGCTACATCAGAAAGTCCTGTTAGCTTTACCTCCAAAATTAATCACAAATTCACTCATGTCTTGCTGTCTTCACCACTACCACCCTAGACCAAGCTTCCTTTATCTTTTGGCTAGTGATCCCAGTAGCATCCACTCTTGCCCACCATAGTCCATCTTCAAACATATTTAAAGTGAGCTTTTTAAGTGTAAGCAGATTATGCTACTCTCCTGTTGAAATTTGTCTCATAGCTCCCATGCCTCTTAGAATAATACCCAAATTTGGTCCTGTGTCAGGCCCTATGTGAACTGGAACCTGCCTACTTCTCCAAATTCATCTTGTTTCACTCTCTCCAGTGTTTACTCTTTTCCCATCACACTGGAATTCTTTGCATCCCTCCAATAGGCCTGTGCAGTAGTTCTTTCCTCAACCTGGGAGGCCCTTCACTCAGATCTTTCCAAATCTGCTTTCCAGGCCTTGTTCAATATGTAGTTCAAATGCCACTTCTTTAGAAAGATCTCTCCTAACCACGCTGGCTAAATTAGCTCTGCTGCTATCATCAGTTACCCCCTATACCATTTGAATTTGATTTAATGTATTTTCTTTGTAGCACTTATTCTTTGAAATTGTGTTGTTTTCTTATGTGTGTTTTTCTGTTTAAAGTTTTATTATCTGACCCTTTGGAATATAAACTGCATGAGGGCAGCAATTTTATTTTATTCACTATCTCTAGCACCTAAAATAGTGCATGGTACATTATAGACACACAAACATTTGCTTAAAGAAAGAAAGGAAGGAAGGAAGGAAGGAAGACAGTGCTTTTCTGTATCTGACACTGTTTTCTTATGTCAAGTTCATTTTACTAGCATTGCTCAAGGGCTGCTTTTTAAAGTGCAGAGTCTGTAGGTCAGGGGCTGCTTCTGCCCACTTTTGCTAATACTCAGTTCATGTAATGGTGAAACGCTGTGTGTTAACTTTATTTCATATGAACGTCACTGCCTTTATTTGCTACGGAATGCCTTTCCTTCACTACATGACAAGAGGGTAGCTGTCCCTTCATTTTGATAAAAAGATAATGGTTTTTCAAAAAATCATTTTATCAGCTGTTTATAGAAAATTGGTTTTCTATAGATTTTCAAATGGATGTTCCAGCTTAACACGTGGCTCCCCTCAAAACCATGATTCAGGGACCCTGGCTCCTTTCCTCTTGTGGTCCTAGCATGGGCAGTATGTGCCTCTCAAGGTCACCAGGGAAGGGGAAAAGAATGGAAGGTTACCAGTGGGAGGTTTTTATGGGCCAGGGCTGTTCACATTTCACTGGCCAGAACTCAGATGGTGGCTCTATCTAACTGCAAGAGGGGTTGGTAAATTTCGTCTAGCTGTGTTCCCAGGAGGAAAGAAAAATCTGTTTTGGTGAGTGGCTTTTTGATCTTGCCAGCTTTTCCAGTTATTTAATGAAAAAAATCTCCTCATTAATTATAAGCGTTTTACTTTTTATTTATTTCCTTTTTCCCATAAATGAGTTCTAGCTTCAGTTGATTGTGCTGAAGCTTGCTCACTTGGAGACCAGATAGGATTTGACTACTTAACCATGCCCTTTTCACTTTCCTGTTGTATCATCTCCAGGCTTCCCTGTGCCCCCCACTGTATCATCTCATTTGGATTTATTCTATCCTCAATATTCCTTATGTCTCAAGGTGACCCATCTCCTTTCTCTCCAAGCAAAATTCACAGTTTCCCCTGTGCTGCAGTTCTGAGTTTTGTGCTAGAAAGAAAGCAATTCATGGAACAAGCTTACACACATTTGTAAATGATTGATATCCAGCTAACACTACCAGAGGTAAATGTATTCTTTAAAGAGGATGCTTTATAATTAAGAGAGTCTTCAAACCATTAAATTCCAAGCAACATAGCAAAAGAAAGTAAAAATTAAAGTAATGTGAACATGGAAGATAGAACTGCTTAGAGGACTAAGCAGATTGTCTCTGCCTGGGAGTTGGTCTTGGTGGTCAGCTATCCTCAAATATTTCTGTTTTCTAACATTTTTCTTCCCTCCATTTTTTTCCCCTGACAACTCTCAGGGGAGTGATGTAGTAAAGAACAAAGCAAAAAACATTGAAATAGGGACAAGAAGATTTTGATGGATCCTGACTCTATCATTTAGCAGCCGGGTAACATTGGAGAGTCACCCAATTCTTGTGTGTTTTGGTTTCTTTCATGATCTAAACAGGACTTTTCAACAAGGCCAAAATAAAGGCCTTACTTTACCAATTGGTTGTGGAAGCTAAATAAGATATTGAATGTGAAAGCATTTTGCAAAGGCTAAAGCAGCATAGCTATGTATTGTAACATTATTTATAATTATATTATCATGCATTATTATACCAACAATATTATTTTAGTCATTGGCAGTATTTGTTCTAGAACACTAGAACACAGGTCTTTAGATCTTCATGGCGTATATAAATATCTAATCTATCTCTCTGTCCATCCATCCATCCATCCATCCATCCATCCATCCATCCATCCGTACTCTGAACATAGAGATATATCTACCAACATGTATATTGAGCCATAGTTTGTGTAGAGTCATTGTGGGCTTTATAAAAGTGGGGCTTCTGTGTTGTACAACTCCATGGGGCATCATTTATGTAGTTGTCTAGGTGAGTGGCAGCTGCTGGAATTATGCAGTATAAAGTCTGCAAGGTTGTACACTGCAGCCCTACGAAAGGCATAAAGGAAAGGGTCAGGCCCAGAGTCTTGTCTCATTCTTTAAGTGAAAATTAATTGACCATCTATTGTGGCTGGGTCTTGTGTTGGCTAAAGATGATTAAGCCATAGATCGTATCCTCAAGGAGCTTAACAGTTTAAAAGGGGGAAAAGAGCCTTGTATCAGATAAGAAAATTACAATAGGATTTGTTCTATCCTAGGATTTAAATAGTGTTGTAGGAATACAATGGTGAGAGCAATACATTCTGCCAATAGGAGTCAGCACAGGCTGCCCAGAGGAAGTGACATTTGAACGGAGTTCTTAAGAATAAGATGTTCTGCAAGAAGAGGTATGCAGGAAGGCCATTCTCAGTAGGGGGATCAGCAGATACAAAAGCTCAAAGTGAGAAGTTTGACATGGCTGGACCAAAGGATTTTGGTAGGAGATGAGAGTAAAGATATGGTTGATAGTTGGATGGGGAAAAGCATTTTGAATGTGCTAAGAAGTCTAAATTTTTTTTTTTGTGGGCCAGTATATACACATATAGGATGCTGGTATCACAGTGGGTGCAAAACTGGATCCATTGGGTTATGGAAAAAAAAATTAGAACTTTTATTTATGCTTATTTTCATCTCATCCTCAATGAAATAGTTGTTGTCTCGATGAATTTTCAAACATGGCTATGATGGGTAAGAAGGAGATAAAGCATCGTTGAGGTCATAAGAATGAACTTGCATGGCCTTGCTTTGTGTCTGTCCCCAAACTCTCGCAGTCAGGCTGCATCTGATTCTTGATCATGTCTTCCCTCTGATAACTCAGATACCTGGCATTTTTCCAGGTGAATCTATCTTGCTCTGCTTGTGGCTGGATGGTGCCCAGAAGCCAAGCCTATGTGTATGGCCTTACATTATTTTTTAGTGATGTACCTTCACCTTAAAAAATCATGCTGAGACATTTTTTTGGCTCACTTAATAATATTTTAGGACTTTAGCATATCTCCTTGAAAGACATTATGCATAAATTATGTTATTTATAGTGCTTAGCATTTTTATGTAGCAAAAAGAAGGAAGAGAAGAAGAAAAAAACAGAAGGGAAAAACGTCCCTGCTTTTCAGGGACAAGTCCAAGTTTTAGAGCTTTAAATGGAAATAGAAATGTAGTCGCTTTAAACTTTTTTGGTTATTTAAAAATAATACCTTTCAACTATCTCTAAGAAACCTAATATCCAGACAGAAATGAGAATTGAACTCACTCAGTTTTTATTGTACTCTTGTTATTGCAGCTGGTATGTTACTGCCTGCCGTGACTCAGCTTCCTGGCGAAGCTTGCCTGGGTAAACAATTAGAGAAGAATAACACAGGTTTAGTGGAAAGTTTAGATTTAGATTTGGGGTACCTGGCTTAGAAATCCTGGCTTTATCATTGTTTTGTGAACTTAAGCAGGGAACTTCATCTCTCATCATTTTCCCTTTGTAAAATTAGTGTGCTAATACTTATCTAAGTAGTCTTTTTAAAGAATTGCTATAAAGAAAATGTAGCACATATAGCCCATGGAATACTATGCAGCCACATAAAAGAATGAGAGCATGTCCTTTGCAGGGACATGGATGAAGCTGGAAGCCATCATCCTCAACAAACTAACACAGGAACAGAAAACCAAACACCGCATGTTCTCACTCATAAGTGGGAGTTGAACAATGAGAACACATGAGCACAGGGAGGGGAACAACAGACACTGGGGCCTGCTGGGGAGCGGGGTGGGGGGCAAGGGGAGGGAGAGCATTAGGACAAATACCTAATGCATGCAGGGCTTAAAACCTAGACGATGGGTTGATAAATGCAGCAAACCACCATGGCATATGTATACCTATGTAACCAACCTGCACGACCTGTACATATATCCCAGAACTTAAAGTAAAATAAAAAATTAAAATAAAAATAAATTGCTATAAGAACTAAGGGGAATGAAAAGATTTAAGGCAGAATCCAGCACACAATAGGTGTTAGTTAAATTTGAATATAATAAAGTTCAATAAGATATAAGTAAGTCCTAAAACATATTGTTCAGGGTGTGTGTCAATGAGTAGTTAGGAAGGGGAGGGCTAATTCTTGGAGTTAGCAGGAAAGATACCAGTCAAGAGGGGGTGGGTTGAAAGATCAGGACTACAGTGACTATGATGAATGCTGGATGTCTGATGGAGAAGTGTGGGGTGGTATAGGAAATTCACACTGAGACCGTAGCATGAGATAGAATTAGAAACTAGAGGGAGGCTGAGAAGGGAGGAGGTTGATGTACGAGTTTGGAGCAGTGTGACTGAAAACCTGGAGTTACCAAAAAGCAAAAGAGCATTTAGTGTGTTTGGAGCTCAGTGTGGGAGATTGAGAGTGTTGAGCGCAGAGAGAAAAAGAATTGGGAGGCATTGTAGGCCTTGTGAAATTTGGATTCAGTAGGAAATGAAATGTTGATGAGATTTTTAAAAGAGGTGATAAGATCCAGTTTGTATTTCTGAAAAATCTTTCTGGTTTCAGTGGGGGACAGAAGGTAGCAGCAAATCAGGGACATCAGTTGTTAGTCTGCTGCTGCAGTCCAGACAAGATGCAATGGTGGACATGGAAAATGTGGGCAGGAGGTGAAACCCATAGGATCCATTGATTGGGTGTGAGGAGTAGATTGGATATTGTATGAAAAATGAATTTAGAATCACTGGCTATTTCATCTTTATCAAATCAAACTCTAATGGCTGACTTTGAGGCTTCCTCCTCTGGGTTCTAGTAGCACTTTGTCAAACCTTATTAGAGTGCCTATCAAACAGGATCTTCATTACTTTTTTTTTTTTTTTTTTTTTTTTGAGACAGAGTTTTGTTCTTGTTGCCCAGGCTGGAGTGCAATGGCACAATCTCGGCTCACTGCAACCTCCACCTCCTGGGTTCAAATGATTCTCCGGCCTCAGCCTCCTGAGTAGCTGGGATTATAGGCATGCACCACCACCCCTGGCTAATTTTGTATTTTTAGAAGAGATGGGGTTTCTCCATGTTGGCCAGGCTGGTCTCAAACTCCTGACCTCAGGTGATCCACCTGCCTCGGCCTCCCAAAGTGTTGGGATTACAGGCATGAGCCACTGCGTCCAGCCTCTTCGTTACTTTTTCTTAACATATTTTTTAGGTTAAGAGCTATTCAAAGGCCAGAGCTGTTTCTGATTCATCTTTATATCCGCAGCCTAGCACCTGTAATATACTAGTTACTTTCTGAATGAACTGATGAATAAATGAAGGTAGAAGAATGTGATTCCATGGATAAACTTTAGTGCTCTATGGATTCTTCCCACTGACATTTGGCATCTCATAGATATATCTTGTTAATTTCTTTCCAATTTTAAGTTGGAAAAAGCCACCTTGAAATGTGTTCCAGTTACAGCTTGCACATCTTTATAAGAAACCTCGTGTCCTCCTTTTAGGATTGAAAGGATTTACAGAAAGCCCAGTGCTAGCTAACAGTTTCTAAGGAGCTGCTATAGAGATTCAGGGACTTTTCCCATTCATTTCTGGATCTTTATCACTTTTCCTGCTACTGCCGAATGCTGAATTTTGTCTTTTGATGCTGACACCTGGCTCCTCAAAACTCTAATGGGAACTTTCTGAGCCCAGCTAAAGAAACTTGGTTTGTCAGATAGATTATAGTTCACGTGTTGATGCTTCCAGCATTGTGTGAAGTCATGTGTTGCATTTGACTGAAAAAGGAATAAGTTTACTTGTTTAGGCTCGGGAGGAAGGAATGGAAATGAGCATTCTCTTTACAAGTGCCAGAATGTAAGCCTTATGAAGACTGGGATTGTTGCCTGTTTTGCAGATTGTTTTTTCCCTAGCACCTCGGACAGTTCCTGGAACAGAGTGGGTGCTCAGTAAGTATTCGTTGAATAAATGAACAGCTGGTGGTATGAGGTGGGACACTCCGAGGTGTTTGATAAGTTTTTCTTGCTAAAAAAGGAAAACTAACATTTGTGTCAGGCATTGTGCTAATCAGGTCTTAATACCTGTCATCTTGCTCAGTCCTGTCTGTAATTGGTCAATAAATAAACCAAGGCTTGTCACACACTATATGACAGAGTCAGGATTTAATCTCAGGCCCGTCTGACATCAGAAATAATTCATGGCCCTATAAGACGATCCAGAGGAAAAATAACTCCAATTGATTCCTGTTATCTTTTTTTTTTTCCCCAGGATACATTTGGTTAGTTGTCCATTTTCTCCAGTTCTAGACTTTTGCAGATTTCTTTCACAGAAATAATATTTTCTCTGAATTTGTTTTTCTGATACACCAACTCAGCATTTTTTGGTGCGGAGGGTAAACAGAGCATCCTTTCACAACTTCTCATAAGCTATGATGAATAGCATTTCTCAGGATTGTCAAAAATCTTTAGTTAGCTCTCCCTTCTGGGCTGCTCTTCTGGAAATCTATAGCAGACTGGGTGATTTCTCTTACACTGAAGGCTTCAGTATCTCTATTGGTCTGGGGTATAGACAGTCAAAGGGAATCTGCTTAATGTAAACTTAGAAATGCTTAAATTTAAAAAAGATAAATGGTTTTAATACTTTCTACAACCTGATGCCTCAATCTACTTCCAGGAAGTGGATTTTTTTCCTAAATCAACTTCGACAAATTGCAACTCATTTTTAGTGAAAGGTTATTCACTGTTATTCATTAACATTATTTCCATAGGTGATAAAAATCCGGGCCTTTTTTCTTCTCTTTTCAGATGGAGTCTTGCTCTGTCACTCATGCTGGAGTGCAGTGCATGCTCTCAGCTCACTGCAAACTCCACCTCCCAGGTTCAAGCGATTCTCCTGCCTCAGCTTCCGAAGTAGCTGGGACTATAGGTGCCCGCCACCATGCCTGGCTAATTTTTGTTTATTTTTTTTTTAGTAGAGATGGGGTTTCACCATGTTGGTCAGGCTGGTCTCGAACTCCTGACCTCACATGATCCACCCTCCTTGGTCTCCCAAAGTGCTGGGATTGCAGGCATGAACCACCGCACCCGGCTGGGGCTTCCTTTTTGTGTTCTTTAACACATCTAAATGTATATCATCCATTCTTCTCCAGTCCAGTGGTAACAGCTTGCCCCTCACTGAGAAGGCCATTGAAATCCACTGTTTATTGTATGATTAGTTCTGGTATAGCTTCAAAATAGATATTTCTTATTCTTCATGGATATAGCTACATATTCAATATATTATATATTATTTAATATATATTCAATATATTATGTATTATATATACATATATGTACAGATATAATGTATTATATACACATATGTAGATATAATGTATTATATATACACATATGTAGATATAATACATATATGTATTATATAATGTATGTATTATATAATATACATATTATATATGTATTATATAATGTATGTATTATATAATATACATATTATATATGTATTATATAATGTATGTATTATATAATATACATATTATATATGTATTATATGATATACATATTATATATGTATTATATGATATACATATTATATATGTATTATATATGTACATATGTGTATTATATATACATATATGTGTATTATATATACACATACATGTGTATTATATATACATATATGTGTATTATATAAACACACATATATGTACATATATGTGTACATATATGTACATTATATATACATTATATATATTATATCTGTACATATATGTGTATTATATATACATTATATCTGTACATATATGTATTATATACATTACATTTATATATACATATATCTGTACATATATGTATTATATACATTACATTTATATATACACATATCTGTACATATATGTATTATGTATACACATGTACACACATGTATATATATACACACATTATATCTGTACATATATATGTTTATATCTGTACATATATATGTACAGATATGTGTGTGTATATATATACATGTAATGTTCAGGTTGATTTTTTACTTTGACTTTTGAACATAATTTGTAATAAATTTCAGTATAGACAATGAATGCCCATGACGTGTAGTAATTGGCCAAAACACAATCAGAATGTAACTGGCTACTGAGTGACAAGCAGACCATTTGATATCTAGATCCCAACCCAACTTTGGGCTTTGTGATTCTCCACTGTCACTGAGTATTGAATGCCTCTTGTTGAAAATTCAAAGGGGTAACTTAAATGTTTCAGCTGTGTTTACTTACATTTCTTAAAGTTTATTCCATTTTTCCTAAGAAGAGAGGGAAAATGTTTCCTTGTTCAAATATGTTTAGAACATTTTACATACCAGATATCAAATTTGCATATAATGGCTTTGAAAAGCTCACTGCAAACTGTGTTTAACATAGCATCTGTTTAACTTACTTGTACATGGAATTATTGTAATTCACACATGAAACTTAATATCATTCCATAAAACCAGAATTCTGTGGATCATATTTTCAAAAATGCTCCTTAATGGCTTTTACTACATAATTATAAGCTTTAGTAATATTTACAAATCTGGGAATTCCTAAAAATCTCTGTATATTTATATTATAAGTGGCAGGATTTTTTTTATGGTAACTGTAGTGAGTTATGAAAGTTTGTTTTCTTTAACGCAAACTCCTACAAAACCTGTTGTTTCTCTTCCATAATTTACTGAACCTGTGTGCAAATTTTTTTTTTTTGAATCATAATTAAGAAGAGAATGGTTCGTCATTTTGCTTTCCTCTTTGGGTAAAGTTTGGGTATGATGTTTCTGAATATGTGGCCATTAAGCCCGTGTATAGCTAGAATAAATATGACAATAACAAATATTTGTATAAGGCATTTTAATTTATGAAGTGCTTTAATATATATTGTTTCCTTAGTATCCTATAAACTCTCATAATTTAGGGATTTTTTTTCCTTAGGGTATTTTATAGTTGAGGAAACTAGGGCCCAGAGAGGTAAAGTGACATGTCCAAGATTCAGGCAAATTAAATCTATTTTTTTTTTTTTTTTTTGAGACAGAGTCTCGCTCTGTCACCCAGGCTGGAGTGCAGTGGTGCCATATCGCCTCACTGCAAGCTCCGCCTCTCGGGTTCACACCATTCTCCTGCCTCAGCCTCCTGAGTAGCTGGGACTACAGGCATCTGCCACCACGCCCTGCTAATTTTTTTGTATTTTACTAGAGACAGGGTTTCACCATGTTAGCCAGGATGGTCTCGATCTCCTGACCTCATGATCCACTCTCCTGGGCCTCCCAAAATGCTGGGATTACAGGCGTGAGCCACTGCACCCGGCTGGCAAATTAAATCTTAGTCCAGATTAGGACTTTTTTCATGCTGTCCTCTCTTAAAACATACTCAAATTATTAAATAAATACTTAAGTGCATAAGACACTCTTATTAGCATGGAGAGCAGGCTCCAAGATGTCAGAGATTTTTGTCTGCTTCATTCACTGTTGACTCTCTAATAACCAGCCTTGCCTGGCACATAGCAGCTACTTGGTAAATAATTGTTGAGTGCATAAGTGAATAAATAAATCCTAGTTGTTGTTGCTGCTAATATTTATCAGTACAACTTCTATGTTTATATTCTAAGTACCTTACATGGTTTTTGCTATTATACTCCAGTAAAATATTGTTATTCTCATTCTACATGTGAGGAAACTGAGACTAAGGAAAGTTGAGAGACTTGCCTGAGGTCATCTAGCTAGTTAAGTAGTGGAGTTAGAGCTCTGATTCTGCAATGCTATTTCTCATCTTTGTAAGAGAGAATTGAGACTCACCCTAAGCTTACCTAGGAAGTTAAGTAGTAGAGTTAGAGCTTTGATTCTACAATCCTAGTTTTCATCTTTGTAAGAGGGAATTGAGGCTCACACATACTTAAACTTGTATCTTTTTATACTGAATCCAGTTGTTTCTGTAACAAACCATCTCATTTGTCTTGTTCTGATTCAGTCGTGGTTGACAAAAGATGACAATGTTGCTGCTGTTGTCGACAGCCAGTATTTCCTCAGCATGTACTCTATGATAGTCACCGCGAAGCTAGGTATTACTATTATTCCCATAAAACCAAAGATCCAAGAGAATTAACGATTTACCCAAGTTTATACTGTTAATAAATAAATGACATGCCTTCAATCCTAATCCAATATTATATTTGTCTTCATGAAAAAAAAAGCACACACACACAACAAAGACCAAATATCAGAGTCTAAATGAGGGATTTTGCCTGTTTATATTTACTCTCTTTATGGGTCCTGAGGGAACATAATTTGTGTATCTTAGATAGAAGACATTTGGGCAACTCTTATTTTACAATTTTAGGTCAGCATAGATAAGGAATTAGTCTCCCATAGATTCAGGCATGCTTCCACAATCCCCTTCCAAATTTCTCCCCTATGGAGAACTTCAGGATAGAATTTAGCAGAATACTTAACCTGGCCCTGTCTGTAATAAACCTGTCCTTAGCAACCTTCGGATTCTCATCCCCTTCCTTCTCCCTTCAAGATGCAGGAGTCCTCTCCCTCAGCTTCTTTTCTTTCTTTTTAGGTTACCCTGCAAAATCAGATTCTCCCACGTTACTGCTCTAGGTCTCCTCTCTTTCTAATCTCCCAATTCCCTCCTTTTCTAATTATTATCAACATTATTGATGCTTACTGCTTAGTGTGATGGGACATGCTGTTTGCAGTGGCCACAGGTAGTTACACTTGAAAATGAGTGGATAGGATTTTGCAGGCCCCCCAGCATATTTACTGGAGAAAGACAAAGGGTTTAAATTAAAGGATTAATTGGAAAGCTCTTAAGTGCCCTTAGTTTTTGGTCGACTGAACCAAGTTCTTCTCTTGAAAGGTCAATGAGCTTTTCCATAATTTTTAGCTGCTGTGAGGAAGAAACTGTAAATCTTTCCATTTATTTGCTTTATAAATCTCCCTTCAGCTCATTTAGTAAGGAGCTGAACATAATAAATCTGTGACTTTTTTTTAGAAATGAAAAAACAAAGCATATTTGGTAACCATGCTATCATAAAAGGAAACCTGAACTGCTAAAACCTTAAAAAACTATAAATTAAACTTTTCTTGAATGGAAGATATGTCAGTGTGTGTGTGTTTGTGTGTGCACACGTGTGTGTTTTATGTTAGAATAAATCATGCTACTGGGCCTACCCCCATGTTATCTTCCATGTAAATAGCATGTTTTATGATGTTCCCAAAACAATGAAATAATCTTTGCTCTGAAATAATACCTGCTTTAAACCAGCACTGTAAAGTTGGAAATAATGGAAAACACGTTCAAACTGATTAATGATGTACTCAGAGAATGGCGTATTCTGCCTAATTGGAATTTTTGAGTATCTGAGGAGAAAATCTTGGAACTCTTAAATTCCCCCTTTGTTGTTGAAATCTTTAAATTCTTGAATCCTCTTTCTGCTCTTAGAGTGATAGGCCGTGTTCATTGTTGAATTTCTTCTTGGTGACTAGGAATACTCATGGGGCCACCAGGCTAACAGTAGGTATTGCTTCTGAGCCTCTTCATTTACAATGTTAGATTTACATGACCAGGTTGAGGCTTCTTGCCTGTAGTTGTGTGTGCTCCAGGGCACGGTTTTGGAGGTTATTTCTGTACCCCATTTATCATTTTGGCTTTTTTCCTTGAAGTGACATGCAACAAAGGAAGAACAGGACCTTCTTAAGGTCAGGGATGAGATCTTATTCACTGTTGCTAGTAAAATACTAGCACTTAGTATTGTACATGGTACATTGGTCAGGATGCATTTTTCTAAATACTCAATGACTTAAAGTAGACATATTTGAATCACTAAAGTTTTTTAAAAGTTTGAAAAGTTGACTTTCCTTCCTCTTTTCCTTTTATTGTCTGAATTTATCGAGCATCTCTTGTTCTCAGATACTGTGCTAGGTACTAAGACTACAAAGGAGGAAGGAGGTTAACGTTTCCTGAATCCCTCTTACACAGCAGACATTGTGTTGGGTGCGTTTACGTATATTATTTTATTTAATGGTCATAGGGGACTATGCAGTAGATTTCACAATCTTCATTTTTAAAGATGAACATATAGATTCCAGAAGAATTAGGACTAAGATTGGAATTTAGATTGGCCCATTATACCTATTCTTTTGTCCCTGTGGTTCTTGAATGTGGTGAGCTGCAGTTTCCTGATGAATTCTGCAAAAATTCACTCTTCTCTAAGACCTCTTCTGGACCTAGAGTCAGAGTTGAATCTTTAGAGACCTGAACCACTGAAAGGTTTGTGGTGTATCTCAAACTTTTGGGAGAGCCCATAAGTAATTCAGTATTTTTGAAAATAAAATGTAGAAATAAGCCTAAATAAGTTCTATACAGTTCTGAATTTTTTAAGATAGTAACTTGACAATATTGCATATCAATTTATCTCTAAAATTCTGTCTATCTCCTCTCTCTGTCTCTCTTTGCTTTGCTAATGCCCTACCCCATAGTCTGACCACTGGGTAACCCAGGGAGTCCAAGGCCCTGGGATTCTGATGTGCAGCTGTTAAGCAGTGCACCAAATATTTTTGATTCTATCCCCTTCTGGGCACTAATGTGTTTGCCATGGGACTTGTAGTTCTGGCCAAGGAGTTATGAACAGAAGCAATGTGTGTTGCTTCCAAGCCAGAGCAGTGAGTCAGTGAGCAATACCTCCAAAATTCCTTCCAGCCAGCAATCTGAGAAAAGGACTGTTTTGTCAGCCTAGGTTCCTGAGGCTTTCAGTAATCTGAGCCCACTTGCTGACATGTAATAGTCATATAACATGAGTTAAATGGACTTTGTTGTTTTAAACTACTGAAATGTTGGGATTGTTTGTTATCACAGCTAAACTGTGACAGCTGTATGTGGAATCCACCATGCAAGGCACTTAAAACTGAATTTTGAAGTATTTTGCCAGACAAATAGGGAGAAAAAAGGATGCCAGACAGAAGGAAAGGCATATGTATTTTGACAACTTTATTTATCAAATTCTTAATTTTTTTCATTTTAAAAGTGCTTTTAGAAGAGTTTGTAGAAGTTGGCTAAATAATTTTAGTAGGAATCATAAGTCTGTTGGTATCTCAGGCCCCATCAAAGGTATGTGGGTATGACAGAAAAGAGTTTCTAGACTGAGCAGGAGATGATATGATGGCAAAATACATTTGAAAAGTTGACTATATCTAGAACATAAATTACATATAGGACAGTGGTAGGATATGAAGTGATGTAAAGTTCCTACTTTAACTATGATTATTAACAGTGCCCACTATGCACTCCTAATCTTCTGAGCAGAGCAGAGCCATACTGGGGGCTGTTTCTCAATTTTGTGAATAGTTTGCAAAAATCATTAGATCTTTGACAAGTGCAGTTAAGCCTAAAACATTTGCCTTGGCCCTATTTCTATTTGTCACCTTCTGATTTCTCTTATATCAATAAGCTAAGAAAGTGTAGATGTGTGGTAGATTCATTAAAATAAGGAACTCGTGTTGGTATATAAAAGGGCCAATTGTGCTGATCAGGATTCTTTGATATGCAAATGGTAGAAAATCAAATTCAACATGGCTTAAGCAGAGAAAATATATGGCTTCAAGTAACTGAAATTTCAGGAGTAGCCTTCAGGCAAAGCTGGATTCAGGGCTCAAACAATGTCACCAAGGCTCAAACAATGTCACCAGGGCTCTCTCTCTTTCTCTCTCTCTCTCTCTCTCTCTCTTTCTCTCTCTTTCTCCTTCTGACTTTTGTTGATTTTATTCACAGGCAGATTGGTTCAACTGCTACCATCATCTTGAAGCTTGTCTTCTTAACTAAGTAATCCCAGTGGATCTAGCAAGTGTCAGAGAATTGATGAGTCTGTGGGGGTCCAAGTCTTGGCCCCAAACAACTCAGGTATCCAAGAATCTGTAACATAGTGAGTAGCCAGTCCTGAAACACAGTCCCATGCCTGGAAAGTGAGGATGAGAATTCACGTTCACTCAAACCATGTGACTGAGAGTAGGGTAGAGATGCCTGCTCAAATGAAACTGAGGGTGTTGTATTAGAAGTGAGGGGATAGTTTATGGGTAGGAAAAACCAATAGCTATCTTTTACTCTGACGTCTTTCAGTTTTGCAGATGAGGGACCTGTAAAATGATGATATGATTGAGAATGATTATGTGGAGCAAACACTGAACTGAGATTTAGGAGACCCAATTTAGGTCCCTATTTGCTGCTATCTGGCTATGTGATCAAAACCCCAGGTTCCTTAGTTGCCTCACCTGTTCAATGGTAGTAATGATGTTCATCCGCTATGAGATGCCACAGTGCTTGTAGTGAGATATAGGATGTTATTCATATGATGTCTTCAGTATTATTTAGCCCCTTCATTTTGTAGAAGAGGAGGATCAAGTGACTTGGCCAAGGCCATATTGTCAGTAAATGTAGAACCGTAAGCAAAGTCTCTCTCTCCTCATATTAAAGACAGAATTTTAATAGCAGTTGTAAAAGTGCCCTGGGAGAGTTTAAGAATTATGCCAATGTGATTTACAGTTTCTAAAAAGTTGTTTGTATAGGGAATTTTTGTTAAAGAATCTTAAAAGCGTAGAGCTTACTACTTGAATGATTTCTATGGTTAATGATTTGGGATCTTTGTGGAAAACCTCCAACAAATTTACCTTTGTTTTGGTAAATATTTTTCAGATATCTCTTTTATTAGAGTGTGGTCAGATCTATTTATTACGTTATTTTAAGATCTGATTTTCATTGTTTTCAGCATAATACAGTGGAAAGAGACCTTCAGATCAGTAAGACTTGGGTTCCAATCTTGGTTTGGCTCCTGTTAAGTTTTGTGACTGTGGCAAGTTATTGAGCCTCTGGGGACCTGCAAGTATTCGCTGTTTATAGTTCTGTATCAGTATCCTCAATAGCATTCTAAACTTAATTCACACTCCATTTGCACCTTCTTAAAACACACTTTATTGTGATATGTCACTCTGGAATTTGTGCCACCTCTTGGCTCGCTTTCCTTTCCTCAGACAACAGATGATGGAGTGCCTTAAGGCTTGATCCCAGACATTGGCCTCTGCTAACTCCCCATCCCCCATCCCCAACCCATCTATACCAGTGCCATAACTCTGATAAGTGGTTTACTAACACAGTTATATACTACACCCCCCAGCTCAGACCACTTGTCTAAACTTCATGTTTTAAAGATGTATGATCTCTGCCCTGAACACCTGCTCTTCTTTCAGTGTTTCCTCTATCTGTGAGTGATAGCACCAACCCTCCCATTACATAGTCACATATTTAGGAGACATTCTTAATGCTTTCCTCTTTTTCACCCTAAAGTCCAGTCGATTACCAGACTCACTTGTTTTTATCTACTGAGTATCTTTTCAAATCATCAACTCCCCTCCACATGTTTTGACATCCTTTAGACCCAGCGTTTCATGTTTCTCATCTCAACGTTGGTGGTGGCCTCTTCACTTCCTTCATTCTAGCTCTCTTTAATTGGTTTTGGATGTTGTACACAGAGTAATCTTTCACAATGCAAAACTGAACATTTTGCCCTCGTGGCCTTGGTGCACAGTTTCTCATTGCTGTAAGGAACAAGATGGATCCTTATCACAGACCACAGGAACCTTCAGGATCTCTCTGCCTTCTGATCTCATTTTGCACCATGCTGCCTCTTTGTCTCCATTCACATTAGCCATCCCTCAGTAACATATCTTCTAGTCCCTCTTCCTGCAGCATTCTTCCCCTACTCCTTACTAGCTTCACTTAGTTATCGTCTATCTTTTTTTTCAGATCTCAGGTTAGTTACCACCTTCTCAGTTAACTTCCCTGCCCAGTTCCAGTGTAATTTCCAATATGCATTCTCCTAGGATCATGTATCTCTCCTTTTTTGTACCCTCACAATGCTAATTTTATATTTGTTTGTAGGATTTCTCAATGATTCTGGACATTTTCCCCATGAACATTGTATCTCTAGCACCTAATAAACTGTTTGATACATATATTATGTAAGTAATAAATATTTGAATCTCAGCTGTTATTTTACTGAAAATGGAAGATCTCTGAAGCCAAACAGATCTGAGTCCGTATCTTGGCTTTACTTCTTAATTGCTACCTGACTTTGAGTCAGTTACTTGAATTGTCTGGATTCTCAGTTCTCTGATCTGCAAAAAGGGTTAGTAATTCTACTGCATAGGTTGGAATCAAATGAGATAATGTAGTTCACTACCTAGTATGGGCTTGTCTGATGTAATTCATTCCCTTTCTTCTTTCCTCCCATCCTTCCAATCCCCACTTAGAATAGAATAGGTTATGTTTCACAAATGTTGGGAAGCTCTTTCTTTACATTTTTCCTAGCCTTTACGGCCATCTCCTCCTTTAACCTGGCCGGGCATCTGCATGACTCCTACTGGATGCTGTTCAGTTCATTAGTGATGAGTCATCACCATCCTGTGTCCTCTTGGTGGTCTCTGCAGAATCATATGGCACCTTAATGACCAACATTTATGATGATGGGTCATTTGCAGAGAGAAGGGAGTAATTGGCTTATTTTGAAGGTACATTAACTCGCTTTGGTCGCTAAGACTAGATGATTAAATTTCTTCTTAGAGTCCCCAAATAGCATTTCTACTTGGACCCTCTTTGATTTAAACCAAGTTTCAATGAATTTTAAAAATCCACATTGGTCTGACCAAGTTAGTGGTTTCCTCTCAGTTACATTGATTCCCAAAATGTTTCAGGTTGATTGGGTCAACTTTGTTTGCTGAAAAATATGTAAAATAATTTTTTTGGATGTGATTCACCTGGTCAACTTACAGAATGATTAAACTGGGTCAAGTTAATTTACCTGTTGTTAGATATATCTCGCCTCATTTCCTAGAATTTGAAGTGGTTACTATTCTTTGAATAGTAGAAAATTCATTTCTACTATTTTACTCTATTTACAAGAATATGCAAGTACAGTAAAGCAGTAGAAATGAATTTTAAGGTAAAATTCCAGTAGTCAGTGAAATCATGGCTAGCTAGAAAGATAAAACTTTATATATGTTTTCTTAGTTTATCTGCACAAACCCTAACCCACAGTTAGTACTCAATAAAATATAGCTATCATTTTTATTTTTGAATATCTGTCTATATTCAACTTTGCTGAGTGGTAAGTAGAACTAGGGAGATTTTAGAAATGATATACAGTTATGGAAAATCTATGACTGCTGCTCTCAGCTTGGGCGTATGGACAGCTAATTAAATAAATCATAAAGCTGTGTGATGAGGGCAATGTGCAGAGTTGGGTATGGTGCCATAAGAACCCACAGATGAGGGACTGAGGGCATCTCTCAGAGAATGTTGGGCCCTTTTGAATCTCTAATTTTTCAGTTTCCTGTATTTTGGGAAGTGGGGGGAAGAAGATTAGAAGAAGATTAGAGTCTTTTCCTTTATCTGAAGAATAAACCCATGCTAGTTTAGATAAACTGGCCAAAAGTCAAAGCAGGGGAGAATTTTTATCTGAATTTCTTGGCCACAAGTCTTATATAATTAGTGAAATTGTGCTGTACTTTTTTTATGGAGCAGAAGAAGAACCTTGGTTAGTTGCAAGATTCACATTATCCATGCACAAAAATTATGACATTTCCTGGGAAGAAGGAGTCTTTTGGATTCAGAGCTAGGCTACTGCTGTCACTGTCTTGTGAGGCTTTACTAATGGACTTCACCTCATTGACCAGTTTCTGTCTTCGCAATGAAGAAGTTAGAATTAGAAGCCCAAAGTTGGCATGCTATGAGCTACACTTGATATGAAGTTTGTTTTTTTTTGGCTCACAGGCACTTTGGAGACTTTAATTTGATGCCTGTTGGCAGAGTCTGCAGCCTCCAGTTTGCCATGCTACCCTCCGCTCCCTTTTGTGATACACCCAGCCCTCTTTACAAGCCAGGGAGCCTTCAGCAGAGCAGACTAGGCAATACTTCAAGTTAGTCTCAAAAGAGAATATGTTAGATCAGGACTTTTCAGAGCCTCAGGACCCTCCTTTCACATTTGCAGTTGTATTCCAGGTCCCGTTCTCTCCCATGACAGATCTGCCCATGTTCCAGATGTGGAGTGAAAGGCGTTGTTAAGAAAGATTGCATTTTTCAGCTGGCCATTGTCACCTTCACCTCCAATTTGGAGATGCTTGTCTTATTGACCTTTTCCTTGTGCACCCTTGGCAACTGAAATCTTTAGCACCTGCACAAGGCCCCAGAGGATCAGTTTTACCAGATGCTGGTGGTTCACAAATTTCCATGTGCATCAAAATCACTTGGACCCAGGTGCCTGGGCCCCACCCTTAGAGTTTCTGATTCATTAGGTCTCAGGTAGGGCTTGATAATTTGGCATTTCTAACAAGTTCCCAGAAGACACAGCATCCTTCCCGTATTTCTGAGGTCAGGAACATGCTTTTAGAATCACTGTTCTAGACATTTGGGCACCTTTTTTTTTTCTTACCCTTCTTAAGCCCACATGAATAAAACAAGTGACTGTCAATATTTGTATCATTGTACATGCTTTCAACTACAATGATGGGAAAATATAGCACTCTTTAAGAAAATTAGGGAATGCAGTTATCACCAGGTCGCTCCCCTACGTCAATTTTATAATCTTCACTTACATAATATGTAAGAAAGCATTTTCTATGTAAATAAATTTCAACAGTCATAATATTTGTTATTATTTAACTGGGTTGAAGAATTATATATTTTAAAGAATTATTTCAGAAGAAAACTAAAAACTTCAGAATATCTAATGCAATTTTGCCTGGTACACCCCTGGCATATGGGAGCCAATAATCAAAATGGCTTTTTTTAATAGATAAGAAGGAAACCCCATAAGGCTGAAACATTGCCTAATTCTATTGAAAAAGGCCAAAGCCATTTTAACTTGGGTAGATTTTACTCTACACTGATCCTATTTTATTTCTTATTCCCCCTTTGAAACCATCCTTAACTAACTTAACCTTGGATGTACTTATTCTTATCTAATCAAAACCTACACATCATGGGCTCTGGAGAGATATTGCTCAGGTTAAAATCCCTTCTCTACAAGTTACTAGCTATGGATGTTGGGGAACTTTATTAGTCTGTTTTCATGCTGCTCTGAAGAAATACCTGAGACTGAGTAATTTATAAAGGAAAGAGGTTTTAATTGACTCATAGTTCTGCACGGCTGGGGAGGCCTCAGGAAACTTACAATCATGATGGAAGGGGAAGCAAACATGTCCTTCTTCACATGGTGGCAGCAAGGAGAAGTGCAGAGCGAAATGGAGGCAAAAACCCCTTATAAAACCATCATATTTTGTGAGAACTCACTATCACGAGAACAGCATGGAGGTAACCACTCCGATGATTCAATTACCTCCCACCGGGTCCCTCCCAGAATACCTGGAAATTATGGGAACTACAGTTCAAGATGAGATTTGGGTGGGGACATAGCCAAACCATATCAGAAACTTAAATTTCGTTGTACCTCATTTTTTTTCTATCAGTATAATGAGGATAACAATAGTACTTACATCATACCATTGCTCTGAGAACAAATTAATATACATAAAGGATTGAAACAATGTTTAACACATTTTAATATTATAATGAAATTCTTACCTTCTTCAGCTCGCAGAGTATTTTGTGGAATAATTTGTTGGTTCTTAAAACCGTGATATATTGATTCCTAGTTAATAGAAAAGAAAACTAACACAAAAAACATTGGGATTTTCCTGTGTTTACAACAACTAAACCATCCCTGTGCTCAGCGTTCTGAGTCATGCTACACTTACAACTTCTACTTCAGAACTTAAATATGTTGTGGTATCTTCAATCTGCTATTTGGTAGTTGAAATTTCATATCATTTAAGGAAATAGTGTTTCCTTAATGCAATAAATTCCCCTTTGCCTTTTCTGCTATTTTATCACATAGGGATGGACTGTACTTCATATACTAAGAGCCCTTCTTCTGGGTAGAAGTTCATCATCTGAATCAGAATTGAATGACCTATCATGGTGAATAATAAGTGTAAATTTAATTCCACAAGACCTATTACCATCTGCTTGTAGATAATGGCACAAATATACATATCTCTATATATACACACGTACATATATATGTGTATATATATACATATCTATATATACACATGTACATATGTGTGTATATATATCTATATATACACATGTACATATATGTGTGTATATATATCTATATATACACATGTACATATATGTGTGTATATATACATATCTATCTATATACATATATGTATGTATATATTTGAAAGTATTTTCTTCTTACTGGGTTGTCAGGACACTTTAGAGAGGTTTGTTCTTTTCTTTTTTTTTTTGAGACGCTGTCACCCAGGCTGGAGTGCAGTGGCATGATCTTGACTCACTGCAAGCTCCGCCTCCCGGGTTCACGCCATTCTCCTGCCTCAGCCTCCTGAGTAGCTGAGACGACAGGCGCCCGCCACCACACCTATTTTTTTTTTATTTTTAGTAGAGATGGGGTTTCACCATGTTAGCCAGGATGGTCTCGATCTCCTGACCTCGTGATCCGCCTTGCCTCAGCCTCCCAAAGTGCTGAGATTATAGGTATGAGCCACCGTGCCCGGCCGAGGTTTGCTATTTTCTCACCTTGGTACCAAAGACAGCTTTAGAGTTGGACATATCTGAGTTCTCCTCTTGACTCCTCCACTAGCTAACTATTTGATGCTAATTCTTGCAAGGTGCTTAACCTCTCTTGACCTCAGTTTTCCCATCTGTAACAATAGTGTCCCTTGGTGGTATTGGTGAAAGACAGCAAGGTTAAGCCACTTGCCTATACTCATATAGCCAATAAGTGGCAGAGTTGGGTACAAATCCAAGTCTTCGTGATGCAGAATGCTCTTTCTTCACTGTTTTCCTCAGTTTCTGAAGAGGAAGAGTTTGTGATCTCTGGTCCTAATCCCCTGTGGAACACGTGAGGCTTGGGGTTCTCTGAATAGGGGCTTCTATCCCAGCAGTTTGTTTGCAGTGGGTAAGGCAGATGGGCTCCATTCTTGGGTATTAGCATGTTCCCAATTCTGGGCTGGAAAATCAGGCCTGTCTATTCACGCAGAAAGGTTATGAATACAAAAAAGGGTGATCATTACATAAAAGGCCAGGGTATTGAGACTGCTTTGACTTCTCCAGGTCCTTCTCCCATTCTCTTGTTACCCTTTCTGTTCCATTACCTTATCTTCTTGACTTTGATTTTCTTTTCAGGTCTTGACCTCATTTCATACTTGACAGCAGAATTTGGCATAACTGATTAATTGAACAGTCTGAAATTAGCTGGGGTATAAAGCATGAAGCAGTTTTATTTTTCTTCAATAACTGCCCTCAACTATTCCCTTGACAACATCATAGGCAGATTCCATAGCTTTTTAGTGACTTCTGTTTATAGAAATTCCAGTCTAGGCCGGGTGTGGTGGCTCACACCTGTAATCACAGCACTTTGGGAGGCCGAGGTGGGTGGAACACGAGGTCAGGAGATGGAGACCATCCTGGCTAACACGGTGAAACCCTGTCTCTACTAAAAATATTTAAAAGAAAATTAGCTGGGCATGGTGGCGGGCGCCTGTAGTCCCAGCTACTCAGGAGGCTGAGGCAGAAGAATGGCATGAACCCGGGAGGCAGAGCTTGCAGTGAGCCGAGATCGCGCCACTGCACTCCAGCCTGGGAGACAGAGTGAGACTCCGTCTCAAAAAAAAAAAAAAAGAAATTCCAGTCTAGTTTGCGACTTCAGTTTCATACCCAATTTAAAGCTCTTTCTTTTTCCTCCTTTTAGCACTGTCCAAGCTTTGGCCTGAGGGCTTGCAATATGGGGGGAGTACAGTTTGGTTTTTCAGTTTTGCCTTGCCTTGGGCCTGCAAATATTTGCCCTTTCATGGGTCAGTAAGGTCTGTGGCAGGTCCTGTATGACCATCCCTTTGCACGTGTCCCTAACAGGGAGATTCATTCTGGCCTGGCCTCATATCTAATCACTCCTCCTTTTTAGATCCTTTTCTTAATAGCGTGCCTCTGTAGCCTCTTACTGCTGAAGTCTCCTCACCCAACCGGTAACTATTTTGGATGTGGCCTTGGCAAAGTGGCTCAAGGCTAGTTACCTTTCACAGTGCCCACTTGACCATAGAAAACATACATTCTTGACATGGCAGTACCAGGACATGCCAGTACCAAGAGATTATTCTGCTGTTGAACTCTTTTTGTCATTTTTCTGCCATTTTTCTCCAGCATTTTTCTCTCCATGCTCAGACACAGACATTGGTAGTTTCATTGCATAATAGATACCCAGCTGAGGAATGGCATCTCAGCCTGTTCTTGCTGGCACCTCCAATCTCTTAGAAGGTCAAAGCATTCCTTCTGAGCTAGTGACTCATACCACATTATCCTTTCTCCCTGAGCTGTCATTTTTGCTTCTATGCATAGGCGAGGGGATGGAGTTGTAATGATTTAGATAGCAACACTTGGAGATGGTGTCTGGCACCTAATTGTTTTTTTAACTTTCTTTAGGATTTGAGTACTTGGCTTCATTTCATCCTCAGCTTTGATACTAATTCTGGCTCTGGGGAGAAGTCCTGCTCAACATCCAATTGCACTGGCTTCTCTGGCTCTTGACCCCAGGTGCTTCCTTAGCCATGCTCTGTGGGTATCTTCTGGTGGTTTCCACTCCTGGATTCCACAGCTCACTATTCTCCTGACCCAGTCCTGATCTTGAAAACCAACTCTGGTGTTTGCCCAACAGGTCCAGCATTTTCAGATGGCCTCTGATTCCTAGGATGGGGATTATCCTAAGGAAGTATTCAGACACCATGATCTGATGAGAGCCTAGAGCCATGTGCCATCACAAGGGGAGCAAAGTCTTGCCTACTAAGGGAACACATGCCCTGGACTGCATTTCCCTGTCTCATTATTCCTGCCTCTGACACCAACATTTCTGGAGACTGAGATTTTTGTTGTAATGCATTGTCTTTGTTCCAGCAGATCAGGGACTGGGCAGAGTTGTAGAAGTCCACTGTTTTACTGCCACTGAGATTTCTAAGGTGGATTTTCAAAAAGGGAGAGACAACATATGTCAACCCTTATTGAGTGCCTTCTAAAATTAATAATATGCTCTTATTTAATTTTTGTACCAATTATGTGCAATAGGTGACCTTATTCCCATTTTAAGGAGGAGTAAATGGAGGCCCTGCCATAGGCAAGTCACATGCTCAGTTCAGCTAGATCTTGGGCTAGAATTAAAATCCAGATTGGTCTGATTCCAAAATTCATTGCTCTTTCCCCTACATAACAATAAAACAACAATGGAGAAGGCATGTCTGGCCAGGCCAGCACATTGGGACGTGCCTCGGATTGGTCGTTTGTTTGCATCAAATGGCACATGCCTCAGTCAATGCCTCCTGGCGCTGATCCTGCCTGCCTTTAGGTGTGGCTGCTTTTGAACTGGAACCTGCTCTGGGAACGATACTCGCTAGTCCACACTGACTTTCCATTCTCCAGGCTTATCATTATGCATGTTACTTGCAGCAGCAGAGGAAGTTAATTTGGCAGAAGGAAATTAAACTCATCTCTTATTCTGCATTCTCCCAGAAGTGTTGTACTTGAGGAGAATCACATTCCCAAGGTGACAGGTATTGTACAGAAAGGGCATAACAACCCCTCTCCTTCTTTGGTTCTTTCAAAGCCAGTGTAGCATGCAAAAAAAAAAAAAAAAAAAAGTTGAAAATATTTGTATTTAACTCAATAATGTTTTTAGGAAGACAAAGATATTTACATGCAAGGTTATTAATTCAGAGATACAGGCTGCTTAATACATAAGTAAGAACAATTTCTGGGGCAACTCTGTAAACAGGGCTTCTAAGATGGGGAGGCCAGGCCAGGAGACTGTTTCAATTTAAATGTGATCTCAATTACTGAATGCATACCTAACAAAGAGGACTGGGTTTCTAAGTTTCTTGCTTAATCCATGCTTTTAATTTCTGTGCAGTCCTTCAAAATGAATTCGTTACATATTTCACTGCTGTCCAGGATGCTGGATGCTAGGATTTGCAGTCTGCCAGAGGATTGAACGTTTTTGGGTATTTTGTTGTTGTTGTTGGTTCTGTTTTCAATTTTAGCTTGTGGAAATTTAGCCTGTAGGGACCTTTGGAAATTATTTCAAACCTGCTCGTTTTGTAGATTAGGAAAGGAGATCCAGAGAAGTTAAGAAGGTGGGTTCTAGTTCTGTTCATAGTTTTTTGTCATTTATAAGTCTGTAGCCTTGGGAGAGTCTTTTCCCTTCTCTGGCCTTGAATGGGTCAAGGTCAGGTGAAGAGTAATTGGTACTGCCTGGAGCATAAACTTTGTCTTCTAACCAATGTCCAGGGCTGTTGCCATTGGATTGGAATGACTGCTACTTCCCTAGGCAAAAGTGGCATTTTTTTTTTTTTTTTTTTTTTGAAACAGAGTTTCTCTCCTGTTACCGAGGCTGGAGTGCAATGGTGCGATCTTGGCTCACTGCAACCTCCACCTCCTGGGTTCAAACCATTCTCCTGCCTCAGCCTCCTGAGTAGCTGGGATTACAGGCATGCGCCACCACACCTGGCTAATTTTGTATTTTTAAGTAGAGACGGGGTTTCACCATGTTGGCCAGGATGGTCTCAATCTCTTGACCTCGTGATCCGCCCGCCTTGGCCTCCCAAAGTGCAAAAGTGGCATTTTTGACCACCTTCTAGAAGCTTTGTGTTAGGCGGTTTGTGGCAATCATTGCCTTGTCATACTTTCCTCTTTTAATGAAGTGAGTTTCCACCTGTCTAGAATGCCATCCTTACTTTGTATGCCTGGCAAACTCTTACATGATATTCATGGCTCGATTTAGAAGCTATCTCCTTGAAATTTTCCTTGACTCCCCAGGCAGACTTAGATTTTCTCTACTAAGTTTCATTTTATATCATCTACTCATTATAATTCCACCTAACATAATCATGATGTCATGATTGCTGAGTGACACATCATTCACCACAATGGGTTCCTTGTGGGCAGGGGATACTATAACTAGTTTATCACTGGTGCTCAATACTTGTTTGTTGACTACATGAACACACAGAAATGGGCTGTGGTAAATTTGATGGTAAGGCTTTTGTTGGAAGCATCCCATCACTTCTTAATTAGACATGATGGCCATGGAGTGATTTGGGCTAGTGTCCATTAGCTTGGTCAGTGAACAGAGTCTTAATGAATATAGTAAAATGTACATTCATCCCTCAGTGTCTGTGGGGGATTGGTTTCAGGACCCCCTCAAGGACACCAAAGTCCACGGATGTTCAAGTCTTGGACATAAAATGGATAGTATTTGCATATAACCTATGCATATCCTCCTGTGTACTTTAAATCATCTCTAGATTACTGATAATACTTAATAAAATGTAAATACTTTGTAAATAGTTATTATACTGCATTGTTTCAGGAATAATGACAAGAAAAATGTCTGTACATATTCAATACAGACACAAACATCAATTTTTTTCCCCAATATTTTTGACCTGCAGTTGGTTGAATCCATGGATCGGGGGATGGGGGACCCATGGATACAGAGAGCTGACTGCATTGTCTTTGTTGCCAAAAAAAAAAAAAAAAAAATCAGTACGAATCAGGCATTACCATTTTATG
The DNA here is from genome assembly GCF_000001405.40 of Homo sapiens. Classification (NCBI taxonomy): domain Eukaryota; kingdom Metazoa; phylum Chordata; class Mammalia; order Primates; family Hominidae; genus Homo; species Homo sapiens. Next base: position 20,993,942 of record NC_000011.10, read on the forward strand.
CATCCTCAATAATATTTGATGACAAATATGATTCTAATATTCCTTTATATTTTCAAAGATAGAAATGCAAAGATAAACTGTGGTAATCATGTAATCCCTATCTAGCTTACAAAATAATGTTCTAGCTAATTAGGACAACTTTTAAGAAATCTATTTTACTTTTGTGCATTTCTATAGCATAAACAGGTTCAGGGCCTTATATTAGCTTTTAAGCCATTATTAGTTAGGATTTGAATGCCAGGTTTGAAAACACATACACCTATTTCCTCCCCATACAGCACACTATCAAAAACAATCATGGTACAAACTCAGCAGGCCAGTTTTGAAAATAAGCACTGAGTATTGTCATGAAAAAACATGAAGATTCTCTGAGCAGTCAAAGCTGCGGTAAAAGAAATTTGATGAATCTTATGTTAGACATAACAGTTAGAAATATCTGTAGTGATCAGTGCTTCTACTGGCTCACAATAGCATGCCAATTTTTATAATCTGATGTATTGTTTACTATGATTCAAAGAGCAGAAAGTCAATCAGCTAAAAGCTATACTTTGACATCCACAATTAAAAACAAGAAAGAACAACAAATAAATTGCTAATGAATAAAAAGTTTTTTTAAGTTGGAAAATGTAAAACCAAGGAGTGGAAATTTGTAGGGAAAATGTAAATTACATATGTCCCCAAAGTGGTGAATATATAATATTTATCCTCATGCTTGCAGTAGATAGATTGCTTACATTTTCCAAATATGCCATTGTACTTACATTTTATATTACAAGTGCCAGGCCTTAGAAGAGCTAAACTAGAATTATTTGTTGTCCCCTGGAGTTACTCTAGTTATTTTAGTGTAATATCCTGCTGAGATTTATATGAAAATGAATTTTAATTTCTAATAAGGTAACCATATGCTTTGGAGGCTGTTGCAATAAAATGTCATAAATAATTATTGTTTCTAACAAATTCCACCTTGAGACAATCAGGTCTTGTTTTAACAGCCCATGTTAGACATGGATTTTAGCCATTTTCATATTTCCACCACCCTCACCTTGCAGTCTTCAAGTGGCAACAGGAGAGATACCCTGGTGGAAACTTTTTTTCTCTTTCTACTCCTCACCTGCATGATGTTATTTTGTTTTAGAATTGCAAGCTTCAAAAGGAGGCAGATATCTAACAGACTTAATTTTCTGGTTTTTTTTTTACTCCTAATTGCTGCAGAGAAAATTGATCACATTAGGTATAGTGTGTGTGACTTGTCCAGAGGAATTAACTTTGCTCATCCTTTTCTTGTGATTAATAGTTAACTAATTTTAGTAGCTGTAAATAACTAAGAGTTAGAAGAAGCAATAAAAAAATCAGCTTCTGGCTGGGCGCGGTGGCTCACACCTGTAATCCCAGCACTTTGGGAGGCTGAGGCGGGCAGATCACGAGGTCAGGAGTTTGAGCATGGTGCCAGCATGGTGAAACCCCGTCTCTACTAAAAATATAAAAAATTAGCCGCACGTGGTGGCGCATGCCTGTAATCCCAGCCACTCCGGAGGCTGAGGCAGGAGAATTGCTTGACCCCAGGAAGCGGAGGTTACAGTGAGCAGAGATCGCACCACTGCACTCCAGCCTGAGCAGCAGAGCGAGACTCCATTAAAAAAAAAAATCAGCGTCTATAAATTGCTTCACATTTCTACATCCCAGAAGAGAAGAGTGGCTCCAGTTCTCAACTCAGTTCTTCCCCTTTGTTATTTCCCTTCAACCAGCTTTCTTTGCCTTATTGTGTATCAATCAATAAGTCAATCAACACATATTTATGTGCTGCTCTGTTTCATGCTGGGCAGTGTGGGATATCAAAAAAGAGTAAGACATGATCTCTATCTTCTGTAAATCACCTCCTTAGAGCTAATCTGGCTCACTGGAATGCTACGGAATTTAAGTTAGGGAGGAATTCAGAGAAAAGTTAGGTCACTGGGCACTGAACTAGATGGAAGTTTCATGAAGAAGGCAAGGGCTGAAGAATGAACGAGATTTGGATTAAAGGACAAAAGAAGAGAAACATTTTGTGCTCATTCTACAGGGGTTTATTTTTACTTAATGTATTAGTCTTCAGGTATCAGGGTTGAAATTATTACCCTGCCATTTAATGTATAAGAATTTATTTTCTTCAGTATGATCTCATTCTCATTCCCTGTTCTTAATAAAAGGAGGACCTGTGTGATTATAGGTCCTTGGATCTCACTTAACTTAAAACTGTTGTTTGGATGGACTCAGCTCATTTAGGTAAGCTAAGTATTCAGCTTATTCAAAGTTTAAAGCTTCCTCACAGCTTTTGGAGACCTCCTCTTTCCCTTATGCTCAAGATAGTACTTGCATGTTCTGTCAGAGGACTGGAGTGACTGATGTAATTCCTCTTACCCAGTCTTTGGGTGATAGTCTTTGTTCTTGCTGTAGCCTAGCATGGGTTTCCATGCATGATGAGTGCTGCCAGGAAGCCTTTCTATCTTAACCACTATGCTCCCACCTCTGCTGTCACTGGGGCTACTGATTCTCCAGGACCTAATTTCAGCTTCCATTTGCTCACCTGCCTGGGCGGTCCACCTTGAAATCATCTGTATCTCACCCTGTGACTCTTCCCTGGTGACCTCAGCAGCTGGATACTCAGTAAGCTTCTCATGGTGGGGATGGGAAACTCTGGATCCCTTTCTTCCCATATCAGGAGTTCAGGGACCCTGGATATGCCACATCCCCATTTCTGTTAAATTACAACTTTTTTCTGTGGGCATGGGAGTCCATCTTTAGAGGCTCTCCTTCTAGACTTCCAGACAGCAAATTGAGTAGCAAATTCTTTGTTCTTTAATCCTCCTCTGCCCTCTCTAGGGTTTTTATCTTCCCGATTTACCCATCTCCGTAAAACTGAACAGTTGGAGGTATTAGGTCCTTAACACCTTTGTTCTCCTTACATCCTCTCTGAATCTCCCCCACCTCCATATCCTCCACTGGAATGGCTTCAACTTCCTTTTCCTATATTTTAGGAACTTCTCCTACATCATATTTCTTCTTTTTCCCTACCCCATGAGCATATCGTCCATTTTGCTTTTGCAAAAAAACTTTATCCTAAAGATGAGAGAAGCTATAAGGGAAGAAAAAAACAACACTGTAACAACTAGATGATTAAGAGGAAAAACACATCAAAGTGTATTTCACAAAATTTGTCTACTAATAAATACAATGTATGACTATAACCAAATGGTACAATAATATTTGTTGGTTTCCAATTCAATGACTATTGAAAGGTGGTGAGTGCTTTGGATTTAAGAGTTTAAGTTTCCTATCACCATGTCAGTAGTATGGGTGAGACATGGTAAGACTAAACATTAGGCATCATAAAAAAGCTAAAGGACAAGATACAGTAACTCAGTGGTTCGTCTGTATGTTACAGCCATTCCAGAGCACTGGGATCAGATTCTATCACCCCAAGTCAGGCTGAAAAAGAGAATGATGCTAAATGTAGCATGTTATCATTGGTGGGGATTGTGGAACAGAATAAGGGCATTAGTGAAAAAAATCTGTGGAATATGAATATAATTTGGAGTTTAGGTAATAGTGATGTGCCAATCAATGTTGGTTTCTTAGTTTTGACAAACTCACCATGGTATATAAGATGTTAATATAAGGGGAAACTGTGGTAGAGGTATTCAGGAGCTGTCTGTACTATCTTTACAACTTTTTTGTGTGTGTAAAATTATTCCCACGTAGAAAGTTTATTTAAAATAAATTATTTGGGATCAGGCACGGTGGCTTACGCCTGTAATCTCAGCATTTTGAGCATTGCTTGAGCCCAGGAGTTCAGGACCAGCCTGGGTAACATAGCAAGACCCTGTCTCTACAAGAAATTAACAAATTAGCTGGGTGTGATGGTGTGCCTGTAGTCTTAGCTGCTCAGCAGGCTGAAGCAGGAGAATCACTTGAGCCCAGGAGTTCTAAATTTCAGTGAGCCATGATCACACCATTGCATTCCAGCCTGGGTGATAGACCAAGACCCTATCTCTAAACAAACAAACAAACAAAAAATGAATAAAAATAAAAAATTAAATTCTTTGTACCTATGGACAAGCCCACAAGCAACAAGCAAAATGCAAACTATTATATTTCTTGTTACAATCTTCTTAAAATTGTTAACATTTTCCATCTCCTGAGATTTTTAGAATATTTTAAAAATTATAAGAATATTAAGAAGTGAAAAACTCTCATATTTCTTTGTGTATGTATATATGTGTATTTTCATTGTTTTACTTATAGCCCTGTTTTCAATAAATAGCTATTTAGTAAATAGCCATGCAGATATTACAAAAGAGAGAGAAAAATGTTGATTTTCTAACACTCCTGATAGATTAATTTTCCCTCAGAGTGCAGGATATTCTGCATTTAGTTTAGATAACATAAGCTTTTTTTCATTTTGTTTTAGCCATAGCTGAATTTTGTTTGTTACCCCTTCTGAAGTTTCTTTTGCTAAGATATATTTTTGTACTCTTAGTTTACAATTTTTTTTTCCACAGTGAGGATGGTGACAATTTTCATTAAACACCTTATAAATAGTCCTACACCATCTCTATATACCTCCAGTTCTGTTATTATCCAAATTTATCATCTCTCCTAGGTGTGTAAGCACCTTGACACAAAATGCATCTTGAGAACTGTTAAGCCAAAGCAGCAGCTAATTTAACAGCTTTGGCTTGGTCAATAATGTTGACCAGTAGGAAAACATCGGCTGTCTTCCATCTTCCTGCTGGTCAGCATTATTAACTCCACAGTTTAATGAGTGAGCTTGAGAACTGCTGCCTGTGTATGCTTCTGTAGAAGATGAGATTGGATTAAATTCAATCTATATAATGCCAGGGATGATGAAAATTGCATGTCCTCTTACATTCATGTAAAAATTGCTTTTATGGAGCTCTTCCTTCTTTCTGTAAACTCAGCCTTTCTTAAAATGAAATATACATTTTCAATAGGAATCAGACGAAGGGTGACTTCTACCATTACTTGAAAAGCAGCAAATGCAACTTGGACAAAATTAAATGAGAGTTCTATCACACATTTGGCTAAGTTCAGGTTTGCAAAAAAGACTCATAGAGTCCAAGTTTGGTGTATATGGTGGTTTGTGATGTTTTACATTATTTGCCACATCCCCATGCTAAGTCAATGATGGATATCAAATGCTGGGGTTAAGGTTCCAAGCCTGTAAGACTCTCAGAAACCCTGTCATGGCAGAATTCTGTACGTAAAAGAGATACCACAACCTTCTGTTTAGTTCCTTTGCTTCTTTGTTTGCCACATTGCCCATCATTCTTGGCTCCTATCTAAGATTTGGGACTCCATTAAGCTTTAATGTGATGCTACTGTCTCATCCTCACCTCAGTCTGTCCATAGCTTTGCTTTTGTTCTACATGCTAGTTCTTAGGACCCTGGCTGCACTCTATGTGGTGTATGACATTTTAAATGGTGACAACCACCTGTTGTTCTGTTCCGTGAATGTGGGCTTCCACTCATTGGGCAGAAAGAGTCCTACCTAAGAGACTCAACTTATTCCTTAGACTTTCCTACTAAAAATGTGTGACCAGTTTGAATTTCCTTTGATCACATGCTGTTTTTTATTTCCAAAGCATGAGTATGAGTCTTTAGGGGAAGTTGAGGAGCATCCATTGAATTCACCCTCAAAATTAGTAGCCTATCCCCTCATATGTATCTTCCAGACCTTGTTTTCTAAAAAGTTCATTATATAAAACCTTTGGTACCCTTGCAAAAAAAAAAAAGCCCCAACTTCGCTTGAGTCTTCCAACTTTAAAAGGTATGGACTTCTCTTGATTTGAATTTTCAGCTGTTTTAACTGGAAATGTCTCTCAGCTTCAGTCAATTAAGGTAGCTTCTGTTGTTGTTTTCTTCATTATGGTGTTAAAGTTTTAGCTCTAATCTGCCACCTGCCCTGTAAAGGACATCGATACTCCAGAGCATGTTTGCTAATTATATTTGATTAGTTGAAAGGTCATATGAAGGTTGTGTGTGTGTGTGTGTCTTTGGATGGGGATGTCTCAGAGCACTAATAGATGATGTTCCTCAGATCCACCAAGGGTAAATAAATGGAGTTGAACAAAAGGTGTTGGCAATGATTGACTAAATCACAGTGAAAGATGTGGATCTGGCCTTGGAAAACTTTTCTACTTAGCTGACATTCTTAGCTATTGTTTGACCTTGAATAAGAATCTTAATCGCACCAGCACGGCACATGTATACATATGTAACTAACCTACACAATGTGCACATGTACCCTAAAACTTAAAGTATAATAAAAAAAAAAAGAATCTTAATCCAGTTTACTGTGTCAGAGGGTGGTGAGATTCAAGATCATTATAAAGTGTTTGTGTATTACCTACTTAAGGGAACCTTTATGAACTTTGTCATTCAAATAATCTTTTCGGAACCCAGAGTTAAAATTTCCCAGAGCTATTGTTGTCTGTTGATCTTTACCCAGAATCCTCTGACGAAATCAGATTCCCAATCTAGCAGTTAGGACATGACATAATGCACTTTTAAAAAAGCAAAAGGAAAACCTAGGAAAGACAAAGCCAGCTTTAAGTCACTTTCAAAGTCTCATGATTTTCCTGAAGTGAGGAGACTCCATGGAAAAGAGTGATATAATGCCTCCAATTTATCTCAATGGAGTACATTTGACCGGGATTTATATAGATCAAATTAATTGCTTTTCTGCAAGATACAGCAGAAGATGAGGCTTTTGATAGACATTTCTGAAGTTAAATATTCTTTATGCAGCAGGATGTTAAAATAGTACTCTTTCTGTCCCATGGGTGGAAGCCCACATGCGTAGAACAGAATAGCAGGTGGACACTCTACTCCCCCATTCCAGACAAGATCAGGCACATTCAGGGTGTTATGGTCGTAGACAGCCTACAGCACCCGGTATTCCCAGGAGGTCTCCCATCCAAGTACTAACCAGGCCTGACCCTGCTTAGCTTCCAAGATCAGATGATACTCCCCCATTCCAAACTGGAAATGCTGGGCCATGTAAGCAGGGCTCACAAAGAACTCTCTTTTCTTAAACTAAAGTGTGATTGAAATGTAAAACTGTCCATATTTTGGGGATGAGTATACACTCATGAAAAGAGTAGCATCTTCAAGGCCATAGCTGTATCAATCACCTTCCAAAGTTTTCTCCTATCCCATCATTATTATTATTGTATTTATTATTATCCTGTGGTAAGAACTCCTGACTTCTCACTTTATTCTATTAAGTGGTTGGAAAGGTATGAGGGGAGCTGAGGATTAAATAAAACATTTATTTGGACAAAGTTGTTAAGTTGTTCCCACTTTTTCCCACATTGGAAAGGGGAGAGGTGGATTCTGTCTTCCGCTTAAGCCTAGTGAGAACAGCCTCAAGGATGCTCTGGAGAAGTTGTGCATTTCCCAGAGCTAGGGGAAGACCGTTCACTGATGTCTGACTCACCACTTGCCAACCTGAAGAGTGACAGCTGATGGAAGCAGCCCTGGGCAGCAGGCTAAGGGGCATGAATGGAAAGGATCTGCACCCCCACTGGAGTTACATTCCAGATATCCCTGGTGTGTTATTTGGGTTCTCTGGGAAGCGGATGCTGAGACCGAGCTAGAGGGGCAGATGGTTTATTAAGAAAGAGGGGAATGCCTATGAAAAATGAAGAGGAAAGAAAGAAGCAAAATAGAGAAAATAAGAGAGCCTCAGACCAAATGTGAATCTTACAAAGTCTTGGGCAATCAACGGGGAGCTCCCACATTGGAAGGGGGAGAGGTGGATTCTGTCTTCCTCTTAAGCCTAGCGAGAACAGCCTCAAGGATGCTCTGGAGAAATTGCACATTTCCTGGAGCTAGGGGAAGACTGTTCACTATCTGACTCACCACTTGCCAATCTGAAGAGTGAGAGCTGATGGAAACAGCCGTAGGCAGCAGGCTAAGGGGCCATTTGAATGAAGAGTGTCTGTTAGAGTCCCATGTTGGGCAAAATGGCCCAGCCTTAGTACCCCTGTAATACTCAGTCATTGGTTGAAGAACCTCAGCTCTGATGCCACTGTAGTGGATTCCAGGGCTAATGCACATGAAGTCTGTTGGCTAACTATACTTTTCACAACTGAGTAGCAAGGTCTTTCTTGAAGAGAGATTCAAGCAGTGTACCTCTATGGGTACTGGGAATGGCAAACTGCCTCTCCATATATTTCACAGCCATTTCAGCATCTCTACAGCTAGCATTTCAGAGGAGAATCTACATATCGAAGCCATAAAAGGCTTTAGACTAGAAGAATATCAAAGCTGAGCAAGAATATATTATAACAGTTACCTACATTCCTTTTGTAAAAGGAAAGTCTGTGCAGATATTTGGACATTCTGACTATTCCGTCTTTGGTAAATATTATGCCTATAGCAGGGAAATGCTGTTAGTGGGGTTGGGCTTGGGTAGGTGAATGGTAGATTGGAAAGTCTTTCTGTTTGTCTGGACAGATTACTACTTTCTGTTTTATTAGAAAGCTTTAATCAGAAAAATAAAGATAGATAGGATACTGCAGAGCAAGGGTTAGCTACACTTAGGGACTTCCTCAGCCAGAAAAGTCTCCATGGGCCTGCATTAAACCTGCCTCTACATTCCATCCAACAACAGTCTACCCTGCTCCATCCAAAAAATATGGCAGAAAGAGGTTCTCTTGTCTAGGGTTCTGCTTTACTGAGAGAATTGCCTCATGTATTGTGGATCTAAGCCAGTGGAAAAATTTCCTCTTCTTATAAGTCACCTTGGTGAGGCACAGTGTCCTTAAACTTGTTCTTCTGCCAATCCTATTTCCACCTGCAGTTGTCACACTCTGTCTCCTGACAATTTCACTTGCAGTGAATTATTTTCAGCAAACTTTGGCTATTCTAGGAGCATCCATGAATGCTAAGAATTTATCTTAATTCCCCCAATTCCTCTTCTTCTTGGGTTTTGCACTGAATCCTTAACATGATTATATTTTTTAACTACTAATAGAATTAATATTAAATTAATATTTCATCCATTAGTGGAATTGATTTCTTTTTTGTATTTTTAAATGTGCGATCTCTTCTCATCTAATTGATAATTAATTGAATAAGCATTTTCTATTGAATAAACATTTGCTGAGCATTTCCTATGTTCCAGGATCTGTGCGGAATAAATTTGGGAATAAACTAATTTAGATATAGTCTCCAACTTCAGGATGCTCAGTCTTTAGCTTTTCCTGCAAATCATGCCTATAAACATATAACTTCTTTTCTGAAAAAATGTGTTGTTTTTCCCATTTAGCTTAATGATTAGATCTCTGGTTTCTTGACAGAGTGGGGAAATAATTGGTGAACAACTACCTCTGAATCAAGATATACAATGCAAAGAACAAACTCAAAGTGCATCAACAATGCAATGGTTACTAAAATGCCAGTTTTTTTGCTAGGTCACATAAATCTTGTGCTTTGGACATCCTGAAAAGTTTAGGCTTGCAGAAGTATTAGAGGTCATCTAGTGCAAACTCTTTATTTTGTGGTACAGAGACAAAAGCTTGAAGAGAAAAAAATGTCTTGCCCATAGTCATGGGGCCTGTAAATGAAAGAGCTGGGACCCTGTCTCCTTCTCTATACTCTGTTTTGCCCTGCTGTTTTTGGTACAGAGACCTATGGACCTGTGTCAGGGAAGCTGGAAGAGATTTTGTCACTTGGTAAGCTGCAGGATGAGTTGGATCCAAGGTCCTCCTCTCTGAGGGTCTCTGACTCCAAGAAACAAACTGTGAGCACTAATGCTAGATTACCTTTTTTTAATTTTTTTATTTTATTATTATTATACTTTAAGTTTAGATTACCTTTTGCATTATCCATAAATTATTGAAGTTCAGTACCTCTAAACTTTGTAGATTCAAATTCTCAAAGTTGAGAAGTACTAAATATAATATACAGATGAATATTCTTCTAGATAATTGTGGAGTGATGAATGTGAGAAAAATAGAGGACTCATACAGATTTTCTTGCACTTTCCATTGCCCTTGAATCTCTTCCTCAACTTCTCTGCCTGGGAAACTTTTATTCATCCATGCATCACTAATGCCCTTTGATCCATCTTGCAGAATAGATTGTTGTCCCATCTGTGTTCCTATGCACTTTATAGTACTTGTGGTACTAAGGTTTAGTTATTTTAGTTATTTCTGTGACTCTCCCTGGCTGTGCTGTGAGTTTGAGTGGCGGGGAATAGCTGTATTCATCTTTATGTCCCTAATGCTTATTATGTGTACTGGCATGTAGTAGATGTTCAAAATGCAGTAATTGAAGTGGTTAATAAAAACTAATTAATTAGAGTCAGTCTAGTTTAGCTAATATTATACATTATAATAAACATTTTTATAATATTTTAAATTATAAAGTATTTTTGTTTATTGTCTTGCTCGATTATGATTCTAATATCATCCCCATGAGGGAGTTGTGATTATCACTGTTTCTATAGGAAGGCACAGAATCAGAGAAGCCATATTTAATGTTATCTAATGAGAAATTGAGTTTTCCACCCATCCGGGCATCAGTCCACATGCCTTGGTCTCCACAGGGAGGTTTTCAGATACCAGGTATGGATTGCTAGTAGTTGGATAATTTTATATGTCCATGATTAAGTGAGATAAGAGTAATAAAAGTGAAGTTTTTTAAATAATGCTAAGATACATTAATGTATAGTGCTAAGATTATGTTAAGATGAAGGGCCATCCTTGTGTGTGTGTGTGCTAAAATGTCCCCTTTTAAAATAAAATTAGAGTGGCAGCATATAGTATATTAAAAAATCGTGTGTCCAAAGGAACATTGGCTGCAATTTGTAAGACATATATTATTAAAAATAATTTTTTGAAGTGTTACTAGTCTGCTAAACCTCAAAGCCTAGGAACCATAGCTACCTTTGTGGAACACCTCAACTAGTTAATTTTTTCTATACCTGTCTTTTGGAAGCAAATAATGAGAAAACAGGCTTATATCAGGAATTTAATTAGGATAACATCCATCCAAAAACCATTTAGGGTGTGTCCTGGAATAAGAATGTACTAAATTTAATTTCTTATATTTGTTTTAGCTATAGCCCTGAAAAGGGAGAGCTCATATTCAGAATAATAACTCTGTAGGCATGTCATTCTTATCAACTTGTGTTTCATTATTATATTTACCAACATGAGTGGTTAAAAACATCGATATGATGATTTTCCACAATATGGTTTAAAGTGAGGTTTACTTCTACTTCTCATTTAAGCCACTTAAAATTAATATTGTATTATGTCCAGAGCATTGTAGACAATTACATGTTTTGTTTCTGTGTTTACAAATTAGGTAACATCACAGATTTCACTCTTTTTGACTTAGAGGCTAATGCAACAGAGTGAATGTGGTTTTATCTCAGGCTACATTTCCACCCTGTGGCTGTTCAGACTGGACAGTGGCAGGGTTTTTGCCAGGGAAGGAACATTGTTGGTTCACCAGACTGGTGGCATTTAGAGCCCAGCTCACAGCACAGGGGTGCTGCTGCTTGATTGCTGGCATTTTGCTACCTTCTGGCTCTTGTCTTTATAAATGGGTAGCATGTATTTCCAATCTCTTCTCTTGTTGATAAAGACTGTGTTCATGAGCATTGGCATTAACAACACAGTTTTGCAGCCTGAGGTTAAAAGCTTTCTGATGTCTCATTAACTCACAATGGCATTTCATTTTTAATATTGTCTGTGCACACTTGCTTGAATCATCACAGTTCAAATGACTTTAATTTGCAGTGGCAAACGTAACCGTGATGGATTCTTTAGAAATACAAACCAGAGTGGTGGGTGCCACCACGGTATACTTATTCTTGGTTAATGCCTTTTCAAAATATTAGGAACATCTCTTCTGTCACTGGTATAGCAAAGTAGCAATCACATAGGCTTTGGACTTAGACCAACTGAGGTTTGAATCCCACCTGTGTCAGTTATTAGTGGCCTTGAGCAACTCACTTCATCTCCTTTAATCACAGTTTCTTATCCATTAAATAGATATAATTGATAATTTCATAGATTTGGGGGGGGGAGTGGGAAATTAAATGAGAAAAAAATATATACTTAGCATCTAGTGAAGTTCCAGGATGAGATCTGCTATGGTTTGAATGTGTGGGTCTGCTATGATTTGAATGTGTCCCCCAAATTTTATGTGTTGAAAGCTTAATCCCCAAATTTAGATGTTGATGATATTTAGAGGTGGAGGCTTTGGAAGGTATTAGAATTAGGATGGGGGATCCCATGATGGGACTGGTGGCTCTATAAGAAGGGGAAGAGGGACCCGATCTGATATGCTCTTGCCCTCTCACCATGCGATGCCTTCTGCCACGTTATAATGCAGTAATGCTGTCTTCCCCAGATATAGTCCCTTAACCTTGGACTTTTCAGACTCTAGAACTGTAAAAAGTAAATTTCTTTTTCTTATTAATTACCCAGTCTGTGGTATTCTGTTATAGCAACAGAAAACATATTAAGACAGGATTTCTTCTGTATGTTATTTTCCTGGTGGTATTCAAAAAACATTTTTATCAAATGCTTTGCCTGGAATCTCTAAGACTCAGAATGGCAGCATGCATAGTCAGTCTCTCGAATCCCTTTTTGTTTTTTCTTTCCCCTTGGCGCTTATAAGTTTCAGTGACACGGTCTCTTTTTGCAGCTGGCTGAAGAGGGATAAGACCCCCAACGCCTCTCAGGGTTGAAAGCTTCAACTACATCATGTTTATCTGAGAGCTTGGCGTTGGAGTTTTGACCACTGTGATACAATACTTTCCACTTGGTATTACCCTTTACAAGACTGTTGTCTCTGACAACCCCACAGGGAAGCGGGCAGGCTGGGCCAAAGGAAATTCTTTGGTCTTAGAGTGAAATAAACATCATCTCTAGCAACCTTTAACATGGTGAATACCTTAGAATGCAAAGCACAAAATAAAGATCGAAGTTAACTTTGTATGGATATCTACCTGTTGGAGGGGTAGCTGGTGATATATTGATATATTTATATATAACAATCTAGAAGCAAATGTTGGCTGACCCTGCTTTATTCCTATGATTAGAACAGTCACAAGAATAGGCCTGTTCTCTTGAGCAAGGAAGGATTCTATTCCAGACTTAATCCTCCATCCTGTCTCATAAGTAGGGAGACAAGAGAAAGCAGTCAACTGCACCTCACATCTTTCCCTTATCCTCTTATTGTCTGGTTATACATTTTGTTTTCAGTGTTGAGGGTAGGCATTTCTGAAATCACTAGAACCTTTAAACTTGCTACAAATGTCAGTTTTTAGTGATCTCTCCTCTGCAGAAGACATAATAACATGTGACATTGATAGGATTGGGGCATTCACAACCAATGTGTATGTGTATGTACACACACACAGACACACACACACACACACACACACAGACAGACACGCACATCAGGCATGCAGTGAGAAACTGCAGAAATGATTGGGATGAAAGTTAGTCTTAGCCTGGGGCCGCTCTCTGCAGGAACTGCTGAAACCCTTGCCTGGAGCTTTTTGCATGCATATCTTACACTCTCTGTTAGCCTTCCTCACTGGCATTCTCTTCTCACTCTAAGATTTCTTTTTTTGTTAGAAACAAGGCAGCCAGATTCCATCCTTTTGGTGTCTCGGTGATGGGTTTGTGTAGGAGGGACACCTGTACATTCACACTTACTTGCAATTGTAGGTGCTATGCAATTATGACTTAACAGTGAGTAATTTTAACACATCCTTCCATTCTCAAAGAACAATGATAATCGGATTTAGATGCCCACTTACAAAAAAGACATTTTGAAGTTAAGGTATGGCCCACTTACATAAGATGATTTTTGTAACACCTCAGATACATAGCTAAAGATGTCAATATGAATAGAAATATCCACATTTGTTAATTTGCAAAGGCTCAGATGAAGTTAATGCCTCAACCTGAAGCTTTCTGTGATTTGTCCTAGAGACATATCAAGGAATTCAGAGCTCAGAGTGATTTTATAAATCATTTAATTCAGACTCCTCAATTTATGGTAGGGTAAATGGTTGCTTACAGAAGTGAAGTAACTTGCCTTTAACTACTTGGTAAAAGAGGTTGGACTCGCTAGCTCTCATCTCCTACAATAATTATATCTCTGAATCCCCAAATAATTACAGACTGATCACACATTTTGGAACTTCTTACATTACTCTTTATTGTTTCATATGTGCAGACTTGTCTAACCTACTTCATTGAAAATATTTAACGTATTTTCAGCTATACCTTAAGTGTAGCTGAATACAAACTACATCTTAAATCCTTTCTATTATGAAGGCTAAATTGATGCTAATTATTTAGTAGAAAGATTCAATGAATATTTATTTATTGACTAAAATATCTAAGTATTTTGTCTGCATGATTCTAAGTAAAGGGATACTAGGACATTTTTTCTTAATGTCTGAATGTTTCAGATTTCTTTCTAATATATGGGATCTAGTCAGACTGGGACAGGCGCTGTATTATAGTAATTTTTAGAATCATAGTAGGTGCTGAAAAACATGTTTATTGAGTCAATGAATGAATGGGTAAGTAATGAAAAATGTGTATAAAGAACTAATAAGGAGAAAAGCTATGGACAGAAGTGTGGTGTGGGAGAGATAATTATAGGGAAAGGTTAGCTTTTTGGGAGACCTATACCCATCCTCACATGTATCCCAGGCAAGAATGAGGGGCAGGTGAAGTCCAGAGGTTTCTCTGTGGGGTCTGGGGCAGAGATAACTTTCTTTTGTATCATAGTACCAGCTCTTCTAGTAACTCATTAACATGCAATTATGATTTAACAGTGAGTAATTTAACAAAAGTAATTTAACAGGTAAGGGAAAGTAGAATTTAACATGGAGGAGAAGAAGAAGCTTCTAAAATACTGTTGGTTTCGAGGTTCCATCAACTGCAGCATTCAGTGTGTCAAGTAAGGTAGAGTCTCCAACGGGATCCAATCAGGTTCATCAGGGAGAGGGCAACTGTGGCAATTTGATTGGTGGGACATGAATGTTTATAAACACCTTGATGTCCATGGACCTGTGTTTATTTGGTATGTGTGAAACTGTTGTGCTGCAATTTACTGTTGGAATCATGACAGCCACTTTTCATGGGACCCAAGGATGCTCATCTCTGATTCACGGCTGCCTCCAGCATAATTCCTGGAACATTAATTCACCTGATTGAGCATTCTCCTCGGCATTGATCCATCCCTATGTTGTTTCACATCAACTTCTATGTAGCCTCATGGCAATTAGTATCACTTGTTCATTTATTCATTCATCCATTCAGCTAACAGTAATTGAAGGTCTTCTGTTTGTTAGATGGCATGCAAAGTGCTGAGGATATAAAGAGGAAAAGATGCATTGCTTGTGTTCGTGGTGCTCACTGCTGATGAGGAGAGTAATAAAACCCAAATCCAAATTTGACCCTGTAAGTTCTCATAGGACACATCTGTGGCTCACAGTGAGGCAGAGGGTATCACAGGCACAAGGGTGCATAATTGGTTACCCAGAGCTCACATGCAACGTGGCATTTCTTCTGCTTGAAATCACGACTACCCAGGGTCTGTGTCTTGCTGCCTCAGAAATCTGATTTTGCCAGTTTGCTGAGAAGAGTTCCGTCTCTTAGGGACAGGATTATATTTGACATGCCCGTAGAACTTGATTATATATGATATCTCAGAATGTCAATTCAGTAATTTACAGTAACTGTCAGGCAGGTCAGACATTTATCTCAGACTAGGATATTCTCACCTTGAAGGGAAGGAAAAAATGGTCAGAAGCTTCCTTAACGAGCGTGTGCTCAGAGGAAGGTTTAATAGCAGTGGGTTCTGGTAGGCTGGTTAGTACATCACAACAACATGCAAACAGAGTCAAGGGGTGGCAGTTTTTGAGCAACCATCAGCACCCCCTCCCCCTCCCCCCACCCACTGTTACGGGCCCTGCCAACTTGCTAATCTTCTCCCTGTGCTGTGGGATGTGGCTGTTTGCTATTCTGGCTTAACCCAGGAATGGTGGTGTGAAGGATTTATAGGAATGGATTGACTGCATCTCTCTCAGACTGTACCACACAAACATTTTTCTCTTAGTAGAGCATTGTTTAATTCATATAATTCATGTATTAATATGATATGTGTTACATGGCTTGTGATGAAAAACAGCAGTCTACTGCTCACTCCTCCCTATTCCTCCCCTAAGAAGTTTCTTCTTAAGTTGCTTCTACTGTTTACTTCCATTCTTTTCTTCTAATAATGTGCTTGTATTGCTATATTTTATACAATTTTATTTATTATCTATTGCCTTTCTCTTATAGTGAGGATTCAGCTTGCTAACTACCCCTTGCTCCACCCTCCCTGCCTGTCTCCTTCTCTTTCCAAGTTCTAATACAATAGAGCTAGGATCAACTGGAAGCTTCAGGTGAGGTTTGAAAGGAATGAGCTTGCAGTTATAAACCCCAATGCCTGGGGCATAATAGACCAGTGTGCAAAATCTCCATTCTTTGACCTAACAGCTGACTGAAGACACGTTAATTTACAATTTAGGACCCTGGTTTCCTTCTTCCTCAAAATCAAAGTGGTAATACTCGCTGTCTAGAAAGTGAGGGTGAACAATAAAATACATTTAAAGTGCCTAGAACTATACACCTTAAAAATAGGCTAAATAGGGAGTAAAGCTGAGGGGCTCTTTTGAAAAGTGAGGTGCCGTAAAGCTTGACTAGGAACATTTTTTACTAGGGAATTTTTAAGGCAGGCAAAAATACTCCCTTTCCCTGCCCCAGATAATTAGAAAACAGCAAACTGCCCTTAGCTTCCCCAGTCTTGAGCTGTGTCACCTTGTAAAGTACTGTTCTACCTTGGGCTGCCCAGCCCCCTTTCTGTTCAGTCTGTCTCTAAACAGGGTACAATGCCATTGATTAGACTTCCTTCTGCTTAGTAAATTACAATCATACTGCACTTCTCCTTCCTTGAAATTACTCCCAAATCACCTTGATTGGGGGTTTCAATGTTCCTGGTTTCCTCAGTCAAACATTTACAGACATTTTCTAGCTTTATTTCCCCAGATGGTTAATCTCACACATTGTATGTGGATTTTATGTATTTAATTCCCAGCTGGCAATTTTATTTCCCCTATCTTTGCTTCCTTAAAATCTAATCAAATGCAGAAATCAACCCAAGAATATCCTCTATGATGAAGTCTTTCTGGATCTCCTGGTCTAGCCCAGAGTTATTTGTTATTCATTTTCATTGACAAGTCCCTTTCTTCCTGTTACAAGTTGGATTCTCTGGAAGCAGATATGGCTGAGATGGCATTAGGGGTGCAAAATATTTATTAGTGATCAACACCTATGAAAGGAAAGGGGAGGAAGCAGGATTAAGCAGAGAGAGAAGAGGAAGAAATTATAATTCTGGCATGACAAAGATCAGTAACAAATACTGTACCTGAGTTTCCTATGTTGGACCAAAATAACCAGACCCTTACACCTTTATACCTCCACCCGGCTCCCCTTGCCAGATGCAGACTGCCCTGGGGAGATTGTGTCCTCAGACCAGGCATCTCTCTGGAGCTGAAGTGGACCCTGAAAGAACTGACAGCTGGGGAATGTCGGCTGATTACACTCTCTGCAGTTGGGCAGCAAGTCCTTCCATGAACGGAGATCTTAGGTTTCCATCTTTGTGCCTACTGCACATGCAGAGTATTTCTTTTAGGTTCTTAGTGAACACACTCATGTGTATAGTTAATTGATTGTTGTCTACCTTTTCCACAGGCCTGTGAGCTCCCTCTCACTGATCTTTTGTTCCTCGCCTCCACCACTTAGTGCATAATGAACATCCAATAAACTATTAAATAAGCATTCCACAAATAGGCATAAAACCAGTGTTTATTTTCATGTTCAACTTCTGGAGTTATTTCTATCACTGTATTCATCACCGTAATGTGAAGTGTAGAAAACTATTTTCTGTGCCCCTCTAGGGTGCCAACCACTGCGCTAAGAGCTTCTGGGCACCATGCTGAGAGCACTTTTTGGGTTAAGACCTGTGTTTTCTCTGGCTTCCATATTAAGAGTCCAACCCAATGTCGAATAACATAGGCCACCCCCAAGTTGAGCCCCACTGCAGCCGCTCTACTTTTCAGTTGCTGCCGCACTACAGTAAGGAGAGTGCTCTGCTCCATCCAGAATGCTCTGTTTTTTACAGCATCCTGGCCTTGCACATCTTCATATGGTTTGCTTTGTTTATTCCAACCTTGAGAGCATATGTTAGATATTGTCTGTGTTCAACATTCAGAGTTGTTCTCCCTGCCAGCCTTCCATTCAAGACCACACAGTTTTCTTCTTTCATGACCTCCCTTTCTCCCCAGTTAGGGCCATTGTCTTGAAATTAGGGTCATCAGAAACCTGCTCACCCCCATCCTGCATGGGAGTGGCTGGCATCTATTAGGACAAGCTATGATCCTTGGTCTCTCCCATTGTAACTGCCTGATGAGAACCTCTTGCCCACTGTCCAGATATGCCAATTTATCAAGACAGGGGAATTGCAATAGAGAAAGAGTCTAATATACATACAGTTCGCTAAAAATGAGGCTGGAGTTTTATTATTACTCAAATTAACCTCCCTGAAAATTTGGAGGCTAGAGTTTTTAAAGATAGTCTGGTGGGCAGAGAGGTTGGGAATGGCAAATGCTAATTGGTTGGGTCAGGGATGAAATCATAGGGAGATGAAGCTGTCCTCTTGTACAGAGTCAGTTCCTGGGTAGGGGCCACAAGATCAGATGAGTCCATTTACGAGTCTGAATGATGCCATCTGATCCATCAGAATGCAGGGTCTGAAAAATACCTCAAACACCAATCTTAGGCTTTATAGTAGTGATGTTATCTCTAGGAGCAATTGGGGGGATTAGTAATCCTGTGCCCTCTGGCTTCATGAATCCTGAGCCGTAATTTCTAATCTTGTGGCTGTTTTGTTTGTTTTTACAAAGGTGGTCTGGTCTCCAAGAAAAGAAAGGATTTGTTTTGGAGAAGGGCTGTTATCATCTTTGTTTCAAAGTTAACTTATAAATTAAATTTCTGCCCAAGTTACTTTGGCCTAAGCCCAAGAATGAACAAAGGGCAGCTTGGAGGTTAAAGGCAAGATTGAGTCAGTTAGGTCAGATCTCTTTTACTGTCACAATTTTATCACTGTTCTAATTTTTTGCAAAGGCAATTTCATCGTGGCCCTCTTTTTGACCTCATAAGCAGAACTTTGGCCACCCGCTGGGACCTGCTGGCTTATGCCCTGTGTTGGAATGGACACTTGAGTCAGGCCCTCATTCTGGCCACAGGGTATAGGAAATAGTGCTCCAGGAAGATTAGAGCTGCTTGGAGATGGTTGAGAGGGGCCAATTTGGCTCCAAATATTGAGGCAAGTGGTGAAAATGGAGAGCTGCAGCACTGGGCTATGGACAAGGCATCCAAGGAAGTAACCAGCCAGAAGATATCACCTGCCTATGGCAGCTGCCTAAATGGACTGCTGAGGAATAAATGGGTCCTACGTTATCTGCTAAGGATGTATTTCCCCTCTTTCTCTCTTTTTTAATGAGCTTCTTATTTTAGAACAGTTTCAGAGTCACAGAAAAATTGTGAAGATGTGTACAGAGCTTGCAGTCTTCCTTACTATTAACATTTTACATAAGCTTAGTACAGTACTTAGTTACAATTAATGAACCAATGTTAATACACTGTGTTTAACTAAAGTCTATACCTTTATTCAGATTTCCTTAGTTTTTGCCTATTGTCCTTTATCTGTTCGGTATCCCATTCGGGCTACCACTTATATTTAGTCATTATGTTTCCTTAGGCTTTCCTTGCCTGTGACAGTGTCTTTGCTTTTCATGATTTTGACAATATTGAAGAGTACTGGTCAGGTATTTTTTTAGAATATCCCTCAGTTTGGATTTGTCTGATTTTTTTCTTATAATTAGGCTGGGGTTATGTGTATTGAGGAGGAAGACTCATTGATATTTATTTTACACTTAGGGTTATAATACAATACTGCTTTATTTTGTTTCTCTAATTGTTCCAGCTTTGGCAAATGGAGGCTGTTTCAGTTGACTCTTCTGACAGGGATTTTAAGTTTGACTCAACTAAGTCAACTCAATGATTCAGTTGGATTTGATGTAATAGGCAACTGGGATTCTGAGTAGGGGTGGCCTGCACTCTTACTGCCTTTGACTATGACTCGATGCTTCCACTTGGCAGATTGCATCAAGCCATGTGCCCTGCAGGTCTTCCTATGTTCTAAAATAGAAATTCTTGGGGTAGAGCCAAGCTTGCTTTCTTTTCCTTTTCTTTTCTCCCTGTTCACACTGTAAATTCTGTTTGAAAACTAACTGGGAAAGATCCTTTCTAAGACAGCTTAATGAAGAAATGTAGTTGAATGTACCACTTTCTCAGCCCAGTAATGCTGGCATTCCTCAGAGAGTCTGAACTTTTCCTAACCAAAACTAGGTTACAAAACGAATATAGGTTTCATATTCACAGGGTTGATAAACCCATAACTCAATGCCTGCTTACCTCCTGGTTTCAGCACTTATATTTCTGTAATTATTTGCCTGCAAATTGCTGTAATCTGAGGGTACTGTGAACTCTTGGAGGGCTGACACTATGTTTTATACATATTTGTAAACCCAGTGTCTAACATGGTGCTATGTTAGCTGCCCAATAATGTTGATTGAATAAACGAAGAATATTGGATGGGGAATGTAATTAGTTTGTTTATCCAATTTAATTAACTTGAAATCTTATAATCAACATATATGATGAAATTAATATTCAAGCAAAGTTATAGTCTCCCTGCCCTTGTTGTGGTTATTTCATTATGATGAACCTCTTAAAGTACTTCTGAGAAAAATAGTCTTGATTTTGGCTCTTGTTTTCGTCAGCTGAACTTCCCCATTGTATTTATCAGATATTTTCTTTTTCTTGATTTTCACTTATCACTGAACACACTTGTTCACTGACTTGAACTTTGTTCATTTTTTTAGATCTCTGGATCTTTTCTTGTCATGTCAATTCTCTTTTTCTTAAGGTAACTGTCTTTTGACACGTCTTCTTTCTGTTTTCTTTCTTCTTCCTTTTCCCCTTATTCTGTGAGTGTAGTGCTCAATTTTCTTGCAGCTTTAACATCAGGAGTTTGATGAATATATTAGTTTCATACATGACTGGGATGCCTGTACAAAGAATGAACAAGCCGCTAGAGAACCAAGTGTGAATGAAGCAAGGTTGTCAATGAAAAGCCCAGAAGAGGGAGGAAAAGCAGAGATTCGTCCTCGCCGTTGAAATTATTGCTGTGATTACTTGATACGTGGGCTCATGACTTGCTCTGTAAATCAGTACCCTTTTCCCTGTGCTCATAGTGGTTCCTACCTTAGAGTGACCTTGGTTAAAAATGCCTGTCCAGGTGGTGTTGGCCTGACAATGTATTTGCCTTTCAAGGTCAACTTCTTTCTTCTTTTCACAATTTGCTTTAAGCTGTTATACTGAGGTGACTTTATTTTATTTGCAGCTTTGTTTCCCCCTGTGGCTGGATCAATGCCATTGTGGAAAGGTCAGCAGCTTCTGAAACACCTTTGTTTGGTAATGGAGTGTAGGGCCCATTTTCAAGACTTTTTTTTCCCTCCTCTAGTTCTTTCTCCTTTCCCTCCCACTAAGAATCAATTCCAGAGTCCCATCTGTGCTTTCCCTCTAAATGACTCTCCTTTACAGGTGTTAACATTGCATTTAAGTTAAAACATGCCATTGCCCCTCATAAGCCAGGCACGTCCTGTTGTCAACACAGTATATGCTCCATTCCCACAAGCCTCCTGCTAATCATCCTTGCATTGTGACCGTTTCTGGGTGACTGTTTTGCTTTATAAATGACCATTTAGTCCTGGTTTGTGTGAATGCAATGTGTAGAGCTTTTGTGTCCGAGGGCTAAGCTGTAGGGTCTTGTAGCGTTTGCCTTTTGTGCGTCTGGTATTGGCAGAAAGTGAGCTTGTGGGTCCTGCAATGAGAAGCGACTGCCATTGTGGTGCTTATCGGCATTATTGGACACTAATGGATGGATAGCAGATAACGAATATATCCGAAGCCTTACCTTTCTTCCTCTCTTGTGTGTTAGGACCGACAGGATCATTCAGGGCAAGGTGAGTGTAATAACATGCTTTGTTTTAAATGACAAATCAGCTTTGGCTTAATTCATTCACTTTCTCCCTTTCAATAGGTGAAGATAAATTAACTAGAGAAGCTTTGGGATAAATCAAATAAGTGAACATACTACTTACTTTTTCTTAGGCCTCTGATGCATTTGGCTGAGTGATTTTTATAAATATGAACTTTTCATGCTTCATACAGTCAGTAGCTCCCCAAACTCCCAAGCAGGGCACCTCAGGTTTGCCATGATTTAGTTCCACCACCTTTCTAGTCTCTTTCTCCATTCTTACCCACACGTACCCTTTGTTCTAGCCATAGTGAAGATATCACAGTTCCTGTAACAAATCATGCCCAGTCACCTCTTGGTGCCTTTATACACAATGTGTTCTTACCTCAAATTACCTTTCCCTGCTATAGTCTCCCACTCTGCACCCACCAGCCGATAAACTCCTATGCTACATGCAGGTTACTGCCACATGTCCTATCCTTGTTAAACCTCCGGTGACCCCTTTCCCACCTGTATATTGATCATTTCCACCTTCAGGCCACATCTCTACTTGGTACATGATTGTACCTATTCTAAACTTAATAGCACCTAAGGTCATTTTCCAACTTGAAACCTTTCAGGAGTTTACTCTCTTTTTTCCCCCTAACTTCCCATATCAACATAGTGGTAAAATTGGTAAGCATTGTAATATGACTGCAAAGTCCAAAATCCTGGCTCCACTTTTTATGAGCTATGTTACCCTGGGCAAATTATTTAATTTCTCTGGTCTCAATTCCTAGGTGTTCTTGGGAAAGTCATCTAAATTTCCTTTGCCTCAATTTTTATGCTGGATTCCATGTTATCCACCTGGCATCATCACCACCATTCCCTTCTAAAGGTCCCTTCTGCATCATATTGCAGAGAAACAGGAACACTTTCCCAGCATTTCTTTCCCTATATGATTTCGTGTTAGAGATAGCCAATGACGGGCACTGGCACAAATGTTGGGAGGCAGGAAAGGAGGAGCCACCATTCTCCAGAAGCTGTTGCAGCCAGACACCTGGGCAAATGTGACAGCCACAGTCATTTCCCAAGAAACTCTTGAGAATGACTTGTTTGCTGCTGTAGCTCTAAACAGTGGTAGAAGCTTCCTGGAGATTCTTAAAACTTTTAGAGGCTTGCTAGTGAGTTCTTAAAATAAGTGACTTTGTTGCTGCCTACAGCCTAGGATTGCTGGTGGCTGCTTCCCAGCTTTTGTGTTCCTAGTTCTTCCCAATGTTATGATTATCTCTAATTACCTATTTTTTATACCTGTAATACATGGAGTGGCTTCTGTTTTTCTAGCCATACCCTGAGTGGTGCAATGTTCTCATCAGTTTAATGCAGAGAATTATGGTACCGGCTTCAGAGAATTAACTGAAAAACAAACATACCTGAAGCTCTTTGAACATATTATATACTTCTTAATATTTTGTGTCCGCTACTGGAATATGAGCTCCATTCTATTCTATACACCCTTATTGGGAGCCTTCTCTACTCTCAGTCTTGCTTGCATAATATATCCATTCCTTATTTTATTAGAGGAATACTATTTCTAAATGCAAACTTGATCATGTCTGTCTTCTTATCACGAGGAGCTCCCCATCTTTCTATCATCCTTATCTATGAGGGGAAGTGGAAATCAGCTTGTTGGAATGAAAGAATGAAGTCTACCATGATTGATGACTTATCTACTCACAGCCTCTGCTGTAGCCCTACTGAACTTCAAAAGGAACCCAAAACTTGCTCTAGTATTTCACACTTCTGTGTCTTTGCTGTTGCTATTCCATCTGCTGGGGAGAACTTTCTATCTTTCATCCACGCCTCTGAGATCCTAGGCACAATTTGTCGCATTTGGAGAGTCCTCTTTGATCCTGCTGTATTTCAGCCTTATTTATCAGGCTTGATTGACATATTCAATTACATATTTGTGTATTTGTATTTTCTTTAATTATGCAGGATGTTTGGGAAGAGAATCCTTTCTTATTTCTCTTGGCATTTCTAGCCCGGAAACTAGGATAGAATAGGTTTCAATAATACATGTTCAATGAATGAATGATCAAACACTTTAATACTAACATAGGCCTTATAACTTTCAAAGGAGTACACTTAGCCGTGGGAATTAGAGGCCATGCTGTTACAGATTCTGTCATCCTGTAAGAGCTGTGCTGCAGTTTATGGAACTTCAAGCAACATTTTGGCCAGTGGGCACGAAGAGTGATCTGTTAGACTGATAGTGACTGGGAACAAACTTACTGCTGTTGTGGCTACAGCAGTGTCAGATGTTTGGTTTTGATCATCCTGATTAGGAGAATATCTAATTCTTCAGAGAGAGAGACAGAGCTATTTTCCTCTCTGTCAGTCTGGCCGTTGTCACTGCTGTTTCTTTCAATGTGGTAGGCACATTAGATTATGACCTCCTGCTGGCAAAAGAGGTCCTGGGTGCCCATGTCAACGTGAGGCCAGTGGGTAATGTCCTGTTGTTTCCCCACAAGCTGGTGCAAGAGAAGATGTATATTTTCAGTGATTGTTCAGCTGCACTTGGAAATTTTTAGCGAGTGGGTTTACTGCAGGAATGCTTAGATCTATTATTTACCAAATGGTATGAGTTAGAGATGGATGCTATGTGGCAGGATCCTTATTCATTTCTCATCTGCAGAGGCTGCTTCCTATTCAGCTCTGTGTTCTACTTCATTTTAAGTATTCCTAATGTTTGGACATCTCCCACTCCACTCAAGATGATTTAGTCATCAGATTGCAGTTGGGAAGTTTTCGCCTATCTTTCTGCTTTAATTGGTCTTTTGAAAGCTCTACTCCCCTGCGGATGGCAGGGAGATATAATAGAGTTTGAGATAAAAGGGTCTGGGCTTGAGCTCTAGCTCTAACATGAACTAGCTTTGTGATTTTGGACAAATACTTAACCTTTCTGAGCTTCATGTTCATGCTCTTTTAAATGGAAATGATTATAATTGCTCTTCTTACCTCCTAGGGTGTGTTAGTCTGATTAAATTTCCTAATTCTAGGGCAAACCTAGAGGTAGTATTTCTTTTTCTCTAAATGAGTGAGCTTTTACATAGGAACATTGGATCCCAAGCAGTGAATAAAACACAGCTGAACTTTAATACTGCATCTTATCCTGCTGACATCCAGTCGGGAAAGAATGCACAAGTATATGTGGCCCAAGAAGGGTCATTCCAGGCACAGTATGGTATACTCTGATGGTAGAAAAGAGTAGAGTCATTCTGCACTCTGCGAGGCATTCTTGTCGAATTAGGGGCTATGTGTATCTTATTGGTTCTCAACTGGGGGCAATTTTACCTTTCAGGGGACATATGAAAATGTCTGAAGACATTTTTTCCTGTTTCAACCACAGGGGAAGGAGGGAGTGCTCCTGGCATCTGATGGGTAGAGGCCACCAATGCTGCTGAACATTCTACAAGCACAAGAGAAGCTCCCAACAACAACAAATGATCTGATCTCAAATCCCAATACTGCTGTGGTTGAGACACAATGATGTATCTTATTTAACCCTGTCCCAGAGTTCCAGGGCCAAGCAGGATGAGCTGCATTAGGATGCAGAGAACTCTGAGGAGGTGATGAGCACCCTGAATGGCTTAGCTTAGCCCCTGGGCCCACCTGAATTCTGCTTCAGGTTTCTAGCCTAATAAGCCCTGCACTTACATCAACCACTGTTAGATTCTTCTCTGTTCAGTTTCCTTGGAAATCTCTTGTTATCAATATTTGCTAATAGTTAAGAATTTAGACTTTGCAGCTAGAATGTCTACTTTGAATCCTTACCTGTCATTTACTAGCTATGTGACCCATAGGAAATTCTCTATGCCTTAGCTAACTAAACTATACAATGGAGATATGAGTATTCATCTTATATGGTTATATGTCAATTAATATGCACAAATAAAAATACTATATGCCAATTAATAAGCACCTTGAATGGTACTTGGCACTTAGTAAGTGCTTAGCAGCTGTTAACCATTACGTAATTGACTATACTTCAGAACAATAGCATACCAACACAACATTATTGTGTGGTTCTCATACCATTTTACTTTAATTGGTCAAAGCTTTATTTCATGCCTTGCTTCATGCCAGACACAGCGTTGAGCAGTGGGAAATCACAAGTGCTCTAAGTGAACTCACAGGCAATAAGTAAATTTGTTACTATATAGTCCAACGAGTGTAATAGAACCGTATATGCTCTACTATGGTGGCACCAGATTGGAATGATTAATTCTATCTGAAGCCATCTGAGAAGAAAGTTAGTTTTGTTTTTTTTTCTTTTTTTGGAAGGTTAGTTTTTAAAAGATGACAAAGCAGATCAGGAAAAGTTGAAAGTAGAAACTTCTCCTTATTAGCCTAACCCAAGATGTGCTATTTCTTGAAGCTTCTGCACATCTAAGCTGCTCTGTCTCCCCAACTGGTATCACTTTGTATTCCTCTCCCTCATCTGCAGTAGCTGGAAGACATCACTCCTTCTTGCCCCTCTCCACTTTTTCTGCCTGGATACATAGATTTATGTCAGAAAATACATCTTTGTGTGGGAGGGTCTCTGAACAGGTGCCTTTCATTCCCTTTCCTGCTCAGAAGAGACACCACTGTAGGAAGCCCATAAACAACCACTAATCTTAAGAGCTCATGCAGCTGGCCAGCTGGACATTGTATTGTACCAAATAGCAGTGATCTGTGGAGTTGTTTGAACTGGTTCACTCTCACGATAATCAGGAAAAAATCCTTCCTGGTAAGGAGGGGCCAGCTGATAGAGCAGAAAGAAACTTAGAACACACACACACACACACACACACACACACACACACAGAGTTAAAATCTCTTTACTGTAGTTTTTAGACTTTCACAACTACCAAATGTTCTTTCCACAGAGAAACAGAGATGATGTTTTGCTTGCAACTGTATTTTTATGAACTATATTTGCCTTAAGAGTTGAGATAAATATGAGTTTACATATTCAGTCTTACAGCCAGTCTCCTGAGCCAAGCTGCATACTCTGAATGCAACAATGAATACTGAAGCTTGGCTTGATGGGGCTGGGGGTGGGGGTGGGGTGTGAATATGAAGAGAGCTTTAAAACTTCAATATCTCTTTCATGTTTATCTGCGAGTGTGAAAATGCCATGAATGATCAATTAACTATGGCCCATAGAGTTGTGGATAATTGCTCATTCTCTTTCAAGGAACTTTGGTTCCCCCAAATAGTTGCTTTATTTTAGGCATGGGGCTTAAAACATTAAACTTATTTTCATTATCAGAGCACGTCTTAGGGAAGGCAAGTCAGATGAAAGCTTTATTATTGCTAATTATAGTTTCATATCTTTAGAGAAGCACCTGTGTAAATTGCACATGAACTGCTGTTCTTTGAATGCATGCAAATTGCATTATGTACATGGTACTTGGCCTCTTGTTTTCTTGCATAGCAAGTTGTCTCTGAGATGTGAGATGATTTCACGGTGGTGATAGGCCCATTTGCAAATCTGTTTATAGTAATTAAACTATCAAAATAATGTTCCATTTCTCTTGAATTCCAAATGGGCTGATTTCATTAGCTTCATGTTTGGGCTGACCCTCAATTAAACTGTGAGAAGCAAATTGAACTTGCGTCCTTGGCAGCAGACTTTCTCTACCATGTCTTCTACTCTGGCGTTGAAGAATACAGTTTCACCAAATCTCTACCTTGGCATTGTTGCCATTGGGCATTAATAATTCTTGTTGTAGGGGCTTGTCCTGTACATTGTAGGATGTTTAGCATCATCTTTGACCTCTTCCCACTAGATGCCAGTCACATCCCCTGCCCCAGTTGTGACAACCAAAAATATCTCCACGTATTGCCAAATATTCCCTGGGAAGCAAAATTTCCCCTGGTTGGCAAAATTATTCCTAGTTGAAAACCACTATGCTATTTGATGCTTCATGTATATGGAAAAGAAAGGATTCTAAAATGTTGAAACCCTAAAATTGTATGCTGGACCATGTGGCAGGTTCTTTGGCGTTACCTTTAAAGGACCATAGGTACTGATTTGCTCAGGCAACTCCTGTTTCACACCTGTTGTACCACCAAAATTATTAACAGAACCCTGTTTCACTTTCAAACTCTACTGATTCTAATGGTAAATTGTATAGGTACTCTAGTTTTGGGGGAGATGCTCAAAACTTTGTAATTGCATAAAAGGAAATTAGGCTCAGAAGTTCAAGTAATTTACCAAAGGTCAGGTTACACAGCTACTAAATTGGGTTGCTAAACCTTGAAAATGGGACTAAGTCCAAAGTTGCATCAGTTGCTTTAATTTTCTCTTTCCAATTTCCCCAGAGTGATCTACAGTAAAACTCTTGACGCTAAAAGGATTTCAAGAACAGCCTTGATGGCAAGAACTTGGAAGAGTTCATCTTTCTCAGTATCCAGACAGGAGGAGAGAGAGTTGAGAGTTGGACAATCCTAGTTTCAAGTCTGAGTTCATCATTTACTTTTTTGTGACCTTGGCAACATGCCTCCTATATTTCTATCTCTAGAAAATAGAGATAATAAACTGAACACAAAGTTATCATAAGGGTTAAATTAGATTATGTATGTATAGTATGGCACCTGCCATATATTAAGCAGTCAATCAATTGTTGATATGATGATTACTAACTCCAAAAGAAAGGGGATGATGGTAGAGTTCAAGATATTAAAGGGAAACAGGCAGGACCCTAGGGGCTGTGATAGGAAAGAAGGGCCACATGAGGAGTGGGGCTGAACTGAGGACTAGGGTGATATCTTACTCATTAGTGCTCTATGGTTCCCTCGAAGGGCCTGCATCTGGGAAGAATACTCACTGAAATTTTCTAACCCAAAGCTTAATAGGGTATTTCAAATTTATAGGGAAATTTGAAAAGCAAAACACTATAAAGACCCAAAGCCATAGAGATAGAACAGTGGGATATTGCCTTGGAAGGTTAGCACAGGAGTTAAAATGTCAGCGGTTAAGTTCTTTCCAGAGCCAAGCAGTGTGTGTTCTTCAGCCAGCCATTCTTCTCCTTTGAACCTTAGTTTTCTCATTGTAAAATGAAGAATTGTGACTAAGCCTTAGTACCTTAAAAAAGTCACAAAATGACTTTATAGTAATGCGAAAAGAGTACCAACAGAAACAATACAGCCAGCCACAGCTCTATTATCTCTCCAAATGACTTATATTTTGATTCAAAATTATGTGAATCTAAGGGGTTATCACTGGGTAGCGGCAATATGACTTTCATTTTAATTTGTGTGTGTGTGTTTACTTATATTTTCTAAATATTCTAATGTGCATATTTATTATTTTTCAAATCAGAAACTATTCAATGCTGCTAAATTTTTTTTTTAGTGTATGAAACTGCAAATTTAATAGACTGGTGGGGGAATACTCCCTACCTAGAAAACAACTTCCTGCATGTCTTACTACTTAGAAAGTAGGCAGTGTGCAGCCCTGCTTGGCTTGTGGAGTAATATAGTGTGGAACATGCTAATAAAGACAATGTATGACATCTACTGGCTCCAGCCCCCACCTGCATGTGCACAGGTGCCTGGTGTGGTGTCATTGTCCTGGTCTTTCATTTTGGGGAAAACAAATGCATATGTCTTTTGGCTCATTTGAATCAATGGGTTTCAGTGTACCATATTTTACTTTTTCATTTTTTACATATATTAATAATCACTAAGCATTGCTCTAAGACATTGCAGTGTTGCATAGAAACTATTCTACCAAAACAGATGCAAATGTTTCTTAGAAATCCTTCCAAAATCCTTCCTTTTGTAAGAAAGCTTCTTACAAAAGCCTTGCTACAAAAAAGATAGCGATTTACTTCTCAAAAGTAATAACAATTCCTATTCTTTATAGAGAAGAAAAGAAGGCCTAGATAAGTTTTGATGTTCCAGAATGTGGAAACACCAGGTCATTCAGAAATTGAGGAAATTTTAGGAATGCACTGGTTTCGTTCATTTATTTACTTCATTCACAAATATCTGAACTACCAAACCAACTTAGAAAATACCTTCTACATTGATTTACTTAAAATCAAGTAAGCCAGAGGAGTGATCTTGACTATTATTTTTATCATTAATTTGACTACATTGTCTGTTTTATGGCTTTGTTTACCCAAAAGAGTCTTTGAAAATCTGTCAGTATTTTGGCTCCTGGACTCATATGGTCCCCATAGGAAGCGCTGTAATAGTTATGGTCTCACATATGTATCAGTTCCAATTCTACCACTTTGAAGTGTTAGTTAAAATTTATTGTTCAAACTTCTTCTATCAAGCGGGAGTAATATCTATCTTAAAGGATTATTTTGAGGAGTAACTGGATATAAATTGCTTACAAGAATGCCTGGCATAGTAAGAGCTCAGTGACATTTAGCTTTTATTTGTGTTATCTCTCATGAAAAGGCTTGCATTCTATCAGTGAAAAACATGAAACAAAATAAACTTGTCTAAAACAAGACACAGCAGCAAAAATGATCTTCCTTCTATCTATTTAGTTTCCAGGGTTTATTCAATAATTTCCAAGGCTATAGTTTCTTATAATTCAGACTATTCTTCCACCTTTCCTATTTATGTACATTATGGTTCATTGCATGAAAAAGAATTACCTAAAACTTTTCTTCCTGTCTTGTGAATGAAATGTCCTCTGTCCGTTTCAACTCCCAGTAATCTCTTTCTGCTACAAACTGAAAGTGTTTCTTCATCTCAATCTGATTCATTCATTCATGAAACACTTGCAAGCCAGCTCTGTGCCATGTCCCACTCCCTAAAGATATTGTATAAACCATACAGAAAATGTCACTGTCCTCAAAGAGCTTGTCTTGGGGACCATGGTCTGTATAATGTTTTTTGAAATTTTTATGTATCTTTTATTGTTGGTTAGGTTGTTATCCTTCTGAGGTAGAATCCGCTTCCCTGTACCTGACATGGTTATTTGTGCATCCATTACAGGTGCTCAAAAAGTACTTGAATAATAATTATAAAAACCATAGCATTCTCTATTGAGCTTTTGGTATACCAAGCCTTATGCTTTAGATACGAAACTTCACTTAATTCTCACAATTCTGTAAGGTTGGTGCTATTCTCCTTATTTCATAGTTCAAGAAAGCAGGGACAGCAAGGTTAAGTAACTTCCCAGGGTCTCAGAGCTGGTAAGTGAGGGAATCTGGATTTGAATTCAGGTTAATCTCATTCTAGAGCCCATTTTCTTAACTTGTTTTGCTATACTAGATGAATAGATGCATGGCTACCTGCATAATTAGGTGAACAAATTTAATGTATAGGAAGTTTACATTATGTATATATCCTGGATTTCCTCTAATTCTCTCTTTGCTGGTTTCTCCTCACTTGCCTGAGTTCTAAACATTAAAATGTCCCAGGACTCTCTTCATGGACTTTTCTTTCTGTTTATACTCACTCCCTTCGTGATCTGATCTTGTTCTGTGGTTTTAGATAGCATCTATGTAGAAGTGATGCCCATGTTTACATCTGATTTCAGCCTAGACTGATATTTTACTGATTGCTTTATATCTCCACTTGACGTTGAAAATGAATGCAAAATTTAACATGTCCCAAAATGAGCTCCAGTTATTCCCCAACAACTTGCCCTCCCCAAACCTGCATCTTCTTTAGTCTTTCCCATCAATTAAAGGCAATTATTCCAGTTGCTTAGGCTGAAACCTCTGGAGTCATTCTTAATTTCTGTTTCTTCCATTGCAATTTCAATTCATTAGTAAATCCTGTTGACTCCCTGCAAAATACATTTAGACTCTATCTGGTCACATCTTCGCATTTTTATTGTCATCATCTTGTTTAAGCCCCCATAAACTTTCACCTCTGTTATTGCATTAGTCTCTTAACTCTTCTCTCTGTTTCTGCCCAATCTCTTTTGCAAACCACTCCTAATATGGTCCTGTTAAATTGTAAATCAGATCATGTTATTCTTCTTCCTAGACCTTTTCAGCTGCTTCCCAGTTCACTCAGTGTAAAAGCAAAGCTTGGAAGCCCTACCTAGTGAGCGATGCCCTTACCTCCCTGATCCTGTCTCCTCCTGATTCTCCCCATGCTTAGCCTCCATGCTGGCCTCTGTGCTGACCTGCCAACACAGCAGACAGGCTTCTCCATTTGGGCCTTTGAAATTACTCTGCATGGCTCATTCCCTCACCTCTTCAGTTTTTTACTCACATTTCACTGAATCAGTATGGTCTTTGCTGGCTACTCTGTTTAAATAGCATATGATTCCCATTCGCCATCCCCCTTCTCTCTTATATAGTCTCCACAGCAATCATCACTGTCTAAAATACTATCCAGTTTATGAACAATAGATGGCAAGTAGTATAAAAGCAGGGATTTTTGCCTGTTGCGTTGGTTGTCCCAGTCACTATAGAACATTGCCTGGAATATTCTATGCACTCATTCAGTGTTTGTTGAATGAATGAATAAATTGTGTATTTACTTTGTGTAAGGCATTGTGTTGAGCAGTCTACATTCATTATTAAATTGTAAAATATTCACCGTGATCCTTTGAGTTAAGTAATCTTACCAAACATCCTTTATAGATGAGAAACATGAGCTTGAGAGATTAAGTATTTTGCTCAAGGTCACACAGCTAAGTATGACATAGGTCTGCATAACCTCACAAACAATTACATTCTGCTGGCTTTTGTATGCCAGCCCAGATTTTCCACCCCAGCCCTTCTTAGAAATACAGGCAATTTTAGGCTTCTTGGGCTTTTCCTTCCTGTGGGCTATG
This sequence comes from Homo sapiens, assembly GCF_000001405.40. Classification (NCBI taxonomy): domain Eukaryota; kingdom Metazoa; phylum Chordata; class Mammalia; order Primates; family Hominidae; genus Homo; species Homo sapiens. The sequence goes on from NC_000011.10 coordinate 21,026,991, forward strand.
ACATGGCATTTCCCAGCATCCTGGGAAAGATTAACAAGCATTCCTTGGGAGAAGGGGTAGAATCAATGCTAGCATTTATTTTCCTCTCACTGAGCATTAAAGGAAGTAGATAAAGCAAGGTTTAGGACAAAAATTCATTTTAAATGAAATTTATATGAAAAGTGCTAAACACTTTGTTCTAGTTCTGGCAAGGCAATAACTCTGCCATGAGACAGAATGCCAGTCTGTCTCACAGGGCACCTCTACTTGGATCATCAAAAAGGGAGTTCCTGTGGTTAATCTGGGAAAAGCCTAGTTTAGTTTAGTTTAGTTTAGTTTAGTTTAGTTTAGTTTAGTTTAGTTTAGTTTAGTGGTTTCATCTCTATTTCTGGTTTTCTATCTAGTTTTTATGATCCTGGATGTTTTTTTATTGCCAGCTAGTGATACACTAGTGATTATTAACAAAGGTAAATGAAACAAGATTCCAAGCTGCCAGAATAAACAAATCCATAATTACATGAAGTCCATTCCTAGAGATCCTCTTTGTGAATCTTCACATTAGGCCATAGTTGACACTGATCTTCATGCTTGTTTTTCTTCACTGCAGGTATCTCTCAAGGATGTTGATGGGATTATATACAAATAATGCTTTGGCTCTCTCAGAGTTGGCAGATCTCAGCAATAACCACCTCTTAGGTTCTGGGATTCTTCAAATAAGACCAGTGGGGAAGGGCCGTTTTAAAAATAATTTCTGACTGTTTACAGTTCCTGAAGGACTTTTTCTTCTTGTTTTGATTTTTAGCAAAATGCAGTTTAGTTTCCCTGAAACCTTAACAATCTGGAACAGTTCATTGTTGAACAAAAATGTTCAGTTAAAAGGCACTACAAGGAGTTGTATTGCTGGGTGGGCCTGGCAGTGGAGAAGATAGTGAAGCTGAGCTGTGCTTCATGCAATGCTGAATTGCTGCTGCTGCAGTGTGTGTTTTTTTCTGGAGTCTAACTCATGCACACATTTTATAAAAAGTTAGGTGTATTCAAGTCTGCAGCAAGAATATGTCCCCATACTCAGTTCTCAGAAACTTTGTTCGCTGAAGAACGAGCTGAAAATAGAGTAAAAACAAAATGTAACCATGTAAAAATCTTGTGTACCCACACCCTAGAAGCCATTCTATATTTCTGAAGGGATGTAAGAGTGTCACCTAGCACATAAGATGTCCTTGTTTGGGGCTGTTCCTTGGATATTTTAATTTAATTAGTCCAGAGAAAATAGCACATCAGCATTTTATTTTAATGCTCTCCCGGTGATTCTAACATGCAGCCAGGATTGAGAACCTCTGCTTTAAGCCACCTCTGGGCTGGGTGGGAAGAGAATAATTACCTCTTGCAGGCTTAATGCACTTTGGCCAGAGAAAATCTGACCCATTCAGAGCTAAGAAAACATTTACAAAACAGGGGCTTTAAATCAGTGACTCCATGCTGAAGACCTAAATTGGCATTTCAAAGTGCAGTGATAACAGGTAATGCCCACTGACGAAATGAAAAGCTAGGATTGCCAAAGCAGTTTAATTAATATATTTCCCCAAGAATCTACTACAACTGTCCCAGTCTGATTTTATTCTCTTTTGCTGCACTTCTCTCCCATTTTCCCCTATCAGTTGTATCCATGCTCTCTCTACCTCTTTCTTTTTTAACGTTACCTTTCTTCTTTGATTTATATTTGTCTACTTTTTTCTTTCCCTTTTCTTATTTCTCCCTTTGGCCAGAGTAAGAGATAAGGTTTATTTTGTGCTGTTTGCAGTGTTTATTGAGGAATTGTATGTCTCTAATGATTTATTTTAAAAGCAAATTAGCTGGGCAGTTTTTATTTCTCTTAATTTAAAAAGCTCTCAAGTTATTATTATTTTATTTGTATATTGCCCTTAAAAGTTTATAACCCCTAACTCTGCTCTTTCCCTCTGGTGGTTTCTGGAATTTAGTAGAAACAGATTCCCTGCCTAAGCTGTTACAACATAAGTTAAATTGGAATCACCTGAGCCAGTTACTGCTCCTTTCCAATTCTCTGTATTGTAGATTTGTAAGTGTTGACTTTAATGTTTCTGAAACCAAGCAGAGAAGTACACAGATTTTTGCTTCTTTGTAACCGTCTTGTTTGGGTGGTAAGGATGTGCTTGCTCTGCTATACTTTAATCGTATTCATTAAAGGGGGAAGAGAAAGGGGTTTTGTCCTCAACAAATGACACAAGGACTCAAATACAGAAGTATGGAGTTCTTCTTAGGCCATATTTAGTTCACTTTAACAAGCTTAAATTTCCTATCATAAAGTTCAATTTATGAAGTTAATTTAAACGTCACATTACAACGTCTATACTGTCTTCCTTTGATTTTTATCTTTCGTCAATTTGGTGTCTGTGTAACACACTTGTTTTGTTGTGTCATAGGTTTATGTTTGCTGAGTCTTCCAACTCATAATTTCTTCCTCAACATCTCCTCCTCTCCCTCACAATCCTGTTATCATCACCACCACCACCACCGTCACCATCACTGTGATCACACAAATGCACTATGAAAACGTAATTGAGGTGTGAATCCCTGTGCAAATGCCTGACCTGCTAGGGTTGTCTCTGAAAACTCCATTTTAATGACTTCAACTAGATTAATCTGATTTTCCAAACATTTTTTCCTTGACCAATTTGCTGCCATAAGTCTTGGATTTGGGTTCATAGTCCCAAGTACAAGCAGGAGAAGAAGAAGAGAACAGGAGAGGGGTTGAATAAAGGGCATGGAAGAACATTTGATTTAAATAAAGGCAAGAACCACCTACTGTACTAGCGTCCAGCTTTCAATCCTCTCCAATCCTCTTTCAATCTTCTCTCCATTCATCTATTTCTGTAATGGAAAAGAAATGGGAAAACCATTAACCACTTTTATTTTGATGGCAGGCGCATTATACCTGAAAACAAGATTGAAGATCTTAAAATTTCTCCATCATCAGCAAGACCTCTAGAGTGACCTGCTGAATGGGTACTTGAGAGATTGCCAGTACAGAAGTAAATGAAGTGATTGGAAGCTCATCACGATATATTAGATGATAGATCTGCACAAGTTTGGGAAAGTGACAGCCTGTAGTATTGGATGTTAGCTTGTGAATTGAACTTTAAAATTACGTTAGATATTTCTTTAGGGGTCAGCAGAAAAGACTTGGTGAAACAGGCATCTTGTATGAGAAAATTGTTACTGGCCTTGCATGTCGGATGTAGGAACTGTAGATGGCCAGGAAGGGTCCCTGATTCTTCCTGGTTCAGGTTAAAGCCTTGTCACATTGAGAAGATATGATATATCTCTGTATGGGTAGTTTGCACTTTTTGAGAGCCATTTGACCTTTTAGTCGTACAGACAGCAGTTATACATGAAATGTCTTGGCTGAGGTGCCTTCCTTGGGCAGCCTTTTTGATATTCAGCTAATGCTGTTAAACCAGAAACTTGGGTAACTGGAGTCTTGTATTTGATTTTCAGTTACATATTGGAGGCCAGTTAACTTATTTGATTAGGACCCAGTGACAATGAGAACTAACCAGGCCATTGCCTCATATAATTCAATTTCAGAGATGTTTTATTTTCATCTTTGATTTATTTTCTTATGTTATTTTCTTGTATTTTTTTTTTTTTTTTTTTTACTTATTTAACCTTGTAGGGGAGGGAGATATTCAAAGTTGGCAATGCTTTTGCAAAAAAGATGTTCTAAAACTTATTTGTTAATTTTTTTAAATTTAGATTACAGTAGCAATGTGTTCATTTAGAGAATAAAGACAAAAATCACCAATAATTTGAACCCCTCCATCGTAGCTATAATTACTATTGATATTTGGCATATTTCCTTCCAGGGTTTTACTATGCATGTATTCTATTATCATTCTTAATTTTAAAAAAGGTTTTATTTCTGGTTTAGGAACAGGGTTCTGCTGTGTTGCCCAGGCTGGATTCTAACTCCTGGGCTCAGGCAATTCTCTGGCCCCAGCCTCCCAAGTAGCTGGGACTGTGCCATTGTGCACGGCTTTTCTTAATTTTTACATTACCATCTATATTTGAATAAAAAGGGTATTATACTTTCAATATAATATTCTTTCTTAATATTCTATCATTAGCATACTTCTCAGCTATTTCATATTCTTTTAGAAAATTAATTATAATGACTAGGTAACATTGCACTGTACAGATAGACCGTTCTGTGCACTTCCCTGCTGTTACATATTTAGATCATTTTCAATTTCCATTCTTATAAATAATGCTTCAGTGAACATCCTTGTATATAAATCTTGTTTAAATCCCTGACTGTTCCCTTTGAGTAATTCTTATGTTAATGTTCAGAATTCTTTTCAGGTATAATGCCATTTCTATGAGACTTGCTAATTCTGTAATTTATTCTTTGGATTTATTGACAGATGCAAGGTAGCAGCATTGTGCACTGTAAGAAATTGTATCAGAGTTTAGGAGACAGATTGAGAACACATTCTGATACTTCTTAGTTGTGTGATATTAAGGAAGGTGGTTCACCACTCTGCCTGTTTCCCTTCCTCATTTGCAAAAGGAAGAATATGGAACTTGTCTTTCTTTTTCCAGTTGTGAGGCAGTGAAAATAATAGCACTTTGTAAATTTTAGAACACTTTACTCTTTTAAGATTTTTCTTAACATTTCTTAGTGTAGCAGATTTTTTTTTAAGTGGGGCATATTACTTTTTGTTTTAATTTATTATAAATAAATGATTTTAAACAGATGGTAAGATACAAAAAATAAAATTGGGCCGGGCATGGTGGCTCACGCCTGTAATCCCAGCACTTTGGAAGGGCGAGGCAGGCGGATCACCTGAGGTCAGGAGTGCGAGATCAGCCAACATGAAGAAACCCCTGTCTCTACTAAAAATACAAAAATTAGCTGAGCATTGTGGTGCATGCCTGTAGTTCCAGCTACTTAAGAGGCTGAGGTGAGAGAATCGCTTGAACCTGGGAGGCGGAGGTTGCAGTGAGCCAAGATTGCGCTCCTGCACGCCAGCCTGGGCGACAGAGTGAGACTCCATGTCAAAATAATAATAATAATAATAATAATAATAATAATAATAATGATAAAATAAACAAAATTGAAAACAATCCGTGTGGCTACCATCTATTTTAAGAAATACCTCTTTATGTGTTAATTATTAATCTAGGTCAGGCATTGTACTTCGGCTCCAGTGCATTGCCCCTACTCCCCCAGGAGTCTGTCATTCTCAGCATGTCTTTATAACTTCACTGGCTTTGAAGTTGTATCCTTTATTTCTTTATTGTGGGTTGCTACCCTTCAAGTTTTAACATTCAGACTTACCTTAACAAAATCTAAATATATTTTTGTTTTCCTTATAGACTTTATGTAGAATTTTTGTTGTTGTTTTTGTTGTTGTTGTTTTTAGACAGAATCTCACTCTGTTGCCCAGGCTGGAGTGCAGTGGCACGTCTCAGCTCACTGCAACTTCCACCTCCCGGGTTCAACTGATTCTCTTGCCTCAGCCTCCCAGGTAGCTGGGATTACAGGTGCCTGGCACCATGCCTGGCTAATTTTTTGTATTTTTAGTAGAGACAGGGTTTCACCATGTTGGCCAGGCTGGTCTCAAACTCCTGAACTTGTGATTCACCCGCCCCAGCCTCTCAAAGTGCTTGGATACAGGCATGAGCCACTGTACCCAGCCGATGTAGGATGTTTTAAGTCCAAACATCTCTTTGTCTTTCTTGTTACTTTTTCCAGACTTTTAGTTCTAATTTGTTTTGTTACTACCGAAATCAATTGTTATTTATATTATTATACTGCACAGTCATGTTGATGTGATTTATCCATGTAGGCTTTGCTCATCATTCTTTCCTAATCTCAATCTTTCTTCCTGGCTTGCTTTCCTTTGATATAACTGTTGCATCTGTGAGAAGTTTCTTTAGTGAGAACTGTTAGTGGTGAACACATTTGTTTTTTCTTTATTTGAAAATGACTATTTCACTTTTATTTTTAAATAATGATTTATCTTAGTGTTTAATTCTAAGATTACAGGCATAATCCCATGGTCTTTTGGCTCTCTTGGTGTGAAGTCTGCTAATGTGGACCTTGATATTCCTTTGTAGATGATGCTTTTTACCCTGATTACCTGGATGATCATCTCTTTTGCTTTGGTGATCTGCTGCTTTATTATGATTTATCCAGGTGTGGGTTACTTTGTATTAATTCTGCCTGGTAATAATTTCTTGAATTTGAAGATTGGTGATTGTCATAAAATCTGGAAAATTTTCAGCTATTCTCCAAGTATTTTTTTAAATTTAACTTCTATTTTAAGTTTAGGGGTAAATGTGCAAGTTTGATATATAGTACTCAATAGTTATTTTTTCTGATCCTTTCCCTCCTCCCACCCTCCACCTCCAAGTAGGCTCTAGTGTCTGTAGTTACCCTCTATGTGTCCATTTGTTCTCATCATTTAGCTTTCACTTATAAATGAAAACATGTGGTATTTGATTTTCTGTTTCTTTATTAGTTTTCTAAGGATAGTGGCCTCCAGCTGCATCCATGTCTTTGCCAAGGACATGATATCATTCTTTTTTTATGGCTGCATAGTATTCCATAGTGTATATGTACCATATATTTTTTTAATCCAGTCTACCATCGATGGGCATTTTGGTTGATTCCATGTCTTTTGCTATTGAAAATAGTGCTGCAATGAGTATACACGTGCATGTGTCTTTAATATAGAACAATTTATATTCCTTTGGGTATATACCCAGTAATAGAATTGCTGGGTCGAATGGTATTTCTGTTTTTTGTCTTTGAGGAATCACCATACTGTCTTCCACAATGGTGAAACTGATTTAACTTCTACTAACCCTGTATAAGCATTCCTTTTTCTCCACAACCTCGCCAGCATCTGTTGTTTTTTGGACTTTTTAATGATAGCCATTTTGACTGACATGAGATGGTATCTCATTGTGGTTTTGATTTGCATTTCTTTAATGATCAGTGATGTTGAGCACTTTAGTTTTATTAGATTCAGTTTGTCAATTTTTGTTTTTATTGCAGTTGCTTTTGGTGTCTTCATTATGAAACCTTTGCCCATTCCTATGTCCAGAATGGTGTTGCCTACGTTGCCTTGCGGGTTTTTATAGATTTGGGTTTTACATTTAAGTCTTTAATTAATCTTGAGTTAATTTTTATATATGGTGTAAGGAGGGGATCTAGCTTCATTCTTCTGCCCATGGCTTCCCAGTTATCCAGCACCATTTATTGAAGTGGGAATCCTTCCTCCATTGCTTGTTTTTGTCACGTTTGTGAAAGATCAGATAGTTATAGGTACGTGGCCTTATTTCTGGGTTCTGTATTCTGTTCCATTGGTCTGTGTGTCTGTTCAGGACCTGAACTGAGCACTGGATCAAATCAACCACAGAACTCTCTACCCAAAAATAACAGAATATACATTCTTCTCATTGCCACATGGCACATACTCTAAAATTGATCACATCATTGGAAGTAAAACACTCCTGAGCAAATGCGAAAGACCTGAAATCATAACAAACAATCTCTTGGACTACAGTGCAATCAAATTAGAAATCAATACTATGAAATTTACTCAAAACCATACAGTTACATGGAAATTTAATAATATGCTCCTGAATAGCTTTTGGGTAAATAATGAAATTAAGGCAAAAGTTAAAAAGTTCTTTGAAACTAATGAGAATAAGGATACAACATACTAGAATCTCTGGGACACAGACCAGAGCTAAGAGGGAAATTTATACCACTAAATGCCCACATCAAAAAGCTAGAAAGATCTCAAGTTAACCTAACATCACAACAAACAGAACCAGAGAACCAAGGTCAAACAAATCCCAAAGCTAGCAGACGACAAGAAATAACCAAGATCAGAGCTGAACTGAAGGAGATTGAGACACAAAAAAATTTAAAAGATCAATGAATCCAGAAACTCATTCTTTGAAAAAACTCAGGAAAATAGACTGCTAGCTAGACTAATAAAGAAGAAAAGAGAGAAGATTCAAATAAACACAATCAGAAGTAATAAGGGGGATAATACCACTGACCCCACAGAACTACAAACAACCATTAGAGGAGTCTATATATATAAACTGGAAAATGTAGAAGAACTGGATACATTCCTGGACACATACACCCTCCCAAGACTGACCCAGGAAGAAATTGAATCCCTGAATAGACTAATCATGAACTCTGAAATTGAGTCAGTAATAAGTAGCCTACCAACCAGAAACAAGCCCAGGATCAGACAGATTCACAGCTAAATTCTACCAGATGTACAAAGAAGAGCTGATACTATTCCCACTGAAACTATTCCAAAAATCGAGGAGGAAGGACTCTTCTCTAACATGCTATGAGGCCAGCATCATCCTAATACCAAAACCTGGTAGAGACACAACAAAAAAAATAAAACTTCAGGCCAATATCCTTGATGAACATTGACGCAAAAATCCTAAAAAAAAAAAAAAAATAAAACTGGCAAATGAATCCAGCAGCACATCAGAAAGCTTATTCACCACGATCAAGTAGGCTTTTTCCCTCGAACGCAAGCTTGGTTCAACATATGTGAATCAATAAATGTGATTCATCACATAAATAGAACCAAAGACAAAAGGCACATGATTATCTCAATAGATGCAGAAAAAGCTTTCAATAAAATTCAACACCCCTCATGTTAAAAAGTCTCTATAAACTGGGTATCGAAGGAACATACTTCAAAATGATAGGAGCCATCTATGACAAACCCACAGCCAACATCATACTGAATGGGCAAAAGCTGGAAGCATTTCCCTTGAAAACTGGCACAAGACAAGGGATGCCCTCTCTCACAACTCCTATTCAACATAGTATTGGAAGTCTTGGCCAGAGTAATCAGGCAAGAGAAAGATATAAAAGGGCATTCAAATAGGAAGGGAGGAAGTCAAACTATCCTTGTTTGCAGACTACATGATCTTGTAAGTAGAAAACCCCGTAGTCTCAGCCCAAAAGCTTCTTAAGCTGATAAACAACTTCAGCAAAGTCTCAGGATACAAAATAAATGTGCAAAAAAATTAACGTTACTATGCACCAACAACAGTCAAGCTGACAGCCAAATCAGGAATGCAGTCTTATTCACAATTGCCACACAAAAAATAAAATACCTAGGAATACAGCTAACCAGGGAGGTGAAAGATCTCTATGAGGAAACTACAAAACACTGCTCAAGTAAATCAAAGATGACATAAACAAATGGAAAAACATCTCATGCTCATAAATAGAAGAATTAATATCATTAAAATGGTCATACTGCCCAAAGCAGTTTATAGATTCAGTGCTACTCCTATCAAACTACCAACGACATCCTTCACAGAGCTAGAGAAAACTATTTTAAAATTTATATGGAACCAAAAAACAGCCAAATAGCCAAGGCAATCCTAAGCAAAAAGGACAAAGCTGGAGGCATCACACTGACTGCAAACTATATTACAGGGCTACAGTAACCAAAACAGCATGGTGTTCTTCAAGTATTATCTCTTTCCCATATTCTCTATTTTCTCTTCCTTGGAACTCCAATTAGACTTGCATTCTGCCTTTGAAGTCTCTCAATCCTGATTTCCACACTTTCCATTTTCCTCTGCTGCACTCTTGGAAATTTATTTAGATCTCTCTGCCAGTTAATGAATTCTTCCTTTAGTCACTGAATTCATAATTTCAGTGATCTCTCTCTCTCTCTGTCTCACACACACACACTCACACACACAAACACACACACTTCTAGAAATTCTGTTAGTTTAAAATTTTGTTTTCTGGTTTCCTTTGATAGGATCTTTTTCCTTTGTTGTATTTTTAGTCCATGTTAAATTTTTAAAAACATGAAAAACATTTATTTTTATGACACGTATTAGATAATACTATTATCTAATGTTATTATTAGTCTTATTTCACTGTTTACTCATGTTCTACTTACTTTCACTCATAGTGTCTTTTTTTCTTATTCATCTAGTAGTAATTTTGGATTGTGAACTTATTTTCAGCAGCAATTATCATAGGGATCCTGTGAAGCCTGGATTAAGGATGTACCTGCAAGTACCAGTACTGTTTAATAGAAATTTCCACGGTGATGAAAATGTTTTATATCTTCAGGGTTCATTAATAGTAGCCACTAGCCACATGTGATTATTGAGCTCCTGAAATGTGGCTAATGTGAGAAGCCAATTTTGTAACTTAATTTAATTTTAATTAATTAAAAATGTGAATTTACCCACCTTACTGGATAGTGCAGGTCTAGAGAGCTTTGCTTTGGCTTCTTCTAAGTGCATTTGGGAACTGCTAACCTTGGGCCACTCTATGTTAATTTTTTGGAAATGGCTATCTCACTCTACACAAATAAATAAATTTGACCTTGAAACTGTCAGTGTAGGCCTGTGCTTATACAATTCTAGGGGATATTTTTATATATACAAGGAAGACATATTCCTCATTATCCATCTCCCTTTTCTGGTGGGCAGATAAATTTTTAGTCCACATGTTCCCCGATGTATGCCTAGTTTTTTATATGCATACATTGCATATGCATAGAGCCCCAGCTTTATTTAAGGATTTAATTTTCCATTTTGAGAAAATCTAAATCCTTCTCTGCTTTCCCAAACAGTCATCGAAACCTGGTTATAGAGATTGGTAAACAGCTCCAAACAGTTATTTGGGCAGCAACCACTTATATCTCTCTTTTCAGTCCCTCCCTCCTTTTTTTGACCCCTGCAAACTTCCCTTAAATTCTTACAAGCTCAGAGAGTCATCTGAAGAAGGGTTTGCTATATTTTATCCAACATTACTGTTTTGTAATACGCAGTTTTCAGGACATGTATTCTGCCTTATTGCTGGAAATGGAAGTGTCCCCAGTTCTTTTTGACTGATTAATTTCTTTATTGTGGACAGGTATTGGTAGATTTTCTTGCTGGGCATGAAGAGAGATGTTTGTTGGTTGTTAAATAACAGAACAGGAATGTAAAAATGTTCCTTTCATGGGCCATTAAATTCAGGAAAAAAATAGATGAAACATGATACTATGTATTGGCAACTGAATGCTGTTTATGTGTTTATAGTTAGGGTTTAACATACCTGGCTTATAAGCGAACTGCAAGCATCCATTCTCCCAGCTGCATCAGGGCACAAAGGATTATTAATATATGAGCCACGAGTCCATGTTGTGAAGGTCATATTGCCTTATTGCAACTGTACAAAAGGCCTGGAAGATAATAATGAGATTCAATCAGTGAGGCAATAGATCATAAATGCTTTTGTTGTTTTATGTGTTTTTGGTTGTATTTGGAAAGATAATCTTGGTTTGATGAGTCTATTGGTTATAACTAGTCAATATGTTTTCTATGACTCTCCATTTAAAAATGCATATGTAAATTAGATGCTAACACAAGAAAAACAACTATATGATACAGAAACAGAAGGCCAAGGGTAACTTCTACTAGAAAGAGAAGTATATAACTATATTTGGACTGAGGTAAACAGGGAAGGGTTAGCACTGCTGGCTTATTTTCTGATATTTGCTTGGCTAAGTTTTTCTTACCAACTCAAACGCCACTGCCAATAGAAATCTTTCCTGACCATCCTGGTCTCTTACTACTCTCTCTGTGCTGTGGCCCTGTTTTATTTTCTCCATTGCATTTATCATGATCTGAACACACTGAGATATAATTTTGGAGAGAGTGGGGAGGGGTAGATTAGCTCAACTCAACAGTGTGGCCTGTGGACCAATGCTGGCCTGCAAATGTGTGTTACTAGTTTATGACAAGAAAAAGACTTTGCTCTAGACTGTAAATCAACTATGTCACTAAGCATGCTGTTTATTTCAGATGATTTTTTTGTTCATTTGTCTGTTTGCATTGTGTTCTTTCTAGCAAGACTTTCTCTTTGAAGGAAGTAGTGAGTGCTGACTTACATTCTGATGTGAACTCCTTATCCTGTGGACTGTAGGAAAAAGTACTCAGACTAACCACTTTGAGTAACACTGGGTTAGAGGATGAAGAAGGATCAAAAAGATCAAGGGGGTGATAAGGGGTTGAAGTGACACTAGTGGGAGATAAATGTAAGGTCAGAGGTGAATTTGAAGGAGCTATGTTTAAGGGAAAGGGGAAGAGTTTGAGATAAGAATGACTCCAGGAATTTTTCTTTTTCTTTTTTTTTTCTCCGAGACAGAGTCTTGCTCTGCTGTCTCCCGGGCTGGAGTGCACTGGTGCAATCTCGGCTCACTGCAACCTCTGCCTCCTGGGTTCAAGCAATTCTCCTGTCTCAGCCTCCCAAGTAGATGGGATTACAAGCATGTATCACAACACCTGGCTAATTTTTGTATTTTGAGTAGAGACGGGGTTTCACCATGTTGGCTAGGCTGGTCTTAAACTCCTGACCTCAGGTGATCCACCTGCCTTGGCCTCCCAAAGTGCTGGGATTACAGGCGTGAGCCACCACACCTGGCCAGGAATTTTTCTTTTTAAAGTTTATGTTTACTCTGTCACAGAAAAGTTTTATATATGACCCCTAAAGAAAAAGTTACCACTGCTCATTGATTTTCTAGATGGAGCAAAATTCAGTATTCTGGGGAAGATGCGTACCAAGGTTTCTGGTAAACATCTTCAATATTATTATTGCCAACTGGTACAATTTTCATTGTATAAAACAAAAAGGTGCAATAATATGGCAGGTTTGCCTTTATTGAGTCCCCATTTAGGAACTAACAGAGAGAAAAATTCTTATCTAAAATGAATAAAATTGGAGGGTAGGAATTCCCAAAGGCAGTTTGAGGTCATTCTGGAGCTGATATATATCTCTAATGCCCTTATTCTATTAACCCACACCTTTCTTGGCTTTTGGTGTTACAAAGCCCTCTTTTGAAGGAGCTCAATTTTGTTGCAATGGATGCAATAAATCTTAATAACTTTGTAGAAATTGTATAATTTAACTTTTTTACCAATACAAAAGTAACATGATTATTTTGAACATGGTGGAAAATACAGATAAAATATAAATAAAAATATATTTCCTCCTAATCTCACCAGCCTAAAATTATCACTAATATTGGTATTTTTTCCCGGCTTTTTTTTTCTTGTGCCCTCATATAATTTTTTTTTACAGGTTGAAATTATTACACACACACACTATATATGTGTGTGTGTGTAAATTTAATACTAGGCATCATGTGAAAAAACTATTTCATTAGAATTACTTGTAAACATCAATTGAATGGTTGAACAATATCCTATCACAAAGAGAATAAAATATATAAATATTCTACTTCTTTGAACATTTACTTTGCTTTACATTTTTTCCTATTATATGTATGAGTTGATAAACATCTTTTTACTCATCTTTGTTTACATTTTGAGGAAATTGCTGTATTAATTAAGTAGTTGTATGCAAATGTATTATCGTGCATCAAAGCCTTGTATCTCTCTAATATTTATACCTGTGCCTATATTCCTGCCTCTATCATCTTGTGCTCTTTAAGTCATGGATTTGTTGGTAGTCCTGGCTCGGACCCTTCCTGATATGAGCACAAAGAAGGAGCTGGTTTACTCTTAATAGAGATTTTTTATGTCTGCTTGGACACTGGATTTTCTCCATCAGTATCATTAGCCAGTCTTTGACTTCTTTGGTCCTCATAGCCAATCTTAGATTAAAAAGACCAGAATGAGTAGTTCATCCAATTTCAGTAGTTTTCATGGCAAATGTTTAAACCACTTATTACTCATATTATCTTGGATTGTTAGAAAAAAATAACTGTTCGCTGACCTAATATAATTTATAAAGCTATTACACATCCTGTTTGTAGCATGAATCATAATAGACCTTAAAATTCTAAAAGGATACCATTGTACGAGGAATGATTAAGGGAGAGCAGAGGAAAAAATGAGATTGTCAAGGTCAGTAATCAGTGTCCTTGCTTTAAAAGCAATGTCACCTGCTGTGGCTTTCCAGCTTTCCTTTGTCAACTTTCTCCTATTTTATAAATATCTTTAATACATTATTTATGAAATAGGCCCTTTCTTACATCTATAAGCAAGCTACAATATACGATTATGTTGAAAGAATTTAGAGAATGATTCCTTTGGTCATAATTTGACATAGTACAGTGAAGAGAACAATGGCACTTGACTGAGAAGGCTTGGTGGAAAGTCCAAGCCGCACTATCATGTATCACTGCATGACTCTCAGCAAGTCTCTCCACTGCTTTAAAACTAATCTTCCACGTCAATAAGGTAATGCCTTACCTTGCGTAGTCGCTTTGAGTTAACACAACATAGTTAATTGTTAATAAAAATAGTTAATATAAATATAATATCATGGCATTAATGGATGAACATTCCATGGATATTGAGTTCAATTTTTAGGCTACTTTTTTATAGCAAAAAGTCAGAGAGTCACGTGAAAGGTAACTGAGTTTTATTTCTCACCAGCTATAGGTTGGGTGGTTAGTATATATTACCTTATCACCTTTCATGATGCTCACAACCACTCTGGAGAAAATGTGGTTCCAAGAGAATGTGTAAGTTGCTCTGTAAGACCATAGTTCCAGTTGCTTGCAGAAGTGGGATTTGAGCTCACCTGGGTCTGATTCAAAAATTCAAGGTTTTTATACTAGACCATTATTCACAAAGTTTTAAAAGTGGAAAATGGACAAGAAAACCTAGACCTTGATTTAGTTATGTTTATTCTAATAGTCCTTAAATATGTACAAACAAAATCAGGTGTATAGTGCTAATAATTATGGGTCTTACACAACTACAAAGAAAGTTACTAGGTAACTGTAAACAAAACTACAGTCGAATACAATTCAAATTAATTACAATGATTTAACATGACCAAGGATGGTGTTTTGCTGAAGTGAAGTCAGCACTGGCAGTGTGTGTGAAGCGTGGATTCTAAGGTACAGGTTCTTTGGGGCTGGTGTGTGCACCGCCACATGTGGCATGGTGATTCATGTTTCTCTTCTTGCTATATTTGAACCATCGCTAAGTCTTCTTTTGAGAAGCATGCTGTAAATACCATCTTGCCTTCATTTAGCTTGAATACATCATTTATGAATCAAGTCTACTTTTACGTTTTTTCTCATTTGCTAACAATACTTAAAATATAACCTCTTAACACAATGTATTATAAACGAAAAACAAAAATGGGCATAAAAATTGCATGGCAGTATTCAGTTATAAAGAATTCATCAAAACAATCCAGAATATGCTTAAATGAAAATGTTAAGGCTATTGTCAAAATATATTGTTGTATGGGATTCATAGATCCTGGAAACATCTATGTATTATTAATGTCCTGTGGAACCATTTTCAGGGCAGTGGGCCATAGTGCTATGGGCCATACTACTATGCTCATGAGCAGCAGCCCACAGGGAAGATAAGGTTTGAGAGGCAACAGGACAAGGGGCTAAGAAAATGAATATTCACAGGTATTACGGAGCACAGTATTGCTGTGGAGCAGTATCCATTGAAAGAGTCAATTATGGTGCTAGTCCAAACAGCACATCACCTACATCACCCAGCCAAAAGCTGGGGCCTCAGATGACAGAGAAGCCAGAAGTTGTCTCAGCACCAGGTGCCTGAAATGGAAACCCATTCTGGAGACAGTGGCTTCCTTACTGTAGCTACCTTCTTGTCATCTCTTGGTGGTGAGAGCCAGTACTTTGCCATACTGACCTGAGGACTTGCAGGTGATGACGTTTGAAAACATCTGAGGTAAATGGGAGGTCAGGGAGCTGTTTCCAACATAAATTCCAAGCTGTGTGTTCCAGCTCTGTTTGAAACTGTATTTTACCGTATTTGGCTTATTACCATGGCAGTAGCTGTATGATACAGAATATGCTTTGTGAGATTTCATTTCATTTGAAATGCCTATTTTTTTTTATTTTTAGTGAATCAACATGTCTTTTCATAAATTGAGGACATAGAATGAATAGCAATTGCAGATCTGTACATTGAAGCATCTTCTGGAATTGCAATAAGCACACTGAAAATTGCTTACGGTGCTATTAATAACTCATAGTGGTGGAAAAGGGGGCATGGCTATGAAAAAATATATTTTTAAAACAACTGAAGATGGATGCAAGAAAATTTGCCAGTCCCATTTGGGGAGAAAGAGCTGGTGTGGGCAATGAGAGTACTGCTATTCATTCACCAACTTTAAAAGTATTTATTGTGCACCTACTATGACTGGGCCCAGGCATCTGTGTTCATTGCAGGGGATATAACAGTAAAGAGATTGAAAAGCTCTGGCTCTGAACTTGTGAAAGTTATATTCTGGGTGGGAGATGGATATTAAATGAGAAAAGAAACAAATGGACAGATTTTAATACATGCTAGATGTAAAGTCCTTAAGGTTAGAAAGAACATGGTGTGTTCTAGGGAGTGTGGCTTTTGCTGAGAGAGAAAGGGAGACAGAGGCAGGTCATGATGTGCCTCCACCATGATGTCCATGTAAGGGTTCACGTTATGAAAGGTCCATGGGCTATGTTAAGGAATATTCAATTTTTCTAAGTGTAAGAGTTTACTAGTAAAGGATTCTAAGCAGAGATGTAACATGTGATTTAGATTTTTATGTGATCCAACGACTGGTTTTTGGTGAATCTATTGGAGGAGGCAATAGCGAAAGCAGGAATGCCAGGGAAGCTTCTCCAGTGAGAGAGGATGGAGATTGGGTGGTTGCTGTGAAGATAAAGGAAAGTGAATGAGTTTGAGATATATTTATTGAAGTTAAATGCATGGTACTCGTTTCTGAATTGAATATAGTAGGGTAAAGGAGAGGGAGGAGTCAGGGATCACTCCAGGGTTTCTGGCTTTAGTAACCGCAGATAATGGAGTCACTTTGAGAAGGGAAATTGCAAGATTTCTATTTGGACCATGTTCTTTTTCAGATATCTGTGAAATACATAAGTGGAGATAAGCAGTAGAAGGTTGGACACATTAAGTCTTAAGTTCAAAGATATCTGCTACTGGAGATATATCCTGGGAGTTATCAGGATATAAATGACATTTGAAACCATAAAAATGCTTGAGATTGGCAGAGAGAATGATAGGGCTCAGATCAAATCCTGAGGATGCTTGAAGTTTAGAGTTAGGGTGCAGATGGAGAAGCCAACAAAGAGGATGGATACATTGTGCCCAGGGTGATAGAAGGTGCCTTTAGCAAGAAAGCAGCAGCAGGAAGGGATTTTAAGAAGGAGGAGTTAATTCTGTCAAATGCTGCTGAGATACATTAGGAGATCAGAAACATATCTACTGTATTTTACTTATCAGGAGGTCTGTTGCTGGTGACCTTGTTGAAGCAGTTTTCATAGGAGTGGTGAGGGCAGAAAGCTGCCAGAAAGGAAGAGTGAATTAAAAGTAAGAATGTGGAGAAAGCATGTTAAGCAACGCATTTGAGAAGTTTGGCGTAGTAGCAGAAAAATGGATCAGAAAGGGCAGATCAGGGGACAAATGGAAATTTGTTTTGCTGTTGTTTGGTTATGTGTATGCATGTTGATGTTTTAAGATGAGCGATACCAGAGCATGTATATAAGTGAATGGGAAAGATCCAATAGAGATGTTTGAAGTAGGAAGGAGGGGACCTTTTAGGAGCAAGTGGCTTAACATCTAGGGGTCAAGTGGGGAAACTGCCCACTGATAGGGGAATGGACATGCCTTTTTTTCTTAACAAGAAGTAAAAGATGGATGCAGGTAGGAGTGTTGATTTGATGGTTGGAGGATGAGAGTGTTTCTATATTAGACAGTGTGGTTTCTCTGTGAAGTGGGATTATCAAATGAGAGCTGTAAAGTATACATCTGCGGCCTCTGAAGGTAAGAGAAGGTTTGACTAGTCTCAGAGATGGGGAAGAGGGGCTAAAAGGAATATGTAGTAATGTCCCTCTGACACTCTACACAGCTGGTTGTGTGAACTTGCTTCAGTTAGTTGTGTGAAAGCACAGAAAAGTAGAAAGTTGAGTTCAAAAAAGTTTAGAGTTTAGCCTGGGCAAGTACATCGGAAAACAGATGGCCAAGGGAGTTGAGCTTAGGAAAATGATTAAAAAGAAAGATTATCCAGGGCAAGTAAAGGCAGGAGGGCAGGCTGATGAATAGTGAGAAAGTAAATAGATTAACGGATTGGTATCCTCTATGAGTGAGAAATGTGGCAGAGGCTAAACAATGAAAGTGAGTTGAGAGCCTAAGAGATAGTATTTTGAATCGTAAAAGGTTTTAGGTGAGATGGTTGGAGCTAGCACAGTTTCTGGTTATGATAAGGCGAGGGTGTGAATAAAGTTGTGAATGTCTGAAGTGGTTTGAGGGAAGAGAGTGTTGAAGGTGACAAGGTCAAGAAACTGAGAGTCCAGGGAGACTTTTTCATAGTAGTATTTTGAGTGTTTTTCAAATTGTTCTGTGGCATACAGAAATTATATACATAGGAAATGTTTTATAGAGAAGAGTTTCATGTTCAAATACACTTGGTAAACACTGCATACTATTCTATCACCTTCTTCCTCACAATCTGTATTAGCATAATAGTTTATATTAGCATATAGAAAGCTCCAAGAAGCTCTGCTGGAAAGATACCTGTTTAATGTACTTAATTAATTTATGTTAATTTTATTTTAGAACTTTTCTGTTCTTGACCACCTCCTCATTTCTTACCTTTGCTAAATTTTCTTGGCTGTTTTCACCATTGCAGTCTTCCAGACTAACATAGCCACATTTCAGTAATAATCCTATATGGACTCTAATTGAAATTAAATTAAACATATAATTAAATTTCAGAATAACTGCCTTTTAAACATTCTTTAGTTTAGTCATAAATGCCTTTCCACGTATTCAAATACTCTTGAGTCTCTAGGTAAAGTTTTATAATCCCCCCAACACACACATATGTCCTCTCTGAATATTTCTTGTTAATGTTATTTCTGGTTATCGTTTGTTGTGCTGCTAATATGGTGATTATCTTTTTCCATTGTATTTTGTACCATTTTATTGCAGGCATTTAAGGATGCTATTGATTTCTGTATATTTACTTTATATCTGTCTTTATTACTGAACTCTTTTGTGAGTATTAATGGCATTTTAATTCATTCTCTAAGGCAGTGTTTTTAAGTCTCTGTAAGGTATAGACCAATTTTTAAAGAGAAAAAATGTTTTGAGCAACCTGACAATTTAAATTATTTTTGAGATAATAAGAAGAATATTTCTAAAATGTAAAACTTATAACTAAGAGTACACTTCTTATTCTGGTGGCTTTTAATCATAAACCACAAAACTAATCAACATCAAGTTAACAGCACTTATCATATATGTTCTTACTACCATTATTTGGCTGAATTCAAACCAGTGCTTTTGGTATGGCTGTGTACTGACTGTTTCAGCCTAGATTGGGTTTAGCATGCCTCAACTATAATGTGTTCTGTGCAGGCTCAATTCTCTCTCTGGTTTCCTCTTTTCCCATCACTGCAAGACCTTCGTTTATATCATTACTTGATGAAAATGCAAAATTTATGTTATGTCCGACTTTGTTCTTTTCTTATCAATACTCAGTGATTAA
This sequence comes from Homo sapiens, assembly GCF_000001405.40. Taxonomy (NCBI): domain Eukaryota; kingdom Metazoa; phylum Chordata; class Mammalia; order Primates; family Hominidae; genus Homo; species Homo sapiens. Next base: position 21,046,573 of record NC_000011.10, read on the forward strand.
AACAGTAATACTTAGGAGCAATTGTGTCCCAATCAAGTGACATTCACAACTATAATTATTCTTGGCCTGCAGGCCAAATGCAGCTTTGCCCATTTATTTACTCAATTATTTATTTATTTATTTATTTATTTATTTATTTATTTATATTGAGGCAGGGTCTCACTCTGTCACCCAGGCTGGAGTGCAGTGGTGTGGTGTGAATACAGCTCACTACAGCTTTGACTTCCCAGGCTCAAGGCATTCTCCCACCTCAGCCTCCCAAGCAGCTGGGAGTATAGCCATGTACCACCATGCCTGGCTAATTTTTAAACTTTTTTTTTTTTTTGTAGAGATGGGGTTTCCTTCTGTTGCCCAGGCTGGTCTTGAATACTTGGGCTCAAGTGATACTCTCACCTTGGCCCCTCAAAGTGTTGGGATTACAGGTGTGAGCCCCAGCACCTGGGCTATTTACTCTAGATTTGTTAAAAGCTTATATTTGTTTTTCAGATGATTAGAGGAATAAAGATACAAGTATAGAATCACTGTTGGAGACTGGAGGATCCCTGATAACATACCCATGAACTTTTAGGCTTCTGTGAATTTAAGTATGAGAAATGTTGCTCTTGGGAAGTCTAGATAAAACAAAACAAAACACCTACTTTCTGCAAAAAATTACCAATTATATCCCTTTCTTTTCAGTTGCTATATATGTTTGTCAGCCAGAACTTTCTGATGGTAGCTCATGTTTGAAAAAATGATAGTATGCATCCCCCCGTTTTTTTGTTTATAATTTAATGGAAATACTTTTTTATAATACAATTTTATAATAATTGGTGTCAAATTTTACCACATTGACTTTAGGCATGTATTAGATGAACCTAATGGCTATTAATAAATGACTTCTTGATGTCATGTAATATGCTAATAGCTTTTCTAATGTCAAGCCATTTTGCATTACTGAACAAATGCCTACTTAGTTAGTAGTAGTATACAATTTATTTAACATTTCAGATGTACAATTTCTAGAATTTCTAAATTTCTTAAATACTGTTTCCTAGTATTTTACACCAGAACTGGCTTTTATCTTGGAGCTATCTTTCTGATTCTTTCGTGTTATTGTATTAGGTTTTAGTACCAAGTTTATGCTAACATATAAAATGGGCCAGGAAATGTTTAGCCAGACTTCAGAGGGCTAGTTTAGGTTCAAGAATGATAACTCACAATTAGTTTAATGTTACTTCTACTTGGTTTGTTTCGTGAACCAGCTAACATGCAGTCTAAAAGGTGTACAGCAGCTGAGGATGTGAGCGAATGGACACTGCTCCCCAGCATCTCTAATTCTTCAGAGAAGTGTGCCAAAAACTAGGTAACCAGCGCATCACGTAGAAGGTGAATGCTTCAAGTCAGGGAGGCCCAGAGCTGAGGTCTTTTGCCTTTACACCCTTATGCTGATGGCAGTTCCACACTGAATTGCCCTATAAGGCATTTCTTGTACAGTTGGGTACTACTTTCTGTGTTCTGTTTCTGACTCTTTTACCCACCCTAGAGTAGACCCAGTTATGACTTATTAGGAAACATCCATTTTTTTTTCCTTAACTCAGGATACTAATAGAATATAGGAGCTATTGGTAGTTTTGAAGTTTGAAACAACTTTCTGGTGAAAAGAGATCTGGAGCTTTTTTTGAAAATAATTGCTAGATGTCTTTTCCCATTTATTGTACACTTTTTGATCTACTCACGTTTTATACTTCTGGGTCAATCTATGGTCATGTTTCCTAGGAAGTTATCTGTTTCCTCAGAATTTTCATATTCATTTAAAAAAGTGAAAGTGTTTTTCATACCTTTGGGTCTTCTGTGAAATCCTCATTTGCATTCCTAATTATGATGATCTGTCTCTTTGCTTCCTTCACTCTGTTGATGTCTTTGTTCCTTTTACAATCCTCTCTTGGATAATGTAACCATGTTCCCTTGCTTCTCATCCTCCCTCTTACAGGAGAGGAGTTTTTAACCTGCTGGGTTCCTTTTAATTTTCTGGCACCTGTGACTTAGGCTTGACCTTTTCTTGTTGTAAACAAAGATGATTCTTGCTTTCCGGGGGCTATGCAAACCACAGGGAGACAGCCATAAGCATGCTTAGCACTGTTTACCAACTACCTTACGATTCTTAGGCTCTCACTTCCCTCCCTTCCCTTCCATGCACATGGAATGTCCACGCCTCCGCTGGCTTCTCTCATTTTCCTCTGTTGGCATTGTCCTGTTATGCCATGGCTTCCCTCCATGCTTGCTGCCCTTTATTGTTCCAGCTGGCAAGACAGAGCTCAGTGCTGCTGAGAGTCTCTAAGATGTGCTTCCCCAGAAAGCACACTCTGACTTGGAGACTAGCATGCAGGAATTTATTGGGGGGTCTTCTCAAGATCGATATCTGTGAAAAAAATGGAAGAAACAGAGCAGGAAAATAGAGAAGTTGAACTGCCATGCAGTCACAATAAAACCCTCAGCCAGTTCCACAGGAAGCTCTGATGCTGGTATGGCTCAGCTGAGTTGTCCTGCATTGAAATAAATGGATCACATCAACCTGGCAGACGCTAGTCATTGGATGTACCCCCTAGGAAGGAGACATAATTCTGGTAATCCTATTCCGACAGAGGCAGCTCTTCTCCACTAAGGGAAATTCCCAGAAAGAGACTCAGCTGAAAGCTGTCAGTTACCCACACTTCCAGAATCGGAAGGAATAAATGTTTCAGGCCTTTATAAGGGAGCTAGGCCATAAAGCCCCTGCAGTTATTAAAGGAAGCTTTACTGTTACCCTTTTCAACGTGCTTTTGATTTTGTTTTTGAAACTTCTCCTGAGCAGCCACCCCATTGTAAGAGTTTTCAAATTTTTCTCTCTCCCAAAGAAATTACATCTCTTTTAGCCAACTTTAGTTGATTTGGCTTCTAGATGATGCCAGAAACTTGTAAGGTCTGTCATTAAGGAACATAGAGCAAATTACCCCCAAGATGAGAACTAGATTGCATTTGATTAAATGTGTGGAACTGCACATAAACACCTTCTTTGCTAACCAGGGCCACTGCCATAGGGTGTATCTTTAGAGTCTGCTGCCTCAGAGTGAGATATTGACTCAATAACTTTTTTTTTTTTTTGAGATGAAGTCTCTCTCTGTCACCCAGGCTGGAGTGCTGTGGCATCATCTCAGCTCCCTGCAACCTCCATCTCCCAGGTTCAAGCGATTCTCCTGTCTCAGCCTCCTGAGTAGCTGGGACTACAGGTGCATGCCACCACTCCTGGCTAATTTTTGTATTTTTAGTAGAGACGGTGTTTCACCATATTGGTCAGTCTGGTCCCGAACTCCTGACTTCAGGTTAATTAATTCGTGCCATTAATTTGTGGCCTATTGCAGGCCTGAATTCAATGCTTTAAAAGTTAAATTGGGAAACATATATATGTTAATTAAGCGTTAGTTTGACAACTGATGCCACAAGCAAACGCAGATGTAGACATCAATCACTGGTGATGGCTAATGCTGCATCTTAAAAGCTTTCAGAGGCGATGAATAAAAAATATAAGATATAATTATCTGCCTTTGTCAGCAGTATTATTAACTTGGCTTGCCCCACTCCTTCTTAGCACATGAGATAATATGTATGGTTTTATTTAGCATTGTGATATTAGAGGTATGTGAAGAAACTGAAAAAGGAAAACTTGCAAACCCATCCCCGCCCCCCACTTTTTTTTAACAGCTTCAATCTTTCTTCAGTAAACTAATAATTTTAATCAGATTCCTGGAAGTGACAATCTGAATAGAGATTACTTAAAACTCATAAATTATATAAATGTAATTTTTGAGACAATCTATTTTAAATTGGCTTTTTTTTTTGAAGGAAGTTGATTTAATAAGGTGTCATATGAATGTTAGATAGCACAGGCTCTGAAATGACTGGAAGAATTAAAATATACAGTGTTATCTGACTCGGAGAAGAGAAATTATTTCTAAATCTTCTATGACACATAAATATTCAGACCCATATCCTGGATCAGCCTACAAGGCTTGGTTCAGGGTCAGTAAGAACTACTTCTAAAGATAAATGATTTTTAAAAATGTTTTCTCTGTTAATGTCTGTCTTCTTCTTTAACTAGGATGAAGAAATACCAGGGTCACCTCAGCCTCCTAAACTCTCTGGGACTTAGTTTTCTCATCTGTATAGTAAGGAGGTTAGACTCTAGGACCACAAAGATTCCACCTGATTCTGATACTCTGTAATTCTGAGATCTATTCTAGATAGCCAAGTGGCTGTGTCTCTATAGATCTGGGGTTCAGGAGGCTACTTCTTACAATTCCTCACCACCTTACTGGCTCCCCGAGGTTGTCCTAGCTGCTGAGGTTGATGGCTTTCCAATGGAAACGGATCCCAGGGTCAGGAGCCTCATATAGACACCTTTCTCACTTCCTGGACTCTGCACCCAATGCTCGAAACCCGGTGGTTGTCTACTCAGAGGAAAGAAAGTACTTATACAAAAAAGATACTTGACATACATGTTCATAGCAACCCAATTCACAATTACAAAATATGGAACCAGCCCAAATGCCCCTTAATCAACTAGTAGATAAAGAAAATGTGGCATACATATACCATGGAATACTACTCAGCCATAAAAAGGAATGAAATAATAGCATTCACAGCAACCTGGATGGAGTTGGAGACCATTATTCTTAAGTGAAGTAACTCAGGAATGGAAAACCAAACACTATATGTTCTCACTTGTAAATGGGAGCTAAGCTATGAGGACACAAAGGCATAAGAAGTATACAATGGACTTTTGGAACTCAGGAGAAATGGTGGGAGGGGGCTCAGGGATAAAAGACTATACATTGGGTACGTGTACACTGCTCGGGTGATATGTGCACCAAAATCTCAGAAGCTACCACTAAAGGACTTATTAATGTAACTAAACACCACCTGTTCCCCAAAAACTTGAGAAAAGTAATAAAACCTGAGAAAACTGAGAAAAATAATAATAATAATAAAAGAAATCCAGTGGTTGGATTGTTATTAGCATCCGTGTAACTATGGCCTCCCATCTATGGGACATGACACTTTTCATTTGTAGATTCCAGGGCTAGGAGTGGTGGGGGATAAGGAAGTGATCTTCACTGCATGTCTAGCACCAGTGCTGCCAAAATAAATACTTGTTTTCTCTCTTCTCCTGGCACATTCTTTCATTCATTCAACAAAAATTGAGAACCTACAATGCATCAGGCATGGTTCTAGGGGCCAGGGAGGGGGCTGTAACAGTGACAAAAGACTGAGAAAAATCCCTGCTTTTGTGGGGATTACATCCTAGCAAGAGTAAATAGAAAATAAACATAATAGATAAGTACATTGTATAGTATGTTAGAAGATGACAAGTGTGGATGAGAAAAATACAGCAGAGTCAGGGAGACGGGAAATGCTGGTAGTGGGAAGCGTACGATTTTTAGTAGGGTGTTCCTCACTGAGAAGGTAGCCAAAAACAGACCTGCATAGAGTGAGTGAGCTATGTAGGTATCTGGAGAAGGGTGTTTCAGGCTGAAGAAATAGCCAGTACAAATGCCACAAGACAAGAATGAACAACCAGGAGACCATTATGTCTGGAGTGTGGTGAGATGGGGGAAAGTGGGATGTGAAGTAGAGATTAGGGTAGGCAGGATCTCCAAGGTCTTGTACATCATTGTAAGACCTTTTGCTTTTGCTTTGGGTGAAGTTGGGACCACAGAAGAGTCTGAACTGAACAGTCACATGATCTCACTTACATTTAAACAGGATCAGTGTGGCAAGCGGGGAGGCAGGCAGATCACTTAGGAGGCTCCTAGAAAAATCCAAGAAGAGATGATGGTATCTTGGACCACATGGTAGCAACAGAGGTGGTAAGAATGGTAACATTCTTCATATATGTTGGGAGTATAGCCAATAATTTATGAATGTAGTGAGTCAATCAATAAACATTTATCGAGTAATCTTCTATATGCCAGCTACAGTTCCAGGTATGAAGAAATAGTGAGGAAGGAAATCTCCAGCTGTGCTGTGAAGGAAATAAAGTGGGTTATATTTGGGACTCTGGAGAGTGAGTGGGCGAGAGGACTGGTGCATTTAGTTTGGTCACTGATGAGGTTGCTGAGGTCTGAGTGAGGAGAAGCCCCCACATCAAACCTTGCAGTAGAGCAATCCACTTCAGAGGGGATACGGATGCAAAGGCCCCAAGACAGGTACAAGCTTGGCCTGTCTGAAGAAACAAGGAGTCCAGTGTCTGTGGGTGAGTCGAGGGAGTGGGAGGTGGAGATAAAAGATGAAGTTGGAATGGTAGGCAGGACCAAATCAGGTGGGGAATTTGTAGATAAGGGAAGAGAGTTTGGGTCACTGAGGCTTGTGGCAGAGACACCAGGCAGCTTGAAGGGAGATAGACACTCTGTGTTTGATATTAGACCACCCACTGAAGCAGAATGTCAGCTGTCTGGAGCCCATTTGCAGGAGGGCTCCCGTCCCAACCTGAACAGTGGGTAAAGCTGGAACTGGTCTGTGTTAGGATGACCCATTGTTTTTATTATTATACTTTAAGTTCTGGGATACGTGTACAGAATGTGCAGGTTTGTTACATAGGTATACGTGTGCCATGGTGGTTTGTTGCACCCATCAACCTGTCATCTACATTAGGTATTTCTCCTAATGCTATCCCTCCCCTAGCCCCCCACCCTGTGACAGGCCCCAGTGTGTGATGTTCCCTTCCCTGTGTCCATGTGTTTTCATTGTTCAACTCCCACTTATAAGTGAGAACATGCGGTGTTTGGTTTTCTGTTCTTGTGTTAGTTTGCTGAGAATGATGGTTTCCAGCTTCATCCATGTCTCTGCAAAGGACATGAACTCAGGATGACCCATTTTGAACTTAATTGCACTCTTACAGCTTTGAGCTTTCTTCAAGAGCCTTGAAGACTTCAGGGCAGGAGCCCTCCTCAGGGAACACAGAGGGATGCACTCAGTACTGCATCCTCAGTGTTAGCTTAGAAGTAGCAGATGGTGCTAGGAAAACCTTCCTGAGTCCCATACAGTGAAGGGAAAAAACCATCAGCTTTTCTTTCAGTCTTTTCTGTCACTTTCAAGAGCATCCTGCCACAGTCTCCATCAGTCAAAAACAGATGGAGCTGGAGAAATTGTCAGGCCTGGGAAGGTTTCCCTAAAACATAATTGTTTGGCAAAATTGCTTTTCTTTGTATATGTGTCCATGTTTACACTAGATCTCCTTCAGGCTGCAGGGTGCCTTTCTGGAGCGAATGTGTCTCTCTGATAAACCAGATTCTTGGTCAAAATCAATTTCTGCTTATATGAAATCTAAACAATAAGAATAACAACAGCAATAAAGAACTTAGTTTTTTTCCCCATTCACTATTTTGTAGGTTCTTCCTACGTATCTTTCAAAACATGATTGCTTTCCATGATTTCAGAAGCAATACATTTTCATTACAGAAAAGTTGGAATGTAGAAAAATCTTAAAAATGAAATAAAACCATCCATAATCCTATTACCTAGAGATAAACCATAGTTAACATTTTGATTTGAACTCTTCCAATTTCTGCCTGTGTGTTTCCCTCTCTTTTTTTCTCTCTCTCTTACCCTTTCTCTGTAATATAAATATTTTTCTTTTTACAAAGTTAGGATAACAGTGTAGTTACTATTTGCCAACATTCTTTTTCAAATAGTAATAATATATTCTTCAACCTTAAATATTGAAACCATAATTTTTAATGATTTCTTGCATTCTATCTTTTATGTACTATAGTTATCTAATGTTTAATATTGTTTAAACACAGTGTTGTGATTATCTTGTATATATATTTTTGTGAGTATATTTATTATTTTTCTTACAGTACTTGGAATGGCTAAAGAAAATGGATTCTATCATTTTAAGGTTCTTCTTAAACCTCAGCTGATAAACCTAATTTGTCCTCAAAAAAGTGTGTAACCATTTATATTCCACAGCATAGATAAGTGCTATTAGCCCTACCGGATTGTCTTCACTAATATTATAGTTTTTGACTTTGTTAATTTGGTAGGTAAACAAGCGAGAGCCCATTTTTGTTTTAACTTACATTATTTTTATTGCTAATATGTTAAACATTTTTGTATGCATATTATGCATTTTATTTCTTCTGTGAATTGCAAATTGATGTCCTTTGCTCATTTTTCTACTTGTATATTCATCTTAGTCTTTTTTATTTTTATGGCTTAAAAGATGGTCAGTTATTTCCTAAGTTTATAATTTGCCTCTTAATTTTCTTTAATGGTGTTCATGAATTGTCAGACATTTTTGATTTATGTCATACCCTTAAAATCTTTATCATCTTGCTTCTTTCCTTGCTTTTATAATTTGAAAGTCAGTCCTCACTGGTAGACTATTTTTAATTTCTATACAATTTTATAGTTTAATTTTAAAGAATTAATTGTTTAGTTGTGGCTTACCTTGCCTTATGGTGTGAGGTAGGTGTCTAATGTTATTATTTTTTTCTCAAATAGTTGATCAAATGTACCAGAACTACTTATTAAATAATCCTAATTTTATTGCTAATTTAAAATGTCTTTTATTATATGGAAAAAATTATGTATACCTAAGTCAGCATTTTAGTTTTTGTAGCATTATGCTGTGTTTTTATCATCAGGTTATACATATTTTTAGCTCAGCTTATTTTCAATTTTAATTTTTCTCTCTTTTTCCTTTAAAAATTGTTTTATTCTTCTTTTTTATTGATTTTTCTAGGTGTTCCTAATAGTTGTATCAAATTTCAAATATACATTTTAATTGGAATTGCATTAGATTTATAAATAGTTTTGAGAGTGCTAACGCTTTTATGTGAACACAGTATCCCTCTTTTGCAAGTCAACTTCTATATCCCTTAATAAAATTTTGAAGCTTATTTTCTTTTTATAGACCTTACATAATTCTTTATAAATCTGTTACTGTGTCTTTGAGCATCTGGTTCACTAATATGAATAGAAACCTTCTTTCTTCTGTTATCTGTTCTAATTGATTGTTGGTTTTATTTAGGAAAGATATTGACCGACGGTTTTATTTTTTGACTCATCTCATACTGAATGGAGGGAGTACCCAGGAGGGATTGGTTAAACATGGCCAAGGTGGGAGAGGTGGGTCAGGGATGCCTCTCAAGGCAAAACACTGGGTCATGGACTGTTCCTTTCATTTTCTATTCCTATACAGTTAAGGACTGTGTTGAACATACCACAGAAGCTCAGTAAAAATCATTTAAAAATGCTTTTTTGGTTATTCAAATAATCCTTTTTTACTTCTGGTAATAATGAGGATGGGAAAGGAGGGCTAAACAGCAATATTGACTTCCACTCTGTATACTTTGGAGTATTATAATATCTAGGTCAATGTATTACCAACTGCTAACAGTTACTGAGCACTATCAGTGGTCTAGGCTCTGGGCCAGACACTCATCATGGATTAATGCATTTAATCTTCACAACATGCTGATGAGGATATCCTCTATTTGAGGATAGAAAAGCTGAAGTGAGAGAGGTCCAGTAATTTGCCCAGATCACAGAGACAGTAGGGATAGAGTCAGACTGAATGAAGCAGGGCAGCAGTTCAATAGCCCTGGCTCCTAAAGGCTGAGCTACATTGCTTCTTGGGCATTCCCCTCATGAAAGTCCCTTCCAAGAATAATATGACATCGTATTATCCATGGCATTATGATATTGGCAAACAATGATACCTTATTTGCTAACTTTTAGAAGTCAAACTGATTATAGTTGGGATCTCAGGGTAAAGAGGTACTGTAGCAGAAAGACTTCCCCTCAGAAGTGAGGAGGTTTGGGTCCCTGTTTTACTCTTCATCTAACTCCTTATTAAGTCACCTTCCCTTTCTGACCTCAGTGTTGTCATCTAAAAAAATGAGGGAGGATTATGTAAATTTCAGGGAACATTTTAGGAACACTAACAAACTGTGGTTGTTATAATACAGTCTTCTGGAAAATCTACCTTTTAAAGGAACATTCATTTGAGACACATGTTTTCTCGCTGGACAGAAAGCTTATTCTTTTAACAAATCAATTACTTTAGCAAGCTCTTTTCTCCATTACATTACATTTCATTTTTTATTAAAACTTAAAATAAATGTTCCTGTAAACATAAATGCACATCAAATGAAAACTTCCATATTTGCCAATTCATAGAAGTACTGAATTTTAGAACATGAAAGTATATTAGAGATTATCTAGCACAGATAAGGAAACTGAAGCTCTGGGATCCTGAATTACTTCCTGAAATTACACAGGGAGTAAGTGGCAGAAATATGATTGAAAACCATGTTTGGCTTCTAGCTACAGCCTGTATTATGACAGTGATTTCCACTGTAAAAATATTTGGGTAGCAAAAACAAAAAAAATGAAGAAATTTCTAGGAGAAAAAGGATAAGAAAAGGGGTTTATGAGTTTTAAAGTTTGAAGGCTTGAAAAACAAAAGATAACAAACTTGCCATATATATGAGTGAGTGTATGCTTAATATATTAAGAACTTTGTCAAATCAATAAGAAAAAAGGTAAACATGTAAATTTTAAAAATGGGGCAAAACAAAACACATAAGAAGGCATTTCATAAGACATAAATGGCCCATTGAAAACTGTTAAATTTCTCTGCTAATCAAATATATGCAAACTAAAATGATTAGATGCATTTTTCATCTATCGAATAAGACAAGATTAGGTAAAGATCACACCAGCAGGAAAAAGGACACCCTCTCACTTTTCTTTTGGGAAGTGGATGGGAACTACTTTTTTTACCAGAGAAATTTGTCAGTTTCATCAAGTGTCTTAAAATGTTGCATATCCTCTGAGCCAGCAATTTTACTCTTAGGAATTTATCTTTAGGAGTGATTATGCTTGTTTGTAAATATATCAATATATTTATCTACCTATTATTTAAAATAGAAAAAGTCTTGAAACAATGTTTAACAACAAGAAACTGGTCAAATGTATTAGTCTATATCCATACAATTAAAAAGTAGTATTTAAAATAATAATATAGAAAATATGCAATGAAAAGAAATGAATATTTGGTATATTATTATGTATACAAAACACAAGCTGCAGATGGGTGTTTAATTAAATTCCTATTTTAAAAAATTATACCAGTACTTAAAAATGTATCCCCAAAATATAAAAACTGACTATAGATTATGGATAGTTTTTAAAATTTTGCCTATCTGTGATTTTTAACTTTTCTATAATGACCATAAATTAGTTTTATGCTAGGAAAAAATTAATACTAGAATTATTTCCAAACATGCTTACATGGTTTAAAGAAACTGTTATTATTTTTTTCTTATGCTTTCTCCTATAGGCAGAGTTTGTTGATTAAAACCTGCTATGTCAATTGTTTGCCATCTTTCAGAAGAGGAGGTTGAGTTTCAGCTTGAAATCTAGGCCATAGAAAGTTCCAGAAATATAAAAAATGTCACTGTGTACAAGGCTAAGGAGATTTTAATACTCACCAGTGGGCAGAGCTCTCATAATATATAACTGATAGACTGATGGATAGAAAGACAATTGTATGGGTATGGGACCATGGAAGGCATATGAAACAAATCTGTACAAATTTGGTTTCTGGTTTAGGCATACAGATTCATAAGTTCATTACAATTTTTTAAAATTAGAATACATTTTGAATTACTTTGCCTAAAAATGTATTGTCTTTATATCCTCCTTCAATTATAATAAAATAGTTTGAGTCTGACAGTCATCTTTTGAAATGAAAACATGATTTAATGAAATGACATATTCCAAGCTCTAAGTGAAACAAATGTTTGGTTTAGCTTGTTTAAATTAAATCGTTGTTCTCCTTTGCTGTTATTAGTAAGCACACTTAATGTCATTTCTTGTTTCACACTGTGCATTTAGATGTATTATGGAAATGGGGTGGGAGACTTTGTAGCATTTTATCTTGCTTGCAGAGTGACACTTAAGCCCCTGATTGGCAAAACTCTAATGGTGATGATATTTGTGTTTATCCCCTACTAGTAAAGAAGGGTGATCTTCTAGATCTAACATGAACTTTTTCTTTCTCCACAGTGCCAAGTGCATTTTCTGTGGGTTTTGGGGGAGATATAATTAACTGACATGTAGTGATGTATTATTTATATAAACAGGGCTTTAGCACTCTAGAATATCTTATGGAAATGTGACATCTAATTTTGATGAGGGCACTTGGTCTTGCATTGAGTGTCAGAGGGACTAGCTTAGCTGTGGGACTTCCCACAGATTTATAGAACCTAATTTCTTTCATCTTTTTATTGTTATCTTTTTGGTTTTGTGTCAAGTTCCAGGATGAGATTCATGATTTCTGTGCAAGTGGAAAATAAAATTGCATTGAATATGGACTCAGAGCCACCTTTGGTGGCCAATCATCATTTTTTTCTGATCTTCTCTGTTTGAGTACCATTGGCCTTTACATTCTCAACACTTAATAATATACTGGGCACAGGATGAATTGTGAAATCCTGCTTATCCTTCAGGGCTCAGCACAAATGGTACCCTTCTTTATGGTAGAACAGAGGTTTACATATGTTTCACCTTTTTTATGGCAGTTGCATTTTCTTAACTCTCCATCTCTACATCTACACTTTGAGTTTCCAAGCTTCCTGAGGGCACAGAACAAGTTTTGTTTTGTTTTTTTTTTTTTCAAATTTGTATCTGCAGATAAAAAATGTACCTAACTCATAGTCAGTACTCAGTGAACATTTGCTGCCTTTGCTGACCGGAACCTTGGGATTTTTCCAGCTGCTTTTCATACTTCATTCTGAATCCATTCTAAGAAAGCCTTTCTTAAATGTAGCCTTCACCCTTACTCCCCAAGAAGAATCTTTGCTCTTCTCTTGGATTTTAGTCCTGATGATACCAAAAGGCATCCCAATAAGAAAGTATTAATTACCCTGGTATAATATTTTATTTCACCAAGCCATAGAAAAATTGGTATTTTACCAATTTGGAGAAATTAAGAGCTTTTTACTTTCGGATATACACTAGGGTCTGAAAGTGATTAACGTAATATGACTTAATTCCCCTACTCTGTAGGACAGTAGTCATCTCTTCTATGCCCTATAGGACCCCAGGAATAACAGAGCATGGGGATGAGTAAACAGGTTTGCCTTTCGCTACTGCATCTTCCTTTGCTGCTACTGGAATTAAGTAGAATAGGCTTTTGCTGAGTCAGAGGTTGGAGCTATGTCCTTAAATTAAAAAAATCAGTTCATCTTATGACATCTTGTGATTATGGTTGTGCATAAATATGCCAATATATTTCTCTCTATTATTTAAACTAGAGAAAGTCTTGAAACAATGTCTAGTAACAAGAAACTGGTCAAATTTATTAAAAAGCTCTTATTTTCTCAAGAGCCCATCTGCCTGGACCCAGCACACTAGCCATAGTAGCGTGCCTTATGCTAATGAACCACATGGGGTTAGGCACATTAATTAGGTAAATAGGACCTTGGTGTCACTCTCTGCTTCTGCTAGGAAGACCATGCTGTCACCATTCATTTCTACAAGCTGTATCTGTAGCTGTAGCCTCACTTGGCACAGCTATGGCTCTGAACTCCCACAGCCTGGTCTTGAATCTTGACTCTGCTACTTATTATCTTTGGGACACTGGGCAAGTCACTTAACCTCTATGAGTCTCGATTTCTCCTTCTGTATTATGAAAATTTTATTTCCTTCATAGGATTGTTGTGATTATTAAATCAAACTATGCATGTTAATAGCCTGTAAACACTTAAAAACGTTAGCTGTTGTTGTTAATTAATAAGTTCAGTCATTTGCTTCCTGTGAATATGTGCCTTAGCTATGCCATCATTATTATGGGGGATTGTCTTTGTGTGTGTGTATGTTTCTATATAACATTGCAACCTAGTTCTCATTATACTTGCTGACATCTGGTAAAATGTTATATTATTGATATCAGCATTCCATTATGTAGCAAATAATGAGCCAGAGAGTTGGGAGAAGTAGAGTACAAAAGAAGAAAATTCTTGAATTGTCTAGGACTAGCTCCATTATCTCTGAAAGCACTTGTGTTTGTGGACATCCTCCACCTTTGTTTTTGTTTTTGATTTCGTTTTTGTTTTGAGACAGAGTCTCACTTTGTTGCCCAGGCTGGAGTGCAATGGCATGATCTCCGCTCACTGCAACCTTCGCCTCCCAGGTTCAAGTGATTCTCCTGCCTCAGCCTTCTGAGTAGCTGGGATTACAGGCATGCTCAGCCTCCTGAGTAGCTGGGATTACAGGTGTGCACCACTATGCCTGGCTAATTTTTATATTTTTTAGTAGAGATGGGGTTTCACCCTATTGGTCAGGCAGGACTTGAACTCCTGACCCCATGATCCGCCTGCCTCGGCATCCCAAAGTGCTGGGATTACAGGCGTGAGCCACCACGCCTGGCCCCACCCTTTCTTTTTTATGCCTAAAGGGACTTTGATATTGCAAAGCCTAACAACCAGCCTAAATCTGCTGGTAGAAGTGTTAGTTCTTCCTACTGTGCATTAACCACAGATTTAAATCCTGGGGATACAACAGTAAACAAGACAGATAAAGCCTGAGTTCACATGGAGTTTATATTCTGGTGGAGCCAGACAGTAGGCAAACACATAAGTAAGGAGTGTATGTGTGTGTGTAAAATGATTTCAAGTCATGATAAAACACTAAATCAACCAGAATAATGAAATAGAATTGACTGGAGTGGAGTGACAGTAGGATTGGCTTTATCAAAGAGATCAGGGAAGACTTCACTGAGGAAGTGATATTTCAGTAGAACTTTGAAGGGTACACAGGAGTTGACCAGATAAAAAAGAAGGAGAAAGCTGTTCCACTGTAAAGTTTTAGTTAGGAAGTTAGACTTTGGGGCCAGATCCACTTTTGACTAGCTAGCCTTGGACAAGGTATTTAACCTCATTATACTTTTGTCTACCCATCTGAAAAAGGGATTTGCTATAAGGATTAGATTAAAATGTATTTCTTACATTGCTCAATTTGGTGCTGTGCTCAAGAAACATGAACTGTCATTAACATTTGCAAAGGCCTTAGAGTGAGAGAAAGGGAGATAGTCTTCGCTGATACTTCGGATTTTGCTGTCGGTGGTAGAGAAGCAAAAGTCCATTTTTGCTTCTCCTCCAGAGAACTGGAGGTGGGAGCATTTATGCTTCTTTCTCACTCACGTCTCCAATTAGACTGGTAAGAGTCTGAGACATTAACTGAGCCATGTTTTATTAGATGAGGTAAATCTCTTTAGGAATGGTCTGTGTTCTTTTCAATTAGCTGAACTCTCATTCTTCCTCCAACTCAGCCTTAGTCTTTCTATTCTCTCTCCTTGAAGGGAGTGAGTTAGGCAGGACTTGCCTCAGACCATACATTCTCCAGATTGTCTACTTGCAACTGGTTGGTCTATTTTTCCCCAAGGTAGTTTCAAATGTTTAGAACTATGCATCCAATATGGTGGCCACTTACCACTGTGGTTATTGATAGCACTTGAAATGTGGTTAGTCGAATTTGAGATGTGTTATAAGTGTGAAATGCACACTACATTTTCATAAATTAATGTGAAAAAGTAAAATCATTAATAATTTTTTAGTGTTGATTATAACTTAGGCTAATATCTAAGACATAGTTGGTTACATAAAATATATAATGAACATTAGCTTTACCCTTTTGAATTTGTTAACGGTGATTACTGAAAAACTTAAAATTACATAGGTGGTTCAGATTTGAGGCTTATATTTCTTTTGAGTAGTGCTGATCTAGAAGTATGAGAAGACTAGAAGCTTCCATTCTCCCTTAGATCTAAGCCACAGTTGTCAATCCAGTTATTAATAAATCTATTAACTAGAAAGCTTTTGGCTAAACTTTCTTTTCTGTTTCATGAACTAGTTATAAACCAAAAGGTAGAAGGAGTGAACTTTGGTTCATTTGCCTTTAGTGTTTGAGGGACTATATTCCAACATCAATTGGTATACTGCAATTCAGTTCTGGCACTAACCCCCTGGAATTACCATTGATCCTACAAGCTAAAGGGCACATTCCACGGCAAGACTGCCCTCCTTTCATACTAACTGACTATAAATCTGGGGATTCTTATGGCCTTCCCTGGGCTTGATAATTCATGGGAACAAATCACAGAATTCAGGCAAGTTCTACAGTTATGATTATAGTTTTCCTTTTTTGTTTGTTTGTTTATTTATTTATTTATTTATTTATTTTTTAGACAGAGTCTCACTCTGTCGCCCAGACTGGGGTGCATTGGCACAATCTCAGCTCACTGCAACCTCTGCCTCCTGGGTTCAAGCAATTCTCATCCCTTAGCCTTCCAAGTAGCTGGGATTACAAACGTATGCCACCAAGCCCAGCTAATGTGTGTGTGTGTGTATGTGTATATGTATTTTTAGGAGAGATGAGGTTTCACCATGTTGGCCAGGCTGGTCTTGAACTCCTGAGCTCCAGTGATCCCCCTGCCTCAGACTCCTGAAGTGCTAGGATTACAAATGTGAGCCACTGGGCCCAGCTGCTTATAGTTTTGTTAAGAAGAATACAAATCAGGAACAGTTAAATGATGAGACACAGAAGGTGAGTTCTGGGAGAGGCCCTAGCACAGAGCTTCCATGGCTTCTTCCCCTGGAATCAGGGCGCATCAACCTCCTGGCACACTGAGGTGTTCACCAACCAGGAAGCTCTGCTGAGCTTCGGTGTCCAGAGGTTTTATTGGAGTTTTATTACACAGGCATGGTTGATTGAATCACTGACCATTTAGTTGAACTCAATCTCTAGTCCCCCTTCTCTCCCTGGAGGTCAAATTGCTTCAAAATCCCAACCCTCTAATTATAGGCTTCTTCTTTTTGGTGACCAGCCCCAATCCTGACATTATCTAGGGGTCCACCATGAGTTATTTCATTAGCATAAACACATGTGTGATACAGGAGGCTCATATATAACAAAGACACACTTATATTACTTGAGAAATTTCAAGGATTTTAGAAGCTCTGTGCCAGGAGCCTGAAACAAAGACCAGACAAATTCTTTGTAACACAACAGACTGAAAAGTGCAGTGTGAGAAGAGCAAAAAGACGAATTCACCATTTAACTAATGTTTATTGTGCCGCATTTTTCTAGACACTTCAGATATATTAGTGAATATCAAACATTCCTGTTCTTGAACCTTACATTCCAGCAGGTGACACAGACAACAATAAACAAACTAACTAATAAATCAATTATAAAAACTATTTGAAGTTGGTGCTATGGGAGAAAGCAAAAATAAAACAGATTGTCAGTGTTGGTGTGGTGTGATTGGCAAACTGTGGGTTGTAATTTGTAATACACTGTTCAGTGTAGATCTTCTAGGAGAGTGGCACTGAAGCAAAGACTTGAAGGAAGTGATGGAGTTAGCCTTGCAGCAATCATGGAGAAGAATGTTTTAGTCAAGGAAATAGCCAGTGCAAAGGGCTGAAGGCAGGTATGTTTCTGTCATAGTCAGGAAACAGCTAGAAGGCCCTTGTAACCAGAACCAGGGAAGACAGTGGGAGAGGAGAGAAATAGAGGCAGCAAGGGGCCAGATGGTGTAGGGACTCATAGGCCATTGTGTAGTCTTTGACTTTTTTCTGAGTGAACTCTTCCATTTGGAGAATGGCACTAACTTCCTCTTTAATAAATTTACACAGGCTGCTGTGGTAAAAACGGACTATAACAAACAAGAATAGAAGGAATACTAGTTTTGAGGCAGTTGTCATTTTCCAGGAGCGAGATGATAGTAGTTCAGAACAGGGTGTTAAGAGAGGAGGGGGTGACAGTCGGTCAGGTTTTGGATATGTTTTGAAGCTAGAGCCGATAGGATTTCCTCCGAAATTGAAAACTGAGGGGTTGAGTAGTCCAAGGTAAGACTGGGTACTGGATGTCTTCTAGGCTATGGTAAAAAGTTCAGATTTTATCCTGTGTGCAATGGAAAGCTGCTGAAGAGTATAAGCTGAGTGGCCTGATTATATTAGCATATTATAAAAGTCACTCTGGAGGTTCTATGGAGGAAGGATGGGAAAGTGGGGAAGAGTGGAGGGTGGGGGGTGGAGAGGTAGCATTTAAACTCCTTGTAGGTATTAAGTGCTCTTAAGTTAGATGACCCATGTCATTTCATATTAGACATTAAAACACACCCACATCTCCTATTAAATAACAATTTTGCTATAAAAATTGTAAAGCAGTTTAATAATTTTGCTTGTGAAATTATTTGACCTGGATTACCCATTTAATTCACAAATCACTTTGATTCCTCAGCAATCATTATGCATACTTAAGTGAGAAAATCTGACCTACAAGTTGATTTCAGATGTAAACATATTTTTTACAATTTGTAATTTTTAACAATGTAGAGTTTAATGATACAGTGGTACATTGTGTAGACAAATCAACACATCTTAATATTGATTATGTCTGATTATGTCATCTTCTTTTTGCATTTTTGAGCACATACTTTCTTTTATACAAGTCTCTAAGGTTTTTATAGGCTCCTAAAAACCTTATAGGCTCATAAGCCTAATGGATTAAATGACTCTGGATACCCCGAGAACAGTTAGAAAGCTGTGTTGTCTGAGAGGGACCTTTAAAAGGATCTGGTTTTCACTAGCTTCATAAAGGCAGGATTTTAGAGAAATCCAAGTGTTTACCATGTCCTAGGGTTTGTTATATAATTTCTACATTCATTTTTCAGAAGTTACCTTCTGTTTCTTGTACAACTTATCTTGAACTTGCTAGAATGATTGGATGATTTTGCTCCTTGACTCGATTTGCTATAATACGGTCTGTTTATGTCATTGTGGAACTATTTTCCACTCTGATTCAGTGAGGATGTCTATAGAATTATTAAGAGGCTGAAAAAAAGACACAAAACATTGATTTTGTTTTTACCACCCTTGATAATGGATTCTCTTTTTATTTTCCTGGTAACCTGGCATTGGATTGCATGCGTTGCATTCAAAGAGAACTCTAGTCCTAGCTATATTACACAGGGCTAGATGTCAACTGTGGAGTAAATAATTCTAAGGGGACACTGCTCATTTTAACTCTGAATTCACTTTTAGTTACTATAAAATGGCAAAAGATTTTGCAATGAATATGCAAAGAAATGTCTTTTCTGTATTCAATTGAATAAGTGCTTTTGAGATTAAATGTTCTGATATTGTATGTGCTACACAAGAAAGAGGAAATAGTTAAGAAAAATCAAACTAGAATTTTTAAAGATCGAGTTATTTTCCCCTTGTTCATCAGAATGGACTTGCTAGGACCATTTATAAATACTTGTTCCTTTGTAGGGGAACTCACCCATGTCTACCCTACATGTTCCTAATTCAGTTGTAATTTTGAATATTACAATTTATCTGATTTGCAGCCTATTCCTGAGTGGTATTCTTAGTTTCACTTTTAAATGAATACGGTTCATCAGATTTGATTGTTCTTTTGTGCCCATTTGCTTTGGAGTCCTTGCTAGTAATGAAACAAAAGGCTTTTCAGATGGATATTTGAGTGATGAATGATGACACCTTTTTCTCTTTACCTTACTTCAAGCTGCCAATCTCTTCACAAAGACATTGTGTCTCCCTGTTCTCTTAGTACACCATTTTCATTGCTGTGATAGAAAATCTTAACAGTCAGCACTGAAATTGCCTTCCTCACGTGATCATCTCACACTTTGCATGGATAGTTGCCTGTGATAAGTATTTTACTTTCTTCTCTTACTGTATTAGTGGAGTTGGTAGCAGGATGATTTTTTGGCCTTTATTTTTGTTTTAAATACAACATAAAAAAGTACAAAAGGAAACAACCAAAAATATGGACTAGGGATTTAGACTTTTCAATCCACAGCTTTTCCTTTCTCTGCGTACTTTGGGCAAGTTAATTTATTTCTCTCTGTGTTCATCAGCTCACTAATCTGTGAAATAAAGGTTGCTATCATTCATTCAATGCATATTTATTAGAATGCCTATCTTTCAGGAAGTATTCTAGGTACTGAGTATATATAACACTGAATAAAAGAGTTCCAGGTCCAGTGTGGTGGCTCATGACTGTAATCTCAGCACTTTGGGAGGCTGAGGTGGGCAGATCACTTGAGGTCACGAATTAGAAACCAGCCTGGCTCAGCAACATGGTGAAACCTTGTCTCTACTAAAAATACAAAAGTTAGCTGGGTGTGATGGTGCACGCTTGTAATCCCAGCTACTTGGGAGGCTGAGGCAGGAGGGTCGCTTGAACCCAGGAGGCAGGGGTTGTAGTGAGCCAAGATTGCACCACTGCAATCCAGCCTGAGCGACAGAGCGAGACTCCATTGCAAAAAAATTTAAAAAGTAAATAAATAAATAAATAAATAAATAAATAGAGTTCCTACCCTCTTGGAGTTACCTTTTATTAAGGTGTGAAGGAGACAGCAAGTGAGACCATCTGACACATATATTCCTTCCTATATTGCTATTTCTTTTTACCTTTTCTCCCTTCACAGTAAGGAATTAGCTTCATGAAAGTATATTTATAATTATTATTTTTGTGCTTCATTTTTGTTGCTTTGCTTTCAAATCTGAAAGGGGAATTTGTGGTGAAGTTGTAACTTTTAAACATAAGAGTTCCTAACAAGTACAAGGAAAGGAAATGATTAGGAGAAATTTCTGGACAGCGCTGAAGTCAAATGTCCTAGATTCTGACTGCTTGGGAGAGTTAAAACCTTCTAATTTTGCAAACATGATTTTTTTTTAAAGTCTTGCATTTTAAAGTAGTGTTCAAAAATCTCACTGGCCCAGTCTGGGATGTAACACTACTGTCTCTAATTAGAGTAAGGCTTGCTCTTCCGAGGCCTGTATGCTGGGAGGAAGACAACTCACAGTGCTCAGAGGAATATCTTCAGAAATGTTTTTGACCAAAGGAAAAACTAATGAAGAAATTTTACAGAGAGGAAGTTCTCTTTCCTTGGGGAAAAAGATGTGTTAACGAAGGAGTCTGAAAACTAACTGCAGGTGAATTGCAAAATGCTTTGGAGAGCATTGGCTTAGTATATACCATGAATAAGATATATTTCTAAAATAGTATAATCTATATTCTTTAACAGATTTGTCACTTTGTTTAGAACTCTATTCTAGGCCGGGCATGGTGGCTCACGCCTGTAATCCCAGCACTTTGGGAGGCCAAGGTGGATGGATCACTTGAGGTCAGGAGTTCAAGACCAGCCTAGCCAACATGGTGAAACCTGGTCTCTACTAAAAATATAAAAATTAGCCGGGTGTGGTGGCACACACCTGCAATCCCAGCTACCTGGGAGGTCGAGGCGGGAAAATAACTTGAACTCGGGAGGCGGAGGTTGTAGTGAGCCGAGATTGCATCACTGCACTCCAGCCTGGGCAACAGAGTGAGATGCCATCTCAAAAAAAAAAAAAAAAAAAAAAAAAAAGACCTCTATTCTAGAACTATATTCTTTAACAGATTTGTTGCTTTAAGTACATTTTTCTCATAGATGGAGATGTATTCATTCTGGTGTCTAGTGGCCTTTGGATGTATCCTAGACCCTGTGCCTGGATGAATGGAGGTCTTTGTGCAAGAAGGGGCCCTATTGATATAAATGATGGCTAACATTTCTGGAGTGCATATCATGTGGTATGTTCAGTTTTATACCTTTTACATATATTACCTCATTTAATCATCACAACATTCTCTCCATTTTAGAAATAAACATAAAAGGCTTAACTAATTTGCCCAAGACCATGGAGTTAATAAATAGTAGAGTCAGAATTTAAAGTAGGACCATCTGAGTCAAGTCTACTCTTTCCACTTCATTAGATAAACAACGGATAATTCTATAAGAATTAGAATCCACTGAGTGGCCTGGAATAAATGTAGACATGGAATAGGAACTTGCTATATTAGTCTGATTCTTACTCTCTTCTCACTTCTCTTTGCCCTTCAACACACACATACACACTGAAAACACACATAATACTTGAAAACACATTTGTACGCAGAGATAAATGGGTGCAGCCAGTGGGCGGGGCTGCTGAGCAAAAAGGCCAGTCCACCGATAATGCAGATTGTTTGCTATTGACGATTAGATTCAGGATCCCAAGTGCCTCCAATAGCTGTGCAGTGTGGCTAGAGGTGCATTGAATAAATACTTGGGGCTGAATTAATTGAGCAGAACTACCTTTTGAATACCTAAAGTTTGCCTGAAGGAAATCTTCAGGGCCTTGGAGAGTGCTTAATATGTATTAAATAAATGAGGCTTTCGGGGCCTGGGGAGCCCCTAAATTAAGGCAGTGACAAAGGGAATGGATTAGCTCTAAACATGGGTGTATACATAAATGTACACATTCCTTTGGAGTCCACATTTCTTTGGACTCAAATCCTACAGAATACAACCAGACACTGCTTTTCATTCAGAATTTTCTTTCTTGTGGAAACACTCCATTTGGCTCTTGTAATTTGGATTTGAAAGTAGTGAATGTCTGTGTCCATTTGGCACGAACAGAAGGCCTTAGAATTTGGACACAGGAAGAATAGCTAATGGATACAGGGCTTAATACCTTGGTGATGGGATGATCTGTGCAGCAAACCACCAGGACACACATTTACCTATGTAACAAAGCTGCACGTCCTGCACATGTACCCTTGAACTTAACATAAAAGTTAGAAAAAATAAAAAAGAAAGAAAACAGACATGTTTGTTCTTCAACTCTTTTGAATGGTTTATTGCATGGAAAATTGTTACTCACAGTATCATCCATTTACAGTGAGAGCTTCTATAAGTTGTCAACACCACTTAAAGACATCAATAAGTAGAGTCTTTGGACACTACTGATGGCTGGCACCTGACTTAATAGAGGGACTGGCACTCTGGAGGGAGGAGGAATGGAAGGGAAGCAACATGGGGAGTAAAATCTATGCATTTAGTCCAGTAAGTCCCACCCTTTTGTGAAGCTGTTTGACCTGATGTCATCTAATTAAAGCTACTCTTCCATACAAAGCATTGTGTGACATATATATTTAAAATTATGTTTAAAATTAACTAGATTTTTGGTTTGAAGTATTATTTGTAGAATTTTAGTATCTTTCTTGACTGAAATGATTGTGATACTGTAGGGTGGGAATCACTGATTAAGGGCCGGTGGTGTAGACTAGAAAAATATGGATTTTGCAGGCAGGAGGCCAGGCTCCCCTGTCAATTTCACCACTTGCTATCTGTGTGATCCTGTTTGGGAAAGCCATGTAACCTCTCTGAGCTTCTTTAAGCTTTAAATAGTTGAAATGTGTGGACACAATGTCCAACACACAGTAAGTGCGCTATAAATCCTTACTTTCATTCCTTCCCTTCTTTCAAATAGATAGACGCTCATAGATAATAATGATGCTGTCAGGAACCATGTGATAACGTATATTGGAGGGACAAAATAGTTTCCTTGCCTGAAATGACGGGTTTGCTCATCTCACACCTCGACTAACCTACTTACTGAGTCACTCCAAGGCTGTTTTTTTTTTTGAAGTAGCCTAATGCCAAACATATGCTGACAGTGATTTCAATGTGGAGCCTTGTACTAAATTAAATGAGAAGAAAACTCAAAGGCAGCTGGATGTACACTAGTATCTATACATATCTTGTCTCCTTGGAGGTTTTCTCATTTAATAGAGGTAGAAAATTTCAGGAGTTAAACTGCCCTTATAAAGAAATGAAGGTTTTAAAATTAGTAGACTTGGTGTTTGAGGATCCTGGATGAACTTTAATCTAGAGTTTTTTATACTCTCCAAATGGTATTATAAGGTTGGCTTCTCAGAGACTAAAGTAAGAGCTAAAAGGAATTAGAAAACCAGATGTTGGGGCTGATTCAATAGCAGTAAATCTTATTGCTGTTCCAGGGGCTCCATGAGGATTCTGCTACTGAAATTGAACAATATTTTTCCTAATTTGCAAAAAAATACATTAATACAGAGAGTGTGCTTATTTTCTAGGTTTGCATCCATGCTTTTTCTTAATTTTGGCACCTGCTATTTCTTGCCTTTTCCAGAGTCTTGTGTGAGCCGAGCATATACCATTCAGCACAGTATTATTTGAGTATAATGTTTCAATAGTTCATGATGAGTTGCAGAGCAACCATGACATTCAAGTTAGCGTCTCATAAAATCTGAGAATCATTGTCTGAGATTTGAGCCTAAAGATGCCTTAAAAAGCATCTTTAAGTATGAGTGACCTTAGCCAGGTCAACTATCCCTCTTGCCAGATCGAAAATATCAGAAAAATACTTTTTCTCTCCCTTATTCTGACAACAGGGAGCACTACTTATCATGCTTACTTAAAAACTGACAAACACATCTCCCATTGTAAAGACGCTAAGCATTTTAAGTGCTAACCTTGTTTTTAGCCCTCCTACTTCATATAGTCCAGGTTTGCCTCAGAATCTCAGAACATCACCATAGCTATGAGGTTAAGAGTGTAGTTTTGCAGTCAGGGTGACTTGGTTTTAAATCCTGCCCCATTCGCTGTGTAATCTTGGGCAAATTTGGGGCCTCAGTTTTATTATTTGCAAAATATAAATAGTAACACCTCACTAGTAAGTTTGTTGTGATGATAAATAAATTAATAAGCCAGAATTGCATACTCTCTTTGGAGAAGGGATCACCTCTGGTTTAAACATTGCAGTAACTCCAGTGCCCATAGCATACACTCAGTAAATATTACAAAAGAAAATTAATGGATAATGCATCTTAAGCAGTTGGCAACATGTCTGGCACATATTGGCCTCTCAATAAATAGTAAAGATGGCAATAATAATAATGGTAGTTGTTGTATCATTATCATTAAGTTACTACATCTTTTGAAATAAATTTTGAAAAACTACAAAGAATATTTTGCGGCTGGAAGACTGGATATGTTTAAAATGACATTTCCGAAGGCAGCCTCCTAAACTTCAATGCCCTTTTCATATCATCAGTGTAGCTTTGGACAAAACAGTCTCTGGCCATGTCTTATTTCACAAGGCCAAACTTTGAGAATAATCTGACTTCCAGTCTCCCTCTCTTGCAAGCTGTGTTTCCAGACTGTTGAGTGGCTCCTGGAAGCAGCAGGTGGTTCATGGATGCAGACATCAGGAATCAAAGCTCGGCTCTAAGAGGGGAGAGGATGGAAAGTTCTTTGAGTCCTTTTGGCTGAATAGGTGTCTTAATGAGATGATCACTCCAGGAAGCATTTCTATTTCCTTCCTTTAAATAATGAGAGTATCTTTGAGTGAATGTATTTACCTTCCTTCAGGCTTAGTTTCTTTGATCTCTGATGACTCACTTTGTCTCACAACAATGATCAGGGTCTTCATTATGCTGCCCAATTTGGTAGCAGAAGCCCATGAGAAGCAAAAATTTGGAAGCCACAATTTTCTCATTATCATGGGGATTAGGTTGCCTTGTCAACAATATATGCAGAAGAGAATAAATTTAAACTAGCAACTAAGATATATTTATCAAGACCTGGTCTATTAACTTGTTTAGCTTTGTTGTGCAAGCCATTCAAGTTTCTAATGTGGCAGGTGAACTTTTGGGTAGCTTATGTTGCTAATAGCCAAATGGCATATAATAATCAAAGCAATAAATGTGGGTATTATTAAGCACAAGCGCAATGGCCCGAAATAGAATTGCTGAGTGCTTATAAATTACTCTATTATTATTTGAAGGAAAGAACAATCCAAGTTGAAATATGGAAGCTACACACCACACAGTTCTTTCACTATTATTGTCCTGTATAAGGTGATCTCTGGGTTTTATTTACAATTCTCAGATAAGTTATTTTTTCTCCCCAGCTGCAGAACTCAGTCTTGAATTCCATTTTCATTTTAAACATCAATAGTTCATTGTATAAGAGCATTCTTCATGCTGCAAGTTCTTGGCATTTTCTATGAGGAATATAGCACAGTAACAATTCTTTATAGGGATAGGAGAAATAAGACATGACAGACTAAAGATAGGTGGTTAAGTTGTAACAAAACCCAGCATATAAAGCTTGGCAAAGATTTATACAGAGAAGCAAAACTACTGTTCATGCCAGAGAAATCAGTAAAGAGGAACTGAAAAAGAAGTGAAGAACGTATGCTTCAAAGCTATAATGAGACTTGGCTGCCTCAGGCAGTATCAGTAAGGAATAACATGCCCTAATTTTGTTGTCTTAGAAGCAAAACATTTCTTTTTCTGTTGATTATTCAGAATATGTGCCATTAGCCATATGTGTACATTTTAGTCAGCAATACAGCTGTAGCCCATATTTCATTAACATGTGTTCTGCTTCCTGCTCGAACACACAACACGCAGAAATGTGTCCCTGACCTTTTAATCTAGCTTGCTCTTTCTTCCTTCATTTCCCCATCGTTTATAATAGCAAGATCCCTGAACCCTCTCCTAGACCACCTCCCTCCTTTTTCTCTGTTGCTGGCATTGTAGGTGTCTCGTCAATTTGGTAGAAGATGTCTTGGAATAGAGCCTCTCAAAACCTGGAAATTATGTTGAGTCTGTTTGATCTGATTACCTTGGAGGCAGATGACAAACTTTCATCAGCTCTAGCATTTTGTAAATAATCTTTGGTAACCATCATGGGTCATCTTTGAGTAGATTACTTGGGATCCATCTAGAGTCTCAGTGCCTGGAGATTTTAAAGAAAAAATCAGAGGGTACACGTTCCAGGATGGCTTGGGTCAGTTTGCTGAATGGAAGAAGGAAAAATACAGGTATACACCAATTTTGGGTCCATTGTGGTCTGACAATTTTGGGAATCTATGGTTGGATATATATGGACGTCAGCAAGTACAACTTATCTAACGAATGAGTTGATTTTCAAGTTGAGTCCTTGTGTAATGGCTTAGTGTTGAGCCAAAGAAATGCCAGACCTTTGAATCTGCATGTCTTCATGGGTAGGGCAAGACCTTGATGCTTAAAGCCCATGTATGGCATCACAGCTGTATGTGATCAAAGACTACTTGGTGGGGTCTGAAGGTAATACAAGCTCACAGAACCAAATGTTATTATGAACAAGCACAGTCAGGGAAGGCTTCCTGGAGGAAGTAGCATTTGCAATGAGATTTGAAGGAAGTAAAATGAAAACATTAAAAGTAGTTGAGTTGTTTCATTATTTTACATTTTAGTAATATATTTCTAAACGTTACTTCGGTTGCTAGATTCAACCAATTAATTCGAGTGCTATAAATAGAAAATGAATAAATTTTTCAATTATCTGTTTAGAAATGTACAAAGAGAATGGAGGTAGTTTTAAAGAGGCTTCTTTTAGGCAAACAACAACAACAAAAAAGATTTAAGCTAAAGAATATAGGAAACTACCTCATTCCAATAGGTGTTGAATGTCAAGTAGTCAGAAATTTTTTAAAAATTGGAATTATATACTGGAAAACTAGAGGAAGGCTGGAAAAGTCAGAGTCTTTAAGCCTTATTGGTTGAGGATGAGTTCTCGTGTCAAATTACATTTCTAAGAGAATAAGATTCTTGCGACTCAAGATGTGGTTCTGGGACCAGTAACATCAGCATAAACTGGGATTCTATTAAAAATACATAATCTGAGTACCCTCCCAGACCTACTGAATCAGATTCTGCATATTAACGAGACTCCTGGATCATTTGTACACACTTTAACATTTGAGAGGCAGCAGAATTCTCAGATGGACAGCCTGTTGTAATGCTGTGGTACCCAGCTGATAATCAGCAGAATCATCTAGGTGGTATTTGTTAAATTTAATTAAAACATTTTTTTAACAGTAACTCAGATCTAATGAGTCAGAAGTTGGGGGCTGTGGTAGGCAGAGGTTGTAGAAACTGTATTATATATAATATAGAGGTTTCTACATTTCAAAGAGTTTCACAGGCAATTCTGGTAATCCAGGTTTGGATGCTGCTGATGTATGAGACTAGAGTAGTGATTCATAACTCTAACTGCTCTCTAGAATCATTTGTGATGTTTAAAAAAATTATAATGCTAGGTTCAGTCCTCCAGAGATACTGATTTAATTAGCCTTGGGTGGAATTTACACATGTGTTTTTTTTTTAAAGCAGACTTACTTAGATATAATTTATATACCACAAAGTTCATCCATACAGCAACTTTTTTTAAAAAAGGTTTCAGGATAATTCTGATGTGCAGTCAAGCCTGAGAACCCCTGGAGAAAGACTAGCAGGAGGCTCTTATATACTCCCATTGGGAAACAAAGAGATCTGATTTTCAGTAGTGTCAATGAATGAAGTCTGTACGGATGTGTGAGGCTAAGATGTAGAGAGAAATTCAGAGAATTCTCTGAGGTTGAATTAACAGATTTTAAAAATTAATTTTGCATGGGTAGAGAACTAATTCAATAGTCTAGGATTATGTCAGTTTCATTTGACCGACTAGATGGATAGTGACACCTGTGGGCTCACTTCCCTCTTTCCTGTGTAGGGCTCATTTTTATTCAGAGATTAGGGAAATGGCAAGAGGCATAAAATATTTAGACTTTCAGATTATTTATGAAATTCAACATAGCCAAATTCAGCAGGAGCAACAATAGGTATACTACACCCAAGAAACTCCTGAATATCGGAATTTAGTACCTTTTAAATCTGCAATTAAAGACAATCTGTGTTGTGATCTATCCCTTGTTTGTTGCACAGACCCTTCTTCATACCTCCATGTATCTTCCTTAAAGGTGGGTTGATAAGAAGTACATATATTGCTACACTCTGAATACTCTTTATTTACACATGCCTGTTTTTACTATAATATCACAAGGAAGAGGCAGGAGCTTCATGCTTGAGGTAACCATGAGTGGTTCATTCTCAGATCAGTCTTTGTTTGTTTGTTTGTTTTTTGAGACAGGGTCTCACTCTGTCACCCAGGCTGGAGTGCAGTGATACACTACAATGGTACAATAATGTCTCACTACTGCCTTGAACTCCTGGGCTCAAGTGATTCTCCCACCTCAGCCTGGATAATTTTTAATTGTTTTCTTGCAGAGACATGGGGTTCCATTATGTTTGCTTAGGCTTGTCTCAAACACCTATGCTCAAGTGATCCTCCTAAAGTGCTGGGATTACAGGCGTGAGCCACCAGACCTGGCCTAAGATCAGTCTTTGACAAGATCTCAGCTCTACAGTGTTTTCAACTCACTTTACTCTTGAATTCATAAGAATGTAAATTTCCAGCAATTTTCTCCTTTTATTTTTCTATAATCGGTCATGGGGTACAGAGTTCAGAAGAAGTATAGTTATTGAGCATGGTCAGGAGATAAACCTGGTCTTAGAACAGTAGGAATAATTGTTGGAATCTATTAGAACCTCTAACTATGAATCTCTTGGAATTTTATTGATTCTGAGCAAATTTTTATAAACACATACAAACACATACATAACTGGACATTTTAACTGTTAACTAAGGATGACTAAAACAGTTTTCCAGAGTCTGAGGGAAGTTTTATTGAGTTGGATTGAAAAACAGCTGTGGAAACGGTCTTTTATTCTCTGTATGTGATTGGCACAGTTAATAGAAAAGGATTGGAAGCAGGCTCAACGCCTTCAGTGTTTAGGATGAATGAGATTCCACATCAACCAGAAATGGGGCTGACCCTGTGTAACACGGATACCACATTCTAGGTGGATGGAGTCAGGGTTTCCCCTCAGTTCCTCTTCATTGGCCCCTCACTTTCATCCACTAGAGCCTGTAACTGTAAACAAGGTTTGGGACGTTGTTGGGATCTGTGGTTATTTCACACACAGTGGTGGAGGCAAGGCTGATGGAGAAAGTGACCTGGAAATAGTACATGTGTTAGGAATTATGGCTTTTCATTGGCTGAATTTGGTTAAAGAAGGAAGTTAAACTCTCTCAGTTTCCTAGGACAAAAATCCTTCTCAGACTCACAGAGCCAGGCAGTGGAGGTAAGAGAATACGTTATCTCTAGCCAGCGGAGCTGTATTTGATGAGTGAGCAAAGGTTTATTCATGTTGCTATAATTTGGATGCTTGTGCCCTGAAAACTCATGTTGAAATTTGATCCCCAGTGTTGGAGGTAGGGCCTAATTGGAGGTGTTTGGGTAAAGGGGGCAGATAGCGCATGAATGCCTTGGTGCTGTCCTCTTGGTAATGAGTGAATTCTTGCTTTATTAGTTTCCATGAGAGCTGGTTGTTAGAAAGAGCCTGGCACCTCCCCATCTTTCTCTCTCTCTGCTTGCTTCTTTCTCTCTCACTGTGTGATCTCTGTACACGCTGAATCCCCTTCCCCTCCTGCCATGAGTGGGAGCAGTCTGAGATCCTCACCAGTTGCAGATGCCAACCTATGCTTCTGTATAGCCTGCAGAACCACGAGCCAAATAAACCTCTTTTCTTTATAAATTACCGAGTCTCAGGTATTTCTTTATAGCAACACAATGAACTAAGACACATGTCAACCCACCTTCCCATTTTAAGTATGGAAAGGGCAAATAATAGCATGCAAGGGAATAAAAGTAGTGATAAAAAGGGTCATTCACACCGAGTTGCTCTCTGTTTCTTTAAAGATGCATAAAAAGGAAAATAAATGAGCTAATTTAAAAATTCACCTGAGTAACATGACAATATTATTCTAAAGACATAGAGGAAATGCATACTCTTGTAAATGATGCTTTACAGGCAACAAAAGGCAATTTAAGATGCTATCTCATTATGATAGGAAATAAAGATATATATCACAAAGAGATATCAGAATGCTATAAAAAGCCAATAAGCCATAAAAAGTCAATAATCTGAGATGATAGGCATCTTGACTGAGAGGAAGAAACCACCACAAGAATATTGAAAATTCAAGAGCAGAATTAGGGCCAGGAATGGTGGCTCACGCCTGTAATCACAGCACTTTGGGAGGGCGAGGCAGGTGGATCACTTGAGGTCAGGAGTTCGAGACCAGCCTGGCCAACATGGTGAAACCCTGTCTCTACTAAAAATACAAAAATTACCCTGGCGTGGTGGCACGTGCCTGTAATCCCAGCTACTCGGGAGGCTGAAGCACAAGAATCACTTGAACCTGGGAGACGGAGGTTGCAGTGAGCCAAGATTGCATCACCGCACTTCAGCCTGGGCGACAGAGTGAGACTCTGTCTCAGGAAAAAAAAAAAAAGAAGAATTAAAATTCCCATACTGTAACATAAATAAATAACATATTACAAAATAGAACTAATGGTAAATAATTCAAAATTAAGAAGTTGTCTTAGAAAGCAGAGGGAAAGAAAGACAGAAAAGATGAGTCTGAAGGTAGCAGGTAAGATACAACCACAGCAGTGTTTCTCAAATGAAACATACCAAAATATAGATTAGTAAATTATATAATAACATTTTATAAAGCAGAACCATACATTCATCTGTAGAACACAAGGCTCCAGGTAACAATAATAGAGTGTTACACCTAATTACGTCCTTATGATTTTTTCAAAGATAATTTTTTTCAAGGATACAAAATTCTATAGAGGAGGATAAAAGAATGAAAAGTATAACCTCAAAGAAACAAAAATCTAGTGCATCCCAGAGCTTTTCTCTGCAAAAGAAATCAAAACATAAAAGATAAATGCTACTACATTTTAATGGAGAAAATTATGTGATTCAATAAATACATATCCAGCCAAATTTTTCTTTCTATATGATGATAATAAAAAGTTTAAGAGTTCAAAAAACACATTGAATAAGGCACTCCACATACCAGCAGGTAATTTAAAATAAAGACCCCAAGAATAATCACTTCATTAAAGACACAGAAAAGAATATCAAAGCCAGTTGCTCATAGAAGAGAATTAAAATAATTGTTTTACATAAATTAACTACTAAGGCAGAACACATTAAAAAGAAAATATAAATCTAAAGAGAAAAATGTTCCATAGGAAATAGGCAGTCATGGTGCAACCGCAAGGGAAAATGAATGCATATTAAATTTTATATTTCACATGTGAGTCTGAAGTGATATATTGCTCTACAACTATCTATATGTCTCTATATTCTCACATACCAACATACACACAGAGATACACACATATATACATGCATACTGCATGGGTATGTGTGTATGTATATATTATGTCATACCTGCAATATATGAGAGAAGGTGGGGAGGCAGATAAGATTTAGGTGTTGAAAATCTTAAAAGTAAATTCTAGTAGAATTAAAGATAGATTAGTTTTCCAAATCACCACATCAGGTACAAGCAAACTAATCGTAGTCCTCTTAATAAAACATATAGATTTTTAAAAGATAACAGGGCAGCCTACAATATAGAATGTCAAATATAAAATAATAAAATATTAACTATATGGTATAATTAAGTATAAATGGTTTAGCTTCCCACTTATAAAGCAAAAACTATGCATTTGTATTTTAAAAATCAACAACATTAAGTTATAAGACTGATAACTAAAAAAAAAAAATCCAGAATTGGGCAAATGTAAAGCAATTCTGAACAGAAAGAATGCAGTGGAGGTAATGTTAATATCTGTAAAAATAGAATTCAAGGGAAAAAACCTTGAAAGAATTGTGAGTGACTAGACACTTAATATTGATGAAAGGTAAACTTCATCATATAGACATCATAGATATGAATCTGTGTTTACTAATAAAACATGAAAACACATAAAGCAAATATCTTAAGCAAGGAAGATTGGCAGAAACAGACTTGCAGTGGCAGATTTTAATGCACCGTTCTCAGTTTGTAACAAGCGACACAGAAAATAAATACAAGAATAAGGATTAAATAATTCATAAAGGTGAATTACCACATATATCTCAAAATTTGTACCCTATAGAGAATATTCCTATTTTTCAAGTGTTCATGGAATATTACCAACAATGATAGTAGAAAACACTAGTCATGTTTGTAAACCAGGAATTATTTGGCTATACACAGTAAAACTCTGAAAGAATGACAAAAGTTTCCACAAACCAAGAAACCACAACTACTGAGAAACGTCTAGTAAAGTAAACCTCCTAAATAACAAATTGTTCAAAGAAAGAATAAAACATGAGTAACAAATTATTTAGAATTACTAGAATATATGGGAATAAACACAGCACTATATGCCAAACTTCCACATGGCCAAAACTATATTTTGAAATAAATTCATATCTTTGCATATTTTGTCATTCCAGGAAGTGTGCTCTATAGCACTGCCTAGAACAGAAGGTAAGTTATTGGAAATAAAGTTAAGGAAAATTGAAAGGGGCAGTTGTCAGTTGCTAAAGTGCTATGAATGCCACTTACAGTAGAAGATAATAAAGTTTCTTAGTGATGTGGGTGGTACTTTTTGAAAGTGATTTCTGGATGAGGAGGGGAATAGAGGATTGGTAGAGAAAATGATGACCTTGGTTTTGAACATACTGATGTGTGATTCATTACTACATTAAAACAAGGTAATAATTACAATCATAATGACAGTAAATATTTTTATTAAGGGTTTGAAATGTCCTAGACACTGTGCTAAGTGCTTTACAGTATTACCTCAATGAATTCCCATTATATTCCTATACCTTTAAAGTATTTGTCTATGTCTTATTTTTTCATTTCAATTAAATATAATGGCTTTATTTTTAAAAAGCAATACAGCACGTCATAAAAATTTAACTTGTAAAAGAGATTATTGAATGAAATGTGTTAATATAGCTACCTCTTGCTATCTCAGACCACCAACAGCCCTGTGTAGAAATAATTACTTTTCTTGTTTCTTGGATGTCCTTTTCATGATCTGGCATGAATATTCGGAAAATATGTACGTATAGATTTATGCATATAACCCTTTTTATTTATAAACTAGAGGCATATTATATATTGTTAAATACCTCCTTTTTCACTTAGTATGTTGGATATAGTCTCATGTGTGCAACATATAGAATCATATTATATCTTTCTATGCCTATATTGTATTCTTAGTGTGGCTGTGGCATGATTTATTTAAACAGATCACTATTGGTGAATCTTTTAGGTTTTTTCCAGGTTTACTTCCAAAAAGAACATTTCAGTGAATAAACTTGTACCTATCTGTGCACATGGTACATGCATATGTTTATCTGTAGAAAAATAATCTTGTAAGTGGATTACTATGTCAAAGGTATGTACATTTTAAATTTTGATAGATATTTCCAACTTGCCTTCCAAAGAATTTGTAGCAATTTACATTTCTAATAGTAACATATGATAGTACATCTTTCTTTACATCCTCGCCAACAAAGTAGTGTTGGATTATATGATCTTTGCCAATCTGATATATATTACATACACACACACACACACGCACACACACACAGAGATAAAATGGTACCTTATTATTTTAACTTGTTCTTCTTTGAGCCTTTTTTTTTAAACAGGATCTTGCTCTGTCACCCACATCCTCCTCCCATCCATATGACCTTTCAAGTCATTTTCTTAGAATTGGCTCTGTAGATTGTTGTCAATTCTTTATCCACATCCATTCCATAAACTGTTCCAATTCCATTTCCAGCCTTATCACTCTTCTCTGACTTAATGTTGGCAGCTCCAGGAGACATATCACTGCTGTCACCTTATTTGATGTCTCAGTAGCATTTGACCTTTGTCAATCACCAACCCCCTTCTTGAGACACTTTCTTCTCTTTTCTGTGGTAACACATTCTATTGTTTCCCTTGCCACCTTTCTAATTACCCTTTTTTAATAATCTTTGCAGGCTCCTGTTCTATCTAAACTAAATATGTTGAAGTTTTCTAGGCTTCCAACCTGGTTTCTCTTTTCCTTTTTTTCCCCCCTATAAACGAAGGTGATCACAGATCAACATCTCCAGCCCATATCTTTTCTTTGAGGTCTGAATTTGTATCCAAATGCCCAATTACTATTTCAGCTCACAAAATAGTGTGTCTTAAACTCAACTTCTAACTTTCTACTCTAAATATATCTCTGGCAGTCTTTACTATCTCAGCTTATTATAGCACCGTCCCTCCAATTTGAACACTGGAAGCATGAGAGTCATTCTTGACTTCATCTAGCAAGTCTTGTCTAGTTTCTCTGGAAAATGTGTCTCAAATTCATATAATTTTACCCATGTTCAAACTGCTATGATCTCTTTTGTGAACTAGTTAAATACCCTCCTTTCTGCTCTCCATATCTCTCCTTCTACTCATCCAATCTAATGCAGCCAGAGTGATCTTCGTAAAAAGTATAAATTAAATCATGTGAATACTAACTGTGTGTTCAGGGACTTATGAAGGTTATCTCATTTATTTTTCAAATGATCTTATGAGACAGGAACTACTATAGCCCTTAAAGAAGTTAAATAATTTACTCAGATGGGGGAACTGAGATTTAGACGCAGGCCACTTGGCTTTAGAGCCTATACTCTGAAACACTACGCCATACTCTCTCACAAAAATGTACCATTTTCTTCCTAACAGCAACTTGAACTATTGTAGCTTAATACTTCACCTGTATTGCCTCTGGGGACCTTGAAAATTACAGCTGAATTCTTTACAATGGCGATCATTTCTTTTCCTGGCACTCGGCATCAAAGGGAGTCTTGGTTTAGGCAGCTGAATTAGGACATGCTTGTTGGGGCTGCATCCTGAACTCCTAGAGGGCTCCATTCAGGTGAACAGGATTTTATACACACTATTTTATGATGCTGTTGATGGGGATGCACTACAGGAAAAAATCATTTTCTCTGAAAGTACAGATTAATTTAGAAAAGCACCAAGGTGATTCTATGGAAATAGCATATTTACATACATTTCTCAGCAACTGCAGAATACCTACTAGTCTCTTATCAGTTAATCATAGTAATCAAAGATGCAGAGAGAGACCGTGTCATTATATGACAATTTTCCCATGACGATCTGCATAAAAACAAGCACTGCTAGTTCTTTCTCTCCAATCCATCCTCTCTATACTGTTAAATTCATTTTTCTAAAATACAGCCCAAATCCAGGAAGTTCGTGGTTTAAACTTCAAAGTCTTCTCTTCCCAACAAAGGCCAGATCTTGCTCTAGCATTTGAAAGCCTCTAGGATCTGGTTCCTATGCTATTTTTTCTCAGACTTATCTCTGTCTATTCCATTTATGTACATGATTCCCCTCCCCCCAAAAAAACAGTTAATTTTTCCTACACAAGCTCTATATTCTCACTCTGTGTCTTAGTCTTCTTTGTTCTCATATCTTCTTCAACTGAAATGCTTCACCCTACCCAACGTCTGCATTTAAAAATCCTTATTTAAGGTGCGAAAACATACAGCATAGTGCTAGGTAGAAATTAAATTATTGTTACTATTTGCTACTCTTTATTTTTCCTGTAGCCTGACTTTTAGTAGAGAAGTGGCTCAGGAAATTGGATTAATAAGAATGCAGAGTACAGTGGATAGACTATGTTGGTCAGCTAGAGCCTGCGGCTTGAATAATGAATATTCAGATAGAGGTCTCTGAATCTCCAGGCTAGTCAGCAAGAGTAGGCATGTGGCCAGCTCTTGGCTGAAGTAGAGAGAAAGGAGCAAGTCCATACATAAGAATTAAGTCAGTATGTGTTTTTATGGGGCCATTGGTAGGTAAAAAATATCAAAGGTGTCAACCACGGGGCCATTGGAGGAAAATGATCAGAAGTGTGGTAGACAAAAGATAGCCCGTAGCAGATTGCTGGGTGTGTGTTACTCATATGGCATCAAATGGTCTGAGGTCAGAGGGTATAGGGGTGTTTTGCCCAGTCAAGGACCAGTCTTCCCAAACTTTACTGCTAAATTTCCTTTTATAAGAGCCTTACGGAAGAAAAGGAGGCTTGGAGAAACAAGTGACTTGCTCGAGGTCACACTGCTAGCTGTATTCCTTATGGTGCCAGTGTTAACAGGTTACACACTGCTTCTCAGAACAATTCTTGTTGGCAGTTACAATACAAATTGTGATAGGATTCAAGCCCTATCACAGGGTGAGTGGAAGGACCATTCACACAGATCTTGAATGCTAAAATAACATCTAGCCTTTGCTTGTCAGCCACTGGGAAGACATTGAAGTTTAAAAAATAAACTAGATCTGGGCTGTATCTTAGTTTAGAGTATGTATATGTCCCTGTCAGCTTATACCTGAACTACAGAGACATTCTGAGAGTATTGAAAGTGTTCATCTGTCATTCAACTTTAAACTTGGGTCTTATTACTGTCCCTCACTGCATGTAGTATCATATAAATTAAAACACATTAAATACTTTTATTATTGTCTTGCCAATGACAAAATGAAAATGCACTATTATGTTAAAAGTGTTAATTTATATAAGGCAAAAGTTATTACCATTTTTGTAATCGTATTTTGGGATTTCATTAAGAAATATACAAGGAGCCTTATAAAATAGAAATGACTTGGCAGGGACATGATCATGATGGTGTAGGCTGCACTTGGCACTACCCCAGGGAGCTCTTGTGGATGACTACAGTGAGCGTTCTCATTGTAATTACTGCAGGTTTATATTGTTATTATGGTGATTTTCAGGCAGATGACATTGAAATATTGTAAGTAAGAGATGCTTTGTTTCCCTTGTTTGTCCACGATTGCCGTTGCAGATAATAGTGATGCTATGTCCTGAGCTTCTCCTGAACACTGAGGTCCTGGACATATGTGCATCAATGTTAGTGTCAAAGATAGTTTATGTATGCATCATCTCCATTTTCTAGTTTTTCTGGCTGTTTAATTGCTGTAAAATAGACCAATATGCCATTCAACCAGCAATTTCTTTATCTAATAATAGAGTGATTATAATGGCACCTACTGCATATGATTGCTGATAGCATAAAATGAGATAATGAATACTTTCTAAACATAGTATTTTGTCCAATAGATGTTAACTCTTATAGTGATCGCTTGATTTATTGATTTATGAAGTTGGCTCTGGGCTCAGTAGGTCAGAGATGAGAGTCTCGCTCTCCACATTACGATCAAGGACTTCTCTGGCCCTGGGTGAAATGGTGGTTTGCAGGGCTAACTCTAGGGGCATACCAAGAGAATAGAGGCACCAGGGGCATTTCCGGATGAGTGCCATTTATTAGTCTGTGGTTTATCAGTAGTGGAATTGCCAGTCATCTTACTGTGTTTAGTTCCCTTTGTCTTGATAGCGCAACCACTGTGCGTTTGTGTCTTATGTTTCTACCCCCTCTCACAATACTATAGTTGGGAGAGCTTAGTGGCAAGCTGTGCATAGACCCAGAGACATTAAAAATACACTGTCCAGGATTTTCCTTTTTCAGTGTGATAATGGTTAAGCGCACATCCTCCAGAATTAGACTACCTGGTATTGAATCCTAGCTTTGCCATTTATTAGCAGAGTGACCCTGGACTAGAACTTGACCACATAATATGTAGTTTCCTCAGTTATACAATGGGGGTAAGACATACTTATCTTTTATGGTGTAGGAATTAAAGGTGATAATTCATACAATATATTTATAACAATATCTGGCACCTAAAATTAAATAAATGTTAACTATTATTTCTGTGTTTACATGTTTAGCTATTCATCTAAATATTTATTGAGTACCTATAATATGTTCAACATTATTCTGAGTATTGGGGGGCACAATGAGCCACACTGTCATGGAACCCACATGCTAGTGGAAGAAATAGGTGACAAATAAAAAGTGAATAAATGAACTCCATACTTTCAGGATGATGTAAAAGGTAGAGGTGACTTTTGAGTTGAGACATAAAAGGGACTAGCTTTGGTCAAAGTTTATTTTAGTCTGGGCACAGTGTCTCACACCTATAATACCAGTACTTTGGGAGGCTAAGTTGGGAGGATCACTTGAGGCCCCAAGTTTGAGATCAGCCTGAGCAACTAATGAGGCCCCACCTCTACAGAAAAATCTTAAAAAATTAGCCAGTTTTGGTGGCCCATATTTGTAGACTCAGCTACTCAGAAGGCTCAGGTAGGAAGATCACTTGAGCCCAGGAGTTCAACGTTACAGTGAACCATGATCACACCACTGCACTGCAGCCTGGGTGAGACTTTGTCTATTAAAAAAAAACCAAAAAACAAAAAACGATTTTCTAGTCAGGGGACAACAACAAATGCCCCAATGCAAGAAGGAATTTGAAACATTCAAAGAACAGATAGAAATTTGGCATTGTTAGAGTAGAATAGGGGACAGGACAGGCAAGGTGATAGGAAACATGGGACAGGTCGTAGAAGAACCAGAAGAAAAAATGGATTTTATTCTAAATGTAACGGGAAAGCAAAGGAGCATTTTAAGGAAGAGAGGGGTATGACCTGATTTATGTATTTCACAAAAGTGGCTCAGGCTGTGGGAAGAGTGAACTTTGAGGAATG
Source organism: Homo sapiens (assembly GCF_000001405.40). Classification (NCBI taxonomy): domain Eukaryota; kingdom Metazoa; phylum Chordata; class Mammalia; order Primates; family Hominidae; genus Homo; species Homo sapiens. Next base: position 21,085,941 of record NC_000011.10, read on the forward strand.
AGTTGAAGCAGGAACACCATCAAGCTGTTGGAGTTTATGTTTTCACACCCGTGAGCTTCTGAAGGGCTCATCTCTCCATTCTCCATTTTTCAGAATGCAATAGGTACTTAGTAACTGCCTATTGGATGAATAAATAAATTGAATGAACCAGGAAACTCTGTAAATTCCACGTATGACAGGTACCTTGCCCTCATCCCTTGTAGGCAGGGGCTGTGTCATACCCTAACACCTGACCAGATCTGTTTTGTTCTCAGTAATTGGAGTGAATATTCCTAAGGAAAGGAAAATGGCAAATGATTTAGAAAGAAAGGAGAGTGTTCTGTATCTTTTTTTTTCAGCCTCTTGATTTTCAAACATTGAACCTAGTGACATTAAACAAAGTTTTTACTTTCTGTTTGGGCACATGAACTATTTTAGAATAAGAAGATTTTGTTTTTGCAGGATACTAAAAGCACTAGTATTTTCATTTACTAAATATTATCTTTACGTGTGGGGTAGGTAGCATTGGTAGAAGTCTTTTCAGGTCATCAATATAGTAGCTAAAAGATAAAATTTGGGCTGAGTCTGATACCGGAATCTTCACCCACCACCAGCAACAATCACCTATTGGCTTCTGTCGTTGGATTAACTTAAACGGAAAGCTTGATGTACCCAGTTACACGTGGGAACTTCTTACTTCATCATTGTTGATCCTAGAAGCTTTCATTTCCTTTCATAATAATTCATTAACCCTTTATCAACTTTTACCCTAAAATAGGTTCTAACTGAAGATAAAACTCAGTGTGACTTTCAGATAAAGAGCTTCTGATTTGAAAGGCAGATAGAAAAAACCTTGAATAGAAGAGAAAAAGAATGAATAACAAGTAGACTGTTGAGTCTTAATGGATCTTTTTTTTTTTTTTTTTTTTTGAGACGGAGTCTCACTCTGTCGCCCAGGCTGCAGTGCAGTGGAACGATCTCGGCTCACTGCAACCTCCCCCTCCCCAGTTCAAGGTTCAAGTGATTCTCCTGCCTCAGCCTCCAGAGTAGCTGGGACTACAGGCGTGTGTCACCACGCCTGGCTAATTTTTCGTATTTTTTAGTAGAGACAGGGTTTCACCGTGTTAGCCAGGATGGTCTCGATCTCCTGACCTCGTGATCCGCACGCCTCGGCCGCCCAAAGTGCTGGGATTACAGGCGTAAGGCGCCACTCCTGGCCCAGTGGAATGGTTTTAACTACATATAAAACTTATCTTTGACATTGGAGGTAGCAGAATGAAAATGTTCCTTTTATTTCATTGTCAAGAGCAAAACAAGTAGAATCAAAATTTTCACCAAACTTCAAGTGAAGAACAAGATAGGAAGAGGAAATTTTATGTTCATATCCTGGAACTTTTTAAGAAAATTTTTTTGTTTGAGTCGCCTTAGGTTTTGACTAAGGAATTTAATGCTGGTGTGATCTGAAAAGAAAAAAAAAAATATTTTGCTAGTTACTAGAGTTGCAAATTATAGCAGAATGCCAAAATTTATGGAAAGAGATCTTTATTCTCTATTTTTCTATTATCATACTGACAAATATTATTATATGTGAATGAGAAATTATTATGTTAAGGCCAGTAAGAACTTCTTTGCTTTTCTCTAATATCATTTATGAATGTTCAAAACCTGATGTCCTGGGAAGTTGTTTGGGACATAAGGTGCTTTAAACACCAGGGTCAGCTGAAATGCAGCAGGAAGGAGGGAGTATGAGATATTGAGTCCAGGCGAATTGTTTCCCTTTAGATTAGGAGTCAGCAAATTATGGCCCATGTACCAAACCTGGCCTCCTGACGGTTTTTTAAAAAATTGATATGTATTAGTTATATAGCTGATTGTTTTTGTAAATCAGGTTTGATTGGAACATAGCCACACTTACTTGCTTATGCATTACCTATGGCTATTTTTATGCTACAGTGGCATAATTGGGCAGTTGTGTCAGAGACGTGTTCCAGAAAGACTGTTACTATCTGGCCCTTTATAAGAAAACTGCTAATCCCTGTCATAGTGCAGATTTTAAAGTTTGCCATCCCTAATTCCCCAAAGCAAATTGTCTATCAGTCTTCTATGATGACAGCTTGTTTTCTGTGAGTCCCAGTAGCTCTGTGTGTGTGTGTGTGTGTGTGTGTGTGTGTGTGTGTGTGTGTGTGTATCACTGAATAAATTTTGTAGCTTCAATAAAGGCTATTGTTCTAGATTTTATGTACCTGGCCATAGGAGTTTATAGATGACCACGACCATACCCTCCGGGACATAGAGAATGTGCTTCAAAAGATACATAGCAGCAGTTTGGGCAAAATAATAATCGTGATAGAAGTAAACTGATATTGACAGAGTGCCTCTGTATTGCTGGATCTGTGTTTCACAATGGTTTTTTTCTCATTATCATAATTACTATGCAAAGTACAGTTAGAGTTTCACATGAGGAAAATAGGGAACTGAGGCTCTGAGAAGTTATTTTCTTAAAACAACAAATCTAGTGAGTCCAGACTCAAACCTGCCTTTGGCTCCAAAACCCATATATGTCCTTTCTATCACCACATTTGGGCTCTTCTTGGGTAAATTATACACATAAGTCAGACAAATTCAACAGATTTGTATTGATAGCAACAAATCATTTTTTTCTTAACTTTACACACCATCTTATACTGCATGTAATCTTATGCTGCCTATACAGGTCAAGTGACTTTTTTTTAGCTGCGAAGTGAGAAAGTATTAGTTTCTTACCACGAACTGCTATTCATACCTCACGTCTAATTTTTTTAAAGTGTATCTTCAAAATGGTTATAGAGGGCAATGTTCATACTCTTTGGGAGATTTGAAACATAGGTAGAGTGAGACATACCCCATCAGAATTTTCATCAGCATTTAATTTTTCAAAGAGGTACGAAGTCCTTCAAAATGCCACAGCTAAAGGTTGTTGGGGTCATGGGGAATTTGAGATCAATTATATGGGTAGCCTGCTACGATTTATCATTTGAAGATAGCATCTATGTGAATTTTAAGAGAGGCTAGTCAATATCACAGCACAGAGACAGGACACAGCCAGTATAAGAGTATTAGACATAAAAAAGAGAGAAGTGAAGCCTCCCTACTGTGGCCCCTCATGAATGGGGGATGGGACATAGATAAAAATGCTGAGTGCTATTTTAGCATAATTGCTTAGAGTAAAGCAAGGCTAAGACAAGAATTACTTATTTTTCAGTATAATAATTCAGTGTCTATCCTGAGCCAATAGAGGAATCAGATGTAATGGCTTACAAAAGTGAATCATGTAGTAGCCAAGTGGAAATTGGTTTAATTACATTAATTTGTCTCATTTTTCATTCTCCAAGGTGAGTGAAAAGCTTTTATGAAAACTAACCAAAGTGCTAATCCCTTGAAATTCATCCAAACATTTAAATAGCATTACATAAAATTATCAATTAGATTAGAAGGAAAAATAATTGTGGATGAATGTCTTCTCCCCTGTGGTGCATGTCTTCTCTCTTTGAATGGTTTCTTATGGACAGCAATGGTGGGCTATATATAATGAAACAAACCCCCCTCAGTAGGATGCATATTTGTACGGCTAACTATATAAATTTTGTCGGAAACAAATCAAAGACCAAGACAAAATTAACAAAGGCTGTTTATTCGTAAACTTGTGGCAAGGTAATCCATCTGCCGTTATTTGTTTCTGCAAGCTGCAAAGATATCAGAAAGGAGAGTAAGTTTTATAGAATTAAAAGAGGAAAGATTGAGGCAGTCTCTGATTGGCAATCATTCTATAGGGTGCGATTTTAGGACGCAGAGGAGACTTTCTCATTCATCTTTAGGAATATTGGTAGTCCTTGGTTGATGGCTAGGGAGCAAGCTAGCCATTTGGGGATATTTCAAAAGAGGAAGGATTGTTCAATCTTAGGGATGGAGGACTTTCTGTGGTTGGCCATTTCCTGGAACAAGTGCGGGCAAACGAGGTGCTTTTATTGTGGTTAGGCTTTCGTATGGTGCTTATTTGAAAGTGAGGGTCTGCCATGGCAGGCAGTTTCTCAGTGATTTCTTACTAGCTATAGTGGAGGAGAGAGGCAGGGCTTCCTATGGACCATGGTGTATTTGTGAGCTATCTTCATCTCTTATTGGAGATTAGTTTCCATTTTGCCACTTCCTGTAGTTTGAGATGTACAATAATACAGAAAATAAATAGAGTCTACAAAGAAGAGGAATGGTCAAAGAATGGGTGTTAAATGGCCCAGAAACATTGGTCTCAGCTGGGTTTATAAAGGCTAGTTCATCTTTCCAGTATTCAACGACCTCATTTGTTGTTGTTGATGGTGAGGGTGTTAGCCACAAAATTATGGTTAACACTCATCTCTAGGAGGGTAAGCAAAATATAGTACAGCCATGATGTGGATCATACATAATAGAAAAAGGCATTGGGGTTCTCCCTATTTGCCTGTTCAGTGTTTATTTCTCTAGTTCTAACAGAGCTATTTTGGCTCTATTAAAAAAAGCATTTATGTTCATGGTGTGGCCATGTATTTCTAACAAGCAGCAGTGAACTTGGGGTCAGGGGTTTGAGATTTGGGCTCGGCTCTGTCACTTTGCAGCTGTGTGACGTTGAGCTCATGGAAAGACCTGGTATATTGAGCAAGACAAATTAGGAGGGTTGAGAACAATGCCATAAATGCAGAGAGGTCTGCTTAAACTTTGGCTACCTCGACCTGCTTACTTTTCACTTATTTTTATGTGGATCTTAACAAATACCTTCATGAGTAAGGCTGATGGGGGATTCTTTCTGTTAGGTGAGATTTGAATTGAGGCAAAACCTCCAGCTCCTTGGGAGGCAAATGAGAGCTTTACCCAGATATAGGACATATATGATTTTTCTTAATCAACTGTCCTATTATTGGATATAATCTCTTTATGGATATCATATAACTGAAAGAGCCTGGAGTGTCAAAACAAAATAGACTTGGATTTCAACCCTGGCTCTGCCATGTGCTAAGCATAAGAGCCTAGGAAACTTAACTTTTCAAACCTTAGTTTCCTTTTCTGAAAAATAAAAAATGCCTTGCAGAATCATGTAGATTAAAGATGATGAATACACATTTTCTGGCACATAATAGGTGTTTAATAAACTGTAGCTATTTTTATATGACATAGATTTTGCCTCAGGCAACATCAGGAGGTCCATTTCTGGCTCAGTATCTCCTCAATGATAAATATCCCCTTCTCTGAAGATCTTTTCTGGAGCTGGGAAATATATAACATTATCTGGTAGATTTTACCCCCTCTATTTAAACAGCCTAGATAAAGACCTCAGAACATTTTTTGAGCATTATAAAGAATGCCTTGAGGAATTTCCAGCTAGTTAAAAACTGGCCTTTATATAACTCTGGTTTAAATAACTCAGTTATGTGAGAACGGGGACTCAGCGAATAAAGTTATTTCTAAGCCAACAGCGAATGCATGGAAACATGGATAAAATGGATGATAATCTGAAAATTCATTTTCAACTTTAGAGAGCAGATATTTTTAAATTTTTAATGCATTTTCAACTAACAGACTAGGCAAATAGGGAAAATGATCATTCTAGGGTCTACTGTTATCTCACCATGCTTCTAATTTTGATTTTGATTTTAATATATAACATATTCACCATACGTCTTATCCATTGCTGTGTTTGTTTATCCAGCTATCCATCCATTCATCCAATTATTTGTCCTTAGTCATTTGTTTTTAAATGTTATTCAGCCCACATTCGATACTAGATTCCATGTGTGCTGAGGGTTAAAGATACAGAAATGTAAGACATCCCCTGTGTTTAAAAAAAATTCAGGCCATTGAAGTAGATGCATGCACAATGACAATGACAATATAATTGAACTTTACAGAATTTAACTTCATAAAAACTGAGAAGGGATGGTGATTCTTCTCTCAGGGTAGGCCCTAAGTCAAGGACGTGTACAAGGTACCATAGGGGGCCTAGTGTAAGGATGGAGGATGGGAAGGCAGAACTTTTTTGTGGAGTGAATCTCAAGATGGATTTTGAAGGATGAGAATATATTTGCTCAAGGAACAGGTGAGTAGAGCATCCCAGATGGAAGGAACAGGATGAGAAATGGCACCGAGTATTCCAAGGTGATGTGATTTTTTTAAAACACATAATATCTACTGGATGGCTTTTTCATTTTCTTGGTTCAAATCTGTCAATAGGACTCAGTAAGTAGTTCAGGATTTTGGTCAATAGCAGCTTGGATTAGAAGGGCAAGTTAGGTAGACTGAAAATATTCATGGTTAGTAGAAGGACAGTGGGAACAGTGTCTATAGGGACAATAGCTCAGTGGTTAAGGGTCAGCACCCTGTAGCTGGCTGACTAGCATTAGACCTGGATCTAGTAGGTTTTGGCTGTACAGTCTTAAGCAAGTTACTTAACTATTCTGTGCCTTAGTTTTTCCCATCTGTAAAATGGAATGAATAAAGATACTATTACATGAGGTTCTAGTGAGAATTAAATGAGTTAATACATGTAAAGGGTGTAGAACAATGTCTGGCACGTGGGAAATGTGCAGAAAGAAACTGTGTATTTCCTAAAATGATAATGATGATGATGATAATATATGCCCCCTAGAGAGGAGAAAAATTGAGGCCCATCTGCATTTTAGGTACAGCTCTAGGAAATTTACATACCTGATCAATTTGCTGTCAAAAAAATCCAGTGAGGGTATTTCTACAAAATAGCCATTTGTAGAAAAGGAAACAGACAAAATGAATGTGTGCAATGTTATTACATAGCAAGGTACAGAAGCTGAATCTACATCAAAGTCTACTTATCTATGGTTAATATTATGTGGAGACCTGAGAGCTAGAGAACTTGCTGATGGGAAGTAGTTGGGAGGCTTTGGGACCTAGAAGGCCTAGGGATAGCTCTAGGATGATAGCATGTAAAGGAGAATCTAGATGCAGATGAACGCAGAAATCTAGGTGAACAGACAATTCTCTTCTAGGTGGTCTGGCGGGATCAGAGCAGAGAAGAGTCAGCTTGGAGTCTGGTATACAAGTCTTGTTTTCTGTGAGCAACAGGAACAGGGCTAGGCAGGCAGTGGAGAGCTACTGAATGTTTACCATTGGTTCAGGGGTGGGAGGAGGAAAAGCCCGATTTGTAGTTTATTGATTTCTTTGGTGTAAATATTTCCATCAACAGGCCAATGTGAAATCACTGACTGTGGATTTGGGAAGACATGTGCAGAGTCAGCTTTCATGAGCCTGTGTGAACTTGGGGAAACATACCACTGAAGCCAGGGCCCCAGACTGAGATGCAAGATGACAAACTGTAGGGATTATTCTGGTAACCCACAAAGTCCATCTTTGCCATTTGGGCAGAGTCCTACTGATTGATTGATTTTTTTTATTTTTATTTTTTTGTTATCATGATGCAGTCACTACTAGTTGTACTTCTTCTTTGGCCAACTCTCTAGCATTCAATTTGGTCCCCAACAAAGATTGTACTTGTCAACTGAACCATACACTGCCAGGTTCGTCAGGCCTTTCATATTGCCTCAGATCCTCTCCTGAGCCTCCTGTAGCCATACAGCCATCTCTGTTACTGTATTAGTTTGCTTTCATGCTGCTGATAAAGACATACGAGAGACTGGGCAATTTACAAAAGAAAGAGATTTAATTCGAATCACAGTTCCATGTAGCTGGGGAAGCCTCATAATCATAGCGGAAGGCAATGAGGAGCAAGTCACGTCTTACATGGATGGCAGCAGGCAAAAAGAGAGAGCTTGTGCAGTGGAACTTCTGTTTTTAAAACCATCAGATCTCATGAGATTTATTCGCTATCATGAGAACTGCATGGGAAAGACTTGCCCCCATGATTCAATTACCTCCCACTGGGTCCTTCACACAACACATGGGAATTCGAGATGAGATTTGGTTGGGGAAACAGCCAAATCATATCATTCCACCCCTGTACCCTCCCAAATCCCATGTCCTTGTATTTCAAAACCAGTCATGCATTCCCAACAGTCCCCCAGAGTCTTAACTCATTTTAGCATTAACTCAAAAGTCCACAGTCGAAAGTCTCATCTGAGACAAGACAAGTCCTTTCACTAATGAGTCTGTAAAATCAAAAGCAGGTTAGTTACTTCCTAGATTCAATGGGGGTACGGGATTGGGTAAATACAGCCACTCCAAATGGAAGAAATTGGCCAAAGCAAAGGGGCTACAGGCCCCATGGAAGTCTGAAATTCATCAGGGCAGTCAAATCTTAAAATTCCAAAGTGATCTCCTTGGACTCCATGTCTCACATCCAGGTCATGCAGATGAAAGAGGTGGGTTCCCATGGTTTTGGGCAGCTCTGACCCTGTGGCTTTGCAGGGTACAGCCTCCCTCCAGGCTGCTTTCACAGGCTGGCATTGAGTGTCTGCATCTTTTCCAGGCACATAGTGCAAGCTGTTGGTGGATCTACTGTTCTGGGGTCTGGAGGATGGTGTGGCGCTCTTCTCACAGCCCCACTAGGCAGTACCCCAGTAGGGTCTCTGTGTGGGGGCTCCAGCCCCATATTTCCCTTCCACACCGCCCTAGCAGAGGCTCTCCATGAGTGTCCTGCCCCTGCAGCAAACTTCTGCATGAGCATCCAGGCATTTCCATACATCTTATGAAATCTAGGTGGAGTTTCCCAAACCTCAATTCTAGCAAGCTTAACACCATGTGGAAGCTGTCAAGGCTTGGAGCTTTCACCCTCTGAAACCATGGCCTGAACTCTATGTTGGCTTCTTTCATCGGTGGCTGAAGAAGGCTGGGACACAGGTCACCAAGTCCCTAGGCTGCACATAGCACGAAGACCCTGGGCCTGGCCCACAAAACCATTTTCTTCTAGGCCACTGGGCCTGTGATGGAAGGGGTTGCTGTGAAGACTTCTGACATGCCCTGGAGATATTCTCCCCATTGTCTTGGGGATTAACATTTGGCTCCTCATTACTTATGCAAATTTCTGCAGCTGGCTTGAATTTCTCTTCAGAAAATGGGTTTTTCTTTTCTATCACATTTTCGGGCTGCAAATTTTCTGAACTTTTATGCTCTGCTTCCCTTATAAAACTCAATGCCTTTAGCAGCAGCCAAGTCACCTCTTGAATGCTTTGCTGCTTAGAAATTTCTTCCACTGGATACCCTAAATCATCTCTGTCAAGTTCAAAGTTCCACACATCTCTAGGGCAGGGGCAAAATGCTCCCAGTCTCTTTGCTAAAACATAACAAGAGTCACCTTTGCTCCAGTTCCCAACAAGTTCCTCATCTCCATCTGAGACCACCTCAGCCTGAACCTTATTGTCCATATCGCTATCAGGCTTTTCATCAAAGCCATTCAACAGGTCCCTAGGAAGTTCTGACCTTTCTACATTTTCCTGTCTTCTTCCGAGCCCTGCAAATTGTTCCACCCTCTGCCTGTAACCCAGTTCCAAAGTCGCTTCCACATTTTTGGGTATCTTTTCAGCAGTGCCCCACTCTACTGGTACCATTTTACTGTATTAGTTTGTTTTCATGCTGCTGAGAAAGACATACCAGAGACTGGGCAATTTAAAAAAGAAAGAGGTTTAATTGGACTTACAGTTCCATATGGCTGGGGAGGCCTCACAATCATGGCAGAAGGCAATGAGGAGTAAGTCACGTCTTTTTTCTTTTTTTTTCAAGACAGAGTTTTGTTCTTGTTGCCCAGGCTGGAGTGCAATGGCACAGTCTCAGCTCACTACAGCCTCCACCTCCTGGGTTCAAGTGATTCTCCTGCCTCAGCCTCCCAAGTGGCTGGGATTACAGGCATGCACCACCATGCCCAACTACTTTTGTATTTTTAGTAGAGATGAGGTTTCAGCATGTTGGTCAGGCTGGTCTTGAACTCCTGACCTCAGGTAATCCACCCGCCTCAGCCTCCCAAAATGCTGGGATTATAGATGTGAGCCACTGCACCCAGGCAGTCACATCTTACATGGATGGCAGCAGGCAAAGAGAGAGCTCGTGTAGGGGAACTCCTCTTTAAAACCATCAGATCTCATAAGACTTATTCACTGTCATGAGAACAGCAAGGGAAAGTCTTGCCCCCATGATTCAATTACCTCCCAACAGTCTCTCCCACAACATGTGAGAATTGAGGATGCAAGTTGGGTGGGGACATAGCCAAGCCATATCAGTTGCCTTTGCCCACTACCCAGATCACCAGGCCTTTTTATGACTTACCCTCTTCTAGCGCCAATGTCCGGTTCTATTTTTGTGTGTCCTAGGAGCTGATTCTTCTCTCTGCCTGTTCTTTTCCCACCCACCACACTGTGTTCTTTGGAAACCTTATTGCATTGTAAAAAAACGTCCCCTACATCCTCATTGAACTCTTCACAGAATGTCCCTCTGTCTCTCAGCCTTTTTGAATTCCTTTGGGGATACAGCTCTCCTACAGCTCTCTGAGTGGAGGTTGTATTTTCTCCCAGAAGCAGCATCAACTTTTCCAAAGACAGCTTTGCTGCATCTAGAGTAATTTCTTCCTTCCTCATACAAAACCCTTTCTCTTCTGAAGCCCCAGCCATCTGCTTATAACACCTGTTATCCCTTCTAATTGCTGTCAGTGACAAATCTCCTGGCCACTCCCCCTCATTTGTTGAGGTCTTTGGCACCTACCTGCTCAGGCTTTATCTCTATCATAAACTGTACCATCATTCTAGGCAGAAGTCCAGCCTTGAAGATTTCTATTTTGGGGACTACAATCATCTTCACTCCATACCACTTCCATATGCTCTTTTGTTTGTTTTTTCTCTTTTTTGATACGGGGTCTCACTCTGTCACCCAGTGGCACAATCATGGCTCACTATAGCCTTGACCTCCTGTAAGTGATTCTCCCACCTCAGCCTCCTAGGTAGCTGGGACTACAGGTACACGCCACCACACCTGGCTAAGTTTTTGTATTATTATTATTTGTAGAGACGGGTTTTGTTGTGTTGTCCTGGCTGGTCTTCAACTCCTGGGTTTGAGTAATCCTCCTTCCTTGGCCTCCCAAAGTGCTGGGATTACAGGCACGAGCCACCACCCCTGGCCTTCCTAATGCTCTTGACCTTGCCATTGCTTAACTACTCTACTCCTAAAATCATAAATTCAGACTAACCTCCAGGTAGAATCTTTCAGCCCAAAGTTTTTGCACACTCTCACTCCACTCATCAACTCGCTGCAGCCAGATTTCTACGTTCATTCTACTTGTACTGTTCTTAACGTAGTCACCGATGCTCTGCTGACTGTCAGATTTACCCTTCATCCTGCTTTCAAAATGACATTGTTGGATATAAAATGCTCCAGGAATAAATGCTTGGTGCCGTGAAGTAAAACCAGCACTCAGGCAAAAGTTTAATTCTCTCAGCAAGGCAATGTATTTCTGCAGAAGGGTGCCACTCGCATCAGTCAAGATTGCAAGAGCACAGAGAACAAAGGACACCAGGGGGTTTTTATATCCTGGACGCAGTCCTTATCTCTTTGTCCCTCCCTATGGGCTGGGGATGGACTGCACAATCTGAACTGACCCAACTGGCTACTTGTACATATTTTCCTAAATGTACTGGGGGAGGGGGATGTGAGGTACAGAGGTGGAGTGTGTGAGATGTGCAATTTCGGGGGAACAATGGGTACAGGTAGCCGAGGGAACAGATGTGAGTTATTGATTAGAGCTGACGGGAAGCAGGGTAGGCTGTTTACAGCAACTAGGGGCAAGGAAGAATAAGAAAGTTGAGTTTGAGAACAAAGGATAAGGAAGTTAACAGGCTAAATCCTTTGAAGAGAAACTCAGAAAGATTTATTTTGTCTTACAATGTGTTAAAACTGCATGAGTTATCATGTCATTTCCTAGCTTAAAAACTTAAATAATTGTATATTAGTTTATGCATTCATTCAGAGGCATAGAACAGTGAACTAAGCAGTCAAGAAAACACTGCTCTCAAATGCACATATCTCATTTGTGTTTTTTAAGAAAGAAAGAAAAACATTTTTAAAAATCTCCCTCCCAACTCCAAAAAAAAAAAAAAAGCTACCCTGATCAGTTTGTAGTTTCATGCAGAGCATATATCCCCATTGTCCTCAGGATGAAGTTTACACTCTAAAGACATTCAAGGTCTGCCTGGATCTGACCTTCCTTATGCCACAGCTAAGTTCTGGTTCCTAACACCAGCTTCCAATTCTGTGAAGTCACATTCATGGGTGGGGCTTCTTCATGCCCTGTGTCTTTTCTATGGTAATTATTTTTCCAGGTATTCTTTTCTTTTCCATTTCTTACCTTCTCCTTTATCCATCTTTTATGACATCTTGTGTCACGACCTTTTCTAGATAGGATTACTTATCACCTTCTTGTGACAGTTCCATGCATATTTCGTACATGTCAGGGTCCTTTATTTTTACCTCTGTCTCTTCTTATTAACGGTGAAAGGCATGGCCAAGCCTGCCTAATCTCTGTAACCTCATCGCCCAGCATAGCTCCTGGGCAGCTGAGCTCCTAAGAGCAGGTGAATATCTAAGGGCTTGTGTAGGACTCAGGTAAACACTCTCACCCTCAGAAACTCATAGTGAAAACACCTACCTGGCTCTGTCCTACCCCACCCAAAACAGTAGAGTAGTATTTGGAAAGACCAGTGGAAATTTCCAGTGGGACTTTTTCCCTGATGGTACCACTTTGTTGAAGGTCTTTATGTTGAAGCAGGTGCTCCAGGGTCACAGGTGTGTGAGGAAGAAGAAGCTGTCATTGATTGAACTCTGGCCCATTTTTTTACTCCAGGTTTTTCCCCCAGTAAAACTTTTTAGATCAGCATTTGATAATAAATACCCCCCAATTCCTTTGCTACCCTCTACCCTTCTCTCTCTCTCTGTCTGCCTCTCGTGTATGTGTGTGTTTGTGTATCCTAAAATTCTAAAATTTGTTTGTAACTCTCAGGCATGTCTCTGAGTTAGACATCAACATATATCTAAAAGGAGTGATCTCAGCATTTTTTAACCTTCAGAAAATTATTATTATTATTATATTTGTGTATTTTAATTGTATTTTTCCAAAAACTCGTTTCCTTTACCTAATGTAGGACGACCAATTCATCTTTGTTATCAGCCTTTTATTTATTCAAGTCTCTTTTATTTTGCTACTCCTAAAGAAGGTTTCCACTCAAAAGGCATAAATTCTGAGTTTTTTTAAACTTAGGAGTTTTAATTTCTTTCACAATTTATTGGAAAAAGACACTGAACAACACACACACACACACACACACACACACACACACACACACAAACACACACACACACACACGGATCAGCTGTCATCCCATGGCATAGTCCAAGGAATAGCAGCTGGGCTCAGGCAGGGAAAAGGAAAAGTCAGTTTGCCTGAGCAGGAGGCAGCAGCCCTGGGGTTGTCAGCAGGGAGCAGCAGTCCATGGAGGAAGAGAATGCCTCTCTCATCTCATCTTGTGAAGGGACAGTCAAGGGGCATTGGCTGGCTCGGTGGATGAGTCAGGGTAATCACTGACGGGTGGCAACACCAACTTGAGGAGACGCTGGCTTTCGCTTAGGTCCCCAAGGCTGGCTAGCAAAGCCCAGTAACCTGTCAAGAATGGCTTCCTTTGAACCAAAAAAATGAGAGGCAGCAGCTTGAGACATGTATTGAGGCATAAGACGTGGTGCAAGGTATATTATGTGCACCAGCTCACTGGATCTTCACAACAACCCTGTGTTCCTCAGATGTGGAAACCCAAGTTCAGAAATCTTAGGGAACTTTCCCACAGTAACACTAATAGGTAGAAAATCTGGCATTTGAACTATTTGTCACATTTTTTTCTTTCCAGCTATGTGACATTCAGCTACTCAGGGGCATGCCTGTTTTCTTGTCCTCTGAGTGAAAAGAAATACAGGCCTGGGATTGGTACCCTTTTTATTTTTCAACAACTTTACTGAGATATAACTCACATACTAGGCAATTTACCCATTTAAAGGGTACAAATCAATGGGATTTCAGTATATTACAGTATTTTACAAATTGTGCTAAAATGTATAGAACATAAAATTTGCCATTTTAGCCCTTTTTTTTTTTGAGACACAGAGTATTGCTTTGTTGCCCAGGCTGGAGTACAATGTCACAGTCTTGGCTCACTGCAACCTCCACTTCCCGGGTTCAACTGATTCTCATGCCTCAGACTCCTGAATAGCTGGGATTAGAGACATGCAGCACCACGCCTGGATAATTTTTTGTATTTTTAGTAGAGACAGGGTTTCGCCACGTTGCCCAGGCTGGTGTCTAAATCCTGAGCTCAGGCAATCCTCCCGCCTAGGCTTCCCAAAGTGCTAGGATTACAGGCATCATCCACCATGCTCGGCCTCCATTTTAGCCATTTTAAGTGTACAGTTCAGTGGCATTAATTACATTCACAATGTTGTGCAACAATCATCGCTATTTTCAAAGCTTTTTTATCACTGGATACAGAAACTCTGTGCTCATTAAGCATCGACTGTCCAATCTTTTCTCCCTTCAGCTCTTGAAATCTCCCAGCTCCTGGAAACCTCAAATTTATGGTGGAACCACAATATGGAAAACAGCTTAGCGGTTTCTCAAAAGCCTAAACATGGAATTACCATATGATCCAACAATTCCATTTGTAGACATATACTCCAAGGAACTGAAAGCAGACACTTGAGGAGATACTTGTACACCAATGTTGCAGCATTATTCACAACAGCCAAAAGGTGGCTTGTTCTAATCCCAACCACATATAGAGGGCCCAAGACTCTGCTATACCATAGCAGCTTTGCTTAATTCTATTTTATATATTGTTCTTCCAAGTTAGGTATTATTCCAGATAGAGACAGTATAGCAAAGTACAATGTTTCTTTCTTTCTTTCTTTCTTTTTTTTAATTATACTTTAAGTTTTAGAGTACATGTGCACAACGTGCAGGCTAGTTACATATGTATACATGTGCCATGTTGGTGTGCTGCACCCAGTAACTTGTTATTTAACATTAGGTATATCTCCAAATGCTATCCCTCCCCACTCCCCCAACCCCACAGCAGGCCCCAGTGTGCGATGTTCCCCTTCCTGTGTCCATGTGTTCTCATTGTTCGATTCCCACCTATGAGTGAGAATATGCGGTGTTTGGATTTTGTCCTTGTGATAGTTTGCTGAGAATGATGGTTTCCAGCTTCATCCATGTCCCTACAAAGGACATGAACTCGTCATTTTTTATGGCTGCATAGTATTCCATGGTGTATATGTGCCACATTTTCTTAATCCAGTCTATCATTGTTGGACATAAGGGTTGGTTCCAGGTCTTTGCTATTGTGAATAGTACCGCAATAAACATATGTGTGCATGTGTCTTTATAGCAGCATGATTTATAATCCTTTGGGTATATACCCAGTAATGGGATGGCTGGGTCAAATGGTATTTCTAATTCTAGATCCCTGAGGAAATGCCACACTGACTTCCACAATGGTTGAACTAGTTTACAGTCCCAACAACAGTGTAAAAGTGTTCCTATTTCTCCACATCCTCTCCAGCACCTGTTGTTTCCTGACTTTTTAATGATCGCCATTCTAACTGGTGTGAGATGGTATCTCATTGTGGTTTTGATTTGCATTTCTCTGATGGCCAGTGATGATGAGCATTTTTTCATGTGTCTTTTGGCTGCATAAATGTCTTCTTTTGAGAAGTGTCTGTTCATATCCTTCGCCCACTTTTTGATGGGGTTGTTTGTTTTTTTCTTGTAAGTTTGTTTGAGTTCATTGTAGATTCTGGATATTAGCCCTTTGTCAGATGAGTAGATTGCAACAATTTTCTCCCATTCTGTAGGTTGCCTGTTCACTCTGATGGTAGTTTATTTTGCTGTGCAGAAGCTCTTTAGTTTAATTAGATCCCACGTTTCTTTCTTTCTTTCTTTCTTTTTGAGATGGAGTTTTGCTCTTGTCATCCAGGCTGTAGTGCAGAGCAGTGGCGTGATCTTGGCCTCCCGAGTTTGAGCGATTAATCTGCCTCAGCCTCCTGAGTGGCTGGGATTACAGGTGCTTGCCACTGTGACCAGCTAATTTTTGTGTTTTTAGTAGAAACGGGGTTTCACCATGTTGTCCAGGCTAGTCTCGAACTTCTGACCTCTGGTGATCCACCCACCTCAGCCTCCCAAAGTGCTGGAATGACTGGCATGAGCCACCACACCCGGCCAAAGTACAATGTTTCTTAACCTTTTTGTTAAAAAATTATTGCTTCCCTAAGGAGTCTTTTAAACATTTTTACCTTATCCCTGTCCCATGAAATTTTATTACCAGAGATACACTATCTGTTCATGAGCATGGCCCTTTGGGGAACCACAGACCTTTATAATATCTAATATCACCACCATTACTACCACCTCTAGACCCAGTTTTTCACCCCCTTAGAGGTAATGTCACTCTAGTTGAGACTGCATGGTGTAGAGGTTAGAAGCACCACATTAGGAGCCAGGTCTGCCTGGATTTTTGTTTGGCTCTGCCCCTTACCTGCTGTATGACCTTAGACTAGTTGCTTAGTCTCCATGTCTCAATTTCTTTATCTGTAGACTTGGGATGCTAAAAAACAATACCTACTTCAAAGGGTTATTATGAGGATTAAATGAGTTAATAATATAGGACAGCACCTGGCACTTGCAAAATGTTATACAAATGTTACCTGTTGTTATTTTTAACAGAGTTCTTTCACTTAAAAAATGACTTAAAATCCACTGGACATTATGGGCACCAGATTCTCTCCTACTTCCCACCTTTTGCATGGTGTTTTCCGTTCCACCTTTGGGTTGTGTTTTCAGTGATAATATGAATAATTATTATGCATTTAAAATTGTTTTCTCTTCTTTCCCCATCCATTCATTTTTGTCTCAACAATCACATTGCATAGGAGTCTGGACTTAGTGATTTTTTAAGAACCAGCTTCAGTAGTTTATGGTTTTCATAATAAGGTCATAGATATAGTCACATATATAAGAATTTGGAATTGGGAATAAGGTTGATTTCAGTTAAAGAAGCTTATTTCATCTAAGGACTCTCTACATGGCGAAATACATGAAAAAGTAACGTAACTAGTCTTCTTGAGTACATTTAGCTGATCATCATTCATCATACAGGTGGTAGAGGACAAAATGTTTTTAATGAACCGAGGTTGTGTTCATTAACTACCTGCTCATAGGTCCACAGGCCCTTGTTTGTTTGTGTAATTCAGTCTGGTGTTTAATCATTGGTTAATTTGATCCTGTAGTGAATCAGATCTAAACCTCTGGCACCAAATCATTTATTTTTAAAGGCCTAAAGCCTGTTCACTCTATTTTGACTGCTTGAGGGGAGGGGTGAATGAATAATTTGACCAAGTAACTGTGGGAAATTGCTATCGAATTAACCAAGAAATGTGAATACTTTTAAAGGGGAAGCTAAGTTTGCCTTGTAGAGAGGCACAACAGAGTAGATGCCAGGGGCTAAAATTCCCCAGAGGTCACCTTCCTGCTAGTTAATCTCTTGAGCCTCCATAAGGTAAAAATGTTAATAATACCTACCTGTGTGGTACTTGTAAAGGTGAAATGAATTGATACATGCAAAATGCTTAAAACTATGCTTGGCATAAAGTGGTGGTTAATAAATGGTACCTATTATTATATAAAAAGGTACAATCAGAGATAAAGAGGATATAGACAGCTTTGCTGGTAGTATTGCACTCTTACATCTTGTTTACTCTTGACTGAATTTTCTTTATCTTTGCAAAACAAGAGTAGCTAGCTAATGGAATCAGAGAGATAGGAAAGACCATCAATGTTTTATGAAGGCATCTTTCTTGCATTTTCAAGACTCAAAACAATTATTATTTTCTGGGGGATTCCTTCCCCAGTCTCTTTCAACGGAATTAGCCTCTTCTTTCTCTTGTAGAAATTTTATTGTTTTTACAAAGTTCATGTTCTTGTGACTGCCTCTCTGCTGGATTGATACAGCTTCTGTGAAGGCAGAGACCACATCCCACTGACATTTGGAAACTTTACGGCCTATAGCATTTGGTAGCCTCTCAATATTTTTTGAATTTCCTTTTCCAATTTCAGGGAATCCAAAAGACGATAGTAGCTTTTACATTTCTAGGGTGTTCTTTGATAAGCCCAATGGACTGAAAAGTCTTAAGTCCATTGGACCTTTTTGGAAGCACTCACTGGGTTTGTTGGTACCATCAGTTGAAGCAGAGTTCACACCCTGACAGATTGAGGTAGGCTGAGGCACATCCTAAGGCCAAGACTGAATTGATCACCCTTCACTCAATGTGTTTCTTTCCGTGTGGACATTTAACATCAGTTTTATGGACACCCTCAAAAGTCAGAAATACCAGGTTGGGAAGAAAGTCATGGGGTGTTGTCTTATGATGCCTTTCCAGTGCCAGCTAGAAATTCGTATGCTGTGATTCCCAGGGGCACAAAAAGATATGTTACTTTATGACAGTGTTTGATTCTGAAATTGAGCCTAGCAAGGGGAAATAAAAATGACTTAGCATGAATTCCCAAATATTTAACATAGCTACATGTGGAAAATACTTGAAAAATGTCAGCAATCCAACACTCTAATTTGTATTTCATGGTGTATGTAACCTTGTTGAAGAAGACTTCTTTACCATACATGGGATGACCAAAATGTCGTTTGAATTTTTAATCTGAAAATATTTGATCTGGTAATCAACACATCTGCTTGACGCATATGTTAGAAGATGATGTTAAAATTCATTTCACTGGGCACCTGAGAAATGTAAAGTGTTATGTTATCATTATTAGTCAGCTCAAGCTGCCATAACAAAATACCATAGACTAGATGGCTTGCACAACAAATGTTATTTTCTCACATCTCTGGAGGCTGATAGTCTGGGCGCCAGCATGGTCAGGGTCTCATGAATGCTCTCTCTGACTTGCCTTTTCCTTGTGTCTTCAGAAAGAGAGCACTATATGTCTGTTCTTATAAGGGCACTAATCCCATTGTGAAGGCCTCACCCTCATGACCTCATCTAATCCTAATTATCTCCTAAGGGCACCATCTCTAAATACCAACATATTGTGAGGTAGGGCTTCCACATATGAATTTGGGGGGGACACAGTTCAGTTCATAGCAGTTATCTAGGCATCTCCCTAGATTGTCTTACTGAAGCAGCATCATTGTCTGGGGTAAATACCCAAGGTTTGTTGCCTCATGCCAAGGAAATCAAGGACACAGACACACGTGGAGTGGGGTTAA
This sequence comes from Homo sapiens, assembly GCF_000001405.40. Lineage (NCBI taxonomy): Eukaryota > Metazoa > Chordata > Mammalia > Primates > Hominidae > Homo > Homo sapiens. The sequence continues at coordinate 21,105,212 of NC_000011.10, forward strand.
GAGTGGAGGTTTAATAGGCAAAAGAAAGAGAAAAGAGAAATAGCTCTCTCTCCTGCAGAGAGAGAGAGGGCCACCAAAGTGGGAATTTCTGCCCAAGGCAAAGTGCACAGTGTTTTATAGACAGGCTTGATGAGACAGTGTCTGATTTACATAGGGCCAAAAGACTGGTTGAACCAGATGTGGTGTTTACGTCACACTCAAGGAAGCTGGCCACCCCACCTTAATCTTTTATTATGCAAATAGGGTCTCTACCTGGCCATTGCCATGTTGCCTGCTCCCTACTGTGAATGTGGTTGACAAAGAAAGGAGAAGATGGAGCCACCATGTTGGACATGCCTAGGGCCCGGATAGCCTTTTCCTATTGGCACAGCTGCCAGCATTTGCCCGTGCAAGCTTCCAGCTTGCTTATCTGTGTCTGCAGCTCGATTTTATGGGTTGCTCTTTGTTAGAAAAGAAATTGATTTTGGTGCTGCTTTTCATTAAAAGGAAAATCTTACCAAGGACTTCCTTACCCTCACTATCTGCCTAAATAATTTCTTCCTAACTCCTATATCATTACCTCTCCCCTCCCCTCCCCTCCCCAACCTTCCCCTTCCCTCCTCTCCCCTTCCCTCCCTTCCCCTCTCTCCCCTCCCTTCCCTCTCTCCCCTCCCCCTCCCCTTCCTCTCTCCTCTCCTCTCCTCTTTATTCTTCCCCCTTCCTTCCCTCCCTCATTCCCTCCCTCCCTCCCTTCTTTCCTCCCTCCCTCTCTTTCTTCCTTTCATCTTTCTTCTTTCTCTCTGTTTCTCTCTCCTCTTGGCTCACTAATGCTCCTTGTGATAACATGCCTTAAGGCACAGACCTCCATGGATTAAATCTGATAGATAGCTATGTTTTGCTTGGTTCAAAATGTTTGGAGAAAAATATGAAGCCAATATTTAAAAAATAATGCTAAGATTTTCACCTTCTCTAAAAAGATCAGAGACCTAGCCCACAATTCCTGAGAGGCAATACAGACTGTGGAGTTGTGCTGCCTGAACTCCTCTCCTGGCAGTCCAGGTCTGCTTCCTAGCTATGTGACCTTAGACAATTTACTGCATGTTTCTATGCCTCTATTTCCTCATCTGTAACATGAGGATGATTCTAATATGCACCTCATAGAGTGTGAATATTAAATGAGTTAATCCATTTAAAGCACTTAAAACTTCCTGGTGCATAGAAAATACTATATAAGCACTGTTTCTTATCACACCTTCCTGGTACTATTTCACTAGAGCTACAGTTTTCTACAGTCCACACTCTTCCTATTGTTTTTCTGCCACTGGGGTTAAGTGTCACTTTTTATTACCATTGGCCTTGCATCGTGTTTTTTCTCTTATAAAAGAGATCCATTCCATTGTTCTTGGAGTAGGAAAATGAGAAAGAGGAAAAGAAAGAGAGAGAGAGAGATAGCTGGCTTTCTGTGTTAAGAAAAATAAGAAAGACTTGATTTCTTTGTGGAAAGGACATGGTTTGCATATATATTTTTTTACCTGACTTCTGTAGGTATTTGATTTATATTCCTAGGTTCTATAGGCATTTGTTTTTCCCCCCTTGCTTTAGGGAGGACGCTATAATTATAGAAAAACATGGAACATTGAGTAAAGCACTAATTTCAGAATTAGAAGACTTTGATTCTATTCCCAGTGCAATGATTATCTGTGTTCCTTTGGGCAAGTTGGAAATTTTCTCTGGGTCTTTACTTTCTCATCTGAAAAAGGGAAGAATAATTTACATCTTGTGTGCCTCGATGTTTTTATTGTTTTTAATTTTAAAAGTATTTTTAGAGCAGTTCTACGCTCATAGCAAAACTGAAAGCACAGAGATTGCCCATATACCTCCTGCTGTTATCCGTTATCAATATCCCTCACCTGAGTGGAACATTTGTTACAATTGATGGACCTTCACTGACATGTTATAATTACACAAAGTCCGTAATATACATTTAGGGTTCACTCGTGGTGTTGTATATTTTTTGGGTTTGGACAAATATATAATAACCTGAATCCACCATTACAGTATCATAAAGAGTATTTTCACTGCCCTAAAACCTCACTGGATTTTTATAAGTTCAAATCAGAGATAATAGGCCCAATTAAAAAAAAATCAGTATGACACAAAGGGAAAGTAGTGATTGTTCTAATATACCAACCAGTTAGCCAACACCACTGTGTTTTTATAGCTCATGATCTCTGCAAAGTCAGTAGGTTCAAGTCTGATAAAATTGCTCTGCAAGTTATCTTACCAGTCCATGAAGAACTTGCCAAGAGCTATGCTTTTGTGTGGATATCTGCTTGTTCACCCTAGTTGCTCTTAGTTTTCAGGGGAGATGTCAACGCAGTTGACACAGCTATCAAGAAATAGTGTGGGGGCTCGGGTCATCTAGATAGTATTTTCCTGGACCTGTATCTTGGGAAAGGCATCTGGAACATCTGCAAGCTCCTCTTGCAAAAAGAGGGGGTGGCCCAAGAGAAGCTGCTCCAGAAGCAGGCTTGTATGATGTGGACAAAATACCTGAATGTGTCAAGAACTTTAGAAGTGATGGTTGGCTAAAGGGTTTCTGGTCCAACTCCCTGAATGTATACGTGGGAAAAACCAAGGTCTTGAGAAGAAAAGTGACTTGCCCAGTGCCACAGTTAGCTAAATGAAAAAGCAAGAATAGAACTTGACTCTTAACTGTCAATCCAGTGTTCTTTGTCCAACAGTTAGTGTGGAACAACTATCCTCTTTGGAGTCATAAGAACCTTGGTTGAAATTTTAGGCACTCTACACGTAGTATCCGATGTCAATCCCTGGGATGGTTAGGAGCAATGAGATGAGAGGCACACAGTGCTTGACCAAAAACATGTTCTCAAGAGCTGTTGATCTTCTTTCCTTTTTAAATGTACACAGGGAGTGGGGAATGCCTTTTCCCCTCCTAAGTATATCCCTCCCTGGGTTCTTTTTCTAGTAAATGTTTATGGAAGAAGTCTGAGTAGATCATATCATTTTATTAAGAGAATTCTTTGCATCGCTTCTATCGGTTACCCAGGCCCTGCCTTCTAATTTAATGATGATGATGCCAAATTTGAGTCTGTGTTTGTTCTGAACTCTTATGCAGATGGAACCTGGTGATACATGAAGAATCATTATGCCACATCAAGTTTCATTTTACAGTCCATAAGTACACCTTTTAAAACAAAAACAAACTATTTCACCATCCTGGGGAGGGATGTAAATCATGTATTTTTATTACCTCAAAAGACCACCAGAAAATGAGCTCTAATATTTCAAAAGCGACAAGCAATTTATATGAAAGAATTGCAATTTAAGCCCCATTATACTCAAGATGATATATGCTGCAATGGGGTTTATAGATGTTTCTCTAACAATAGTTAATAATAAAAACCTTAGGACTCTTTGTTACTCTTTTCTAATTCCATAGTCTCAAGCGTTATGAGTAGACGCTGTGTCAGTCTGTGAGTTCCAGCTGGGAGCAAAATGCTTCTGTCTGTTTTGGGGCCTTGGGTCACTGGAGCCTAAAGTGTGAAAGTATAAGGATTTGATTTAAAAGAGCCAAGGAAGCAGTGATGCACGGAGCAGAATTGCCATTTTAACAGAGAATGTAATGCCAGAACAAATTCATGAATGGCCTTGCACACGGATATAGAATTTGGAGATCTATTTGTTTCCATACACATCATGATGCATCTAACATAATCACAGTCATAAACATCAGCTACAGCGAACATAATCATAGCATCAAAATGTTATTGAGTGCTAAAACTGGCACAGTGAGAACAATGACAACTTTGTGGTCATATTGTTTGGATCCAGACCCAGGTTTCTATGCTTACTGATTTTGTACTTGGGCAAGTGAAGTCACCTGATAACCTCCGAGCCTCAGTTTCGTGGCATGGAGATACCTACCACGAGGAGTCAAGATAAATGGAAGGATGAGATGCTCCATATAAAGTATCTAGCATAGTGTCTGATACCTAAAAAACAGCATCTATTTTTTGGGTATTTACCAATTGCCAGGGGCTGTTCCTAGTTTTCCTTTATAAGGTACGTACTATTAGACTCTTAGAATATGGGTATCAGCCTGTGCCCAAAAATGTGCTTTTAAAATAGTTCGTCCTTCCAGTACATGTCAGGTTAACTGTGGTTCTTCCTAGTAAAGCTTTCTGGACTGATTCAAATTTTTAGCGTGAACATGGATTTGTGTATGTTCAACTTCCACTCTGAGATTCAGCTTCAGGCTTAGCCTCTTCTTGTCTCCTGGCTTCTGGATGAATATGACCATTGCTCAAGATATCTGCTTCAGGCAGAGTACTGTCACCACCTGGGCAAAGGTCAGACTGCATTTCAAGTCTGTGGTTAGCATACTAATTGCTTTGGTCCAACTCAATTTCTCTCTTTAAATGTCAGTTTGTTCTTTCATTAGGGAGTTATGATTTTTGTTTTGTAATTATTCAATACCCTTCAGAGCCTTTTTTCTGTGAACAAAAAGCAGCCTTTGTCCTAGACTCATCTATAAAATTTATAAAATCTCAATCATTCGCTATTTCTGAAGATTGTTTTCTCAGGATAGCCCAGCTCTCTAAAGATGTTAATTCCTTTTTTACTCCGTTTATAATCAGATTTGCTTTTGATACACCCTTGAATCCTATTGAAACTGTCTTCTGGGTTGTGTGTTTCCCTGAGGATGGAGAGGCAATCCTTTGGCAAACGTGTTGCCATTCCATCCTCTGTTCCCATCCCAAAACCGTGAGAGTTGCCAATTTCTTTCTTTCTTTTATCTTCTTGTTTCAAGAGAATCAGCTGGAGTACTCCACTTCACTTTCTCTCTCTTCTCCCCACCATTTTTACCACAAGATAGCTTTTATATCTGGTGGTTACATGATGAAGAATAAGCAATGAAGGCAAGATTGTGACATTTTAATTTTCTGGTACATTCATCAACTTTTCATCTTTATTTCAGTGCTTTCTCTGGACTAGTACCAGGAAATTATTAGATATGCAAGAGCTGAAATTAATAATGGTATAAACTGAAAACCTACTCAAAAACACATCAGCAGAGCATCAGGGACGTGTGGGCACAGAGTCTCAATGACATGTAGAGAGCAAGGGTTGGATTAAATCCATGTAAAAAATTCTCACTGGGGTTTTCTAACCATCCCTTGTTTGATTTTTGAAAATATTTTTATTCAGGGCCTTGGAATCTTATGAAACAAAGAAATAGCTTGGCTGGCTTGACTCAAAATAAGCTTGTTATAGCCAAGTAACTCCTTCAAATCTAGATGAGGCAGAGGCCTCTCAGCAGCTTGGTGATGGCCTAAGAAAAATGAGCCAGGAGGTTTCTCTGGAAGGTGTTGACAAGGGTCCATGACAGGGAAACATTCATTGCAGTCAGCAGGCTGGCTGGCAGCTGTGGCCCATGGGCTGAAGATTGAATTGCCTCTAAGGCAAGTCCTGACTAGTTTCTCATCTTAAAGGATGGCTGGGCATCCCAGCAGAGTGAGATGGAGTTCAGTGTGGCTGTATCTCTGTGAGTAAAATACCAATGTGATTTAGCCTTCAGCGTACTCTGCTCCAATCAATTCTCTTCACTACAGCCAGAGTGATATTTTTAAAACAGAGAAATTGAATTGTGTTACTACCCTGATGAAAGTCTGAGCTCCTTCACACGGCCTGCAAGGCCTGCCGGAATCTAAAACTGGTAATATTTTATGAACAGCACACTAATGTCCACAAAGAATCTGGCCCAAGCTTATTTTTCCAGTTTCATTTCAAATACGCAAAGCTCCTTTTTGTAATTAAGTCTTCTCAAACATTCTTTTCTGTCTGGTAGGTTATTGCTCTTCCCTTGGCCTGTTTCACTTCTGTTTCATGTCTCAGATGAACCATCACTACCAGAGAGAATCCTTCTCTGACTCTCTCAGAGTAGGTCAAATTCCTCTTGTTGAAAGATCTCACATCCTTGGTAGAATTTATTACACATTTTGCTCAATGCCTTGCCTGTCTGCGAGGTCTATGTGGCATTTTGTTCATCAGTCCGCCTCTGGGCTTAGTAGAAGCCTAATTAATGTTCTTTGAATGTACATGACTAAATGATGCTTTCCATTTCTAACTTGACAGACAAAAACTTTAGCCTCTATAGTTTCCCTACCTTCATTCTCTACCTGATGAATTCTTGCTCATCTTTCAAGATGAAGCGTAATTATATCCTTTCTTGAGATAACTTTTGTAGTCATTCTCTGCACCAATCAGGGAAGGCATGGTGGCTTAAGTCAACAAAGGCATATTTCTAGCTCATGCAACAGGTATATGGTGCTTGCTTATGCAACAGGTATATGGTGGCTTGCTCCTCACTTGGGGGCCCAGGTTGAAAGAGTCTCCATGTCTTTGCTTCCATGGGTTACAAGGCAGAAACAAGAAAATGTGGTAAGCTGGATGCTGGCTCTTAATCTTTCCACTTAGAAGTGATATGCTTCCACTCAGATTTCATGATCAATCATGAGATTAATTTAAACCATGCTTAAATTTGAAAAGGATGGGGAAATACAATTGTGCTATGTGCCCAGAGAGTGGAAAACTGGTAATATTTTATGAACAACACACTAATGTCAAGCAGCCCTCTCTAATACCTGGCTTCTCTTCTTGTTTCCAGCCTCTCACTTGTTATGCCTATTTTCACCCAACCTTTCATCGTCCTACCAAAGACCTTATAAGCAACAATAACTAAATCACTTCCAAAATCTTAATGTCACCATACTACTCTATGACTCCTTCTTTTAGTTTTCCATCTCTTGGATTCCAGTGGTCTGACTGTAATAATTCCTTGCCTTCATCAGGATTCTTGGTGGAAGTTGAGTTCCCCAGGAAGCAACCTCTGTGGTTGGCCTGCAGGAAGTTGATTGCCTGAGTTATTTCACTGATTTCTGGTGTTTTGTTCTTATTTCATGGTTATGAAAGTCTTGCTAACTGTGGGTCTCCTTCTTAGATCTCAATGACCTCGCAATAACTTTTATTTATAGGCTGTCAGATCTTTAGCTCTGAAAAGAATCTGATGTTATTTCAATATATTTTATTAGGAAATAAATCAACTTACTTTTCTTTTAAGATAAATAGATTAATGAGTTTCCTAGTGACTCAATGTAGCCATTTTTATCCTCGGTTTCTGTACATTAATAATATTAAAGCTCTAATGATTATTGTAATAGAAATACTGTATTTGACTAATCACCATTTTCAAGAAGCTTTCATGAAGTAAATAATAGTAAATAACTTCTGAATTCAAATCCCAGGTCTAGCGTGTTCTAACAGGATGACTTTATGCCAGATATTTAACTTCTCTAAGCCCCAGTTTTCTAGACTATAAAACGGGAGTAGTGTTTGTATTTTGCTCATGGGATTGCATATGGATTGAATTAGATAATATCTTTACAGATATAAAACATTGGGTTCAGAATTGACCATTGGGACAAAATGATGAGGATACTTGGACCCAGAGTAGTTGAATGCAAGTCATAGACTATTAATCAGCAGAACCAGAACTAGAGCTCACATTTTCTGTCTTGGATTCCCATGATGTACTCATGTCCTTCTTTCTCTAACCATCACACACAAGCAGTCTGAGTAAAAGGAACATAAATCTGTTTTTGAAAACAATCTCCAGAAAAGGCTAAACTCTGTGCTTAAGGTTGTAGGTTATTTTAATCCCTATCACGAACTTTTATGAGAAAGCAGGTGATGCTCTGAACTCCATCCCAAAAAGAACAAGACTTTTTGTTGAATCAGCCCATTATTCTATCACATGGGGAGGAGCTCCAGGTCAAAGGATGAGAGACATTAATTTGCATCAGGCAACAGCAGTTGTCTATATTCATAGTACAACATGGGAGAAACTAGCTACACCATCATTTTGTAGCGTTTGAATTGAAGCATGTCTTAGTAAGACATACAAGCAGAGAGGGGCTGGATTCCCTTGATCCCTCTGATAAAAGCTATACCATGTACTGTGGACACCTAATAAATATTCATTGATATCGACTTAGTGGACACAGAACTCCTTGAATTTGGACATTTAAAAAGAGTATTCTCCTTGGTAAGAAACTAATAGTTGTAAATTCATTCTTCATACTTCTTGGGCTCTTACCTGTTTTGTCTCACCATGCATCGTTCTGGAAACACTTTCAGCTCAGGATGGGATCTAACGTACCAAGCTGAATTTTCACCTAAGCTTTTGTGTTTAATGCATGTTACTTTTTCTCTTGGCTTCTATGGACATTTATCTTTTTTAATTTATCTGCAAAATGATTACACTGTTGTTCCATTATTTTGCTAACCATGATCTTACTTATTTTTTTTCCTTCAGATATTGATGAGTGTGCAGCTAAGATGCATTACTGTCATGCCAATACTGTGTGTGTCAACCTTCCTGGGTTATATCGCTGTGACTGTGTCCCAGGATACATTCGTGTGGATGACTTCTCTTGTACAGGTGAGCTTTAAGAAGCAGTGTTGTTTTTTTAATTCATCCATTCTCTGCACCATGTCTGTGTTATTATGTTTAATTCCTAGTGCACAAAGTACTATTTTTATCTAAATAGTTCTTCTCTTTATTACTTCACCCCACCTTTTGAGAAAAAAGCAATAATAAATAAATTATCTGCATAATTGATTTCCACTCCCAATATTTCTGCCTCTGTGTGTGTGCTTGCATACATGGGTGTGTGATTTGAAACTGAAGTCCCAGTTGCCAATAGTAACACTGAGGGAGTTAGATATACTAGTTCTAAAAATAGAAAGTATCAATTATTTTCGTTGCATCATGATGAGGTGTTTTTGTAGATAAGAAAATGTACTTTGTTCCCACTGGGAAAGACAAGGATTAAATTTAAAGAGGTGACAGGGAGTACTTGGTGGTCAAAGTTTAGGTATATGGGAGCTGGTCGAAACTGTATTTAATTAATATATGCTTGTTGTCTGTGTCCCACCTCTTTCTATATCCCTTAGCACTACAGTGGTCACTGACTCTGTTGGAGTAGCGCTGGTTTTATGGGGCATTTGGTTTGGCTTTCCAGTATATTTTCAATCATGTACATACAGACATGAACAGTAAATTGGATAAGGGTGGTAGAAGATTCCAAGTTTTTCTTCTCTTGGACCAAATGTGTTTAAATACTAAATCTGTAAGTTATAAGAAAAGGGTCCCTTGAACCCAAGATTTCAATCATGTTGTAACTTTTCCTGATGTCTGCATCTTTCTCTTTGTTCCAATCACGTTGGTATATAAAAAGTGGATTCTTTACTCAGAATATAATACCGCTATTTTTAATGTACTTTTTTTTTCTGAATGACCTTTTCAGAAGTGCAAAAAGTTGCAAAAGTTAAGGGCACATGTTAGTATGTCCAAATTTCTTTGCCAGTGATGTCTATTTATAAGTTACTATTCTTTGGGTGAAGGGCTGGAGAGTTCAGATTGACACAGGTTTCTGAGGACCACATAAAGTCACATCTCACTTATCTGTCTTTTACATATTATAATTAATACTCTTAGGAAAAGAAGAGAGAGACTGCATAAACATAGTGCGCTAGGATTTCAGTGTTTTAAAGGATCAAAACTTTTTCGGACCAATAAACAAACACTTTCTAAAAAGCTGTAAAGTTACAGGGCCTATCAATCTGTTCTTAATACTAAATGTGGCTCTTAACGTCTTTTAACCCTAAGATTAGAAGAAGGCAGTGAATATCCTCCTAGCCCAAGAGCACCATATTATGCAACTTAATAAACATTAATTAAAGCCCTGCTGTGTGGAAGACCTTGTTGAAATTCTACCAGAATGCTTGACTTTGCTCGGATTTCCTCACTGAGAAAGGAAGGCAAGAGCTGGCACTTGTCGAATGCCTTAATAGGATAGGCGCTCTGTCTGGTGGTTTATATATGGAACAAGATGGAAAATGTGTTATCTTAAGAACTGGCTCCACAATTACTTTTAGAAAGGGAACTATGTGGTTTGGAATAAAAGGTAACAGTGTGGGTATCAGTGGGCACCCAAGTGCCCTTCTCCCCCCTACACAGGAAAGAGTAAGGCTCTGCAGGAAAAGTCTACATCAAACACACACACACACACACACACACACACACACACACACACACACGCTTTTTTGTTTTGTTGTGTGTGTGCCTAAGAGGGAACACAAAAGACAGAACAAAAGAGAGAAAGAAAGGAGGGGAGAGGAACCAGTCAGAGAACAGAAGGTTGGGTGCTGTGGAGGACAGAGGGCTGGTGAAAACCACCCAATAGTAGGATAGCTGAAAGGATTTTTAAGAGAAGAAATATTTTATGTGAGTTTTTTTTTATTGTTTTGCCATACAGTATGCTATGTGAGTTTTCCTTCTTACCCTCAAATCTTCAATAAAGTCTTCCCACCCTGAATGCCTCATGAGAACCGCCCTCCCTCCCCTATTAGAATGTAAGTTCACATGGTGGACAACAGAAAGGATACCAGTGCATTTAGGATGTGGGGACCACAGAGGTAACCATTATCAAGTAACCATTGTTACAGTTCTTTCTGCTGCCCCCACCAACATACACTTACTAATATACACACACATCATTATCATCACTGCCTCCTCTCAGGAATTTCAGAAATCTTGATGAGGACTGTGGATTTTCATAGGTCACAAAATAGGTGAGGTTTTTTTTTCTTTAAAAAGCCTTCCTTTGATCCCAGATTTCTTTCAACCTGCTTCCCTATTTTTCTGCTTTTCCTCACAACAAAACTTCTTAATTTGCCTGTGGTTATTGTCCTCACCTTACATTTATTCAGCTCACATATGCTCCTCACCTCTCTCCAGTCAGACTTCCATACTCACCATTCTGCAGAGGATACATTTATCAAGGCCATTTATGAACTCTGTTTTGCTAAAGCCAGTGTTCTTATCTCAGCAGCATTTAGCAGGGCTGACCACACCTTGCTCTTTAAAGCACATGTTTTCTTGGCTTTTGTGCCATCCTATTTCCTGGTTTTCCCTCTTTGTCACTTGTCACTCTTGCCCAATGTCCCCAGCTATTCTTGTGCTGCTGACTTCTGAAAGGTTAGAGTACCCTCCGGTTCTATCCTGGTCCCCTTCCCCTGTTTACCTATAGGTTCTTTTTAGATGCCTTCATCAATCTTAGAGCTTTAATAGTATCTTTATGTCAACAACTCCTAAATGTATCGCTCCAGTTCCAATCTTTTTTCTGAACTTCTGAATTATATATTCAACTTGACATGTACACATAGATGCTTAGTAGGAATTTCATGCTTAACATGGATAAGACAGAACTTGATTTCTTTCCACTTCTACAAACCTCCTTCTCTCCCAACTTCTCCCATTCCAGCAAAAGCACCATTTACCCAATTTTTCTAGCCAAAAATGTAGAGATAACTCCTTCCTCTCCCCAGGGGTTACACTTGATCACCCCTCCAATTTCAATCCATGCATCTGTCTTGTTGATGCTACCCTTTACGTCTTGTCCTAAGTCCATCCACTTCTGTCTATATCACCTATTACCATCTTAGTGGACTTCAGCCATGGCCATCACATTGGACTTTCTGTTCCAGTCTTGTTCCATCATAACCCATTCTTCACATAGCAGACAGAGCAATTTTTTTAAAAAGAGAAATCATACAACTCTACTTAAAACTTTGATCTAGTGTCTCATTACATGGAAAATCAAATCCCTGTTTCTTATTTCAATATATAACCCTATATAGTTTTCCTTCTTTCCCTTCTGTCTTTTACCGTTTCTTTCCTTGTCCATTATGACATGGCCATGCTGACCTTTGTCTTTTTCTCCATGTAACAAGCTTGTTTCTGTTTGTTAAGACCTTTGCATGAGCTATTGCCCTTTTATGGAAGTCTTTTTCCTCTTGATATTTGTGTATTGAGCTCTCTTCTCATTTACCTCTTAGCCTAAGCCTCAGAGAGGCTTTCCATGATCAATATAAATAGCCACTCTGTTGTTTTCTGTCATACCACCTGATTTTAGTTCTCTGAGTAATACATATTATTATCTGGAATTTTCTTATGTATAAATGATTCTTTTATCTGTCTCTTTCCACTAGAATGTAAACTCTTGAGAGCAGGGGCCTTTTTCCTTTTGTTCTCTACTATACCTTGACTACTTAGAACATTACCTGGCACAAAGCAGTGCTCAATAAACATTTGTTGAATGAAATAATGCATAAAGCTACTTGACTTTGGGCAAATTTTTCACTTTTGAAAACCTCATTTATAAAATATTGCTCACATCTGTCGTACCCACAGGTTATAGTGAACGTCAACTAATATATGTGAAAGTATTTATCATAGCACTTTTATCAGTAAGGATAGGATGTTCTGTAGGATGTTCAGAACATTCTATTGGATGTTCTAAATATAAGTGACTTAAGATAAATTTTATTTTTTGCTTATGCTATTTGTCTATCTCTGATCAACAGAGGCGTTCTGCATACCATATTCACTTTGGGATGCAAGCTGTTGGAATGGTCACTATAGTGAACATTTCCAATCATCAAGACAGGGAAAAGAGATCCTGGAGGCCCTCCATCAGCCATTAAATGTTCTGACCAGGAAGTGACACAAATCACATCTACTTATAACTCATTGACTAGAACTAATCACTAGTTCCATCCATCCACAAAGGGATGAGAAAATACTGTCCTACCTCATGCCTGGAATGGTAGAGGACCAGAAACATTTGGCAAATGGTACCCATGCCTATATAGTGAGTGATACTAACAGATTGCCAACAAATATGGTTTATTTTGACATGAGTAGCTGTTGATTAGGATAACCTTTTTTCAACAGCAGTTCATAAGCTATGTAGGTATTCTCAAAAATTAATTACAATATTAGGCACATTGTATTAAGTGCTATGATAGAAATGCAAGCAAAATACAATGAAAAATGGCCCTTGATTGCCAAGATGAAGTGTTTGAAATGTTTTCTGAAAGCAATGGGGGGCTGTGGGAATTGACTGAGGCATGCTAGCATGCAATGACTATACTATGTTAGGGATTTACAATGGGGAATATGGATGGGAGACAGGAGACAGGAGGAGAGCCTCTAGGCCAGATTCAAGGACCTTCATTAGACGCTTTCATAGTAAGCTTGAGTCTTTGGAATGCTGACATTTATTTTGTGTCCTGAAAATAAGCTTGTTAGACCAAACGTGCTCTGTACTCTCCAAGATATATTATGTCCCCACCCATAACCTCTGCCATTTTTTATAGGCAAAGAAGACTTCCTTCCCTTAGTGGTCATTTGCCTGTGTAATAAATGAGGTGTATGATAGATATCTGCCACTATAAAATGTCTTTTCAAATGTTTCATTGCCAGATGATTATTTGTTGGGAGAAATTGACAGGCCTAAAGGCATTCCTTTATTTGACTCCGGATCCTGATATAGCATTTCCATTATTGACATTCCTTATTTCCAAAGACCATTCTAGTCTCTTCTCAAATCAATCAGTACCTGCTGACGCTGTTCAGCTGGTTTTATAACCATGTCAAGGTCATATTTTTTTCCTTTCTTTTGCTGTTTTATGTCATTTAGCTTTGCTACTCAGTTTTTAGAAGTCAGTAGTCATACTGAAAAATTCTATTCAACCAAAAATAGGAAGCCTAAAGTTAAAGAAGATATATCAGCTTTGGTGATTCATTGATTTATTGGATGATTGATTAATTAATTATTTTACTATGTATGAAATATTCAGTTAGTGTCTGTCACAAGTGTTATAAAAGATAGTCACCAAGATTATTAAAAAATAATGTCTGTGCCAAGGGGTTCATGGTTTGTTAATTAGGCAATATCTTCAAATGAGAAAACTCAAATGTTCATTCACCATCAAAAATATTGCTTGCCAAATCAATCCCTCTTTGAAATCTTAGTAGTTTAGTTTAGTATTGGATGTTTCACCCTGTGGTAGTTATTACTACTTGACAAGTTTTAAAGAAGGAAAACCAAACTAGTCTTTCCCAATTCTGTGCTGACAGCCATGGTCCTTTCAGAAGACTACACCTGAGACAGTGGATGCTAAGCATGATGGAGGAGAAAGGCAATGCATTACACAGAACAGGAAACTTTAGCTCTTACCCAACATTTTTCTTGCTAAAAATTGAAAAAAAAAAAAAAAGGATTATATATATGGGATAATAAAGCTCCAAGAGTTCAACATTGAGAATAATTATCTAGAGCTTAAAAGTGTGCTGTAACTTAATCTTTACCTCCCTGGGGACTGGGGTTTCCCTGACATGAGTATGTGTTATATATGGAGCTCTGTACTTTTTTGTAGGGAAGTCTCCCTTGGCCTTTGAAAGGGTGAAATCTAAAACATTTGGCCTTTGACCCTTGGGGGAGTTTTTAGCCTTGGAATTTTCGTGTGGATTGAAATTGCGTTGTTTCTTGTAAGAGATCCCTTAGTTGCTCTTGCTCTTTTATGAATTTTGAAACTGGAAGAGGTCCCTGAAATGGAGGTGTTACAGGGAGGAGGGGTTTTTCTTCTCTCCCCCGTATGCTTTTGGTTTTTGGAATAGTCAACCAGCTTGATTTATTGGCCTCTGACTTTCATTTATCCCCAACTAAACTCCCCGTGTTTCTGGCTGTTTGATAAGACATTATCATTAGATACGCAGGCAGTTTTAAAGGAGGATATTTGTGATTTACAACAAAAGCATGCAGCGATAAGACAGATACTTCACAGTAACGGGTAGGCATTCATTTTTATGCCAAAAGCTTCCCATGAAGGTAAGAAATAAAGGGAACAAGTGAGATAACAAATATCCCATGTGATCTCTATTACCTTGCTAAAAGGATTTTTATTTTCTTGATATTGGCATGGAAGAAACCTTAAAGGAAGTTTATGTTTGAAATAGAGAAAACTTAAAGACTTAGATATAATAGCCTATTAATTTAATGGTTTGAATTAAGTACACTATAATGAAAAGAGATTAGACAACAGTTTAAATGCCTTAAAAGTAATAGTTAGTTGTTAGAAATGTCAGGCTAGGTCTCTGGAATATGCTTTACTCCCATGATGAACTATACAAATATTTTTGATGAAATTTTATTATAATTTTGGTCAATTATATTGATGAAATAGAGAATATTTTCAAATATGAGATATCTGATATTTTCTCATTTAGCAGAGCCACATGAAATGGAACTAAAACAGAACATTCCGCAACCTGATTGAGCAAAATGGCAAATTTTCCACGGATCATCATTATCTTTCAGGCCCATACCATGTACTTGTGTCAGAATGCTTGTCCTTGTTTACCGTAGGCTGTGTGGCAGCATTAAGGGACAAGTTACAGGACAATTGCTTGGCTTTCAGTCTCAGCAGAGGTGATACATTTATAAGAATGAAACAGGTCACAGGCCTCTAGACTATTTTACTTTAGTAAAAATATGCTCTATGAAATGCTTTATAGAATGCAAAGCTACTTTTTGCTTGTTAAAGATAACCAGAAACTATTTATTGATATATTGAACAAGAAAAGTCAAAATAAAGCATGTGCTACTACTTTTGCATATTTCAAAACCAACCTAGAAGGTCTGATGATAGTTATTTATCTGTTGTTTTCATTTGTATGGCTGGAATTTCTCTCTTTTTTTCTTCCTTTCATATAAATAGATAATTGGCTCTGTAACCCTCCTTCCCTACGCCCTCAGAGGAGGAATGCTACTGTACCAAAAGCAGGATTCCAAAATCCTAATTCTTTATGGCAGAGATTCCCAATTCTCACCTCAGGGTTGAATCACTTGGAATCTGGGATCTATCCCCAGAGATTTTGATTTTTGGCTGTTCTGGGGTTGGGACCCAGCTTTGGTGGGCTTGTTTAAAAGTAATTCTAATGTCCAGTCAAGGTCAAGAGCCACTGCTTTAGCATAGAGCAGAAGAACAGAGAGGGTTGGAGTATGGAGAGAATATCAGAGGGAAATGGGAAGGGATATGAATTGCCCACTGTATTTTGTAGATGAGAAAAAAGATTCCATAGAACTGGTGGTGAGAAATGTGGAGTTCAGGAAGTCATGAAGCAGGGACTTGGATGGTTCCTGGAGGAGGGGTCCTGCTTCCAAAGCTGCACTCTGAGATGTATAAGACGCTGGATAGACAATGACTGTGAGGTATCTCTATAGATGGGGCCTCATGGGAAGATGTTGAATCTTTAACTGTGACATTGCTGCTGCATTGCCTGAAAGCGCCCTAAAGACAAATGGAGCATATCTATGGTGACTTTGTGTTCCATGGGCTGAGGATTAGGCAGCTTCTTCTGTGCCAATGCCTTGGTTATTGGGGGTCCTCTAGAGCCATGATAGAGCCTGATGGAAGTGGGGAACACTTAAAATGACTGAGACATTTCAGTGACCCCACTATCTCAGAAGAATAGGAGCTCACAACCATTCAAGTTGAATTGAAGAAATTATAGAAACTTTCATCACTTGCACAAACACTTTTGTGACTGGACTTCTCTACCTGTCACATACACAAAAAATGAAGTCAATAAAAGAACGAAACAGAAAAAAATTAAGAGGTCCCTCTAAAGAGGGATTATAGTATAAAAATTCATCGAAAGTTTGTTTTTCCAGACCAATTTTAGTTTTCCATATGTAGTACTGGAAAAGCCAAAGACCACATATTTATTTCATTTAGTGATAGTAGTGTTAAAATAATGTTAGGGTTTATTAAATCCAGCACATATATCTTAGGGAGACTATCAAAGCTCATTTACCTTGAAATTTCATGATGAAAATAAGTCTGAAAGACATGTCTAGTGTTTGATTGTTTTGTTGGGTTTAAGTGGGAGTTCCTTTTTATTCCTACATGTGTTATAAAGGACCTGAACCACTTTGGCTGTTGCAGAACAACCAGGATCAATGATGGAGCTTGCCCCTAGGGTGTTTGTGAACAAACCTATTAAGTACTGTGTTGCCCTTGACCCAAATTCATCATAAAAGCCTTGTTAATATTTCTGTACACTCTATTGTTAGATTTGTGCATTCAGAATCACAATAAGGCTTTCTCATAAAGGAGTTTCATTAAGGATGCTTTAGCGCTTACAAAATTGTTGAGGCTGGTCTTGCAGCTCCACTCTATCCACATTCAGGTCATACAATGAATGGACATTTCTCTTTAACAACCAGTGTTTTATCTTATATTCTTTATTTCTATCGTAAAGACATGGTACATGCATATCTATCTATCTATCTATTTAATCTATCTGTCTATTGTTATTTCTGTACTTTTTAGAAGTATAGTGAAGTGCCTTAAGATTTTTTCTTTTGCTAAGATAATTGAGAATATATACTAACTATTCTTTGGCCAAAATGAAAGCTATAAATTCTCATGGTTAAAGTCTAGTGTATAAATTCTACTGGTTGCAAGCTTTGATTATGTCACTTATTTACTCTGTGAATCAGAAAGCTATTTAAATTCTCTGCTTCTTCATCAGTATTCACTGTACATCCTCACAGAGTTGTTAAAGGATAAAGTGACACAGCGTACGTATATCAGTTTGAGTGAGTTTAGCTGAAAGAATTAAAAAAAAACAGAATAACATCAAATGACTCAACTGGCTTAAATGACAAATTCTCACATAAAACAATGACTGTGCGGACAGGTTTTTCAGAAATAGTTAATTCAGCTGCTCCATGAAATCCTCAGTGGAACAGATTCTTTCTAACTTTTTACTTGGTTATTTTCAGTATGATAGTTTTGGAACTTGATCTAGCTCCCCTCAAGATCTCAAAATGGTGAAGTTACTCCAAGCATCAAATCCTGACTTAACCATGTCCCAGAGTCAGAAGGGAAAAGAGATTTCCCTTTTCACAGTCCCTTTTTAAAAATAAGAGTAACTTTATTA
Source organism: Homo sapiens (assembly GCF_000001405.40). Lineage (NCBI taxonomy): Eukaryota > Metazoa > Chordata > Mammalia > Primates > Hominidae > Homo > Homo sapiens. The sequence goes on from NC_000011.10 coordinate 21,123,132, forward strand.
AAAACCTCAACAGATTTATTGTCATGTCTCATTAACAAAAATAGTTTGACCTACCTATTCATAAAATATACCTTAGAAAGATAAATAGAATCAAGATTTATCCCCTGAGGCTTGGGCAGATCCCAGCTTCTTTTGTAGTACTTGGATAACTTACATCTAAACAAAATGTGGGTTTCTTTGTCAAGGAAGATGTGTGTGCCTGCGTGTGTGTGTGTGTGTGTGTGTGTGTGTGTGTGCGTTTCCATGTATGTGTAGATCCACAATTGTTAGAGTATATTAACAGCTTTGAAAACATGTTTCAAGCTTAGGATTAATAAAAAGAAATGCAAATTAAAATGAAAATTAGATAGCAGTTATACTAAATTTATGTGTGTGACTATCTGTGTGTAGATATATGGATACACATATATAGATAGACATATATGTCAATCACTCTTTTCTGGAGAAGGTTCAGGAATTCAGCACTTTCATATATCACTGATGAGAATGTAAATTGATACAACCTTTCTTGAGGCTAACTTGACGGTTTATAGCCAAAGGCCTAGAAATGTTTATTTATAGTAACTTATCCTAAGAAAACAATCAGTCACAATTATTTATGTAAGAAGACTTTCATTGTGGCCATTTATTCCATTTATTATTTGTAAGAAAAAAACTGGAAGCAGCGTAAATATAAACTCATGGAAATTCGATTAAATAAATGACAATAAATCCATATAGTGGAACATAATGCATATTAAAATAATGTTTAAAAGAATATTATGTGTCAATGGAAAAGTCTCATCATCTAACATGATTTAAGCAAGTATGTATTTTATTTTTCACTTCAAATAATAAAAAATATGTATGAATACATATGCACATACACATGCAAGCACAGACACATAGAAACACAGACAGGAAATATCCTCACACTCCTTCCCAAATAAACAGAGAACAGAGGGTATCTCTGAGTGAATGGTTAAACATGATACTTTTTCTTTATACTCTATATATTTTCTAAATTTTCTGTAGAAAGAAATATAAGACAATGAACCTATATACATATTATTATGAGAAAAGTGTTATTAAAATATTAGAAAGCAGAAAATGCTAGACAAAGGTGACATTGAGTTTTTTTCCCCCCGAAGTCTCCTAAATGTTACCTCAGTAAATTAAAAAAATATATATTTATGACCTGGTAGGGATAATGTCTTTCATCTTTTATGACACAGATTATAGTTCTGAACTAAAGTGATTAAAAGCAATGGCTTTGCTTCATGTTCCTGGAGAATCTGCATGGCCAATATGGCAACTGAAGGCCACTTGCAATTATGGTGCTGTCTTAATTCAGGCAGCTGTAATGAAATACCTGACACTGGGTAGCTTATAAACAATAGGAATTTCTTTCTCACAGTTCTGGAAGCTAAGAATTTCAAGATCAAGGTGCCTGCAGATTAGGTGTCTGGTGAGGGCCTGTTCCTCACAGATGATTTTTTTTTTTTTTTTGAGACAGATTTCGCTCTTGATGCCCAGGCTAGAGTGCAATGGTGCGATCTCGGCTCACTGCAACCTCCACCTTCCGGGTTCAAGCGATTCTCCTGCCTCAGCCTCCCAAGTAGCTGGGATTACAGGCATGCACCACCACACCCAGCTAATTTTGTATTTTTAGTACAGACAGGGTTTCTCCATATTGGTCAGGTTGGTCTTGAACTCCCAACCTCAGGTGATCTGCCTGCCTCAGCCTCCCAAAGTGCTGGGATTACAGGGGTGAGCCACTGTGCCTGGCCAGATGATGTTTTCTTACTGTGTGCTCACATGATGAAAGGGGTGAGAAATCTTCCTGGGGTCTCCTTTATAAGGGCACTAATAACCTAATCACTCCCAAGGCCCCACTTCCTAATACCATCACCCTAGGGGTTAAGATTTTAACATGAGTTTTGGGGGAATAAAAACATTCAGACATTTCAGATGCTGTGTTCTTCCTGGCAGCTGATCTGATAGTGGAGTCCTACCACACTACCTCTCATAAGCTTTCTATGAAGGGTTTTCAGAAACAAGGCAGTTGGTCCAGATTTTTCTGGATCAGGGCCAAGACAAAGAGAGATACTAAGGGGAGCCTGAAAAGACCCAGTATTTCCATAGGAAAGCAACCACTGAATGAGAATCAGGGAACATACATTCCGGTCTTCCCCCTACCACCAGCTCACTGAAAGTTATCATGTCAACATTTTTCTTGGACTTTGAAAGATTAAGGTTTAACTAGCTCAATGGTTTTCAGTCAGAATAACTTGGATTCTAAATAATCTTTCTTTTGAAAGAGTTCAGCTTCTTAAAAAAAAAGGATTATTTTACAAACTATTACTTTTCTAATTCTATGATTCTGTAAGATATGGTTTCTGACCTCTAGGAGATTGTGGTCTCTTTGGGAGACATAAAATTTACATTTAAGTAGAATAATTTTATCAGGCATATAACTGAGTTCTAAATTGTGAGTTACAGGCATTAAATGCTATGGGAAAGAGCATTGGTACTGGGAGAAAGGACATTTATTACTAACTGGTGGAGAGGAAATGTTTTCTATCCTTCCACGGGTGTCTGAAAGGGTTTGAATTTGATGTTAGGTGGGAGTGCATTGAGAAGTAATTGTGCCTGTTGCTTGAGAAATAGATCCATCTCCATTTTTATTGATCTACAATGTGAACTGGAGGTTACCTGTGTAGAAATGGAAAGAACACAGGGCTCTGAATCAGCCAGGCCTGGGTTTCTGCCCCAAGTAGGGTATTTATTCATAGCACCAACTCAAATCATCTTCAGAGAAATGGGCACATCTTCCTTCTAGAATCTTACAAGGAGTGAATGAGAGAATATTTGTAAAGTGCTTGGAAGAGAGCTCAGCATAGAGTAAACGCTCAATAACTGTTAGCAATTACTACCTCTACACATGAGGAATCTATGTTAAGGTGTGGGAGGTTGAGGAACTTGTCTACAGCTGTAGGCTAGTTGGTGGTGAGGCAGAGATAGGAAAGTCGACATTGTAACTCCATAGGCTCAAAGATAGGATAGGATAGCAGGCTGTGTTAACTCCAGAAGCTCAAATATAACCTCCATCAGAGCTCTTTTGAAAATGTCTTTAAAATGCGAATGCAGACAAGATCGGGTGCATTCAGACCAAAATCTCAGAAATCACCACTGAAGAACCTATTCACGTAAGCAAGCACCTACTGTTGTCCAAAAACCTATTGAGATAATAAATAAATAAATAAATAAAATGCTAATGCGATGTGTTCAGCAAGCAATAGCCATTGTTAGAAAGAAAGAAATAGCTTGGGCTTGTGACCAAGTGAACCCATATTTAACCCGCAGCTCTGCCTCTTACAAGCTTTGGAGTCTTGGGCAGATTCTTTAAGTGCTCCATGCCTCAGTTTATAACACCAAGAAAGACGATTGGGTTTTAAGGTTTGATCATGTGAAAGAAAGCCCAACCCAATGACTGAGTCCTAGGTGGTACTCAATATTGAAGCCCTAAGACCTGTTCACCATATTTCCTTTTTCTCCCTCACCTTACTAAGTAGCTCTTAAAGCACTTAAAAGAATAACAGGGCACCTTAAGATACATTTGGAAAGCCGCTTGCCTTGAGAAGCCCAGGCTGTGTAGACAGTGTTCAGACTGGGAAGATGAGCCTAGAATCAGATGCTTTAGGCTCATGAGTTAACAAGGAGATGATGTAGTGTAAAGTGGACTTCAAAACAGAGTTTATAACTACCAAGGAATACATTCCTTTAAGTCAAGAGAAATATCACCTTCCTAGAGTCATTAGTTTGTGAGTTGCTGTAGAACAGAGCTTTGGAATGTGCTCTGTTAGCTCCCTTTAAAAATTTAACTTTGTTCCCTGAGAAGGGAAGCCCATTAAACTGCAAACACTTTTTGGCATTTATCAGTTCTGCTGGCTGGCATCTAGTTATTCCTTAAGGGTGGTCATAGGACAAATTGTTTTCAAGAGAAGACTGGTCTAGGTTGGACACAAGGATGGAGTCTTTGGCACTCAGGAAATTTCCTTAGAGGGAATTCGCAACACACAGAGAGACAGGTAAAGAAAATAGCAAGTTTAATACAATTATAAAAAGGGTTTTTCTAGTTATAAAAATAGTATATTAATACTATAGTAACATTAAGAAATTTAGAAGAATAAGAAGAAAATAGGCTATATATGGTGGCTCACACCCATAATCTCAGCACTTTGGGTGGCCTAAGTGGGAGAATCATTGAGGCTAGGCATTCAAAACCAGCCTGGTCAACATAGCAGCAATCTGTCTCTACAAAAGAAAAAAATTTAAAAAATTAGCCAGGTGTAATTAGCCAGGCATTATGACATGGGCCTGTAGTCCCAGCTACTCATGAAGCTGAGGAAGAGGATTGCTTGAGCCTAGTAGTTCAAGGATTCAGTGAGCTATGATCCGAGAAGAAGAAGAGGAAGAGGAGGAAGAGGAAGAAGAGGAAGAGGAAGAAGAAGAGGAGGAAGAGGAGGAGGGGGAGGACAGGGAGGAGGAGGAAAATGACGACAACCTCTATTAACATTTTGCATTTAGGAGTATTTATCTTATGTCTGTTTTCAATGCCTGCATTTGTAGTCTACATTGTGGAAATCACACTAATGATCAATATTCAATTTTTTCTTTTTACTTATTTCATAAGCATTGCCCAAATTATAAGATTATTTGAAAGATATACTTGTTTATGGTTAAAAATATTCTCTCATATGGACATCTTATCATAGCTGTTACTACATTAGAGAAGTATTAACATCCAGTTGCCTCTCTGTCTTCATTTGTTTTTAACAGATGCATGCATTTTTTTTCTTTCTGTATTATCATGATGATCATTGTTTTTCCTCAGTTTGGACAAAGAGTGCGTCACAGAACAAAAACTCAACCAGCCCAACACAGGGACTATGCATGCTTACGGACTCCTGGAGGGGAGCATCTTAGTTTGTCTGATGTTTTCTATTTAGGGACATTTTAGGGAAAAATAGGAGGTTAAAGAGCTCTGTAATCTTAATAAATATCGTGATGTTTTAAGGACCCCACATAATTATTTTACAGAAAAGCACGTTGTAACTAGACAGTGGTGCTCTAAAGTGAGTCTTTGCCTCATTTATGAGATGTGGCTTTCATATTTGTATTTTCTTACTGAATTATTTGTCCTTTAAAATTTGAAGAGTATTCCCTAGATGAATTAGCATTTTTCCCCCCTTTTGGCGTTTATTTTCCCATTCTCGTTGATAAGCAGACTATAGGGAAAGTATTAAAGTATTAGGAGTTTCAAATAGCTGGGATGTTAGAGACATATAAGGCATCAGAAATATCTTCAGATTAAAGCCATTTGATTCTGAATTTTGAGGAAGTGTTGAAGAAATGTGCCTGGAGAAATCTTACTTGTGAATCATCAAAATCTTTAGTATTTTTTCTCATTAGGAGAGCTATGTCACCCTCAAGCAGATCGTCCATTTAATTGGTTATAATAAAAATGCGGCATTGATTAGAAGAGGCAGACCTTATCCCTTACTATCAGTGTGAGAGGGGGATGAAGGAACAATTATTGTCCCAGCCAGGGGAGTGTGGTAGTAAATGACTGTTACATCACGGCCACCCAGGCTGAGTGGTATACAGTACAGGGGAGGGAATCAAGTCAAGATTTACCCTGTAATGCTTTTCTTGGCCTCAAGCAAACTGTTTATTTTTTAGGACAGGTTGGAACAGCTTACAGCTTTGGAGCCAAACCCAGGAGGGATACCAGAGACTAGTGCCCTCTATCTATTTTTAGGATTTAGAAAACTGACAAGTTACAAAGTAGCACTCACATGTTGTCATGCTTAGCTCTCAAACCAGCTGGAGTTCTGAATTTATTCAACCTCTACTTGGACAAGATTTATTTTATTTTGACTATTCTTCTAGCTCCCTTTTCCTCTTGACTCTATTCTTTGGTGGATTATTATAGCTTTTCTCCTTAAATCTTGTTTTCTTTACCGTTTACATTTGTTTCATTATTGTGTGTATGTGTGTGTGTGTTGTTATTTATGGGTGAATCTAATAATGGTCTAAATGAGAGACTTAATGCCATGAAACAGAAAATAACAGGTATTGGTGAGGATGTGGAGGAACTGGAACCCTCGTGCACTGTTGGCGAGCACGTAAACATGGTGTAGCCACCATGGAAAATAGTTTGGTGGTTCATCAAAAATTAAAAATAGAAAAAAATAGAAAATAGAATTAAATGATCTGGCGATTCCACTTATGGGTATATACCCAAAAGAATTGAAAGTAGGGTCTTGAAGAGATATTTGCACACTCATATTCATGGCAGCATTATTGACAATAAAGTGTGGAAGTAACTCAAGTATCCATCAATGAATGAATGGATATGCAAAATGTGATACAGACATATAATGGAATATTATTCCGTTTTAAAAAGGTAGGAAATTCTGATACATGCTATAATGTGGATGAGACTAGAGAACATCATCCTAAGGAAGATAAGCCAGTCAGAAATAGACAAACACTGCATGATTCCACTTATATGAAGTACCTGGAGTAATCAAATTCATAGAGACAAAATGTAAAATGGTGGTTGCCACAGGCTGGAGCAATGGGGGCATGGAAAGTTATTGTTAATGGGTATAGGGCATTAGTTTTACAAGATGAAAAGAGTTTTGGAGATGGATGGTGGTGATGGCTGTACAATATAAATGTGCTTAATACCACTGAATTGTGCACTGAAAAATGGTTAAGAGAGTAACCATTATGTTATGTTTATATTATTTATATTTTACTTCAACTAAAACATTGGGGAAAAAATGCCACCAGGGGAAAGATCTCTTCCCATTAGTAAGTTATGCAAATGCAGTAGGTCTAATTTCTTTACTACCATAGGTATATGAAAGGATCACAGAGGAGAGTTTTTCAGATAATGTCAGGCATCCACCTTTTTATTTTAATTTAATTTTTTTTAAGTTTATGGAATAAAATTTCAAATAGTCATCTGCTCGATGACTTAGGATTAGGTATGGATGCTTGTTAAATCAGTAAACTCCAATCAGCCCTTCTCTATCCTGTGAGTATCTCTAGTACTGTCTTGTGGAATGAAGTGCATGGGTTTTACAGCCTCAGAGACTCCTTTCACAGATTCTGGGTCATGGCTGTCTTCCTAAGAGATGAGGACGATAGAAGTCTGGCTATGGGATCTAATAAGGTTTTACTAATTTTTTTCTATAAATGGAAAGCAAGGACTTAATGGTGATTACCTGGACAGTATCCCTTCTAGAAGAGGAACAGAGTTTTGGGTGGGGCACTTCACACACAGCATTTAGGAAATTCAGTACCCATGTCCCATGTCTGATAACAAGGCCTCCACATCTAAATCTACAGGGTAAACATGGCAACTCTAGAGTCAGGGACAGAAATATCTCTAAGCAACCAGGGAGTTGAAAGAGGCTTGCTTTTTTTCTTTCTTGTTACATCTATGGTATTACATTTTCCCTGCTGTTGATAAATAATTCAGATAAGAAAAGAATATTAGAGCCATGACCTTTTGGAGGACAAATACATTTGCAATTGGTCCCCAAACACCCACAGGCTCTTGTGCGAAGGTCAGTATTTTGTATTTGTTAGTTGGCAGTATGTTCTTTGGGGCTTTGAAATCCATGGGCTTTGTTTCTGTAGCTAGAAGGAGAGTGAGGACTGCATGTATGAAATGCACAGACCTAATGGTGTCATCTTGTCACGGTCCCTAATTGGGCTGCTGAGCAACAGGTAATAGACTGGTGGGCATTAGTGGGCTGTGCAGCTTTTTTCAGAAGACGAGATTATCTGAGGATATTTTATGACATCATATAATTGATTTTCAACCTAAATAGATGTGGACTAGACTACCACACTGAGTATCTGGGGACATGCATGCTGATGTGGTGGGGGGAGATGTCAGGATGCCTAATGCTGGAACTTTTGCCTCTTGCAACTAGGATGTGCATGCACACCTAACAATGCCACCTACCCGTTTGTTCACTTCTGAAAATCATCTCTAATATGAGGATAATAATAATAATGATTTAATTTATATTATCTATAACAATAATTAAGAAGGTAGACTCTGGATATAGTTGTTTGGATTATTTATGTTTAGAAGCAATGTTATTATCCACCTATTAAGCAAATCATTTGTGTCAGCATTCACCATGAATGCTGAATATTTGGCAAGGAAATGCGGTAGAGAGGAAAGCATTTGGTATTGGGTATTAGAGAGACTATTTTAATCCAGACTAACATACTACATAGCCTCAGGCAAGTCATTTTAACTCTTTAGGCCTCAGTCATCATCTGCAGCAGGAGATTTTTGGATTATAAATGGACTTTTAGAAGTACCATTAAGTGCTGACGTCTTTGAAGCCAAGATTCATGGCCTTTCATCTCTTCATCCACAGTGCTTGCTACAATGATATGTACTTACTTGTTCCTTTTTTGTTTTTTTGTTTTGGGGGAGGGAGGCTTAAATATACATCTATAATCATTTGGAGCATTGCAATTTTGTTTGATTCATAAAACTTTATTGTAAGGGTCCCTTTTAGTTTTACACTTAAAACTTTTGAACAGATGTTTTAAAAGAATGTGTGAACATCATTTTGACATATTTCTTTGGTGGTGTTTGTTTTGCTGAATATTGCATGTAACTTTTGCATACTGACTCAGGCCATAATGATGTTTTATTAACCACTATTGACTTGTGACTTGGAATTGTCACACAAGTGATCAAAGAACCTTCCTTTGCACATCAGGAGATTTCTGAGGGAAAACTGGAGACACAGGTACAGGATGGACAGCTGGTCTCCCCTTTGAAGTTCTTGTCATGCTGAGTTTCATACACGCTTTTGAACACTTGTTGGCAAATATCACCCCTCTGGCATTGACTATGCTGTTTGTTTAAACTGGTGCCCACAGAGCCAAGGCAGTAACATAGAGGCTCATGGTGCAATGATAACAGGTTCCAGTTGTGCCTTTCCTCAAGGATTAGCCTGTATTTTGTGTGTGTGTGTGTGTGTGTGCATGTCTGTGTGTGTATTTGTATATGCACGCGTGCACACACACAGGGCAATGGGGAGGGTAATGTGGGATTGTCACGGGATCCTTGGGGTGTTGCCTCACCAGCTGGAAACCTCTGTGGCTGACGGAGCCTCCCGTCTAAGTATTGCTCAGGCCCATTGGGCTCGTTCCATCCTCTTGGCCCAGCAGGCTGTGCTTAGCTTATACTACTGGCTTGGATCCCACATCTGTCAAGGGTGAGCCAGGTACAGAGCGGTGAGGGATGTGTGAGCAAGTGAGCACACAGTCCAGGCACTGCACACAGCCAGGCATGCTGGCTGCTTTGGTGGGGCAAGCAGCTGCTGGCACAGGTGCTAGCTCCGTGTGAGGCTGCGGCTGGACCAGATGTACCACAAGTGGCTTCCACTGCAGGCACCTGAACAAGGGGAATACGTTGGTGCCCAAAAGCTTGGAAATGCCAGGAACCACAGAGCCCCAAAGAAGATGCTACAGCCCTGGCTCGGGGAGCCCCTAAATCTGGGCTCCCTGAAGGGTCGAAGCTCTTCTTTCCTTCTTGACATGGTGAGCAGTGGGGTGGGGGAGGGGAGTGTTAGAGGGGGTTCAGTGCATGTTTAAACCCTGTTTGCGTTGCTGCTCTTTCAGTCCTGCCATTTGATGGGTCCCAATTTCTTGTCCCGCATCCAGGATGAATGAAGTATGCAGAAAACTGGAGGGTGAGCAAGGTGAAGAGGAGCTTTATTGAGTGACAGAACAGCTCTCAGGAGACCCGAAGTAGGTAGATCCTTTCTGCAGGCAGGTCATCCCAATGAGTATCTGGCCCTCAGTGGAGAGGAGACCCATAGTGCGGGTCTTAGACGGAAGTGAGGATAGATGGAAGATGACCTTTCCACAGTCAGGTCATCCCAACAAGTGTCCAGCTTAAGAGAAGACCTGTGGTGGGTAGCTTCTTTCCTCAGGCAGGTCATCTTGATGAAGAGACCCAAAGTGAGTAGCTCCTTCCCACAGCTAGTAGTCCTGACCTCTCTCTTTGAGTCTGGCTGAGTTTGAATTTTTATAGGCTCCAGAAGGGAGGAAGTACATGCTGATAGGTCCATGGATGGGCCAAGATAAAGCACCGAAAGTTTTCATTCCAGTTGGCAGAACTGACAGCCCAGCCCCCAGGCTTCAGACTGTCCTGGTTTGAAGGTGAGGCTTCACCAGGGACCCACCACTTCCCACCCAGGAGCCTGTCTGCCTCTTGCCACCATCAACCTGCTGTCCCTGGCACCCAGGCTGTTCCTGCTGAGGGGTGCCTGCAGGCCCCCACCCAGCCATCCTCAGCATCCCTCTGGCCTCCTTCCCATGCTCATCAGTGCCCAAAGTCCAGAAGGGGCCCCAAGGTAGCATGGGACTGGTGTGTCAGTGCTGCCCTGAGCCCTCGCTCACCTGGTCAGGATGCAAAAGCACCCAGGTTTGGCCTCAACTTTGCTCCAAAATCAGAGCAGGACTCGGGAGCAGGGGTGGTGTGGGGCAGTTGTTGGGGGATGGGGCTTGGTGGGGGGGTGGGGGATGGGCTTTGAGAGCAAGCACTTCCAAGCCTTCAGGGGTACAGGGGCTTCCTAGGCCCTGAGAGCAAACGGAGGCCCGGGTTCACAACTGTGGCTGGGTGGCTGCAGCTGCACCTGGAGGGTGGGGCTCCTACCCCACCAACTCAGAAGTGGGCAGGGCTTCTGCCTGTTCCCAGCTCTTGCAGGCTCCATGGGGCACGTAGCCCCAGCCATGCCTCCTCCACTGCAGCTGATGTCTTTGCAGCAACCACTTTCAGACAGGCCGCAGCTGCCATCAGGATCATGAAAAGAGTGGGAACTAAATGCCAGAAGACCTGCATTCAAGTCTCCGCTTTGATATGGCGAGTTTTATGACTTTGGGGAAGACACTTTACATGACTATTGTCATTCTTCTTTGGCAAAGTGAGAGTGGAGACTTCTGTTTTAGTGCTTCTGAAAGTCTATGATTCTAAGTGGTGTGAATGACCAAGGAGGTCAGAAGAAAGGCAGCACTCAGGCTAGGATGACCAAAGAAAGCTTCTTTGAGTTGGTATCTCTGGAGCTGTGAAATAGGGTTTTGTCCTTATTGTTGTTGTTGTTGGGACTATAAGGATAGGAGAGTCTTCCTCAGTGGAAGGACAGGAAGGAGTCAAAGCATAGAGGAAGAAAGATCCAAGGCCTGTTTAGGCATCTTCTCTTTGGTGTGATGGCCTTTAGCCTTCACTGGGGATGAGAGCTCTTGAAAGGATGACACACTCTTAACCAAACTCGTCTATGCTCCTTTGGCATCTTTGCTTTCAAATTCCTGATTTTAACAGTTCTGATAATCACTTATTCCACAGCAAATATTTTTTAATTTACTGTGCTTCAGATTCTCTTTTGTGCACTGAGGGTAGATGGAAGAGACAGAATCCCTGTCCTTTGTGCTTGGTTAGAACATCTGATCTATGCAGTTGGCATGGGTAGAGGAAGCCTTTTGGCACAGTTTTAAGTATCATTTGAGAGAGGCGTATATGCAACCCACAGTAATCTATTAAATAGAGCGTGCTTTGAAATGTAAAGTCCAAATGATTGAGTATTGGAGGTATGACTGAATAGCATTTCGGAGCCAGCAGAACCATGTTTACTAGCTTAATGCACTTGTATGAATTACTTAACTTTGCTGAAGTTTAATCTCTCATTTGTATAATGTGCATAATATTAGTATTTATAACATAGGGTGGTTTTAAGTATTAAATAATCAGTGTAAAAGACCGAATGCCTAGCATATAATAGGTGTGCAAAACATGCTAGAGTCACTGTTACTATTATTATAATTTCTGTTATTTTTGTTTTTCACTTAATGTTGAACATGGAATCACAGTATTGCTTAAAAGTGGGGAAAAGCACGCTATCACCTTTATCATTGTGATATTTACTGCTTTCTCTTAAACTCACAGAGTTCCTTGGTTGTTGGGAACATGTAGATCATAAGAGCAATCTATTTATAGCTTTTATGACAGCATCCATTTGTGGCTTCCTTGCATTTTAGGAAGGAAAAAATATATATCCTCTTAGGTATGATGATGATTATATTTCTTAGGTATAGATAGACATGTCCTATGGATGTTAACTCATGAAGAACTCAGGCAGAGAAGTGTGTAATTGTCTGGTGCAGTACAGATACCCAGAAAACTGAGGAAGATGATTCAGGAGGCGTTTTGTTTATATGACCAGATTTACCAACTAAATGGAGGATGCAATTCATGATGCACTTGAGCCCAACTTTGGAACCAAAGAGACCTGAATTTGTGTCTTAGTTCTACAACTCATGTGACTTACAGCAAGTCACTTTAACCCATCTGAGCCTGTTTCCTTATTTGAAAAACAGGAATGATAACAATAGCTGCTCCTTTATCATGACATAATATGAGGGATATGTGAGCTAAGAAATATAAAATGCTTAATGGAATTATAGCATATAGAATCAGCAACTAAAACATATAACAACATTCTATATATCTAGTAATACCTACAACATAGTAGTTGCTCAATAAATATTAGATCATTTTTCTCTCTCATGTAACTTTATGTATTTTCATATGGTTATATAGATTTGAAGTAAAATATTAAAAATATTCTTTTGAGAATATTTATCAATTTTTGGTCCCTAAACTTGGTGTTTCACTTTCATATCTGAAACTGTTTCTGTATTCTAGCACGTGAGCCCCCAGGATTTGGTCTCTGCCATTGTGGAGTTTATATTCTACATGGGGAAATAGCTATTTAAAAATACTTATTATTTCAGTTGTTATAAGTGCTGCGAAGAAAACCAAAACAGGGTAAAGGATTAGGAAATTATTGGTGTGATCCAGAGGGCTAAATTACATAGGGCCGTAGGGGAAGATCTAGTGAGGCAGTAGCCTATTTGAGTGAAAATCTGAATAAGGGGATAGTATGAGCCCTGAAAAGTTCTGTGAGAACATTTCATTCAGAGGGAATACCAAATGCTATGTTGCCAAAGAAGGACTGAGCTTGGTATGTGTGAGGAAAAGACAGAAGGCAGCCATGCCTGTTGTGAGGGGGGTGGGTAATGAGGTTGGAGTAATAAGGGGAGACCAGGTCATGTAGGGCCATGTGGGCCATGGTAAGGGGTTTAGATATAATTATGAATGTTTTGAGAAGCCATTAAAAGCTTATTCAACTATAGCAGTGGTAGGATAGTCACTATTGGTGACATCAGTAGTTCAGTAATCTATGTATTTAGTAGCATTTCCTATATTTCCAATATAGAAATTGTTGAGGTAGAGTAAGGGTAGTTGGGTATTGTTGAGTTCAAAGAGGTGGCACAGGAAATGACTCTGTCCATAAGGTACTTAATATTTAAGTGAGGAGACAAATCTATTACAAACTGAGTCATTTGCAAATAATTTGCTACACTGTATTACTATCTCTAAGTGCAAAAGAAGTTAAAAGTAGGAACAGTCCCCTGTGGTTTGGAGCAATTTAAAAAGACTGTCATTGTTACTGTTATCATCTTCATCATCATCATCATCATTTGGGTTGGTGTCCACTTTTTTTTAGAGTACAAGACTATTGTAAAAAATGGTCTGCAGTAAGCAATTTAGTCACAAGTTTAAGTGGATGTTTTCTTCACCAGTCAAATGAAATTGTATGGATTTGGACCAAAATACCCAGTCTCACCAGTAAAGAAGAGAAGAGAAGGTGAGTTGGCTAGGCGTATCCTTAAAGGCAGTCATTCTACCTGTATTAATGTAGACCAATTACTGTTATGGAATCTAACTCAATCTGATTGGTATGCCCAACTCTTACAGAAGAGAGAAGGAGGAGGCATGTGGTAAAGAAAGCAGTGGAGATTTTCTCTTCCTTCCTTTAAATTCATGGTGAATTCATCTTATAAGTGAATGGAAATACTGGACTGGATTACATGGAAGAGTTAGATATTTGAAATAGAGATGTGAATCATCCTGATACAGATAAGTAAATAAGGATGAAAAAGTGTTTAGAGAAAAGGGTATACGACCAGTGTCCTGGAGGAGAACCCCATGTAGAGACCTGGAGGTGGAAGAAGCAGTAGTAAAAGTGGCAATAAAATTAAGAGATTATAAAATGGAAATAAGAGGCAGAAAGAGTTGGTGGTTGGCGGTACTGCTAGAGGATCATACAGGCTCAGGAGGGTGAAGGCACTGAAAATTCCATTGTATTTGGCAAGAAGAGAGTCATTGGCAGTATTCCAAAGAGGAGAATCATTGCTGTCTCTAATAACAGGATTTAAAAAGAGACATTTTGATAGAAAGTTGGATAGCGGGTAGAATTTGGAGGGTTTTGGCAGTCAAAGGATTAGAAAGAATTGGAGAAAAACCTGATGAAGACAGCAAGGTCAAGTGAAAGATATTTTGTCCTCCTCAGGCCAACTGTTAGGATGAAGAATACTTGAAGGCTAGATGGGAAAGCAGAATAAAGATGCTTAAGGCATCATTTCAGGCAGGCAGCATACAGGTGGAGGAGCTGGCTTTGTGGAAGAAGAGGAAACATTTTCTTCTTAGGCTAGAAGGAAGGGTTAAAAGGTCCAAGCCGGAAGAGGGGGTCTATTGTTAAAGTTAAATATACTTGGAGAGATCCATGCCTGTGAATGCACTGGCTCGATCTTTTCATTCAGTACATTTTCTGTAACATAATGTCTTTCTCCATCTTTCAGAAACCACGAAAACCAGCGCTACCCTATGTAAATAGAAACGTAAGGTTTCTCCCTGGAGGGACCTTTGAAATGTAGTGTACACTTTATTGCTCTCTCACATTCTCAGCACTTTGTTTGGCAAAGGTGTTTTCTGAGGGTGGAGAGAACCTGATGGCATTATTTGTGCAGCTAAATCTGGGTTTGAGAGCTCTGCAAAATGGCATTTAATTCTTATTCCCTCGGTGCTCTTGGGGAAATCTCATAATTGCTCTCTCAGTCTCTCCATCTGCAAAACTGGTATAAAATCCCTCTTTTCCTTCCTAGGGCATTGCGGGGATTACTAAGTTAATGTTTTATAAATCTCTGGAAAGATTCTAAATGTGAAGTTCCATCATTACCCACCTACTAGATATGATGACACTCATAATGATATATTTATTACCTCATGTTCATTTCCACAGCAATAGCCTGTGCATTTGTAGAGATATGCTTTCTGTGCCAGGGCACAAACTGAGACAAACCATCTATCACTCAGAGACACGTCAACAAGAAAATAAAAAGTGAACACATGGTTTGTTTTGACCTAAATATTGTTTTGGGTGCAGAGCCTGTTGTGAATTTTTCTCCTGAAAACAAAGTCTGCCCCCTACCTTGCTGGAAAAATATTTAAAAGGAGACCTGAAGGCTTCTTGGGTCATGCTGGGTTTGAGATGTCAATAAACAAAGTATGAAATCCAACTGTGAATAGGTGTGATTTATCAGTGACAGCAATTTAAAAACATTTTTAATTTTTAAAATTAAAGTTATTTTAATCAAATAACTTGATTGTTCAAATAACAATCAAGTCAGGAATCTCTGAATTTTAATTAGGAAGAATGATAGTTTCTGTTTGAAACCGTGACTCATGGAGGGGTCCTTCCTCTTTGTGAAGTGTTAGTGTAAGGAATTTCTGTTTGTCTGCTCTTGTGCCAAAGCTCTGGATTACAATGGATCTAGCATCCAGCTCGTCATAGTCCATAAAATATCTGACTCTATTTTAGTTAATTCAACTAATGAAGATGGAGTTTGTCATGCAATGTCCTCATTGGAGTAGTTTTGTAAGAATAATACAAGTGGAACGTATTGAGGGCTCATGCTTCTAACAAAAGTTTGGTGTGTAATAACCTCTAGGTAATGCAGAGATGGCTTGTGAAGAATCAAAGAGAGCAGGTCCATCTTACTTCTGCCACCCAAAATACCATCTTAAAGTAGGGAAGAGGACCTTCTTTGGAAAGTAAGAGTGTGGTCTTTTTCTTTTCCTGCCCATTTTCTCACTTGCCTTTGCTGTTTTCTAAATGTGCTGCCATGACTGGTGAAGCCTAAAATAGTACCATCAATTCAGTCTCTAGTTATCCATCCTAACTCAGGGACACTTGCTTTTCCCGGTGCCTGGAAAGCACTTCCCCTCACATCTGCATAGCTGGCTCCCTTACTTCCTTCAGGCCTCTGGCAAAGGTCTCCATTTCAGTGGAGCTTCCCTGGCCATCTTTCCAAATGTTCAGTCCCTACTGTCACTTGCTTTCTCCTCTCTCTGTTAGTTTTCCCTTCTTACAACTTATCACTATCCACCACATTACATACTTTACTCATTTACCTTAATCATGATCTGTCTCTTCCACTAGAAAATTTGTAAGCTCTGTGAGGGCATGAATGTTTGTTGCTTTTCTTCAATCCATATCCTAGACACTAGAATGGTGCCTGGTACATGGTAGGCACTTGATAAACATTTGTTCACATTGTAGGTGATCAGTAAATATGACCAGCAAATATTCAATGTCCTGGGTACTGTGGTAGATGCTAAAGATATATTCAGTTGCAAGTAACCAAAAATCCAGCTCAAAATAAACAATAAGGAAGCTTTGTTGGCCCATGTGCACATAAGTCTGGAGGTCAGGCAGTTTGGGGACTGGGTTGGCACAGCAACACAAGGATGTCATCAAGGACCTGAGACCTTTCCTTTGTTCCCATTTTTTTCCTATGATTCAGCTTTATGCTAAGCCTCCTGGGATCTCTCTGTGGATTTGAGATGAGTGTCAAGAACAACATTATCTTTCATATCTGGGGAAACAGATAATGATCTCTGAGAAACTCTATCAGAAGTGCTAGAAAGCTCCTTTTTCAGGAGCTCCCCAGCTTGTATACTCACTTCTGAACTAAACACCGTGACTGGCAGATACACTGATTCGCTGAAGCTTAATCACATGCTCCATCCCAAGAGCCTGGGTTGGACTTGAAATATCTCAAAGCACCTGGGCTATGTGTGTGGGCACCCTAATGAAAATCAGGATATTTATAAAATGAAAACCAAATGGATAACAGGGAGAGAACAACAAAACTCTTTTAAACCAGTAAGATCACATGTTGTACAAAGCCTAATACCTACCGAGGGAAATTAATTATGTATATTACAATCATGTGCTGTGTGCTATAGGATGGGAATACAAATGTGAGAGTTTAATGAGATCACATATGTAATTGTATTGGAACTGTTAGATGCACTGGAGTTTAATAACTGCTTTTAAAATTGCTCTTATTATTACTTCAGTACACAGAAGCTTTGGAAGAGTATTCTGAAGGTCATCTCTCTTGACCATCACTAGCTTTGGATGAGGCTTTGGTCACAGTTCTGAAAGTCTGCAATGAATTAACTCTAAGGCAATTTGTTTTATCTTCTAAGGTCTGACATGGTAAAATTTATCCAATTATATATTTTTTGTTTAGGTCATATCATAAAAAAGAGAAATGGGAATTAAAATTGTTTAGATTCTGATTTTTAATATATTGCTAGCTCTTTATAGAAAACCTTTCTTCAATTGGAGGTTTTAAAGTTAGGAAATTAATCGTCATCTAGCTGTCATCCTTATTTTAATGAATAATAAACAGGCCCATGGGGTTAACTTGCTCCAAGGTTATGAAGTTAGTGACAGTACTGGGAATTAAACCCTGATCATCAGACTCTGGTTGAGTTTTTTTCCAAATTATGTGTCAGAATTATCTTGGTTATTGACATTGTGGAAAATACCTGAATGATTATTTTTATAGACCCTGCAAAGTAGTCTGCCTGTGTCCCAGTATAGCAAGAAATGAAGTGCTCTGGAAGATTTAGTTTTTACAGATGAAAAATGGTCAATTTTATGGTTTTGAGAAATTAGAGACTCAATTTTATTCCAGCTTGTACCCATATGCACATCCATTGCACACATAATGTATTTGCAGAAAGAAATCTTGCTTGATTAAACTAAGTGATCTTGACAATCAAATTTGAGATCTCAAGTGCAAAAGAAATAGAATATTAAAAGAAAGAATCTCACTGGAAAACTTTTAGTCTTTGATATTCAGTTAATTGTTCCTTCAGGACACAATCTGAAGCAAGCCACCTTCCCTCAGCTCTGTAGGTTTTCTCTAAGCATCTAGAGCTGGAAGATTTCTTTGGCAATCACATACAATGAATTGGCGTTTCCTATTTGTTTTTTATCCTTCTGTTTCACTGTGTGATCTTGGGTGAGCCAGTTAACCTCTGTGTGCCTCACATAATAAAAACCAGTTCCTCCCTACCCTAGTAGTCCCATCTCTACTAGAGATGTGGTCAAGATAAATTATGCTTCAGTGGATTTTAAGTAAGAAATCTGAAGATAAATTGATGGTAGTATATGAGCCTTATAAATCCAAGAGGAATGATAAAAGGAGGTGATTAAGGAAACAGCAGTAGCTTAAAGCACAGGGCAAACTTCAAGCACTTAGGAACGCAGAGAACAGTGGTATTACCATTGTATACCCTCCTCCTCTATCCTTTTTATTTATTTATTTATTTATTTATTTATTTATTTATTTATTTGAGGTGGAGTTTTGCTCCTGTCGCCCAGGCTGGATTGCAATGGCATGATCTCGGCTCACTGCAACCTCCACCTCCTGGGTTCAAGCAATTCTCCTTCCTAAGCCTCCGGAGTAGCTGGGATTACAGGTGCCTGCCACCATGCTCAGCTAATTTTGGTATTTTTAGTACAGATGGTGTTTTGCCATGTTGGCCAGGCTGGTCTCGAACTCCTGACCTCAGGTGATCCATCTGCTTCGGCCTCCCAAAGTGCTGGGATTATAGGCATGAGCCACCACACCTGGCCTCTCCTTTTTATTTCTGTATCTCTCTCCTATCAATCTTGAGTAAAGTCATGACTCAAAAGTCATATGCTCTGAAACCAAATTTCAGACCTGTCTCTTCCATCCCTATAAAATTCTACCAGCTGGGGGCGTCTGCTGATCAACAGAAATTTCCTGTTAGGATGAGCCTTTCTGCTCCTCTCAAGAAACATGCCTTGGTGGTAATGAACTATCCACAGCATTATCCTGGGATGGCAGGCACTGTGGACTGGTCCATTCAATACTGATTCCAGTGCCTGCAGGCATGCCTTCCTGTTGTTCTACAGAGTCTGGGATGACTAGATCCACATTTCTCAAATTCCCTTGCTATCTGGGTCCCAAGTATGACTTAGGGTCTTCTAAATAGATAAATTGTTGGTAGCTTTGACAAGGAACTGAGTTATATATAAAAATAGGATGGGACAGAGGTTTCCATTTTGCGGGCTTAAATCACGGCAGAGGCATGGTGTCAGCTTCCTGCTTTATTTGCAGGCCTTGTGACTTGACACCTTCCAGATCATGGCCGAGGTAGTGTGGTTCTGAAGTAATAGAAGCTTTGTGATTCTACAGCCTCCTGATGGTGGCAGAAGCTGAGTTTTCCTTGTTATCCCAATTCTGTGGTGTGGTTTGGGGGATTGTTCCTGAAAGTTCACCCTGGAGTCTCTTTGTCATCCTTCCTCTGTTGCCTCCGTCTTCTCATCTGCAAAAGGACACAATGATCAAAGCCCAGCAGCCATCTTGAATCATGAGATAACTAAAAGGATCACTATTTTGTGTTGCTGAACCTAATCCTAATGGATACATAGGCCCTATGAAACAGACGCACGGTATGGCACAATTAAGACTATTTCTAGGCAGGTGGCAACTGAGTGTAGCTCCTCCTTCTATGTCCCAACTTATATGTAAGTAAAATGAAGTAGAAATATATGCTGATGAACAAATATTCTCAAAAGGGCAACCCAAGTGGGATGTAGGGAGAAGTGCATCTGGGTAAGGATTTAAGGAGTGACTGTATGCACGTGAGTCTCCAGGCCAAACTCCCATTTTACACCTTTACTAGTTGCCTTTTTGTGTTTGTGTTTACCATGAAAGGCAAGAGGCAAAGACTACTTTGCTGTAACTCACTGGAATTCATGAACAGTTTTGGCTAAACTGTGTGCAGCAGGATGAACTTTTTATTATCATAATAGCTTGCAGGAGAATTCTTCTTAGGAATTTTTGCTTGGGACAATAATAAGCCAAATGAATGAAATTGAGAGAATCAAGGTATAGTTAGAGTACTCTGTCATAGAAATAAATAGGAGTTTGTAGGTGATGGAGAAGGAGGAAAGAAAGGGGAAAGGAGAGGGTAGTCAAGGAGATGATGTGAAGCTCGGGCATTATATGGGGTGAAATAGCTAGCGAAAAGTCCTTGGTGGAGTAGCCAAAGGACTTGTAGGAACAAGGATGTCCCATGTTCAATTTGTTAAGTTGGCATAGTGGGGCTGTAAGGCCCTCTTCTTCAAACATAAATATATCACTTCATTAAACAGTAGAACTATCCATTGGCTGAATGAATTCATTCAAATTATATACCTGAGCCCTAACTCACTGGAATTTATGTAAATCTTACATGGGGCATTGGGTTTCTATGGTTGTGCAGTAGTAAGTCAGGAAATCTCATGGTGACCATTGGTTATTTTTCTTTCCAAGAAGCTCCCTGTAGACAGATTCTCCATTATAAAGTCCCGGCAAGATGAATACCCATCAATGTTTCAACTTAGAGCAGAAGATGAGACTTGAAAGATAAAAGACCTGCTTTATTAACCAGGTAAAAGAAGTCTGTGTCAAGACTAATGTAAGAACAAGGAGCTGGGAGATGGACCATGGGGCCACCAGTAACAGGAGGTGAAGGAAGGGAAGCAAAAATGAGGAACAGAACCAGAAAAACAGGAATGGGTTAAGTATAAAGTCTGATTTGGAAGGAAAAACACACATAACATCCCAAAATGATACCTAAAAACAAGTGAGAAAAGGAACGATGGTGGAGCATTAGTTTCTGGAGAGTTTCTGGGGAGAAGGTGTTAGTTTAGAAAATGGGGACTGTGTAAGGGAAACAGCAAGTCAAGTGCATTGCAATGTTATTGTCTGCAGGAAGCCTCAGGTGGGCCAAGTGATGGGCTGAGGGGATGATGCTATGGAACACCTTAGGACAAGCTCCTGCTGAGTGGAAGTTAGAAGTAAACCACTGTTTTTCTTACACATTTGTATCTAAGGACAGTTGCATTCTGATTGAGTCAACTAATTTGAGGTATGTGAAATATGCATGCATGTTTACATCCCTGCATCTGTTTTTGTGTTGGAGGCTAAACCTGGATGAATAAGCTCTTACAAAACAATGCATATAAAGCTTTAGGTTTTCAAATTTGTCCGTAATAGAGAGAGAGAGGAAGAGACAGGAGATAAAGGTTTTGTTAGCAGGAGCACCCTATCTTTTATGTGGCAGTTTTTCCTTTCTACTCTGTCACTGGGGCCTTATCCCCAGGGAAATGTTCCTAGGAATGAAGACAAGTAGATATTTTTGCACTAGAGTCTGCTGCTTTTAGCGTGACTGTCTCAAGAGCGTGATAGGAAATGAAGGTAGTAGTTACTGCAGGTAGAAGACACTGAATAACAGGCATGAATAGAATGCTAAGCATGAACAGTAGTTTGAGTGGCAGGGTATGCTGTAATTGGAGATCCAGGGAGAGAAAGGCTGACAGACTCTGAAACCCAGAGATGAGGTAGGGTTTCCCATGACAAGGAAGTTCTAAAATGCTGTTTCATGGTGCTCTTTATCTCAGGCTCTGGAATCAGGCAGATCTGATGGGAATCATCACATATTGGCATGTACCTTGGGGCAAATCATTTTAACCTCTTTGCACCTCAGTTTCCTCAGTCACAAAACTTAAAAATAACAATACTACCACATAGGGTTGTTGTGATGATTAAATGAGTTGGCACATGTAAAGCGCTTGGAAAAATGCCAGGTACATAGTCAGTGCTATATAGCTATATGTGTTGTTTATTATTATTACTACTATTATCATTTCTTGTGTGCCAAGCACACAAGGCAGTGTTTCGTATAGAATATCTAATTTAATTGTCATAACAATTCAGTGAGTAGGTATTATTATTCCCATTTTACAAATGGAGAAATTAAGACTTAGGTTAAATAATTTATCCAACTTATAAGTGGTAGAATTGGTTTATAAACCTAGACAGGCCACATCTAGAGCCCCAGTTCTTAGCAATGTAAACTGATTAGGTACCTGACATTTGCTAATGGCTTGGCAAATAATAGCTACTATTATAATCATTTAAAATGGAATTGGTATGTGGTAGAAGGAAAGAGCTGATTCAAATAATTGAGATAGAAAGATGTGGGTTGGTATTGTTTAAATTAACCAGATATCAGATGTAGAAAGGAAATACCACAATTAACCTTTGGATTTAGGATACATAGACTGATGGTGCTGCTGCTGCTATCTCTTGATTATCCAATTGTATGATTTACAATGAAAGAGTCAAATAAGCTTGATCTCTTCCACATGTCTTAGACATTTTTAGTAAGACATGCCCAAGAAAAAGATGACTGGGTTCTGGGGGCCCGTCCTTAACCTTTATAGTGAAACCTGCCCTCTGTTAACTTAGTCCTCAGAAGCAAAGTCAGTATCAGGGTCGTGGGCCAGAAGTACCAGGAGTAGCACGTGTGTTAATTTTTGTATTCCAACATTAAATGTCAAGGGTGAAGGAATTTTCTTTCACAACCTCAGGGGTCTACTTCTGTTTCTTCTCTACTTCTTTTATGTCTTTCCCTCATTCTATCTTCAGGGTTTAGCCCAGGGCCTAGAACAAAGTAGGTTTGCAAGACGTATTGGTTGAGAGACTGTGTGCCCTCAGACTGAATCTGCTTCTGCCTCCCTTGGACAATATAAGTGAAGGAAGCTATTTCATGCCTGTAAGTTTCATCCTACTCGTTGGTAAAATGGTGATAATAATATTTATCATCAAAGGCTGTTGTGAGGATTAAATTATGTAATGTGTATAAAATCTTCTGTGTAGTGTCTGGTGCACAGAAAGCACTAGTATCAGTGCCATTCTCTGCTCTACCAATCAGAATCTGACAGAAGAAAAAAAACATTTTATTCCTGAATAGTTAAAAAAAAAAATGACCAATGATAAAGGGCCACTTACAGAGGCATAAGTGGGATTAAGGATATAAAAAAGAAGGATGAGATAAACAGTGCTAATTTCATCAGGAAGCCTTTCCCATCTTTAGGTCTGAAAGGATGAGGGGAAGAAATAGTGGTGCCAGAGGCCAGAGAGAGCCGGGGTCATGGAGCTGAGGAGGCTTGGTGAGAGCTGTCATTATAGTCGCCTTTATCACCTCATAGCTGTGGTCGTAAGAGTGACACCAAACTAGGAGGGAAGAAACTGGGAAGAATTACTCCTACTTCTCTCTCCTCCTGCCCTTTATCTGGAAGCCAGCCAACAGGGCCCTCCAGGGATACAGTGCAGGACAGAAAAGGTAGAGTATAGCTATGAGAGTGAGGTGGGTGGATGGCAAATAAATGGAGAACCACCAGTTCCCATAACCAAACAGTAAACAGAACGGGAAGAAAATGCAACTCACTTTTATCATCTAGATGAGTATCACTTTGGCCGGGTGCGGTGACTCATGCCTGTAATCCCAGCACTTTTGCAGGCCAAGGTGGGGGGGATCATCTGAGGTCAGGAGTTCGAGACCAGCCTGACCAATATAGTGAAACCCTGTCTCTGCTAAAAATACAAAAATTAGCTGTGTGCGGTGGCGTGTGACTGTAGTCCCAGCCACTTGGGAGGCTGAGACAGGAGAATTGCTTGAACCCAGGAGGCAGAGGTTGCAGTGAGCCAAGATTGCACCACTGCGCTCCAGCGTGGGTGACAGAGCCAGACTCCTTCTCAAAAGAAGAGTAAAGTATCACTTCTCACATCATGGCACTGAGAGATTCCGATGCATTAGGCTTCTAAAAGTGGTACTGAAGAAATTTCCTTAGAACCCCTTTTAGTGAGAGTGATAGTAGTTCCGTGGGGGATTTAATAGCTGTTATTTGAAAAACAGTTCTCATGCTTAAATTAATGGGGAAATGAGGAGCTGAACAAAATTAAACAGATTTATTTGCTGAGAGTTTTCTCAGAGCCTTTGCTAGCTAAGGAACATTTTGAATCTCTCTGTGGGAGATGTAATGTGCCGCATTCCCCAAATTTGTTTTCTTGGAGAATTTTACGAATAAATACTTCTGGGAATATACTGAAGGAATTGTGTTTAGGGGTTATAGCATAGGAGAAATACACAGCTATCTTAGCTCTGCTTCGAAGACACAAGCTGGGGCCCAGATTTCCTGAGCCAGAACCCTCTGCTGTCATAAGTGGCTCTGCATTTAGTGGTAAATACCTTTGTATGAGATATAGGCTGGGCATGGTGGCTCCCGCCTGTAATCCCAGCATTTTGGGAGGCCGAGGTGGGTGGATCACCTGAGGTCAGGAGTTCGAGACCAGCCTGACCAATATGGAGAAAACCCATCCATCTCTACTAAAAATACAAAATTAGCCGGGTGTGGTGGTGCATGCCTGTAATCCCAGCTACTCAGGAGGCTGAGGCAGGAGAATTGCTTGAACCCGGGAGGTGGAGGTTGTGGTGAGCTGAGATGGCACCATTGCACCCCAGCCTGGGCAACAAGAGTGAAACTCCGTCTCAAAAAAAAAAAAAAAAAAAAAAAAAAAAAGAAAAGAAAAGATATCTTTTTATTTTTTAGATATCTTAGAAAAGTAGTTGCTTTGGATTAGTTTGGCATTAGCAGAGGTACCCTAATGGAAAGTTAAGCTACGCAGGCAATAGTCTTCAAGTTAAGGCCTCTACTGACAAGGATTTATCCCTCTTGGGCCTCCCTGGGGCAGGCCAGCTATGTTAGCATTCCTAGTACCGTTTGACGAGTATCTTAAGTGTGTGTGCCACAGAGGAATACAGAAAGAGCTTGACAGCATCTCTGTTGTCAAAGAACCTGAAATACTGTTGTAAAGGGATAAAGATATGAACACATAAACCATTCAGAAAAAATAATTCCAGATAGCTCTTGATCAAATGCCAAAACCCATTATAGAACCAAGGCATATTCAATATTTGGTTGTGGTTGTGCATATGAATGAAGAAGGCTTCTCAGAAATTGCACAACCTCACCTGGCCCTGCAGTGATTTTAATAGATCATGAGAGGTCGCCGGGGGGAGGGTGGATACTGGGAGAGACTGGTATTTCAGTCAGAAGAATGGGAATAGCAGGGTTTTATCAGGAAAAGCATGTGTTCCTTCAGGTGATAGATTCATGGAAGGAAAGGACGAGACTGATGGTTTTATTTTTGAAGTCAAGCTGCCTCTGCTTTTGGTGGATATCACTTAACAGGGTTTATGAGCCTTACTTCAATCAGTTCCTTGAGTTGCTGATGAACAGCGTGGGATCAACTTCTCCCTGTGGGCTATTAGTGTACTTTTCACCCACTGAAAGTTAATTAGAGGAAACAACCCCCCTGCACACCTTTCACACTGATTCATCTGTAAGGAGCCAGTAAATTGGATTGGGGACCAGGGAGAATTTTACTTGAGATATTTTCTTTCTGCCGAGAAATTGCCAAAATAGAAGACCTTGAGTTTCTGAGTTGTAGCAGAAAGGTTTTCTTTTTAAAATTTGTATGCATGATAGGCCCAGTGATAACATAATTCGTTATATTACATTACCTTAGGGGCCACATTGTGGTCCTGGAACATAAATTCTGCATATGGAAAACTAAGGGCTCATTGATACTTTGTTTATCTATTGGGTTTTGCTAGGGTTTTTTCTTCCCTACTCTGTCTCTTTCTAACATCACTCACAGCCTGCAGAAAAGAGTATCAGGGAAAATTATAGGTTTTTTGTTGCAGTTCTGGTCTTTAACTTTAGTTTTATTTATGAAGGGAGACCGCAAAATATAACCATATTATTGTTAAAAGCCCAGGCTTTGCCATCCCATGGATGTGAGTTTGACTCTGCTCTGTTGATGGCCTGGCTGCTGAGGAGTCTTAAATCTATATCTTAGTATTAGATACATCCCCTCTAACTGTATCATGTAGGTTTATAAGTCCTTTATTGGATTTCCTAAAATCTGAAGGAATGGTGTATTAGTCTGGGCTCATGCTGCTAATAAAGACATACCCAAGACTGGGTTATTTATAAAGGAAAGATGTTTAATTGGCTCACAGTTCCATGTGGCTGGGGAGGCCTCACAATCATGGTGGAAGGCAAAGGAGGAGCAAAGTCACATTTTACATGGTAGCAGGCAAGAGAGTGCTTGTGAAGGGAAACTCCCATTTATGAAACCATCAGATGTCGTGAGACTTATTCACTACCATGGAAGAGTATGGGGGAATCCCCTCCCCTGCCCCACATGATTCATTTATCTCCACCTGACCCCACCGTTGACACATGGGGATTATTGTAATTCAAGGTGAGATTTGGATGGGGACACAGCCAAACCATATCAAACAGTCTTCATTTGTTTTTTCATGTAGTCAAACATTTACTGAATACGTGCTGTATACCAGGTGCTGTCACTGGCCCAATAGGCGTAAATAAATGGGATGCACAGAATTTCCGTTCTCATGGAGCTTATATTCTAGGTAGTGAAAAGAGAAAGTAAACAGGTTTTCTTGTTTACTGCACGTATGGCAATTTCAGGTAGGAATAATAACCATAATAATTTAAAAAGTACCAGTGAATGACAAACACTATGACGGAAACAAAACAGAGTGAAGCTGTAAATAACTAGGGTTAGGGAGGGACCATATTAGATTAGTTGATTAGGGAAGGCTCTTTGAAGGCGGTGGCTTTTGAGTTGATATCTGGAGAACTGGAAAGAAACAGCCGTGCAAAAACCGAGGAGGAGAGTATTTCAAGCAGAGGGAACAACAATTGCAAAAGTCCTGTGGCAGTGGGAATGAGTTTCACTGGAGCATAGTGAGGCCTAATGGTGGATGCTTAGGCTACAGAGATGTCACAGGAGTTCCTTGAACTGAAAGGAGGAAAGCTTGTGGTCAGCACATGTGGGTCTGCACAGTCAAGATCTGGTCTTGCCTTGCTTTCTTCTATCTATGGTTGCACAGTTGTAAAGCATCCACCGTATATTACTCAAAGTGCTGCTAAGAAAAGGGCTTCACAGACTGGCAGGGGGGCAGAGGGGCTTCAGGCTCTGACCTGTTGACTGTAATGGATTCCTTGTTTGCTTCAGTTTTATGGCTTTAGCTGTGCTTGGAGGCCACCATGCAGAGTGTCCCTTGGCCAAGTTCTCATTAATCCTCTTCAATTGCTAAGAGCCATAAGAAGGGCATGAGGGACTGGTAATGTGAAGGCAGTGGGGGTGGGTGAGCCCTGACTGTTACTTTTGCCGCACTGGTTGGTTAATGCCGTTCATGGCCTGGGCAATAGGACACTGAGATAAAAGTATGCCTGGAAAGCAGATGGCATTGTTCTCAATCTTGTCTGTACATTTGAATCATCTGGGGTGGGCAATTTTTTAATTGCTGAGGGACAGCACACTACTCTTTCACCCAAATATTCTAATTTAATTTGTCTGGAGTGAGACCCAGAATTAGGTATTGTATTAGTTCATTCTCACACTGCTATAAAGAACTACCTGATACTGGGTAATTTATGAAGAAAGGAGGTTTAATCAACTCACATTTCCACAGGCTGTACAGGAAGCATGGTGGGGGAGTCCTCAGGAGACTTATAATCATGGTGGAAGGGCAAAGGGGAAATAAGCACCTTCTTCACATGGTGAAGCTGGAGAGAGAGAGGGCAAAGGAGGAAGTGCTACCCACTTTTAAACAACCAGATCTCATGAGAACTCACTCACTATCATGAAATCAGCAAGGGGAAATCCACCCCTGTGATCCAGTCACCTCCCAAAAGGCCCCTTCTTCAAGACTGAAGATCATAATTTGATGTGAGATTTGGGTAGGGACACAGTGCCAAACCATATCAGGTATTTTTCCCAGAGCACCCAGGTTGAATACCCTGTGGCCTAGCTGTGTAGCTAGGCTCTGTTTCACTGGTCTAGAGGAACATACATTGCTGCTTCATTTGTTGTTTGTTTATTTTCCCTACATCATTTCTGCATGTCTTTGGTTTGAAAACCAGGATCCTTTACCAAATTACAAAGACTTACCCTTCATAAAGCAGCATGAAGGTGGCATCCCAGGGACTTCTGATCGCAACTTACAAATAGGTGTGTGCATGTATGTATGGAGTGTGTGTGGTATGAATGATGTGTGTATTTGTGTGTGCATGCTGCGTGTTGATGGTGCGCGTGGTGACGTGTGTAAATTTGAAGTGTATCTTGTGGAGTACTTCAGCCATTCATCCTATGTAATGACCTTGGTTAAATTACTTCTCTTCTGTGAGCCTCAGTTTCCACATCTGAAATTTGGAATGCCATTAGTGTTTCTGCCTCATGTGTTTGCTTTAAAGATTAAATGGGATAATGCATATAAAATATCTTAGCACAGTTCCTAGCATAGAGTAAGCTCTCAATAAAAGTTATTGGTTAAAGATGAAATCTTGATGAATTTGCTTAACCTTTCTAAGCTGTGCTTTCTGTATCAGTTGATTTAGAATTACCATTACTATTACTAATGCACAATGTTTTGGCAAAAGTCAAATGAATAGCCCCAAGCATTCACTCCATGTTGAAGTATTACACAAAGTAAGATATGTCTGGAGGTATCACTTTATTGAAACATCTATCTCCATCCATTTGGCCTGTCTGATTTCTTTGTTCCAAACAGAGGTCTTTTGCCTCTTCAAATCTTGACTGTAACACTGGCTGACAATATAGAGGTAAGTATGGACACTAATCCTCCCTGAAGGTGAAGTACTAGATTTAATAGTCCTGGAATATCAGAGTGTTTAGGCTACTCCTGAAGGACATGGACAAATCAACTTCTAATGTCCTGCTATACCATGTCACAGTTCGGTATGTTTTCCAGCAATGGAATGCAGGGGGTGGAGGGGCTGATGGCTTTTTGTTTGTGCAAAGCATTTGTTGTCCAACAATGGTAGCATCAGTGTGATTGAGTGTGAAAAGTGTGTACTTTTAATCTATTTCCTGATCCCAATTCTCTCCTCGCCACCTTCATGTCTGCCAACCTTTCCCAGCGTAGTATTTTGACAGGTGATATGTTTTTGCTTGACATTGATTAAAGTTCCACCTCCATTGCTTAAAATGAGGTGCATACTAAATGTTGAACCAGCAAAGACAGCTTCAATTTTGACCAAAAGACATCATTTCAAGTATGTTTTTGAAAAATTCAGTCTGCATTTGTTTTCTTGTCAAAAAGGTTTTGCGGGTATTGGGGATTGGGCGGAAGGAAAGGGCAAAGCTGAGGCCTATAATAATGTTGACCTTGATGAATCCTGATAATACAGCAGACTGTTAGATGTCAAGTTATTAGCATTTTCATTTTATCATACTCAGCTCTTGTCTCTGCAATTGACAATTGTAGAGATGGTCTTTAAAATGAGAATTCCCTCATATGAGTTTCTTTTTAATTAAACAAAAATATACATATAGAAAATTATGGATTTTTTTTCTTTCTAAGAATGACCATGAAAATGAAATATTTCAGGATGGAGATACTTCATCTTTGTATTCTTTTCTTTTGAGCTATTTCCAGAGGCTTTTTCCTAATTATATCCTGAATGATTTCAGAAATTTGATCTCAACTGTTTTCCTGTTTTTCTGCATTTACATTGACTTTCTCACAGAAGAGTCTGATTTTATTCTAGATTTGTTTTCTATAATTTTCATTTACATCACCTCTTAGCACCTAAGAATAACCTTTTAAAATTATTCTTCTGGAATTCATAAGATGTTTCCTTCCTGTTTATGCAGATGGCATATAGCTGGTTGGGTCTTTTTATGTCCCTCTTAACGTTCTTAGAGTAGATGGATTTTAGTCTAGGCATTTAAAATGCAATTGTGTTTTCATCAGGCATTTTATAAATCATAAAATTGCTAGTGTGTTAAATAGACATTTTTGATTTAACCAGATGGACCATTCATTAAGCCTATCTGAGGTGGGCAGACAGGCTTTCAGAAATGAGAAGCTCAGTTTGGGGCCTTGTGTCTGAGTTAGTGGTGTGTATGTGCGTGCATGTGTGAGTGTGTATTTGTGTATGTGAGATGACATCAGTGTGGCTGGGAGTAAACTAAGATTTCTTTTATGGGGGCGTGTAGAACAGAGTTGTAAGAAAAATCATTTATTTCATTAAATAAATTATTTATTAAGCACTTGCTGTGTAACAGGCACTGTACTAGGCACTGGGGATGCAGCATGAATAAAGCAGACACAGAATGTTTGCCGTGATGGAGCTCATCATCAAGAGGGCGTTGGGGAAATGGAACTAAGGGAAAGGAAGGGCACTTATAGTTCCCAGTACTCTGCTAAATAATTTAATACATTATATCTCTTTATTTATCACACTTACTATCACTCTTGGCCTTTTGGCTAAGATCAAGTGTATTTATCACACTTATAAGAAGTCAGTGAGGTAGATGTTATTCTCCTTTTACCAGTGAGGGAAATTGAAGCTCAGAGGTTAATGTCAGTTACCAAAGATTATACACTAATAAGAAGGATATCTAGGATTGTCTGACTTCCAAGTCATGCCCTTTCTACCACACTGTGCTAGTTATTTCTCTTTAGAAGTGGAGAACGTGTTCTTACCCATGAGGAATCCTATTCCCAACCCCTGGAGACAGCCATTGATTAATTGAGGTTTTTAAAATCCACTAAAATTAAGAACCATACACTGGGCAGCGTTAAAGAGCCCATGTGTGGCAAAAACTCATGTTTTATTTCTCTCTTCCCATTTAATGGACAAGATGAAAAGAGATGTGAAAATGGGATTAGACTACCCAAGAAACAGGCCTGGTGGCTCTGTGGCTTGTGCTGAAAGGTTTGATTGAGCTGAGACCAGTTATGGATAAAATGTTGATGTTTTGTGAAGTTTGTATAATGAATTGCTACCTCTCTTAATGGTGGCAGTGGGATAGATTATTTTCAAGACCCCATTTATAGATCTACTGAAATATATGATGATCAAAAGTAAATACACACATCTCAGAGAATATTTTCTTACCCTGGAGGATGGTGATATTAAATCTGGGCTGAAAAATGATTGGTCTGGGACTTGACATGGCAGGGGAAATCTATATATGCAACTATCTCTGAAAAGCAAAACTGAACTGTGAAATCCAATTCCATTCAATCCATTAAACATTTATTAATTGATTATTATCTGCCAGACTTTATGCTAAGTTATGAGACTCCAGAGATGAATAAACCACAGTCTTTTTCCCTTAAGGAGCAGAAGTCCAATGGGTGATGTATACATGTTAAATTATAGATTCTCTTTTAAGGTGATAAGGACAAAAATATAAAAATAGACAAGTTTCTTAAATAGTCATGAAGGAGGAGAGATTAATGTAGAAAGGAAGAAGGAACAAAGCAAGCCTTCCTGGAAGGAGGAGATATTAAGCTGGATTATGTAGGATGACAGCAAATAAACCAGGCAATCATGAGATGGGTATCCCAAGCAGTGAAAATGGAATTTATCATGTGGGCCTTTAAAAATTAATTTGGGAAAAATATGTAGAATTCTATGTTGTTAGTACACAAAATGTGAAAGAAGGACGTGATGAGCATAGATAATACGAGTTAACATAGGCCATGGCATAAACAAGCTTGTATTGTGTGGTATACAATTTATAGGACTGGGTTGTAAGCAAGTTGGTCTAGGGTTTTTTGTGGGTGAGGTTAGGCGCAGAAAACTCACATGAAAGGTGAATGCATTACTTCTGGTAAGAGACAGTGGTCTGAAGACAGTGAAGAAAGAGAGGGTAGATTTGATATAAGGTAGAGGATGCAGTTCCTAGAGATTGTTGGATTTGGGAGCATATGTGTGAAAATCATCAGAAAATCATTTTCAGGCTTTGACTCAGGGGGCTGGGTGGATGATGGTATTACTAACCAAGAGGTTTCTAAGCAAAGGAGAATCTGGTCATGGGAGTGGTACAAGTCATTTGTTCAGTTTGGACAGATTGGGTCCAAACTTTAGAAACCCTAATGGAAATGTCTAAGGATTGGGTAAATGGATGTGTCTGAAACTCTGAGGCACTGAGTGTAGAGATGTATATTTGGATGTTGTGAAGATAAGAGTGTCAATTATAAATTTGGAAATATATGAATTTACCTTTGAAGAGAAGAGAGAATAGAACTCTAGGTAAATCAGTGTTTAAGGAAAAGTATGTAGCCAAGGAAACTGAGAAGTAGTTAAGAGGTAGGAAAAACAACAGAAACATTATTTTCTTGAAATGAAGGAGACAAGTTTTCAGAGACAGGGAGAGAACAGAACTGAGAGATCAAGTAACAGTGTTGTAAAACCCCCCTTGGTTTGGTATTTAGGAGTGCATTGTGACCCTTGCCAAGAAAATGCTGGGGAGAGGGGACAGAAGTCAGAGGGCTTTATATTAAATGGTGAATGAGTGATTAGGAAGTGAAGATAGCAAGTGTAAGTCAATTTTTCAAAATGCTTGGGTGGAAGGAAATGAGGTAATAGATGGTAGCAAGGGAAGGATATGGAGTTGGGGAGAGGGAGGAGAGGTTGTGACTGATTGGAAAGGGAGAGACTTGAGAATACCTTTAGGTGAAGACAAGATTTTATTAACAGCGCAGAGGCTGAAGACCAAGGAAAGACTTGAATAGCATATAGATTACTTAGCCCACATGGCGAGCACAGGTCTTGAATAAAACAGGACTTTTTCACCCTAGGAGTCATAATGAAGTAGGAGATGATGGGTATCCCAATGAGATGGAAGTTTGTAGTTGGGACAGGGGGCAGGATGCTGATGGTGTTTATGCTACTAGCCACTTATTAATGGGTCCCAGTGGAACCTGAGGGCATCTGTTAAAAATGAAGGAGGATGAAGATTTAAAGAGAGTGAACATGTGACTGAAGCTGCAGAAAACACAGCATCCTAGAAGGAAGGAAATTTTTTTTTAAAGATTAATTTGAAGTTTTGAAGATCCAGATGGAATTGGAAATCATACGTTTTAAGCAAAACCAGTCTGCCTGAGGAAATGATTTTGCTCCAGCAGGGCACAGTTGCCTCTGCCAGAGTAGAGAAGGTTAACAACAGAACTGGGCTTTGGCTGGGCAAAGGGAGGTGTGTCGGTTAGGGAGACAAGAGTTTAAGTGATGGACAGTGGAGCTCATCTAGGCTAAATAGTCAGAAACAAGGAAAAAGGAGATGAGAGAGGAGTCTGTAGTTTGAAGAGCAGGTGTAGTTTGAGTAAGGGAGGTAGACACCTGGAAGGGGAGAAAATTGTAGTCAGGGACCAGGGTACTGGATTGAAGATTCCTGATGTGGATTACTTCAAAGAGATGGCAGTACCCAGCAGGTGATTATGAGAGGATGACACTGAAGCAGAAAGAAGGTGAAGATTGTTATTTTTGTCGAGGTCAAAACTTTGAAAGTACATTAGTCAGCAGGTCATTCATAGGGACATTGAAATCGTTTAGTATAATGCTGAGACTTAAGGGTAAAATCATTAGAGCAGCTATTAATATATACCAAATTAGGCCAGATGCGGTGGCTCATGCCTGTAACCCCAGCACTTTGAGAGGCTGAGGCAAGTGGATCACTTGAGGCAAGGAGTTTGAGACTAGCCTGGACAACATGGTGGAACCCCGCCTCTACTAAAAATACAAAAAAAAAAAAAATTAGCCAGATGTGGTGGCAGGCACCTGTAATCTCAGCTACTTGGGAGGCTGAGGCATGAGAATCGCTGTAACCCAGGAGGCGGAGGCTGCAGTGAGCTGAGATTGTGCCACTGCAATTTTAGCCTGGGCAACAGAGCGAGAGTCTGACTCAAAAATATGTGTATATATATACACGTACATATATATGAATGTGTATGTATATATATATATGTGTGTGTGTGTGTGTGTGTGTACATATATATATACACACACCAAATTAAAGAAATGAAACATCCCCATGTATTTTTAAATATTTGCCTTAGAATGATATTATGCTTGTCCTTGCTGACTCACTCAATCTGATTATCTCTACAGTATTTCATTTTCTTCCTCACATAAATAGAACATGTAGTATTAGATATATTTATTTGTAATGGAAAATTATACAAGCATATTACAACAAGCATTGTGTATGAAAGCAAGTATTCAATATTTGTTGAATGAATTAAAATGTGTACCATCAGCTTCTATGCATTTTTGAGAATTACACCCTGATGATTGACATAGTACACGCACTTATCTTTATAATTCTTGGTATAGCAGTTCTTGCTGAGCCATGAGAAAGCAAATTGTCTCTGCCTCAAATGAAAACTGCAGTCTTAAATTGATTATATATGTTAGTTGTTCAATTTTGAATTCCTATTTCTGGCATCTCTTCAATAATATTTTTTCTTCTTTGAGAAGCAATATGACATAGTAGTTTAGAACATAAACTCTGGAGTCAGGCTGCCAGGGTATAGATCTTCCATGCAACATCTTGCCTTTGGTGATTAGTTTAACCTCTCTATGCCTCAGTTTTCTTATCTGTAAAATGAGTATAACACTAGTCTAACCATACAGCATAGTTGTAAAGATTGCATATAGCTTATATGAGTTGTATAATGGTTAATATTAAGTATCAGCTTCATTGGATTGAAGGATGCAAAGTATTGTTCCTGAGTGTGTCTGTGAGGGTGTTTCCAAAGGAAATTAGCATTTGAGTCAGTGGACTGGGAGATGCAGACCCATCTTCAGTCTGGGTGGGCACCATCTAATCATCTGCCAGTGTGGCTAGGATAAAAGCAGGCAGAGGAACGTGGAAGGACTAGACTCGCTAAGTCTTCTGGCCTCCAACTTTCTCCCACACTAGATGCTTCCAGCCCTTGAACATCAGACTTCTAGTTCTTCAGCCTTGGACTCTTGGACTTCCACTATTGTTTAGCCAGGGCCTCTTGGGCCTTTGGCCAGAGACTGAAGGCTTCACTTCCCTACTTTTGAGATTTTGGGGCTCGGACTGGCTTCCTTGCTCCTCAGCTTGCAGACGGTCTGTTGTGGGACTTCGCTTTGTGATCATGTGAGTCAATACTCCTCAATAAACTCCCTTTCATATATACCTCTATCCTATTAGTCCTGTCTCTCTAGAGAACCGTAATACAAGTTGTGAGGCTTAAATGAGAGGATTAATTTCGTACTTAAAATGGTACCTTGCTATTGTATATGACAGTGTTATCTATTATTGTTTTCCAATTTTACTTTACATAAATACATAATCATTTGAATGTTAGATGTGATCTTTCCACTTTTACATTCTATATCTTTACCCTTTGATTCTTCATCTTACCTTGTGAAGTCTTAGAGTCTCCAACTTGGGAACACATCCTACTGTAGCATAGTTTTTGTCTGTATTTGGGAAATAATTTTTCAGCCTTCATATCATATCTACATTTCATTCAAAATTTCTCTAAGTATGGACTTCCTTTAAGTAGGACTGAGTGGGCAAGCAGTTTTATTTTGTTCAGCTGCCTTTATTAAATTCATATTTGGTTATTTATTATAGAGTAATAAAATCTTACCTTTCTGTTATTTTTTTTCTCTTTTCAAGAAGCTTAGTTTTTTATATATTATCTCCTTTGTTTTCTGAATTCAGACATATTGTAGGAGTATTTTTGAGGAATTGAGAGGTTGTTTGACTTGTCTAAGGTCACATAATGATTGGCCTGTTTTTCTGCTATTTAATATAGCATGCATAATGCTGCCGATCTGCTTTTGATCTCGTGTTTCAGTTCTAATGACTTTCTTATTATTGAGACCAAGATCCTAACTCAATCTTAGCTCTGTTGGGTCCTTGCTTCTCTGCCAGAGTGTCCATATCGATAACTTATCAATTATTCCATGTTCTCTAGAACTGAACTCCAGCCTTTTTCTAACCAGTCAATCATAGGACTTAGATCTTAGACTTGGACCTAGGTCTTGGATCCGTGAGCTTGTTGACCAGATTCTGTGAAGCTGCCTACTTGGATCTTTAAATCATACATCCTCCTCAGTTCTCCAGTGGGGTTAGCTTAAT
This sequence comes from Homo sapiens, assembly GCF_000001405.40. NCBI lineage: Eukaryota > Metazoa > Chordata > Mammalia > Primates > Hominidae > Homo > Homo sapiens. Next base: position 21,159,318 of record NC_000011.10, read on the forward strand.
ATGCCTGATCATGATAAATTTAAGCAGAAAATAGAAGTATTGGAGGATATTGATATAGGTATGATAGGAGGTATGCAACAAGGAAATAAATGCACATCTAAGATCCTGCCTTAGGAATGATCTTATTAGGATGCTGCTGCTGCACTTGAATACTTGCCACTGTGCATCTGATTTTGCCAACTCTGGGAAATCAGCATCTGTCACCAAAGTTGCAAATACAAATGTCTATTGCAGCGGATAATGTCTGATTGACCAATGCCTTCATACCACTTCCCAAGAGCTAAAGATCCTGGCAGAAGGCATCTGATTTTGTGTGCTGAAGTCACATATCCATGTTCTAGCTATCTGGGTGTAGGGAGAGGAAATATTTGTTCTCTTTGGAATCTACACTGCAAAGTGGGGCTATACTGCTAACAAATCTTGAGATAAATGTCAAAAAGTGAGAATGTGTAGTGGCTGACCGGTTGAAACACAAAAGTCAAACACACCACCCACTATCTGTTCTCCCCTTGCTTGTAATAGGGTCCATATCCCTCTTAGCTGAGCCACCTACTATGTTCAGTTTTAGGATTCAGACCTTCTTCATCTGTTCTATTTAGCTGTGACCAACTCTCAGGACCAGATGTGTCCCAAGACCTAACAACCAGAATGTCCGTTCGTGATTCTTAAAGGTTTTAACAGTTTCCCCAGGCGCCTCTTGTCCCAATAGCTAATCTGCATGTAACTCAAAGAGCAACCACATTTCTTTTCTGTTTTTAGAGAAAACCACATTTGGATTTTATTAAGGATAAGCACATTTATCTACTCAAAGAATACAAAGAGAGCATATGTAGGTCTGCCTCTGTGCCTTTGTAAAATTGAGGACAAGTGAAAGCTTCAGGGGGTAATTTAAAGTATCAAAAACTGCAGCGTTGTGCCATGTGGGAAACACCGAGGTGTCCTCCTCTGGGAACTATTTTCTATTCATCATTTGAAGACATTTTTCTTAGCTAATATTTTTTTTTAGAACCTGTCAAAATGCCTGGGTATTGTTTGAAATGTCTACTATTTGTAAAGATACCATCCGACATGGTGTTCTCTAGGTTAATTATTCAGAATAGAAAGGAGTTTTTATTTTAAATCCCTGTTCAGTGTGGGGTATGTTTTAATTTCATTGTGTGCCCTTTTGTTCCTGCATAATAGTAAAAAGGAGACAAGATTTTCCTAGCTATGTTAGACTCTGGAATCCATTAGCATTTTGTATTTTTCTGATATTCTACAACTGGCGCTTATATCTGCATGTGTGTAATCATAACATTTGAAATTTCCTTTTGTTTAAAGGAAACAAATGGAGCTTTCATAAAAAATAATTTATTTTTGAATATTTTAGCAAGTTTTGAGCAATGGATATTCTATTTCAAGGCAAAAGAACCTAGGCTAATAATGTGTTTCATGGAAACAAAGGAAACTTATACATTACTATTTCCACAGTATTCGTTACCTAATTCACATTCTGTTTTAGCTCAGCTACAAATGGTAAGGTCACCTTTTTTTACTCCCTGCATGTAATACTGCAATCTCTTTAAGATATAGGTCTTTTTAGTCCTAACATTCTGATTTTAAATAACTTACTTAATTTAAACATGTAGAGTTCTTATGGACTTGTTACCTTAACTATGGTTTTAACCTCTTGCTAGCCTTTATACACACACACACACACACACACACACACACACACACACACACATTTATTAGTATTAGTAACATTTTAAAAATTCATTTAGAAATATTTAAGATAAACTAAAAAGTATCAGGAACAATACCACGAAGAGCTCATCTCAAAGCACCTTCCACTCTGCTTTCTGACCCTCTGTGATCAAAGAATCTCTTCCCTTGCATCTGGGCTATTATTTATTTCTTTTGGTCATCATTTCTCTGTCATTTAGAACTGCCATCATCAGCTGGGCATGGTGGCTCATGTCCATAATACCAGCACCTTGGGAGGCTGAGACAGGCAGATCATTTGAGGCCAGGAGTTCAAGACTAGCCTGGCCAACATAGCAAAACCTGTCTCTACTAAAAATACAAAACTTAGCTGGGTGTAGTGGCGCACGCCGGTAATCCCAGCTACTCGGGAGGCTGAGTCAGGAGAACTGCTTGAGCCTGGGAGGAGGAGGTTTCAGTGAGCCGAGATCATGCCACTGCATTCCAGCCTGGGTGACAGAATGAGATTCTGTCTCAAAAAATAAATAAAAAAATAGAACTGCTGCCATCTCTTCTTTCCTCTGTCCCATCAGGTTCTGTAAGACAGGACTGACCAAATATAATTATATGTGTGTGTATAATTTAAAAATTTTATTAACCAAATTTTTTAAAGTAAGAAAAGGTAAAATTAATTTTAATAGTACATTTTATTTAATCTACTATATCCTAAATATCATTTCAACTTTTTATTAATATAGAATTATTGAGATATTATATAATTTTTTCACCAAGTCTGAAAGCTGGTATGTATTTTATACTTATAGCACATCTTAAATTTGGATTAACCCCATTTCACATGACTAATTTCACATGTGGCTAATGGCTGCCATATTGGATAGTACAGTAAAAGTTCCCTCTCCAATCTTTTCTCTGGGAACATAATCTTTTTTTTTTTTTTTTTTTTTTTTGAGACAGAGTCTTGCTCTGTTGCCCAGGCTGGAGTGCAGTGGTGCAATCTCAGCTCACTTCACCCTCCACCTCCCAGGTTCAAGTGATTTTCCTGCCTCAGCCTCCTGAGTAGCTAGAACTATAGGCATGAGCCACCAGGCCCAGCTAAGTTTTGTATGTTTAGTAGAGACGGGATTTCACCATGTTGACCAGGATGGTCTCAATCCCCTGACCTCATGATCTGCCCTCCTTGGCCTCTCAAAGTGCTGGGATTACAGGCGTGAGCCACTGCGCCCGGCCTGGGAACATAATCTTTATGTTGACATTTAACTCAGCATTTTTCTTTGTTTTGTTGTTGTTTGACTTTACTGTAATGTAAGTTGGGTGGAGAGAGGATGCAGCTAAGTGGAGCAAGGATTGGGATTGAGTGCCTCTCAGTATAAGTGGGAGAAACAAGAGGTCAGGAAATCTACTGTATTAGTTAACTAGATTAACGTATTTGAAGATACATCCCTGCAAAATGGATTTTACTGGTCAGTTTGTTTGTCTTAGAGTGGTATAGTGTATGTGTTCATTTATCTTGTTCCAGATATGACCAGGTTTTAAGATTCTGAATAGTTCCTATGTCATAGAAGAAAAGGATGAAGCTATGCCCCCAAGAATGCATAGGGCTTGGAATTAGTTTCTAAATGAAATTGGTAGAGTGTGACCTTCAAGATCTTCAACCTGTTAGATATTACTCACAGAATTATTGGCGGTGATGGGGCTGGGTGGTGTCTCATACAGAGAATAAACAGAGCCGGAGACTGTTTATGTATTTGCCACCTTTTGCATACTATGGACAACAATCACTAGTTTATGAATTTGTTCGGTATACACTCTTTGTGTAATTATATGTTTTAAATAATTCAATACAACAATTTAATTGAAACATGAAATGCAGAAAGACTTAAATCACAGCTGGTATATACCCAAGATGTTTATAGTTAGGAAGGGAGACATGTAATACTGTGAAAGTATAATAATAAAAATTGGTATAATTTTAAATGATTGCACTGAGAAAGGAGGGATTAAACCTGTCTATGAGACTGTGAGACTTTACTAAGTTAATGACACCGATGCCTGAGTTTTGAACAAAGAGCAGGTGCTTGAGAAATTTGGAAACACTGGTCATTCAAACACAAGTTCACATGGGGAATGTTAGGGTAATTTCAAGTAAATTGGTGTCAGAGGAGTATGAGCTGTCAAAAGGGAGTGGCAGGAAATGAAGATGGGAAGACAGGCAGACTCAGGTCATAATGGGGTTTACCACTGTGCTAGGATCTCATCCTTCAGAATTTAGTTTAAAACACAATGCTTTTACAGTCTTGTTGAGAATGGGTGGAGCATGGCGGGAAGATGATCTAGAGACAGATTGTTTTAAAAAGCTTTTAGAATAGTCTGGAGGAAGGATGATGATAGTCAGAAGTAAATCAATGGTAGTTAAGATGGGTTTGGCAGCTACGCTTTTGGTGGCTATAGTGGGTGGAATTGTGTTACCCTAAAGCCATAGTTTGAATCCCTAATCCCCAATGTAACTATATTTGGAGATACAGTATTTAGGGAGGTACTTAAGGTTAAATGAAGTTGTATTCATCATCTTGGGCTGTCATAATAAAATACTGTATACTGGGTGACTTAACACAAATTTATTTCTCATAGTTCTGGGGGTCAGGAAGTCCATGATAAAGCTGCCAGCAGATTTGGTTTCTGATGAGGGTTCTCTTCTTGGCCTGCCTTTTTCTGTGTCCTCAGATGTTAGAAGTTCTGGTGTCTCTTTCTCTTCTTATAAGGGCATTAATTTCATCATGAAAGTTTCAGCTTCTCGACCTCATCTAAACCTAGTTGTCTCCCAAAGGCCCTGCTACCAAATACCATCACATTGGGGGTTAAGGCTTCAATATATGAATTTTGAGGGGGGTGGGTAAAGATGCAGTCTCTAACATTCATAAGGGTGAGGCCCTAATGCAATAAGATTGGTGTGTTTATAAGAAAAGGAAGATACACCAGGACTGTATGCCCATAGAGAAAAAAGTCATATAAGAACAGAGAGAAGGCAGCAGTGTGCGAGTCAAGGAGAGAAGCCTCAGAAACCAAACCTGTGCGCACCTTGATCTTAAATGTCTAGCCTCCAGAACTGTGGGAATATAAGTTTCTGTTGTTTAAGTCTGTGGTGTTTGGTTTGGCAGCTCTGGCAGACTATTACAGTAGCTGATTTCAAATAGATGTAAACTGTGCATTGTTTTTATATATGGGTTTTTTCATTGTTTTCTCTGCACCCTCTTGACTTGGTAGGAAGCTTGAGAAACAAAGTTCTTTAATTACCTTGTGAAATTTAAGAGGATAAGATGGCTAAGTTAGAAGAAGTTAGTGGAATACCAGGACAACTGTGTGAGTCTCAATTCTGTACAAACATTTCTATTCACCCTCAACAAGCTAATCTTAGACTTTAAATGTCCACTTAAGGTACCTAGATAACTGTGGGGTGTTTGTTCCTTTATTGACCTAATTAGCCAAAGTGACATTTATTGGCTAAGTCCTGTTTTCTCCTGCCTTTAGTGTTATACACACTAGATACTACATTTTTAATCTATTATGGAAAGAGTTTCACTTGTCCCACTTCTGAAAGAAATCATAGTGTTATAAAATGCATTAGTTGTTTTGGCTTTTAAAAATAGAGTAAGGTCAAGGAAAGTACAATTCTTCTTGAGAGCACCCAGAGTCTTCTCCTGTGTTACATTCTTGTCAAGAAGATTGAAGGAGAACAAAAATCCTCTGATTTGTGCCTCATTTTAAAGACTTTGACTCTGTTTCCTTTATGAAGCCACTTCATGGGAGATGTAGTAATTAAATGTAAATACCTACATTTAATTGCCTGCTTTTTCTCTAGATGATAACATTTTTAATAAATATTCTTCACCAGTATCTTCTTTATTTTCTTTTTATTTCCTTTCAATTCAATTACTTTCTCACTGACATTCCTTCTCATAGAGACTTGATTATTTATTTTAAATGATTTACCATCAATTTGTTTTGATTGACAGCATTTTGTAGATAAAACACGTCTAATTATTCATGTTGAGTTATTGTTATTAATCTTGAAAGGTTGAATCCAGAAAGTTTTACAGTATTTCCCAGCTCATGACCTCATGGTGCCATTCGCAGAGGAAGCTGACACTTCTCTATAGTGATCTTCACTTTGACTGCCTATGGTATGTCCTATGGTTTTCTGTTCTTCCTTAGAAACTGCTGAGGTCTATGGCCTGGAATTTGTCCATTCCTTGGATTAATAGTAGAAACGTCTATACCCTAGTCATCTCAGGTAGGCCCAAATTTTAAATACTCTACATGCTGATGACTTCAGAATTTTTGTATCTAGTCTTCAACTCCCCCTTAGGATCCAACCTTCTGAATCTAAGAGGCAACTTGACAATTCTGCCTGAATATCAAATGAGCATTCCGGAGTTACCTTTTCAATAAATGAACTCTTGACTTGCCCTCAAATCTCTCTGTTCTCAGTTTGGAGGTTCCTCAAAAAAACTAAAAACAGAGTTACTATATGATTCTGCAATCCCACCCCTAGGTGTATACCTGAAAGAAAGGAAGTCGCTGTATTGAAGCGATATCTTCACTCTCATGTTTATTGCTACACTATTCACAATAGCCAAGATTTGGAAGATACCTAAGTGTCTGTCAACAAACAAATGGATAAAGAAAATGTGGAACAAATACACTCTGGAGTACTCTTTAGCCATAAAAAACAATGAGATCTTTTTTTTTTTTTTTTTTTTTTGAGATTGAGTCTCACTCTGTCACCCAGGCTGGAATGCAATGGCATGATCTTGGGTCACTGCAACCTCTGCCTCCTGGGTTCAAGCAATTCTCCTGCCTCAGCCTCCCGAGTAGCTGGGTGCCCACTACAACACCCGGCTGATTTTTGTAATTTTAGTAGAGACGGGGTTTCACCATATTGGTCAGGCTAGTGTTGAATTCCTGACCTCAAGTAAGCCACCTGCCTTGACCTCCCAAAGTGCTGGGATTACAGGGGTAAGCCACCGTGCCTGGCCCAAGATCTTGTTATTTGCAACAACATGGATGGAGCTGGAGGTCATTATGTTAAGTGAAATAAGTCAGGCACAGAAAGACAAACATGACATATTCTCACTAATTTGTGGAAGCTAAACATTAAAACAAGTGAACCCATGAAGATAGGGAGTAGAAGGATGGATACCAGGGGCTGGGAAGGGTAGTTGGAGGAGTGGGGGTGAGAAAAGGGGATGGTTATATTAATGGGTACAAAAAAGTAGTTGGAAAGAATAAATAAGATGTAGTATTTGCTTACACAACAGAGTGACTACAGTAAAAAATAATTTACATTTACATTTAAAAATCACTTTTAAAAATTAATCACATTTACAAATTAATTTAAAATGACTAAATTTTAAAAGTTAAAAATGACTAAAACAGCGTAATTGGATTGTTTGAAACACAAAGAATAAATGCTTGTCATGATGGATACCCTATTTACCCTGATGTGATTAGTACTCATTGCTTGTCTATGCCAAAATTATCTCATGTAACCCATAAATATATACACCTACAATGTACCCACAAAAATAAAAAATAAAATAATAAAAAAGAGACTTAGAAGCGCACAAAAAATCTGTCTTTTCTCTAGTATTTCCTATTTCTATAAATAGTACCATAATCCATGTAGAGGCTAAGGCCGAAACTTTTGATCAAATGAAAGAAAATGAAAGGAAAAAAGAGCATGTGACAATCTAAAACAAATAATAAATGTACAGATGAAGAAACAAATAAAATGCTAGTTGACCACTCACTAAATGTAAAAACATGGCCTTTTGTTATTAAAAGACAATGACATTTAGAGTAATTCAAAAAACAAAAATGCCAATGAGATAACTTCTTCCCAAGCTTAAAAGTCCTTACTAGCTTTCTTTGTTCGTAGGATAAAGTTGAAACACCCTACACTGTATATTTATTAGGGTTCTTTATATACTGAGTAACAGGAAAGAACTCAAGTTCCTTAAACAATGGAGGAAAAACATTGACTCAAGCAACTGAAAAGTCCAGACATAATATACATACATAAGGTTCATTTTCAGAGCGGATTGACCTAGTGAATCAATATTATCAGGACCAGCATTATTTTTCTACATGTATTGGCTTTCATTATATAGTGTTGCCCCAGTCTCAAGCATAACCTCCATTTGTGGTCTGAGAATGTCTGTGAGAAGCCACATACTTTTCAGTTTTAGGTCCTAAGAGACAAGAGAGACTCTTCTCCTGGAACAATTCAAACCACAGTGCCAGGATTGTGTTCTTGGCCTATATAGACCTGACTTGGGTACTGTTTTTTTTGGCAATAACTTTAGACAATGGGATGGAACATTGTGGTTGGCTTGAGCCCTGGTTGGCTTAAGCAGTTAAGGCTCACTCTGATGGAGATTAGGTCAGTTCTTCCCAAATATCAAGGATGAAAAATTTGAGATATGTTAAGAAATAGGGAACTTTTCCTGCCTTACTTTAGATACTGCAGTTCTCTTAATCCTCCTAATCATGAGGATCAGTCATGAGGTTGGCAATTGACGAATACCTTATTATAGTTGCACTCAAGAATACCAGGTGTCTCTTCCTGCCACCGACCTTCTGGAGTATGAGTCTCCTCCCTTGTTCAGTATTCTCCAGTTATGTTGGTCTTCTTTTCATTCCTTGGACACACTGAGCTCTTTCTTGATTCAGGCCACATTTGCACAAGCTATTCCCTCTGCTTGGAAGTCTCTTTCCCCATTGTTTCACATGGCTAGCTCTTTCTTTTTCTTTAGATCACAGCTTAAAATCACCATTTTAATGTGCTCTTCTTTTGACCACTTACCTACAGAAAACCAAATATGCCTCCATGCACCCTTTTTCTCACCTTAGGTACTTTTCATTGTTCTATTTATTTCCTTTAGAGTACTCACCAGAATCTGTAATAGTTTGCTCATTGACTTGCACATTTATTTATTATTTTCTCAAGGATTTTAAGCTTTATGAATGGTGGGGGGAGATCATGTCAATCTTATTCCATACTCGATTCTCACTATATAAGAAAATATCTAGAACACAATTGGTGTTTAAGTATTTGTAAAGTAATAAGTGAATGGTCTCCTAAAGCCATAAAAATCACTGTGTTGGAAGGAAATTAAAAGGTCATCTCTGATAAATGGGCATCCAATTTCTGCCTTAACAACCCAGGTGACATGGAATTTACTATCTCCTCCAGGCATTCCATTCCACCTTTGGGTATCCGTGACTATTAGAATGCTCTTCCTTTTTTTTTATTGAGTTAAAAAATATCATCTCACTGTAATTCAGATATGCTGATGCTAGGTGTATTCCTTGGAATCCAATTTATGTATAATATTCTTTCAAGTTGTTGAAGTCAGCTATCACATCCTCCTCCCTTTCTGTGTCACCTCTTCTCTTTACCTTTCCCTAACTTCTTCATCTATTTTTTATCTAACAAGATTTTATCTAATACTTCCTCACCATCCTAGTGACTCATCCATTAACATGGTCCAGTTTGTCTGTTTTCAGTTGTGTTCAGTGATACACACAATATCATTCACTGTTCATTGGGCGAGACCTTCCCTGCCTTATTTTAGAGATTGCAATTTTCTTAATCCTCCTAAAATCTCTGAGTTACTGATTCAGATTAAACCTATGGCCAGTTAAAGCTCATAAGTTTTTTTTCCCCCAGGTGCTGTTGTTAAGCTGCATGGCCATCAACTTGTAAAATTATGCATATTTTCAATGCCTCATCTTTCTCTGTTGTAACAGGCACAGAATTGTTTCTCTGAAGAAGATTTTGTGAGATCAGGTGGCCATTTAGGTATTTGCATTGGTTAAACTTCTTCAGTCCTACGAGAGGACTTTATTGCTACCTTCTTCCTAATTATTTGTCAGTGCATATGACTCAATTCTGTATTGGTGATGCAGTGTATCTGCTGTCTGAACCCTAAGGAGAGATAAAAGCTTGATGCTACTATTGCATAATTCTTATCAGAAACCCGGGATTGCCTGAAGGATATTCAGTCTACCCATCATTCCAAATACTGTAAATTATACCTTTTAATCTTGCCAGATAACTGGAGTAATGTTTATAGGGATCATGGTGACCAACACGGAGGGATGTAAGAGGGAACAACCAAGTGAAATTTGTTTGTAGGTATATGTTTAAGGATGGATGTTGTTTAGGGTTCCACACAGGGTACTCTCCTGTTTTATTCTAAAGACCTAAGGGAGAAGTATTTCCCATGTTTCAGTATAAAATAAAGAAAAGCTGGAACTTGCTAGAAAGAACAGCATGTTCTTATTTTATAATGTTGTGTATCTGGTAACCATGTTTCTCATTTTCATTTGACTCTTAGGAAGCTTAGATCTATTTTTTTGTTCACATGTAATACCTATGCAGAACTCCAGGGTATACATTTCTGTTGCTGATGTTACTGTTGGCTTGACTATTCTCCTACCCATATTTTCCTTTCAACATTAAAATATAAGATTTGATTTGTGATTTTCTATTCTATGATGAGCTATGCTAATTGGAGCTTTATTTTGCATGCATTCTTTCCCATATTCTTTCTCTTAGTATGTTTAGGCAAACCCCTTCCTTACTCCATATGTACCTAATGGGACTGTAAATCATAATTCCTTGGTCATCTTTTGGCACAGAAGTAGTCATGTGACCAGTCTGACTCCTAGGCATTGAGGTGGCGGTGGAGTCCCTCCTGCCGGGCACCCGGAGAGTGGGACAGAATCAGCCTGCTGAGCCCGATGCAAGTGCTTGCACCCCAGAGTCCCCCCAGGAAGAGTTGCCATGTCACCCAGCACTGGCAGATGTCCCCAGGTCGTCCACCGATGCCTTTTATGGCAGGAGGAAGTGCGGCTGGACCAAGAGCCCTCTCTTTGTAGGGGACAGGGACAGTGCAATGCGGGCTCCTCAGGCTTTTGAGCACTCAGATGTGGACAGGGTTGTCATCAGCACAGACCACATCCCTGAGCCTGAACCCAGCCTCTTGGAGTCCAAGTTCTTTGAACAAAAGGATGTGGAGGCAAAACCACCCTTCAGGTCCACTTTGTTCCATGACTCCTTCAATACATGACTGGGATGTGATCTAAGCAGGTGAATTAGAATAATCCCAAAACTCATCTGTCGAACGTGTTGGGAAAATTTCTTGTCCTCTTGGTTCATAACTACAAGGGTATGGGCCTTGGACTGCATATTTTCTTTCATGTAGCTCTCTCTTATATTGCTTGTCTATGAGGCTGTGATGAGAGAATTTGGCTGATGTACAACTAGAAGCAGTGGCAAGTAGAGACAAGACAGAGATACAGGGACACACACATCTTGAAGACATAATTTAAAATCCAACCAGGAGTAAAGGCTGATCCACTTTATGTATCCCAGTTTTATACCACAATATATTGCTATTTTTCCTCCAAAAAAATTTAAGCATGTTTTCTGTCACATTTACCTAATATATAATATTGCCTTTTAAAAAACTATATGCACTTTTGTAAGCTTCCTTACAAATACTTTGTTGAATGAGTGTCAGTAGCTGTCTATCCATCCATGTAAACATACAAATGTGTCTTTCCAGTATATATATATACTGTATTATATATATACTGTAGTTTATATATATACTGTATTATATATATATATATCTGTCACTCTATATAAAGTATATGTACAATTGTTTTTATAAAACAAGTGAAAAAATTTACATTTATCTATATATGACTGCATTTCATGGCACTTGACTCCATTTTCTTGGCTTGCTATAATCCTTCTTGATTTATGTTCTATTAACTTACCCTTTTTCTTTTTACTAACATGTTATCTATCATTTGTAGATCTGATCATTATAAAATAGGTATCTTCATATAAATTATTGATTCTGTGATAAACATGGCAAGCTTTGGGCACATAACTGTTTTTAGAGACCATCCTACATGCAGGTACAGCCTATTAATGAAGATTTAGGTTAGGTTGTTTTTCATCAGTGAATACGTACATATCCAGCCTTTGCCTTACGGCTGTCCTCTAGATGTTTTCCTAATATTCTGAAACATCATGTTTTCTACATTTTCTCATCTGCTGACATAATGATTTCACTAAACTTTGATATCAGTTCCTGTAGAACTCCTAACAAAGGGTACCCATTTTAGCCCCATTGTTTTAGATATTTTTTCTTATCTCAAAAAATGAGTTTACTGTGGAACTTGTGTACTATATATAATTATACACACACACATACACACACAAAGAAGAAGAAGAGAGCAAAATTCATCTGTAATCTCACGACAAGAAATAATAATTGTTAACATTTTGGTACATATACTTTTATCCTTGTCTATGCACAAAATAAACATGTCTGTATATTTTTTAACGAAACTGTGATAGACCCTTTTGTAAATTGCTGTTTCACTTAACAAACTGCGAGTGTTTCTATGTTATTAGCATTTTAATACCATATGGATTTTCTCTATTTTCGGATATTTATATAAGCTGCTTACAACTCTCAGACAACTAGTTTTCTTATTCTAACTTTTGTCTTATAATCTAAAGCCACTGAAGCTTGGGCTCCTTTGCATTTCTGAATTAGGATATAGATGCTGTTGTACTTTGTCCTCAAGAAACCTACTTTATTACTGTAAGATATTTCTTAGGGTCCAGAATGGAAATTCCCTATATTAAATTCAATACTACAGTGCTCTTCTGGGGCTGCAGGGTGTGAATTTGGGTTTCTAATGCTTCTCCCTTAGTCTCTTCTCCCATTTTTGAACCAAATTAAATCAGTTGCCCTTAATTCTTTGTTATTATTTCATTTGCACTGATCTTTTCTTAGTAAGATGTTTTTATTGTAATGAAAATAAAGTATTCTTCTTATGACTTTTGCAATTGAAATTACATTTTCATGTTTCTGAACTTTCTTTGAACCTGATGAAATGTACTTATGATTATCTGGTTTTCAAAGGCCCAAACAATTGTGTTTCAAATTTGTCTCTAACATTTAGCTACTGTGAAAATCCAAGAAGGGCGTTTTAAAAACTGCACCGCAAAGGGTATTTTTTGGATCTACCTATTGAACGCCACAGGGTCATTAACATCTCATCTGGCCTATATGTCTCCTCAGCTCCTTCCAAATCTAAAATTCTAGTCTCCTTCTTTAGATTCTAACTACTAGTAATTCTGCAGGACAAAACCACATCAGTAGACCAAGGAATTGCTACGTTTTAGCTCAAGCTTGTTAGCACAGAGTGGTTTTCTCTATGATTTCTGGCTTCGTGTATCAGCCTGTGGGTTGGTTGGGTTTAAACCCACATTTAACCAGCCAGGCCCAAGGTCTAGTGAAATGTGACTTTGCAGGGCTGAATTTCCGTTGATAGCATGCTCCTTCTCCGTGATCATGCAGTTGATCCCAGCTTTAAATCAGTCTCTATTCCCCTTTGCTGACTTTGAGAAAATAGCCATTATTCCAGGTATTATCCCCAAAATAGTTTTGTTTACATATCTAGTCCTGAGTGTATACCACTACCTTCTCCGAGGGATTAATCCCATGGGCTATTTTTAATTATTTTTTTTTCTCTAGTCTCTGTATTCAACAATGATACTTCTACAAATAAGACCATTTATGGAGTATTTACCGTATGCCACACACTATGCCAAATACTCTATCTGCATTTTCAGGAATGAGACATTTTGCACACATTTTCAGATGTAACTCTTATATAATTCCTTTTTAAATGCAGTTTAGCTTAACCTAGATATTTTGGGTAAAGAAGTGGAGGAAAATGGGTATTTTTTAAATGTAGGCCTTTCATGGATCTTGTAAGACTTCACTCTTTGGCAGGTGTGTGTCTGTCTGTGTGTGTGTGTGTGTGTATGTGTGTGATGCTACTTTGATTTATAGAACTTTATCTCTGAAAACCTAGGTTTAGAAACAATAGGAATAAAAGAGTTTGAGTTGCTCTATTAATATATTGAATTCACTTTACAATAGATCTCACTATGGGATATCCCTAAATAGCTAGCTCTCCCTATGCATTTCAATTTCAACTGGACTTGCAAAAATTTGATTTACCTACAACTTCTCAGAAATATATGTACAGAACAGGTCTTTGGTATGAGACACACACTGCTCCAGGCATCCTCATTTAAAAGAGTTACGTGACGGTAGGAGGCAAAGGGGGTAAATTTCAAGCTTGACTGTAGAGGCCAGTGAGGGAAGAGGCAAATTATAGACTCTGGCACATTTTCTGGCAATATCAATCTAACTCCTAGTTCTCTGCTTTGCTTATAATTAGGAATGCACAGGGCTATCAGATTTACCAAGCACTTTCACATTCTTTTTTTCTAATTTAACAGCTTATGTACTTTGCCACAGGGAGAATGATACTTTTTCTTTCCTATCAGAACACTCTTAAACTTTAATACCCACCTTTTTCATGAAGACTTTCCTCACTACTCCAGGGAAAGGCAGTGATAGCCTTCTTTCTTGCCTTCAGTTTAGTTCAACAGTTATTTGAGAGCAAACTAGGTACTGAATGAAATGATAGGACACAATCTCTGTCTTCAAGAAGAGGCAAGCACATGAACAGATGGGGACAGTGCTTGGCATTGTGCCTGACATATGGTGGGTGGCATTTCATAAGTATGAATTGACTTGATTATTGCTTGATATGTAGAGGTATGTGTGTGTGTGTGTCTGTGTGTCTGTGTGTGTCTGTGACTGTCTGTGTGTTGCTACAGGAATTCAGTGGAAGACCTGACCTAGTGTGGAGGTCTTTGTTTGGGTTGAGGACAGATTTCAGGAGTTTTCTTAGATTAGATGATACCTAATCTCTGTCCTAAATGATAATAATAATTATGGCAGTGGCTATATGCTAGGTACTTTTCTAAATGCTTTATATGCATTAATTTATTTAATCCTTACAAACAATTCCAGTAGCAACTAAATGCTATTGTTCTCCCTGCTTTGCAGACAAGGAAACTGAAGGTTTGAGAGGTTAAGGAACATGTCCAGGGTTATCTGGCCAAGAGGAACTGGAGCCAATATTTTAATCCAAGAGATGTAACCTTCACCACTGTGTAGAGTGGTCATATATTTTTCATCCAAACTGAGTCACTGCTGAAAGTGAGAGATACTGCTATTAGATAACTAATATACAAGTAACTGATTCTGTCCCAGGCAAACTGGGATGTATGGCAACATTACCAAACTCTCCCTGCTTACTAAATTCTATATTTCCCACAAAATATATGTGGTAGCTTACAAAAAACTATGTCTTCTAACATTTTAAGCTTTTTCCCCCATTCTCCATAGCACCTAGTAGCACTTATAGTGGTGAGTGTGTACATAGTCAATAACTAAAAAGGAGCTATTGACCTTGATATATAAAATTGAAATAATCAGATGGTCTAGCCCACTATTTTTCATTTCAAATGATAAGGTAGTTGGTTAAATATATCCTCTATCTTGAACAGTAGAAGTGAGGGACAGACAATGAGGATGGTGGAAAAAAGAAAAACTGCTACAGTTATGGAAGGACATGTGGGAGTATGGGACATTGTGAAGGAGGGAAGGAGGAGGAAGAAGTGATAATTCATCCTGGTTTGAGACTGCTTTAGACCCACTATTCTTAGTCATTTTTGTGTCATAATTCACATGATGCATTAATTCCCTGGGAATGCTCAGATTAGCTATAATATGGCTGCAGAAGAGATAAGAAAGGCAGCAGGTTTTGTGTAATTAATTCCTATAATCTAACTCCACTTCTGTCATTCCCTCTCCATAACTGAAATATGAGCAAATGAGAGGGACTTTATGATTGGGATAACCTTGAGTTCATTCTTATTGACATTCAATAAGTAAAGCACTCTAAATTTCTGTACCTTAATTATGAGTAGTCGTGAATCACATGTTGCTCATCTCCCATACAAACAGGGCAGGCCAGGACAAACATGACCTAAAACAATGTTGAAAACTGGCTCCAGTAGAAATAATTCTACTCCAGGCTAAAATATGAGACTTAAATTTACTGAATTGCTGTCTAAAATTAGTAGCAGCGTAATTCTGACCTTCTTTCATTTCCAAAAGAAATATCCTATTTTCTTAGCTGTTTCCCGTCAATTCTGCATTCTGAGTGGGTTTGTGAGCCAGTAACCGCATTAACACCAATAGATGGGATCTTCTTGTTTGTTTGGTGTCTGGGCCTTTCTGCATGGCTGAATTTTCAATTCTAACCATTCTTCAATTTCATGTTTGCTCTCTCTCTTTTTTTCTAACTCGAGAGTCAATGTTAGAGCTTGATTTTATTGTGAATGCACATATGTTATATCTTGATACTAAGTAATATGAGAAGGGATTTCTGGCAAAGCATACTTAATCACTGTAAATATTTCCTGTTGTTATTCAAATTCATGATGAATTTTAATCAGGTAGAAAATATCCTTAATTGGTCCAATTTAGAACTTAATAGTAATCCACTGGAATAATGTGTGACAGTGTTGGGTTTAAATCTATGAATTTCTCATCTTTAAGGTACAAATGGGTTGCTACATAGGTATCAGTCTTTCTGTTTCACGACTCTACAAACAGAATGATTAAATGTTAATTGGCAGCTCCGATGCTACAGTATAGAAGAAGCTTCAGATCATCATGACAATGCGACTGTCACTTTTTATCAAAACAACGATGTTTTGTCTTTGTGCACATTTAAATTTTGGAGCCTAATTTTAAAATACCTCCTATCTGAGATGAGTGCTGTCATAGTCAATGAAAAAGTTGAGGCTTTGTGCCGTCCAATTTTGCCTTACAATGTGGGCATTTAGGATCTTTAGTTGACCAATCCTTCTTGCTTATCTAACCTAGATGTCTGTGTTTTCCTTCATGGCAAACAATCTTTACCTTGTCTGCCATGTTTACTCCAGGTTCAGGGGCTTTTCTGCTAAAAGTCCTTCTTTTCCCCTATTAGAATACCCTACTATTTCCTTCCTGCAAACTCTGGGCCTAAATATTTAGAGAGTAGACTCTGGATTTCTTCATCTTCTTCATGCGTTGCTGTGAGGATTAAATAAGCTAATGCATATAAAACAGTGCAATACCTGGTATGTAGAAAGTGCTTCCTAAGTGGAGATGTCATGAATGTTTCTGTCGCCATCAACTTTCTGAACCATCCTGCTCAAAATACCAAGAACCTCACTTTGTTTTGAATTCCACCTTAGTGAAGTAAAATTTGTCTCTCCAATGAAGAGAGCTGAAATTGTTCCCAAGGTAGTGAGATTGTAATGATTGAGGAGACATTTATTTCCAGAGCCCTCTTGTCTTACTCGCATGGGATTATTGGAAAGTGATGGCAGTTATATTTCTACATCATGGGCAGGGGGAGTACAGAAAGCTGCCTATGAGCCCAGTCTGGCCCACCTGAGGTTTATTGTGTGACAGTTTCCTACTAAGGCCATACTGGCAGGCTTGAACCAATTAGTGATTGCTATTGAATAGTCACTATAGCATTTTTAGGCCTTAAAATTTGATTCCATTGAAATTATCTCACAAAATTAAGGGAAAAACTGAAGGATTCTTTACACAAGAGAAGGAGGTGAGCCAGGTGTCCTTATGCACTTTGCCTACGTTTGCGTCACATCCAATAGATGTAGAGTGAGCATGGGTCCTCTCTTCTCTATGTTGTCATCAATCAAAGTTTAGGTGGTGACAGAAATGTGAATTTCTGATAATATGGGTTCTTGATGAAACTTCATATCTATTATTTAAGCCATTCAGTCTGTGGTATTTTGTATTTTGTTATTGCACCCCAAACTGATGTTAAGGGATGTTAATGCACTCCTGATTTAAGGAGTGATAACATGTTATTTGGTCAAGTCGAGTTCTTCAGTTTTTTTAATTTTTATTTTTAATTTACAAAAAATAATTGTGTATATTTGTGGATTACAATGATGTCTCAATACATGTATACATTATGGGATGATCAAATCAGGCTAATTAACATATCTATCATCTCGCATACGTATCCCTTCTTTGTGGTGAGAACAAAATGGTAGAGAAAATCTACTATTTTGAGGAATTTAGAAATACACATTATTATGAACTATAGTCGCCATGCTATGCAATAGATGACCAGAACTGATTTTTTTGTCTAACTGAAGCTTTGTACATTTTGACCAATATCTCCCCTTTTTCTATCTACCCCCTGCCATCTTTCAGCCCCTGGTAACCACCGTTTTACTCCCTACATCTATGAGTTTGACTTTTTTAGATTCCACATAGATGTGAGATCATGCAGTATTTGCCTTTAGGTGCCTGGCTTATTTCACTTAGCATAATGTCATCTAGCTTCATCCATGTTGTCACAAATGACAACATTTCTTACTTGTTTAAGGCCGAAGAGTATTCTATTGTGTATATGTACCACATTTTCTTTATCTAGTCGTCTGTTGATGGGCACCCTGGTTGTTTCCATAGCTTGGAAATAATAAACAGTGAATAATACTGAAATGCACATGCAAGTGTAGACATGTCTTTGACATAATGATTTCAATTCCTTTGGGTATATGCTCAGTAGTGAGATTGCTGAATCACATGGTAATTTTATTCTTAGTTTTTGGAGGGACCTCCATACTGTCTTTTTATAATGGCTGTACTAATTTACATTCCTACCAACAGTGTGCACCCATTCCCTTTTCTTCACATCCTCACCAATACATGTTACCTTTCATTTTTTTTATAATCGTTCTAACAGGTGTGAGGTAATGTCTCATTGTGATTTTAATTTGTATTTCTCTGGTGATTCATGATGTTGAACTTTTAAAAATGTATCTCTTGGCCATTTGTGTGTCTTTTTTGAAACACTTCTATGCAGGTGCTTTGCTCATTTTAAAAATCAGGTTATTTGTTTTCTTTTTATGGAGTACTTTGAGTTTCTTATATACTTTGAATATTACTCTCATATCTGATGTACAATTTGTACATATTTTTCTCCAGATCTGTCGGTTGTCTCTTCACTCTGTTAATTGTTTTCTTTGCTTTGCAAAGTTATTTCTTTCTTAGACACTAATATGAATTACCTAAAATTAGTGATCTAGTAAAAGAAGTACTACTAGATTTTTATGGCCCTGTTTTTCTAATAGGGATTTCTTTGCTTTTTCCACAATGTTTCTGTTTTCTTGGCCTCACCTGAGGCTGCTAATCACTAAATATTTAATGAGACTTGATCCTCATCTTCAAGGAATTTGTAATCTAATTGAACAGATGAAATTAACTGTAGAATATCCCAGAACACTCTTCCCTTCCCCAAAAAGTGCAGGTAGTGTGCTGGATTATCTTAAGGACACTTTGCTAGGGGTTTATTTAATAGTTTTACAACAGTCATAATGAGAAATTTATTTCTTTTTCAATTATAAAATTCTTTGGGTGGGAATCGTAGCTCACACCTGTAATCTCAGCGCTTTGGGAGGCTGATGCTGGAGGACTGCTTGAGCCTAGGAGTTTGAGACCAGCCCAGGCAATATAGTGAAACCTCATCTCTACAAAAATTTTAAAAATTAGCTAGGTATGACTTCTGCCTGGAGCCCCAGCTACTCAGGAGGCGGAGATGAGAGGATGGCCTGAGCCCAAGAGATCAAGGTTGCAGTGAGCCGAGACCACACTACTGCACTCCAGCCTTGGGGACAGAGTGAGAACTTGTCTTAAAAAAAAAAAAAAGTTTTTCTGTTAGGTGCATTTAGTTAAATAAAATTTTAAAAAAGATTCAACTTAAAGGATATTTTTGAGTAAATGAAAATGGAGGTTTTTATGATTAGACAAAAACTGGAAGGTAACCCATGTGGTTCTCAGAGATGGGAAAGAATGGCTTTGATATTATGCATGGCTGAGGTTTGTGAAAGCTGAGAATCTGTAATCTGACTGAACAGGGGATAGGAAAGGGGCATAGTATTACTGGCACTTAAAAAACTTTTTCGAATGACCTCGGTTCTTCCAAACTGGCAACTACTGATTTATAGAACAATTAATTTATTGTCCATGGGTTCTAACCTTCAAGAAATATAGGAGTTCAGTAACAGTCTTGCTCATTATCAGATAAACAGCTGACAGCTTCTCCATGGAAAAGTTGGGCTGGAGCTAGATTCTGAAAACATAAAATATTTTGAATAGAAAGTAGTGAAGAGAGAATATTTTAGGCAAGTGGTCTAGCAGAAATTTCGTGTAGAGGAAATAATATATTTGGAAGGTTTTGAAACACAATGAGAGAGTGGTTTGATTATGTACTAGTTAGTTATTGCCACAATAGTCATATGTAATAAATCATCTCAAAACTCAATGGCTTAAAAAAACTCATTTATTCTCAAGGATTTGCAGGTTGGCAGAGGTGGCTGTGCTTCATGATGTGAGTTGGCTAGTGTATTCTCATCCAACTTGTGATAGCAGGTGAGCACAGGCATGTTTTTAGTATGGCAAAGGAAAGTGCAAGACAAGCGCCAAAATATATAAAAACACATTTTAAGTCTTTGCTTATGTCAAATCTATTAACATCTATTGGCTAAATCAAGTCACTTGGCTAAGAACAAAATCAAAGAGCAAGAAAAATATACTCCATCCAAATTTCTAGACACCACGTGACAATACTGAGACTTGACATAAAGAGAATACTCAGTGAATAGTCTTTTATTTGCTTCCTGGAGCTACATTTTGCACATAGTTTGAGTTAGGAGTGGTCTTACCTGATTTATGTTTTTAACCAAAATATAGGGAAGTATTTGTGCAAAGGTTTAGGACAGAAATCAACACACTTTTTTTTTTTTTTTTTTTTTTTTTGTAAAGGTCTAGCAAGTAAATATTTTAGGTTTCATAGGTCATACTGTCTGGGTAGCAACTACTCAAGTGTGTTAGCAGCAGGAAGGCAGCCACAGAATATATGTAAACAAATGGGTCTGGCTGTAATTCAATAAAACTTTACTTACACAAAGAGCTGGCTAGAGGACTGAATTTAGTTGGGGGCAGGGTGGGCGGGGGGCTCTGGATTTGCCCCCCATGCCATAGTTTGCAGACAAATTATTTAGGAGACAACCTAGTATAAATATACATTAGGCAATGTCATTTTGCTGTTCTTATATAATTAAATTAACCTGTATTACATAATCTTTTATTTATATCTTATCGTCTGGAAGAAGAACAAACTCTGCGGTTGCTTTCAAAGCTGAGATTACAGTTGATGCTTCCTTTTGGTGTGCAAATCAGCGGGTGTTAATTGGAAAACAAATTTTTTACATGACTGAAATATGTTCTGATGTGGAATTACTAATTTGTGCCTGATTCTGTTTGGCATGCTGCTGCTCATGATTTTTATCAGATAATTTACACAGAGATTCTCTTTTGGCCTGTGACATGAATTCTGAACAATCAGAAAATGCTTTAAGATCAAGAGTAGACAATTTTTCTTTCTGTGAAAGAGAAATGAGTTGGCAAATAAAGTAGAAATAAATCATCTATTTCTATTTATTTACAGCTGGAAGCCATTTAGGGTTCAATTTGAAGGGAGATTTTTGTTCTTCCTTTAGCTGAGCAGCAAACACATTGGCCTCGTACTTTCTCTACATTTTATCATAGAAGTTCCTTAGCTATGTATTCTGTACTGCCTTCTTGTTTCTGGTGAGTTTCCCTGTTCCTTTACTGGGGCAAGGTTTAGGGGCTCTCTGGCTTGGTCAGGTCATGTAGAAGCAGCCCAGCAAACTTTTTGTCTGAACATCCAACTCTTTTAAAGAAATCTTTCTCCATGGATTTCCTTAATATCTTGTTTCAAAAAAAAAAATGTTCTCTGCCTAGAAAACTACGTTTTTCTAGGTGAATCCTGAATCCTATTTCTATTTTTCCCCATCTCACCATTGATATACTAGGCAAAGTAAACACCATGTCAAAGAATTTTTTTTCTAAAAATGAGGATGCTCGAAGTGCCTATACT
The DNA here is from genome assembly GCF_000001405.40 of Homo sapiens. Classification (NCBI taxonomy): domain Eukaryota; kingdom Metazoa; phylum Chordata; class Mammalia; order Primates; family Hominidae; genus Homo; species Homo sapiens. The sequence continues at coordinate 21,181,032 of NC_000011.10, forward strand.
TCCCCATTAAAGTTCACATTTCTTTGGTGAACTGGATACTCTTGCTCTCTCCCTGCAAGGTAACATAGCAGGAGCTAGAACAATTTTTAGACCTTTGAAACCTAATTTATTTGTCATCATTGAGATTTTGCTGGCTTTCATTTGGCTGACATGTGAAGATGAGTAATACATTTATATTGTATTTATGGGGGAAAAGCAGATGAAATATTCAGGTTTAGGTTGATGCAAAAGTAATTGCAGTTTTTGCCACTACTCATGGTGAAAACCGCTACTCATGGTGAAAATCGCTATTACTTTTGCACCAACCTATAATACAAAGTGATACTAGGCAAGTGGATTTACTCAGGGGATATTTATTGAAAGGAGAAAAAAAAGCTGCTGTTTATTGAATGCCTACTTCATAACAGCTATATGGCTTTAAAGAGTTAGTAATTTGCCACAGTCTCAGAGGTGGGGCATGGCAGAAATGAGATTGGAATCCCATTTCAACTGCAAAGCTCCTCTTTTCCTTACATCACTATTTCACATTAGCAATATGTACTGATTTAAGGAAACAGCTGGGAAATTATGCCTCTTGTTTGCTGTCTCTGAACTATACATTCAGTAAGAAGTTTGAATTTTTATGATATTAGAGATGGGAAATGTTCACACTTAATTTTGTTAACATTTCTTTTCTCTCTATTATCGCAGGCTAAATTTTTCCACTTTCTTAAATGGACTGCAGAAAAATTGCAGAAACCTTAAATCTTCATTTAATTAATAGAAAATACAACACCTTAATTGTCATTATTATTATTTTTTCTACTAGTGTACTGAAGAAGACATGCTGGCTTCTGAGTATATGTGGTTCACTCTGTGAGAACAGTAGCTGAATTTTTAATAGTGTTTCTGTAGATTTGGCATTATTCTAAGACTTTACATATATTGACTTATTTAATTCTCACAACTATCTAATGAAGTAAATACTGTTATTATCCCAATGTAATAGATAAGAATACAGAGACACAGAGAGGTGAGCTAACTTCCCTTTTAACTTTATCACAGCTACCAGATGGTGGAGCTGAGATTCAAATTCTAGCAGACGCCAGCCAGAGCCTGTGCTCTTAAGAAAATGAGCTCCAGCTGGGCACGGTGGCTCCTGCCTGTAATCCCAGCACTTTGGGAGGCCAAGGCAGGTGGATCACTTGAGGTCATGAGTTCGAGAGCAGCCTGGCCAACATAGCGAAACCCCGTCTCTACTAAAAATACAAAAATTAGCCGGATGTGGTGTCAGGTGTCTGTAATCTCAGCTACTCAGAGAGGCTGAGGCAGGAGAATCACTTGATCCTGGGAGGTGGAGGTTGCAGTGAACCGAGATCACGCCACTGCACTGCAGCCTGGGTGACAGAGTGAGACTCCGTCTCAAAAAGAAAAAAAAAAAAAAAGAAAGAAAATGGGCTCCATTGAACTTTGTAATCAGTCATGGTTCAGTCAGGAGACAGTAACCACACAAATTATTTTATAAGAGAGAATTTAATATAACTACATATTAAAGAACTTATAATACGAAAAGAGCATAAAGTTATCACAGAAGTAGACTTTTCAGGTATCACAGAAATAGCCTTTTCAGGAAGCAGCTACCTAGGGCTAGGGAAACAGGAGGAAGAGGTTGGAATTATTAATATTTAGAGGAAAAGAGGCTTCCCAGGTGCTAGAGTCTCTGAGCATAGAAAAATGGTATAATAGGATGGGGGCTACCAGAGGAAGGTAAAGAGAGGCTGGCCAGCTGATATTGTTATCTGAGGGTGCCATAAACATTGCTCTTCAAATGTTGGGAAAACGGCAAATGGGAACCAAGTACTGCTACTGGAAAGAAAATTGTTGCTGTTGGACTGAAGAATCATTGCTAGGATGATACTTACAAGAAGAAGCTAAAAGGGAACAAACAAGAAGGATGAAGTCCTGTCTTCATTCTGAAGCTTTGCAGTTCTCCTCTTTCACCCATATGGGCAGAGCCTGAGAGGGAACGGCTGGCAAAATAAAGATGTGGTGTTTACAGTTCCAGTCCCAGCACCACAAAGCTGGGATTGACCTTAAACCAAATTTCCAAATAGAAAAGTATGTTCAAGATTTATGAAAAAATAATGTGCTATTGGAGAATTTTATTACCTCAGTATAATATAATCTTATACGTTTTTTATGAACATGATCTGTCTCTCCCAACAAATTATGGACTCTCTCAAACCAGTTCTGACTTAAGCCTTTTTCAAGGGCCAGCTTAGTGCAAGGCACATAGGAGGTGCATAATAAATGATTGTTGCTGAAGTGATATTAGAAACATTTAAATGTAGATTTTCTTTTAAAATTACTTTTACAGGTTTCAGAACATCTATTCATAGGGTCAGCTGAACAAATAAAGCTTGCGAATGAGAATATTATTCAGGAGAAGGGCTTGCTCTATCCCTGTGAATGCTCAAGAGAGCTCCAGTGTTTGCAGAAAAGTTTTACAAAGATTAAAACAATATCTACTCCCCCTCCCCTGGTGAGATTATCATTAATTAAGGAAATGCAGGCATCGATCTGTTTGATAGCATTCCATCAGCAGAGCTCTGGCCTATAAAACGCAGGTTGAGATTTTCACTCGTATTTCAAGGATGTTTCCCAGTTGGATGGCAGCATTTTGATCCCCCGTGTTACCTGTCAAAGGATAATGAATATAACTAGTGGGAACCATGCCGACCCAACAGATATTACTTTATTTTAATAATGTGATTGGAATCAGGTGATTGGAATGTAGTGTTGAGTTGAACAGGGTTAGAAAATGAGTCACATCTCTGAACAAGTGAGATTGAGGGAGGGTAAAGGGAAATAGCTTCACTAGTCTGAAACAAAAGGAAAAAAATCTGCGTTTCCGTTACTATGATCATTTTTGGGGGCTCATAGGTGGAAAGAATAAATTTGCCTGTTTTCTTACATGTTGGCCCATAGTATGTTTTCTAGGTGTAGTGAAGGGCAATGCGATATAGAGGCAGTAGCACCATTCCTAAACCAGGAACGTGTGACTGGGAACCCCAAGTTGGCTAGCAACTGGTGTGTGAGCTTGGAGAAGTCACTTAACTTCATTGGCCTTCAGTTTCCTCTTTTGTAAAATGAAGTGATTGGTTATAATCAATATCCCACATTCCCTCCTACCCCATTCTATGTCCTCCTCTTTTTTCTTAGTTCATTGGCATGCAAATTGTTTGTTTATTGTTTGTTTTGTTTTGTTTTGTTTTTGAGATGGAGTCTTGCTTTTTCACCCAGGCTGGAGTGCAGTGGCACCATCTCAGCTCACTGCAACCTCCGCCTCCTGGGTTCAAGCGATTCTCCTCCCTCAACCTCCTGAGTAGCTGAGATTACAGGAAGGTGCCCACCATGACCGGCTAAATTCTGTATTTTTAGTAGAGATGGGGTTTCGCAATGTTGGCCAGGCTGGTCTCAAACTTCTGACCCCAAGTGATCCACCTGCCTTGGCCTCCCAAAGTGCTGGGATTACAGGCATGAGCCATCACACCCAGCCAGGCATGCTAAATTGTGTTTCAAATGTGTCAGTCGAAAACAGACTCATTTTTCAAGATGTAAGTCAATGTCTCTGAAGAAAAGCCCATACTATAAAAGAATACTAGTTTTCCTACAAAAGCATTTAATTTATGATATGTTTTACCATAATAAAATGAATGTCCTCTGTTTTTAACGAGGAGTTTTGATTGAAGTGAAATCGTGTTTTCTAGAAAATGTAGATTTTTGCCTTAAGTTCTAATTATTGAAATGGAAAGTTTGAAGCCATCAAATAGTGAATCAACTTGTGAATTTCCTCATCCTTCTAAATATAATATTAAAAAAATTGATATGCAATGTAAATATGTGTTACATTTTCAAACGGCAACTTCAGATACAGTATTTTGTTGTTAGCACCGATAATTACTGATGCTTTAACAGCCAATCGCATAAGAATTGCCCTTCCTTGAGCTTAACCAATTGTCTGTCATCTTTTAGTGTGTTTTCCTCCCATCTCTTCACTTGTCCATCTTCCCATCCATCCATCCATCTATACTTCCATCCTTCCATTAACCTATCCATCCATCCTTAGGGCTGACAGGATAATTCAAACATATTGTAAAAGAATGTTTTCTCTCTTGATGTCTGCTACTAATGTTATAAATAAACAGCCCAAATCACATTTGTTTCTATTTTGAATTCTTTATAATTTGACTAGGAACATACTTGTATTTAATTCCAGTATCTTTTTTTTTTTTTTTTTTTGAGGTGAAATTTCGCTCTTGTTGCCCAGGCTGGAGCATAGTGGTGCATCTCAGCTCACTGCAACCTCTGCCTCCCAGGTTGAAGCGATTCTCCTGCCTCAGCCTCTCGAATAGCTGGGATTACAGGTGCCCGCCACCACACCCGGCTAATTTTTGTATATTTAGTAGAGACGGAGTTCCACCATGTTGACCAGGCTGGTCTTACACTTCTGACCTCAGGTGATCCACCCGCCTCGGCCTCCCAAAGTGCTGGGATTACAGGCGTGAGCCACTGCACCTGGCCCTATCGTTTTTTTACTACTTACCATGGGCAAGCTAGTTAACCTTCCTAAGCCTCGGTTTTAGTTTTCAAAATTGAGATCCTGCTTCCCAGCTCACAGGGTTGTTGTGACTAAATGTGATAATGGGTATAAAGCTCTTAGTGCAGTGTCTGTCATACATAAATTCTCTCTCCTCTAGCTTTTAACCTGCACCTTGCTTACTAAGTTCTAGTAAAATGGATTGACTTTTAGCACCTTATCTGGCCTTTGATGAGTATTTCTTATCTATTAGGAAAGAGGCATCTGCAAATGACTCTAATTTAAACAAAAAGGGGCTTATTGCAAGGCTATCAGGAGCTCACAGAACTTATTGGTAGGATGATGAAACTTGTGTAGAAAGGGACTGAAACCAAGGAGGCTCCTAAGGGCCAGGATGCAGAAAGGAAGGAAAGATCTCATAGAAGGAATGGTTAGCTGGATACATCTAACCACCATATCCTCTGGCTTCTTATTTCTCTGTCTCTCAAGAGTCAAAATTGAATGAAAGGAAAAGTCTGATTCACTGAGCTTAGGTCACATGATGGCTGATCTTAGGTCATGTGACTTCTCCATTATTTTACTGGACATGTTAAAAGAAGGGCCCCATTCACTGAGACCCTGTAGTAGGAGGGAGTTTCTGGATTCCACCACAGTATATACACCAGTGAAGCATATGCAGTTCCCTGTAAGGGACCTTGACACCTGTTAGAAGAGGAAATGGATGCTGGATGGCCAAAAAATGGCAAATGTCAGTGACAGTGAGTATATGTGTGTTCATATTCTCTCTATCTACTTGTTTTTACCCAGACTCAGAATCCATTAGTTCTCAGTCTTTATATTGGTAAACTTATAGGTCTTGACTGATTTTAGTTTGTTCGTCTAAGACATCTCTTTCCATCTCTTAGGATATTTTAATTGCTCATCTCTGGACCCTCTCCAAGGCTTGTTAAGCCTTTATTGAGCTGTGGTAACCAGAGCTGCACAGTTTTGTGTCTTGACATAGTGCAGTTGGTTTCAAGGAAAGGCTAATATGTTTGGTCTTATGTCCAATATTCTTGATCAACATTAATGTTATTTACTGGAGGAAAATCAGTCTCATTTTTATATCACTGGAACATCCAGCAATGCAAGCCTTGCTGGCACTGGGGAGGTCTAAAATTTTCTAAATAGAGGGAAATGAATAAGTAGTGGATTGTTTGATACCATGTAGGAGAAAGGGAAAAATAAACAAAAAGCTGCATTTCTACAAACCCTCAATCTGTTCTGAGTACAGAAAGTCATTTGTTTGGAATTTAGATCCAGGTTGATTTGGTTGTCAATTCTAGTTTTCCAAATGTGTGACTTTGGACAAGTCACTTTAATATTGCTGACTGTCATTTCTGTCATTGGTGAAATAGAAATAATAATATTCCGCTTGACAGGATTAAGTGTGACTCACGTGATTTCACTTATTAAGGCTTTGGCGGAATATTTAGCACATGACAGAAATATAATTTAAAAGTCTTTTTTTTGTCCATTTGCACTAAAGAGATAAGAGAAGTTTGAAATAATTAAAAGTCACTGGATCCTATTGGGGTTAGTCAAGGGAAGACTTGACAGAAGCGAGCCAGAAGCTGGTCTTTGACAGAGAAAAGTGACATGACTTTATGGAAAGAAGACAGGAGAACATGAACAGAAGAGAGACAAGATGTCTGAAAGTTTGAAGTTAGATAGATTAACTAGTTTTCCTTTTGGTAATTAGAATAGCTGGCTAGAAAAGGGTGGAAGATGGTGCTAAGGTAATTGCTAAGAAGATGAGATTTGATTTGAGGTTTCTGAACTCAGGAGGCATAAAATCAAAGTAACACTTAAAATGATAAATTCATCCTTAATGACATGGCCATTCTCAAAGACCACATTGACTGGTCTATTAAGCAATTAATACCTCCCTTTCAAATTTTTGCCTATTTATTTTTAAATTTCATGCAGTGTCTCTGGGCAAGGGTGCTGACTCTATTACTTGTCTATTATTGTCACTCTATGATTTGTCTCAGGCTCTCTTCTGACCTCTTCTGTCCAAGTTGTCTATGTGAATAGACATCCTGTGTCTGCCCTTACAGGGTCACTTTATTCAGAGAATCATAGAATGTTCAAGATAGGCTATTCTAATCTACCCAATTTTCAGATTAAAAAGCTGAGGACCTGAAAGAGGACATGAATTGACACAGATTATAGACTTTTAGAGCAGCATGTAGTTAACAAAAATAAACAAATAAGGATTTTAGGTAGATATCATGCACTTTAGTAGATGTATAAACTTGGAAATCTTATCTGACTTTTAGAACCTCAATTTCTTTTCTGTATAATAGGCAGGTAATTGATGATACCTGTTTCAAAGGGTGTCTATGAAACTGAAACAAGGAAATACCTCTTGAACATCTGAAAGGAGAGCTCAATATGTGTTAGTTTCCTTCCCTTTACTTTTAGAACTGATTTGGGTTCTGGACTATAAAAAAAGAATTGCATCATCCCTTTGGGGAAGATGAAGGGGAAAGGTAAAAATCACTGAAGAAATCTAATGGTAAATGAATACATTTTTTGCTTCTGTTCTTTTCCTACAGTCAGTATCATCTTGGGGAAGCAGGTGAACTAGCTTTTTCTCCTCAGTCACTGTGCCTGGGGCTGGGACAGTTCTCATGATTCTGGTTGGAATTTAGGCTGACATTTGAGGGGTGAGACAGATGGCCATCATCTCCATTAAGAATAACTGCACCCCAGCCCTTTATCCACAACTCTGCAAATGTGTTTGGCTCCCATAGCAGGTTTATGTGTTGGCAATATCAGTGAAATGATTCCTTCCAGCTTGGACATGTAAAGACTTTCAGGGCCCTATGGCTTTTTTCTCTCACTTTTCTTTACTCATTCTCACAGTCTTGAAATTTACAACCCTTAAGTCCACAAGGCTGTTATTTAGAAGTGAAGGAATTGTTGTACTGACATTTTTCTAATTAAATAAAAAAAATTTATTTAAAAAGAACCAAAAATAGAAGCAATGCAAAATATACAGTGAGGCACAGTGGATAAAGAACAGATGTGCAAATTAGAGAAACTTGGTTTTAGCATCAGAGTTTCCATTTACCTGCTCTGAAGTGTCTGGCTGTGTAACCTAGGACACTTCATTTTGAATATTTTTAGAATTCTTTCCAGTATAAATCTTTGTGACACTATAAGCATTTTCCTTTTAATAATATTCACAAACTTACAAACATATAGGAAAATTTAAAGTATAATGTGACCATATTGGACCCATCATTGAATCCTATCAAATCTTAACATGTTGTCATATATACCGTCTTCCTTTCTTTGCATTTGATACTTATCATTTTCACGCATGTTTTATGCTGCTACTCTATGTCCCTATATTTAAAACCAATTTGTATAGTATTGTTTGAAATGCTTTTAACTTTATACAATTATATCATAATGTATATATTCAACTGCCACTTGCATTTGTCACTCAATGTCATTGAGATTTATCCCTGCTCACATATGTAGCTCTTCATTTTAATTATGATACAGTAATCCATTGTATGAATAGTTCACAATTTACTTATCCTTTTTCCTGATGACTAGTTTTTACAATTACAAAGAATGTTGGAATTAATGTACTGGCATAAGTCTCCTTCTGTTATGTGCATCTTTAATTTGCCTTGATATTGTCAAATTGCTTCTAAAGTTTGGAACATTATTGTTCAAATTGTTTATTCCTAGGTTTATTTATTTTATAATTACCTAGTAGCTCTAGAAACTATTAAGACTCCTACATTTACATATCTTTGTTCATTTAAGACACATTGCACACAGTCTTTCACAATGCACTGTACTAAATATAAAAATCAAAAAGACATGGCAACCTGCTCTCAAGGTTACCTATACTTTAGACAAGGCATGTGCATGTATAATTATTTTTATATATTATAGAGAGAATATCTACTCAGTTTGTTGAGCAAGAGTAATTTACTTGTATCACCTTTCTTAAGATTAGTGGGTGCCAGTTACCCTGAAATATTTTAGTTGTCTGTTGTTTCTTCCTTTTTTTTTTTTTTTTATTTAATGTACTCTGGTACTATAAGAATTAAATATTACTTGGGATACAGAAATATTTTAGTTTTTATAAGTTTGCCTCAGTTAAGGTCTAAGTCCTTTGGTTTTATTATTGATCTACAAAGGATGTTGTAACTATTGAAATGTAAGAAAAAAGATATTTTGTTGCTGAGTTTAATACAGATGTTTGCTTATCACATTTAGCAGTATTGAAACTGGAGCCCTAAGAATGGCTTTTCTGTGGATTGTGGAAAGACATTCAGTCATTGGATGAACAAGACAACAAACAGGTCTTGGTTTCTAGTTTGTTTTGTCAATTCAATTCACAAGACACAAGTTTCACCCAGAGAGTTTATTTAGATTTAAGAAAAGATGCAGGCAGGGTGCGGTGGCTCATGCCTGTAATCCCAGCACTTTGGGAGGCCGAGGTGGGTGGATCACCTGAGGTCAGGAGTTTGAGACCAGCCTGACCAACATGGCGAAATCCTGTCTCGTCTAAAATACAAAAATTAGCTGGGCATGCTGGTGGATGCCTGTAATCCCAGCTACTCTGGAGGCTGAAGCAGGAGAATTGCTTGAATCCAGGAGGTGGAGGTAATAGTGAGCAGAGATCGCACCACTGCACTCCAGCCTGGGCGATAGAGTGAGACTCTGTCTCCAAAACAAAAAACAAACAAGCAAACAGAAAGAATGTAAAATGGGAATACTGGAATTCACAACTAGGAGCATCATAAGGCCTTAGTCATCCAGACACTGGTGTCCCCTCATAGTCTGGTATTTGTTTTAGTTCCAAGGGATAGGAACTGACCCTAGATTGGGTCACATCAGCCCAAGGAAGCTGCAGTGTCTATGCTCCTTCATCTTAAAATCCTTGAGAATTTCCTAGCATGTTGCAGGAGAGTATGCTCAGTTCCCATTCTTAAGTGTCGCTGCAGGCATAAGTGATCAGATATTCTGACAACTAAATACAGGATGCTCAGGGACAGCCCTGGAAATGTAATCAGTATATGACAACCCTAATAAGACCCTCATTTATCTCTAAAGATTATATTTTCTCACTTGATATTGCAAAAAGTGCAACTGGGTGTCAAATTTTCCTCAAGCATTCCCAGAAGCTGGAGAAAGAGATTATAGCCCAATCATTAACTCTTATCTATTATGTTGCCTCAGTTTATTCAGCCTTGCCAATTCAAGTAGACAATGAGAGAGGTCATAGAGTTCTGAGATGGTGCTTTCTGCCTCCCTAGCAGGGAAGATTTTGTATGTAATGTTGGGCATATTGCAAGGTGGCAGTGTAATAGGGTGGTTTGAGAGCATGGGTGGGCTTTGGAATCAGACAAGGCCATGTTCAAGTCTTAGCTGTGCTGCTTTCTAGCTATGTGTTACTGTGGTAGGCAAAATAATTCCTCCTTTCCATATATGAATCCCTAAAACCTGTTAATATATTAGGTTGAAAAGGAGAATTAAAGTTTCAGATGGAATTAAGGTTGCTAATCAGCTGACCCTGAGATAGTTATATTGTCCTGGATTTCTGGGTGGGATCAATTTAGTCACAGGAGTCCTTACAAGTGAAAGAGGAAAGCAAGAAAGAGAGAACCACGCATATAGCAGCATGAGAAGGACGTGGCTCAATGTTGCTGGCTTTGAAAAGGCAGACATTAAGTCACAAGCCAAAGAATGCAGGCAGCCTCTAGAAGCTGGAGAAGTCAAAAAACAAAACAAAAGAGATATTCCCTAGAAGTCCGCCAAAAGAAAACAACACTGCCAGTACCTTTTTAGCCCAGTGAGACCCATTTTGGACTTCAGACCTCCAAAAGTGGAAGACAATGAATTCATGTTGCTATAAGGCACTATTTTTGGTAATTTGTTACAGCAGCAATAGGAAACTAAAATAGCGATATTTATGTCTTGATGCTTCAGTTTTCTCATTTTGTAAAATAAGGATTATAACAGCACTTTCCTCCTATGGAGATTGTTTTAAGATATCCATTTTTGTGCAGAGCATTTGGCCTACTCTTGGTAAGACTCAATCTTTGGACGAGACATTTAGGTATTTGAACAAGAAGTTAGGAAACTTGGATTATGGTTTCAGACAAAATGAGGACACGAGTAACTTCCTGCCTTTCTTATAAAGTTGATGTGAAAAGCAAATGAAATTATGTTTTAACTTTTATATTTTAACTAAAGCATTATTCAAATATAACTTCTTGTTATAATTTAGCTTACACATTCCAAATGGACTTATTAGATAATATGTGAAAGATATAAAAATTCAACACTTGAGTCATCAGCTGATTGTAGAAAAATAGTGTTGGGGTAATAGATAATATTAATTCCAATGACTGGTACTGAGTAGTAAGTTCTTTCTTTTAAGATATTCTATTTTTATAGCACTTATATTTCCTACTTATGTGGTAATAATTATGGTTCTTTATTTCATATGGCAGGGATGTGTGTTATCTTTTAATTGCAGCCTTTGCTTATAATGTCTGAATGTAAGCACAATAATATTTATTTAATTGAACTAAAGATAAAGTGGAAGAATCACATATTTGGCCAGGATATAATTATCAGAGCTCCTCTAAAACACATTTTGAATATTTTAAACGGTGTATTAATTTTTAGTAAGTGAGATGGCGAAGTTCTTATTGTTCTGTATGCTAATGATTAAGCATTTCAAATATTTATCATTAATTTTGATTGATTATGCATTTAAATAAGTAAATTCAGGCAGATAAAATTAAGATTTATTTGTCTCACTGTTTGAAGTATTCCTTTACTGAGGTCAGTAAGTGTATGTGTATGCAATGAAAAGTGAGCATTAGGCTATTACTGTAATTGCTTATCACTATTTTCATTTTCATAAACATATGGCAATATGCACTGTTATATTAACAGATATATTGTTTTCATCATCTTATTTTTCAGTTGACTCTTGGGCACAGTCAAAGGGCATGTTTTGTAGTGACAGATTTTTCAAATTCATGCTTCCTATGGAAATTTTAAGAAGTAGAGGTTTGTTTAAATTCTATACCAGGGCATAGAAGAAACTTAAACAGAATGCTAAAGGAAGGAATGTGGCCACTTTTTTCTGGGCATACAATTAGTCTAGTCAATAGAGGTCACACTGGACCAAGCATTTGAGATGTTTCAACTCCCCACTGGGGCAAACTTACCACAAAATGTGCTCATCCATTTTCCAGTGTCGAGAGAAAGAGGAAGGCGGACATCGTGGAGTCTTTAATGACTGGGGTTTTTGTAGAGCTTTTAATGATTGTTTTAAAGCCATTTATCACTAAGAAGTGAAAACCATTTACAAAATGTAGTGGTTAAAATGACTGTGACTCTAATCCATAACTTGACAGTTTACTTTTTGTTATTTCTCCTATTCTTTTAAACGTGAGGTATTGCAGGATAGGTGAGGGGGGAAATCTGGTTATTTGACTACTAATATGCGAAAATCCAAAAATTTAGATTGAGTAGGTAAATGGGGTAATTTTTAATGTTGCAAATAGTTGATCTGTTTTGCCCAAGAATGCGGTTCCTGTCGAAGAGGTTGGAATAGGACAGAAAACTTTACATTTGTAATGTTCAGCAGTTTTGATACTCTTAGGTCAATCAGAAATAAAGCACGCAAGAACCTCCTGAGATGATACAGCAAATGTGTGGAAACTGGGTAATTTTTCAAGAACTGGAGAAGGACTGTGTCTGAATGCAGACCATGCAGAGATAACAGCATATATATAAGGCATTTTGTCACTGGCATCTTGAAAAATAAAATCAATAAATATTTAAAATTTATTTGCATTTTAGAACCAGTCAGCATCTTCACATAGCCATCAGGCAATAAAGAAGCTTTGAAAAAGAGGATAAAATGTATTTATAGAGGAAAAAAATAATTTTATAAGTACATTTAAAGTGGAAATGCTTAGGGAAGTTTGTGACTAGGAGATGCTGGGAAGTTTTGATTTGTGATTCTGCAAAGTTACCAAACACCAAAAAATTTCACAGATAAGTCATTTCATTTGATGTTCTTGATTTTTCCTTTTGAGTGACAGGGATAAAAAGAAAGTTTTAGAGATTGTCTGCTGGTTTCATTGTTGGCACTGCAAAGGGAGAAGTCAGTATCTGATTTTTAGATTCCTAGGGTTTGTCTCACTTTGATGGAGAAAATATTTCACAATGTTTACACTTGAAATTCTTATCTTTGTAGATTTCAGAGGATTCGATGCTAGTTGCAATGGGTTTCATCTTTGAGGAGTCTCACAGATGTGGATCATCCTTATTCCATCAAATTTTATTTCTGTTGAGCCAGATAATGATTATAATGTTAGTGTCCTTCACATTGGAAGATTTTCCAGCTATGAAGGAAATGACAGTGATGGAACTCATATTGACCTTTAGTCGCTGTTAAAATATCTCTAAAGGACAGACTCATGGATTCTCATAATATCAGTTACCAGATGGCATTTCTAGGGACTCTGTCTCTGCCTTCTGGAGGCCTACCCTGTAGCCTCCAGACTCTCTAGCACCCATGCTGACATCTACCTCTTCACCTCCGGGTTCTAACACAGCCCTAAAGTTGGTGCTTATCCACAATGAATCAATCAAGGCTTGGCTTCTGACTGGAATGGGCTTGGTTGTTTTTTCCCAATTTTATCTTTTGGAACAGCTAGAAAGGAGGACCGGGTTGCTCAGTGGTCCTCAACCTTCATTTCTTTCTGGAAGAGATTTTTAAAATGCATATGTCTGGACCCCCCCATAGAGATTCTGATTTAGTTGATCTGGTCTGGTCTAGGGCTGGGCATTGGTTCATTTTAAAAAATTCCCCAGATGATTTAATATGTGGCCAAGAAGACTGGGGTGCTAGTCCACACTCTGGATTCTCAAAGTGTGGCTCCTAGATCAGCAATATCAGCATCACTTGGGAACTTATTAGAAATCCAAATCCTCAGGCCCTAAGCAAGACCTACCGAATCAGCAACTTTTTAGGGGTAAGGCCCAGAAATCTGCATTTTAATAAGCCTTCCATATGATGCTCATGCATATGAAAGTTTGAGAACCACTGATTTGATCAACTTTCTAAGATGGGGTAAACTGTTGAGGATGCACTCCATGGATACAACTGTATCATATGCAAAAGGTGCTTAGCACAGACCCGAGTCTAGAACTAGGGCATACACCAACCACTGGGGAGTAAGCAGATTACAGGGGTCCATGCTAGCAATGAGCATCCCAGCCAACAATTTTTGTTATCAAGAGGTAATGCCTGTTCATAGCAGGTTAGGACTAGAGTGTGAGCGTCGGGGAGATGTTATGCTGGGTTTAATTCTTGGACTTTTCTTTATTAATTTAGGAAACTAATGTCTCTGAGCTTCATTTTTCACTGGGAAAAAAATTATTACCTTTCAAGGTTGTTGTGAAAAATAAAATTGTCTATGGGAAAGGTCCAGCAAGAATAAATGTTCAGCACATGCCCAGTAAAAAATACATGCTTAAGAAATTATTGCTATTATTATTATTCCCATATGAGAATAAGCAATACATTGTACGAAGGCTGTCATGGTTGCCTCTGGTGTCCAATGTCAAACCTTATAAATTATAATCATAAAGGAGTCTCTTCAGTGAACCTGAGTTTGGTCTCAAGTCCTTTCTAATACAGTAGGCTGGGGCAACCACTATCAGAAAATCGGATCTGACTTTCAAGATAAACCCCATTTTCCACCTCTAATTAAGATTGCAAAAATCTTAGAGATATTCCTATTCTTTCATTTTCTTCCTTCCCACATTTACTTCACACCTGCTCTGCAGAGTCCAATAGATACATAATGCAAGATACAGATATAATTTTCTGTTAGCCACATTAAGAAAAGTAAAAAAAAAAAAAAAAAAAAAGGGCAGTTAAATTTTAAAGTATTTTTAACCTAATGTAATATATCCAAATATTATTTCAATATGTAGTCAGTATAAATATTATTAATGAGATATTTTACATTCTTCTTTTTGGAACTAAGTCTTTGAAATTCAGTGTATATCTTATACCCATAGCACATCTCAATCCATGCAAGCCATATTTGAAGGGCTCAATGGCCACATGAGGCTAGTGGCTGCCATACTGGACAATACAGCTCTAGGTCCTGGGGCCGAGCACCGAAGCAAGGGCTGGTAATTGCCTCAACAAGCTCACAGTTTATTCAGTGGCTCAGCCATAGGCAAGTAATACTATTTTTCAGCATGAAGTGTTATTACCTCCCACCTTGGATTTTCCTGAAGAACGAAGTCATGTAGTCTGAGTCAAAGCAGAATACTTGACATTTCTTTAGGGTTATTTGGTTTTATTGTTTCTACATCTTGTGTGTATGATCTGAATTGTCAGCCCTGCTTGTAGCCTGCAAGTTGTACACTCTGACCTTAACATTTGCTACATAAGTGGAGGTTGGACTTAGTGTTGCTGGTGAAGAATGTGTTTCTGCTGTCCTGTTTTGGCCCTAGTCCATAATAATGTGACAGCCCAGCCACTTGCTGAGCATGTGCTGTGATATGCCAGGCACAGTGCTAAGCAATTCTTACAGAGGTTGACGGAAAGTCCACCAGTGGCTTCCTACCGTACTTAGAATATAATCCAGATGGCTTAAAAGGACCTACCTGATTTCACCTATGGCCACCTTGGAGATACCATTTCCTACCTTAATCCCATTTTCTCACTCCACTTCTGCTTCCCAGGCCTTCTTGCTCTTCTTTTTCCCACCTTAAGCCTTTGTCTTGGCATTCCTCTGGCTAGAATGCTAGAGGGTTGCTAGAATTATCCTGGGAACACCCCAGGATAATCGTATGGTTTATTTCTGCATTTCATCTAAGTCTTCATTTATGTGTCCTCAGAAAACCTTCCCCAGGCCTCTCTATCTATTTTAGTAACCTCATCACTCTCCATCCCCTTTCTCTGCTTTATTTTTCCATATTACTGATCACTACCCTTAATTACATATTACATGTTACTTTACATATTTATTTATTGTTTGTCTCTCCTGCTAGAATGTGAGCTGTATTACAGCAGGAGATTTGTTTCATTTGTTCACCATTTTGTTTTCTGGACTTAGAATAGCACAGGCACTTAAGAGGTACATCACAAATATTTGAATAACTTCAAATACCCATGGTGTTATTTAATTCTTTTTCTTTCTTTTCTTTTCTTTTTTTTTTTTTTTTCTCACTCTGTTGCCCAAGCTGGAGTGTAGTGGTGCCATCTTGGCTCACTGCAACATCCACCTCCCAGGTTCAAGCAATTCTCCTGCCTCAGCCTCCCAAGTAGCTGGGACTACAGGCACCTGCCACCATGCCCGGCTAATTTTTGTATTTTTATTAGAGATGGGGTTTCACCATACACCATATTGGCTAGGGTGGTCTCAAACTCCTGACCTTGTGATCCGCCTGCCTCAGCCTCCCAAAGTGCTGGGATTACAGGCGTCAGCCACCTCACCCAACCGGTCTTATTTAATTCTTAAGCCAGTCTTTTTTTTTTTTTAACTAAAGGAGAAACAGTATGACAGATAACACATAAAAACATGAGTAAGTTCACAGTCATTAAGTAGCAGAGCTGAGATTTTAACTCAGGATTATATGTCCAGAGCTCAGATTTGTAATCACTGTACTTTCTCTAGGGAGAACAAAATCTTGTTTCCTATGCTTCTGGGTTCCTGTAGATTCTCCAGAAAGAAACAAACAACCAAAAAAAAAAAAAAAAAACTGTAGCTTTCTTGGTATGATTTTCTACTTCCTCTGTTGTTAATAGGCTGTTAGACAGCCTCAGCCAGAGGAACTGGATGTAGAATTTGGTGACAGCTTTTGACAGTGCTATCAACAGATGCATTGAAGTTCCCAGGGCAATTACTGAGTTGATGTTGATGAAAATATATTTTGAATACTGCAAAATTGCCCCTTCTTGGGATTTATTTTAGGGTCTATATTAAGTGATAACTGAAGACTACTGAGTAAAGGCAGTGTGAGGCAACTGATAAATAGTGAGGCATCCTTTAATACACCTCACTTTAACGATGGGAGACTGTCTCAGAGGAACAAACAGAGAGTCTTTCTAGGTGCTTTAACTTTCATTTCAACCCAGTTTCACAAGATCTCACTGAACTTCTGTTTCATATCATACCCTGAGCTTGGAGCTAGGGATATCATCCTGATTGTATCAGTTGCATCTATTGCTATGTAATGACTACCTCAAACTTATTGGTATCAAACAACCGCCATTTTACTGTGCTCATAAATTCTGTGGGTCAATAATTCAGATAGAGCCCCGCAGGGATGGCTTGTATCTCTTTGATATCCGGACCTCAGTGGGGAAAACTTCAAGTGCTGAGGGCACTTTTAAAGCTGGGAAATGGAATCAACTGAAGGTTTCTTTCCACATATGTCAGGCTCCTGGGTTGATATTCCTCCAAGGCTGGACTCAGCTGGGGCTATCAACTAGAGCACTCCATGTGCCTCTCCACATGTTCTTGGCTTTTTACAGTGTGGAAGCTGGGTTCTGAGAAGCAGTGGCCCGAGCTGAAGCATCCAGACAATGAGTGTTCAGAAGCTGCCAGACTTCTCACCTAGCCTTAGAAGTAACACAGCCACATTCTGTCGGTTACAAACACATTTCTAAGGCCAGTCCAGATTCAAACGGAGGGCAATTAGATTTGACCCCTTGATGAAGGAGGGCAAGGTTACACTGAAAAACAGCATAGGGACTGGGAGATATTATGATGTCCATTTTTGGAAAATCTGCCACAGACACAGTGAAGAAAATGATATTTGTTACTACCTGTGAACATCACGAGCTCAATCACTGGTAGAGAGAGACAGGTGCGTCAGACTGCTGTCAGGAAGCTTAATTTTCCTTTGAAAAGCAACATTGGCCCATAGTGTACACATTTTGTTTATAAACGGGGTTATTTGCTCTGTCCTGCATTTCCATCCCATGTTTCACTGGAGCAATGTTCATAGATTTATCACCTTAGTGCAGTGACTCACTGTGTGAGATCTGGTGTTGCTTTGGCATTTGGAAATCAGCATTTATTTTCAAAGTCTATCCTCTGCCTCATTTTGCTTGGCTAACTCCTATACAATCCTTTCATGAAGGGTCACTTCCTCCAGAAAGTCCCTTCTGACCCTTCACCTGGATTATGTTCTTCTGCTTTGAATTATTATGGCACCATGCACCATGCCTACCTCTTGTCCTAGCATTTGTTATCTGGGATTAGAATGGCCTATTTTTGTCTCTAGATTGTAGGATCTAGCAAGGCAGGGCCAGTGTCTGTCTTCACCATTGTATTTCTTGTACTAGTACATGGTTAAAGTCAGTTTTGTATCTATTCTTTTTACATCTGGTCTGGGAAAAAAATAGGCAAACTCAAGGGCAGAGAGAGGGCCATACAATTATCATGATATATTTATCTTGTTCTTCTTACTACCCCTCTTCTTATTCTTTCTTTTATTCTTCCTCTTCATTTATGGAAGGAATCAATCATGGACATCTCCTAGCACACTTACCTTAAATCCATTGGGCTCCTAGCCAACTCTGTAGGTAGACTCTGTTAGCAACAAAGAGGAAAAAGGGCAACAACAACTTTTGGGTAGTCAACCAAGACAGAGTACCCTCCAGGACATGTGGCTGGGAAAACCTAATAACTTCCTAAGCTCCAGGGGCTTTATTTTTAATACACATTCCCAGGAAAACTCATCAGATGTTTGAGGCAGCAAAAACAGATTCTTTTAAGACTCTTGCAATCTCAGTAAGTACATAGTTTTATATTTCCAGGGTGGCATTCCCTTTGGTAGTTGGCTTGTCATATCTTTTCTAGTTTTCTATCTTTTGTAGTTTGAGTCTGGCTAGTTAGAAAAAAGCTATCAATTATGAAGAATCTGTGATATATTGGTTACTGTGCAAAACTTGAAAACCATATTTTTCTTTTTTTTAATTATACTTCAAGTGTTGGGGTACATGTGCAGAACGTGCAGGTTTGTTACATAGGTATACATGTGCCATGGTGGTTTGCTGCACCCATCAACCTGTCATCTACATTAGGTATTTCTCCTAATGCTATCCCTCCCCAGCCCCCCACCCCCCAATAGGCCCTGTTGTGTGATGTTCCCTTCCCCGTGTCCATGTGTTCTCATTGTTCAACTCCCGCTTATGAGTGAGAACATGCGGTGTTTGGTTTTCTGTTCTTGTGTTAGTTTGCTGAGAATGACGGTTTACAGCTTCATCCATGTCCCTGCAAATGACGTGAACCCATCCGTTTTATGGCCGCATAGTATTCCATGGTGTATATGTGTCACATTTTCTTTATCCAGTCTATCATTGATGGGCATTTGGGTTGGTTCCAAGTCTTTGTTATTGTGAACAGTGCTGCAATGAACATACATGTGCATGTATCTTTATAGTAGAATGATTTACAGTCCTTTGGGTATATACCCAGTAATGGGATTGCTGGATCAAATGGTATTTCTAGTTCTAGATCCTTGAGGAATCGCCACACTGTCTTCCACAATGGTTGAACTAATTTATACTCCCATCAACAGTGTAAAAGCATTCCTATTTCTCCACATCCTCTCCAGCATCTGTTGTTTCCTGACTTTTTAATGATTGTCATTCTAACTGGAATGAGATGGTATCTCATTGTGGTTTTGATTTGCATTTCTCTAATGACGAGTGATGATGAGCTTTTTTTCATGTTTGTTGGCCACATAAATGTCTTCTTTTGAGAAGTGTCTGTTCATATCCTTCGCTCACTTTTTGATTTTTTTTCTTGTAAATTTGTTGAAGTTCTTTATAGATTCTAGATATTAGCCCCTCATCAAATGGGTAGATTGCAAAAATTTTCTCCCATTCTGTAGGTTGCCTGTTCACCCTGATGATAGTTTCTTTTGCTGTGCAGAAGCAATTTAGTTTAATTAGATCCCATTTGTCAACTTTGGCTTTTGTTGCCATTGCTTTTGGTGTTTTAGTCACGAAGTCTTTGCCCATGCCTGTGTCTTGAATGGTATTGCCTAGGTTTTCTTCTAGGGTTTTTATGGTTTTAGGTCTTAAGTTTAAGTCTTTAATCCATCTTGAGTTAATGTTTGTATAAGGTGTAAGGAAGGGGGTCCAGTTTTAGTTTTCTACATACGGCTAGCCAGTTTACCCAACACCATTTATTAAATAGAGTATTCTTTCCCCATTGCTTTTGTCAGGTTTATCAAAGATCAGATGGTTGTAGATGTGTGGCATTATTTCTGAGGCCTCTGTTCTGTTCCATTGGTCTATATATCTGTTTTGGTACCAGTACCATGCTGTTTTGGTTACTGTAGCCTTGTAGTATAGTTTGAGGTCAGGTAGCGTGATGCTTCCAGCTTTGTTCTTTTTGCTTAGGATTGTCTTGTCCATGCGGGCTGTTTTTTGGTTCCATATGAAATTTAAAGTAGTTTTTTCTAATTCTGTGAAGAAAGTCAATGATAGCTTGATGGGGATAGCACTGAATCTATAAATTACTATGGGCAGTGTGGCCATTTTCACAATATTGAGTTTTCCCATTCATGACCATGAAATGTTTTCCATTAGTTTATGTCCTCTCGTATTTCCTTGAGTAGCGGTTTGTAGTTCTCCTTGAAGAGGTCCTTCACATCTCTTGTAAGTTGTATTCCTAGGTATTTTATTCTCTTTCTAGCAATTGTGAATGGTAGTTCACTCATGATTTGGCTCTCTGTCTATTATTGGCGTATAGTAATGCTTGTGATTTTTGCACATTGATTTTATATTCTGAGACTTTGCAGAAGTTGTTTATCAGCTTAAGGAGGTTTTGGGCAGAGATGTTGGGGTTTTCTAAATATACAGTCATGTCATCTGTAAACCGAGACTATTTGACTTCCTCTCTTCCTATTTGAATACCTTTTATTTCTTTCTCTTGCCTGATTGCCCTGGCCAGAACTTCCAATACTATGTCGAATAGGAGTGGTCAGAGAGGGCATCCCTGTCTTGTGCCAGTTTTCAAAGGGAATGCTTCCAGCTTTTGCCCATTCAGTATGATGTTGGCTGTAGGTTTGTCATAAATAGCTCTTATTATTTTGAGATACAGTCTGTCAATACCTAGTTTATTGAGAGTTTTTAGCATGAAGGGGTATTGAATTTTGTCGAAGGCCTTTTCTGAATCTATTGAGATAATCACGTGGTTTTTGTCATTGGTTCTCTTTATGTGATGGATTACGTTTATTGATTTGTGTATGTTGAACCAGCCTTGTATCCCAGGGGTGAAGCCGACTTGATCGTCGTGGATAAGCTTTTTGATGTGCTGCCGGATTCGGTTTGCCAGTATTTTCTTGAGGCTTTTCTCATTGATGTTCGTCAGAGATATTGGCCTGAAATTTTCTTTTTTTGTTGTATCTCTGCCAGGTTTGGTGTCAGGAGGACATTGGCCTCATAAAATGAGTTAGAGAGGATTCCCTCTTTTTCTGTTGTTTGGAATAGTTCCAGAAGGAATGGTACCAGCTCCTCTTTGTACCTCTGGTAGAATTTGGCTGTGAATCCGTCTGGTCCTGGACTTTTTTTGGTTGGTAGGCTATTAATTACTGCTTCAATTTCAGAACTTGTTATTGGTTTATTCAGGGATTAAACTTCTTCCTGATTTAGACTTAGGAGGTATATATGTCCAGGAATTTATCTATTTCTTCTAGATTTTCTAGTTTATTTGCATAGAGGTGTTTATAGTATTCTCTGATGGTAGACTGTATTTCTGTGGGATCAGTGGTGATATCCCCTTTATCATTTCTTATTGCATCTATTTAATTCTTCTCTCATTTCTTCTTTATTAGTCTGGCTAGTGGTATATCTATTTTGTTGATCTTTTCAAAAAACCACCTCCTGGATTCATTGATTTTCTGAAGAGTTTTTCCTGTCTCTAACTCCTTCAGTTCTGCTCTGATCTTAGTTATTTCTCATCTTCTGCTAGCTTTTGGATTTGTTTGCTCTTGCTTCTCTAGTTCATTTAATTGTGATGCTAGGGTGTCATTTTAGATCTTTCCTGCTTTACCTTGTGGGCATTTAGTGGTATAAATTTCCCTCTAAACACTGCTTTAGCTGTGTCCCAGAGATTCTGGTATGTTGTGTCTTTGTTCTTATTGGTTTCAAAGAACTTATTTATTTCTGCCTTAATTTCATTATTTACCCAGTAGTCATTCGGTAGCAGGTTGTTCAGTCTCCATGTAGTCGTGCAGTTTTGAGTGAGTTTCTTATTCCTGAGTTCTAGTTTGATTGCACAGTGGTCTGAGAGACTGTTACGACTTCCGTTCTTTTGCATTTGCTGAGGAGTGTTTTACTTCCAGTTATGTGGTCAATTTTAGAATAAATGTGATGTGGTGCTGAGAAAAATGTATATTCTGTTGATCTGAGGTGGAGAGTTCTGTAGATGTCTTTTAGGTCCCCTTGGTCCAGAGCTGAGTTCAAGTCCTGAATATCCTTGTTAATTTTCTGTCTCATTGATCTGTCTAATATGGACAGTGAGGTGTTAAAGTCTCCCACTATTATTGGGTGGGAGTCTAAGTCTCTTTGTAGGTCTCAGAGAACTTGCTTTTTGAATCTGGGTGCTCCTGTATTGAGTGCATATATATTTAGGAAAGTTAGCTCTTCTTGTTGCATTGATCCCATTACCATTATGTAATGCCCTTCTGTGTCTCTTTTGATCTTTGTTATCCGTCTAGAATTGCAACCCTTGCTTTTTTTTTTTTTTTTTTTGGCTTTCAATTTGCGTGGTAAATATTCCTCCATCCTTTTATTTTGAGCCTATGTGTGTCTTTGCACATGTGATGGGTCTCCTGAATACAGCACACTGATGGGTCTTGACTTTATCCAATTTGCCAGTCTGTGTCTTTTAATTGGGGCATTTAGCCCATTTACATTTAAGGATAATACTGTTATGTGTGAATTTGATCCTGTTGTTATGATGCTAGATGGGTATTTTTCCTGTTAGATGATGTAGTTTCTTCATAGTGTTGATGGCCTTTACAATTTGATATGTTTTTGCAGTGGCTGCTACTGGTTCCTTTTCATGTTTAGTGCTTCCTTCAGGAACTCTTGTAAGGCCGGTCTGGTGGTGACAAAATCTGTCAGCATTTGCCTGTCTGTAAAGTATTTTATTTCTCCTTTGCTTATGAAGCTTAGTTTGGCTGGAGATGATCTTCTGGGTTGAAAATTTGTTTCTCTAAGAATGTTGAATATTGGCCCCCACTCTCTTCTAGCTTGTAGGGTTTCTTTAGAGAGATCCACAGTTAGTCTGATGGGCTTCCCTTTGTGGGTAACCCGACCTTACTCTCTGGCTGCCCTTAACATTTTTTCCTTCATTTCATCCTTGGTGAATCTGACAATTATGTGTCTTGGGGTTGCTCTTCTCGAAGAGTATTTTTGTGGTGGTCTCTGTATTTCCTGAATTTGAATGTTGGTCTGTCTTGCTAGGTTGGGGAAGTTCTCCTGGATAATATCCTGCAGAGTGTTTTCCAACTTGGTTCCATTCCCCTGTCACTTTCAGGTACACCAATCAAATGTAGATTTAGTTTTTTCACACAGTCCCGTATTTCTTGGAGGCTTTATTCGTTCCTTTTCATTCTTTTTTCTCTAATCTTGTCTTCACGCTTTATTTCATTAAGTTGATCTTCAATCTCTGATATCCTTTCTTCTGCTTGATCTATTCAGCTATTGATACCAATGTATGCTTCAGGATGTTCTCATGCTGTGTTTTTCAGCTCCATCAGGTCATTTATGTTCTTCTCTAAATTGGTTATTCTAGTTAGCAATTCCTCTAACCTTTTTTCAAGATTCTTAGCTTCCTTGCATTGGGGTAGAACATGCTCCTTTAGCTCGGAGGAGTTTGTTATTATCCACCTTCTGAAGCCTACTTCTCTGAATTTGTCAAACTCATTCTCTGTCCAGTTTTGTTCCCTTGCTGGTGAGGAGTTGTGATCCTTTGGAGAAGAAGAGGAGTTCTTTTTTTCTGGAATTTTCAGTCTTTTTACGCTGGTTTCTCCCCCATCTTTGTGTATTTATCTACCTTTGTTCTTTGATGTTGGAGACCTTTGGATGGGGTTTCTGAGCGACGTCATTTTTGTTGATTTGGTGCTAATCCTTTCTGTTTGTTAATTTTCCTTCTAACAGGCCCCTCTGCTGCAGGTTTGCTAGAGTTTGCTGGAGGTCCACTCCAGACCCTGTTTGCCTGGGTATCACCAGCAGACGCTGCAGAACAGCAAAGATTGCTGCGTGTTCCTTCCTCTGGAAGCTTCGTCCCAGAGGGGTACCCAACATATGCCAGCCAGAGATCTCCTGTATGAGGTGTCTTTCAGCCCCTGCTGGGATGTGTCTCCCAGTCAGGAGACATGGGGGTCAGGGACCCACTTGAGGAGGCAGTCTGACCCTTAGCAGAGCTCGAACGCTGTGCTGGGAGATTTGCTGCTCTCTTCAGCAGCCATCAGGCAGGCACATTGAAGTCTGTTGAAGATGCGCCCACAGCCACCCCTTCTCCCAGGGGCTCTGTCCCAGGGAGATGGGGGTTTTATCTTTAAGCCCACGACTGGGGCTGCTGCCTTTTTTTCAGAGATGCCCTGCCTAGAGAGGAGGAATCTAAAGAGGCAGTCTGGCTACAGTGGCTTTGCTGAGCTGCAGAGGGCTCCACCCAGTTGGAACTTCCCTGCGGCTTTGTTTACACCGTGAGGGTAAAACCTAAAACCACCTACCAAAGCCTCAGTAATGGCAGACGGCATTCCCCCCACCAAGCTTGAGCATCCCAGGTGGACTTCAGACCGCCGTGCTGGCAGCGAGAATTTCAACCCAGTTGCCCTTAGCTTGCTGGGCTCTGTGAGGGTGGGATCCACTGAGCACTTGGCTCCCTGGCTTCAGCCCCCTTTCTAGTGGAGTCAACAGTTCTGTCTTGCCGGTGTTCCAGGTGCCACTGGGATATGAAAAAAGAAACTCCTGCAGCAAGCTCGCTGTCTGCCCAAATAGCCGTCCAGTTTATATTTTTCTTAATACCATTCCTCAACAAAGTAGATGGTTGTCTCTGTGCTTTAAATATGGGGAAATGGGGGCTCAGATGTGAGAAATGTACTGATATTTTACTGCTGTCTCATGTTGGAGCTCTGATTTAAATGCAGTGTGTCTGTCTCTAAAACCCTTATTCTTCCCCTTACCTGCCAAAGATAGTTAAATAATTTCATTATGGACATATATGCCCAGGCCTCTTCCCTCTATCTTTTAGGGTATCTTTTTTAGAAAACAGTAAAGGTCATTAGGACTTGGGCCCTCACTGTCCTCTCGGTACTTTATGGTGTGAAAAATTATACAAAAATTTGATTATAATATTTTCCTAGGGCTTCTATAACAAATTGTCATACACTCCATGGCTTAAAACAACAGAATCTTTTTCTCTGACAATTTTGGAGATCAGAATCAAAAATTAAGGGGTCAACAGGTCATACTCTCTCCAAAGGCTCTCAGGGAGAATACTTCCTTGCCTCTTCCACCTTCTGGTGGCTCCTGGTATGCCTTGACTTGTGGTAGCATCGGTCCAATCTCTGCCTATGTCCTGACATGGCCTGATCCACTCTGTGTATCACAGTGTGCCTTCTGCTCTTATAAAGACACCAGTCATTGGATTTAGGGCCCATACTAATCCCATATGACCTCATTTTAACAAATTATATCTGGTGAGACTTTATTCACAAATAATGTCACATTCAGAGGTTCTTGGTGTATACAAATTTGGGGGTGGTACTGTTCAACCAAATATGGGTGGGAATGAATAATTCAATAGGAATATGAAGATACATTGAAAAGCAGGATAATAGGGATAGCACATTTTCAGAGTTCTGTGTTTCTCTTTGATTCTACCTACCCCTCCCCACTGCCTTTTCTTTGGAATCTCATAGTTGACTGAGCCTCAAAGCATCTGGACAGGGAGCCACAACCACTGATGAAGGGGGAGGAAAAGAGATTTTTCCCCTTTGTCAGTCTTTCTCTCAAGTTCCTTTTGCTTTTTTTGTCCCTCATCTTATTTCAGAAAGGGAAAGAACAACATGTTCATACTGAGACTCCCTGAAGGAGAGGGCAAACTTCTGTGATAAAGAAAAAGATTAACCCAGCATTATTTTTCCTACCATGTTTCATCTTTAGACACTTGTCTTCAGAACTCCTCTAGGTATCTGTGAAACCAAAAGAATCACAAGCCACTCTCTTCACAGTAGAGAGACAAAGGGCCTCAGCAAAAAGGACACTGTGGGGATGCCTACGTGACCATTACATAAAACCCAAGTTAAAACAAACAGCTTCACTTCTTTCTTTTATTCTAGTTGTGGGTATTCCTATTGGACTAGGTGACTTAAAAGAAACCTTGAAACATTGGACCACAGTTAAGCTCTTCATTAATTTTGTAGTTTAATAATGCATTTCTAAATGATCTCTCTGGAACAAAACTAAGATTCACTGAATCTGTATTACTTGCCTGGTGTGCTACTGGACACTTTTTTGCGTAGTCTCTTTTGCTAATCTTCCCAGCAGCTCTGTGTGGTGGATCTTATTGCTCACATTTTCAGGTGACAACTCAGAGGCTCAGAGACATCAAGTATGCTTTCTAAGGTCACAAAGTGAGCAGGTGACAAAGCTGGATTTGAACTGAGGTTCTTTCTCTTTGCAGGATGCCATGAACTCTATATTCCTAAGGCACATAGAGGAGAGTAATGAATCTAATAAAATCTTCCTGGAAGTTTTAGGGAAGGCTTCATTAGAAACAGACCCACATCACACTGTGATGATGTTGATGATGGTAATAGTGTCAGTGGGATAGTCTCTGCCATTTTTGGAGTTCCTACTACTTTATGTACAAATAATGAAACTAGATGCTCTACAAAGTTTCTTCCTATGAACACTCATTATATCAATGGTCTTGAGAATCTCCTCTTTAGCAGAATCTGTTCAGATCTGAGGAACAAAAGACTAAGCCAACTATGCCAAGTTTTTACTCTTTAGTCATGGTATCATTGTCTGTATTTTACTCACACACACCAACTGGACCACAAAGAGTTTGCCAAACCTCTCCTAAGTGACAGTGCTGGGATTTGTATCTAGGTCTATCTGCTGCCAAAGCTTTGTCTTTTCCATTCAGTCTTAGATACATCTGGAATCCATTTTCTTTCTTTTTTTAAAAATAAATTTTGTTGTGTATAAGTTATACAACATGATGTTATGGGATACACATAGATCATAAAAAGGTTACAATAGTGAAGCATTTAACATGTCCATCATCTCATATACTTACCCATTCTTTTTTTTGTTTTGTTTTTGTGGCAAGAAGAGCTAAAATCTATTTATTTAGCAGGAATCTCAAATACAGTACAATTTTATTTGATTACCTATAGTCCCCCTCATGTTGTACATTAGATCTCTAGACTTGTTCATCTTACATATTTGTTACTTTGTATCCTCTGACCTACATCTACCCTTTTATTTTCTTTTTTCTTAAAACAAAACACAATAAAAACCGTCTATTCTTTAGTAATAAAAGATACGTATTATAAAACATTCAAAAGTGCAAAATGAGTAAAATACATAGTATGCATAACTCCCGTTTATCTTCTCTTCAACACTAGTGTAAATTACTGTCAATATTTTAACATGCATTTTATAGACTTTTTCTATTTATGCACAATTATATATAAATGATGGATATATATTATATATAATATGTCATATTTAATACATAATTTATATATCCAAATAGAAAAGCACTTGATTGAATTACTACTTTGTGTTTTATTTATTGCTACTGTAGAGTTACTAGAAAGGAGGAAGCTATTTCCCCTCTACCCCTCCTCCCCACTTTCCTCTCTGCACCTCTATCCTTTCTTCCCATATCCTTATTTAGGGTTTTGAGTCAAGAGCAGCTTCCAGTCCTGGAAAATCAAGCCCTCTGTTACTGGGGCAGAGTTAATACACACTTTCCAAGAGACTGAATCATCTAGAGGGAGTTAGGATTACAGAGGTTGATGTCTGGGGATGTAAAAGTGGTCCAAGCTGAAGTAGTTATAGCCCGAAGAAAGATTTAAGAATCTATAAGCTCTTAAAGTGGTTTACAGCCAGAGTGGGGGTAGTTCCACCAAGGGTAATAGAATTTTCTGTATACCCAAAGACTCAGATCTCCAATACTAAAGTTTCTGCCCTTGGCAAAGATCTCAGCACCTGAGCTTAGCAGAGAATCAGCAGGGCTTTTGACCTCCAATAACTTTTTGGGCTAGATAGTAACCATTGTGAAGACCAGATAGCCCTCCCCAAAACTTTTGTCTAATACCCCCAGAACTGTAGTGGGATCCTACTGGGCACAAAGGAGTCCAATAATGAATGAGATTTAGTTATCGATTCTGGCACATAACGGGTTTAGATTTATATTTATTTTGACTTAGAAAAATGCTGTTTGAACTCAAGAACTGTGTTGTATTATAAATAACATGTCTTTCAGCCTAAAGCACAGATTTTCAGATTTTACATTCTAGGAACCATCTTGTTCCTAGATATGTGTTATACATAATTACTTCTTAACCCCACATTAACTATAAAATAAATGGTACATATGTATATATTATATATATATATATATAAAATACATAATTACTTCTTACCCCCATATTACTATCAAATAAATGGTTTTTTTCAATTAAGGAAATATGGCATATACCTGGGATTTTTATCAAAATAACTACCATTTCTAACTCCCATTCTTGGAAGAATATTTTGTCTAAGTATAACTTTTGATGAGTTTTTACATCCCCTTCTTAACATATGGACAGAGAACAAATGTGTTAACTTATTTCAGAACTTTCTCCTTAATAATTTTTAACAGTTTGTTAAGATATAATTTACATAGTATAAGTTTTACCCCATTAAAGTATAGAATTTGATTATCTTAAGTGTATTTTCAGAGTTGCACAGCAATTATCATAATCTGGTTTTAGAACATTTCTTAACTGTGGTCCAATGTTTCAAGGTTTCTTTTAAGTCACCTAGTCCGATAGGAATATCCACAACTAGAATAAAAAAAAGAAGCGAAGCTATTTGTTTTAACTTTGGTTTTATGCAATGGTCATGTAGAATGTTTCTATCACCTCAAAGAAACTGATACTCCTTAATAATCATTACCCATTCTGCTGAGCTTAACCCTTGATAACTACTAATTTACATTCTGCTTCTATACATATGCTTATTCTGGACATTTTATATAAATAGGATTATATAATTATATCTTTTTTGACTGGTTTCTTTTGTTTAGCATAGTGATTTTGAGGTTCGTCTATGAAACCTGTTGAAGCATCTGTCAGTATTTTGTTTTATTGGTGAATAGTATTCAATTGCATGGATATGCTGCATTTTCTTCATGCATTGATTAGTTCATGGACATTTAGGTTGTTTTAATCTTTTGGATATTATGAATAATACTGCTATGAGTATCTGTGTACAGGTCTTTGTGTGGATTTATGTTTTCACTTCTCTTGAGTGTATACCTACAAGTGGAATTGCTGGATGATGTGGTAACCCTGTGTTTGTTTGAGGAACTGCCAAACTAATTTCCATAGAGACAGAAATATTTTACACTTCCACGAGCAATATCCAAGGGCTCCAATTCCTCCATTTCTTGCCAACTTATTGTTATCTATCCTTTTTATTTTAGGCATTCTAGTGGGTGTGAAGTGGTATCTCATTGTGGCTTTGCATTAGATTTCCCTAATTGTTAATGATGTTGAGAATCTTTTCATGTGCCTCTTAGCCATTTCTGTATCTTCTTTGGGGAAAAAGACTGTTTAAATACTTTTCCCCCTTTCTAATTGGGTTATATTTTAATTATTGCTTGCTAAAAGTTCTTTATATATTCTAGATTCAAGTCCCTTTTAAGATACATGATTTGCAAATGTTTTCTCTTACTGTGTGTCTTCAACAATTTTTTGCAAAAGAAATGCCTTGCTTCAAAGAAAGCCTCTGAAGCCTCGGTATTATTTTCTCCACCCACAAAATCACTGTGATAAATAAATGGGGATATCAACATGTCTTTACCTGGTTGTATTTCATTTTTAAGCTCTTCTCTTTAGAGTTCCTTCCAGATCCCCAATTCAGTTACCTTTCTGGGGGGTCTTAGTTCTTCTTGACCTGTCTACAGCTTCTGATACCAAAGCTTTTTATCTCTGTCCTACCTTCTTTTCTGCCTTCCATCATTTCTTCCTTCTTTCCTTTCTTTCTTTTATAAAGGGGTATTTGTATTAGGCACTTACTAAATTTTAGAAGCCCAGCTATGGGCTGGAGATAAAGAAAAGAAATATGTGGTTTCTATTAAGAGATTTGTGCTCTAGTGAGAAGAAAGACTTTCATAATACACTAATAAATGTAAATTATAAATGTGATTAGTCCTATGAAGGAAATATATTGGATATTATATAAGAATGTTACAGGGGAAATTGCCTCACTCAAGGAAATTAAAAGTTCTTTCTCTGAGAAGGTGAAGACATACTTGAGATCTCAAGGATAAGCGGATATTACGTAGGATGAAGAGGGAAGAGCATATGAAAATGCTTATGATGAGAGGTAAAAAGGAACTTTTGAGGCAGGAGACAAAGCCATTGTGCTTGCAGCTTAGCAGACAAGAAGGGGAATGGAGCAAAATCATGCTGGGCACGTAGGTAAAGGCAAGAGCATACTGGGCTGAGAGTAATGTTAATAATGTTTGTCTGCATTTTAAGACCAATGGGAAGTATCTGAAGAGCTTTGGCCAGGTGTGGCAAAATGATAAGACTTGAATTCCTAAAAGATTGCTGTAAGTGCAGTATGAAAAATAAATTGCAGGTGGGCAATGGGGAATGTGAGGAGATGCATTGGGAAGCTATAGCAATAGCCCAAGTGAGAGATGTTGATAACTTGGATAAGCGGAATGGCAATGGAAGTGGAAATGTGCAAATGAGTTTGAGAGATACTTAGGAAGAAAAATTAGCAAGACTTGGTGATGGATTGATTACAAGAGATTAAGGGAGAAGGAGGTATCAAGAATGAATAATAACTGCACGGTTCTGCTGCTTCTATTTT
This sequence comes from Homo sapiens, assembly GCF_000001405.40. NCBI lineage: Eukaryota > Metazoa > Chordata > Mammalia > Primates > Hominidae > Homo > Homo sapiens. The sequence goes on from NC_000011.10 coordinate 21,211,817, forward strand.
TTTTGTTTGTTTGGTTTTTTTGTTTTTGAGATGGAGTCTCTCTCTGTCGCCTAGGCTGGAGTGTAGTGGTGTGATCCCAGCTCACTACAACCTCTGCCTCCTGGGTTCAAATGATTCTCGTGCCTCAGCTTCCTGAGTAGCTGAGATTACAAGAGTATGCCACCACACCTGGCTAATTTTTGTATTTTTAGTAGAGATGGGGTTTCACCATGTTGGCCAGGCTGGTCTCAAACTCCTGACCTCAAGTTATCCACCCACCTTGGCCTCCCAAAGTGTTGGGATTACAGGTGTGAACCATGGTTCTGCTTCTTCTGACATAGTTTGATAGTGGCTACCCTGGTTTGAATCTACCATCATATTAATATAATATTAGGCCATATACAACCTCCCTGTCCCCATTTATTCATTTAGAAAATAGGGATGACAATAATACTTAATTGATATGGATGATATAATGCACTTCAACAGTATCTGGCTCATATAGTATGAGCATAATAAATGTTACTCATGAAAAATTCAAATTATTATTGCTGTTTAGAAAAGAAGCAAAGGAGAAAAGTGACTAATTTCTGAAAAATTAAATACACTAGAGTCTTTTGGTTCCAACTCAGTTAGAGCAGTCCCAGTCCTTCTAGGTTCTTCCTCTTACAACTAAAAATCGCCTGGACATAACCCTACTCCAATCCTGTGGCAATAAAAAACTGCTTAGTAGAAGCAGTTGGTGCTGAGATTCCTCTACTGAAGTAAAGTCACTGGAGTTCAGCAGGGAGCTGAGCCACCACTTCCATGCAGAAACATGGAGACTCAATAAGGCAGTGCAAGGCAGGGCTATTTGGCCCTCACTTTCTCCCAAATCCATTGTTAGTGCAGCCCATCAGGGAACTGGAGCTCTACCTCCACCCAGCATTGACAAGGTGGTATAAGGTGGGGCTAACATTATACTTCGTGGTGAAAGACTGAATGCTTTTCTCCTAAATTTGGCAACAAAGCAGTGATGTCTGCACTTACCACTCTTGGGCAACATAGCACTGGAAGTTTTAGCCAAAACAATAAGGCAGCAAAAAGAAATAAGCTTGCAGATTGGAAAAGAACAAATCAAGCTGTATCTATTTACAGAAGGCATAATTTTCTATGTAGAAAATGTCAAGAAATTATAAAAATGTTGTAGAACTAATAAATGAGTTCATCAAAGTCTCAAGTTACAAGATCAATACAGAAAATTAATTTTATTCCTATATACTAGTAACTGATGTGTAGAAACTAGAATTAAGCACCTACTATCATATATAATTGCTCCAAAGTAAAATGAAATGCCTAAGAAAATGAAATATCTAGTTAAAAGTCTAACAAAACATTTATAGGATCTGTATGCTTAACATTTAAAAAAACACTAATGGAAGGAATAAAATATTATATAAGTAAATGGAGAGGCATACTGTATCCATGGATTAGATGACTCAATATAGTAAAGATGTCAATTCTCCATAAGTTGATCTGTAAAGTTTAACATAATTCCTAAAAAAATTCCAACAAGCTTAATCTGAAATTTGGGTAGAAGTGCAAAAGAACTAGAATAGCTAAAATAATTTTGAATTGAATAATTTTGAATTGAATATTAAGGATTTTTTTATAGATACTGTAATCAATTGAATCAATTGAATTGAATCGACTGAATCAATTGAATTGAATTGAATTGAATTGAATCAATTGAATCAATTGAATTGAATTTTGAATTGAAATTTGAATTGAATAATTTTGAATTGAATATTAAGGATTTCTTTATAGATACTATATTCAAGACAGCGTAGTATTGGCAGGGGAATAGACACAAAGATCAATAGAACAGAATAGAGACCCCAGAAACAGACAAATACAAATATAACAAATTGGTTTTGACAAAGTTATTAACACAATTCAATGGAGAAACAGCCTTTTGAACACATGGCACTGGAGTCACTGGGTGTGCATAGGCAAAAAAATTAATCCCAACCTAAACCTTATACCTTATCAAAAATTAACTCAAATGTATCATGGGTTTAAATGTAAAAATATAAAACTATTGGAAAAATTAGGAGAATATCTTTGGAACCTAAGGTTAGAGAAGAGTTCTTGGACATTACATTAAAAGCACTATATATAAACTAAGAAATGATTAATTCATTGTCATGAAAATTAAAACTTTTGCATTGTGAAAGACTGTGATAGAATGAAAATACAAACTGCAGGCTGTGAGAAAATATTGGCAAATCCCATATCCAATAAAGGCCTTATACAGGGTGAGTATCTTTTATCTGAAATTTCTGGACCAGAAGAGTTTCAGATTTCAGACTTTTTCAGAATTTGGAATATTTTCATTATCCTTATCTGTTGAACATCCTAAATCCAAAAATTTGAAATCCGAAATGCTCCAGGGAGCATACTTTGACAATCGTGTCAGCACTCAAAATGTTTTGAATTTTGGAGCAATTCAGATTTTCGATTTCCAGATTTAAAATGCTCAACCTATATGTAAATATGAAGAATTCTCAAAACTTAACAGTAAAAAATCAATCCAGTTATAAAATGGGCAAAAGACATGAACAAATATTTTATTAAAGTGTAGATACAGATGGCGAGTGAAGATATACTCAACACCATTGGCAGTTAGCACAATATAAATTAAAAACATAATGCATTATTTCTATACACCCATCAGAATAGCTAAAACAAAAAATAGTGACAACATCAGGTGTCAGTTAGGGTATGGAGAAACGATCATTCAGACATTGCTGATGAGAATGTAAAATTACAGCCATTCTAGAAAATCATTTGGTAGTTTTCTTGGAAACTAAACATGTTCTTACCAGATGACCCTGCAATCACACTTTCGGATATTTATCCTAGAAATGTAAAAATGTATGTTCACAAAATACTTGTACATTCTTTAAATGAGAAACTATAGATATGGAGAACAGGTTAGTGGTTGACAGTATTAGGGCGGGTGGGTGGGAAAGGTTGAGTGGGTGCAAATAAAAAGAGATTGTGTTGGTGGTTTTGTGAATTTTACATGAGATAATATTGCATAGAACTATACACATACATAATACATACATGCATAAATGAATATAAATTAAAATGGTATAAACTAAATTATATTTGTAGACTAGTTAACAGTAACATGCTAATGTCAATCTTCTGATTTTGATATTGTACTATAGGTATATAGGATGCTGATATGGTTTGGCTGTGTCCCCACCCAAATCTCATCTTGAATTGTCATTCCCATAATCTCCACATGTCGTGGGAGGGACCCAGTGTAAGGTAATTGAATCATGAGGGTGGTTATCTCTATGCTGTTCTCATGATAGTGAGTGCATTCTCATGAGATCTGATGGTTTTATAAAGGGCTATTTCCCCACCCTTTTCTCTCACTTCTCCTTGTGGCCACCATGTAAAGAAGGACATGTTTGCTTCTTCTTCTGCCATGATTATAAGTTTCCTGAGGCCTTCTCAGCCATACTGAACTGTGAGTAAATTAAACTTCTTTCCTTTATAAATTACCTAGTCCCAGCTAGTTCTTTATTAGCAGTGTGAGACTGAACTAATCCAGTAAATTGGTGTAGAGAGTGAGGTGCTGGTATAAGGATACCCAAAAATGTGGAAGTGACTTTGGAACTGGGTAACAGGCAGAGATTGGAACAGTTTAGAGGGCTTAGAAGAAGATTGGAAACTATGGGAAAGTTTGGAACTTCCTAGAGACTTGTTGAATGACTTTGACCAAATGCTGATAGTGATATAGAAAATGAAGTCCAGGTTGAGGTGGTCTCAGATGGAAATTAGGAACTGGTTGGCAGCTGGAGTAAAGGTGATTCTTGTAATGCTTCAGCAAAGAGACTGGCAGCATTTTGCCTCTGCCCTAGAGATCTTTGGAACTTTGAACTTGAGAGAGATGATTTAGGGTGATTTGTGGAAGGAATTTCTAAGTAGCAAAGCATTCAAGAGAAAGCAGAGCATGAAAGTTTGGATAATTTGCAGCCTGACAATGTAATAGAAAAGAAAACTGACTTTCTGGGGAGAAATTCAAGCCCACTGCAGAAATTTGCATAAGTAATAAGGGGCTGAGTGTTAATCACCAAGGCAATGGGAAAAATGTCTCCAGGGCATGTCAGAGACTTTCATTGCAACCCCTCCTATCACAGAGCCAGAGGCCTAGGAGGGAAAAATGGTTTCCTGGGCCAGGTCCAGGGCCTCCCCTCTGTGTACAGCCTCAGGACTTTGTTCCTGATGCTCCAACTATGGCTAAAAGAGGCCAGGGTACAGCTTTTCCCATTACTTCTGAGGGTGCAAGCCCCTAAATTTGACAGCTTCCATGTAGTGTTAAGCCTGTAGGTGCACAGAAGTCAAGAATTGAGGTTTGGGAACCTCCACCTAGATTTCAGAGGATATATGGAAATGCTTGGTTGTCCAGGCAGAAGTCTGCTGCAGAGGCAGAGGCCTCATGGAGAATCTCTGCTAGGGAAGTGCAGAAGGGAAATGTGGGGTTGGAGCCCCCACACGGAGTCCTCACTGGGGTACTGCTTAGTGGAGCTATGAGAAGTGGGCCACCATCCTTCAGATCCCAGAATGGTAGATCCACTGACAGCTTGCACTGTGTGCCTGGAAAAGTTGCAGACACCCAAAACCAGCTCATGAAAGCAGCTGGGAGAGGGTGCTGTACCTTGCAAAGCCACAGGGCTGGAGCTGCTCAACACCATGGCAGCCCACCTCTTGCATCAGCATGCCCTGGATGTGAGACATGGAGTCAAGGGACATCATTTTGGAACTTAAAGGTTTTAATGACTGCCCTATTGGATTTTGGACTTGCATGGAAACTGTGGCCCCTTTGTTTTGGCCAATTTCTTTCATTTGGAGCACGTATATTTGCCCAATGCCTGTACCCCCATTGTATCTAAGAAATAAATAACTTGCTTTTGATTTTGCAGGCTTATAGGCAGAAGGGACTTGCCTTGTCTCAGATGATACCTTGGACTTTGGGTTTTGGGTTAGTGCTAGAATGAGTTAGGACTTTGGGGGACTGTTGGCAAGGCATGATTGTATTTTGAAATGAGAAGGCATGAGATTTGGGAGAAGTCAGGAGCAGAATGATATGGTTTGGCTGTTTTCCCACCCAAATCTCACCCTGAATTGTAGTTCCCATAATGCCTATGTGTTGTAGGAGGGACCCAGTGGGAAGTAATTTAGTCATGAGGGTAGTTACCTCCATGCTGCTCTTGTGATAGTGAGTGAGTTCCCACGAGATCTGATGGTTTCATAAGGGGCTATTCCCCCCTCCTTCACCCTGTACTTCTTACAACCACCATATAAAGAAGGACATGTTTGCTTCCCCTTCTCCATGACTGTAAGTTTCCTGAGGCCTCCTGAGCCACGTTTAACTGTGAGTCAATAAAACTACTTTACTTTATCAATTATGCAGTCTGAGATATGTCTTTATCAGCAGTGTGAGAACGAGATAATACATTGGGGAAAGGTAGGCAAAGGGTACATTGGGGGAAGCTAGGGGAAAGGTACATTGTGGGAAGCTGAGTGAAAGGTACATTGGGGGAAGCTGGGTGAAGGGTACATAGGAGTCTTCTTTCTTCTTTTGCAACTTCCTGTGAATCTGTAATTTTTTTAAGTAAAAAATTACCTACACTGTGGCCAACATTGTAGCAATTCTTTTGGATGACATAGTAAAGTGGACTTTTAGAAAGACTGTAGGAGATGGAATGAGGAGAGGGTAGTTTGAGTTTCAGAAGTACAACCTATTATTGATATTTATGTGCTTATAGGAAAAGTGCCTTACATGCTTCAACTCCTAATTTCTTCATCTATAAAATGTTACTGATAGATAAAATCTGCTTGTCATGTCCTAGTCCAGTCATTGTTACAATTTTTTAAGATATGTAAAAGGTTACTTTGAACAAAATAAAGCCACAAGCCAGCAGACCCCCAAACGTGGGGCATTTGTAGCCACAGTAGAAATGTTTGTCAGGTAGTCGTTTGGGTCCTGATTGGTTTACTAAGGACAGCAATGTGTCAATTGATCATGGCTACTGACGCCAGAGTCACTGTTACAGGGTTGGATTTATTAGAGCCTTCCTGAGACTTTCCATGGACAGGAAATGAGAAGGAAGAAGAAAGGAACTATGTGATAATGACTGTTTAATTAGTGCTTGAATATTAGTTAAAGTATTGTTATGATCATTATTATTATAATCAGTGAAGAAATAGCTTGGTGTGACAATCATCATTTTTTGTCCTGATAAGTTGGATATTTCAAATATACTATAGCCAAACTTAGGTTATACATCCATCCTAAATGTGTATTTTTCACCTTTCTAATCCATAGTCTTATTTCCTGGGGACTATAATTGATTCTAAGCAAATATTTCTTTGGACCTGCAAAGAGGCATTCTAATTTAATTTGCTTCAAATGCCTATCTGTTCACAACCATTCTGCCTGAACTATTAGCTGTAAAAGAAAGAGAAAGATTTCTCGATCAATTTTTAAATTTTTTTAAAAATTGACATGTAGTAAGTGTACATATTTATAAGATACAGAATGACATTTAAATACATGAATACAATGAGTAATGATCAAATCAGAGTAATTAGCTTACCCATCACCTCAAATATTTATCATTTCTTTGTGTTAGGAAAATTCAAAATTCTATTTTCCAGTATTTAAAAATATGCAATAAGTTACCCCAGGGGTAACCATAATTACCCTACAGTGTTATAGAACACTACAACTTATTCTTTAGCTATAATTTTCTGTCTCCTAATCAACCTCTCTGTATCCTCCTCTATCTACTATCTTTTCCAGCTTCTCATAACCACAAGTCTACACTATACTTTTGTGAACTCAAATTTTTAAAGTCCCAAGTATGAGTGAGAATACATGGTATTCATCTTTCTGTGCATGACTTATTTTATGTAACATAATGTCTTCAAAGCTCATCGATGTTGCCACTAATGGCAGGATTTTATTCTTTTTATTACTTTGTAGTATTCCATTGTGTATACATGACACATTTTGAATCCATTCTTGTATTGATGGACACTTAGGTTGATTCCGTATGTTGGCTATTGTGAATAATGCTGCAGTAAATATGGGGGTGCAAATATCTCTTCAATATATAGATTTTTATTCCTTTAGATAAACACAGTAGTGAGATTGCTGGATCACACAGTGGTTCTATTTTTAGTTTAAGAAACACCCATACTGTTTTTGATAAGGGTTGTACTAATTTATATTCCACCAACATTGTATGAGTTCTCTTTTCTCTCCGTCCGCACTGGCATCTGTTAGTGCCTATCTTTTCGATATAGGCCATTTTAACTGGGGTGAGATAATATCTCACTGTACTTTTGATTTTCATTTCCTTGATGATTAATGATGTTGAGCATTTTAAAAATATCTTTGTTGTCCATATTGCTGCCTGCTTTTAAAAAGTGAGTGTTCAGATTATTTGCCAATTTTTATTTTGGGTTATTTGCTTTTGTGCTGTTAAATTATTTGAGTTCCTTGTATATTCTGGATATTAATCCCTTGTCACATGATAGCTTGAAAACCTATTGCCCCATTTCGTAGGTTGTCTCTATACTCTGTTGTTTCTTTCCCTGTGCAGAAGCACTTTAGTTTAATATAATTCCACTCACCTATTTTTAGTTTTGTTGCCTGTACTTTTGAAGTCTTACCCTAAAATCTCTGCCCATATCAATGTCCTAAAGCATTTTCCCTATGTTTTCTTCTAGTAGTTTTATTAATTTAGGTCTCACATTTAAATATTTAATCTACTTTGAGTTGATTTTTGTATATAGTGAGAAATAGGGGTCTAATTTCATTTTTCTGCATTATGAATATCCAGTTTTCCCAGCATCATTTAAGGAAGAGGTTGTCCTTTCTCCAATGTAAGTTGCTGGCACTTTTGTCAAAAATCAGTTGGCTGTTTTATTAGTCTGCTCTCACATTGCTATTAAGAACTACCTGAGACTGGTAATTTATAAAGAAAAGAGGTTTCATTGACTCTCAGTTCTGCAGGCTGTACAGGAAGCATGGCTTCAGAAACCTTAGGAAACTTATGGTCATAGTGGAAGGTGAAGAGATGGAGGCACAACTTGCAAGACAGGAACAGGAGGAAGAGAGCAAAGAGGAGGTGCTACACACTTTTAAACAACCAGATGTCATGAGAACTCACTATCATGAGAACAGCAATTGGGAAATCTGTCCCCATGATTGAGTCACCTCCCACCAGGTTCTGCCTCCAACACTGAGGTTTACAATTCGACATGAGGTTTGGGCAGGGACACAAATCCAAGCCATATCAGCTGTAAATACATGAATTTATTATTGGGTTCTCTATTATGTTCAATCGGCCTGGGTATCTGTTTTTATGCCAGTATCATGCTGTTTTGGTTACCATAGCTTTGTAGTATATTTTGAAGTCAGGTAGTGTGATGTCTTCAGCTTTATCATTTTTGCTCAGTTCTGCTTTTTGGCTATTTGGGATCTTTTATGGTTCCTCAAGTTTTAGGCTTTTTTTCTATTTCTGTGAAGAATTTCATTGATATTGATATCAACATGTCATTAATAGCTATTGCATTGAATCTGTAGATCACTTTGAAGAGTATGGTTTGTTTAACAATATTAATTCTTTCAATTCATGAACATGGAATAGTTTTACATTTTTGTGTGTCCTCTTTAGTTTCTTTTATCAATGTTTTGTAGTCTTTATTATAGAGATCTCTCACCTCCTTGGTTAAATTTATTCCTAGGTGTTTTTTTTGTAGCTATTGTAAATGCATTTGCATTCTTGATTTCTTTTTCAGCTAGTTTGTTGCTGATGTATAGAAATGTACCCATTTTTATGTGTTAATTTTGTATCCTGCAACTTTACTGAATTTGTTTATTAGTTCTGAGATTTCTTTTTGGTGGAGCTTTTGGGTTTTTCAATATATAATATTATATCGTCTGCAAAGAGGGCAATTTGACTTCCTTTTTTCCTATGTGGATTCCCTTTATTTATTTCCCTTGTCTAATTGCTCTGGCCAGAACTTTGAGTACTATGTTGACTAGCAGTGCTAAAAGTTGTTATCTTTGTCTTGTTCTAGTTCTTAGGGAAAATATATTTTGGCTTTTTCTGATTCAGTATGATGTCAGCTATGGGCTTGCCTATATGGTCTTTATTGTGTCTGGGTATGCTGATTCTATGCCTAATTCATTGAGAGTTTTTATCATGAAGTGATGTTGAATTTTACCAAATGCTTTCTCTGCATCTATTGAGATGATAATATGGTTTTTGTCCATTCTGTTGATTGGACAATGTTGTGATTTATGTCTCACATTTATTGATTTGAGTATGTTGAAGCATCCTTGCATCTCCAAGGTAATTACTACTTGATCATGGTGTATAATCTTTGTGTTGTACTGTTGTATTCAGTTTGCTAGTATTTGGTCGAGGATTTTTGCATCTGTATTAATCAGGGATATTGGCCTTTAATTTGCTTTCTTTGTAATGTTTTTGTCTGATTTTAGTATCAGGGTAATACTGGACTTGTACAATAAGTTAGGAAGAATTACCACCTCTTCAGTTTTTGTAATAATTTAGAAGAATTGGTAGTTAATTATTTTCTAAAAGTTTGATAGAATTCATCAGTGAAGGCATCCATTCCCAGGGTTTTCTTTGCTGGGAGATTTTTTTGTTACTGTTTCAATCTCTTTACTTGTTATTGGTCTGTCCAGTTTTCCTATTTCTTTCTGCTTTAAAATTGATAGGTTACCTGTGTCCAGAAATTCATCTATTTGCTCTAGGTTTTCCAGTTTGTTGGCATATAGCTATCATAATAGTGTCTAATGATTTTTTTGTTGTTGTTCAGGCAAGGTCTCACTCTGTTGCCCAGGGTGGAGTGAAGTGGCATGATCAGGGCTCACTGCAGCCTTGACCTCCCAGGCTCAAGAAATCCTCCCACCTCAGCCTCCCGAGTAGTTGGAACTGCTGGTGTGGGCCACCATACCTGGATAATTTTTGTAGTTTTTATAGAGGTGGTATTTCACCATGTTTCTCAGGCTGGTCTCTAACTCCTGGGCTCAAGCAATCTGCCTGCCTCAGAACTCCCAAAGTGCTGGGATTACAGACATCAACCACTGTATCCGGCCTAGTTGAATGATTCTTTATATTTCTGTAGTATTAGTTGTAATGTCTCTCATTTTCAGTTTCTTGATTTTATTTACCTAGGTCTTTTCTTATTTTTCCTTAGTCTAGCGAAAGGTTTGTTGATTTTGTTTATCTTTTCAAAAAACAAGCTTTTTGTTTCTTTGATCTTTTGTATTTTGTTTGTTTGTTTTGTTTTTGTTTGTTTTTTGAGAGAGTCTTGCTCTGTCGCCGAGGCTGGATGGCAGTGGTGCGATCTTGGCTCACTGCAAGCTCTGCCTCCCAGGTTCACACCATTCTCCTGCCTCAGCCTCCCGAGTAGCTGGGACTACAGGCACCTGCCACCACACCTGGCTAATTTTTTGTATTTTTTTGTATTTTTTTTTTTTAGTAGAGACGGGGTTTCACCATGTTAGCCAGGATGGTCTCGATCTCCTGACCTCATGATCTGCCTGCCTCGGCCTCCCAAAGTGCTGGGATTACAGGCGTGAGCCACCACACCTGGCTGATCTTTTGTATTGTTTAAGTCTCCATTCAGTTTAGTTCTGCTCTGATCTTTATTATTTCTTTCCTTCTACTAATTTTGGGTTTGGTTGGCTCTTGCTTTTGAAATCACTTGAGGTGCATCATTAGATTGCTTATTTGAAATCTTTCTATTATTTTTATGTCAGCTTTTATTGCTATAAACTTGCCTTTTAATACTGGTTTTACTTTGCCCCAGAGGTTTTGGTATATTGTGTTTCTGTTTTCCTTTGTTTCAAGAATTTTTATGATTTCCATCTTAATTTCTTCATTGACCCAGTGGTCATTCAGGAACCACTGGGTTCCTGAAACTTGTTTATATTCCATGTTTTTATATAATTTTCAAAGTTCCTCTTGGTATTGATTTCTAGTTTTGTTCCATTGTGGTCTGTGAAGAAACTTGATATGATTTTAATTTTTGGAAATTTGTTTAGACTCTTGTGATCTAACATATGTTCTATCCTAGAGAATGTTCTATGTGCTGATGAGAAGAATGTATGCTTTGTCGTTGGATATATTGTTCTGGAAATGTCTTTTATGTCTATTTGGCCTAAAGTCCAGTTCAAATCCAATCTTTTTTTGTTGATGTTCTGTCTAGATGATCTATCTAATGCTGAGAGTGGGTTGTTCAAGCCCCCTATCATTATTGTATTGGAATCTCTTCTCTCTCTCTCTCTCTTTCTCTTTCTCTCTTCAGATGTAGTAACATTTGCTTTATGAATTTGGGTCCTCCAGTGCTGGATGCATGTGTATTTACAATTGTTATATATACTTGCTGAATTGATTCCCTTATCATTATATAATGAGATTCTTTGTCTTTCTTTTTTCTTTTTTTTACTTAATATCTATTTCTTCTGATATAAACATAGCTACTTCTGCTCACTTTTGATATCTATTTGTGTGGAATATATTTTTTATCCCTTTACTTTTAGATGGTGTGTGTTTTTACAGGCAATATTAGTTTCTTATGAACTTCAGGTAGTTGGGTCTTACAAAAAATCCATTCAGCCCGTCCATATATTTTAACTGGGAAATCAAAACCATTAATATTTGAGGTTTATATTGATAGATGAGTACTTACTCCTCTTATTTTGTTAATTGTTTTCTGGTTGTTTTTTATACCCTTTGCTCCTTTCTTCTTCTCTTATTGTTTATTTTTGTGGTTTGGTGGTTTTCTGTAATAGTAATGTGTGATCCCATTCTCTTTGTATTTGTTTATCTGCTCTACCAGTGAGTTATACATGAGTACTACTTTCATGAAAGTATATGACTCAAAAAATATATATTGCCCTACACTTCCTGATGTAGGACTTTGTTAAGCTTTTCTCGTAGATCAGGTCTACTGGTGATGAATTTCTTCAGTTTTTGCTTGTCTGAGATAGACTTTGTTTCTCCATCATTTCTGAAGGTTAGTTTTTCTGTGTATAGGTTTCTTTGGTGGCATTTGTTTTTTCTTTCATCACTTTAAATGTATCATACCATTCTTTCCTGGCCTGCAGGTTTCTGCTGGAAAATCTGCTGTTAGTCTGATGGCATATCCTTATATGTGATTTGATGTTTTCCTCTCAGTTTTTAGCATTCCGTCTTTATCTTTGCCTTTTGAAAGTTTGACTATAATGTGCCTTGGCAAGGACCTTCTTGGGTTACATTTATTTGGGGGCTTTTAGCTTTCTAAATCTGGATGGTCATATCTCTCCTAAGTATTGGGAAGTTTTTAGCTAATATTTTTATTTTATTATTATTATTTTTTGAGGCAAGGTCTCTGTCTATCGCCCAAGCTGGAGTGCAGTGGCATGAACATGGTTCCCTGCAACCTTGACCTCCTGGGCTCAAGTGATCCTCCTGTGAAGTTATGACCACAGTTGTATGCCACCATACCCAGATTTTTTTTTTTTTTGGTAGATATGGCACATCACCATCTTCCTCACTCTGGTCTCAAACTCCAAGCTATCCTCCTGTCTCAGCCTCCCAAAGTGCTGGGATTATAGGTATGTGCCACCATGCCCAGCCTATGGCTATTTTTTAAAAATAGGTTTTCTATGCCATTTCCCATCTTTTCTTCTTAGAACTTCCAAAATTCACATATTTGTTTACTTAATGGTGGCCCATATGTCCTTTTAGGCTTAATTTATTCTTTTAAAATGTCTTCTTATTTTTGTCTGACTGAGTTTCTTCAAAAGAGCTGTCTTCAAGTTTAGAAATTATTCTGCTTGAACTAGCCTATTATTGACATTCTCAATTAAAGTTTTATTTCATTCATTGAATTGTTCTCTTTCAAGATTTCTTTTGAAGCAAGGTTTTATTTTGCAATATCTATCTCTTTGTTGAATTTCTCATTCAGATCAGGCACTGTTTTTCTGATTTTGTTGAAATGTCTGTGTTCTCTTGTTTCTTGCTGAATCTCCTTAAGATCATTATTTTGAATTCATTTTCAGTCATTTCATAGACTTCATTTGCTTTTGTGTGTTGGCTCCCTCTGTCCTGGGGTAAGCCTCTTTGCTGTGCTGAATTGCCTGTCCCATGGGATATAGGGTGCTACACAGGCTCAGATGCTATGGTAATGGTATCATTTCTGTGTCCATCTCATGTCACGATGCTGCAACCTTCTGGGTGTATGTGGTGGGATGGCAGCAGGACCCCAGGAATATGGACATGCAGGGACTACTGGATCCTATGAATGGATACATTCTGGTGGCAGCTCTGCTCTTAAAATGGTATTGTGCTTCAGCATCCTGGATCCAGGGGAGTGCAAAGGACTCAGTGTGTTTTCCCTCTCAGGAAATATGAAGTTGCTTGGACTCCAAATGCTCCCTATGCTGGGATCAGGGCCTGTAAGGGCTGTGAGGCTCTTCTGTACCTAGAATTGTTGGTGTCCATGGTGAGAATATGGCTGCTGGCAATCTCCCACTTTCTTTTTTCCCACAATGGGAGTTCCTCTTGGCTTGAAACAAATTGATACCGGGTGCTTTGCTTTTCTCTCTGTAATGCCTTTTTAAGTTTCTGTACCCTAAAAGGTCTTCATAACTTCTCTACTGAATCCCAGTATTCTTCCTTAAATACTCTGTTTGATTTGTGGTTATCTACTGGTTGTTGTGGTCCTTTGTCAGGGAGGTGAGTGCTGGACACCTCTATTTAATCATCTTGATAACATCTGTCTCAATTCAGTTGTAACCACCATCCTATGATTAAGTCTGCCCACAAGTAATTGTCGCAGCAATATTAGTAGAATTAGTAGTAGTAGTAGTAATAGTAGCAGCAGCAGCAATGACAATCAAATACCTAACACTTGTGGAGCACTTACCAGCTGTAACATGCTGTCATAAATTTTCTACCTATATTAATTAATTTAATTCTCAAAACAATCCCAAGTGATAGGTTCTATCATTGTCCACATTTTACAATGAGGAATCTAAGACAGAGAGGTTGGGTAACTTACTTAAGTAGACATACCTTGCAATTGGCAAACCAGGATCTTCTAAACTAGGCCGGTGACTTTGGAGTTCATACTCTTAACCTCTATGCCAGTCCGTCTTTCGCAATCACTTGTCATATCTTTTGCAGCATCCTTGGCAACTGGAAAGGAATGTGATATTTATAGAAGAAAATGGTATTTTCTTTGGCTGTCTCTATTAAACACAGTTTTGAAGGTGCTGGTCATTTTGAAAACTTGGGCATGACTAAAGAAAATGAAATGTGGAAGTTCTATGGCCTTTGTTCTTTGGGAATAGGTCATCTATTCTCAGTAAGTATGTAGGAGATCCCAGTAGGAATTGGGGGCAAAAATACAGGAAGACAGTTCGTTGTTGGCATTATGATATCATTTCCACATTTCATGGTTTAGTTTCAGCCACATCCAAATTAACTTGCAACTGCTCAGTAGTGACATGTTTGTTCATCTAATGTCTACATTCACAATCTGAGTTTCTCTACTTACCAGTTCTATGATCTTAGGAAAGTTATATAAAGTACTGTTGTCTAAGTTTCTTCATTGTAAAATGAGCAAACTTACTTCATTTAATTGCTGGGAGAATTAAATGGTATAATATGCCTAAAATATTGACTTCAGTGCTTGGCATTCTCTAGGTTCAATAACATTATGGAAGATATTAATAGATAAAGTGAAGGTTGTGGAAAATATGCTACAATTCCTCTCCTCAAAGTCAATTATGGCATTAATGACAAAATTTGCAAATATCATCACAATATATTATGATATCATTGCCTCCAAAGAGGTAAAGATATTAAATTTTATAAAAGTTCTAAGATAGATGAAATTCATGGTCTAGAGAAAAAGTGTGTAAGCCTTCATGAACATGGTAAGAGTATGGGTTTGAAGTGGTGTCTGAAGCCAGGCAAAGGCAGATAAACCAACTACATTGTGAGAGAGTATTGTGGGTCAACGAAACAACATGAAAAACTAGAGAGGTAGAAACAAACTCGTACATTTGTAGGACAGCAAAGATGCCACCTCATTAGAGAAAAAGATTTACTTCAAGAATATTGGAAGATAAGACCTGGTAGGGAAGGATAGACCAGGCTTTTGGAATGCTGCACAGAACCATACCTTTCTCCATACTTAAGTCTGCGTGAGCAACTCTAATTGAGAAACCTTGATCATTTGTGAAAGATTATTTAAAATATTACCTTTTGCAAGAGGACTTTTCTCTTCTCTCCATTAGAAGGAATTTCTTCCCTCCAATGAACTCTCAGTCTAGCTTATCTTTATTCCTCTTATCTAGCATGACCACACATGCTAGTTTGCCTGGGTCATTCTGAGTTATGCTTGTTATCCCAGTGTAATTATTAGTAGAGCACCCTTTCATTCTAAAATATGTTCCTTTTGTATGATAAAATAAAAGGTCAACTACTTATAACTCTTATCACTTATCTTCTGTGTTCCGGTTAGTTACCCCTATTAAAACGTTCAGGCTAGCAAAGACCATTATCTACTCATCTTTGTATTCCCAGTACAGAACATAATAATTATTTATTAAATGAATTTAAAGAAGGAGGCTGAAAACTCTTGGAGTATAAGTCTGAATCCTTAGACTTTTTTATGTTTCTAACCTTGTCTGCTATTGCACCTGCAAATACTAGGTACTTGATAGGTTTGTAAATTCGAGTGGACATGCACAAGGGTATACTGTTTCTGGAGTGTGCCGGAGATGACTTAAGCACAGACTTGAAGTGTGTCCTCAGAAATCTTATCTTCTTTTCTCACCGTTTGCTAACCTGTGCACATTTCTTGCTGACAGTTTGGGTTGGTCTTAAGGCCTAAATAAAAATTTTATTTGGAAAATTCAACTATTAAATCAACAATCAGATGCATGTGTGTGCCCTACCTCTGTTGTGTGTGTGTGATGAAAACAGTCCTATTTTGTAGGATTTAACCTTTCTCATTACTGGGTCCCCATTAGGAAATTTAAAATAAAAATAAATGAAGATTGATGGTTTTTCAAATGATTGGTACATTGGTTGAATAATTCACTTAACAAACTATATTGAATTTTTTGTTTTGTTCCAATTAGTGTTATTTCCTTGAGGTTTCTAACTGGAATTTCTATTCTTGTTTTATAACTATTTATGATTTGAATGGCCCTACTGGATTTTTCTTCTTAAAATTTGTGAGAAGTTATGCTAGCAGATGTTAAAAAGGAATAAAGGATATAAACTTTGCCATATTGTTTAGTTATAGAGGAGTCATTTGGGTAACTCCGTTAACTTGCTGAGTGTGAGAGGAAATTATAGTTATCTATGAAACCTTAGTTTCTAACTTGGAATCTTTTCATCTGTTTTCTAGGGTTAGATCGGTTTCCCTCCATGTCCTGTGGGTCAAGGATGCCACAGCTATCTGAATATATATAACCCATATCACTACATGGCAGGCAGATACGCAGAGGTTAGATTCTGAACCCTATGAAAGTGGGCTATATGGAAAATTAAACTGCTGAAGGCCCTTAAACAGAGGCCTCAGAGTAAATCCTTTTCCTACTCTCAGCACAATCCTGTGCTCGCCAGCCTTCCCTGTGACCAGTGGTACTCCTTCAAAAATTT
The DNA here is from genome assembly GCF_000001405.40 of Homo sapiens. Lineage (NCBI taxonomy): Eukaryota > Metazoa > Chordata > Mammalia > Primates > Hominidae > Homo > Homo sapiens. The sequence goes on from NC_000011.10 coordinate 21,228,565, forward strand.
TTTTGGGAAATTCTCCTTTGCTAGGCTATATTCACCAGCCTTTCTCTGCAGTTTTATCCTCTTTGTTCTAAAGAAGCCATGCAATCTCTCATATAGGTTTGTTTCTTTTCCCCTCTCCCCTCCCCTCCCCTCTCCTTCCCTCCCCTCCCACCCCTCCTTCCCTCCCCTCCCTCCCCTCCCCTGCCCTCCCCTCCTTTCCTCTCCTCTTTTTTGTAACCTGAGGGGAAGGTTTCCAATTGTGGATGTTTTTCAGCATTGTGGACATTTTAGGCTGGCTAGTTCTTTGTTGTTTTGAGCTCTTCTGCACATTGTACAATGCTTAGCAGCATTCCTGGCCTTTATTCCCTAGATTTCAGTATCACTTCCTGTTCCCAATCATGGCAACCAAAAACACCCTCTGACATATCAAATGTTTGCAGGATGAGGCAGTGCAAAATTCCCCCTACTAAGAACCATTACCTTGGAATCTCTGTGAAAACCTTTTTAGAAGGTGGAAGAAACAACGGCCTTAGTGCAGCACTTACCAATTGTGTGACGGACAGGAGTTGTTTGACTTCTCTGATACTGTTTCTTTACCTGCAAAGTAGGGATAATAACATCTTTCTTTCAGAGTTTAGATTTCAACAGGAACTTTTAGGCGCATAGTAAGGTACTGACAAGTGGTAGTCACTGTCATTCTTATTTGGTGAATTCCAGCTACATTTCCCAATACCAGTAATTCCAACTTAAGAAAAAGTATTTCTCTTTTTCTCTCACCCTGGAAACAGAACACGATGAATGTGGCAGCGGCCAGCACAACTGTGATGAGAATGCCATCTGCACCAACACTGTCCAGGGACACAGCTGCACCTGCAAACCGGGCTACGTGGGGAACGGGACCATCTGCAGAGGTAGGCTTGCCGCCTTAGTGTTGAGTTGTGAGCAGCCATTCTGCCTGGGCTCTTGGCACTTGTGCGTCGGACCTTCTTGGTAACTCTTGGTGGAACACAGCCAGGGTTCCTGCTCCTGGTTTATCAACTGGCAAGGGTACTGTGCGTCAGGGAAAAAGAAAAATGCTTCAGGTTTAGCTTTGGAGTTGAAAGAAAAAGGTATAGGTATGGGTCAGGGACACAGTTACATAACTTGATGGCTCTGTTCAGCTTTGCCTGTTGGCATGAGTTTGTGAGGGAAGCTTGGATTGCGGATATTGGCTTTTCTTTCCTGTGAGATTTTCCCCAAGGGCAAGTGGACACTGTTTCTGTCCACACTTGAGGTATCTGCTTGGGTAGGAAACTTACAGTTTTAGCCTTGCTCAGCGTCTGGGAGCAGTTTATCAATTCAGAGGCCAGCGCCCTGGCTTCCCTTAGCATTTAGAATAAAAATAAAATTCCTCCTTCTGGCTTATGAGGGCATTCAGCATCTGGTCCCTGGCTCCTCACAGCTGACACCTCTCTTTCCTCTCACCCTGAATCCCTTTACCTCAGCCTACTGGGTCCCTGTTATTCCTTCAGCATTGTTGTTGCCTCAGCCACAATGCTCATTTCTTTCATGTCTCTACTCAAATGTCTCCTCATCACAGAAATGTTCTTTGACCACCCTATCTAAAATAGTACGCTTAGTACTTCTTAGCCCACACCAGGCTTGATTTTTTTCTTCACAAACAACCTGACAGAACATCACAGGTTTATGTGTTTGCTTATCTCTGTGTTATCTGCCTCCCCACTAGGATGTAAGCTCCATGACAGTGAACACTTGGTCTTGTCCCCCCACTGTCCCTGGTGTTTAGATATTATCTGCCTCCCCACTAGAATGTAAGCTCCATGACAGTGAACACTTGATCTTCTCCCCCCATTGTCCCTGGCATTTAGAGTGTGACTTGCACACGGTAGGTGCTTGTTCACTATGTGTTAATTCACCAAATCACCAAAGAGGAAAGGCACAATCATAACGAAAAAATAGGCAACATGAACAAGAAAACAAAAGACATCCTATGAGGTAGGTATTATTATCCTTATTTTAGAAGTGATAAGATTGAGACACAGAGAGGTTAAATAACTTGCCCAAAGATACATAGTAAACACATTGTCAGTATTCCTCTGCAGGGATGAAATGCTGGTAATGAGTGAAAAATAATTTACAACGACTAAGTCACTATATTTATGGATTGGATTGGGGAAGAATTTTAAAAGATCAATTTTATTCTGTGTTGGTTAAGGTGAGGTAAGCAGAAAGCCTAATACATGACTATGAGTGTAAATTGGTAAAACTCATTTTTTTTTAACAGCAATTTGACAAAATTTATCAACATTCAAAGTACGTATTCTACTGATTCCATCAATTTTACCTCTTGAAATTTATTCTAAAAAAGCACAGGTTCATGAAGAGGGGGAAATGTGCATAGAATTTTTTTTGCAGCACTGTTTATATTCACTGAAAACTGGAAACAACCAAAATATCCATCAGTCTTGGAATGATTAAATTTATCTTGGCATATGAATTTTATAGAGCAGAATGCTATGGTTTAAAACTCTAAACATTTGTATGTACACGCACGCACACACAAACACATACATACATGTACACATCACATTGAAAGATACCCTACATATTTTTGAGAAAAAATAAAATAAATTCAAGTTCAGAACAATATAGTATCATCAAATATCTAAGTTAATATTTATAAATATCTATATACATATTTATGTAAATACATAAAGACTGGAAACATGCAAACTAGTCACCTTATTGCCCATGTGTGTGTGAAAAAAGAAAATTCACTTATTGCTATGAACTCCATGTTATTTGCACTTCTTCCAGTGGTCTTTTATATGTGAATATTTGTGCGTATTTTTTCTAAAGTACCCTGAAGCAAATAAACTAGTGCTCAGCTTTTTTAAAAGGCTAAGGAAATTTCCAAAGCAAAACAAGGAAACAAAAACGTTAATGTAATTCCAGGGATTATCAAGCCCACTGCTGGTACCTGCATGCTAGTGCTATAAATCTGAGGAGCAACATAGGGATTTTAATGCACTTTTTTTCAGAATTATGTTACCTCATAAAATAATATTAATTGCCCTTGTCCAGTGAGTTTGTATTTGCCGAGTCCTCTCTTGCCATTGTGATAAGTGGTGGTTTCACCTTCGTAGAATTTTGTAAGTCCAGCTGTGAAAAAATATGAGTTTAAATAATGTTCCTGATGTCCGCAGACTGTGAGGGGAAACATATCTTCCCTTGAAAGTTATGAATTAGGGAAAATAATTTTCTTAAAGTGATTGTCATAATCAATTGTGTTGACCTCAGTAAGGAAAAGTCTTGTGTTTTATAAATGCTGCATGGGAAAGCAATGTGGTATAGTTGAACAATTGGATAAAGAGCTTGTACTCTTCACACCTTCTTTCACTACTGGTTCTTTACACTGGCTTTCATTACTGGTGAATTGTAACTTCTATATTTTTACATATTAAAATTTGGTTAAGGCCAGGCGCAGTGGATCACACCTGATCCCAGCACTTTGGGAGGCTGCGGCGGGTGGATCACCTGAGGGTCAGGAGTTCTAGACCAGCCTGGCCAACATGACAAAACTCCATCTCTACTAAAAAAAAATAAAAAAAAAAAAATATATATATATATATATAAATTAGCTGGGCGTGGTGGTGTCCACCTGTAATCCCAGCTACTCGGGAGGCTGAGGCAGGCGAATTGCTCGAACCTGGGAGGCAGAGGTTGCAGTGAGCCGAGATCATGCTACTGCACTCCAGCCTGGGGGACAGAGCAACACTCCATCTCAAAAAAAAAAAAAAAAATTGATTAGTATTACTTTCCCTATTTATCTAACAGTATTATTGCATAGAATCACTAACGGAATTTATATTTGGTGTTTTAAACTGTAAAATGCTATACAAACTAAAGACTAGTATTAGCCTTATAATAAAGAAGAAGAAAGAGGAGGAGGAGGTTGGCAGTTTATGGCCTTCTGCCTGAAATAACCAAATTTGTGTCTCAATTTCAGGGCATATATTTTATAGTTAACTTTGCCACCTTGTAACTGAAACATTTACAGTGGGAGTTGGACAAGAATAACCAGACAACTTGAACTAAGTCTTTTTTATTTTCACTTTTTATTTTTTTGAGACAGGGTCTTGCTCTGTCACCCAGACTGGAGTGCAGTGGCTTGATCTCAGCTCATTGTAACCTCTGCCTCCCGGCTTCAAGCGATTATCCTGCCTCAGCTACTGAGAAGCTGGGGTTGCAGATGTGCCCCACCATGCCCAGCTAATTTTTGTATTTTTAATAGAGATGGGGTTTCACCACGTTGGCCAGGCTGGTTTCCAACTCCTGACCTCAAGTGATTTGCCTGCTTCAGCCTCCCAAACGGCTGGGATTCCAGGCATGAGGCACTGCTCTCAGCAGAACTAAGTCTTTTTAAGTGTTAAATATAGAAAAGCTTTTCTAGGCAGACATGGTATTGTTCATAGACTTGACTAAATCTGGTTAGAAGTAAATAGTTAACATGCCTTTTTATAAGCATTACATAAGACATCAGTTTCTGAAACAATACTAATTGGTGTGAATTCTCTCAGATGGGTTTCCGTGGTGGTCGATGCCCATGTAAGGCGTCTTTTCTTCTTTTGGATGGAAAATACTTGTTCAGCTACAAAAACTCTCATTAAGTATGTGCAAGACACCTTGATGTGTGTATTCATATATATGTTATCTCATTTAGTTCCCACCATAATCTTGAGAAGTTGATGCCATTATTCTATTTCACAAGTAAATTTTAAGTAAGACGTAGTTGAATCTGATTTAACTCAACTAGTGGAACTGCTTTTAGTTTTTTCCCTCCCTTTCCTCCTTTTCTTTGTCCTCCTCCTTTTCCTTCTCTTTTTATTTCCTCCTCCTCTCTTGGCTGTTTATCATTTAACTCTCTCCCTCACACATTGTATTCTAACTAGAAACTAAAGAGAAAATAGAAAGGGAAGAGAGCATACAATGATAACCTAGAATTTTTTTAAAAATTGCTCACATATTTAATAAATAGACTAAAGTCATTCTGAAACTATACAATATGTTTTGCTTAATAGTTTGGCATTTGAGTTTAAATGGACAAAATGCTTGCAAACAGTTTCAAGTCAGATTTGCATTACCTGACATGAAGGTTAGGCTTATCAGCAGCAGAGTGTTTATCTGCTTTCCCAGTCCTGCATTAATGCCAAAACAGAAAGTGAGCTTTCACTAGGCAGTTGTCAATATGCAGCTGATAGACTATGTCTTCTCTCTTATCTGTCATTAGCTCTGGATAGGATGTGGTGATCTTTGAAAGCATTCTTGTCTTAATGACTGATAATATTAACATTTATTTATAAAACATACAGTGAGTGTGAATTCTGTGTCTGGGCACCAAAAGAGCAAAAATAAATAAGACAAGTCCCCAGGGATTTCACCATTTAGTGTTGGGGAAAGATTTTAACAAATTCTTCCAACCCAACGGAACATTTACAAAATGGTATTATCTCGCGTGAAAGAGGCTTGAAAAGAATTACCCAAAATACAGAGCTATGTGTAAAGCATATGCATTAGTTAGGATTCCTTTGGTTGCAAGTAATAGAAATCCACTGGCAAACTGGCTATGTAACTTGCAGAACCCAGAGAAAAATGCAAGCATGGGCTCCTAGTTCGAAAAGCAGGAAAAACTTGCAAATTAAAGATACTGAAATACAAAGCTTTGAAATTTTCCCATGATCTCTCTCTTCTCCTGTCGTGGAGTTTTGTAGTTGCTATTTAATGTTGCTTCTTTAGGCTTGGGGATATTTTTGGGGTGAATGTTAACCCTGTAGGAGCTTCAGGCCCATCTTGCCACTTGGTATATTCATGTGGCCCACCAACTTTGGGGTTTCTCACTCCCTGACCAGTGCACCATGATTGGGCGTGGGACAGGGAAGTTGAATCAAGTATCTCCCCTTCTCTCAAGATATCTTCAAACCAACTTTAACGTTGACTGCCTTTCAAAGAAAATCACTACAGTAAAATTCAGGTCACTGTAGAAACTCCAGGAACATAGGTGAAATCTTTATTTTAAGGCTCTCCAGAATCCTGTAGTGCTCTGAAACCATTCATTATGAGTATGTTTGCATTGAGTGCATGTGCAGACAAGCTGCTTCCTGGAAGTTTCTGTTTGATGAGTTGCTGGATAAACTGTGTACAAGGAAAACACAGAAAGCCAGAAGCAGAAGGCCAGAGGTTTGATATAGACAGAAAGAGTAATGTGACAGATCATGCTAAAGATGTAAACAATCCTGAATTAAATAAGTCAAATAGACATCTCACATGTACAAAGTTGTTTTTCAGAGGCTCACAGGCAATATGAGAGAAAGGGAGAGGGAGAGGGAGAATAGAAAGGTAAGTTATTATAGTAAGGTATCACCAAGGATAATAAACTTTATAAACTACTGGGCTGTGAATCGGAGAAGATGAAATTTGGGGAGTTTGAAGAAGCAAGTGGAATAGGAAGCCTTTGGCAAAAGTACTTACAGCACTCTAGACATAGTTTTGAAACATGGTTAATGTAATGAGGAAGAATTCAGGAAGGTGCCAATCTAAAAGTCTGCCCTTAGGTGCCTTTATTTAGACAAAATATTGGAAAGAATGATGAGGGGCAAGACTGTCTGATATCAGGGGATGGTTTGGCTCAATTAGGGCCAGGTCCATCTGTAAAAACACATTCATATTGAAAAACGGGAGGATTGTAAGCATATTTCTAAGAGTGCTCCTCTGGTTATAGAGCAATTTCATAACAGTTTAAGAAAGGATTTGAGACTGTACCCCACATAGGATTGATTTATAAAGTCAGAAAACAGGTAGATTAGAGGTGGCTTAGGGTCGGACTCAATCAATCAGAAGAATCTTTGCAGCAAGTGTGGACTATGCTCATTATAATTAGAGCCAGTTAAAATTTCCCACCTATAGAGACTGATGGAGCGGGGAGGTATATCTTTGGTAGTGTTTAAGCTTCTCTTAAGGGTCATATTGAAATAACTGGACCAGGTGATGTTACTATATAAGAAATTTGACTTTCGAATTTCTTTAGAACTATTAGATGATTTGACCATAAATCATAAGCGTAAAGACAAGATTGATGTGAACATGGATGACAAAAATCCCTTTTAATTAAGTTTAAGGAGTTATCACAAAGTGCTCTTAACACAGGGATACAAATTTTTAACATACAATGGTAAGAATTAGTTTGTCAAGAGTATGCAGAGCCTTAATGTCATGCTTAAATGGACATAGACTGAAGGAGTGGGCTACAGAATAATGGAAAAACATACAATTTTTTTTCTCTTAATCTATTTTCTTTTGAATGAAGTCTAAACTTATTAGCAAGGCACTCAAGGCCCTGTGACATGTAGTCCCATATGAATAGTTTGAACCTCATCTCTTATGATATCATCTTTCCCCATTACCTTGCCAGTCACACCTGAGAGTTAACTAATCATTCTCCCAACAGACCAGGCCAGATGGATGATTTCATGGGCCCTTTCCCTCTCCTTGGGATCATTTATTATACTGGAGTGCTTAATTCTATCCTCTCTTCTTCCAACTGAAATCCTATTCATCCCTCACAGTCCAGCTCAAATCCCATTTTTCCTTGATCTTCTGAGTCAGAATAAATTGTTTGTCCTCTGAATTTTGCTTGTAGTATTCAATGTATTATGTCTTGTTAAACTTAGCTGTTTATATTTCAGCCTTTACCACACAAAACCTTGTGCATAATGGATGCTCAGTAAATACATAGATGCAAAATGAGAATTGACCAGTTGATTTAATGCAAATCAACCTGCTCTTGTAGCTTGGTGTATTAATTACTGCAGAATCTACACCATTATTCTGAAAAATCAAAGACAAATTAAAATTGTGAAGCAAATTTTTATGTATTACATATTTTAATGTTTTGGAAAATCATCAGTGGACCTGCTATTTAAGTTCAAAGACATTGTCTGTTGCATACAGAAAATTTATTCTATTTTATGTTTAATGCCTATAGATGCTGAAAGTCCTATAGACACTAAATATAGTTATACCAGAAATGATAAAATCCTTTGGCCTAATTTGAGAGGCAATAATTAGGCTAAGTCTAGCTTCCTTTTTGCATAATGTCTGTTTGAAAATCTTCTTTATTGACCCTTTTTAGACTCATTCAGTTATTCTGCAATTATAATATGAGCTAGGTTTAGAGCTGGGAGGCACTGAACATGCTGGACGGTCAAGACAACATGGGGGACATGACAAGTTACTAAACACACGTTAAGAAATAAAAGAAGGCCTGCCAGCCACCTGGAAGAAACATACTTTTGCCTATAGTTTGCCATTTGAAGAAAGGCTAATGTAAACAAAGTTTTACTACATGACTTAGGGACTGCAGATTGGCCATTTCACATCCTTCAAATCTGTAAAACATCTACAGGCTGATCTTTACTGATATATTGGCCAAATATTTTATTATAGCTTTTTACCCCTTTTCCTGAGATCTGTTATGATACAGCCTTCAGCTATTAATGTATTTCTTGTCCATGGGAACCTGGAATTAGTTCCCAGGAGGGCAAGGCACAGGACTATGGCTGAGCCACCCCACTCATTCTCCAGAACATTCAAATTGGGCAACTACCTGTACCTTGAGACTGTAGGATCTGCAATAATGTTATCAAGGTAGAAAGAAACAACATACATTTTCTGTAATTCTTCTTGTTACTTAGTTCTGTATAGTACCCCGGGCATTTAATTTTCTGATTAAGTCTCTTTGGGATGATCAACATTCCAAGATATTCAAGGCTCTTTACAAAAGGACTCTAAAACATGGTTCTAGATTTATTTTCAAGTATCCCTTTTCCACAAAACTGAATGAGTCTTTCTTTCTTACATGTGCCTCTTCTCTTTAGTTTTATAATTCGATCTTTTTTTCTCTTGTTAGAATGCCCACGTGTAATATCATTAAATATTTTTTACTTGCCGGAATGAATTTATAAATCAAGGCAGTCATCATAGAAGTTATTGAACAAATATTGATTGTGTACTTATGATGGGCCAGGCACTATGCTAGGCTCTGGTTATCTAACTGGAAAAAGACAAAGGTAGTCCAATGATCAGACTATAGTCTGAATGGAACTAAACCTCTCTGAAGCATTTAAAATCATCAATCTTTCCTTTGTTCTGTAAACATTTTATTTCAGAGATCCTTATATTCTCCTGGGTTTCCTTCTGTCTCAGGTACCTCCTCTGATTATTTGATGGATTCTTCTTTATAGTCAGTAAATGCTGTACTGGCTCAACATTTTCTCTCTCTTTTTCTTTGCCTAGGTAATTGTGTCCAAATATAACAGCTTTAAATACCATCTATATGCTAATGACTACTAAATTTATATCTTCAGTCCCAACCTCTTCCCTGATTTCTCCAGAGTTATGTAATCAATCACGTACTTGAAATGTCCACTTGGATCCCTTACAGGTATCTCAAACCTAGCACAACCAAACAGGATCCTTGATTCCTTCTTCACATAGTAGACTTCTCATTTCTACTTCTTGCCCATCTTAAACAATGGGATTACCATTGACCAGGTTGCTCAGATAAAACAATCTTAAGTATTTTCTTTGATTTCTCTCTCTCAGATTTGTCATCAACACATCAACAAGTCTATCATGTTTCCCTTCAGAATATCACAAATACAACTATTTCTTTTCATTTCCATAACTTTGCTTTAGTTTAACCCATGATCATCTCTCCATGGAATATTGCCCTAAAAAAAAGTAGATGTAGAATTTTGGAGGCTGTGGATTTGATGGTGCAAAGATGAGATATTATAATATGATAACTTCTATTTTCTCAATAAAATATTAAATGCAGTCATATATTGAAGAATGATGTTAGGACTGATGCTGAAATCACTGAGAAGGATGACCAGAGAAGAGACACTTTAATAAATGAGAGGTCGTAGTGGAGAGGCACAGGTTGGGGGATGTGGCAAAATGAGCTTCAAAGGAGAAAGGGGCTTTGCTGGAGGAAAGGGAAGTAGTCTTGAAATGAAAATGGGAAACAAAAAGTATTCACCCTCTTTTTCTGAGGTTCAAAGAATTATAAAGAAAAATATGGCCTCTGCTGAGTGGGTGGCAGAAGACCCAATTCTTAACTAAGATGGAAAACTGAAGAGGCTGTTGTAAGAGTTGTTGCTGATAGAGAATTCTATTATAACCATTAGGTGCATGGGCTTTGGAGGAAGACACATTGGGTTCAAATTTTGATATTTCTGTTTACTAGCTATGTGACTTCAGCAAGTGACTAAATTGTTGAAAAATTCAATTTTCTTCACCTGTGAAAGGTGATTGTAAAAGAACATACCTCAACACATAAGCTTATTTCTCTAAACCTTAGTTTCTTTATCTTTAAAGGAGAACCATAAGGGTAGTTACTTCACGTGACTGTAAAAATTAAATGAGATAATACACTTATGATACTTAGGTTAGTGTTTGGAACACAGTAGTTGCTCAGTAGACATTAGCAATTGTCAATATTATTATTAGCACGATGAAAAATCCACTGAAATTTTTCTCCTTACCATCTTCCCTGATATCATTACATCTCTCTTAGAACCTATGGTGTTTCTTGCTCTGTGGTACTTCATAAACATTATGTATATAATACACACCTATTTATGCATATGATAGTCATTTTGTGTCCTTATTTAATGCACTCATTGCCTTTTTAACATATGTTGTATACATTACTATATTTCCCATCATACCTATAACAGGGATGGATCGTCTCACTATTTGTTGGAAAAAATAAAAATCAATAATTCAAACTTTATGATCCAAGATACTGCCATATACATCTACCCACCCAAGTGTGGCATGTGCTCTTGAGTAGACATTGTCTTTTCATATGTGTGCTGGCCTAGTTGTGACCAGTGGGAAACATTCGTGAGACTCAGATCAGTATTCTAATATGTAGCCTGAAGCAGCATGGAATACATTTCTCTGTAGGCCATTTAAGTTTTAGCCATAAATAAACTCAGGATCACTTTGTTCCAGAAAAATGGAATAGTACCCTACCACTGCTTGTTGGAGGTATGAGGTATCATTACTTTTTTCTCCACTTCTACACATTTGACTCAGTAGGGGATAGATATGGGACAGTGTGGGAATCACAGTCCCACATCTATCTTTGTTCTCTTGAATCAAGTGAACCAAGATAGATGGTTCTTGGCTCTCTGGGACCATCAGACCCCACTGCAGGGCTGGCATCTTCTCACTTCTCAGTTGTAGGAGAAGGTGGAACAGGTGATGCAGAGACCTATTGAGATATTTGCTCTGCTGATAATGTAGAAATGGGAAGTTTTGGGGATCACATATGAGTGTGGGAGGTCCAAGAAAAGGAATGGCTTGTGCCTTGCTGGAGCCATGGTCTCTGGCAAACATGAACCAATCTTCATCATGCTTGCCACATAGACATTCCTCCTCATAAGGGCAAAAGCTATTACTTGGGTACAAAAGCAAAGAAATTCAGAGCAATCATTCCTCTACCATTCCCTCCTGAAGTCTGGAGAAGATAAATGATAAGGACTTTCTCCCATCCTCACTATTCCACCCCCAGAAATGCTACGTATTTTAGATGAACTGTTCATATTGTTTGTAAAAGTAGATTGGCAGTACTGTTAACATGATTATTAACTGCAGTGTTAGGCAATGTTAAAATAACTTCAAATTGTTTTGCAAAATCTCTGTCATAAAAATGCTTACCAACAAATACTGATACTAAATTTAGATGTGGGGGTATTAGTTATAATCCTGAAGTGGGAGGGGGAACTTCTTAATTCCAATTTAGTTCTAAGAGAAGGAAGAGTATTTAGGCCCAGAGAAGGTTACGCTTAAAGGTCTGATAGTGTTTTCTTTGAAAAATATGTCTCAAACTAGAGAATAAAACTAATTATCTCATCTAAGTTACCTAGAGACATTTATGCTCATCAGTTTGATAAAGGACTGCAAGTAGACACAGAAGCTGTATTTTCAGTCTTGAACCCAGCAATAGTACATTAACAAGATTGGGGCAAGGCAAAGGGACTTTTGTGGCACAAGATACAATATATGGATTGCGTTCTTTTGGCTTAACAAGGTGCACCTTGACGTAGTCTTGTCCTAGCCTTTAATATTCCTTTCCTTCAAGTGCCTTTCTAGTGGGGGGGGGGAGGGGGGAGTCTATTGGATGCGCTTAAAACACTTTCCATCACTTTCCAAAGTCAGCGCTTACCTTTTAAAGTTTGCAGCCCAGTAGACAGTAACTACATCCCTAGAGGCTTAAGGGAAACATGTTAAATCAGATCAGCTTGTATCTCAGAGGGAGTGGAAATCTGACACTTAGACAAGTGCTGATTCTTTTGAGTGCATTTCCAGGTTGCACTTTGCTGAGTTACATAGATGTTTGTTAACCATAATTGTCACATCTGAAATGACCCATAAGATTAGCAAAGCCGTATACATATATCAGTCAGTTTTATTTTAAAACAGGCTACCAAACATTGACTTTCTCTCAAGCAATCAGAATAAGATTGTTTTCCTTTCCTTAGTAACAATTCTCAATGGACCAGGAGACTTTAGGAAACATTACTGAAATATTTCATTGTCAATATGTAGGCTATCTACTGGATTATGATCTGTTTTGGGTAGCAGTTATTTGCAAAATATTCACAGTATTCAACAGCTGGTACTATTATAGAATGGCAGCCAGCTCTAGTTGATATGTCCACATCAGCTCAGGTTATGGGCAGAGTATTTGCCTTAAATAGAGCCAAAGAACTGTCTCACCTGGTTGGGTGCCATATTGTAAGGCAAGGTTAGCTTAAATAGATCTGTTACCTTTTAATGGCTGTTATGTTATGTAAACTAGCTTAGGCTTACGCCAAGTACTGTTACTGGGTCTGCTTGGTCCAGATGCTTCAAGAGGCTTCTCTTGACTCAGGTCTTTTTTAAGGCAACAAAGGATAAATTTAAAAATATTTACAAATAATGTACAAGTGTCAGCATAATTTGGGGGTAGTGCTAACTGTAGTCTTTCTGCCATCAGATATTGGTGGAATGTTTAACTAGGACTGACCAGTAGAATGTGTGTGGTTCTCACTTGCCTGTTTTCACATTTCTACTTATTTCTACCCCAAACAGAATTATGTGTTTGTTTTTTTCATTTCAGCCCTATGCATGCCACTCTGTTTGCTTTCTGCAATAAAGTTAGATATGCTTATAGTAGAGTTCATTCAGCTGTGTTTCATCTTTAAAACACAGCCATCTTCTGGTTCGACTGAATTCGATGTCTGTTTCTATTTTTTTTTTTTTTTTTGCCTAATTGTGTCATTTACAGCTAGACGTTTACTTCCAAGGACATGTGTGTTACACCTTGTCCTGTGAGAATAAACCAGTCAAATGACCTATTGTTTCACATTTCCTTGTCTGTGAATAGATATGATGGCATTTTCAAATTTTTTTCTCACTCTCAGCTCCTAAGTGAGAAAATGTTTACGGTAAAATGATGAACACATGAGAAACTGCTTGTTAAAGATAAGTAAATGATGGTAGATGCTGTAACAGATAAACTCCAAAACTTCAGTGGGTCCAACACAATATTATTTATTTCTCATTAACAGCTAATGGTGAGAGTGGTTGTGTGTCACAGTGATTCAGGAATACAGTCACTTTCTATCTTGTGTCTCTAACCTCTTGGTTTTCAGAATCCTTACCACTCCGTCAGAAGATGGGAAAAGAATAAAAGGTCAAACACGAGAGGTTTTTAGGGACCATTATGAAAGCAGCACCTATCACTTTTGTCTTGCATTGAATTGGCCAGAACTCAGTCCATGGCCACACCGAACAATAAAACAGAAGCTATGTGTGCCCAGGAAGCAGGGGAGAACACAGATATTGTTTGGTTCCAGCAGCCTCTGCTACACTGCTGTTGTAAATAAAATGCTACATGAATAAAATTAGCTGCATTATTGTTTGTAGAAAATAAACCTCATGTATTTCTGAAATGGATTCTGCCTGATACACTGTAAAGATCTCTTGTAGGCCTACACGTAAAAATTACTGTGAATATCCAGAGTTTAAATAACTCTCTGTTTGAGTAAACTCATCCCTTCCAACCGTGTCATCACCACTTTTCTCTGGCTTCAATCAAATTAAAGACAGTTGCTTTTTATCTAAGCCTCTGATGCTGCCAGTTTTAAGGAAAATTGAGAAACTGCTTTATGGGTCACTTGAAGTAGTACAAGGAACTCAATCATTAAATATCTTTTGAGTGAAACTTCTAGTGACATAATAGAATAACACTCCACCTGAGCTCTGGACCTTTCATAATCCTATTACTTACATAACTGATTCCCACTTGTCCATATGACAGTTCCCTTCCTGTTGTTAGTGATCATTTTTCCCCCAACTTGGGAATTTGTCCTTTTTAAACTTGCAACAGAGAATGATATGTGAATTCCCTCAGGCTGTGTTTTTCTATCACCCTACTCATTTGAGGATGATGCCATTTTTAATGTGGTATATTCTGAAAGATACTAGGCAGGGATATGGCAAAAAATCAAGTATTCATATCTATTAACAGTTTATAATTTATTTTAGATTTTTATTAGGAATAATGAACGAATCTAAGGTATACTTCTTGTAGGTAGAATATTAAAATTCCATAAAATGAATACTTTGCTTAAATAAGTGCATGTGTAGATGAGGAATTTTTCATATCTTTCTGAAGCATAGGCCGTTTTTGCACATGTAACTAGATGAGGTAGAAAATGATTTTGACTCAGCCTCCTAGACTGCTTAAAGCTAGGAAACAATCTTTGGGGTCTAGTGGGCAAACTCTGTTTTACAGATAAGAAAACTGAGTCTTGGTATCTTCACTTAAGTTACCTCTTTGAAGACTGTATTTGTAGAAGGAAAGCAAATTGTAATGAATTTCTTGGAAGAGGACTCGCTGTATCTTTACCAAAACAAAGCAAAATGCGCACATGCACATAACACGTGAATGCTATGAGATTAGTAGAAGACGTAAAGGCTCTAGAACAGTACTGTTCAACTGAAAGATAATGTGAACCACATATGTGATTTAAAATTTTTTAGAAGCTGCCATAAGAAAGATACTAGACACAGGTTAGACACATCTCAGTTCAGACTAGCGACATTTCAAGTGCTCAGCAGCCACCTGTGGTTAGTGGCTACCATAGCCATTGTAAAACTTTCAGTGTAGGTTTAAATTAATTAAAAAAAAAGGCACACTCTTTAATCTGCACCCTTAAGCACACAAAGGGGTGATCTCTGGAGAGGCAGCAGGGCACCCTTAAAATGAAATGGTACTTTCCATTATTTTTTTTGTTATGTTGAGCAGCCCAAGTCTGGCTTTTGGTGGGATGCAACATTGTAGCATTTATTAAGCAGACAGGTAGCTGGAATCCATATACCAGAGGTTGAGAATACCTCATTCCTTCTACAGCATAACATTTCCTGTCTCTGGATGGAACTTCACCATAAAGTCAGATATTGAATAGAAATGAGTAACATTCATTAAACTTCAAATTTTACTAAGATAAGAGAGTAGGAGAAAAAAGAACACAACAAATCTATAGCATTTACTTTCGTTGCATTTTAAGATCAATTTCATATTAAAAACAGTTCATGAGAGAGCAGACATAATGATTTTCATAATGATCTGCTCACTGTGCTGATGCTTATTAACTTTAAATAGTGACATGCTCTGCAGGCTCTCTTACAGCCATTAGACAGAGAAGAGCCCATGCATTCTTGAGGATAGGGAAACATGGCAATTTGTGGATAATTTTCTGACATGCTTAAGCACAGCACTTAGTGGGATCATACTTGAATGCTGAATGTACAGAGAATAAAATCTCAATGTAGACCAAGATAATTTAGAATTTGGAATAATTTTATAGAAATTGAATTAGCAGTACACATCCCCAAACATTATAAATTTAAGGACTTTTGAATATGACACTCTTGGACTCAAATCCCAACTCTGGCACATGTCTGATCTGGGGCAAAGTCTCCTCACTTCTCTGAGTTTGCTCTCTTGCCTGAAGAATATTGTCTTCCCATGTTGCCTGTCTCTTCCAGGATAGATACTCTCAAATTCATCTAGCACATAGGTGGAGCCAGAGAGATTGTCCGTGTTCTACCTGCAAGCAAGGTGACTGAGTGGTGAAGGTCACGGTTTCTGGAGCTAGACTGCTTGGTTGGAAGTTTGGCTCTTCTACTTAGCTAGTGTGCCATCTTGGGCTAGTCACTTAACTTCTCTGTGCCTCACTTTTACAACTGGGGATAATAATTGTGTCTATCTCCATGGATTGTTTTTAAGATTAAATGGAGTGTACTGCTTAGGGCACATCCTGGCATATAAATTGTTGCCATTAGGTATCTATCTATCTACCTTATGACTCCATGCTTAAGATCCTGCCATGCATCCTTCTTACATGTTACATTGAGGATGGAATTAGCACTTCTTAGTGGGATACACAGGCCATTCCTAATTTAGTTCTCACCTGCCTCTGTAGCCTCATTTCCTTTTCCCCCACACAAAACCTGTATTTTAGTCAAACTAAAACTACTCATAGTTTTCCAAGTCTTCCCTTCTTCCCTGCTGTGAAATAGCTCAGTGGTTAAATGCATGAGGCTTTGGAGTCAGTTGCCTGTATTCAAAGCTGGGCTCTAGCTCTTGGCAATTTCTGTGGCCTTGGAAGTTACACAAGCTTCTGTGAACCTGCTTCCTCAGGTTATAAGAATGAGATGAGAAATAAATAAAGTGCTTGGCACAGTGCTTGTACACAGTAAATTCTTAGCTGTTGTGTCCTCAGTTGGAAGGAAATATCTTTTCTCTCATTTTTATTTGGCTTTTCCTTGTCGTTCAAAATGAAGTTCAGGTTTTACCTCCTTAAGGCAGTTTGTTTTCACCTCTACTCTGTGTCCAGAATATCACTCTCTGTCCTGGCATTTATTCACACTGCACTGTACTTGTTAATTTGCTTAATCTGTTTCCCTCACTGGCGTAGGCAGGCGGACAATGTATCCTTGTCATCTTTGTGTCCCAAAGCTTATCATGTATGGGTTATTTAGTAAATGTTCATTGAGGAAAACATGCAATAAAATAGTTGTGAGGATTAAGTGAAATTACCTATTTTGACTGCTTGGCACATAGTAGGAACTCAGTAATTACAAAATACCTTTCTCTTAGACTTACCTTTAGGTATTTATGTTATGAAGGGGAAGGTTTTAAGCTGTACTAAGAAAATTAAGAGTCAATAAATAAGGATCCTGCTCAATGCACAGGCACTTTAGATTCAGTCTCTGTTTGGATGTGTCTTTGGGCATCAGAATAGTGACAGCAATCATCTGGTCCACCAGATTCAAATTATTCCATTTAATACAAATTGTTTTTTTTTGACTCAAAGAATGTTGAAATAATACAGATATAGTAAAGTATGACCATATACCTGCAAGCCCACCCATATGACAGTAATAACAGCTAATATATATTGAGCGTCTATAT
Source organism: Homo sapiens (assembly GCF_000001405.40). Taxonomy (NCBI): domain Eukaryota; kingdom Metazoa; phylum Chordata; class Mammalia; order Primates; family Hominidae; genus Homo; species Homo sapiens. The sequence continues at coordinate 21,246,140 of NC_000011.10, forward strand.
GTCAGGCACTGGGCTAAGAACTTTACAGCATGTATCTCATTTAAATCATACCAGTTTTCTATGAAGAAGGCAGAAGTATTGTCTCCATATTATATGTGAGCAAACTGAGGTGCAGAAAGGATGTCTGAGGCAATCAGCTATGTAGTTTAGGCTAGAGTGGAGGTTAGATGTCAAGAAAAGGTTTATGTAACACTGAAATTGTCATGTGTGTAGATATCAGCATTAGCAAGCTTGGAGAATGCCAAAGCTTTCCATGGAATGGAAAGAGCTGTAAAGGATACAGACATTTCGAGCATGGACATGGATCTAATTATAGTCATGTATTACTTAATGATGGAGATATGTTCTGAGAAATGTGTCCTTAGGCGATTTTGTTGTTATATGTATATAATACAGTGTACTTACACAAACCTAGATGGTATAGCTTACTACATACCTAGACTCTACGATATGGCCTATTTTTTCTAGGCTACAAGCCTATATAGCATGTTACTGTACTTAATATTTGAGGCAATTATAACACAATGGTAATATTTGTCTATCTGAACATATTTGTATTAGTCTGTTTTCATGCTGCTGATAGAGACATACCCGAGACTGGGTAATTTATAAAGAAAAAGAGGTTTAATGGACTCACAATTCCACGTGGCTGAGGAGGCCTCACAATCATGGCAAAAGGCAAAAGGCACACCTTACATGGTGGCAAGCCAGAGAGGAGAAATCTCTTATAAAATCATCAGCTCTTGCGAGATTTATTCACTATCACAAGAACAGTATGGGGGAACCGCCCCCATGATTCAATTATCTCCTACTGGGTCCCTCCCACAACATGTGGGAATTATGGTAGCTACAATTCAAAATGAGATTTGGGTGGGGACACAGCCAAACCATATCAATATCTAAACACAGTAAAAATGTGGTATAAAAGATAAAGAGTGGTACACCTATATAGGGCACTTACCATGACTGGAGCTTGCAGGACTGGAAGTTGCCCTGGGTGAGTCAGTGAGTGAGTGGTTGAGTGAATGTGAAGGCCTAGGACATTGCTGTACACTATGGTAGGCTGTATATACACTGTACACTTTGGCAACGCTACATTTATTAAAATATTTTTCTTCAATAATAAATTAACTTTAGCTTATTATACCTTTTTTACTTTATAAACCTTTATATTTTAAAATCTTTTTGACTGGTTTGCAATAACACTTAGCTTAAAAAACACATTGTACATCTCTGTAAACTAATTTCTTTATAGCCTTATTCTATAAGCTTTTGTCTATTTTTAATTTTTTTTTAACCTTTTGAGGTTTTTTGTTTAAAATGAAGACAAAAACACACACATCACACAGGGTCAGAATCATCAGTATCACTGTCTTCCACCTCCAACTTTTGTCCCGTTAGAGGGTCTTCAGGGGCAATAGCACGCATGGAGGTGTCATCTCCAATGGTAACAGTGCCTTATTCTGGAATATCTCCTGAAGGACCTACGTGGGGTATTTTGTGGTTAACTTTTTAAAATATGTAAGTGGGACTATACAACAATGATTAAAAACAATAGCACAGTAAAGACATAAACCAGTAACATAGCTGTTTGTCACTATCAACTCTTATGTACTGTATATAATTGTATATGCTATACCGTTATATGATTGGCAGCACAGTAGGTTTGTTTACACCAGCATCACCACAAACATGTGATTGATGCACTGGGCTACGACATTATGACCAATAGGAATTTTTCAGCTCCATTATAATTTTTCAGCTTCCTTATAATCTTATGGGACCACCATTTTATATGCAATCCATCATATGGACGGTGGAGGAAGCATTCTCTGAAGAGATGGAGGTATAGAGAAATTTCATTCCCATTGGCAGAAATTTTAAAAGTTATAGCCAGTATCTCTGGTACAAAAAAGAGCAGGAGGCCGGGTGCAGTGGCTCACGCCTGTAATTCCAGCCTTTTGGCAGGCCAGGGCTGGTGGATGGCTTGAGCTCAGGAGTTCAAGACCAACCTGAGCAACATGACAAAACTCCATCTCTACCAAAATACAAAAAATTAGCTGGATGTGGTGGCACGCACCTTGTGGTCCCAGCTACTCAGGAGGCTGACATGGGAGGATTGCTTAAGCCCAGGATGTCGAAGCTGCAGTGATCCGAGATCATGCCACTGCACTCCAGCCTGAGTGACAGTGAGAGCCTGTCAAAAAAAAAAAAGAAAAGAAAAGAAAAGAAACAACATAACAAGACAAAACAAAGCAGGAGAGAGGAAGTGCAGTATCTGATTGTAAGTTTGAATTGAGGTGGATATAGGGATGGACTGCATTTTGGGTGATGGCAAGAAATCAGAGGTTTGTGGCCACTGTTTAGATTAGTCTCAGCCTTCAAATGGTGGTTCCTGAGGTAGAGTCTGGGGAATGATAGCTGTAGAAACTGGATTACAGAGAATTGAGGAGAAAGTAGGTGGTGAGGAAACAAGGACAGCTCAAGTGGAGAATAGGACATCTGTTACTTTTTGCCACCCAGCGTTCTTTTACCCTGCTGCTAAATGTTTCTCGATTTCCTTCTGGGACCCACCCGTGCTCGCTTTCAGTCCATATGGATTTAGCATTGGAACTCATAACTTTTCTTTAAGACCATTATAACAGTGCATTTTCCTGGCCACAAGGACTGGTTCAGGATTTGTCCTGTTACACAAGCCAATCAAAGTAGGTTTGTTTTTGTTTTTTATCCTGGTAATATTGGACAATGAGTCTCATTTTTCTACTGTGGGAGGGAATCTGGAAGAACATGATGACAGGGAAGAGGCTGTCTGAGGAGGAAGCCAACAGAGAGAACTGAATAAAGGGATAAGGTTGAACCAGATCCTGATGATACTGTTGCTGGGGGGCCTCTATACCCAGCCCTGCCTGAAGTCAGGACCACCCCCTAGTTTTGCTTAACCCCATTTAATCAGTTTCTGTCATTTTTTAACAAAGCACTAACTGCTTGTAGGGTAACTCAGCTTCTATGTGAAGAAAAGCAGTAAGAATCCTTCATATCCTAATGGGAAAATCATTGTATTTTTATGAGGGTGAGATATATTTGGTGTAGAGATTATGCAAATCTGGTGATCAAGGTTCTTATTATTAAGCCAAAGGGAAGACAGTGTTTTAGATGGAAGAATAATTAGTAGGTTTGACTACAAAACCTATGCATTTTTCCCTCAGGCATGACCACATTATTATCAATTTCAACAGATATATTCTTGAAAGAAGGTTTTTTTTTCTTATTCACTAAAACAGTTACTTATTTTTTTTTTCATATTTGATAGCAGCTTTTTTTATTGGTTACAAAACCTAAGCCCATATACAAAATTAGGAACACATTTAGATGCCTCTTTTGAAAGAACATTTTGTCTTTTTAAACTGAGTTTAAAAAAAATAAAAACAATGCAATTTTTAAACACTATTTTGAAAACTTAAAAGTGCAGCAATATACTTAGTTTCCTTTATCTACGAAATGGTGCAATTCCAATTCAAAACTGGTAAGGTCACAAATTGAATCAAGGAAATGCATACAAATGTCTGCATTACTTGATGCTAATGTTCACTTGAATGTTAGTTTGCACTTTAAAACATGAGAGGAAATAGGAATCATCACAGTAGAGGCCCAATTTTAATCATAATGTGTGCAAATTTTAAAAGGTAACTGTCAGTTAAGTAAGGAAAGTCCAGAAGAAACTAAACTGGAAGGGGTACAGTTCACAATATCAAGAAGATTTGGACAAAAAACTGCAAAAGTCTAAAATACCCATTGGTGATGTTTTTTAAAAAATCTTGCTTTCAGCTTTCAGGAGTTAATATTCTTTGTTTTAACTTGATAATTGGATATGGTTGATTTATATTGGGTTTAAACTGTGGAGCTTTCATGTTTACTGTAATTTAGTCTTAAAATATTTTTTACTTAGTAACCAGTACTTTTGCTAATGTGGTTGGCAACAAACCAGCAACTATTTAAAAGTGTCATAAGGGTTCATTCTTTGAGTACTGGGAAAGTTAATTCAGATCCTACTCAAAAAGCATCTTCACATATTAAAAGATTCAGACAGGGATCTGTGTAGAGGAGTAATTTGCAGTTATTTAACATAAACCTGATTTGCAGTGATCTCTAAGTAACAGTTACTTATTGTATGAATGCATATGTGGGCTTTTTAGGTACTTTTCTCCTCTCCACTCCACTCGGGGGCCTTTCAGTTTAGGGCTATGACACAGCCACCACTTTGCATCATTTACACCATCCTGAAAACCTGCAGGGCTCTTCCTTGCTCCTGGCTGTTGGAATTGAAATATCTTTTTCCTCTTCTTCAGAATGGTGTTTTGATTTCTTATCAGCTGCCAGCTGGATTTGAAGGCCTATAGCCTAATCACCTAGATAGATAAGGAAAGTTGTCATATTTTGTCTTTGGCTGATAGGAATTTAGAACACAAACAAACTCAAAAGAGTCAACCTTTGGGTAAGATTAAACCAGTGACTCTAATTCAGATCATTCCATAAATTGTATTATCTTGAGCAAAACACTCTATTCCTTGACATTGCAGATTATAAATGTTGGGAATAAAGAGAAATAAGTGAATCCCAAACCTTTTTATATTATGATACACATATAAATTATAATGTTTGATAGGTACATGGAAATAAATAGATGAGGCTTCTCACTGCTAAAGGTGGCCAGGCTGGTTTGAGGGGATCAGTAGCTCAGCATACCTTACCCTATTCTTGACACTCTGGTTGGGAAGCTCTTGAATTTGTAAACCATATGGACTGGGTTTTCGTCCTGGCTCAGTCACTAAGCCCCACTACGTTCTTGTGGCATTCTCTTTTCCTTTTGAGTCCTCGGTTCTGAATGCTTAAATGAGGAATCTGAGGTCTAGTTCAAATGTAAATGCCATTTATCAGGCATATATAAAAAAGCATTATCAGATATAAAAATGGAGGTTTTTGAGATATACTGAGACTTTAAGCATGAAAGCATCTATAAGAGTTTACCACTTAGATCTGTTTAATTACTGCTAAGGACACTTACTTTTTAAAAAACAGCATGCCTACATTATCTAGATACCTGTATGACAGTATGTGATGGACAGTGTCAGGGTCTGACTTAAGCACCCAGAGATTAGTCACAGAATTTCTGAGGTGAGGGCATTCAGATCCTCTATTCCCCCAATATAAAAGGAGACTCTTTAAAAATCATCATTGTATAGTTGCATAGAACATCATGCAAATATGCAATTGAAGATCCAAGCATATAAATCCATAATCTTATACATTATTAACTAGCCTAACCCTCCTTAGTCAAATATAATCACATGAAGTTAGAGACAATTTAGTTCCAGTAACATACTACACTCTCTCCCAGCCCCCCACCTCCACCCGCCATCAACAGCAAGTGCAGACCACTTTCATGGGACAGGGCAGCACTAGATCCACCAGGTAGGAATATTTAGGGACAAATGATCAGGATGTAAGGAAGCTGAAGTTACCACCAGGCAGTGCTCATTCTGGTGGGCAAATCCAGGGTCCAAGGGAATCAATAATTAATGATCATAGTCCAGGTAAACTTTGGCAATGACATGAGGAGGTTCAAGGCGATGGAATGGATCACCATGAAGAAGACTTTGGAGTTGGAAATATTCAATGAACCAAGCAGATTTTGGCTTCAAGATGGTCTGTAAGTGAGTAGTTATGTTACATACACTAAGATGAAGTTCTGGAACAACTTCAATGATAGAGCTTCAGACTACCGGAAAATCAAGGGCAAGAACAAGATTAATGTTCATGAAAGAACAGGGTTGTGTTCATTGAATGCACACAGGCACACACAGAAATTAATGGACACATATGGAGTGTTTACACGCAAGACTGTGTCACATGTTTACACACACTGCTCCATTTAATTCTTGCTAAATCTCCAAAGGACATTCATTATTCTATTTATAGATGAGACAACAGAGACTTAGTAGCTACCAATAGTCACACAGTTAGTAAATGGCAGAAACAAGATTCGAACTCAGGTCTGACTTCAAAGTTCATTTTCTTTTCACTGGTATGTTACAGAGGCTAGGTAACTAGGATCTTGAGAATAGGGACCAAGGAAGAAACACTGAGTAAAATGGGTAGATCCAATTGGTTTTCCTATTGTAACATTGGTTTTGGGGGCAGGTATACCTGTGCCTTAGGTCAGGTTTGATCCATGGAATGGGATAAAAAATGGAGCTAGATCAGGGATCCAGAAGCACAGACCAGAGACTTGACACCAAGTTGTGCCTGACACTCCCGTTTGACCATGCGTAAGTTTCTTTCAAATCTCATGCAGCTAAAGGAAGGTATTTTCATCTGAAAAATTATGGCATGTTATACTTTTTAGGATAGCAGTTTGAACCTCAAAATGAGCTCAGATATATTTTGATATCCCTTGCTAAATTTAGTCAAAAGCTATCAAGTCCCTCTGTAATGAATTTATAATTGGGAATTAATCAGAAATGGAACTAAAATGGAAGCTTCTCATACTCTGATCAAACGTGGAGTTTGAGGTTTTGCTTTCATTTATATGTTTAATCTTTTAGTAGAGCTATCCAAAGAAGGAAAACACTCAGGATAAGTAAGAAGGTCATTAAGAATAACACAAAAGTCTCAAATATTAGATTCTAATCTCTTCGAAGGCAGCTTTCTATTACTTAAACTTAAACATGGTTTTGCATTCTGTGGCCTCTCAGCACCTACCCCTGATTAATAACTTTACAACTTAGTAATTCATGGTCTTGGAGTGTACAACTGCTAATAGTTGAGGTAGCCTAGTCTATACTTTACTTTGAAGTATTTATAGTTGAGTAAATTTATAAAATTTACATTGTTGTAAGTAATCAAATGTCTCTGTGGTTAAGGGTTATCAAGAAATGGTGGAAAACACCTCATTTGTAGACAACCAGGCATTTTAGAGCTAGAATGACCTTTAGGGATCATCTCTCCTATTTAAAGGTCAGGATGCCCTGGGGGAAGGACATACCTATAACCTCTTAATGAAAGAATGAGGCTGAGAACCCAAGTTCTTTAATTCTTGGAAATCTTTTCTTTATTCCATGATGTCTTTCTAGACTATTTTGTTAGTTTCATGGCTATTTTTATCTGTCTGTATATACTGCTGTATATACTAATACTGTAGTGATAGAGTGGTAATTATGATTTACATAGCAATTTGCCTGTTCTCAAAGTAATTTCCACTGTGTCATTTTCCAATGTTTCTAAGAATAACCCTTTAGGTAAATACTGTCTTCAACCTTGTTTTATAGATGATGAAACTGGGATTAAAGAAGGGAAGTAACTTGCTCAAGGTCATACTACAAAGACATACTAGAGCTCAGATTCAAATGCAGATTCTCTGAATATGGAATATATTCTTCTTCCAATGTATTGCTCATAAAGGCAACCATATATATTAATCCAACTTGTGATACTTTTGGGAGTGAGCTATTACTGGTTTCATTGGCAAAACAGCCAGTTCCATATTAGACAAATTGGGATAGAACATGTGATCATTCTATAATTCACTCTATAATAGTCAGTCAGCCAAGGATATATTAGATGTCTAAAGGCAGGGATGTGACGGTTAAAACAAAACAAAAAAACACAGCTTCTGCCATTGAAGAGATTATAATTTTGTGAGGGCTATAAACAAGCAAATCAAGGCAATTAAACAATGTAGTGTGGATATACTCCAATGGAGAAAGGAGGAACCTCAACCTCTTAGTTTAAATTTGAAGGACTAGGAAGGTTTGAAGAAGTTATTTTTAAGTTGACTACTGAGGGGATGCAGATATGAGACAGATAAACAAAGTCAGAGGTTTGCAGAGGGACATGTGGTGAAAAAGAGAAAGAAAATCCATGTAAAGGAACACTGTGGATCAGTTGCAGGGAAGAGCATAGCATGTATATGGAGCTTACTCCTTCTCCATATGCCTGGTCATTCAATTATCAAAATTGCCTGAAAAATATAGGCTACTGATCTACACCAAGAATTTCTTTTCATAGCATTAGGCAATGAAAATAATAAATGTGTCTCTGTGAAGTCAGCATATGTTAAGTATAAGACTAATTGCAAGACTAAATAGAACATTCATAATGGTACCTGAAGAAAATATGATGATAGAAAAAAGCCATTTCCTCTCTACCAAAGAAATTACATTATGGAAATTGCACCATCAGAATGAATTAATAGGTGGCTTAAAAAATTCAATGCCCAGCAAACAAAGGCATAAATTAAGTATCATGAGAAAGGTTAATGTTAAGGTAACATTTGCTCAATTTATACGAAAAAAAGACTTCATGGAGAAAAGGGGATGGGTCAGAAAGGAGATTTGAAATTGGACAGCAGGAGAGTTAACATACACATGCCCGAGGGAGCTGAGATCTGTGGAACTGCCTGGAAATTCGTGTTTGTCTACCAGCCATTTTCAAAAATCTCTGGCCAGGCTTGTGTTTGTTAGTAAGTCCTTGGCGGTTCAGGTGGCAGATACACTGGTGAACATTGATGAAAAGACCAAGCTGAACTGATCTAGTTGGTGAGCTTTCTATTTGCTATTAAGTAGAGTTTTGCTCTCTCTTCTTTTCACAGTACATTTCACAGCCATTTCTGAAAAAGCCCAGCTGTGCCGAGATGGCCACTGAGGGGATACAGTGTGGTTGCATGGAGTTCAGAGACATTTGAGAGCAGCTGAGCAAGCCCCACAGCCTTCAAACACTCATTGAATTGCCTTCCAGAAGCATATTCTTTCACCTTTGTGTGACATGAGAGGGAGCAGAGGGAATGGTAATGATCTGAAATGACAGACATGCTGGGCTAGGATGAGCTAATTTACAGGGTAGAATGCACTCTCCAAATTAACAACAAAGAGACTAGGTGTCCCATGCCCTGTCCTGAGGCCTTTAATGGAGCCAAGTGAGAATATCCTTAACCCTGGGTGGAGTGGTCTTAAAAGAACTATTCGGGTGACAACATCTTCCCCCCCGGAGGTTAAGCTGAGGTTGACATTTATCTTGTCTGTCCACAGAAGCTGAACTTCTGAATCTGACATCTCAGCTTTCTTAAGATTGTTGATAACCTGTGTTCTTTAAATTTCTGTTTCCCAGGAAAGTAATTGTGTTGTTCTTTTAGTGATGGAAAAGCAGAGAAACTCTCCTTAAGAAACCCCCAGGATATATTGTAAGGCAAATAGGCTTTTCTGCTTGAATCATCTACTACAGAGCTAACCACTAAACTCAGAACTTTCTTAGAAAAATATCTTGTGTGCACTAGCTTTGGAGGAAGAATTAGAATGCAATTTGGCAAGATTGCATTCAGGCAAACATCTGGGGGAGAAAAAAACAACTTCAGTATAGCTCGAAAGCTGGAAATGAAGATGTACTGCTAAAGAAGTTACATGTCATACATTTCTACAGTAATCAGCCTGTGTCTCCTCTTCCTTTCCATTTCCTAACACAATTTAATTATTGCATTTCCTGATTGCAGATTATATTTCTTCTATTTTTATATTTGATTATAGAAATATGCTAGAAAAAATAAAGTTTCAGACATACCCAATTCATTCAGGTCTCATTAGCTTGTGCCTACCTATCCAGATTCACTTTTTACTCTTCTCACTTCCACTTCTAATGGGGAACACCTCTTGCTTTGTCTATTTTCATACTTTTGTACTTGCTGGTATTTCTGCTTGGAATTTTCTCTGGGTTTCAACTTTTTAAGAAAATGTTTCTTTTTAAATTCCTTTAGCGCTCAAACATGTTTCTTCCTTTCTCCTCCCATTGCAGACAATTCTTACCTTCATTCTAACACTCGGTATATATATCATATTGTGTCTTTATGTAGCTGTCTCCCCTCCCAGGCTGTGATTCTCTTAAGAACAGACCTAATATCTTTCTTACCTTCATTGCCTAGCATACCATCTGGTCCATAAAGAGCATTCAGTGAATGGATGTCCAACACGACCATTCATGTTTGTGACATTTATTTTTCCAAGGTTCTTTCACTTTGTACCTATATGATATGTAATTTTTACCTCTACTGAGCAATCTTTATATAATGTATATTTGCTCTCTCTGAGAACTAAAGATAGACATAAAGATTGGGGCAACTTGACTTGAGCACATAAATGCTACATTTAGTGGATTTATTTCTGCACTGTGTAGTTAACAGAACTGAAGAGCTACTGATCTGAGTCTGAAGCCAGGTAGAAAACAAATCAAGTGGCAACAATTAAGATCTGGAAGGCAGATCTGCTCTTGGATCTACTAGCACTGGCATTTTTCTTTGGCCTCACGTCATAAGTAGCTTAAGGTCATCATTGTGCTTTGACTGCTTCTTTACCTGGAATTATATAGCAGGTCTCATCCTGACTTCTTGGGGTCAGCTGTGTTCATGTTGGCAAACTGCCAGTGACCTAAAAATGCTCACTTTTGTTAAGATGTGGAGGCTGTTGCCATCACAGTAGGTATGTGACTACTCACATAGTGTCTGTCTTTCAAAGTTCTTGCTCTGGGTGCAACTGTGGAGGCAAGGACAATGACAATGCAGAAGAATGATTAAGAGTGTGAGTGTCTGGCTCTCCCAGAAGACTGTGAGAAAAGGATTTGAGCTCATAGATTGTATCTGGGAGGTGAGCACCGGAAGCACGGGTATAGGGCAATGGGCAAGTGAGACAGGAAAGGCAAGACATCCAGTGTTGGGTACTTCATTCAAGTGAAGTGGGTTACAGCTGTGCACAGCAGGAACCCAATCCTGGTAGGAAATTTTGGGAAAATGTGACCCAAATTTATCTCACTCAGGCAGTATGTCACTGCTACGTAGCTGCTCCACAGGAAAATTAATTTCCTAGCACTAGTTCCTAGAGCTTCCCCTCAGTCTCAGAGATGCAGTTGCTGGCAGTGGGAAGTCAGGCAGGTGTGTGTCAAAATGGTAAGACCCAAGGAGATGTAGGGGAGGGACGAACAGTGTCAACTGTAAGAATATATTAGAATAGAACTCTTCATGTTCCAGTGTGGCCCTGGGATACAATTTATGTGCAGTTTCAAAGTGAGATGCCACACCACTAAGTGGGCATTCTGAAGTAGATATTTTAAAGCTAGTTTCATGATGTTGAGCTCCTCATCTATTTCAAGGATTTGGAAATTTCAAGGAAATGTAGTTAGGATTTTATGATAATACTTTATCTAGAGGAATCTGTCCTGTGAGCCTCACATTTTCATCTGCAAGTGGACTTGCACCTTCCTTTTGATCAGGCCTGGGAGATCTTCAATCAGATCACTTGGAGAGCCTCATCTATGTTGTATGAAGTTTGGTGATACAATAAACTGGAATCTGAGCCCCTCTTGAGACAACCTAGTATGTCAGAGAGACACACTGATGAACTGATTTGGAGGGGAAGTAAAGGTGAACTCCTGAACATTCCAACAAACTGTTAGAGGAGTCATAGATGTTTCCCCATGGCCAGTATGCTGGACTGGACATTCTTGACAACATTCTTTGTCAAGAATGTTGCTTGAAAGAAGCAATAGTACAGTGAGAATACAAATGGATTGAAAGAGAACCAGGAGTTGTGGCTAAAGTGGCCACCTGAATGAGAGCTGTTGCTCATGCCAGTTTAATGGTAGGAGGGGATTATCCATGACAGTGTCCACAACTGTTCATCTGCCACCAGAGCATCCTACCCTAAGTGACAAATGTACCAACCAGCAAGATACATCCCTTTCTCCTAGTCTCTTTTCCTCAATCTGATCCTGGCAGAAGAAAACAAAAAGCAACGTGGGGAAGAGGGAGACACATTGGTGGGAAGAGAGAAAGGACCATGACTCTTTGTCTCACTGTAAGTGCTCAACTACAGGAGACGCCCGAAGTGGAGAAGAAGTTAAAATCAGATGTTGAAGCAAGTTTAAGGTTTGGATTCTTATCTGGGGCTGGACATTTGTCCACAGGACTTGCTGTTATCTGAGAGTGAGAAAAAAATGTTATGTGACTTGCTGAAGGCCAAGATTTCATTTGAGGACAAGGGAAAATCTTTTCCTCCAGTGTCAGAGCCAGAAGAAAAGCTGTTTCTTGATAACATCCTATGGATGGTGTTTGCTGAAGCATGGACTGTGGAAACAGACCTCAATTGAAATTCTAGTTCTGTAGCTAATTAGCACTGTTGTCTTGGTAAAGTATTAATTAGGATTCTCCAGAGAAACAGAAGTAATAGAATGTATATAAAATCAACATATTTTATGGTTAATAATTATGATATTATGTATTTATTACATAATATAAGAAATTGTCTCATGCAATTATGAAGGCTGGCAAGTCCTAAATTTGCAGAGCTGTTGTACTAGTTTGAAGAAAGGCAGGCAGGAGAATTTTCTTATTTGTAGGAAGGTTAGCTTTTTGCCTATTCAGCCCTTCAACTGATTAGATATGGCCCACCTAGGTAATGGAGGGCAATCTGCTTTATTCAGTCTACTGATTCAAAATGTTATTCTCATCAAAAAAACACGCTCACAGAAACACTCAGAATAATGTTTGACCAAATATCCGGGCATCTCATAACCTAGTCAAGCTGACACATAAAATTAACCATCATACTTACACTTTATGAATCCATTTTTATAATCTCATGAGTTGCTTAGAGATTAAGTGAGAAAATTTGTGAAGCATAGGCAGAGATAGAGGTTCAGAAAATGGTAGCCATAATTATTACTAATGGAATTGTTTAGAGAAGCAAGAGTTGGATCCAAGCTTAGGAAATAGAGAACCAGGAACAGTATAGTCACAGGGTCAAATGTAGGCCAGTAGTCAGACCAGCAAAAATAGAACGTCCCTAAGACAAGAAGACTATAAACCTAAGGTAAATTTTGTCTTTGACAAAGAATGCTTTATATTGTTCCTATAGAAGCGGGAGGGGGGCAGTGCAAAAATGGCTGAGGTAACACCTAAAAACACTTGTTGGGCATTTATTGTATAAGAAATACTGTACTAGATTTTGGAGACTCAGCATGAATGAGACACCATCTCCACCCTTGAGGATGTTATAATCTAGATGGAGAAACGTTTGATAACTGTACAATTCTATTGTGCTTTAAGGGAGCCATTATTATAAAGCATAATGGGAGTGGTTTGCTATAATTAGGGGGTCAGGGAAGGCTTTAGAGAAGTGGCCTTATTTCCTTGGGAATTTCAAAGGACAAGTGGGACTTTGCCAAATGGATATGAGGGGTAGACTTTTGGGGCAGAGGAATAGCATGAGTAAAGTTATGGAAATACAATTTTTCAGCCTTTTGGAGAACAGGATATCATGTGATGGTGCTGAGTTGCAATGTGAGTGGACAGCAGATGAAAAGAGTTCCAAGAAGAGTGCTGCAATAGACAGACTGGGGTCGGTAGCCAGGAAGCCTTGAATGCCCTACTAAGAATTTTGGACCTAAATCCATCTAAAACACAAAAGTGACATGCTTACACTGGTGTTTTACAGAGAAAAAAAAGAAGATGCAAAATACTAAGTCGGAGTTTCTCTAGACCACTATAGTCCATAGACCTTTTTCTTTTTTATTCTGTGTTTTCAAAAATGACTTTTTTTCAAGAATTAGCTTGCATAGCTTTTGGGAACCCAGTCTTTATGACTGAAGCAATTCACCCTGTTAAGCAGATTTGCATTTAAGTTGAATTTAAATAGAGTTGTTCTAATCATGTTTTAGAGTAGGGTCATATGTGAGCAATAAATTTGAGATGTGATTTATGTACACTCAAAATTACCACCAAATATTTTATTAATAAATCACCTTTAAAGTACAACTCAGCATAGTTCTCAATTCATTAAGTGAACAGATATTTATTGAGTACCAAATACTATTCTAGATGTGGTGGATATAGCAGGAAACCAAACGGAAAACCTGGCCCATTATATTTGCATGTTAAAATAGTCTTATCACATAATATTCTTTCTGACATTCAGACCTTGGTGAGCACTATAAACCATGTCTCTCAGGCTTTTCCCCACAAATGACACCATTATTATGTTCATTTCATATTGGCTCATTGTGGACATGTTAACAAGGTAATAGGTAAGTGTTAGTTTTCTGTTCTTCTGCTGGTAATTATATTTGACAGGCAGTATTGTGGCTGCCTAAGGATATAGAAAGATTACTGTCCATGAGACTGCTTTTATATCAACAGAATATCTTCATTAGGTGTCCCTTTGTATAACCAGAGAAGCCCAGTATAATGTGACTGGCAAACATGGCTCTTCAGTGGCTTAGAGCATCCTGATGTATTTAGTTTTTAACACAGTCTTGGGCAGTATGGGGCAAAAGCCATATGGAACATTCATCTTCATTTGACCATTTAGGTATGCACATTCTTATCCTTTGACGTCTCATACCAAACTGTAGTTCAGTGAAGAAGAGTGTTTGAAGTTGCTGGAGAATTGTCTGTTTTCTAGCAGGTGACCCAGCAGACTAATAAATATTCAGCAGATAGAGAGTCTTCATCCACAGGAGAGAAAATGACATTATGTCTTGAGGGTTATTGAGGAGCCTCTCCTTTTTTCTTGGCATACTGAAGAAGAATAAATTTTAACTTATACTCATATTGGCTTTACAAATATTAAAAAATTAGCCAGAGCTCACAAAATATGAAGACAGCTTTTTAAATATTTTTTTTTGGTAAGGAGAGAATTATACATGGAAGTTAATTCATTTTTCCTTTAGAAGACATATTAATACTTTCTATCAATTTCTGAAATTATTAAGTGGAGGGAGGTTAGAATATTAAGGGCTATAAATATTCTTTAAGTGGAGGTAATATTAAAGAACCCTCTATACCTTATTGAATAGAAATTCAGTAAGTGATCATAGTTAGCAACTGTATTCAGTTATCAAAGGGTTGCTTAATAAATCATTGCTACTTAGAATGTTAGTCTGCTGGTTCCTCGACATTTTTAAATCATAATTTTGGGCCAGTATAGATAATTTGGGTGAAAATAAAATGAAATGGCCTTTTTTTTTTTTACTTTTATTTCAAGGTCAGGGGTACAAGTGCAGGTTTGTTGCATAGGTAAACTTGTGTCATGGAGGTTTGTTGTAAGATTATTTCATCACTCAGATATTAAGCATAGTACCCATTAGTTATTTTTCCTGATCCTCTCCCTCCTTCCCCTTTCCATCCTTTGAAAGGCTCCAGTGTGTTGTTCCCCTCTACATGTCCTGTTGCTTTAGTTTTATTTCTTTTATTATTTAGATGGACCTAAAATACCCTCAAATATTCCATTTGTACGACTAATTATGATCATAAACTTCATGTTGAGCTAGGCACTGTTCAAATTGCATATATTTAGCCCTCACAAAACTCTGTGAGGAAGATACTATTACCTACCTGCATTTACACAAGAGGAAACAGAGGCAGAGAGCGATTAAAGAATTTGCCCAAGGTCAAGTAGCTATTAATGAAAGAGCCAGGATTAAACCCAAGCAATCTGCTAATTTTTAACCTTTATGCAGTACTGCCTCAAAGGAAAAATCTGTTTATGAACACTGAGAAATTATTTTGTAATTTCAAGTCTCTACATACATGTAGTTTAAAGAACTAAACAGTTCTAGAAAGTTTTATAGGGAAGATTAATCCCTTGGAAACAGTTCCCTATTTCCTATCCCTAGAGGCAACCACTTTCAATGCTTTTAACAGATTCAATTGGTGTTTTCGTTCAGATCTTTAAATAGCACATTTCTTTGCTACTTTGTGATATTTTTAAGTTTTCATTTTTTTACACACCTCTCCACATATCTTCTCGTTAGGTTAGTATCGTTTATGTTATTACGATTGTGCGTGTGCTATTGATAATCTAATCATGGAATATACTTGATTTTCTTTCTTGCATAGCTCTTCGTTCCTCTTGTCATTAAGAATCATCTAATTTATTAATCTTATTATTTAGTTTACTATGGTATTATCATAATTAATCCTCAAACTCCCTCTAGTTGTATAAATACCCTCTAAGACATTAACTCTTTTATGTTCTGGAATAAATCTCCCCCACAGTTTGGTTGATTTCCAGGTTCACTGTGTAGTGAATGTCCTGGGAATATATCTGTACCATGACTCTGGGGTCCTTTTTGCCTCTCTGTCGGGTGAGAGCCCCGTTCCTATGTACTGTGCTTACTTTTCTTAGTTGACCGCTCTGGCTTGGTTCTCCATTAATTACCTGAGAAAGACTACATGGGAGATGAGGTTTTGAGAAATTTCTGCTCTGATAACTGTCTTATGAAGTGAGTTAATATTTACAAATTGCTAAGAAAACTATCTGGCACATGGCAAACAAAACATATACATTTTAAAAATAATTATACCTTCACTCTTGACTGGCAATTTGAAAAGGTATTGTATTTCTGTTTGTAAATCATTGTTCCTTCCTCAGGATTCTGAAAGCATTGTTCCATTGTATCCTAGGTTCCTGTATGGAATTTGAGAAGCCCAATGCTATTCTGACTTTTTATCTTTGGTTTTGAAATCCATTGTTTTAAATTTCATGATGATATTGGTATACATTTTCTTCATCCTGTTGGTCACTCAGTGGACTTTTTCAATCTAGATATTCATAACATTTAAGTCTGTAAATGTTCTGACATGATATCTTTGGTGACTTCTCCTGTACTCTTACTCCTTTTTCCTTGGTCTTCTCTTTCTTTTTCTAGCTTTCCTGTTATTTTGATGCTGGACTTTCTGATTTTTCAATTTTTATACTTGTCTTCTTATTTTACATATATTTGTCATTTTCTTCTAATATCTGGAGACTTCGTTCACTTTATCTTGTAACCCTTTTCATTTCTGTTGTCCTCTTTTATGTTTCAAGACTGCTTTTTCTCTTCCTGTGTTTTCTCATAGCATACTCTGTTTCATGAACATGGTGTCCTTTCACTCTTAGGACATTAATCATGGTGAGTAATCAAGGGATAGTGATAATGAAGTGTTCTGTTAATGGAGTTCTCACATCCTTCTTCTTGGGTTTGTCTACAAATTTGCTGTGGCTTTTGTCTTTTATGTTAGAAGCCTCCCTCAAATGTTTAACCCGGCTTTCCACTCATACTTAAGAGCTCTGCAATAAAACACTAATCGAAAGCTCTGTGCAACTGGAGATGTGATTGTTAATGATTAAATTCAATGTGGGGTAACGGCGAGCCATTCATTCTCTCAGGAAACACCTGATTGTCAATTTAAGTATTTTTAGTTTGTTTGTTTCCTTAGAAAATATTCTTCAAAATTCCTGCCCAGGCAATAAAAGCCATCTTTCAGCATTCTGATTGCCATATACACTTTCACTGATTTCCCGGTATTCAATATGGAATCTGCATTCAGTTGTGTGTGGTGTTCCATAGTGCAGAAAATAAATCTCCCATCTTTTTCTAGGCTGGTGGAGAGGCAGTCATCTAACTGGGCAGAATGGGAAGAGGAACCAGGTGTATACCTAGTTTTTAAGGAGACTTTCATCCTATATTTAGCTGCCATTGTCAGAAGTATCTGGTGGTGTTAATTCCTGAGCCTCTTAAATCCCATGGTGCAAAACAAATTGTTTCTTGGCTTTTCTCACTGAGTGTTTGAATTCAGCTTTTTCAGATCTGAGAAAGCAGTCATCACTCCTTCATCTGCTTCTAAGTTTTCAAAATTTTGTTGAGTTACAATTCTCACAGCCTTTATAGGTATATAATCCTTAAAAAATGGAAAAAAAGCTCTTAAATATATAACTTTAATGAAATTTCAAGAAGGAGCAGATGAAATTATGTGCATTTAGCCAACCATGTTTATTTGGAAACTTGTTTATAGAGAATTTTTTTGTTTTGCCTAATTACCAGCTTCTCTGTTAGATGTCTGAAAGTCTACAATGGGGTGTGTGTGTGTGTGTGTGTGTGTGTTTGTGTGTCTGTCTGTCTCATCCTTCCCTCCTTAGGAATAGGGGTGGGAGGGGGAATGTAGCACCTAGAGACATATAAAAGCACAGGAGAAGAAAAGCAGCATGATATAGGGAAAAAGAGCACAGGCTTAGGAGGAAGAGACCGAGATTGAATCTTCTGCTGACTTTGAGTTATTAATCTTTTTGGCATCTCACTTTCCTTATCTATGAAGTGATTAGAATAACAGCTGTCTTGTAGTTGCATTTTGCAGATGGAGATAAAGTGTCATCCTGCACAAGCCTTGAATATGGTGCCCAGTGGAGGCCATGTTGTATCTGGAATGAAGGAAGAACATTTGCCAGCAGGAGATGGGAAGGCTGGAGGGAATCTTTTTGAGAATATTTTCAGATATGTATAGTTTGTACAATTATATCTACTTTGTAATATTGACCAGGGCTAAACTACTTGGCTAAAATATCTGGCTTCTGAAAGCCCCCACTAATTTCTAGATCTTTTAGTTATTATAATAACCTTACTATAGGAATTGGGTCACAGTGGTTTAACAAATGTGGAGTGTACCTTATAGCAGACTATGAATTTGGGGCTAATTGAAATAGAGACTTTTGGGGAAAACTCAGTGTATGGTTGCCTGAGCTGGTGACAACAGTTGTGGAGTGTGTGTGTGTGTGCGTGCGTGTGTTGAACTAAAACAGATACTTTTACCAGAGAGCACTTCATTGACTCATGTATCCTTTCATTATTAGCACAAAGAGATTCTCTTGCTTTATCCTATTTAAAAAGAAAGCCTCCAAAATAGAGAGCAGTTGAAGAAAAATAATAATAAAACATATGAATAGTTCTTGGAAGGACACAATCCTCCTAGATAGGGAGAAAGATAATTTAGAGTGGCATAGTAAAGGCCTTAGGTAATAGAAAAGTATTTAATAGAGTTGTTCATGTGGCTGTAATGTTTAGTTAGAAGGGAAGATAAAAGATAAGCTGTTTCCAATTTCTAATTTACCTGTAATCTTGAGTCTTCACCTGTCATCTTTTCAAGAAAGGCTAACTTTTGCTGCTTAAACATCACTTTCGTGAGTAGACTATAAACACCTCTATTTCAGCCAAAAACCAAAAAAATTCAGCATGAATAATGTGAACTATTCACCCCCTCCTTAATACTTTCTTTGCAAAGGAAGATGTTTTTCTTTTACTAAATAAAAACTATATTCAGAAGGCTCTTCTTAGTGTAAAAATAGGGGTATCACTTCCTCAAACAAGGGCTACAGTGGATTTGGTATTATATAATGTGTATTCTCTTTTGGAAAACAGCAAGGACATTTCTAGAATCCTTTAAATCTGGCTCTCCACAGTTTTCTGCCATCTGTCAGCTCTTCTGTGGTTATTAAATAGTGATGGCATGACAGGTGAGAAATTGCATTAATTGTGCAATAGAGAAAATGGAACAAATTAAGTATCTCTGTATTGATTCTTTTTAGAAAAAAAAGTAAATAAAACAATGTTTATAATCATTGGTTCTCTAGGACAACATCCAATAAGTCTCAAGAGCTTTCTTGAAGAGTATGTGTGTCTGTGTGCATGTTTTAAAGTTTCTGTTTGCATTAAGGCAAATCTTTGGTATAAAATAGTCTTGGGTTCTTAAAACTTTACTGTCTCTCTCTCTTTTCTGAAGTTCATATTTTCCTTTTTAAGGTAGTATCTTTCTGAGCCTTGTATTTTTATTTCAGAAATTCTTTAATGTCTGTGTACCACGCTAAGGGTATTCTACAAATTCTTAGTTTTTCATTCAAGGCCCTCTACCCTCTGACCCCAATTTACTTTCCCTATTTTTTGGTCAATATTTTTCTACATAAATCCTTCCTTTCAGCCAAACAGGAATGCTTAGTGTACCCCACAGACCTTTCAGTTTTGCCTCTGTGTCAAAAATCCTCTCCCTTCCTCTGCACTTACCTGCTACTAGCCCCTCCTTAAGATTGGATGATTCCCTAACCCTCCTAGTCCAGATACGCAGTCAGTTCATCTATGCACTTCCACAACCCAGTGAGGTCACTCTGGAACCATTTAGCATGAACTGGCAGTTCGCATTCCATTTAGGTATTTTTTTTTTAACTCGGCTTAGAATGTAACCTCTGTGAAGGCAGTAGGTTTTATATTTGTTTCATAGTATTTTTTTCCCTGACATTAAAATGTTCACTTGTGTGTTGCTTGTCTGTCCATCAATCATCTATCTACCTATTTTTACTCTCTGCTATTTGTTCCCACTTGAATATAAGCTCCAAAAGATATCAGGAACCTTGCACAGGCTACAGAGGTTGCACATGGCAGACATTTGGCTCTGCAGCTCATGCTTTTAACCAGTAATCTACGTGGGCCCATGAAGCTTATCAATGACTCCATCATTGCCATTTCTAACTTTACTTACCTTTCAACAGGATTTTGACACGTTGACCCTTTATCCTTTGAATGTTGCACTTCTCTTGGCTTCTGTGACACCCTTCTCTCTCTCTTTTTCTACATTCCAGCTAATTATCTTGTCATCTTCTTTTGACAGTTTAAATATTGGTGGTCCCCGGTTTTGTCATCATCATTTTTCTGTGCTTTCTCTACAGTCCTCTTCCTAGCCTAGTCCTCTTGATCTTAGTGGCATGACACATTACAGGATCACGATCAGTTATAGCACGTGTCAAAACTACTCACTCATAAGAATTGTTATAAGGATTTGTGAAAATTTTAAATTTTTAATTAATTAGACTCACCTCAAATTTACCATTATAAGAATGTCACACTTATGCATTTATTTTTCAATAGTGTGTACCTACTTGTGTGTGAAAACATGGAATTAGAGTTAGCTGTAAGTGAATTTCTCATAATTCTTAGCCTATTTTATATTTGCTGAAAACATCCATGAACTATGATTATTGATGTGTCATTAAGAGTTATAACAATTTTGAAATATTATAGTCTATAAACTGTGGATTTATAGGTATGTTTCTTTTCTTGATTTATCCATGGGCACATTTTTAATAACAAAGAGAGATGAAGAAAATGTATATGCATCTACATCCTCATGGTATAGAAATGAGAATGAGGCTGTCCTTACAATCTCCAAATCAAAGACAAAGTGATCATTCAAATAGTGTGTGCAATAATGTTACTTATAATAATATCATGAATAAATAGAAATACTACTCACTATACTTTTTAATGATAAAATGATAATTTAAAAATTACTAGTAATACATTTTTATTTCCTTGTATTACCTGTGGGGGTTTGAATTTAGTCTTCAAAATATAGTTCAAAATAGTTTTTATGTTAGATTAACCATATATGCATTTTTTTCTCTCCAAGAAATGATGTTTTAAGATAATTAAATATGTGATTTTACTGATCCTTTGGTAGTAAAATGCTTTTGCGAGTATGATCTATAAAAACAGTTTGGGAGTTCTTTGCTTTATTTGGCCAACTACTTTTGTTTGTAAGTGTGTGTGTTTGGTTTTCATTACAGTCTGAGTATGTTCCTGGGAGTGTGTCTCATATGAATGTCATTCACATCTGTCATAGCAGAAGAAAAGTTGAAAACCTCTGCTCTAGGCTATTTTATATACTCTTTTGTATTTAACTCTTGTCCATATGTTGATGACTCTTGAATCGATATCATCACCCACAATAACTTATCCAGGGCTGCAGTCATTTATTAAGCCACCTACTGGGCATCTTTATGTGGATGTCCTACCAGTTTCTGACTTAAAGTTTATTTTATCTGATATAAATGTAGCTCCTCCTGCTCTGTTTTGGTTTTCATTTGCATGAAATGATTTTCTCCATTCCTTCACTTTCAGTAAATGTGTGTCATTATAGGTGAAGTGAGTTTCTCATAGACAGCATATAGTTAGGTCTTGTTTTTAATCTATTTAGCCATCCTTTGTCTTTTAGTTAGAAAATTTAGTGAAGTTAGGTCACAGGGAAAACTGCTGCCCCCCAAACTGGAAAGACAGACAGGCAGAAACAAAGAACTTAAGGAAGAAAAACTCCAAACTGAAACTTATGTGGGAACCAGGACCAGGGTAGGGAAACCTGAAATATAACTGATTAATTGCTTTAGGCTTATAGACTAATGTGAGTGTTTAAAACTCCATAGGGTCGGAGGATGGCGATAGAGAGGCCCTCACACTTTTGTGAGCTTTACATCCAGGAGCTTGACCAGCTTCTAAGAATGAAAAATTCCCCTATGCTTCTGGCAGGAGGAGAAGAGAAGAAACCATGTGGACATATGCCAGAGCATTCTGTTCTTAACAAAACCTGCCTTTAAGAGGAACTATTTTATTTAGCACAGCCTGAACTGTAGGGGTTTTTATCAGAGCCTACCCAATCTAGGGGAAAGGAAATACCCAACTCCAGCCACCTCCTAGCCTTCCACATGGGGGAAGAAAAATTCACAGCTCCAGCCCACTCTAACCAACCTGTCCCACCTGAGTCTTGTGGGGTGGAGATGGAGAAGCACTTGTGAAATTCATAGTTCAGAGGCACAGTCTTAATGAAAGAATGAGACCTAATCATATAGAATGCTAACCCCTCAACAACTTCCCACCACATTACAAAAGGTCTGTTTATTACAGTCCCTTTTACATAATACATCATGTCATGTCTGGTTATCAAGAAAAAATGGCAAGGGATACTAAAAGGAGAAAGCACAGTTTTAAAACATAGAGCAAGTATAAAAACCAGACTCAGATGTGGCAGGAATATTGGGAGTAGACCTGGAATTTAAAACAGGTATGGTTAACATGAAAAGGATTCTAATGGATAAAGTAGACAGAATGTAAGAACAGATGGTCAATGTAATCAGAGAGATGGAAATTCTAAGAAAGGATTGAAAAGAAATGCTACAGAAGAAAAAATCTGTAGCAGACATGAAAAATGCCTTTTTTGTGCTAATTAGTAAACTTTACATGGCTGAGGAAAAAAAATCTCTGAGCTTGAAGATATATTAATGGAAACTTCTAAAATGGAAAAACAAAGAAAAAGAAAACTGAGAAAAAAACAAAACAAAACAAAAAGCCAAAGAACTGTGGGACCACCATAGAATGTGTAAATGCATATAGTGGGAATATCAGAAGAAGAAAACAAAAAGAAACAATAGGAATATGGGAAACAATAATGACTGAGAATTTTCTAACATTAATGTCAGACAACAAACCATGTATTCAGGAAGCTCAGAGAAAACCAAGCAGGATAAATGCCAAATTGCCAAATCCCTCTCTCTCTCTCTCTCTCTCTCTCTCACACACACACACACAGAGGCATATCCTATTCGAACTGCAGAAAACCAAAGATAAAAATTCTTGAAGAAATTCAGGAGAAAAAAAAATTCTTACCTAGAAGACCAAAGAGAATTACCACTGATTTCTTAGAAATCATGCAAACAAGAAGAGAAAGGTATGAAATATGTAAGTGTTGAGGGAAAAAAAGCAACTTAGAATGCTGCACCCAGTGAAATTATCCTTCAAAAGTAGAGGAGACATAAAGCCATTTTCAGACAACAAAAATTGAGGGTTTTGTGCCAAGCAGACCTACCTTACAAGAAATGTTGAAGGTCTTCATAGAAGAGGAAAATCATATAGTTCAAATCATGGATCTACATAAAGAAAGAAAGAGCATCAGCGAAAGAATTAGCAAAATTAAAATTAAAACTTTTCCCTTATCATTAATTGATCTAACAGATAACAGTTTGTTCAAAATCATAGCAACAATGTATTCGATTATATACTCTTATATAAAAGTGAAATGAATGACAGCAATGATACAGTGATGGGAGAGAGAATTAGGCTTCTTTTGTTATCATAAGGTTCTTGTACTCTCTATGAAGTAGTATAGTATTATCTAAGGGTATGCTGGGATTAATTATAAATGTATATTGAAAACTCTGTGGCAATCGCTTTTTGTTTAAAAAAAAGTATATTGCTATGCTAAGAAAAAAGAAAAATAGAATATCATAAAATGATTAATGAAAACCTCAAAAAGAAGACAAAGATTGGAAGACTAAAATAGAAGCAAGGACACAGGTAGTGAAAAGAAAGCAGTAATAAATATAGTAGTGTCACTTGTGTCAACAATCAGTGGTCTAAATATACCAATTAAAAGATACAGAATATCAGAGTGGATCAAAAGACAAGACCCAACTACGTGCTGTCTACAAAATACTCACTTTATTAAAAAATATACAGATTAAAAGCAAATGGAAGAAGAAATATATATCATGCTAATACTAAAATGAAATCAGAATAGCTATATTAATTTCTGACACAACAGACTTCAAAGCAAGAAAAATTATCAGGGATAAATGGGCATTACATAATTTTAAAAGGGTTAATTCTCCAAAAAGATATACACAATCTTTTTGTGTATGTGCCTAACATGAGAACCTCAAAATACATGAGTAAAAACTGACCAAACTAGAAAGAGAAACAGATGAATTCACTAATATAGTTTGACAATTAGACACTCCTCTTTCTGAAATAAACAGAGTCTGCTGGCAGAAAATTCTTAAGGACATAGCAATAATACCACATTAATCAACTGGATATAATTGACATCTATGAACTACATCATTCAGTGACAGCACAACACACATTCTTCTCAAGCTCACATGGAACATTCATCAAAATAAACCATGTTCTGGGTCATAAAGCAGACCTTAGCACATTTAAAAGAACAGAAATTATCATACAATATCTGCATTCATGCCACAATAGAATTAAAATGGAAATCAATAACAGCTGGAGAACTCCAAAATTATTGGGGATTAAACAACACACTTTTAAGTAACCTATGGGTCAAAACAGAAATCTCAAAAGAAATTAAAAATATTTTAAACTAAATAAAAATAAGATAAAATTTTTCAAAATTTGCAGGGAAGGCTGTGCTTAGCATTGAATGCACATATTAGAACAAAAGAAAGATTGGAGAGTAATGATCCAAGCTTCCACCTTAGGAAACTAGAAAAAAATTAGATCCAAAATAAGCAGGAGAAAACATATAATAAAAATTAGTGCCAAAATCAATGAAATTGAAAACAGGAAATCAATAGAGAAAATTAACAAAAATAAAACCTAGTTCTTTGAAAAGATCAACAAAATTGATGAACCTCCAGTCAGGCTAAGACAAAAAAGAAGGAAGACAAATCACTAATATCAGTAATGAAAAAGAGGATATCACTGTAGTCTCATGGACATTAAAAGGTTATACAGCAATATTATGAACAACTCTCTATGCCCAAAATTTGATAACCTATGTAAAATGAACCAATTTCTTGAAAGATAATTCTCACAGAAGAAGACATAGATTATCTGAATAGGCCTATATCTATTACAGAAATTGAACCAATAATTAATAACAGTTTCAAACAGAAGCACCAGGCCCAGATGGGTTCACTGGTGAATTCTACCAAACATTTATGAAAGAAATTATACAAATTCTCCACAATCTCTTCCAGAATACAGAAGCATTGGGAATACTTCCAAATTCTTTGTGAGGCCAACATTACTCTAATACTAAAACCAGACAAAAACATCACAAGAAAAGAAAACTATAGCCTGGTATTTCTCATGAACATAGATGCAAAAATTCTCAACAAAATATTAGTGAATTGACTCCGACAGTTATTTAAAAAAATACACCATAACCAGGCGGTGTATATTATCCCAGGTAAGGCAAGACTGGTTCAACATTTGAAAATCATTTGAATTGATGTGTTCAGCACATCAAAAGGCTAAAGAAGAAAAATCACATGATCATAACAATAGATGCAGAAAAAGCATTTGACAGTGTGGAGCCAAGATGGCTGAATAGGAACAGCTCCAGTCCACAGTTCCCAGCATGAGCGATGCAGAAGATGGGTGATTTCTGCATTTCCAACTGAGGTACTGGGTTCATCTCACTGGGGAGTGTCGGAAAGTGGGTGCAGGACAGTGGGTGCAGTGCACCGAGCATGAGCCGAAGCAGGGCAAGGCATCGCCTCACCCAGGAAGCGCAAGGGGTCAGGGAATTCCCTTTCCTAGTCAAAGAAAGGGGTGACAGACAGCACCTGGAAAATCAGGTCACTCCCACCCTAATACTGCACTTTTCCAACAGTCTTAGCAAATGGCACACCAGGAGATTATATCCCACCCCTGGCTCGGAGGGCCCTACGCCCATGGAGTCTCACTCATTGCTAGCACAGCAGTCTGAGATCAAACTGCAAGGCAGCAGTGAGGCCGGGGGAGGGGGCGCCTGCCATTGCCAAGGCTTGAGTAGATAAACAAAGCAGCTGGGAAGCTCGAACTGGGTGGAGCCCACCGCAGCTCAAGGAGGCCTGCCTGCCTCTGTAGACTCTACCTCTAGGGGCAAGGCACAGCCAAAGAAAAGTCAGCAGAATCCTCTGCAGACTTAAATGTCCCTGTCTGACAGCCTTGAAGAGAGTAGTGGTTCTCCCAGCACGCAGCTGGACATCTGAGAATGGACAGACTGCCTCCTCAAGTGGGTCTCTGACACCCGAGTAGCCTAACTGGGAGGCACCCCCAAGTAGGGGCAGACTGACACCTCACACGGCCTGGTACTCCTCTCACACAAAACTTCCAGAGGAACGATCAGGCAGCAACATCTGCTGTTCACCAATATCTGCTGTTCTGCAGCCTCCACTGCTGATACTCAGGCAAAGAGGGCCTGGAGGGGACCTCCAGCAAACTCCAACAGACCTGCAGCTGAGGTTCCTGACTGTTAGAAGGAAAACTAACAAACAGAAAGGACATCCACACCAAAAACCCATCTGTACGTCACCATCATCAAAGACCAAAGGTAGATAAAACCACAAAGATGGGGAAAAAACAGAGCAGAAAAACTGGAAACTCTAAAAAGTAGAGCACCTCTTCTCCTCCAAAGGAATGCAGCTCCTCACCAGCAATGGAACAAAGCTGGACGGAGAATGACTTTGACGAGTTGAGAGAAGAAGGCTTCAGACGATCAAACTACTCCGAGCTACAGGAGGAAGTTCAAACCCATGGCAAAGAAGTTAAAAATCTTGAAAAAAAATTAGACGAATGGCTAACTAGAATAACCAATACAGAGAAGTCCTTAAAGGACCTGATGGAGCTGAAAACCAAGGCATGCGAACTACGTGATGAATGCACAAGCCTCAGTAGCTGATTCAGTCAACTGCAAGAAAGGGTATCAGTGATGGAAGATGAGATAAATGAAATGAAGCGAGAAGAGAAGTTTAAAGAAAAAAGAATAAAAAGAAACGAACAAAGCCTCCAAGAAATATGGGACTATGTGAAAAGACCAAATCTACGTCTGATTGGTGTATCTGAAAGTGACAGGGAGAAAGGAACCAAGTTGGAAAACACTTTGCAGGGTATTATCCAGGAGAACTTCCCCAATCTAGCAAGGCAGGCCAACATTCAAATTCAGGAAAGACAGAGAACACCACAAAGATGCTCCTCGAGAAGAGCAACTCCAAGACACACAATTGTCAGATTCACCAAAGTTGAAATGAAGGAAAAAATGTTAAGGGCAGCCAGAGAGAAAGGTCGGGTTACCCACAAAGGGAAACCCATCAGACTAACAGCTGATCTCTCGGCAGAAACTCTACAAGCCAGAGGAGAGTGGGGCCAATATTCAACATTCTTAAAGAAAAGAATTTTCAACCCAGAATTTCATATCCAGCCAAACTAAGCTTCATAAGTGAAGGAGAAATAAAATCCTTTACAGACAAGCAAATGCTGAGAGATTTTGTCACCACCAGGCCTGCCCTGAAAGAGCTCCTGAAGGAAGCACTAAACATAGAAAGGAACAACCAGTACCAGCCACTGCAAAAACATGCCAAATTGTAAAGACTATCGAGGCTAGGAAGAAACTGCATCAACTAACGAGCAAAATAACCAGCTAACATCATAATGACAGGATCAAATTCACACATAACGATATTAACCTTAAATGTAAATGGACTAAATGCTCCAATTAAAAGACTCAGACTGGCAAATTGGATAAAGAGTCCAGACCCATCAGTGTGCTGTATTCAGGAAACCCATCTCACGTGCAGAGACACACATAGGCTCAAAATAAAAGGATGGAGGAAGATCTACCAATCAAATGGAAAACAAAAAAAAGCAGGGGTTGCAATCCTAGTCTCTGATAAAACAGACTTTAAACCAAGAAAGATCAAAAGAGACAAGTCCATTACATAATGGTAAAAGGATCAATTCAACAAGAAGAGCTAACTATCCTAAATATATATGCACCCAATACAGGAGCACCCAGATTCACAAAGCAAGTCCTTAGAGACCTACAAAGAGACTTAGACTCCCACACAATAACAATGGGAGACTTTAACACCCCACTGTCAACATTAGACAGATCAACAAGACAGAAAATTAACAACGATATCCACGAATTGAACTCAGCTCTGCACCAAGCGGACCTAATAGACATCTACAGAACTTTCCACCCCAAATCAACAGAATATACATTCGTCTCAACACCACATTGCACTTATTCCAAAATTGACCACTTAGTTGGAAGTAAAGCACTCCTCAGCGAATGTAAAAGAACAAAAATTATAACAAACTGTCTCTCAGGCCACAGTGCAATCAAACTAGAACTCAGGATTAAGAAACTCACTCAAAACCGCTCAACTACATGGAAACTGAACAACCTGTTCCTGAATGACTACTGGGTACGTAACGAAATGAAGGCAGAAATAAAGATGTTCTTGGAAACCAGTGAGAACAAAGACACAACATACCAGAATCTCTGGGACACATTCAAAGCAGTTTGGAGAGGGAAATTTATAGCACTAAATGCCCACAAGAGAAAGCAAGAAAGATCTAAAATTGATACCCTAACATCACAATTAAAAGAACTAGGGAAGCAAGAGCGAACACATTCAAAAGCTAGCAGAAGGCAAGAAATAACTAAGATCAGAGCAGAACTGAAGGAGATGGACACACAAAAAAACCCTTCAAAAAATCAATGAATCCAGGAGCTGGTTTTTTGAAAAGATCAACAAAATTCATAGACTGCTAGCAGACTAATAAAGAAGAAAGGAGAGAAGAATCAAATAGACGCAATAAAAAATGATAAAGGGGATATCACCACCGAACCCACAGAAATACAAACTACCATCAGAGAATGCTATAAACACCTCTACGCAAATAAACTAGAAAATCTAGAAGAAATGGATAAATTCCTAGACACATACACCCTCCTGAGACTAAACCAGGAAGAAGTTGAATCTCTGAATAGACCAATAACAGGCTCTGAAATTGAGGCAATAATTAATAGCTTACCAACCAAAAAAAGTCCAGGACCAGATGGATTCACAGCCGAATTCTACCAGAGGTACAAGGAGGAGCTGGTACCATTCCTTCTGAAACTGTTCCAATCAATAGAAAAAGAGGGAATCCTCCCTAGCTCATTTTATGAGGCCAGCATCATCCTGATACCAAAGCCTGGCAGAGACACAACAAAAAAAGAGAATTTTAGACCAATATGCCTGATGAACATCAATGCAAAAATCCTCAATAAAATACTGGCAAACCAAATCCAGCAGCACATCAAGAAGCTTATTCAATATGATCAAGTGGGCTTCATCTCTGGGATGCAAGGCTGGTTCAACATACGCAAATCAATAAATGTAATCCAGCATATAAACAGAACCAATGACAAAAACCATATGATTATCTCAGTAGATGCAGAAAAGGCCTTTGACAAAATTCAACAACGCTTCATCCTAGAAACTCTCAATAAATTATGTATTGATTGGACATATCTCAAAATAATAAGAGCTATCTATGACAAATCCACAGCCAATATCATACTGAATAGGCAAAAACTGGAAGCATTCCCTTTGAAAACTGGCACAAGACAGGGATGCCGTCTCTCACCACTCCTATTCAACATAGTATTGGAAGTTCTGGCCAGGGCAATCAGGCAGGAGAAGGAAATAAAGGGTATTCAATTAGGAAAAGAGGAAGTCAAATTGTCCCTGTTTGCAGATGACATGATTGTATATTTAGAAAACCCCATCGTCTCAACCCAAAATCTCCTTAAGCTGATAGGCAACTTCAGCAAAGTCTCAGGATACAAAATCAATGTGCAAAAATCACAAGCATTCTTATACACCAATAACAGACAGAGAGCCAAATCATGAGTGAACTCCCATTCACAATTGCTTCAAAGAGAATAAAATACCTAGGAATCCAACTTGCAAGGGACGTGAAGGACCTTTTCCAGGAGAACTACAAACCACTGCTCAATGAAATAAAAGAGGATACAGAGAAATGGAAGAACATTCCATGCTCATTGGTAGGAAGAATCAATATCGTGAAAATGGCCATACTGCCCAAGGTAATTTATAGATTCAGTGCCATCACCATCAAGCTACCAATGACTTTCTTCACAGAATTGGAAAAAACTACTTTAAAGTTCATATGGAACCAAAAAAGAGCCTGCATTGCCAAGTCAATCCTAAGCCAAAAGAACAAAGCTGGAGGCATCACACTACCTGACTTCAAACTATACTACAAGGCTACAGTAACCAAAACAGCATGGTACTGGTGCCAAAACAGAGATATAGACCAATGGAACAGAACGGAGCCCTCAGAAATAATGCCACATATCTACAACCATCTGATCTTTGACAAACCTGACAAAAACAAGCAATGGGGAAAGGATTCCCTGTTTAATCAATGGCGCTGGGGAAACTGGCTAGCCATACGTAGAAAGCTGAAACTGGATCCCTTCCTTACATCTTATACAAAAATTAATTCAAGATGGATTAAAGACTTAAATGTTAGACCTAAAACCATAAAAACCCTAGAAGAAAACCTAGGCAATACCATTCAGGACATAGGCATGGGCAAGGACTTCATGTCTAAAACACCAAAAGCAATGGCAACAAAAGCCAAAATTGACAAATGGGATCTAATTAAACTAAAGAGCTTCTGCACAGCAAAAGAAACTACCATCAGAGTGAACAGGCAACCTACAGAATGGGAGAAAATTTTTGCAATCTACTCATCTGACAAAGGGCTAATATCCAGAATCTACAATGAACTCAAACAAATCTACAAGAAAAAAACAAACAGCCCCATCAAAAAGTGGGTGAAGGATATGAACAGACACTTCTCAAAAGAAGACATTTATGCAGCCAAAAGACACATGAAAAAATGCTCATCATCACTGGCCATCAGAGAAATGCAAATCAAAACTACAATGAGATACCATCTCACACCAGCTAGAATGGCAATCATTAAAAAGTCAGGAAACAACAGGTGCTGGAGAGGATGTGGAGAAATAGGAACACTTTTACCCTGTTGGTGGGACTGTAAACTAGTTCAACCATTGTGGAAGTCAGTGTGGCGATTCCTCAGGGATCTAGAACTAGAAATACCATTTGACCCAGCCATCCCATTACTGGGTATATACCCAAAGGATTATAAATCTTGCTGCTATAAAGACACATGCACATGTATGTTTATTGCGGCACTATTCATAATAGCAAAAACTTGGAACCAAGCCAAATACCCATCAGTGATAGACTGGATTAAGAAAATGTGGCACGTATATACCATGGAATACTATGCATCCATAAAAAAGGATGAGTTCTTGTCCTTTTTAGGGACGTGGATGAAGCTGGAAACCATCATCCTCAGCAAACTGTTGCAAGGACAAAAAACCAAACACTGCGTGTTCTCAGTCATAGGTGGGAATTGAACAATGAGAACACACGGACACAGGAATAGGAACATCACACACCGGGGCCTGTTGTGGGGTGAGGGAAGGGGGAGGGATAGCATTAGGAGATATACCTAATGTTAAATGACGAGTTGCTGGGTGCAGCACACCAACATGGCACATGTATGCATATGTAACTAACCTGCACGTTGTGCACATGTACCCTAAAACTTGAAGTATAATAAAAAAAAAAGAAAGAAAAAGCATTTGACAAAATCCAACACCTATCATTGATAAAAACCCTCAGTAAACAAGGAATAATAGAAGCGAACTTCCTCAACTTGATAAAGAACATATACAAAAACCCTACAGCAATGTCACACAATAATGAGAAACTACAAGATTTGCTGCCAAATTAGGAAGAAGGCAAGTATATCCCCTCTTACCACTGTTTTTTTCTTAGCATAGTATTCTAAATCATAGCTAATGTATTAAGAAAATAAAATAAAAGGTGTAGTTACTGGAAAGAAAGAAATAAAACTGCATTTGCTTTTACATACCATGATTATCTAAGTAGAAATTTTTTAAAAAATCAATTAAAAAATCCCTTCTGAAACTAGTAAGTGACTATAGCATAGTGGCAGAATATAAGGTTAATGTACAAAAGTCGATAGTTTTTTCTGTATACTGGCAATGAACAAGTGAAATTTAAAATTAAAAACAATGCCGGTTATATTAGCAACCCCAAAATGATATACTTAGATTTAAATCTAACAAAACATGGACGAGATCTATAAGAGGAAAACTATAAAACTCAGTTTAAAAAAAATCAAAGAACTAAATAGAGAGATAATCCATGTTTATGGATAGGAAGACTCAATATTGTTAGGATGTCAGTTCTACCAAATTTGATTCAAGATTTTATGCAATCCCAATAAAAATCGTAGGGAGTTACTTTGTGGATATTGATAAACTGATTCCAAAGTTTATATGGACAGACAAAGACTCAGAATAACCAACAGAGTACTAAAGGAGAACAAAGGTGAAGAATTGACACTACCAGATGTGAAGACTTACTATGAAGCTACAGTAATCAAAACAGTGTAGTACTGATGAAGAATAGACAAACAAGTCAATGCAAGAGACTAGAGAGCCAGAAATAGATCTATAGTAATATAGTCAACTGATCTTAGACAAAGGAGCAAACACAATATCATGAAGGAAAATTGTCATCTCAGCAAATGGTGCTAGAAAAACTACATCCACATGCCAAAATAAATTGATAAATGTAGACACAGATCTTAAAACTCTAGTAAAAATAAATCAAAATGGATCATAAATGGTAATGAAAATGAAAAACTCGAACTCCTAGAAGATAACAGGAGAAATTCTAGGTGACCTATAGTATGGCAATTATTTTTTAGATACAGTCAAGGGAACAGTTCATGAAAGAATAATAATATGAAATTCATTAAATTTGTAACGTTTGTTCTAGAAAAGACACTGTCAAGAAAGTGAGAAGGCAAGTCATTGAGTGGGAGAAAATAGTTGCAAAAGACACATCTGATAAAGGACTGTTGTCCGAAATATACAAAGAACTCTTTAAACTGACAAAAAGCAAATGAACAACCTGATTAAAAAATGGGCAAAGACCTAACAGACACCTCACTAGGTAGCTAATAAACATATGAGAAGATGCTCAACATTTTATGTTATTAAGGAACTACAAACTAAAACAACAGTGACATACACTACACACCTATTGGAATGGCCAAAATCTGACACACTAACAGCACCAAATCCTCAAAAGGTTATGAAGCACCAGGAACTCTACCATCACTTTGGAAAAAAGCAGTTTCTCACAAAGCTAAGCATGTTCTTACCATGCGATACAGCAATTGTGCTTCTTGGTATTTTTCCAAATGAGTTGTAAACTCTGTCCTCACCAAAACCTGCAAACAGATTGTTTAGAGCAGCTTTATTCATAACCACCCAAACTTGGAAGCAATAAAAATGTCTTCCAGGAGTTGAAAGGATAAACTTTGTTACATCTAGACAATGGAATATTGTTCTATGCCAAAAAGAAATGAACTATCAAGCCATGAAAAGAAACGGAGGAAACGTAAATGCACAATACTAGGTGACAGAAGCCGATCTGCAAATGTCACATGTGATTTCACTTATATGACATGATGAAAAAGGCAAAACTATGAAGACAGTAAAATCTTCAGGGGATTCCAGAGGTTGGGGGAAGGGAGAGATAAAAGGTGCTCAAATAGAGGATTTTTAAGGCAGTGAAACTACTCTGTAATGATACTACAATGGTGGATACCTATCATTATACATTGGTCCAAACCTGTACAATGTAAAATACCAAGAGTGAAACCTAATGTAAACTATGGACTTTGGTTGATACTGATGCATCAGTGTTGGTTCATTGGTTATAAAAAATGGAGAATGGCAGAGCAAGACGGCCAAATAGAAGGCTGTACCAATCGTTCCACCTACATGGTCAACAATTTAACAATTATCTGTGCAAAAACACACTTTCATAAGAACCAAAAATCAGGTGAGCATTCACAGTACCTGATTTTAACTTCATACCACTGAAAGAGGTATTGAAGAGGGTAGGAAAGACAGTGTTGAATCACTGATGCCACCTTTTCCCCATCACTCAGCAGGAGCCATGTGACATGAAGAGAGAATCTGTGCATTTGTGGGAGGGGGAGAGCATAGTGATTCTGAGATATTGCATTGAACTCAATTCTGCCTTGTCACAGCAGAAGACAAAACTGGGCTGAACTTTAGTAACACCAGCCCACGGAGGGAGTATTTAAACCAGCCCTAGCCAGAGGAGAATCACCATCCCAACAGTCAGAACTTGAGTTACTGCAAGCCTCAGCAAAGCGGGCTAAAATGCTATGGGGCGTTAAATAATGTTTATTTAAGTTTAATAAACTTAAATAACAATTTAAGTTCCAATTAAGTAACAATTTTAAGTTTAATAAATAACAATTTAAGTTAATAATAAACATTATTTAAGGTTCCAAAGCCTAGGCTCTAAACAGTCTAGGCCACAGGGATTACAACTCCTAGGCATGTCCTAGTCCTGAACTGGACTCAGAGCCAGTGGACCTGGAGAACAGGCAACCTATTGAGACACCAGCCAGGCCAGCTAAGGGAGTGCTTGCACCGTCCCTCCTCCAACCCCAGGCTGCACAGCTTACAGTTCCCAAGGAGACCCCTTTCTTCTGCTTGAGGAGAGGGAAGAGTGGGGAGGACTTTGTCTTCCATCTTGGATACCAGCTCAGTCACAGTAGGATAGGCACCAGTCACAGTCAGAGTCATAAGGCCCCCTTGCCATGCCCCAGCTCCTGAACATCATTTCTGGACACCCCCCGAGCCAGAAGGGAACCTGCTGCCATGAAGGTAAGGACCCAGTCTTAGAAAGACCCTTCACCTGCTGACTAAAGAGGCTTATGGTAATAGTGGCTGTGAGGTGAGGCTCCTCTGCCTGTGGAAACGGGAGGGAAGGGTTGGAGGGACTGTGTCTTATGATTTGAGTGCCAGTTCAATTGCAATACAATAGAATACCAGGTAGACTTCTAAGGTTTCTGACTCCAGTCCCTGGCTCCTGGATGGCACCTCTGTACCCAACCAGGGCCTGGAGGAACTTGCTTCCCTGAAGAGAAGGATGCAAGCCTGGCTGGCTTCACTATCCACAGATTGTAGACCCAGGGCCTTGAGTGAACTTAGGGGGTAGCCAGTTAGTGGTTACAGCAGACCTTGGACAAGGCCCAGTGCTTTGATGGCTTAAGGACTGACCCAGCATAGTTCCAGTGGTGGTAGCCACAGGGGTACTTGTGTCACTCCACCCCCAGATCCAGAGAGAGAGAGAGACTCCATTTGTTTGGGAGAAAGTAAGGAAAGAGAAGAAGAGTCTCTGCATGGTAATCCAGATAATTCTTCCGGATCTCATCTAAGACCATTAAGGTGCTACATCTAGGAGATGCCTATCTCTCGTCATATACAAAAATAAATAAAAATGGATTAGACTTAAATCTAAGACCTCAAACTATGAAACTACTACACAAAAACATCAGAGGAAGTCTCCTGGATATTTGCCTGGGCAAAAATTCTTCTTGTGTAATAATTTACACGCATAGACAACAAAAGCAAAAGTGGGCAAATGGGATCACATTAAGTTAAAAAGCTTCTTCACAGCAAAGGAAATAGTCCACAAAGTGAAAGACAACCTACAGATGGGAGAAAATATTTTGCCAACTATCTATCTGACAAGAGATTAATAACCAGAATATATAAGGATCTCAAACAACTCTATAGGAAAAAAAAATCTAACAATCTAATTAAAAATGAGCAAAAGATCTGAATAGACGTTTCTCAAAAGAAGACATACAAATGGCAAACAAGCATATGAAAAGGTGTTCATCACTGATCATCAGAGAAATGCAAATCAAAACTACAATAAGATATAATCTCAGGCCAGTTAAAATGACTTATATACCACCACACCTGGCTAATTTTTGTGGTTTTAATAGAAACAGCGTTTAGGCTGAGGCACGGGAATCGCTTGAGCTTGAGAGGTGGAGGTTGTAGTGAGCTGACATCATACCATGCACTCCAGCAGGGGCAACACAGTGAGACTCTGTCTCAAAAAAAAAAAAAAAAAAAAGGCTTATATGCAAAAGATCAGCAATAAGATGCCGGCAAGGGTGTAGAGAAAAGGGAACACCCAACACTGTTGGTGGGAATGTAAATTAATCTGACCACTATGGAGAACAGTTTGGAAGTTCCTCAGAAAACTGAAAATAGAGCCACCATAGCATCTAGCAATCCCACTGCTAGGTATATACCTGAAAGAAAGGAAATCAGTGCATAGAAAATATATGTGTACTCTCATGTTTGTCTCAGCACTAGTCACAATAGCCAAGATATTGAAGCAATGTAAGTGTCCATAAAGAAATGAATAGACAAAGAAAATGAGGTACTTATACACAATGGAGTACTATTCAGCCATAAAAAAGAATGAGATCCTATCATTTGCAACAACATGAATAGAACTGGAGGTCATTATGTTAAGTGAAATAAGCCAGGCACAGAATGACAAATTGTGTATGTTCTTACTTATTTGTGGGAGCTAAAAATTCAAATAATTGGACTCATGGAGATAGAAAGTAAAGGATAGTGAAAGAAGCTGGGAAGGATAGTGGGGGAGTGTGGGGGAGGTGGGGATGGTTAATGGGTACAAAAACTAGAAAGAATGAATAAGACCTAGTATTCACTAGCACAACAGAGTGACTGTAGTCAATAATAATTTGTGTACATTTTTAAATAACTAAATGAGTGTAGTTGGATTATATATAAAAGATAAATGTTTGAGGTGATGGATATCCCATTTACCCTCATGTGATTATTATGCATTGCATGCCTGTATCGAAATGTCTCATAGCAATCTATAAATACATACACACACTATTGTACCCACAAAAATTAAAAATAAATATTTTTTAAAAAATTAAAAAATAAGATAGAACAAATTGAGCACTCTCGTGTGGGATTTTGGTAGTGGAAGAGGTTGTGCTTATTTTGGACCAAGAGAAAACAGGACATGTTTGTACCCTCCACTCAATTTCGCTGTGACCCTAACACTGCTCTAAAAATAAAGTCTGTGTTTTTAAAAGCATGTGATACAGAGTTTCACACACTGAATTTGTCTAGTGAATTATTATCTAGATCCAAAATAGTTGTATTTTCTACTATATAACACATTACATCATCTGTCTAGCTATCTCTCTCACAAAGTAGAATGTCTGTGAAATAGAACACAAGGAAGGAGAGAGAATTATGACCCAAGCAAGAATCATGGGTCCAGAATTCCACCCAAGGAAGCTAGTTCAAAGCCAGAGAAAGAGCACAGCTTTTCACACAATTGAATAGATCTCAACTTCATGATTTTGGTATTGAAGATGCTGACAGTAGCCAGTGGCTCTGTGAAGGCAATTTTCCAACCTACCATTCTTGGCTACTCCTGGGATATTTTACTTGGCTGTGAGATCCCCCTGAGAAGCTTCTCTTTTTCTCACACAATTCCTCCATCAGCGAAGTGTGGTGGGCAGCACACAGTGACTATGATTCCTGGAGATGGCACTGGGACTGAACTTATGCTGCCTGTCAAGATTATGTTCAGACATGTGTGTGTGCCTGTGGACTTTGAGGGAATGTCAGTGACCTCCACCTCTGCCTCACATGAAGAGGAAATTCATAATGCCATCATGGCAGTTCATTGAAACCGTGTGGCTTTGAAGAGTAGCGTTAAAACTGACGACACCCTGCCACCATCATACAAATCCTTCAACAACATGTTGCATACCACCCTAGATCTCTATGCCAGTGTCATTCATTTAAAAAATTTGCCAAACGTGGAGACCTGGCACAAAGATGTAGACATCCTAGTTGTTTGGGAAAACACAGAGGGTGAGTATAGCAATCTGGAGCATGAGAGTGTGAAAGGAGTGACAGAGAGCCTAAAGATCATGACTAAGGCCAAGTCTTTGTGCATTGCTGAATATGCCTTCCAGCTGGCCCAGAAGATGGGATGCAAAAAAGTGATGGCTGTGCACAAGGTCAACATCACGAAACTGGGAGATGGTCTCTTCCTCCAGTGCTGTGGGGGAGGTGGCATCCCGCTATCCTCAGCTCACCTTAGAAGACATGATTGTGGAGAATGCCACAATGCAGTGAGTATCCCAGCCCCAACAGTTTGATGTCATGGTAATGCTCAGTCTTTATGGCAATGTTATCAACAGTGTCTGCACAGGTTTGATTGGTGGGGCAGGCCTTGTGCCTGGAGCCAACTATGTCTATATGTATGCAGTGTTTGAGACAGCTTCAAGGCAATGTGACAATTTAGTCAATACAAATCTGGCAAACCCTACCGCCATGCTGCTGGCAATTTGTATCATGCTGGATTACCTCAAACTCCACTCCTATGCCACCCACATTAATACTGCAGTCTTGGCATCCTTGGACAACAAAAGTGTCCACACTGCAGACCTTGGAGGCCAGGGTACCACATTGGACATCATTCAAAACATCATAGACCACATTTGAAATGTCAATTAATTGTTCTGTGCCTTGGAGGCTAAGCTATCCCTCAAAGTCTGTCCTGTCCTACTTGTTACCTCCACTCTTTCTGCTTTAAAAACCCTAGCCAGCTTAGCTACTGCAGACTCCACAAGAAACCAGCTTATCCTTTAATTCACAAGCAGGGCAGGGTGGGGGCCTGTGTGAACCAAAACTGATTTTTTTCCCATTAAATTGAAATGCCATAAAAATTTTTTGTTTAAATTGAGGACAATTTTATCTAAATGAATTGAGGACATTCTTATCTATTTTAGTCCACAATTCTCCCTTCTCTACGATATTATATACTGAATAAATCAGAGCTGTTTGTGGAGTCCTGGGGCTTTCCCAGAGCTTGGCACACTGATTTTCTCTTTATCTTGGTCATTAACATTCAGCAAACCAGCCTGCAGAGAAGCCTGGCTTCTCTCTAGAGGTCGTTAATGAGTTAATTAGTGCAATAAACTTTGCCTAAAAAATATACATTGTAACTTTTCTAATAAATAGGACAACATACAGCAGAGCTGACATAGAATGCTTCCACTCCTTCCTAGATAGCCCATCTTTCCTATGGTCTTATTTATGACCTTTACGTTAGGAATTTTCTCCAGTGTTCTGTTTCACACATGAACATTTTTAGGCACTGCAGCTCTTCTGGAAAGGGGATTCTTGAATTCTTCCAGCTGGACTCAAGAGTGTAGAGGTCAAAACCCCAGTTAACAGGCACTAGACCCACAACATTTTGCGAAACAGAGAACTATCGATTGTAAACTCTTTGGTCAGTGTTTCACAGTCTTTTACGGTTTACTTTCAATCTTTCAAAGAAAGAATGTGTGTATAAAACAAAACAAAAGAAAACAAAAAGCACTGAGCTAAATGTTTACTGTCACTTTATCCTATTTTATTTGTAGTATTTTTTAAAGTTATAGTTGGGAGACAAACTAAAATAACTTTATTGGTGCTTGGAAATTGTTACTTAATTAGGAAATTAAAAACACAATGACTGTAAAAACTTACAGTAGTTTTATCAGTAGGAAAGGCCTGTAGATAGAAATGAGACAGAGAAAAATAATGAATTCTACATTGTGGAAATGTGTGTCTCGCCTATTACCTTTGGATCTCTGCCTGGTTAATAGGTCACAAGTTAAAGACACTTAGACCATAGAAAGTTTCTTACAGTTTCCACCAGGCTCTGCCTTAATCATATTACCTTGGTCTAACCTTTCCTAATTGGGCATAAAGTCAGGGCCAGGATTTGGACAACTGAAAGCTAGTTTGAGAGGATTTAGTCTGAAAAGAAAGTGACTACCTGAAACCCTATCTAGAAGTCTTTCTTGAAGAATAAGGCAAACAGGAAAGAGTCTATGTATAAAATGACCCTGATAGTCACTTTACTGGCCATTAGACATGTCACTGTCCAGGGCTGCCACTAGCCCAAATGGTGCCCACCTCTGGGCTGATCTAGACGTGCACCAAAGGCATGTTCTTTTCAAGTGGAGCAAGGGGCGGATTTTAGCCAGATGGCCCCCTGCACCTCCAATGCCACGCTAACTGATCTTACTTTAACCCATACTATCCACTCGTACCACTCTTTTTTATGATGACAAGGATTTATTTATGGCACAATCAGCTTAACAAAAGACAGTGGCCCAGTTGTTGGCTTCTATTTAGCAATGGGGGTTTATGATACACTTCAGTTAAAATTTCTCTATCTGTTAAAGATGGTCATTTTCAGAATCCCATTGCAATTCTTGGACCAGACTGCTGCAGTGACACCTAGTACACCATAGTAAAATTTTTCATTTCCACTGTTAGATGCTCTCACTTAGATATGAACATCTCTAGGGTAAGCTCCACGTGTTTTCTTTCCTTGTCCTTTGTAGTCTGTAACATAATGGCTGGTACATAATGCATGGAATACATGTTTGTTGAATCAACCAAAATATGAGTGTTATGGTTGATACCGCTACACTTTTTTATCTGTAAAGTGTGATAACTGTACCTGCCTTATAGGGTTGTTGGAAAGACGGAGAAAATTCACGTAAAACCTGTGTTGTTGTGCCTATAAGTGCTTAGTGTATTTTAGAAATTATTATATTCCTTATTACACAGAATATACCATTCTAAAAGATAATTCTGAATAGAACTGAGTGAATTTTATTAATTCATTATAGATTTTTGGTTTGCGGCCAACTTTTAAATAGAAAAGCAAATCATATCTGCTGATTCATCAAGTCTCCTTATTCTAGCTCCTTTTTATTTCTTGAATCTGGCAACCCCTCTTTTTTTTCACCAACACCTTCTTCCTCATTAGCTTTTCTTATCATTGGTAACTTCCTA
Source organism: Homo sapiens (assembly GCF_000001405.40). Lineage (NCBI taxonomy): Eukaryota > Metazoa > Chordata > Mammalia > Primates > Hominidae > Homo > Homo sapiens. Next base: position 21,287,289 of record NC_000011.10, read on the forward strand.
ATTTCTCTTACTGCAAGTATAGCTTCCTAACTGATGTCTTGCCTGTAGTTTAGCCCTGTTCAATCTATTTTCACAATGCATCCAGCATGATCTTTCTGACAGGCAAAGAGATCATGTCCCTTTCTTACTTAAAACCTTTATTCAAAGGCTTCATTTTTTCTGTAAAAGAAAGGCAGTGGAGCATAGCATGAAAACCATCTAATGTTCTGGCCTCATTTTCCCTTCCTCAGGTTCACCATGTCTGTCCCCCCACCCTCATTCCAATATCAATGCAATGTGGCATTCCAACAAGACTATAACAGAATTTATTGTTAAAGGACCATCTATTCTCTCTAGATCAGGCCTTTGTATACAGTCTTGGTTCCTTTCTTCTTCATTAGATGAATTTCTCCTCATGCTTCAGGACTCAACTTAATCATCACCTTTTTTGGGGAGTCTTATCTTTTTACCCCTCTTCCCATTTTTTGCTGAGATTGAGGGGGTAACTCTCAGTGTCCCCTGCCACAGCTCTCTATATACACTATCTAGTATTTATTTCTCTGATTGTGATTACATGTTTTATCCCCACCATCCCTCGTTAACTTTACTGTACAATGCATCCCTTGGCAATAGGAGTGAAGTCATTCATCACTATAGCATCAGAACCTAGGATAGGGACAGGCTCTTAGTTCATACTCACTCTAAAGAAAAGAAGAGAATAGAAGGAAGGAAGAAAAGAAATAAGGGAAGGAAAGAAGGAAGGAAAGAAAGAAAAAATAAGGGAAGGAAGGAAAGAAGGAAATAAGGAAGGGAGAAGGAAAAAAGAGGGAAGGAAAGAGGAAGGAAGGAAGGGAAGGAATGAAAGGAAGGAAGGAAGGGAAGGAAAGAAAGGAAGGAAGGGCTTACTCCTAATGGCTTAGGAGTAGGGAACTGGAAGAGCTAATCTATTGCAAAATGCTCTTGTCTGACTTCAGTCTATGAAACTATCTTACAAAATTACTCCTCTCTAAAGAAGACTAAAGCCCTCAAGTCAGTAAAACAGTTGGTTGGCAGGCTGCCTCTGTTTCCTGAGAAAATGTCTGTACTGCATTTGTTGGATAATTTCATCTTAGCCTTTATCAGTTTACTGTGCTTTGTTTACAATTCTGGTGTTATAAAAAATGGCATCAACAAGTTGTCTGATTTTTCTCTAAATTACTCCTTCTCTTTACAGATTTGTTTTGGTTACTGGTCTTACAAATTACTCAGTCATTCAGATTTAATAGCTGACTGACATTCATCCCAACTCTGCCACACAGGAGCAGTGTGACATTGGATAAGTTGCTTAACCTCTCTGATTTCTAGTTGCTTATCTGTGCAATAAAGGTAAATGTGTACCTTCATGGGATTGTTGTCAAAATTAAGTAAGATTGTTTTGGTTGTCTATTGCTGTAAAACAAACTATCCAAACATTAGTGAGTTCGAATGACCAGCAATTATTTGTCATGATTATGTAGATTAGTCGGGGGGTTCTTCTTATCAGCAGTAGGATGGCTAAGAGCTCCAGAATCACCTCATTCACATGGCTGGCAGTTGCTACTAATGATTGTCAGTCAGGGGGCCTCCATTTTTCTCCACCTGGTTGTCGTATGTGGTATGTGGTATTTTGATCTCCTCACAGCAATGGCACCTGGGTTCTAAGAAGGAGTGTTCTAAGAAGTGAAGACCAAGGCTGTAGACCTCTTAAGGCTCAGACATGAAAGTTGCTTAATGCCCTTTCTACTATATTCTGTTGATCAAATTAGGCAATAATAGGGTAGACCAGATATAAGAATGGGGGAACAAATTCTGACTCTTGATGAGAGAATGACAGGGTCACATTACAAAGGGGCACATAGGTGAGGAGCACTATTGATGTGACCATTTTTGGAAACATGCTCTACCACCATGAAAATGTATTTAAAACTCTTGGGCAAGATGGCCCAATAAAAACAGCTCCAGTGTGTGGCTCCCAGCAAGATCAATGCAGAAGGCGGGTGATTTCTGCATTTCCAACTAAAATACCTGGCTCATCTCATTGGGACTGATTAGACAGTGGGTGCAGCCCACGGAGGGTGAGCCAAAGCAGGGTGGGGCGGTTCCTCACCTGGGAAGTGCAAGGGGTCAGGGAACTCCCTCCCCTAGCCAAGGGAAGCCATGAGGGACTGTGCCGTGAGGAACAGTGCATTCTGACCCAGATACTATGCTTTTCCCATGGTCTTCGCAACTTGCAGACCAGGAGATTCCCTTGGGTGCCTGTATCACCAGGCCCTGGGTTTCAAGCACAAAACTGGGTGGCAGTTTGGGCAGACAGGGAGCTAACTGAAGGAGTTTTTTTTCATACTCCAGTGGCACCTGGAATGCCAGCAAGACAGAACCATTCACTCTCCTGGAAAAGGCTGAAGCCAGGGAGCCAGGTGGTCTAGCTCATTGGATTCCACCCCTACGGAGCCCAAGAAGCTAAGATCCACTGCCAGCACAGCAGTCTGAAGTCAACCTGGAATGCTTGAGCTTGGTGGAGGGAGGGGCATCCGCCATTACTGAGGCTTGAGTAGGCAATTTTCCCCTCACAGTGTAAACAAAGCTGCCAGGAAGTTCAAACTGGGTGGAGCCTACCACAGCTCCGAAAAGCCACTTAGCCAGACTGCCTCTCTAGATTCCTCCTCTCTGGGAGTAGCATCTCTAAAAGAAAGGAAGCAGCCCCAGTCAGGGGTTTATAGATAAAATTCCCATCTCCCTCGGACATAGCACCTGGGGGAAGGGGCATCTGTGGGTGCAGCTTAAGCAGATTTAAATATTCCGGGCTGGACGCGGTGGCTCACGCCTGTAATCCCAGCACTTTGGGAGGCCGAGGTGGGCGGATCACGAGGTCAGGAGATCGAGACCATCCTGTCTAACACGGTGAAACCCCGTCTCTACTAAAAATACAAAAAATTAGCTGGGCGTGGTGGTGGGTGCCTGTAGTCCCAGCTACTTGGGAGGCTGAGGCAGGAGAATGGCGTGAACCCGGGAGGTGGAGCTTGCAGTGAGCCAAGATTGCGCCACCGCACTCCAGCCTGGGTGACAGAGCAAGACGCCATCTCAAAAAATAAATAAATAAATAAAATAAATAGATAAATAAATAAATAAATAAATAAATAAATAAATATTCCTTCCTGCTGGCTCTGAAGAGAGCAGTGGTTCTCCCAGCACAGTTCTCAACCTCTGCTAAGGGACAGACTGCCTCCTCAAGTGGGTCCCTGACCCCTGTGCCTCCAGACTGGGAGACACATCCCAGGAGGGGTTGAGAGACACCTCATACAGGAAAGCTCTGGCTGGCATATGGCAGGTGCCCCTCTGGGGCAAAGCTTCCAGAGGAAGGAACAGGCAACAGTCTTTGCTGTTCTGCAGCCTCTGCTGGTGATACCCAGGGAAACAGGGTCTGGAGTGGACCTTCAGCAAACTCCAGCAGACCTGCTGCAGAGGGGCCTGACTGTTACAAGGAAAACTAACAGAAAGGAATAGCATCAACATCAACAAAAAGGACATCCACACAGAAACCCCATCCGAAGATCACCAACATAAAAAACCAAAGGTAGATAAATCCATGAAGATGAGGAAAAACCAGTGCAAAAAGGCTGAAAATTCCAAAAACAAGAATGCCTCTTCTCCCCCAAAGCATCACAGCTCCTCTCCAGTAAGGGAACGAAACTGGACAGAGAATGAGTTTCATGAATTGACAGAAGTATTCTTCAGAAGGTGGGTAACAGCAAACTCTCTGAGCTAAAGGAGCATGTTCTAACCCAAAGCAAGGAAGCTAAGAACATTGAAAAATGGCTAGAGGAATTGCTAACCAGAATAACCAGTTCAGAGAAGAACATAAATGACCTGATGGAGCTGAAGAACATAGCAGGAGAACTTTGTGAAGCACACACAAGTATCAATAGCCGAATTGATCAAGTGGAAGACAGGATATCATTATTAACGATATAATGAAATTAAGGCAGAAACAAGTTTTTTGAAACCAATGAGAGCAAAGACACAACGTACCAGAATCTCTGGGACACAGCTAAAGCAGTGTTTAGAGGGAAATTTATAGCACTAAATGCCCATGGAAGAAAGCAGAATAGATCAATAATAAGTTCTGAAATTGAGATGATAATTAATAGACTACCAGCCAGAAAAAGCCCAAGACTAGATAGATTCACAGCCCAGTTCTACCATAGGGACAAAGAGGAGTTAGTACCATTCCTTCTGAAACTTTTCCAAACAATAGAAAAATAGGAACTCCTCCCTAACTCATTTTATGGGGCCAGCATCATCCTGATACCAAAACCTGGCAGAGATACAACAACAAAAAAAGAATATTTCATGCCAGTATTCCCTGATGAACATCAGTGCAGAAATCCTCAGTAAAATACTGGCAAACCAAATCCAGCAGCACATCAAAAAGTTTATCCACCAAGATCAAGTCAGCTTCATCCCTGGGATGCAAGCCTGGTTCAACATACACAAATCAAAAAACGTAACCCATCAGATAAACAGAACTGATGATAAAAACCACATGATTATCTCAATAGATGCAGAAAAGGCCTTTGACAAAACTCAACACCCCTTCATGCTAAAAACTCTCAATAAACTAGGTATTGATGGAACGTGTCTCAAAATAATAAGAGCTATTTATGACAAACCCACAGCCAATATCATACCGAATGGGTAAAAGCCGGAAGCATTCCCTTTGAAAACCACACAGGACAAGGATGCCCTCTCTCAACATTCCTATTCAACACAGTATTGGAAGTTCTGGCCAGGGCAATGAGGCAAGAGAAAGAAATAAAGTGTATTCAAATAGAAAGAGAGGAAGTCAAATTGTCTCTGTTTGCAGATGACATGATTGTATATTTAGAACACCCTATCCTGTCAGCCCAAAATCTCCTTAACCTACCTGATAATCAGCTTCAGCAAAGTCTCAGGATAGAAAATCAATGTGCAAAAATCACAAGCATTACTATACACCAGTAATAGACAAACAGTGCAAAATCATGAGTCAACTCCTATTCACAATTGCTACCAAGAGAATAAAATACCTAGGAATACAACTTATGAGGGATGTGAAGGACCTCTTCCAGGAGAACTACAAACTACTGCTCAAAGAAATAAGAGAGGACACAAACAAATGCAAAAACATTCCATGCTCATGGATAGGAAGAATCAGTATCGTGAAAATGGCCATACTGCCTAAAGTAATTTATAGATTCAATGCTCTCCCCATAAAGCTACCATTGACTTTCTTCACAGAGTTAGAAAAAAACAAATTTAAATTTTATATGGAACCAAAAAGGAGCCTGCATAGACAAGACAATCCTAAGCAAAAAGAACAAAGCTGGAGGCATCATGGTACCTGACTTCAAACTATACTGCAAGCCTACAGTAACCAAAACATCATGGTACTGATACCAAAACAGATATATAGACCAATGGAACAGAACAGAGGCCTCAGAAATGCTCATAATGCTACACATCTACAACCATCTGATTTTTGACAAACCTGACATAAGCCATGGGGAAAGGATTCCCTATTTAATAAATGCTATTGGGAAAACTGGCTAGCCATATGCAGAAAACTGAAACTGGACCCCTTCCTTACACCTTATACAAAAATTAAGATGGATTAAAGGCTTAAATATAAGACCTAAAACCATAAAAACCCTAGAAGAAAACCTAGGCAATACCATTCAGGACATAGGCATGGGCAAAGTCTTCATGACTCAAACACCAAAAACAATGGCAACAAAAGCCCAAATAGACAAATGGGATCTAAATAAACTGAAGAGCTTCTGCACAGCATAAGAAACTATCATCGGAGTGAACAGGCAACCTACAGAATGGGAGAAAATTTTTGCAATCTATCCATCTGACAAAGGGCTAATATCCAGAATCTACAAGGAACTTAAACAAATTTACAAGAAAAAAAACAAACAACAAAAAACCCCATCAAAAAGTGGGTGAAGGATATCAACAGACACTTCTCAAAAGAAGACATGCAGCTAACAAACATATGAAAAAAACTCATCATCACTGGTCATTAGAGAAATACAAATCAAGATCACAGTGAGATACTATCTCATGCCAGTTACAATGACGATCATTAAAAAGTCAGGAGACAACAGATGCTGGAGAGGATGTGGAGAAATAGGAATGCTTTTACACTGTTGGTGGGAGTGTAAACTAGTTCAACCATTGTGGAAGACAGTGTGGTGATTCCTCAAGGATCTAGAACCAGAAATACCATTTGACCCAGCAATGCCATTACTGGGTATATACTTAAAGGTTTGTAAGTCATTCTACTATAAAGACACATGCACATGTGTGTTTATTGCAGCACTGTCCACAATAGCAAAGACTTGGAGCCAACCCAACTGTGCATCAGTGATAGACTGGATAAAGAAAATGTGGCACATACACACCATGGAATACTATGCAGCCATGAAAAAGATGGGTTCATGTCCTTTGCCAGGACATGCATAAAGCTGGAAACCATAATTCTCAGCAAACTAACACAAGAACAGAAAACCAAACACCACATGATCTCACTCATAATTGGAAGTTGAACAATGAAAACACATGGAAACAGGGAGGGCAACATTACACACTGAAGCTTCTTGGAGAGTGGGGGACTAGGGGAGGGATAGCAATAGGAGAAATAACTAATGTAGATGAGTTGATGAGTGCAGCAAACCACTATTCCACGTGTATACTTATGTAACAAACTGGTATGTTCTGCACATGTATCCTAGCACTTAAAGTATAATTTAAAAAAGTAATAAAATGAAGTATATAAAAATGGCAAAAAACTGTTAACACAGTGCCAGTCACATGGGCATTGCTTAATCAGAGGCAACTGTTATCAGCCTTGACTGTTTCCCTCCTACATCTTTAGCTTCACTACCTGCCACTTCTGTCCCCATAGTGTACCCTTTGTTGGTTCCCTTCATTCATCTAGTTTATTCTGTGCTTATACCATCTCAAGGACTATTTAAAAAGTTGTCGAACTAGTCTCAAATTTGAACTTCTTTATTTCACATTTTGTCTTGTATTAATTGGACATCTACTTGAGTTTAGCCTTAATGAATCATATGTACCTTGAGAGTAGGAAACATATTCAATCAACATTCTGGACCTTGTATTACCCAGCACAGTGCCTTACATATGGTTGGTGCAATCTGGTAATTAATTGCATGGCAAATTGGATTGAAGATAATAGTGATTATAGTTATTATGCATTATTGAGTTTATGATGTCATATGTTGTTCTACATGATTTGTATTTATTTATTTTCGTATCGACCTAATCTGATGATTATTATTGTAATCCTGATTTTATGGTTGAGAAAACTGAGGGACAAAGGTGTTAAGAAATTTACCTGAGGTCACACAACTAACAGGAGTTGAGGCCACCTTTAAAAGTCAAAGGGTTTGGCTCTAAAACCCAAGGATTTAAATGGTCATGAGTGTTTGTACATTGTGAATTTTCACACATTTATGTGAAAGTGGACTAGGTTTCAGCGACAGATCAATATCTGCTTTTGAAAAAAATACTATAGACTCACAGAATTTAAGAAATGTAAAGAAAGCTCAGTTTTGCAAAAGCTGAAGCCCAAGAAGGCAAAGTCAGTTGCCTCAATCTCACAACTACTACATAGCTGAGACAGAATGAGAATCCACATCTTCTGATTTCAGATGAAGTTTTCGTTCTGTTATTCCACAGCTATCTCCTGATGTGACCTGTAGGAAATGCCATTTCTGACTTTTAAAAATACTTACCATATGTCAGGTATGGTTGTAATTGGTTTACAAATATTAATAAATTTAATTCTCACATTCACCCATTATGTTGATAAAGAACCTGAAGCACAGACCAGCTCACTGACTTGCTCAAGGTCAATTACAGATAGTAAGTAGGGAACCAGGATTAAAACCCAGCCCAGGGCACTGGAGTATAACCATACTACTAAAGCTATCTCTCAAAATGTTGGATTAACTAGATATTTGTGAACGAAAAAGGAAGACTATCCAGACAAACGAGATCATTTGGTACCAGAACCAAGCATCAAATATTGAAGACAGATGACATTTCAAGAATGGTAAATCAAATAGTCAACTTATTTCCTTAGAGTAATGACAGACAAAAAGAGAGAACACTTAAAACAGGAATGATGTGCTATTGAAACAAAAGAATTGCTAAAATAATGATATGGAGTAGACACAAAGAATTTTGCAAGTAAGAAGAGGATTTGTAAGAAATGTAGCCAGTTCTGGGTCATTACAGCAGTTGCGAAAAGGTGACATCACTAAAGGCTCAGTTGGGAATACGCATAATTTCTGCAGGAAGCTGATTAAGGAGCTAGACATTTTTTGAAGGGAGGCACTTGGTCCTTGGAGTTTCCCTGACAACTTGCATAACATTGGAACTCAGTGTGGTAAATTGTTCTTCACATCAAAATGAATTTGCTTACACTGATATGGGAAGCTACTGTGATTGCTCCAGGAAATGCAAGGAAAAGAGAAAAGAGACATATTTGAAGTGGAAAAAAATGACTTAACTTCACAAAGGCAGTTAAAAAATTGGAATGTCTTGTTACCAATTTTGCAAATACTTAAAAACCAATTCAGCCTGAGTAAAAACAGTCTACTGATGAAGACTCTCATATGGGCTCTGATCAGTTTAAGCATCTGGTTTGCTACAGTTAATGCCAAATTTAGTGCATACACAATAGATGTAAATGAATAAATGTTGCCACAAAAGAGAGAGAAAATATTGTATATGTCTAAACACAAGGTTACTACTTTTTTCCTTTCTATCCCTCATAAAAAGGAAATGCCTTAAATTCAAATCCTTATAAATGTTCTCATAATACCGGGTATTATCCCAGTTCTGTTATTTTGAACACAAGAAACTATTTTGGGGAGAAAAAATGACATTATCTATGCCAGCTTATGATTTTAATTGAAATTATCTGGAGAATAAATTTTAAAAAAAGACCAAAAAACCCCCTCTCAACAAATAATTAGTTATTATTCCTGGGAGCGTAGTCTCACAATTGCAAATATTGAATGTCATTGTTTAATTAGCTTGATTGTGATGACAATTCTGCATTATATGTATATATATATATCTCTAATCATCAAGTTGTATACTTTAAATATATGGAATTTAAAATTATCAATTATACTTCAGTAAATCTTGAAAAAATACAAATGTAAATACTGATAACCATACAAAACACTTAATAACACAGTTCAGTGTTTGGTTACATTGTAAAGATCACAAATACAGACCTATTAGACAAATGGGGAAGGAAGAAGCGCTGATACTATGCAGTTGGATTCGTGTGACTTTGCTGGAAAAGGCATCAAATACAGATTCAAAAAGTGCTTTATCTCAAACAACTTAGACAGATGGAATGGTGATGAATTTGGAAAATCTGAGAGAACTTGAAAAGTGGCTCTGGGTTGGGGAAATCCTTTAGGTCAAGATTCATGGGAAGAAATTAAATAAAATTATTTAATATTTTTATAGTAAAGAAAAGATAATATTTCTATACTAATATATAATATAGTCCATGAAATGATATACTTAATATAGCTATGCCTAATAACTGAACCCATAAATCAAATATTATACAGATATTTATTTAATATATTCCTTAAAGTTATTCAAGTTGGTCTAGAATTTTTTTTCATTCTTTAGATGTTGTCATTAATTTAAAAAAATAATTATTTTAATTATATTTGGAATTTATTTCTATGTAGGCATTTACATTTTCTCCTATCTGCAGCATTCTGTGGGAAAAGGGATCAAAGGAGATTTTGAAGTTATTGCAAAGAAATCTATAATAGCAAAGGAAGAAGCCAGGGTTTCTGGACATATCGATAGTATTATGGAAAGAAATGCAAAGGAATTTAAGACAAGATAGGCTACATTCAGGGTGATATGGTCATAGACAAGGAATTTCAAATGAAGTTATGTTTAACTACTTAAGGCTGGTACTAGAGCACACCTATGGTACTTCATCTAGTTTTGATATTTTAAATTTATAAAACATGTAATTTCTGTTGAAGGTGTACAGTGTCACTTTATGATAAGCTTCAGAAAAAGATGTTGAAAAACCTCATGATTAAATGAACTGTTTTCTCCAAGGTAAGAAAAGCCTCTGGATTCATCCTTTTCCAGTGTGCAGGTTGTGATAGAATTAAGTTATTTTGATCTGTTTTATTTTTACCAGCAGCAAGATCTGTGTATACTCAGTAACCTCATCCATTCATTCTTTGACTCCTTTACTTGTCTCTCAATGTTCTTTGTCTTCCATTGAATACTTGCTTTGAGCCATAAACTGTGCAAGCACTGAGACTGCAGCTCTGAAAATTGTTGTGCTTTCTCTCAAGGAGCCCACAGGGCTGAGAGAATCAACAATAATCAGGCAATTATAATGGAGCATAATAAGTATTGTAATGGAGGTATAAGCAGGATCTATGAGAGGACAGAGGCGGGGAAGGGAAATCATAGTAACCTCTCCAGAGTAACTCCTGTCTCAGATGAGCCTTGACAAAGTTTAGGATGAGGGACAGAAGGAGGGAGGGAGTAGAGAAAGAGAAAGAGAGAGGAGAGAAGAGGAGAGCAAAATAGGGCTGAGAGGGCTGCCATCACCTGCCCATTGCTTGACATGCAAACCTTTTACTTTTTCCTCCATCATTTTTTATTTTGTACCCTATAATTATTGTTGAACTCATTTTACCCCAAAAAGTCTGCCCTGATTATGTTTTTAATCTATATGGAAAGATTTTCAAGATTTAAGGTGAACAGCTGATTTTTCTATGAAATGTTTTTGTTTCAATGATACTCTTTACATTGGTTAATTAACCTGATTCAAAATCTCACTGTGGTTGGTTCTAATTCTTGTGATTAGGATTTATTATTTTCCTTAAGCTAGTTCCCAGCACCATCAGTAGCTCTGCAAACCTTTTCTATTCTTTGTCATGATTCTATCTCAATGTCAGTTTCTCTGAGCTCATGTTTTATCAATTTGTTATTTTCAGTTCACTTCTTATTTATTTCTTCTCTTCTCAGATGTCTCCTTAGTAGTGAAATGGATCTCATCTTCCCTTCTTTGGTGCTCAGCTCCAGAGTGAGCTCACCTCTCTGACACCGTTTTGATCTCTTACTCTTTCTGGAAGTAGTAGGTCTGAGAATTGATGTGCTTTCTTTCAAGGAGCCTGCAGGAGTTTCTGCTGAAATCTTATCCATCACCCTCCTTAGTCAGCCTTCCTAGAGCAGGTGGCATAATCTACTCTTGCCAAGAGCTCTGAGAAGCCACCAATAGGCCAGTTTCTGCCCAGGGTCTATGGTAATTCCCATTACCACTTTTCTGCAGTAGTAGCAGGATGTATACCATCTGGACCATTCGGTGCCATCAGGAAATGGTCAAAATATTTGCATGCCCCTCAGGTTCAAGTAAATAAACAGCAGCAGCAGCAGCAACAACAACATTTCCAGTGAAAATGACCCTGTCACTCTTCTACCTGATACTTTCCTCATCTTTTCCCAAGAAATCACCTTTCCCCCGAAAAAAGATTATCTGCTCTCCATCTTCTCTCTCCTGTGAGGCTATTTTGTATTTGTCTAGAGCACTCCAGAAGTGGGCAACTGAAGTTACTAGCATTACTTGACCATGGTTATAGTTTTTATACAGATTGGCAGATGCTTTTTACAGTCTGTGGCTGGATTTCATTGGAAAAAGCTTAAAATTCACAGGAGGAGGAAAGTACTTCTCTCCCAGGATCCCCACTGAGTTGATAACAGTCTATGGGAAGTCATCTATTTAAACAGAAATAAACATGCCTTGGGATGCCAGGAGACTATTTTCAGTTTTATTAAGCTATTTTCAGCTTTATTAAGAAATCTGTGTTTAATTTTTGCAGCATTTTCAGTCCTGTTCATTTAGCTTTTCTCTGTGTGTGGATCAATTAGATCACTTGATGAGAATGCAGACATCGCATTCTGCTCCTTCCATTGCATTCTGCTCCTTCCAGGATCACAGTACATTTGGAGGAGAGTAAAGAACCTGGAACACCTTCAATCACCCAGCCAGAAACTTGTGCTTAATTGACTTTTCATGGGAAAAAGTAGTCCTGATTAGATATTGCCTGTGTCTGGGTCCTGGGAAATTTCAACATTTTATTGTCTTATATGTGTGTGTGTGTGTGTGTGTGTGTGTGTGTGTGTGTGTGTGTGTGTGTGTGTTTATTTTTTGGACCCATATAAATTGGTAGATTGGTCACCTGTAATAAGTTAGACACTGTTTTAGGTCAGGGTGAGCAATCTGTGCATATGTAAAGGGTCAGATAGTAAACATTTTAGGCACTGTAGACTTTATGGTCTTCATCGCAACTATTTAACTTTGACATCTGAAAGCAATAGGAGCCATAGATAATATGTAGACTAATAAGTGGCTGTCCTCTAAGAAGACTTTATTTATGGACATTGTAATTTATATTTTGAATACTTTTATATAACATGTAATATTTTCTTTAATTTGTTTTTCAACTATACAAAAATATGAGCCATCATTTGCTCCCATGCCATACTAAATAAGCCTGCAGGCCATAATTGGTGAACCTCTGCTATAGGCAAAGCAGCTTAAGTAATAAACAGGACAGAAACCCCGACCTCTTGTGACTTTCGTAGAGAAATTAGACAATGATCACGTAAACACACAAATAATGAATATTATTTCAAATTCTAAGTGCTAGGAAGAAAGGAAAACAAAACAAAACAAAACAGCTGTTGTGACTGAAAACCCCTGGTGGTAAGAGGACTGAGGGCATGGGCTGCATTAGCTGCTTAGAGAAGACTTCTCTAAGATAGCATCTGAGGTGTTCTCTGAATGATGCCAGGGAGACATGTGAATGTTGAAGGAACAGCAAAGGCAAAGCTGTGAGTCAGGGATGAGCTCAGGATGTTTAAAGAAGCAAGAATACTTTTCTGGCTTGAGAGAATATTACAGAGGAGAAGGAGGAAGGTAATGAAATGAAAAAGGAAGGTAGGGACAAGTGAGGTAGGACCTGGAGGCCAGAAAAAGGGCTTTAGGTTTATTCACATTTCTGGGCTAGGACATGGGTTTTTTAATAAGCTGAAGAGTGATGAGAAGTGGTTTATACCTTTAGACAGATCACTTTGGCTGCTGTGTGGATGAGGGACCATCATTGGAAAATGAGAGTAGAGGTTAGGAGGAGGGTACTCAGGAGGCTATAGTGGGCTCTAGCAGTCCAAAATAGAGGCTTTTCCATTTTCTCTTCTTCTAACACTTTTCTCATGTGTGAGTCTGGTAGAAGCTTGGGGGAAGGTGAGAAATAATGACACAATGCAGTTCAGGTTGGACTACTGAATGAGATTCGCACCAATAACATTTTCAAATTAACTCCATATTATTTCTTTTTTTAATTATTATACTTTAAGCTCTAGGGTACACGGGCACAACGTGCAGGTTGGTTACATATGTATACATGTCCCATGTTGGCATGCTGTACCCATTAACTTGTCTTTACATTAGGTATATCTCCTAATGCTATCCCTCTCCCCACCCCACAACAGGCCCCAATGTGTGATGTTCCCCATCCTGTGTCCAAGTGTTCTCATTGTTCAATTCCCACCTATGAGTGAGAACATGCAGTGTTTGGTTTTCTGTCCTTGCGATAGTTTGCTGAGAATGATGGTTTCCAGCTTCATCCACGTCCCCACAAAGAACATGAACTCATCTTTTTTATGACTGCATATTATTCCATGGTGTATATGTGCCACATTTTCTTAATCCAGTCTGTCATTGATGGACATTTGAGTTGGTTCCAAGTCTTTGCTATTGTGAATAGTGCCACAATAAACATACGTGTGCATGTGTCTTTATAGCAGCATGATTTATAATCCTTTGGGTATATACCCAGTAATGGGATGGCTGGGTCAAATGGTATTTCTAGTTTTAGATCCTTGAGGAATCGCCACACTGTCTTCCACAATGGTTGAACTAGTTTACAGTCCCACCAACAGTGTAAAAGCATTCCTATTTCTCCACATCCTCTCCAGCACCTATTGTTTCAGGACTTTTTAATGATCGCCATTCTAACTGGCATGCAATGGTATCTCATTGTGGTTTTCATTTTCATTTCTCTGATGACCAGTGATGATGAGCATTTTTTCATGTGTCTTTTGGCTGCACAAATGTCTTCTTTTGAGAAGTGTCTGTTCATATCCTTTGCCCACTTTTTGATGGGGTTATTTGATTTTTTCTTGTAAATTTGCTTAAGTTCTTGGTAGTTTCTGGATATTATCCCTTTGTCAGATGGGTAGATTGTAAAAATTTTCTCCCATTCTGTAGGTTAACCATTCACTCTGATGGTAGTTTCTTTTGCTGTGCAGAAGCTCTTTAGTTTAATTAGATCCCATTTGTCAAATTTTGCTTTTGTACAAAAGCCAACAGAAGGCAACAAAACTCCATATTATTTCTAATGCTCACAATGATAGCTAAGGATTTGGGGGATATTTAATAATGTAGCATTATTTCTTTTAATCCTCACAGCAATTCTGTAAGGCAGGTGTCATTATTTACTCCATCAATGAAGAAATTGAGGTACTAATATGTTCTGCAATAGGTGAAGATATCTCAAAACTGGCAAGTGGCAGAGGCAGTATAGGTTCCATGCTTGGCTCTTAAGCCCATGATCTGTTCACTTGCTCATCTTCTCCTCTGTTTTAGTTATCTACTGCTACATATAAAACCAACCCAAAGTGTTGTGGCTTTAAACAACAAAAATTTATGATTTCTCATGATTCGTGGGTTGACCAGGCTCAGCTGGGTGGTTCTTCTGTTCCATATGTTGTTGACTGGAATTATATGTGAGGTTGCAGTCAGATAGAAGCCCATCACAGCCTGAGGCCTCCCAGATGCCTTCACTGTCATGGCTAGTAGTTGGTACTACTTGGCTGAGGTGTCTCTTGTTTTCCTCCATGTGACTTCTAAACCACCATTATGTTAGACAGAATTTCTTACTGAATGATAGATGGATTCTGACAAGGAAGCTTCCAGAAAACCATGTTCTAATGTGCAAATGGTTATCAAGCTCAGCATGAATTACATTTGATGATGTTATTACCTCAGAGTAATTCATATGGCCAGTTATGAAATTAAACTTAAAAAAGAATCTACATGAAAGGTGGGCTCATTTATGGAACCAACCCATACCTATAATATTATTATTTTGGCTTCTGCCTTTAGATAGAAATGTAGGGGAATGGTTTCCTCTTTTGTAGAATATCAGGGCCCTCTTCTCAGTAATTAAAGATAGACTAAGGCACCAGATATTTATTAACTCATGTGCTGATTAGACATTTGTTGGTTTTTTTCCTGTGAGTGAAACACTGCTCTAGGTTCTGTGGGAGAAAACAAAAAGGAGAATGGGGGCTAGGCACAGTGATTCATGCCTGGAATTTCAGCATTTTGGAAGGCCTAGGTGGGAGGATCACTTGATGTGAGGAGTTTGAGATCAGCCTGGGCAGTATAGTGAGACCCTATCTCTACAAAAAAATTAAAAAAAAAAATAGCTTGGCATGGCAGCACATGCCTGTGGTCCTAGGAACTCAAGAGACTGAAGCGGGAGGATCACTGGGGCCCTGGTATTTGAGAATAGAGCAAGCCATGATCATGCTGCTTCATGCCAACCTGGGCACAAGAGCAAGACCCCATATCTCTCTTTTGCTCTATATCTATATCTATATCTATATCTATATCTATATCTATATCTATCTTCTGTCTATCTATACACATACATACATATATAGATAGATAAATAGAAACAAATAAATAACAGTGTAAGACATGGGCCGTTCCCTCAAGGTGCTTAGTGTCTAGGAGAAAATATGCTACCAGCTGGTTATCTAAAACATATGAATGCATGTTTGTAGATAAAATGTATACTTTAAGATATATTGCAAATTGTTTTTTTAGAAGGCTGATGTTTTTCAAAAGAAGACATACAAATTGCTAACAGGTATGTGAAAAAATGGTCACCACTAATCATCAGAGAAATGCAAATTATAACCACAATGAGATATTATCTTACCCTAGTCAGAATTGCTATTATTAAAAAGTCAAAAAGCCTAATGGGTTTCCATCTGACTGTAGCCTTATGTATGATTCCCTCTCCATGAGGATGTGGAGAAAATATAACTCTTATGCACTGTTAGTGGGAATGTAAATTAGTACAACCTCTATAGAAAACAGCGTGGAGATTTCTCAAAGATCTAAAACTAGAACTACCATTCTATTCAGCAATCTCACTTCTGCGTAGTTACTCAAAGGAAAAGAAATCAATATACCAAAAAGATACATGCACTTGTATGTTTATCACAGCACTATTCACGATAGCAAAGTTGTGGAATCAACCTAAGCGTCCATCACTCAGGTTGAAACTATAAGAAAACAGAAACATGTTTCTTACAGTTTAGGAGGCTGGGAAACCCAGGATCAAGGTGCTGGAGAAAGCTTGATCTCTGCCTCCAAGGTGGTGCCTCATTGCTGAGTCCACTGGAGGGGATAATCACTGCGTCCTCACATGGTGGAAGGCAAAAGGGCAAAAGAGTCCTCTCTTTAACCTTGAGCCCTTTTATAAGTGTGCTAATCCTATTCATGGGGCAGAATTAATCACCTCCCAGTGGCCACTCCTCTTAATACTCTTGCACTGGGGATTAATTTGCAACATGAATTTCGGGGAAACCATCATTCAAACCATTTTGAATGGTCACATGCTCATTTAATTTTAATTTCTAAGCAGAACTTACTGATCATGGTTATAATACAAGTGTCGGGTATTCTAATGAGATACAAAGCCAAAGAAAAACCACCATGCCATTTAACATGTACTTAGACTATTCCACACACTGTCTAAATGCGTCCTATGTATTATTTCCTTTTATCTCTGTAGATGCCTTTGTATATGTACTGTAATTATCTTCATTACCTAGATAACAAAGTCTTAGGAATTGTTACTTTCTCAGGAGTCAGAGACAGGGCTTGAACCCTGGTCCCTTTGACTCCGAAGTCTATTGTCTCTACCACTGTGTGACACAGAAGTGATGCAGTGGGGAAAGGATTGCAGTGGGAAAAGGATTGGAATAGTGTTCAGGACACTTGAGTTCCAGTCCTTAGGGCTGAACCAACTAATATGTTATCCTGTACAAATCAGCTTCTTTTGTCTGTTTTTTTTTTTCTCTCTCTCTCCTTTAAAGCATAGGAGTCTACAGCCTACATTTCTATGGTAATTTAGAGCTTATATTTTCCTGACAGCTTACATTGTAAATCTTCTGCACTCCTATTTTGTCTTGCCCTGTTGTATTTTTTTAAAGAGTATATATCACCTAATATTCTGTATCATCGACTTAATTATTCTATATTGTTTCTTCCATTTCCCCTGCAGTAGGGTGCAAATACCAGTGCCACCAAAATTTCCAGGCACATGGGAGACTCCTAATAAATAATATGATGCACACTTTTTAAAGGAAGATGGGAGTGGGAGGAGAAGATAGGAAGTAAGGATAGAAAATATGATGTAACAAGAAACAAGAAGACATTGGTGTACTGGTATTAGAATGATTTTTATTTCTGTGGGGAAACAATAAAAGAAGATGGGACTGTAGGCAGGATGCACAATTAAGAGGGTCTTCCATGTTATATGAAAGAGTCCAGATTTTGTTAGGTGATAGAAAGCTAGTTTTATCTCCAGGACTTGTTAGTGGACCAAAATTCTAGGAGTGCAATGGTTGATTCTAAGAAACAACCCTTGAGGCTTAATTGTATTTGAAAGTGTCATTTAACTTTATGCTCAAATGTATGGTCAATCTTTCTTGGGAAATGACAAGAGCCATCAAAGAAATAAGAAGTGATATTGTACTCTGAGCTCAGTGAGAAAAATGTGCAGATGCAGATGTGTTCGTCCTTATTTATGGTAATTGAATTTTAAATTTAATTTAGCAGTAAAAGTCTGCTATTTAGAGGATTGTTACACTGTAAAAGACTTGAGAAGCACATAGATTCTAAGGGTACTTAGAGTATCGTTTGATGCCTGATGGGTGACAAGCATAAATGCATCCAAATTAATCATAATTGCCATTCTAGCAAGTGAAATGCAGCAGTGTGTTTTTCAAAAGTGTGCTTCCAAAACATAAAAAGAATATGATAAATAGCAAGTCAAAAGACTGATGCTACAAGGCGATGTTGTGAATGAACAGAGGCTACCAAACTACATATCTAGTAGTGTATACTACATATCTAGACAGTATAGATTCTATATATATGTACACTACATATCTAGACAGTATAGATTCTATATATATGTACACTACATATCTAGACAGTATAGATTCTATATATATATTACATTTGTTACAAGCATTTCATAATCCTTTTAAAATAGCTGCATATTATTCTATTTTGAACAATTACAAAACTATATAAAAGCTTTATACACTTTTGGACATTTAAGATTTCAAATTTTCATAATCATAATTACCACTACAATCAATATCTTTCTGCACTGTTTGTTTTTTCTCTGTATTAAGGATCGTTCTCCAGAGAGCCCATACTCGCAGTGAAATTACTGGATCAAAGGATATAAATTATTTTTGCATCAATTCTGTATGCCAATTTGGTTAAAATTGGCACTTGTTAGTGTTTTTATAGATTAGTATTACTGAGGTTGAGATTATATTTATTAGCCAGTTGTTTGCTCTTCTCTGAAATGCCTGCTCATGCCATTGGATATTTTATCTTTTGGAGCCTGGTGTTTTTCATTTGGATATCACACTCAGAATTCTACGTACACAAAAAGCCAAGTCTCAGTCAAGCCAAATTGTCAATATACTGAAACAATTAATCAATTTATTGGAACAGTTGGTCAATCTACTGACATGACGGGTCATTTCATCTATAAGAGTGGATCAATTAAATGGAACATCTGGTAGAGTAAAGGTGCTCCCAATAAATCATGTTAGAAAGTAGAGCTGAAAATAAAAGAATAAACTGCATAAGCTAGTTCACGACTTGCTCATGAGTGCACAAGCACCTCTTTTCTGATTCTTACTGAAGTATAATAATAATGATGATGGAAAGTTCAAGAAACATCTGTTTTCCACATATACTAGGAACCTCTGCACTAATTGCAGTATGTCGATGTTTTTATTTTCTTTCTCATTGGGTGTTCTGAGAGCAATTATCCCTTTAAAATTAACAGCCTCAGTTCTCTCTTTTCAGTGACCTTTACTCAGATGAAACTCTCATCAACTTCACCTAATAAATGAGAAAGCTCATTCCCTCATTTATCATAGGTTCTACTCTGCAGTTGGATTCATGCCAGATCAAGGTACACGGAAACTATCCAAAATTATGAGCACAAGGTTATTACACTGTACGTGAAAGAGAAGAATATTTTTTTCCACCTGAGTTTGTGAAAGTTTTTCATTAGCAGGGATGCTGTCTCCCAACTTTGCCATCATGAGCATAGAATGTAATAACATTTAAGATGCAATAGGAGCTAAGGTCAGCAGGCATAAAAGGGGTCTGAATTCTTTCAGTCTTACCTCATGCCATTAATTGGAATTAGATTCTTGAATTATATGTTTGTTTTATGAAGAATTAGGGTATTGAGTCAATAGCGTGCCTTTTTCCATGATTTCCTATTCATTTAAGTAATTTATTTATGTCTGGATATTTGCTCTAAAAATAGACACTGTTAATTTTGTCCTGCATTATTGCTGTGCTGTAATGAGCCTTGGTGACCCTGCATCAGGGGACACCGTTTTCCTCTTGCAGGTGTCATGGCTGTCAACATCGACAGCTCTTTGACTAATTAAAATTTAACAGATGGTAGTATTCATGCAGCTGTAATAAGATTATATCTGATTTACTGTAGATGAAATAGTCCAATAATTTAATCCATTTGCAGCTAACCCTGGATGTGTGTGTGTTTGTGTGTGTGTGTGTATGTTTTTGTACATGTGTATTGATAAGATAAAAGTAAATTTATGTAACAGAAAAAAAAGAAAAAAAGGGCAATTTCTTCTTTCTTTATTCTACACTTATTCCCAAACACACACCTACATATTTACCGGTACACTCACACACAGGAAAATACCTCTCCAAAGAGCAATGGCTCATAATAAATGTATTATCATTTTTAAACTCAGCCAAGCATGGTTTCTTTCTGGATTTTGTTCTGAATATCCAGGATGTTAAGGATATTCTGGATATTCTGCCCAATGGAGTAGAGATCTAACCAGATCCTTAAAAATGGACCCAGGACACAAACTGGTTCCATGGTCTTTACCTTGACAAAATATAGTAGTGACACATCTCCCTAGCTTTATTCTAAGATAACAGGCAAAATTTATTTATACTCTTTCAAAAGAGAGGCCTATATGAACCCTTACTTTAAGCAAGCAGATTGAGCCACAGTTCAATATGAACCCAAGGTCAAATTTTAATTAGCAAGTAAAAAAACAAGTAACCTTGTACTCAGAGTTAATTTTTTAAAAATTATTGAGTAAAGTTCTTTGTTTTTATTGCACCTCAGAAAGATTTAGGGCCATTTGTCATGAATAGGAGCCAAACTAAATTGGTCATATGGAACAAAATGCTAAGTATGATTACTTACATACAGGAAAAAGCCTGACTCATGTGGAATCACATAGCTCTAGGTTGGAACGCCGGCTTTGCCACTTATCACTGGGTAACCTTTAGCAAATTACTCAACTGCTCTGACTCTCAGTGTCTTTATCAATAAGGATAGTAATAGGAAATACCTCGTGGGGTTGCTGTGAACCTTAAGAGAGATAATGTATGCGAAGGAGGCTATAGTGTATCATAGTAGAAAGCTATTAAAGATAACCATGTTGCTAAATGTAGAAACTGTTAAAGAAAACTCACTAGATTTGAAAATCTGGTTTCTGAGCTAAGACATCAAGGAAGCAAGCTGCTGAGAACAAGAGCATATTTAGCCTCTCCACTCCCTCTGAGAAGGCTGGGTAATAGGTCATAAGAGGGGACTCCTCTGGACTGTAAGACTCTGCATTTCTTTCTCAATTTAAAGAAATATGTTTAAGGAGTATATAGGAATGAAAATGTGATGAAAGCAGCATAATCTATAAGGAATAATCAATAAGTGTCTTATTCTTTTATCATGGAGCTTATGGTTTAATTTCCAAGATTACTGTCTGTTCTAGGGAGAAAGATGTTTTTGAAGGGATGATCAGGATCTCAATTTTTAAATTTCATTCCTCCAAAATTCTACTTTCATCTTCTCTCCCTCCTCCCCCAATTCACTATCAATTCTTCAACTTTACTTTGAAGTTTATCTAGCTGTGGGAAACCATTTCCTTATTACATTATCTTGTGATAGGATCATAAGCCACTGACATTATTTCTAATTATACACATAGTAAAGTGCTTAATTTCCTCCTTGAACCACTCACATACAGTATGTCAAACATGTTCCTTTTGATCATCCCATGGGGTTGCTATTACATTATAGGAATTTTATCAAAAGGAAAAGAGTTTAGGAGCAAGAAGGCTCTAAAATGCCTTGAAAAAAAAGCAAAGTTCCTGGGTGGTGTTAACTTTCAGCTAAACCCAAGTAGTTATCATTTTTGGGAAACACTTATTTGAGCCAGACATCATTTTAGACATTTAGCATATGCTTTCATTTAAGTTTTACATTTATTTTGTATAGTAAGGGTATTGTCCCTATTTTATTAAAGAATCAGCTGGACAGAGAAAGTTAATGTTATTAAGGTCACATAACAAGCAGTTTGATTCAGGTCAAACTCCAAAGCTGGTTTTATTACTCTATGTATGCCTCTTAAAGCCTATTAAAAAAACCCACTCTAAATATATATATGTATATATATATATATATATGTATATATATATATATATATGTATATATATATAATATATATATATATTTCCTGAATATGAATAAACTTTCTATCATTTCTTAGAATGATTTTTAAAATGCTTGACTTTCCTGCTTTTTATTATTCAAACTCTACTTCCACAATAAGAAATGATGTGAAAACAAATATTCCTTAAAATGAGTTTACCTTACCCCTTCCAAATTGAATGAGTGGATGGGAACTTTTAGAAATTGTAAGTTATTTTTAATCTTTCACTTTACAAATACTAACTTATTCTTCATTCCAGTCGGTATTCTAATGTTGCTTATTGTATTAGTCCATTTTCATGCTACTGATAAAGACATACCTGAGACTGGGAAGGAAAAGAGGCTTAATGGAGTTACAGTTCCACATGGCTGGGGAGGCCTCACAATCACGGCAGAAGGCAAGGAGGAGTAAGTCACGTCTTATATGGATGGCGTCAGGCAAAGAGAGAGCTTGTACAGGGAAAGTCCCAGTTTTGAAACCATCAGATCTTGTGAGACTCATTCACTATCATGAGAACAGTGCAGGAAAGACGCACCCCATTAATTCAGTCACCTCCCCCTGGGTTCCTCCCATGATGTGGGAATTGTGGGAGTTACAATTCAAGGTGAGATTTTGGTGGGGACACAGCTAAACCATAAGACTTATGATCTTAATGATGTAGTTTATTTTAGATAGGATAGGCATGGCAGATACAA